>NC_000003.12:7510000-8760000 GCF_000001405.40 Homo sapiens
TCTACTTTTAAGCAACAAAAATTGCCTTAAACCAAGTGCATCATGTGTACATCACTGGTTTTTAGATTTTAATAGCTTATTCCTCTTCCTTCTCTACAAACTAGAGCTTTAAACCCCCACTTTGATAGTCCCTACCTTTCCCCCAGTAAGTTTCAGCTTATTTCAGAGCCAAACTTCTCTGGTCCTCTTTTACATGTTTGTGGTCACCCTATTATTACCATCTTGGACTTTGTCACTTTTTCTTTTTCTGTAGAACTTGTCTTTTGAACATTCAGGCTCCCCAGAGAACATTCTGTATAGCCACAGATGATTGTTTAAATACCCTCCTTTGTCTCTCATCAGGATTGTCTGTGCCTGTTGCGGAGAAAGCTCCCTCAGGAAGGCAGGACTGTATTAGCCTAAATTACAGCTGTATTCTCAGTGCCTATTACAGTCCCCTGAGTATAAAAGGTACTCAACACATATTGAATGCATGAATGAACAAATAAGGAATGAATAGTGTTGGGGAACCTTGTAGCCAATCTCCTTTAGATACAAACAAATTCAAGACACATTATAGTCAGTCTTCGGTGGCAGGCAACAAAAATTGGCTTGGGTAAGATTAGGTAAAATAAAAGAAGTTATTGGAAGGAGATGGGTCAGCTCGAGGATATAGCTCTGAGGTCAGATCAAATCTGTCCTGCTGTCTATCATTGTGCAGCCCACATGCTAAGAATAGTTTTTACACTTACAAATAGTTGAAAAAATCAAAACAAGAATAATATGTCATGACATAAAGATTATATGAAATTCAAATTCCAGTGTCCATAAATAAGGTTTATTGGAACACAGCCATGCCCATTTGTTTACATATTTTCTATGGCTGTGTTTGCGCGGCAGTGGCAGAGTGGAATAACTGTGACTGAGAACGCACATCAGAAAAGTCTAAAATATTTACTCCCAGGTCCTTTTCAGAACTTTGCCAATCCCTAATTTAGCACATGGACTCCAACTGGGCAACAAGACCTTAGGGTGGTCAGAATTCCTTAGGGAATTAAGAAAGCAAGATAAGACTTGGACTCTAGGTAGCAGAAAGGAAGAGACAATTAATTACTTGGGGTGTCACCAGCAGAGTGACTCTGATTACCCACATCCTAATTTCATTCAACTCAGTTTCCAAATTCCAGAAAAAGTGAGCCTGAGGAGCTTGACTTAGTTTACATGCCTGGCCCTCGACTATAGGGGTTGTGGGGAAGGAACCTTGATTAAGGTCCCCATTATCTAGAAACTTAGAAAAAGGGACAGTTATTCATTACAGTACTTGAACAGTGATGCCAAGTTAAAATCACACCTGAGTAAAATCACACCTGAGCCTATTCCCTTCTCCCTTCAAAGATAAACAGAAGCCATTTGCTACCTGGTCACATACAGAGGCTGCTGCACAGTGGTGAGTGCACCACAGACATTGTGACTGCACCACAGACATTGTGACTGCTTGCCATCAAGATTGAGTGGACCCCTCATTACAGACTGTGTTTGCATTCATCAGAGTGTTACCTCTCATCTCTTCAGCTGCGTTTTGCCCAAGATGGTCATACCCAGACATGCACCATCTCATGCCAAAGTGACTGAACACCTGGGAGCCCCAGGGATTGTTTTAAGGATTCATTTTGATTTTCTCAATCTAGTTTCAAAACTATGGTAAACTACCTTTTAATAAAGCTGTCCTGGAGATTTCTCAATGAGACCACAAAGGCATTAGTGCTTGTCTAAATAGGTGTAAGAACATGAAGAACAGGATGTCTTGGTATCATATCAGCAGCATATGTCCAGTCTTTTTCCTCAGGAGCTATTGCCTAAAATTAAAAATGACCATTTAGGGCTGGGAACAGTGGCTCATGCCTGTAATCTCAGCACTTTGGGAGGCTGAGGTGGGAGAATTATTTGAGGCCAGTAGTTTGAGAGAAGCCTGGGCCACATAGTGAGACACTGTCTCCACAAAAATAATAAAAAATATTAGCCAGTCATGGTGGCACACTAATGAAGTCCCAGCTACTTGGAAGTCTGAGGTGGGAGGATCACTTGAACCCAGGAAGGAATTGGAGACTACAGTGAGATATGATTGCACCACTGCACTCCAGCCTGAGTGACAGAGACCCTGTCTCTGGAAATAAAAAAGAAAAGAAAAGAAAAGAAATGACAATTCAGTGACCATGAGAAAATCTACGAGCAACAGTTTCAGTGGCAAGCCTGTTTTACTTTTGCTTCTGTAGGAGGCTCATGCTAAGCAGAATGAGGAGATATAGGTGATTTCCAAGCTTGAAAAAAGATGAAAATTCAGTTATTATTTTTTAAGTGAAGTGTAATAGATAGATAGATAAGAGATTGGTAAATTACCTTCTAGTGTGAGAGTCAAAGTTTCTCTGCATGAAATGCAGTTTCTGGAGAGCCCAAACACAGTGGGTAAAGAGAATGAGCCCCTGTGTGTGTGTGCAATGGTAAAATATTTTTTCTTCATTTTTGAGTTCCAGAGAAAGAGAAGTACTTTAGAAATCTTTTTGGAAGAAAATGGATATGTAGGGATCTTGTTTATGTTTTTGTTTTAGATTTTTTTTTTTTTTTTTGAGCATTAGAGAGACATTTGGGAATTTGAGAGATTGGTGCAAAAGTGTTTGTGGGTGTTCTTTCTTCATGTCAAGCTATGAAATAAAGTCATTTTATCTCAAAAAGCCCTTAGTTAATGCTGGGGAAAACATTTTTATCCAACCTGGAGGACACTTGGGAAAGGATCTAGCAGCTGGTGCTTTGAGAAGGAGAAGACAGACGTTTTTGGGGGAGTGCAGAAGGGAAAGGAGGGGAGACAAGGAGGTGACCAGTCTGGACTCTGATGGTGTCTTTCCCCTGCCCAGACACCCAATGCCAGGTTTTAAAAATTCATCAACATGGAGAAGGCAGGAATACCAATTAAGTGTTTAGCATAATAGAAAATCAATTTTAATTGTCCCAAATGGAACTATTGTTTACAGTTACAGATGGCTGCCAGGCAGTAGTACCTGGAGAAAATAAATGAGCCCAGGGAGTAGGGAATTGCTTTCAATTCTTAGGAGTATTGCAGGACAGACATTGGAGAATTCAGCCTAAGAAAGTTTTTGCAGAGAAAACAGATTCCCTATAATTATAGGCTGAAAAATGTTTCCCTCTAGGACTATGCAGTTAGTAGTGTCGTCAATTTCCACCTCTCACCTTTCTCCTGGTGTTTTCACAGGAGGAGTGGACCATCAAAATAGTTGTTACTGCATGGATTAAAATCATTGGCAAAGAAGAGGGGAACCTTGATTAATGTCCTCATTATTTAGAAACTTAGAAAAAGGAATACATATTCATTACAGCACTTTAACAGTGTTACCAAGATAAAACCTTTTTTTTTCTGTTTTTTTCTTTTCTATCTATTATGCTAAACTCACTTAATTGGTATTCCTGCCTCCTCCACATTGAAGAAGAGGGGATGGCTAATGAATATAAAAATATGGTTACATAGAAGGAATAAGATCTAGTGTTTGATAGCACAATAGGATGACAACAGTTAACAAAAATTCATTGTATGTTTCAAAATAAAAGAGTGGACTTGTGATATTCTTAATGCAAATAAATAATAAATGCTTGAGGTGATGGGTATTCTAACTACCCTAATTTGATCATTACACATTGTGTGCACTTATCAAAACATAATGTTTCCTGTAAATATACATAACTCTGATATGCCCATAATAATAAAAATTTTAAAAAATTAGAGAAGAACATCAGCAAAGACAACCCAAAACCACCTCTTACCTGATCACTTCACTATGTTTTCTGTTTTGTTTCTTTGAACTTCCAGTGCAAAGGAAGTATTTCTTTTATTGCACTTCATCTGTCCTAGCTATAGCTATTTGCATATTTGACTTATCTTTCAACTAGTATAAAAATTCCTCAAAGGCAATATTTCACTTTAGCAGAGCTAAACCCATCACTTCACTACTAACTGTGTGTACCTTGAGTGACTTAATCTATTTCCTTAGCTGTAAGCTGGGGGCCATGATGGCATCCGATTTATAGTTCTGTGGTGAGTATTGAGTCAATGAGAATGAACCTTCCAGAAAAAACCCGGCATGTAGTTTGAACTCAGACATTGACTACTAGTATGATTTTTATATCCTTTTTGTCTCTTTTAAGAAATAATTGTAACACATCCTATACAAAAATCTGTAATTCTCCTATTGAGAAATCCTAGAGAGGAACAAAAAGAAAAAGTTGGAGATAGATGCTCACTCTAGGTAACTTTCAGCATAGATTGGCTTAAGACCTATTGCAACAAAAGTACATGAAATGCTTATTAATATTGCAAATTCCTGACAAGACTCTCTGGGATAGAATCTCAAAATACCTATATCTTCAGTAAGCTTACCAGAGTATTCCGACACAAGCTACATTTTCAGAAGTTTGGTCAAAGGAAAATGGTCATCTCTGGATATATTAACTGGTAAAAACCAGATGTAGGCTCTAAAATGCCCATGTGGAATGTTTCACTCATTTTATCATGAAAGACAACTTGCTTGGGGTGGCTGCAATCCCACTCCTGTTTCTATCCACCACAGTGAGGATAACTGATTTCTCAGACAGTCTCTTAAAGCTCATGGGCATGGCTCCTTGGACCTGCCTTGTAAAAACTATGGGGCTATTTCATTTGCAGAACTGAATAATTAACATACATCAATGCGTGGTGCAATATAAATCCACTGTGAGGCTGACCTTGATCTAAGTGTCACAGTGACGCACTGTGGAGCTCAGTAGAATACTTTCCATAAAGCGCAGGTGCAGGATTTTATTCTCCAGAGTCCGCTTCGATGAAACTTTGCTCAGATTTTAATTTCTCTAAAACCTAATAGTGTTTGGGAGTTAGCTGGATTTTTTTTTTTCTGAATTCGAGTTATGACTGTTGAGTCACAGAAGACATCTAGTGCTTCAAACAGAACTGGATTTGACTTTTGGTTCTGTGTGACCTTAGGCAAGCCATTCAGCCTTTGTGTCCTTAGGTTTTTCCATGTGTAAAATGGAGATATTGATAAACACCTCAAAGAGTGTTGTGAGAATTAGGAATACACTTGAGAGCCCCTGTTACACACGTGAAATGCCCAAGAGATGCCAGTTTCCTGTTCCTTTAAAACACAAGTGCAGTGTTGAATGTAGAAGGACAAAAAAAAAAAAAAAAAGACATCAAATATTTTCTCTTAACTCAGTTTCTTAACTTCAGGACTACGGACGTTTTGAGCCTGATAGTTTTTGTGTTTGAGGGAGGAAGGGAGACAGGTGCCCCGTGCATTGTAGCAGGTTTAGCTTTGGCAGCATCCCTGGCCTCTGTCTATCAAATACCAGGAGCACTGCCCCGAGCTGACAATCAAAAATGTCACCAGACATTGTCCATGTTCCCTCAAGGGCAGAAATCACCCCATTGAGGAGCACTGTCCTGGTTCCTGCCCTATAATTTTAAGCCATTAAGTTGTAAAATCAAACCAAGAAATCAAATTGTCAGTGTTTTACCAAGCCAGTATCAAAAAGGAAACTAACCTGGCTATGATGGTTATCCTTTTGACAGTTCCCCAGCCTTATAAAGGGGAAATCTCATAGCGCTATTAGGGTATAGCAAAGGAAGGTACCTGTCACCTTGAGGACTCACAAGTAATCCATGAGCCACAACTAAGGTTAGATTCTCAGACTTTAGAACGCCATAATCTCAGGCTGGCTTATGTCACAGATCTTACTAAACTAGGGCCAAGTGCCTCTTGCTGTGTAAACTAGGGGACAATGACTTTTGCATGAGGCTGATATAAAAATGAAATGGTAAGGCCAAGCATGATGGCTCACACCTGTAATCCCAGCACTTTGGGAGACAGAGACAGGGGAATCCTTTGAATCCAGTTGTTCAAGACGAGCCTGGGAAACATAGGGAGACCCTGTCTCTACAAAAAATAAATAAATAAGAATAGTAACAAATAAAAAAATTAAGTTGACATGGTGGTACATGCCTGTGGTCTCAACTACTTGGGATGCTGAGGTGGGAGGATCTTGAGGCTGGAAGGTAGAGCCCGCAGTGAGTGTGATCACACCACTGCACTCCAGCCTGGGCAACAGAGTTGACACCATATCTCAAAAAAAAAAAAAAAAAAAAAAAAGGGCTGGGCACGGTGGCTCACGCCTGTAATCCCAGCACTTCGGGAAGCCGAAGCCGAGGCGGGCAGATCATAAGGTCAGTACATCAAGACCATCCTGGCTAACATGGTGAAACCCTGTCTCTACTAAAAATACAAAAAATTAGCCAGGCGTGGTGGTGTGCGCCTGTAGTCCCAGCTACTTGGGGGGCTGAGGCAGGAGAATGGCGTGAACCTGGGAGGTGGAGCTTGCAGTGAGCCGATATCGTGCCCCTGCACTCCAGCCTGGGCGGCAGAGCGAGACTCCCTCTCAAAAAAAAAAAAAAAAAAAAAAAAAAAAAGAAATAGTTAGTTCATTAATTCTTAAAGAGAAATGGAACGTCAGGGGTACTTCCATTCAAACTGGTATAACCAGCAACTTTAGATTCTTAAGTGCAGGGGAAGCCAGATCACTGAAGGTCCTTGGTGAGCATTCAGCGAGGACTAGAGGTATGAGCTGGAGCATTGAATGGCATCAAGCTATCAGAGCCTGCTGTTCCTTTCCAAATAGGGATGTGGACCAATGGGGCACACTGGCTAGTTCTTTGAAGGTTATTGCCACCATTTGCCTCTGCAACCTGACTCTGCTTCTGCTGATGACCAAGCATTTTAGCATTTTTTCATTTAAGTTTAATCAGGCCTGTCAGAGCTTTGCTCTTTGCATTGGCAAGGCTTTGTGAATTATTATAGGAATCTAACTGGTGGTATTTTTATAAATGTACCGTAATTCTAGGTTCCTGAGATGCACCTTCCTGTAGACCCCACCTGCCCTCTGGACAGTCAGTCTCTCTGCTGCCCCGCTCCCCTCAGCACACTTGATCTTTCAAATACTCTTTTCACAAGCAGGGCTATGGCATGCTTTCTTTCACACTCTGCATCTCTCTTGGAATCATGTTCACGAGGTAATAAACAGGAGAAAGTGGACAAGTCAAGGCTACGCAAATCACACTGACACCCCAAATGTCCTGTTTCCTCTCCTCCTGGTAAAATTGAGGTAGATGCAGAGAAGTTTTGGTCATTTATTTTGTATTAATTTCTTAGAAATTGCTTTGTCCTCACTTTATACATAATTAGCATTTAATAAACATTTGTCAAACAGAAAATGTTTGTATAAATAAACAAATGTGTGATATTATTGTAATAATAACAGTGGTTACTATTATTATTAGTAGTAGTAGTAGTATTAGTATTATTAGTATTATTATTTGAGACAGAGTCTCGCTCTGTCACCCCAGCTGGAGTGCAGTTGCATGATCTCGGCTCACTGCAACCTCCACCTCCCGGGTTCAAGGGATTCCCATGCCTCCGCCTCTCGAGTAGCTGGGATTACAGGCACCTGCCACCATACCTAGCCAATTTTTGTATTTTTTTGTAGAGACAAGTTTTCACCATGTTGGCCAGGTTGGTCTTGAACTCCTGACCTCAAGCAATCACCTGTCTTGGCCTTCCAAAGTGCTGGGATTAGAGGCATGAGCCACCATGCTTCCCTAGTTATTATTTTTTGATACTAGCTGCTGATTGCCTTTTAGGTCTTATCCGGGCCAGGTATTAACACTGTCTGGGGATTATCCCAGTTCATCTTCATAATGATTCAATACATCTGAACTTCTTTTATCACCAGATTTTAACTTAAGTAGTTTTCCCAAGCTCGTCCAGCTGACATGTGACAGAGGTGGAATTTGAACTGTTGCCCAAAGTGCATATTTACAGCGGCTCAGGACCTTTACATCTAATTGGTGAAAGCCAGATGTAGCCTCTAAAATGTCGATGTGTGATGTTTCACTCATTTTGTCATAAAAGAGGACTTGGTTGGGGTGGCTGCAGTCAGCTGAGATTCCACTCCTGCTTCTATCCACTACGGTGAGGATAATTCATTTCTCAGACAGTCAAAGCTCATAGGCATGGCTCCTGGACCTCTCTTGTAAGAACTGTGGGGCTTTAGTTCCCAAAAGAGCACAAGCCCCAAGAGAGCACAGCTGTGGTGTGATTCCTTTTTCAGCAAGCGGCTTCAATGTCTTCAACTAGGAAGGCCTTGGCAGCATTTCCAAGGCGTCAGGGAATTGTAACTATGATAATGGAAGTTCTGCAAAATTAAGCCCAGGGTGAAGGCAGCTGCAAGTTAATGCCATTTGAAGGTTCTTATGTAAAGTGCATTAGAAAGCATCACAGAATAAGCTTTCTCATTCTGTCTGCCATGACACCTTATTTAATTCAGGTATGATAGGTTTTAAACAAGAGTATAAGAAGGTTTCAGTTACTGTGATCTTTCCTCTCTTCCTAGGAAAAGGTTTCATATCAAGGTTTCTTTCTCAGATTTTACCTTGCTCCTGACATTAAGCTGTTAATTCACTGATATTAAAATGCTTTTTTAAAAAACCCTCTAAACTGGCTGGGTTTTTCAAACATCAAAAATATAATACCAGAGCTGCCAGCTCTTGTTCCCTGTAGCTTATGTTTTGGCTAACAGCCAAGCACCAGCTGATCATACTCTTAAGAAGCCAGACAAATTTAAAACCATAGCTGCTCAAATAGAAATTAGTAAGAAGGTTAGCAGTAAATGGAAAATAAATTTCATGTAATACCTCTAAATATAGGTTAATGAAATCAGTCCTCAATCTTCCTAAGTGAAAACTAGACCTCTGATTAATGTTAAGATTTAGCTGGCTGTTTTAACATTTAAGATTTAGCTGGTCGTTTTTAAAAATAACATTTAAAAAATTGCCATTCATTATTTTCTTTTGTGTAACAATCTAGAGCACTTTTCTGTCTGTTAATCCATTGAATTAAATCTTCACAAGAACTGTGACAATGAGGCATTATTCTCCCCTCAATTTTGCATTTGAGGAAATTGAGGCCTGGATAAGTTAAGTGACTTGCTCAGCTAGAAAATGACAGCGTGAAAATATCAACCCAGTTTTTTTCACTATATATTTACTGCTCTTTTTGCTTAAGTAAGCCATTTCTTAGTAGAACTTAACAGCTTTTACTTTCACTATAAAACATACTTAGCTAGCCAGGTGTAGTGGTGCATGCCTGTAATCCCAGCTATTTGGGAGGCTGAGGCAGGAGAATCGCTGAAACTCAGGAGGTAGAGGCTGCAGTGAGCTGAGATAGCACCACTGCACTCCAGGCTGGTTGACAAAGAGAGACCCTGTCTAAAAAAAAAAAAAATGCCAAACATATTTGCCATTATATTTTCATTCCTGCTGGAAATCTGTCTGTTGATCTGGGACATAGGCTGTGTCTAGAACTTTTGCTGTTACATGGGACTTCTCAGTTAACCTTAATATTCAATTCAGATAATACCATTCATTTATTTGCAATTTACTGGGGCAGAAGGCATGGAGTTAAAGAGGTCATAGATAATTCCAAGTTAACAACGAAGCAAAATTAGAGTCATTTTTGATGATCTCAAAATAGATTTATATCATTTTGTGTGAGTAATGTCAGGCACCTGAGACCTGTTTCTCAGTAACAGTTACCTTTAGTATAAAAAAGAATTGTTCTGATGCTTAGTAACTTCAAACAAGACAAATTTGTTTTGCTCATTAATCTGTAATTTGGGCAGGATTTAGTGGGGATAACTTGTCTTAGCGCTACATTGCAACAGCTGAAGTGGATCAAAAGCTGAGTGGTAGAATCATTTGAAGCTTCATTCACTCACTGGGCTGGTAGTTGAGGCTGGCTGCTGGCTGCTGGCTGCTGGCTGGGGACCTCAGTTCCACTCCATGTGAGCCTTTGTATGCCATCTATCAGTCTAGGCTGGTTCGTGCTTCTTCACAGCATGGTTGCTGTTGCTCAGGGCACACATCCTAAGAATGCGATCAAGAGAGACAGGTGGAAGATACGGTCCAAGGATTTAGCCTTGGAAAACAATATAGCATCATTACTACCATAGACTATTGGATGAAATAATCTTTATCCCCCACCCAGATCAAAGGAGAGGTACATAGATCTCACTTGTGGATAAAGAGGAGTGTCACTCATATAAAGAAAGCATGTGGAACGGGCCATTGTTGGAACACATTGTCTTCCCAGAAGAGCTTGGTAATCTCATTATCCATGGTTGCTGGAGCCCTAAAGGAAAGGCAGGAAGATAAGAAAAAGGCAGGCAAGTTCTTATTGAATTAATAGGTTTAAGAGCCACTTTTGTGGTCAGCCAGGTATGTATCCAGCTTAGGCATATAAAAGTCCCATCTTGCCCTTATTAATTCTCCTAACTTCTGGTCTTTCTTGCATCATTTAATTCTCCTATATTCTGGATTCTTTATGTTCTAAATTCAAATGACTCTCTAGACCTGAAAAAAATAAAAAAAAAAACACCACCATGGGACTTTTAATTTTGTTCATCATGATAAAATACCTAAAACTCAGAACTGACTCTAACACAAGTTCACATTCTACTATTTATTTCCCTTTTATTTTGTAAGGTGGATCAGGGTATAGAAGACAGGTTTCCTGGAGCCTGATTCACACTGTGCCCTTGTTTAAGACTCATAATGTTGTTACACAGACAACTGAGCTGTAATTGTAGCATTCAGATTCCCATTTAAAATAGATCCCATTTCCCTGAGGGAGATCATCCAACTTGTGTATTTTCCTGAGTGGGGCATCAGAAATGCTTCTGTCAGCTCATACATAGTATGACACTTCATTGTGAAGGCAACTCTAGTTTTCACATCCTTGCTGCACACCCTGCAATACATTTAAAGCTTGAGGATTTCCTCTCCTAACATATCCCAGATTCTTTCCATTTTCCTTTGACGCCTACTATACCTTCCCCAACCCACAACTCAAATTCTGAGCTGTAGGTGGGTTAGGATCCAGGTTTTATTGTTCCTAATGGGTCACACTGATAATAATTGTTCAGCTGCAGTGCATAGAAGTATCAGTTCAAAAACTCAGGTGTGCAAATAATTTTTGAATGACTAAGTGTATATTTGTAGTTTGAGCTTACTATTTCACTGGGTGGTGGAACCTGATGTTGAGCAGGCCACTCTCCTGACTTCCCATCTTTTCCCAGGTTCCCAGTGCCTTCGATGTTCCCCTAGCCTTGGTGCATGGCCAGGTAAAACCGCAGTTCTTGGTCATTGCTATGGTCTAAATGTTTGTATCCCCTTAAAATTCACATGTGGAAATCCTAATCCCCAAGGTTATGGTAGTAGAAGGTGAGGCCTTTGGCCAGATGATTGGGTCTAAAGGCAAGCCCCTGTGAATGTGATTAGTGCCCTTAGAAAAGAGATGCAAGGAAGATCCCTTGCCCCTTCCATCATGTGAAGTCACAGAGAGAAGGCAACATCTAAGAACCAGAAAGCAGACTCTCACCAGACACTGAATCTGCCAGCAACTTGATTTTGGACTTCCCAACCTTTGGAACTATGAGAACTACATTACCACTCAGTTAATGGTATTGTGTGATGGCAGCTCTAATGGACTAAGACAATCATTATCCCTCCACATGACATACTGGAGATGTATAATACCTCTTTCTAGACATGAGTTCATGTCTGATGAACCTCACCAAGGGATATTCTCAGGTCTGCCTCTCAGATACTGCTATGCTCTTTAGATAAAAAAAGAACGCCGAGTAGCCCTCCCAAGTAGACACGTAGAAACTCAGTGGGGACAAGGTCTTTCACCACTTTTCTGCATGCAAAATCATTTATGGCTCCCCAATTCTGAATGGATTGAAGAGAGGTAGATGAAGTCCCTTGAGCCCCACCTGCCTCCACATACCACATGGACAGTTCTATTCTGTTGTTCCTTCTCTGTGTTGGAGTGTGGAACTCAGAATCTCATTCTCCCTTGGGCTTTACCCTGGAAAGTGACTCATATAGGGTTCCAGCTGCCCTTTCTCCCAGCTCATTTTGGAGGTTCATAGGCCTATTCAGGTTTGTGTTAGACCGTAGCCTCTGAAATCTTTGTCTAACCTGGAAATAAAGGGAAAATGGTGGAATAGGCTGGCTCTTTCTGATCAAAATCATTGTAACATGACTGGACCTTGCCTTTCTAAATCTGGTAATTTGAATCTTGTGTCATTCTATAACATCTTTTTTCTAAGTACAAACGCAATCAACTCGGGGTAGGGGGAGGAAGACTACAGTTTGAACAAACTAAAAACAGGAACAACAGTCAAAGGTTCCTGCTCTTCTTTTTCTGCTTCAACAATTCTCCCAGGAACTTGAGATGTTCCTTTGTACTTCCATATGTACCATCTTATCTATGCTTACGTTTCCATTAACACACCCATTGCTACTGCCTTGTAGAGCTATGACACCTGCCCTCCTCCCCACCTCCAGAGGTCAGTTTATGCCTTCACCCCCTGACATTCTCCCCACATCCACACATATACTTGGCAGCCAGAAAATTTCTTTCCATACATTTATGATGTAGGTATATCTGTGTCTACATCGCAAGACTTCCAGAACACTTTCACTTCGTCTCAAGTTCATTTCTCCAGATTTGTAGAAGACTGAAAGAATTAAGTAACATGTCAAGATCACAGGCTGGTACGTGGCAGAATGGCCTGTGAAATCCATGGCTATGAACTGAGTTGTGTCTCTGAAATTTGTACGTCAAAGTCCTAACCCCCAATGTATGCTATTTTTGAGATGAGGTCTTTGGGAGGTACTTAGGGTTTGATGAGGTAATAAAGCTGTGCCCCTTATGATGGGATTGGTACTCTTCAAGGAAACAAGAGAGAGGTAGTGCTCTGTCTTCTCCTCTCTCCCTTTCTTTCTCTCTTTCCCTTTGCATGTAAGGATGCAGCAAGAAGGCAGCTGTCCTCAAGAAAGAAAGAAGACTCCTGTATGAATTGGCCAGCACCTTGATCTTAGACTTCTCAGCCTTCAGATCTAGGAAAAAGAAATTTCTGTTGTTCAAGCAATTTCTATTGTATTTAGTCTATGGTATTTTATTACAGCAGGCGGAGCTAACAGAGACATTCACGTTTCTTTTCCTTTTTCTCCAACTTACCGCATTCTTATATTCTCCCATGACTCCATGATAAGGTACTATCATCATTTGTCTCACATTGTGCCTTTCAACAAAAAGATCAGAAAAGGAGAAGGGGCAATTGATATACAGAAAAATTTTTTTCCTTAGTGAAATTGCCTATTTCCTCTCCCCTATGTCCCTAATTAATCCTTGAAACCAGGCTTCCTGGTTGCTTGTAACAAACGGAACCTACAAGAATGTGGAAGTAAGTTTTGCTGGCAATGTGCACTCTGTTTTGCTAGGCCGGACTTTAATGCAGACTGGTAAGCAGGCATCTCCGAGCTGGTAGAAGTGTACACTCCTGCTGTATTCCATCATGTGGATCAAAGGCCAGGGCTAATAGCACTTAAATAATAAATGTGCTGTTTTAAGGTATGCATCATTTAAATTTGAGGGAAACGAGCAAATCTGGGAAGACTACAAGGGATGTACTTTCCTGACAATGATATCATCAAGAAAAGCCATTAATAAAGGGGAGGAAATCTTCAAGATCTCAACAGAGACCGTTTTAGAAAAGCTAGTCATCAAATTTTGCCTTTGTGACTGGCATGGTCACTGTTGCATTAGCATATAGGTGGATCGGGATATAGTGGGGATTAAGGACAGATATGGAAATGCGGGGATGGGGAGAAGAAGGATTCCAGGAAATAGGACTTTGAGAAAAATAGAGGACTTTATAAAATTTCAAGACTTTGAGGGTAAGTATGGGTAGTCTCTCAACATAGTTTTCTGGGTTTTGTTGTTAATGCTTTTTCAAGGTAATAAGCTCCAAAAAGCATCAAAAAGCCCCTCTTCTATCTTGCTCCTAGAGAGATCACGGAGGCTAGGAGGGTGCTGGATCTGAGAATTCAGCATGAGCCCTAAGTGAATTCAGATGATATTCTCAATCACTATTCACTGATCCTCAAAGAAAGTCAGATGGGTTAAAGACTTAAACGTTAGACCTAAAACCATAAAAACCCTAGAAGAAAACCTAGGCATTACCATTCAGGACATAGGCATGGGCAAGGACTTCATGTCTAAAACACCAAAAGCAATGGCAACAAAAGCCAAAATTGACAAATGGGATCCAATTAAACTAAAGAGCTTCTGCACAGCAAAAGAAACTACCATCAGAGTGAACAGGTAACCTACAAAATGGGAGAAAATTTTCGCAACCTACTCATCTGACAAAGGGCTAATATCCAGAATCTACAATGAACTCAAACAAATTTACAAGAAAAAAACAAACAACCCCATCAAAAAGTGGGCAAAGGACATGAACAGACACTTCTCAAAAGAAGAAATTTATGCAGCCAAAAAACACATGAAAAAATGCTCACCATCACTGGCCATCAGAGAAATGCAAATCAAAACCACAATGAGATACCATCTCACACCAGTTAGAATGGCAATCATTAAAAAGTCAGGAAACAACAGGTGCTGGAGAGGATGTGGAGAAATAGGAACACTTTGACACTGTTGGTGGGACTGTGAACTAGTTCAACCATTGTGGAAGTCAGTGTGGCGATTCCTCAGGGATCTAGAACTAGAAATACCATTTGACCCAGCCATCCCATTACTGGGTATATACCCAAAGGACTATAAATCATGCTGCTATAAAGACACGTGCACACGTATGTTTATTGCGGCACTATTCACAATAGCAAAGACTTGGAACCAACCCAAATGTCCAACAATGATAGACTGGATTAAGAAAATGTGGCACATATATACCATAGAATACTATGCAGGCATAAAAAATGATGAGTTCATGTCCTTTATAGGGACATGGATGAAATTGGAAATCATCAGTCTCAGTAAACTATCACAAGAACAAAAAACCAAACACCACATGTTCTCACTCATAGATGGGAATTGAACAATGAGAACACATGGACACAGGAAGGGGAACATCACACTCTGGGGACTGTTGAGGGGTGGGGGTAGGGGGGAGGGATAGCATTAGGAGATATACCTAATGCTAAATGACGAGTTAATGGGTGCAGCACACCAGCATGGCACATGTATACATATGTAACTAACCTGGACATTGTGCACATGTACCCTAAAACTTAAAGTATAATAATAATAAAATAAAAAAATCTGTGGTACACGTGTCGGAATTCTCTGGTGTTAAAAATACAGTGTATTGGGTTCCAGCCCAGGTGAACTGAATCCAAATCTTTGGGAATGGAGTATAGGAAACTGATTTGTTTTTGGGGGGATGGGGTCTCCCTATGTTACCCAGGCTGGTTTCAAACTCCTAGACTCGAGTGATCCACCTGCTTCAGGTTCTCAAGTAGCTGGGATTGCAGGTATCCATCACAGAGCCTGGCTGGGAACAGAGTTTTTACATTTTTATGTTCATGTGTGTGTATGTATGAATGAATTATTTAGGGGGTACATGTGAAGGTTTGTTGCAAGGGTATACTGAATGATGCTGAGGTTTGGATTTCTATTGATTTCATCACCCAAATAAGGAACACAGTACCCAGTGGGAAGTTTTTCAGTCCTTTTTCTCCTCTCGTCCTCCCCACTTTTTGATTCCTTGGTGACTAGTGGTCTCACCTTTATGTCCATGTGTATCCAATGTTTAGCTCTCACTTATAAGTGAGAACATGTGATATTTGGTTTTTTATTTCTGTATTGATTCACTTAGGATAATAGCCTTCAGCTCCATCCATGTTCCTGCAAGGGAAATGATTTTGTTCTTTTTTATGGCTGCATAGTATTCCATGGCATATATGTTACGTACCGCAGTTTTTAATCCAATCCACCACCAATGGGCATCAGAAGTGATTTAAGTCTTTGCTACTGTGAAAAACATATGAGTACATGTGTCTTTTTGATAGCATGATTTATTTTTCTTTGGGTAGATATCCAGTAATGGGATTGCTGGGTTGAATGGTAATTCTATCTTTAGTTCTTTGAGAAATCTCCAAACTACTTTCCACAGTGTCTGAACTAATCATGCCAACAGTGTATAAGTGTTCCCTTTTCTCTGCAATCTTGCCAACATCTGTTATTTTTTGACCTTTTAATAACAGCCATTCTGACTGGCATGAGAAGGTATCACATAGTGGTTTTGATTAGTGTCTCTCTGCCAACTGGTGATGTAAAGCTTTTTTTTCCCCTGTACTTATTGGCTGCTTGTATGCCTTCTTTTAAGAAGTGTCTGTTCATGTTCTTTGACCACTTTTTAATGTTTTTTTCCTTGATTTAAGTTTCTTATAGATTATGGATATTAGTCCATTGTTGAATGCATAGTTTACAAATACTTTCTCCAATTCTGTAAGTTGTCTGTTTACTCCATTGGTGGTTTCTTT
This sequence comes from Homo sapiens, assembly GCF_000001405.40. NCBI lineage: Eukaryota > Metazoa > Chordata > Mammalia > Primates > Hominidae > Homo > Homo sapiens. Next base: position 7,526,508 of record NC_000003.12, read on the forward strand.
TGCTGTGCAAAAGTTCTTTAGTTTAATTAGTTCTTAACTGTCAATTTTTGTTTTTGTTTGCTTTTGAGGACTTAGTCATAAATTCATTGCCTAGGCTGATGTCCAGGAGAGTATTTCCTAGGTTTTCTTGCAGGATTTTTATAGTTGGAGGTTTTAACATTTAAGTTTTTAACTCATCTTGAGTTAATTTTTGTATGTGGTGAGAGGTAGAGGTCTAGTTTTATGCTCCTGCGTATGGTTAGGTAATTTTCTCAGCACCATTCATTGAATAGGAAGTCCTTTCCCTATTGTTTATTTTTATCAACATTGTCAAAGATTAGTTGATTGTAGGTGTGTGGCTTTTCTTCTGAGTTTTCTATATTGTTTTATTGGCTTATGTGCATTTTTTTCTTAACAGTACCATGTTGTTTTGGTTACTGTAGCCTTATAGTATAGTTTGAAGTCAGGTGATGTGATTCATCTGGCTTTGTTCTTTTTACTTCAGATTTCTTTGTCTGTTGTGGCTCTTTTTAGTTCTATAAAAATTTTAGAATTCTTTTTTCTAATTCTATGAAAAATGATGTTGGTAATTTGATAGGAATAGCATTGAATACGTACATTGCTTTGAGCAGCATGAACATTTTAACAATATCCATTCTTCCAATCCATAAAAGAGGGACATTTTTTCATTTCTTTTGTTTTCTATGATTTATTTCAGCAATTTTTTATAGTTCTCTTTCTAGAGATCTTTCACCCCCTTGGTTATAAGTATTTGTAGGTATTTTATTCTTTTGTGGCTATTGTAAATGGGATTATATTCTTCATTTTGCTTTCAGCTTGAATGTTATTGGTGTATAGAAATGCTACTGATTTTTTTTACATTGATTTTGTATCCTAAAACTTTACTGAAGTTGTTTGTTGGATCTAGGAGTCTTTTCATGGAGTCTTTACAGTTTCCAATGTATAGAATAATATCATTGGTGAAGAGAAATGATTTGCTTTCCTCTTTTCCTGTTTGGATGCCTTTTATTTCTTTGTATTGCCTGATGGCTCTGGATAGGACTTCCAGTATTAACATTGAATGGGAGTGAGAGAGTAGACATCCTTGTCTTGTTCCAGTTCTTAGGGGGAATACTTCTATCTATCTGTTGCTGTTGTAGTATGATATTGGCTATGGGTTTGTCATAAATGACTCATTATTTTGAGGAGTGTTCCTTTGATGCCTAGTTTTTTAGAGCTTTTATCATGAAAAGATGTTGAATGCTATCAAATTTGTTTTCTGTGCCTATTGAGATGATTGCATGGGTTTTTTAAAATTCTGTTTATGTGTTAAATCACATTTATTGACTTGTGTATGTTGAAGTAAACTTGCATGTCAGAAATAAAGCCCACTTTATTGTGTTGAATTAACTTTCTGATGTGCTTCTGGTTTCATTTTGCTGGTATTTTGTTGAGAATTGCTGCATCTATGTTAATCAGGGGTACTGACACATTGTTTTATTTTTTTGTTGCATCTTTGCCTGATTTTAGTATAAGCATAATACTGGTTTCACAGAATAAGAGAGAAATCCCTCCTCCTTAATTTTGTGGTATAGTTTCCGTGGGATTGGTACCAGCTCTTCTTTGTACATCTGGTGGGATTCAGCTGTTAATCCACGTAGTCCAGGGCGTTGTTTTGGTTGGTAGATATTTTTATTACTAATTCAATTATAGAACTCATTATTGGTCTGTTGAGGGTTTCAGTTTCTTCCTGATTAAATCTTGGAAGGTTGTGTATTTCCAGGAATTTATTAATTTTCTCTAGATTTTCTTGTTTGTGTTTATAAAGGTGTTCATAATAGTCTCTGAGAATCTTTTGTATTTCTGTGGAATTGGTTGTAATGTCACTTTCACTGTTTCTGATTTTGCTCATTTGAGTCTTCCTTTTACTTTGTTAATTCAACTAATGGTCTATTGATATTGCTTACACTTTCAAAGAACCAAATTTTCCTTCATTGATCCTATGTATGATTTTTGGGGTCTCAGTTTTATTTAATTCTGCTCTGCTTTTAGTTATTTTTTTTCTTCTGCTAGCTTTGTGTTTAGTTTGTTCTTGTTTTTATAGTTCCTTTAGATGCAAGGCTAAATTGTCAATTTGAGATCTTTCTTTTTGATGTAGGCATTTAGCACTATAAACTTTCCTCTTAACACTGCTTTTGCTACATATCAGACATTTTGGTATGTTGTGTCTGCATTTTCATTTTTTGTAAAGATTTTTTTTTATTTCTGCCCTAATTTTGTTGTTTACTCAAAATTTATTCAGGACAAATTGTTTAGTTTCCATGTAATTGTGTGGTTTTGAGAGTGCCTTTTGGTATTGATTTCTATTTTTATTCCACTGTGATCTGAGAATATGCTTGGTATGATTTAGTTTTTTTAAATTTATTGAGACTTGCTTAATGACATTGCACATGGTCAATCTTAGAGTATGTTCATGTGCAAGTGGGAAGAATGCATATTCTGTAATTGTTGAGTAGTATGTTGTGTAGATATCTATTAGGTCTAATTAGTCAAGTGTCAAACTTAAGAACTTTTTTGTTAGTTTTCTGCCTTGATCTGTCTAATATTGTCAATGGGGTGTTGAAGTCTGGAAACTGAATATTTTTGCAAGAATCTTTCAAAAATATTTTGTGGTAAAGTTCGAGAGCCTTTTATTATGAGCGTCTTATTGTCTAGAATAGTGCCAAGCTCCTATTAGTCATCAAATAATTATTGCAGTGAATTAATACATCTCCAGTATGTAGCCTAATTACTGACACATGATAGGTTTCAGTTAAGGTTTGTTGAAGGAATCTTTGTGATAGCTTCTGGTTCTTAAGAGGCACTTTGGAATGAAAGAATCCATCTATTCACCTAGCAAGCCAGCTGTCTATTCGCACATCCATTCAAGTTTTGGGATTTGGCATAGCAAGGAGACACTGCAAGGGAAGTCTGTTATATGGACAGAAATTCCTTATTTGTTTAGGAGAGAGTCTTAAGAGTAGAACTATTGGGTCAAGATCATTAACATTATAGACTCTTAACGGACACTTATTGTCAAATGTTCTTGCTCCATGGCTTTTTCATAGGCTCTCCTTTGTTCTCATAACTTGGTTCCTAGCCCGTTGCCTGTATGATTCCCTGAATGCATGAACACCTTTGCATTTTGCTCAAGGTTCATCAACCTGCCTTAAGATATTGTTTTTATTGTTTCTACTCTCCATCCTCAATGTCTAATCAAACCCTTGATCCTGGTACCCCTACCAGCCCTGTTCTAAGAATGACCACTCCTGGCATGACTGAAAAATTATGGCCATTCTCAAAAGACTCAACCTGGGGAACAAATAAGCTGTTGTTGTTGTTGTTGTTGTTTTAAATCAGGAGACCACTGGCTGTTAGGACCTTTTCTTTTTTTTTTTTTTGTCAGTTCAACATTTTATTTATTTCTTTTTATACTTTTAAGTTTTGGGATACATGTGCAGAACGTGCAGGTTTGTGACATAGGTATACACGTGCCATGGTGGTTTGCAGCACCCATCAACCTGTCATCTACATTAGGTATTTCTCCTAATGCTATCCCTCCCCTATCCCCCCCACCCCCCAACAGGCCCCGGTGTGTGATGTTCCCCTCCCTGTGTCCATGTGTTCTCATTGTTCAACTCCCAATTATAAGTGAGGACATGCAGTGTTTGGTTTTCTGTTCCTGTGTTATTTTGCTGAGAATGATGGTTGTCAGCTTCATCCATGTCACTGCAAAGGACATGAACTTATCCTTTTTATGGCTGCATAGTATTCCCTATGTTGTATATGTGCCGCATTTTCTTTATCCAGTCTATCATTAATGGACATTTGGGTTGGTTCCAAGACTTTGCTATTGTGAACAGTGCTGCAATAAACAAATGTGTGCATGTGTCTTTATAGTAGAATGATTTATAATCCTTTGGGTTTATACTCAGCAATGGGATTGCTGGGTCAAATGGTATTTCTGGTTCTAGATCCTTGAGGAATTGCCACACTGTCTTCCACAATGGTTGAACTGATTTACTCTCCTACCAACGGTATAAAAGTGTTCCTATTTCTCCACATTCTCTCCAGCATCTATTGTTTCCTGACTTTTTAATGATCGCCTTTCTAACTGGCATGAGATGATAGCTCATTGTGGTTTTGATTTGCATTTCTCTAATGACCAGTGATGATGGGCTTTTTTTCATATGTTTCTTGGCCACATAAATGCCTTCTTTTGAGGAGTGTCTGTTCTTATCTTTTGTCCATTTTTTGATGGGTCTGTTTTTTTTTTTCCTGTAAATTTGTTTCTTTGTGGATTCTGGATATTAGCCAGATGGATGTTGTCAGATGGATAGATTACAAAAATTTTCTCCCATTCTGTAGGTTGCCTGTTCACTCTGATGATAGTTTCTTCTGCTGTGTAGAAGCCCTTTAGTTTAATTAGATCCCATTTGTCAATTTTGGCTTTTGTTGCAATTACTTTTGGTGTTTTAGTCATGAAGTCTTTGCCCATGCCTGTGTCCTAAATGGTATTGCCTACAGTTTCTTCTAGGGTTTTATGTTTTAGGTCTTATGTTTAAGTCTTTAATCAATCTTGAGTTAATTTTTGTATAAGGTGTAAGGAAGAGGTCCAGTTTCAGTTTTCTGCAACTGGCTACCCAGTTTTCCCAACACCATTTATTAAACAGGGAATCTTCCCCATTGCTTGTTTTTGTCAGGTTTGTCAAAGATCAGATGGTTGTAGATTTGTGGCATTATATCTGAGGCCTTTTTTTCTGTTCCATTGGTCTATATCTCTGTTTTGGTACCAGTACCATGCTGTTTGGGTTACTGTAGCCTTGTAGTATATTAGCGGGATGGGGATACCATTGAATCTATAGATTAGTTTGGGCAGTATGGCCATTTTCATGATATTGATTCTTCTTATCCATGAGCATGGAATGTTTTTCCATTTGTTTGTGTCCTCTCTTATTTCCTTGAGCAGAGGTTTGTAGTTCTCCTTGAAGGGGTCCTTCACATCCCTTGTAAGTTGTATTCCTAGGTATTTAATTGTCTTGTAGCAATTGTCAATGGGAGTTCACTCATGATTTGGCTCTCTATTTTAGGTGTATAGGAATGCTTGTGATTTTTGCATATTGATTTTTTATCCTGAGACTTTGCAGAAGTAGCTTATCAGCTTAAGTCAATTTGGGGCTGAGATGATGAGGTTTTCTAAATAGACAATCATGTAATCTGCAAACAGAGACAATTTGACTTCCTCTCTTCCTATTTGAATACCCTTTATTTCTTTCTCTTACCTGATTGCCCTGGGCAGAACTTCCAATACTATGTTGAATAGGAGTGGGGAGAGAGGGCATCCTTGTCTTGTGCTGATTTTCAAAGGGAACGCTTCCACCTTTTACCTATTCAGTATGTTATTGTCCATGGGTTTGTCATAAATAGCTCTTATTATTTTGAGATACATTCCATCAGTACCTAGTTTATTGCGCGTGCTGCTGGATTTGGTTTGCTAGTATTTTTTTGAGGATTTTCGCATAGATGTTCATCAGGGATATTGGCCTGAAATTTTCTTTTTTTGTTGTGTCTCTTCCAGGTTTTGGTATCAGGATGATACTGGCCTCATAAAATGAGTTAGGGAGGAGTCCCTCTTTTTCTGTTGTTTGGAATAGTTTCAGAAGGAATGGTACCAGCTCCTCTTTGTACCTCTGGTAGAATTAATTCGGCTGTGAATCCGTTTGGTCGGGCTTTTTTTGTTTGGTAGGTTATTAATTTCTGCCTCAATTTCAGAACTTGTTATTGGTCTATTCAGGGATTCAACTTCTTCCTGGTTTAGTTTTGGAGGGTGTATGCGTCCAGGAATTTATCCATTTCTTCTAGATTTCCTAGTTTATTTGCGTAGAGATGTTTATAGTGTTCTCTGATGGTAGTTTGTATTTCTGGGGGATCAGTGGTGATACCCCCTTTATTATTTTTTATTGTGTCTATTTGATTCTTCTCTCTTTTCTTCTTTATTAGTCTGGCTAGCAGTCTATCAATTTTGTTAATCTTTTCAAAAAACCAGTTCCTGGGCTCATTGATTTTTTAAAGGGATTTTTGTGTCTCTATCTCCTTCAGTTCTGCTCTGATCTTAGTTTTTTCTTGTCTTCTGCTAGCTTTTGAATTTGTTTGCTCTTGTTTCTCTACTTCTTTTAATTGTGATGTTAGGGTGTCAATTTTAGATCTTTCCTGATTTCTCCTGTGGGCATTTAGTGCTATAAGGGGATGGAGGAATATTTACCAAGCAAAGGGAAAGCAAAAAAAAAAAAAAAAAAAGCAGGGGTTGCCATCCTAGTCTCTGATAAAACAGACTTTAAACCAACAAAGATAAAAAAAAAAAAAAAGACAAAGAATGGCATTACTTACATAATGGTAAAGGGATCAATGCAACAAGAAGAGCTGACTATCCTAAATACATATGCCCCCAGTACAGGAGCACCCAGATTCATAAAGCACGTTCTTAGAGACCAACAAAGAGACTTAGACTCCCACACAATAATGGAGAATTTAACACCCCACTGTCAATATTAGACAGATCAACAAGACAGAAAATTAACAAGGATATTCCAGACTTGAATTCAGCTCTGGACCAAGCAGACCGAATAGACATCTACAGAACTCTCCACCCCACATCAAAAGAATATACATTCTTCTCAGCACCACTTTGCATTTATTCTAAAGCTGACCACATAATTAGAAGTGAAACATTCCTCAGCAAATGCAAAAGAACAGAAATCATCACAAACATTCTCTCAGACCACAGTGCAATCAAATTAGAACTCACGATTAAGAAACTCACTCAAAACCACACAAATACATGGAAAATGAACAACCTGCTCCTGAATGACTACTGGGTAAATAATGAAATTAAGGCAGAAATAAATAAGTTCTTTGAAACTAATGAAAACAAAGACCACAATGTACCAGAATCTCTGGGACACAACTAAACCAGTGTTTAGAGGATGTTAGGTGCTTAAGGGCAGCTATGATGGCTAATTCATCTTTATGCCTGTGGCCCCAAGGAGCAAGCCAGGCTCTCCAATAAGCTGTGTAGCTTCACAAAAGGGCTCTGGCAATCCAGAGGAAACCCCAATCCTGAAGGAAAAGCAAACTTTCCTGATATTTACTGAATGTCTGTTTAGTGATTGACTGTCATCTTCCTTGTTGAAATCAATAGGAGACTCAATGAAGTGAAAATGAAATCAATATTTAATTCCCACTGGTAAGAGATAATGCCATGGCCTATGTTCAACTGCCAACTTTCCCTAATTCAAAAGGGTAATAGGAGCTGTGCCATCTCAGCCTCATAGCCAAGACTCATATCAGTAATTTTTTCCTTACTGATTTACTACGTTCCTACCACATGGTAGATGTTATGTTGTACATTTTTACCATGCTCATACAGCAAACCAACTAGTGATTTATCAGTTGAGTATTTAAAATGTGGCATAGAAAGGGCTGAATACTTTTTTTTTTTTTTTTTTTTGAGATGGAATCTCACTCTTTTACCAAGGCTGGAGTGCAGTAGCACAATCTTGGCTCACTACAACCTCTGCCTCCTGGATCAAGTGATTCTCCTGCCTCAGCCCCCTGAGTAGCTGGGACCACAGGCACACACCACCACGCCTGGCTAATTTTTGTATTTTTAGTACAGACAGGGTTTCAACATATTGGCCAGGCTGGTCTTGAACTCCTGATCTCAACTAATCTGCCTTCTTCAGCCTCCCAAAGTGCTGTGATTACAGGCGTGAGCCATGGCGCCCAGCTGAAAGTGCTGAATACTTTAAATATACAACCTCATTGAAGCCTTACAACCACATTTTGAGATACGTACTATTGCCTAATTCTACACATGAGAAAACTGTGGCATGGAGAAGTGAAGAAACTTGCCCTCTTAGAATACTGTAGGATCAGGATTTGAACGCATGTCTGGGTAATTCCATATCTTGTGTTTTTAACCACTATGCTTTACTACCTCATTTCTTAGATGAGGAAACTAAGACTCAGAAATAACATTTCCAAGGCCCCACCCAGAATCCAAGTGTCTCATTTCACCTTAAAAAGTCCCTTTAAAGTGTGAGTTAAATTTCAGTCGTTGTGGTTATTCCATTTATTCAGGAGCTATAATAAACAGGGCCCTTAATTCTATGTGGAATATATAGTTGAAGACCCACTCCTTATCTTTACAGAGTATATATCTAGTTGTTGGCAATATGACAAGTAAGTAAAAACAGAATGCAATATGTGGAAATCCAGGGGTGTCACAGCTGGTGAATCTATCGAGAAATCTTTGGCAATAGAAAAACACGGCTATTAAGGAAATGCATTTTCTTATATAATGGGAACATCATAGGGTGTTCTGGGGGGTGGTTGATTCCACATTCCAGTGTCATGAGAATGTACATGCGAGCTATTGCCCTCTTTCCACTTTTCCACTCTTGTTTTGCTATGTGTCCTTCAGCTAACTTCTCTTACTGCTAGAGTATTTGTGGGAGTATCAGGTGTTACATCCAGAAATGACTATGCACTGACGGATCAATTGCCATTTCTTCCTATGTGTCTTTTTAAAGTGGGAAAATATTTCCCAAATATTCTCTGCATGTTTAAGGGAGTCTTTTGTTAGAATCTTGTACATACCAATCCCCCAAACAATTAGTGTCTCAGGAAATGAGACAATCATGACTGACTTACAGGACCCACCTGACAGGGCTGACGCAACTGGAGGAGGATGGATACCTGAAAAAAAAAAGAAAAAAGAAAAAGAAAAAAATAACAGGGTTTCATCTGGAACAGATAGGGGAAATAATGAACATTAGGAAGATAACCAAGAGGATTGATTGCTTTAATAAACAAATGTAATATAGTTATAAAGTAGTCCTAGGAGCCGGCTGAGGTGACCACTACTGGGTGTGGAGAAGGCTTAGAAATCATGGTAGGCCCAAGGGAAGCTCAGAACCATAGACACAGGAGGCACCTCTATTCACCTGGCTTCCTCCATAATTCAACTGACAGATCTTCCAATTACTGCCTTTGCAGTATTGGGAAGAACACTTAACCTCCATATGCTCTAATTTCCTTCCCTTCATAGTAAGAGTCTCTGTCAGGCATTGAAGAGCTGGACTCTTTACTCTTCATGCACAGGGAGACCAACAATTAATATTGCTCTAACCATACAATTGTGCAGAAAACATACCTGGGGAATTTTACTCAATAAAGATACCGTGTAAGTTACCCAAGCTACAGAGTCCAAAGGGGATTTAAATCCAGCCCATGTTTTACTTGTCAAACCATGCACCTTGGCAGATACTTGTGTCCACCCTGAGGAAAGCATCATCCCACAAGGACATTATCCACCTGCAAGAACAAGTCCAGGGGTCTGCATCTGCGTAAGGTGGGAAGTAACTTCAAAACACCTACATGTGGTTTCATAGGAGCCCTGCTCCTCAAGATGTTTCAGGAGAGAAACTGGTGCTCCTCTAATAGGGCTTCTTGGGAGACAGCATACAAGAATGGTAGGCATATGTTTGTAAGTCTTTTTAACCCACTCCTAGTACCAAAAGTGTGTGGTGGCTCAGATGATGGGCTCTGGAATCAGAATGCTGGGACTTGGTTTCTGAAGTCTGCTCCTTTTTAGCTATCTTAATTTGGGTTTCCGAATAAGTTTGAGATCACTTATCAGTTTGTTAGATAATCCCAGGAAGCATGGTAAGATAATGAACAACAGAAGAAAACCAATAACTATTACCAGTATTGGTAGCTGGGACTTCAGTTCACCAGGATCTACATGAAGGGCTTTGTAGGAAGCAACTTGGAATTGTCTCAGCAACGAACAAAAACTGGGGTATTTAATCCAATGACTCCTATTTCTCATTACATAAGGACTAATTCTGGGGACATGTGGAAGCCAGCCAACAAGATAACCCTCAGAAATATCTGCCTCATAATATTTGGTATTTATGCCCTTGTGTAATCTGTTCCCCTAATATATCAGGATTGGTCTGTGCAACCAACAGAATATGGCACAGGTGATAGGATGTCATTGCTGAGGCTAGGTTATGACAGACAGCATGACTTCTACATTGTTTTCTCTCTTGGATCACTAGCTTGGGGGCAGCCAACTGCCATTGAGGAAGCCAAATGCACAGGCTCATTTGGCTCATATTGGCCTCCTGCCCACAGCCTTGAGTCAGTGATCTTGGAAGTGGATCCTTCAGCCCCAATTCAACATTCATGTGACTGTAGCTGTGACCAGCCCTTCAAGGTGCAGTCTCATGAGAGAATTTGAGATAGAATCATTTGACTATGTTTCTCCCAGATTTCTCACCCTCATAAATAGTGTGAGATAATAATAAATATTTGTTAAGTTACAACACTTGGGGTAATTTTTATGGAATAATAGATAACTCATACATGGTGTTAACTTTCCAACATTTCTGAAATGTTGCTTCCATGGGCAAGACAAGCTCCTGTGGCCAGAGAAAATCATCAGGAAAGGGGCACAGATGCTTGAGGAAAGAAGTTTACAGCACACACCAGAATGGCTCTTCAGAGCTGCAGGTGATGTCTGGAGGAGTGTGTGAGGACAGAGCACCAGGCCAGCTGTGTAAACTTGAGCATGATTATACACACCTCTAAGCTTGGGTTCTCTCTCCTCTTTTGGCCCACTCTTCTTCTTCACTTCCTGATTTTAATCTCTTCTTCTTTCCTCCCTTTTATTTATTTATTGATGGATTGACTTTTCAAGGTATCTACCCTCTTAACTAAAACTACGGTTCTCAACTCTCAGCTCAGGCTAACCCAAAAGGGCTACTTTAGCAAAGGGACAATGAATCTTTGGTTCTATTAAGAAGCTGTTTTAGAATCTTAGTGTGTCTGATTGTGTGGCTTGAGATAGACAGGGGTGTCTACCATAGCAGATTCAAGGAACTTGATAGAAAATCTTCCGAAAATAAATCTATCCACTAGTCAATCAATAAGGCAAATGACTAGGCTTAACTACTATCCCAGTCTCAATGTAAAGGTCCACAGGCACTTATTTTTCATGTTGTGTTTACCAAAACAATTGCTACATTGATTAGACTTTAGGTCAGTTCCATAAAATACTTAGAATCTGTGCAGGCACTGGGTTAGGAGGGCCTATTCTACAAAGATGGAATGCATAAGCTTACTCTCCTTTGGAACTCAGGCTGGCAGGGAAGGTGACCCAGGAACTGAGTGTTTTAGTGTAGATTATTCAACTAGGCATGCAGATGTATATCTTCAGATGAGAAAGTCTATCGCTTTTGACTAATAGGCCCACTAAATTGTAAGAACTACTGATGTAGGCCAATATGGTCTACAGTCTGAGTCAACATAGCAAAAAATAGAGCTTCAGCTGAGTTATGTTTTGTTTCCCCGCTCCCCACCAGAATAGTCTGGGCAAGATGAAAATAGTATTTGGAAGGAATGCTCTCAGCAGCAGTATCCAAAATTTAACTGGTTTGAGCTTATCATCTACTTGTTTATGCTGATTCCATGATTAACCAGGAGTTTCTGCCTAGGTTGTTACTGCATTTTATTTTATTTTTATTATTATTTTTTGAGACGAAGTTTCAGTTTTGTTGCCCAGGCTGGAGTGCAATGACACAATTTCAGCTCACTGCAACCTCTACCTCCCAGATTCAAGTGATTCTCCTGCCTCAGCCTCCTGAGAAGCTGGGATTACAAGAGTGCGCAACCACGCCCAGCTAATTTTTGTATTTTTTTAGTAGAGATGGAGTTTCACCATGTTGGCCAGCCTGGTCTCAAACTCCAGACCTCAGGTGATCTGCACGCCTCAGCCTCCCAAAGTGCTGGGATTACGGGCATGAGCCACAATGTTCGGCCCGTTACTGTATTTTGATACTCATGACTTTGTCTATGGCCTGCTTTAGCTGTTCCTGCTCCTGGGCTACAAACAACCATACCAGGCCAGGGAATCTGCATCAGCAAAACTCTCTCTTTTCACAAGGATGAAAAACATCAAGGTTTAATGTAATCAGAAGTCTTTTTTGGTGAAAGCTTATAGAGATGTTGGCAGTTTTAAAATATTAGTAAAATTGTATTCAAATCAGTAAACATCACTGAGTGCCTGCAAGTTGTCTGAGTATTATAGCAATATGCTGTACCACAGCCACCAAAAAAAAATGATAAAAAGCATGTACAACTAAACACAGTTTAATCGGTTTTTGAAGATTCAGAAGGCATATTGGCTGTTTCGCAGGTGCAACCTATCATGGATCTTGTTATTTCTGTTTTTGTTAAAATCAAGTGAACAGATGCCAGATAAACTTATGTTATTAAGCAGGTTATCAGAATAGGGACTTGGTAGAGAGGATGTGATTTCGTGCTGGACTGCAACTAGTAAGAGAAAATCCAAATTCTTACTGCACTGTGCATTTATGTTTCTGAGAGGAACTCTCAGCAGCCCCACACCAAAATTAACTGTCCCTTTGCCAAATGATGCAAAATTTGGTTCCTCTTCATGGACCTCTAAAATTAACTTTCAGATGATTGATTCTTATAGATGAGATCTGGGATTCTAAATACCCAAAGGTAATAGACCATGTCTCTTGAGGTGATTTATCGTACCCAGATCAGAAGAGAACTGTGAGACTACAATAGCTGGGTGGGCTATACCACTCTCCACCAAACCCTCATCCTAGCATTTATTCCCCAGCCTCTGGCAAGGCTTTATGAGTTTCTTAAAAAATGTCACGAGAACAGCGTGCGTAATTCCATGAAAAAGATGTGCTTTTCACCTGACGATCAGGAAGTTCTTCTAAACATTTTGCTGAAGTTCTCCGTGCTTTCTTTAAAACCAATCTCTCAGCCAGGTGTGGTGGCTCACGCCTGTAATCCCAGCACTTTGGGAGGCCGAGGTGGGTGGATCATGAGGTCCGGAGTTCAAGACTAGCCTGGCAAAAGATGGTGAAACCCCGTCTCTACTAAAAATACAAAAATTATCCAGGCATGGTGGCAGGTGCCTGTAATCCCAGCTACTCAGGAAGCTGAGGCAGGGAATTGCTTGAACCTGGGAGGTGGAGGTTGCAGTGAGTTGAGATCGCGCCACTGCACTCCAGCCTGGGCGACAGAGCAAGACTCTGTCTCAAAAAAAAAAAAAAAAAAAAAAGTCTCTCACTCATCACAGACAACCTGGGAAAAGCAGACCACTGAAATGCAGAAGGAGGAGTTAAAGTCTTTAAACACTAGGGTTCTTTTAACTTCAAGAGTTCATGGGAATTGTAAATGATATTGGCACTGAATTGAATTTCAAAGGTGTCTTGTATTACTGAATCATTAAAATATTGTGTGTATGTCTGTGGCACACTAAAGAAATACTCTCTGTATGGACTTTCCTTGACTTCATCAGTAATAACAAGGCTAACCAGTAATTTAGAAAGTACTTTTATTTCTATTATATTAAATGTTCCTTTTAATAACTTTGCAAAATAGATTTTATTATAATTCCATTATAAAAATAAGATCATGTTTTTAATCAAAAGACAGACTATAACAAGTATTGACAAGAATGTGGAGAAATCATAATTCACATATGTCACTGTGGGAATGCCACATTGAACGGTTGCTTTAGGAAACAGTTTTATATTTTTTCAAAATGTTAAAAATGGGATAACCAGATGACCCAGCAACTCCATTCTTAGGTATCTACCCAAGAGAATTGAAAGCATATGTCCACACAAGACTTGGACATAAATGTTCACAGCACCATTATTTATAATAGCCAAAGAGTGGAAATTACCCAGTTGTTCATCAACTGATGAGTGAAGAAGTAAAATGTAGCATATTCATTCAATGAAATACTTGATGGTAAAAAAGGAATGATCCAATAATGCATGCTTCAGTAGGAATTATACTTGAAAACATTATGCTAAGTGAAAGTAGCTAGATACCCAAAAAACATATATGAATTCATTCATATAAAATGTCCAAATAGGCAAATCCATAAAGACAGTAGATTAGTGGTTGGCAGGACTAAGGTGAAATGAGAATGGGAAGTGACTGCTAATGAATATGGGGTTTTCTTTGCAGTGATGAAATGTTCTAAAATTAGATAGTAGTGATGGTGCATAACTTTGGAAATACTTTAAGCCACTGACTTACATCTTTTAAAATGGCAGATTTGATGTATGTGATTTATATATCAATTACAAAAAGATATGTAAAGAAGACAAAATAGACTCCCTGAGAAATTATTTAATTCATCCAGCAAGTGATATCCATTGGCAGAAGAATGGATCATTACAAATTTGCAGTATATTCAGACACTGGAATAATACACAGCAGTAAAAAGGAAAGAATGATAGGTATAGGCAAGGGCATAGATGAATCTTTAAAACATAATATTCATTAGAAGAAAAAGCAAGTTGAAGAAGTACATATAGATTATTCAATATGTTAATAAAGCTTGGAAACAAATTCACAGATATGTTTGTATGTAAAAAGTATGTATATTTAAAATAAAACCAAGGGTTGGTGATTACAGTGATATGGGGGCCAGGAAAAGTCAGGAGTTTGGCAATATTCAGGTTCTTAAATTAAGTGTAAATATGCTAGAGATCAACCTTTATCATGCTTCATTTCATAGTGTACTTTTTTTTGCATGCAGATGTAATATGGCATTAGGTGAAACCATGTAAAAATGCTATTTTTCTTAGTCAAAATAGTCAAATACCAGAAATTACATATTATTCAAACTTTTTTTTAAGTAAGAAGAATAGAAATTTGGAGCCAAACTTATACTAAATTCAACTCGGGGCATGATTTTGGGGCCGTATTTTATACCACGCTTTGTTAGATTTTGGTGGGAGTGAGATTAAAATAGTAGTAATATTTGCAAGAATGGCTCATTTTTATTAGATGTGAATTATGTACCAGGCACTAAGTAAATTTTTACAGCAACTCTGTATGATTCACAGTTTACAGAGAAAATCTAAGCTTCAGTTTTAAGAACTTACCCAAAGTGACTGTGAGTGGGTTAGTGGTAGTTTACATGTGTTTTCCACTGTCTTCTGTAGAAAACTGGCTCCAACATAAAAAACCTAACTGGCCCTTTCTCTCCATTTGTATTGTGACAACCTTAATCCAATCGACGATCTCAGCTACTACAAATCTCCAGTGTTCCCTTGGCTGCCTTGGCTTGCCTTCAATCACTTAGAATGAAATCTGCATTTCTTACTGGTGTCTTCAAGGCTGCAATAGTTTCCTGGGGCTGTTGTCACACAGTACCACAAATTGGAGGGGCTTAAAGCATATACATGTATTATTTCACAATTCTCAAGGCTAGAAGTCCCAAATCAAGAGCATTGCCATACTCTATCAGAAACTCACGGTAGAAATCTTCCTTGCCTCTTCCTAGCTTTTGGGGTGGCTGAAAATCCTTGGCATTCTCTGGCTCACAGCTGCATCCTGGCACCCTCTGCCTCCAGCATCTTATGGCGTTCTCCCTGTGTGTCTGTCTCTTTGTCTCTATTTTCTCTTTTTATGAGGACACTAGTCATATTGCATTAGAACCTACCCTAATGAAGTATGACCTCATTGTAACTGCATTACTCCTGCAAATACCCTATTTCCAAATAAAGTCACATTCTGAAGTACTGGGAGTAAGTAATTCAACATGTCTTTTTGCAGGACACAATTCAACCCATAACAAATACCTCTCAAGACCTTCTCAGCTGTCTATGATCCAGTGCTTTTCTCCCCGCTCCATCATTGTCCTGATCTTCTCTCAGTTTCTGAAGCAGCCTTGTTAGTTTCTACCACATGGTCTTTAAACCTGCTGCTCTCAGCCTGGAATAATGCACTTCCATGGACTTCCTATAGCCTGCTCCCTCTCTGTCTTTGGGTCTTAATTTAAGATTTCACCTCCTCTGAGATGTGTTTTCTATTCCACCCTTTCTTAAGCATGTCTTTATTCTACTTTTTCATTCTTTTTCTTTTTAATTCCCTGAGTTTCATGCATAGCAATTTTTTTTTTTTTTTTTGACAGAGTCTCACTCTGTCGCCAGACTGGAGTGCAGTCACACAATCTTGGCTCACTGCAAACTTCACCTCCCGGGTTCAAGCGAATCTCCTGCCTCAGCCTCCCAAATAGCTGGGACTACAGGCACATGCCACCACGCCAGGCCAATTTTTGTATTTTTAGTAGAGACAGGTTTTCACCACGTTGGCCAGGATGGTCTTGATCTTCTGACCTCGTGATCTGCCTGCCTCGGCCTCCCAAAATTCTGGGATTACAGGCGTGAGCCACTGCACCCAGCCCATGCGTAGCAATTTTTAGTTATAAATAAATTATAAATTTGTTTGTAAATATTTCATTATCGACTTGCGTACTTTCTGCTCTCCATCCTCCCACCCTCGCCATACCCTCAAACATAAACTCTATGAAGGGCTGGTATCCTGACTCTCTGGTTCCCCACAATTGCAGCACAGTGCTTGTCACATAGTGCTTATCACAAGAAGTTTTTATTTGAATGGACGAATGAATGAACAAATGAATGAATGAATAAGCCAGAAGCAATTATGGTGTGTCCTATCTGAAACATACATCCCTATTAGGGAGTCAGTTTTACAATAACTGGTTTAGAGCCGAGAGGTTAATAGGAGACAGCACTAAATTTTACCACTTACTGTGTGCCTACTGCAAGGTACTTGACTCTTCTAAGTCTCGATTACATTGTCTGTCAAACAGGGTTCATCACAGTACCAATTTGGCTCAGTAAATTAGGAGGAGGTGAAGTAGCCAGGGCACAAGTGGTGGTGGAGATGACAATGAGGGGAATATTTGGCAATGTATCAGAAAGCAAAGATATAAGATGGGCTGGCCAGGAAGTTCCCAAAGGACCAATCCTGTCTTATGCAGCTTCTGTGCCTGCTCTGAAAACCTGGAGGACAGCATCATCCTGAGGCCACGTTTTCACTTTCCAGCCACGCATTCAGCTAATTGCTTTGGCAGCAATTCTGCCACCAGGCTGCAGGCCTGGAAACCTGCCCCTTTCAGATAATAGTTCACATCCTTGAAGTGAAAAGACGGCAGTCCATGAACTGGGAAAGATCCATACTTCTGATTTTATGGAGTAAAACTTAGCAAGAAGTTGTGAAGGAAGATTTTGTCAGAATTTAATAGGAGGAGAGAATTCTATAGATAGACCTTTCCAAAGCAATAAATCAACATGAAAACCTGTAGCCATGGTGAGCGCTTGCCTCAAGGGACAGAAAACAAAGTACAAGTCTGGGGATGGTGCTGCACTTGAGTTACCTTTAAATGAGAGGCACAGTTTCATCCCCGGGCTTATACTGACCCAGTAAAAGCTGAGTCTGAGCGTACTCCCTGGGCAAGAAAAATAGATTTTCCTTAATCAGAGCTTTTCACTATTAAAAGGCAGTTGTATAAGTTCCACAATTATGTCAGGAAATCTAGACATAAAGCTCTTGATTGATTTCAAGCCAGGAGGGACCTAGTTCATTGTTTGGTACCCAGAGAAGACAAATGAGATAGGACCCCAGTACTACTGCTTCTAAGAAAAGAGAGCATGCTCACGCTTAGGCGTAAATCATGTGGAAAGAGCCCTGGGTTTATTTTATTTTTACTTTTTTCTTAAGAGACAGGGTCTCACTCTGTCACCCAAGTGGAATGCAGTGGCAGGTAGCTCACTGCAGACTCGAACTCCGGGGCTCAAGGGAAGCTCCTGCCTTAGCCTCTTGAGTAATTGGAACTATGGTGTGCACCACCATGCCTGGCTAATTTTTAAATTTCTTGAGAGATGAGGTCTTGCTATGTTATCTAGTCTCAAATTCCTGGCTTCAAGTCATCCTCCCTCCTCAGCCTCGCAAAGCACCGGGATTATAAATTAGGAGGAGGTAAAGTAGCACCCAACCTGCAGGGCCCTGGGTTTGAAGTCAGATTTGCCTCTGACTTACTGGATGGGAGATCCTGGGTAGTTCCCAGCCTGGCTAAGCCCTATGTCCCATCTGTAAATCAAAGTTGCTGATATTCCAAGAATCCCTTCAGGTGGCAAACTAAGATCACTCCCAAGTCTCGACTTATACAGGACTCACAGCTACCTGTTTTCATTGGTTACTGTACCTCTTTGAGTCTAATAATCATGCTATTTTTATGTTGTCTCTTTCCTCCTTAGACAAGTATTTCTTTACTTTTTTTCAATACTGCCCCTTAAGTATTTTTGACACTTTTTTCTCTAATTGTTCTCCCCTCTCCTTATGATTTAAATACCACAGATATCAATTTGTATATCAATTTCTGCAATGTGATTCCTTGGAAGGGCATAAAGCATTGTAAGTTCTAAAAATTTTCGAACCTCTAAAATCAATTTTTGCCCCCTTAGGGGCATTATCACTCCTTGTTAAAAAATGCATGCTTAATACTGCAAGTTATATGTCAACAGGAAATATGTATCTTGTTTGAACAGTATCCTTAGCACATGGCACATAAGAAATGCAGTGGTATTTATTGGATGGGTGACTGAGTGAATCAATTGATGGATTGAGGATTAACAGAGTCATGTAAAAAAATTGCTTAGTCTTATTCCTGCTACAGAGCAAGTAGAAAATATATATTTGCTTCCACTTCTGAAACTTGTCAAAACCTTTCAGTAGCATTGATCAAAATTATTTCAGAGATTTATTTTCCTCTTTTTATCTCTAACCTAACTGTCGACACACTGAGTGCACAGGCCAATGCCTGATACTCTGTGTACTCTGTACTACGTTAAGTATTTAATGAATGAATAAATGAAAGGAAGAATTAAAATGTAGGGTTTAACTCATCCTTGATCGGAACAATTCCAAGAGTCTAGTGCTTGCCCCACTAGCGAAGGAGACATGATACCTTTGCTCACAGGCACCATTTCTGTCTCATTACAGTGATTTTGTTCTGCTACCTGAAAGCCCTCTGTAGGCAAAAGAGAAAGCAACCTTGCACAATGCAGTAGTGGCTTATTCAGCTTGTTTTTTAACCAGAAAGTCTTTGTGATAAGAATCCTATTACTTTGCAAAAAGAGAGCTTTGCCTCAGGAATGTGAACACGAGAAGAATGAGGTCTAGCAAATTGAATATATGGAGGTAGAATTCAGCCAAGGAGATGACTTGGGGCAAGGAGGGTAGTGATTGAGAGAAAGAAGAAGGCAATTTTGAGGGTCTGGAAAGGTTCTATTTCCTGATCTGTGTGCTGATTATATGGGTGTGCTCACTTTGTAATAATTCACAAGCTATACACTTAAAATTTGTGTATTTTTCTAGAGGCACAATTAAAAGAAAGAATAATGAGGCCAACAAACTTAACCTTTTGAAAATCAGACACTCAGGCTAGTCAATTTTCTTCTCTGAGCCTCAATTTCTTCCTAATAATAGTACTTACTTCTCAGGTTTGATGTGAGTATTAAATACAGTATATAAATTACTTAGTGTAGTGCCTGGTTCATTATTTATCAGTTATTACTAATTAGTTATTATTATCATTAACTCAGCCCAAATTTATTAAAACCATACTAAAAGTGTCCATTACTTTTAATTCATATGCAAGGAGTCTAAATTCAGAAAACGGTAAAATGAGGACACTCCCCTATCCTCTCATATTTCATCATAAAAATTTTCAGATACACAGAAAAGTTGGAAAGAATGGTAGAGTCAATGCTCCTAGAGTCACCATCTGCATTCTATGCCTAACATTTTGCTAGATTTGCTTCATTGCATAGCCATCCATCTATCCCTCCCTCAGGGACTTCTGTTACGGACACCTGACCATGGCAGTAGGATGGGGACTACTAAGGAAAACAATTGTGCTAGTTTCAGGAAGTCTCTGGCCGAACTTACCCAATGGAGCCACCTTGTGTTGAATAATTCAAGTCTTCATATTCATACTTCTCAGCAGTCCAGAAACAAGATAACTTGCCGTAGGAGAAGCAGGTAACACAGCGTCAAGGCTGCTATGCCCTACAGAGAAGCAAGTGAAAAACAAAGCCTTCTCCTGACCTTGGCTTGCCCAAGAGAATATGCAGCAGATGTAAATTCCTCCCAAGAGTTTTTAAATTCATAAATTAACACTGACTTTGAAT
The DNA here is from genome assembly GCF_000001405.40 of Homo sapiens. Taxonomy (NCBI): domain Eukaryota; kingdom Metazoa; phylum Chordata; class Mammalia; order Primates; family Hominidae; genus Homo; species Homo sapiens. The sequence goes on from NC_000003.12 coordinate 7,546,658, forward strand.
TAGTCATATTTTCCACTGAATGGATACAGAAAAGCCTAGAGTTTTTTTTTTTCTTACAGACAAGCTGAGTTTCCATATTCTAGTTTTTCTGTAACAACTATGTAGCATTTGCACAATAAGAGCATTTGTTTTGGTTCCTGCTTTAATAAATCGTGGTTCTGCTTTAATGAACAAAACCAAATAATTTGTAATTGGTCCATTAATTATCTGCATGTAAATGCCGATGTTAGAGTAACTTAATAAGCCATTGAAAAAGCATTCTTGTTTGCCAGTTGAGTTATACTCTATTTAGTAAACAGCTCTTTTTTGGGAGGTGGGATGCTTGTTTTCTTTTGTTTTGAAGCAGGGAGGCCTTGGGAAACTAAATCAGAACGCAATCTGAATCCTACAGAACCCCCAAGGCCTAAACTAGGACGGGAGGGCTCCATGAAAATTCAATTAATTGAAGTGTTAACTAATGAACCCGTCCTATGCCAGATCCATGAGAAAGCCCCGGCACAGTGGCCTTTCTCAGCACAGCCCCCAGAGAGTGAATTCTTTTTTTTTTTTTTTTTTTTTTTTTTTTTTGAGACGGAGTCTCACTCTGTCGCCCAGGCTGGAGTGCAGTGGCGTAATCTCGCCTCACTGCAAGCTCCACCCCCCGGGTTCACGCCATTCTCCTGCCTCAGCCTCCCAAGTAGCTGGGACTACAGGCGCCCGCCGCCACGCCTGGCTAATTTTTTGTATTTTTAGTAGAGATGGGGTTTCACTGTGTTAGCCAGGATGGTCTCGATCTCCTGACCTCGTGATCTGCCCGCCTCGGCCTCCCAAAGTGCTGGGATTACAGGCGTGGGCCACCGCAAGGCCAAGAGTGAATTATTAATAGCTAGAAGAGTGCTAAACTTTGGGGCACGTAAGAATGTGCTATGGTGCTTCCAAAAAAATCCTATTGCCCAGGTCCAACACCTTATCAATTAAATCAGAAAGTCCAGGTCAGGGTGTGTGCCAGATATCAGTAATTTTTAAAGATCCCCAGATAATTCCAGTATGTAGCAAAATTTGGATAATGGTGGCCTATAAAATGATCCTTTTACCCATCTGACTCTCCCATGTACAAAAGGAAAAAATAGCCAAGCAAAATAACGAAAGCAAAGAAACAGATAAAAGAATAAATTCTCCCCTAATCTATCATCATAAGAAGTGTCATTCCTTTGGATATTTAAAATACAGTGGACTCAACAGCAAGTGAATCATTTCACTAACTGGAGATCCTTTCCAGAAGAACTTGTTTGGAACAGAGAGAGGACTGACTATGGATTCTGAAATGAAGCCCAAAAAAGGCAGAGTGGTGGCCATGAATGGGGAAAGAAGACAAGGCAGGCAAGGACAAGTTTGGATCTTGAACAGTTGGCCAACACTGCTGGCACCCAAGAGTATAACTGCTGTAGTTTGGATGTTTGTCTCCTCCAAATATGATGTTGAAATTTGATCCCAGACACTGGAAGTGAGGCCTAATGGGAAGCATTTGGGTCATAGGTGAAGGTTCCTCATGAATGTCTTCGTGCCATCCTCTAGGTAATGAGTGAATGTCAGCTCTATTAGGTCCCATGAGAGCTGGTTGTTAAGAAAAACCTGGCACCTCCTAAGTCTCTCTCTTGCTCCCTCTCTTACCATGGGACCTCTCCACACTCCAGCTCCGCTTTGCCTTCTGCCCTGAGTGGAAGCAGCCTGAGGCCTTCACCAGAAGCCAAGCAGGTGCTAGTGCCCTGCTTCTGGTATAGCCTACAGAATGATGGGCTAAATAAACCTCTTTATAAATTTCCCAGCCTCAGGTGTTTCTCTATAGCAACACAAACAGACTAAGACAATGTCTGAAAGAAATATTTGTGAGGGAAAATCCAGACTATATTTTAATGGAAAATCTCAGGCAAAATGCCTCTTCTAGAAATAGGAAAAATGTGTTTTCTGGGGAGGGTGGGAAGCAGAGCCATCTGTTACACCATCTAAAGATGTTTTTGGTTCTTCTTCCAATTGTGATCCCCTAGGACTACCTCCCATTTATCTAACTCAATGTAAATCATCTCCTACAGCCATTTTGAAGCACTAGTGTGTGGGCATTCAGGAAGAGGCAAGTGTATGGCTTTGGTTGCAGTTCTGGGTGTGCCCCTTTTCTAAGAACTTTGAGCCTCACTCTCTGCATTTTGTGGTGGAACTAATATTTGAAGCTTTTCAAAGTGAATGCAAAGATTAAATAAAATCAGGACACTTTTCACAGAGCCTAGAACTCTGCAGGACTCAATGCATGGTGGTGGTTATTATTCACTGTACCTGTCTGGGGTGTCTTACTCAGTTTTCCCAAAGTTTTCTTGGTAAGTAGAGTAGAGAGAGAGAGTATGTATCCTTGAGGAGAGATTTGGATCTGGCAGTAGTAGGCTGGACCTATCTCTTACCATCACATGCCAGCCTATGAGAGAGCTAACTATTAGAATTTTACAAATGTTATGAGTCAGTTTATAAAAACAACCATTATTAAAATTAAATAATACAAACTTACATTCAATACATTAAATTAAAAGCAAAAGCAATAAATACTTAAAACTCATCACTTCCTAATTATTTCACTACATTTTACTGCTTTCTTTTCATCTGAGTTTATTTGTATCTGTTGGGTCTGTATGGTGGAAATACTGTATAATTGTATGCTACATTGCCTCATAATATCACATAGGCACCTTAAAATCAATCATAGTGTTTATAGTATGGAAATCAAGAAATGCTGCAAATCAAGGTGTTTTTATTTTTGTGTTTTCTGTCAGATAACTGGTTGTAAACATTTACCACTATACCTCTGAGCCTGTATGTGGGGAGAGGGAGAAGAGATGAGTGCAACTGAAGCACCTTAACTATTATCAGGAAAGACATCAATAGGTTACGACTTGGAAGATTTTCCCAAAAGTTACCTAGAAAACCACATGGGAAGAAAAAACTTCTCCCCGTATCTTTTTCAAAATAGGCAAGATGCTGAAAAAGAAAATCCAGCAACTAGCCAGAGTCCATGCTCTATTTTCTAAAGGCAAAATCAGGTCTGTTTTCACAAGTGACAGTGAGGCCAGAAGATTTTGAAATCGCTTGTGAAAATACGAGAAGACAAACTTTCCCAATTCTGAAAATTGACCTTGTAGAAAAGATATGCATCTGTAATGCTTGTGTTTTATGAATTTAATTTCAAAGGAAATGTATTCAAATGGTCCAAAAAACCAGAAGGTATAGAAAGCTATGAAATGAACACATCTGTCCTCTTTCTGATACCCACACCACCAGTATCACTGCTGCTCTTTTTATATATCCTTCCAGTTTCTTTTTGCATATCCAAGTAAATAAAATTTGGATTTTTACCACCATCATCCTCCCCCTCTTTACATAAAGTATAGTGTAATATAGTTATTGTCCTTTAGCTTGGCTCCCCCACCCCCACTTAGTAATGGATTTAAGTGCTGTCCATGTAAGTGCAGAGAGCTTTTCCATTTTTTAAGAATTGGGTAACTGCCCAGAGGCCAAAAAAAAACCTAAAAGGTAGAAAGCAACTTCCAAACTCATTTCTAGCCACTTTCTCTCCTCCTCCTCCTCTCCCAACCCCCTCCTCCCCCTCCTCTTCTTCCTCTCCCTCCTCCCTCCCTTCCTGTCTTCCTCCCTTTCACCTTCCCTCCTCCCTTCTCCCTCCCTCCTTCCTTCCTTTCTCTCTCTTCCTTTTGCTTGCTTTCTTTCTTTTCTCTCTCTCTCCCTCCCTCCCTCCCTCCCTTCCTTTCTTCCTTTCTTCCTTTCTCTCCCTCTCTCCTTTCTTTCCTTCCTTTCCTTTCTCTCCTCCTCTTCCTTCTTATTCTTCTTCTTCCTTTTTTTCTTCTCCCTTTTCTTCTCTCTCTCTCTCTCTCTCTCTCTCTCTCTGTGTGTGTGTGTGTGTGTGTGTGTGTGTGTGTGTGTGTGTATTTTCTCCTTCCACCACACTGAGGCCTCCTCACCTCACATGAGCCAACTGGGCTTCCTGCTTTCTCCAGACCTTTCTTTGCTGTGTATGCTTTTTCTGAAATGCCCTGGATCACCCAGCAAACTCAGGTACGCTGGTGTTTGGTCTATAGCTGTGGTGTGTGGCAAGACTACCAGATCTGTAGTTGGATGGTGCGTACTCAAATCCCAGCTCCCTTGCTTACATGCTCCTTCAGTCTCAATTGACTTAATCTTTAATTTCTCTAAGCCCCACTCTCCTACTCAATAAAATGTGGAAGCAGTATTTCACAGTGGATATTAATGTGGGTTTTAGAGTTAGAAATATCAGGGTTAGAATCCCCATTCATCTTCCTATGGGTTAGTTAACTAGGTAAATTACTTAGTGATTCTTAGCTTTGTTATCACATTTATAAAATATGAAAAATACTCCATCAATTTTTCAAATTTCTGCATGTCTTATGAATAATAAATTCAGCTTTTGTTTCAAAACTCCATCTTTCCAAGAATATTTATATAGCACACACTGTGGAAAATAGAGGCAAGTTTCTCCTTAAGGGGCAGAGGAAAATTTGTTTTCTGCTCAGGATAATAAAAATAATGCCCACATTAAAAATTGAAGAGTTTTGCATACAGACCCCTTATAAAATAATGAGGTTTCCTAAACTCAGGGTTTTTCACGTGTAAAACAACCTACAGGTTGTACAGCATGCATCTGGACCTTTTTCACACCCTGTGGGAATTGAGACTTTGGAAACCAAGACAAATGATGTGACTGGCTATTGCTATTCCTGTGAGTAGTAGACTGTCCTTTGTCTCTGACCTAGGAGTCTTGTGTCTTCTTCCAACATTCATGAGACTGTGCAAGCTAACTTGTTAGTGTACAAGTAGGGTAAAATCCCAGATCCTTTACAATTCTTGACATTTACTTCATATATTTGTTGTAATAAATATAACATATTAATATATAAAATTATATATATTTTTATATATAAAGCACATATGACAATGCTTCTGCCTAGTCCATAATAGTTGCACAATAAATGAGAGCTATAAATATCAATTTTTCTTATTTTTTCCTGGGTCAGAGGATTGCCTGGGAAGTCAATAAAAGTATAAATGTGAATGATATTATCACAGTGCCTGGTACATGGTAGGCTCGTGTATTAGTCCATTTTCTTACTGCTATAAAGAACTCCCTGAGACTGGGTAATTTATTAAGGAAAGAAGTTTAATTGACTCACTGAGCAAGGCTGGGGAGGCTTCAGGAGACTTACAATACTGTCAAATGGCAAAGAGGAAGCAAGGCATCTTCTTCACAAGGTGGCAGGAAAGAGAAGTGCTGAGTGAAGTGGGGAAGAGCCCCTTATAAAACCATCACATCTCATGAGAACTTGCCCACTATCATGAGAACAGCATGGGAGAAACCACTCCCATAATTCAATTAACTCCACCTGATCTCTCCCTTGAAACCTTTTGCCAAAATGAAGGGGCTACAGGCCCCATGTAAGTCTGAAATCCAGCCAGGCAGTCAAATCTTAAAGCTCCAGAATGATCTCTTTTGACTCCATGTCTCACATTCAGGTCACACTGATGCAAGAAGTTGGTTCTCACAGTCTTGGGCAGCTCCACCCCTGTAGCTTTGTAGGGTACAGCCCCACTCCTGGTTGCTTTCATCGGCTGGTGTTGAGTGTCTGTGGCTTTTCCAGGCACACAATGCAAACTGTTGGTTGATCTACCATTCTGGGCTCTGGAAGACAGCGATCCTCTTCTCACAGCTCCACTGGGCAGTGCCACAATGGGGACTCTGTGTGGGGGCTCTAACCCCACATTTCTCTTCTGCACTGCCCTAGCAGAGGTCATTCATGAGGGCTCCACTCCTATAGCAAACTTCTGCCTGGACTTCCAGGTGTTTCCATATATCCTCTGAAATCTAGATGGAGGATCCCAAACCTCAGTTCTTGACTACCATGCACCCGCAGGCCCAACATCATGTGGAAGCTGCCAAGGCTTGGGGCTTGCACCCTCTGAAGCAGCAGTGTGAGTTGTACATTGGACCCTTTTAGTCACAGCTGGGATGCAGGGCACCAAGTCCTGAGACTGTGCAAAGCAGCGAGGCCCGGGGCCTAGCCCAGAAAACCATTTTTCCTCTTAGGCCTCTGGGCCAGTGATGGGAGAAGTTGCTGTGAAGACCTCTGACACGCCCTGGAAACATTTTCCACATTGTCTTGGTGATTTACATTTGGCTTCTAGTTACTTATGCAAATTTCTGCAGCTGCCTTGAATTTCTCCTCAGAAAATGGGTTTCTCTTTCCTTGTAATCAGGCTGCAAATTTTTCAAACTTTTATGCTCTACTTCCCTTTTAAACATAAGTTCCAATTCCAAACCATCTCTTGAATGCATAGAACCAAATGCTTTGAAGCGCACCCAAGTCACGTCTTGAATGCTTTGCTGCTTATAAATTTCTTCTTCCGGATACTCTAAGTCATCTCTCTCAAGTGCAAAATTTCACAGATCTCTAGGACAGGGGCAAAATGCTCCCAGTCTCTTTGCTAAAGCATAGCAAGGGTCACCTTTGATCCAATTCCCAACAAGTTCCTCATCTCTATCTGAGACCACTTGAGCCTGGACTTCATTGTCCATATCACTGTCAGCAGATTTGTCAAAGCTATTCAACAAGTCTCTAGGAAGTTCCAAACTTTCCCACATTTTCCTATCTTCTCCTGAGCCCTCCAAACTGTTCCAACCTCTGCCTGTTATCCAGTTCCAAAGTTGCTTCCACAATTTCAAGTGTCTGTATAGCAGCACCCCATTCCTGGTACCAATTTATTGTATTAGTTCATTTTCATATGGCCATAAAGAACTTCCCGAGACTGGGTAATTTATATAGGAAAGAGGCTTAATTGACTCACAGTTCAGCATGGCTGGGGAGGCCTCAAGAGACTTACAATTATGGTGGAAGGTGAAGAGGGAGCACAAGGCATCTTCTTCATAAGGTGTCAGAAAGGAAAAGTGCCAAGAGAAGGGGAGAAAAGCCTCCTATAAAACCATCAGATCTCATGAGAATGTACTTACTCTCCTGAGAACAGCATGGGGGAAATCACCCTCTGATTCATTTACCTCCACCTGGTCTCTCCCTTGACACGTGAGGATTATGGGGATTATTGGGATTACAATTCGATATGAGATTTGAATGGGGACACAAAGCCTAACCCATATCAGTTCTTACCTAGGAAATCTTTCTTTTCATTTATTGTATCTTCTTGAAGAAGCTGTGATAGCAGGAAGGGACATGGACATATTATAAATGTAGATTAAGTTCCCAATTTGTTTTCAAGAACTCAACTAATGGGGGGTAGCTCCATAGGGCAGGGGTAAAGGGTCTCATGTCTCAGTGCAGCGTTCTAGTGCCCCACCCTCTGTGCAAAGCTATGAAGCAAAGCTATGACGAAGCTATGCAAAGTAGAACGTTGCTAGATCCAGAAACATAATTTGGTCCTGCATTCTAATTCCATAGAAATACCTATCATGGAGAAGAATATATACAGTCCTTGAACCTAAAGCTTTTATTTAAGAATATGCTTGTAGATGCTGGCACTCCTGATTATTGAACCTAAACCCTGTTTAAAGTAGCCACATCACACTGGGGAGGAAACTCTTTGTGTATGCCCATTCACTTTGTTGCATTGGCTTCCATCTTCCCAACAATCATGTAACAAATATCGCTACACGGGCACTTCAGGCTGGACTCTTGCTAGTCGCTTGCTATGGTGGTAGATGAAACAGACTCAGTCACTCCCCTTAGAAGCTTACAGTTGAGCAAATGTGACAACATCGAATGAGTAATGTACAATAAAGTACAAGTGTAATTGTAATCAGTGCTATGGAGGAAACCAACAGTGAGAAATTAGCTAGGGTAAGTAATCCACCGCTAAATATCAGCCGCTTAGCCTAATAAAAGTTGATTTATCACTCATACTCATGTCACAGTCTAGTGTGGGCAGACAGTAGGGATTGGGGTTGGTGTGAGGATGGTAGGTCCTGGGCTCCATTCAGTCTTTCAAGGATCCATACTCTCTTCATTAGTTGGTGCTGCCATTTTGAGGGCCTCCTCCCTTCTCTATAATCAGCAGGTTGATAGCCATAAGGCAGGATATTGATGGACAAAGTCCTATGGATGGCCTGCCAGTGGCCCATGTCATTACTGCTTACAGCATAAATACATGATGGGCTTGGAAATGCAGTTCAGCTGGATGTCTAAAATAGAGTCCCAAGTTGCCTCCTGCCCCAAGGGAGAGTGGCAGTGGATAGGGAGAGTGATCTCTTAGGGTGGTCAGAAAGGGCATCTCCCAGGAATCAACTTAGATTAGAAGCACAGATACTGAAGTCAGACAGCCAGGGTCTCCTCCTGACTCTGCTCCTTACCAGCTGGGTACTTTGGGTTAATTTGCCTGGTTTCTCCATGTCTCATTCTTCTCAGTTGTAAAATGTGGATGACACTTGTGAGAAATCAAATGAAATAACTGGTACAACCCTTAAGCAACATTTAGTATAGGTCTGATTGGTTCACTCTAAGTGTACCATTACTGTTAAATTATTATTGTGGCTGTCACTAGTAATAATAAGGTGGGATCTGAAGGAATTAGAATTTTAAAATTTTGAAACACTGTTGTCTAAGTTCTGTTACTATTCCCCACAAGCCATCTCAATGTAAAATTTCACCTGATCCTTTGTTAACTGGCTCTATAGAATCTCTTCCCCTAACTTTCTGGTTTAGGGCTCCCATGACAGCCTACAAACAAGGACTCCAATGGGGTAGATACATGATTTTCATTTTAACTCACATTTTGCAATAGCTGTTGTTGTTTTTCTCTTTTGTCAAATGATGTGTTCAACTACAAGCTATTCTTCAATATTCTTTTTAGTCCTAACAATTCTGTGCACCTTTCAATGGCAAATTAAAACATTGTTACAACTGCCTGAATTTTAGGATTTGGGTTTGGCAGTAGGAATCTTGAATTGGCAAATATTTTTACCCACTGACACTTATATTTAAGGCAGATGCTTACAGTTAAGGAGTAACTCATAAAACATTACTCATAACAGTAGAACACTCAGCAGCACCTCAAGTCATTACTCTGCTAACTTTTTGCTTGCATGTGCAGTAGTCCCAGCTCATACTCCTGCCATCTGTATAGCTGTCTCACTATGCAGTGAGAAGCCACCATATCTACTTACTTAAAAGACACCCTATAGGAAGGGCCAAAAGCATTGCTAATCTTAGTAAAACTTATTTTTTAACTTTAAAGTTTAAAGGGGAACCAGCATTTTAGGTGATTAGCATAGATTACACTCTCAATTAACCTGTCTTATTTGATTTGGGGTGCTGTAACTAAACATAAACTGAGTGGCTTATAAACAACAGGCATTTATTTCTCACAGAAGTCCAAGATCAAGGTGCTGGCAGATTTGGAGTCTGGTGAAGACTGGCTTCCTAGTTCATACATGATGCCTTATCCTTGCATGCTCACGTGGTAGAAAGGACAAGGCACCTCTCTTGGGCCTTTTGTAATAAGGGCAGTAATTTCACTCATGAGGGCTTTGTCCTCATTATTTAATCATCCCCAATGGTTCTACCTCCTAATAACATCATATTGGTGATTGGGTTTCAGCATGTGAATTTTAGGGGATATAAACATTCAGACCATAGTAACCTCTATGTTTTCATCATTTTCACCTCTGTAAAATGGGGCTTAAGAGATATTATTACATCTCTTTAGTGCAAAGACTCATTGTGAGACTGCATTTTTGCAGTGCCCAAAAAATTGCATGGCACATAGTAAACTATGCTACCTGCTATGAGGGGTCATTACTACCCTCTGTTGTAAATAGCCATTATTTTGGTATTTATTTGACTGATACTTATTAGTTGTCTGTTTGGTGCCAGGCATTGTACTAACTGATGAGGACTCAACTGGTGAACCAAAGCATTGTCCCTGCCCTCACTGAACGTGGCACTTAGCAAGGAGAATAGATGATAATCTAATGTTCTCTCATGTACAGTATGAAACTGCATCATTGACATCATTGACAATCATTGACAATGAGACTCCATTTTAAGGGAGTTTCACCTAAATCAGAGATTAGGAATGGTATCCTTGAAGAAGTGACTGAGGCATTGAAGGCTGGAGGATGGAGGAGGAGCTAACTTGGGCAAAAGAAAGAAAAGCCATCCATGAGAGAGAGCAGAATATGGCTGTAAAGCTCAGCTATGGTAAACCTCTGGAGAATGCTCATAGGATTGCAGCATGTGGCATGAGGCATAAAAAGCAGGTCTTTAGGCCATGCCAAGAATTAGGGTTTTTAACTTATGAGCAATGAAAACCCATCTGATGAATTTTAAACAGTGAAGAGTAGGGTTACTATGACTAGATTAGATGATTAGATCTGCCTTCTGGAAAGACTGCTGTGTCTGGAGGATGAAATCTAGTGGATGTGTGTGGATCAGAATGGAGGGTCTTCCAAGACTCTGGGCCTGCCTTAGGAATCCACTGGGCTCAATCTGTGGGAGGTAATGGTGCAAAAGGAGAAATGTAGGTGGCTATGCTAGGTGCTTAGAGGATAAAATCAGTAAGACTTGGTCATGAGTTAGACATGGAAGATGACAAGAGGAAATGTTAAAATAGACTCTAAAATTCTGATTTTCTAAATGGCACATGGAGATATTGACATATCTGGGAAGAAACATCATGATGTAGTTTTGCAGTTTGAATATATTTTGAAATTAATGTTAATTTCAAATTAGAAAGTATTTGTCAAGTGAAAAACATGTATTGAGCGAGGAAGAAAAGAAAAATAAGTTGCCATGTATTTATCATCCTCCATGTTTTGAGTGCTTTTAGATTTTCAGGGTTTATCCTTCTGATCAACTTCCAAGTCAGACACTGTCCTCATGGATCACATCAAAAAATGATTATAAAGATGTAGTGACTGGCTTAAGAACATACAATTGATGATAAGGAAGATATGTATTTCATTACAGGCTTGTATAAAACAAAAACCTACCTGGCAATTGTAAAAAACTTAAACTCATTAACAATCTTAATTTATAACTAAAATTATTAAAAATAAATTCTGAATGGAGGCACGAAAATGTAAATCCCCTCCTTGTTCTCTTAAGACAGCCTTTCCAAATAAGGCAGGATCACCCCACAGAACTTTTGAGTTGAGCAACTTGGGGAGTGACCCTCAGAAATAAGCAGGATCAATATTAAATCACTGATGTTTCAAATGCCTTGGAGCTCTTTTATTTCCTCCTGTCTCTCCTCAAGAGAGAGTGGAGGGAGTGACATTAAAATTAACATAAGCAATGCAATTAGTGAAGATGTTGTCATAAATGCATTAAAACATGTATAGAAAACTGGTAAAAGCATTTGCTTTTGGATAACTTGTTTGCAAGGATGTAAAGGAAGCTAATTTTCCATGATATATGACAATGTATCTCTTGAAATCTTATAAGATGTATGACTTGGATGCATCTTTTAAATTTACATTTAATGCTTGAGCCTGGGTTTGCTCATTCCAAGTTCAGGGGAATAATTCTTACCTTATGTAGTTTTTAATGAGGATTAGAGATAGTATATATTTAATACCTGGCATAGAGTGGATGTTCAATAATTATTATTGAAAAGCAAATCCTTTTTTGATATACTACGGTGAAATAAAATGCTATGGCTAAGTTTTTAGTTCTGAAGAAGTTTTCCAAGTAAAACACTAACCTAGTATTCAAAAAGGAAAAGAAAAGACGGGCCTGTAGATTTGATGTAGTGCTTCTAGGCTGTAGGAGAATTCTGCAAGTGTAGCAAATTTATCCCAGTGTGAGGGAAGGGAACAAAATAATAAATAATAATGGTTCATTATTATGCTCAGAAAGTTTATTTGACCTAGGCCCATGCCAATTTCATTTTTATCCCAATATATTTAATAAGACAATTAGGGGTCCACATATTTTAGTAAATAATATTGCCTAAAAGTTATTGACATAGTCTAGGCATTAAACTCTTATCATTTTCAAGCTCTAGATTAAGAAACTAATTATAAGGCCTTAATAGTTAAATCCTAGCTGCTAAGTCTTGTGAATATTGTAGTGCTATCCATAAGGCTAAATAATTGTTTGAACTGTTGACATGGTAACTGTTTTGTTAAAAGCAATCTGTAAGGTTATATTCAATCTTCAAAGCAGTTCTCAAGAATTGTGTTCAAATATGGCCATTGAAATCTGGGAAGCTTGTTATTAAAAGCATAACCAGCAAAGTGGCTAATTTTCCTGTGAGAAGATGTCAATTAACCCTAATAGAATTATTTTGGTGTTGATTTTGTTTAATCAAACATCAGAAAATTATTGAGCTCTGAATAAATGGCTTATTACAGAAATATGCAGGTTGGCAAGAAAGATTGGAGAGTGCATTTCAACAACACACATATATTAACAGTCGCTTTTTTTTTTTTTTTTCATTGAAATGAGTAATTACCAAGGGGCCTTGCACTGAGGGCATCAACAAGATATGTGGCCCAAGACAGCTGCTTGGCTTCCCATCCAAGATAAAGTCAGATGCTCTAGAAATGTGTGCATGTTGAGGACTGAAGGGAGGAGAAACTTTGCTTCTTATTTATCACCTGTCAGGTCTGGAGAAGCACAGATGCCAAGGTGTGTACCCTATATTTATTTACAAGCACATTATCTACTATTGCTGCCTCTAGGGTGGCCAGAAGTATCTTTCAAAGCATAATTTCCCCCACTGTTTCTCAGCCCTGGGTGCACATAAAAACCACATAGGAAGGTTGGAAACATACCAATGCCCGGGCACCATCACTGACCAATAAAATGATAACCCTTCTGAGAGAATCTTGGTATGGATGTGTTTCAAAGTCTCCCAACATGTTTCTAATATATATCCTGGCCAAAAGAGCATTGCTTTAAGCCATCAATCACTCTACAGTATTATTTCTCAACTCTGCGAAGGCGAATGAACACAAAGAGTTTGATTGTCAAATCTGATTTATACAAATCAGTGGTCTTACCTAGTACACTGATCAGCTAGGGCTGCCATAACAGAATACCTCCGACTGGGTGACTTAAACCCAGAAATTTATTTTCTCCCAGTTCTGAAGGTTAGATGTCCAACATCAAAGTGCCATCAGTATTGGTATTTGGTGAGGGCTCTCCTCTGGGCTTGCAGATGGCCTCCTTCTCATGTTGTCCCCACATGGCCTTTCCTATCTCCTCACCTTCTTTTGTGGACACCAGTTCTATTGGATTAGGGCCCCACCTGTATGAACCTCATTTAAACTTACTCAGCTCCTTAAAGGCGACATTTCCAAATACAGTCATATTGGGGGTTAGGGATTTAACCTTATGACTTTGCGGTAGGAGGACACAACTGAATCCATAATCCCTACTATCAGGCTTTACCCTTAATTACAGAGTTTCAGATAATTGTGAGACACAGGCAAAGTAGGGAGAGGCATAGAAGTACCATATGACACCTAGGTCTTTACTTCCTTTTTGGTCTAACCTGGAATAATAAATTAGATCTGTAAGTAATGTATCTGTCTACATACAAAAAAGGAAATGCAATCAAGCTACCTTTCTTCTGCTTTTCTGGAGGATGCTCCCATATCCTCCTCACTCCCGGCCCCTGTGGAGGAAAATGAATTGCAAGTCTGTTGATAATCATATCTTTCCCAAAGGCATGTGTGATAGTTCTCAGCTCACCTTTCTTTCTCTCCACTCTCACGCAGAGTGTTTTATCTTTACCACTGAGTTCTGGATGCATTCTCTGATTTTTGTTTCTCTAACACTCTGCTATTAAAGTTTGTTCCCCAGACCAACAACATTACCTGGGAGCTTGATAAAAATTCAGAGTCTCAAGCCCACTCCAGGCCAACTGAATTCAAATCTGCATTGTAACAAGGTTCACACTAGATTTGTTGGTGCATTCAAGTTTGAGAAGCACTGTTCTAATACCTGGAGCTTTTCCTGCTTCAGGATCTTTGCATACATGCCGTGTTACTTCCCATGCTCATGTTTTCACCTTTCAGATCACAGCTTAAGAATCACCTTTGCTACTTCTCTCATCTTCTATTGGAATGGTTGCCTTCATGTAATTCTATCAGCACATTATTTATTTCCTGTTTAACACTTATTATAATACATTTTATTAATTTGTTATATTATTTTTGCCTTGGCCGTTTCTTCTACTCTAAGCTCAGGAAGTCCTATCCAATTCGTTCAACAATTTTATCCTAATGGATATCATGTGGCACATACTGCATAGATGGCAGATAGCCCTTGAATGAATAATGAGCAAATTGTTTTTCCATAATCTGTTGCCTGCCTGTGTCTTAGTCTCCAACATTTTTTCTTCCTCCCTTGCTTGCACTTTATATTGCAGTTCAACTGAAACTACTTACAGACCTTCATCCTCATCACCATCTGTGAATCTAGTGCATTCATGCTTTCTTGCGTTTTCTCAAGCTATTCACTGTTTCTGAATGCGTTTTTGCCATCTTGTTTCATTAAAGCACTCATATTCATCCTCAGAGTCTCTGCTCCAATATTCTAGAAAAGGATGCTTAAGGACCAACTGGGTCACACTTACATCTTAAATTACATTGAATTTAGTGTGATTTATACACAAATTTATACTGTGATGCTGAGATCCTATTGAGGGAAAGAAAATAGGTGTTTCTCATGTCTGTATTTTTATTGTTTAATACAGTGCATGGAACACAGAAGCTGCTCAGTGAATGGCCTTTGATTATGAGATAGGAGAATTACAAGATGATGTTAGAAGGATGGGATAGAGACCATTTGTGCCTGCTACAGAATGTTGGCATGGAAAGTCCTTCCAGGACATCGTAGTACCCTTAGTAGTGTAAGCATATTTTTGTTTGAGGAAAAAGCTACTTTTCATATCCCTTTAGTCCTCCAGCAGTCTTGGAAGATAATGTGAATCAGATAAGCACTCTATTTGTCTAATTCTCTGAAGTTGACCTAACTTCTCAATGCAAAAAAATAAGCAGATATGCATGTTTGGTTTAGAAGCCACTTCTCTCTTAGCTTTGTGGACTTATAAGTTTGTGAGATAGTAGATTCTGTTGTTAAATAG
The DNA here is from genome assembly GCF_000001405.40 of Homo sapiens. Taxonomy (NCBI): domain Eukaryota; kingdom Metazoa; phylum Chordata; class Mammalia; order Primates; family Hominidae; genus Homo; species Homo sapiens. The sequence continues at coordinate 7,561,808 of NC_000003.12, forward strand.
TCTAATTGAATTTTTAAATATATTCATGTAAAATAGACATCAGTATCAATGAACATACACTTCAACAGCCTTCTGCCAAACTCCACAAGGCATGGGACAGAATTCAGTGGCAGTGGGTGGTGACTTACATCGAAGTGACATGAAAGATACCAGAAAGCCTCTTACCCAAATATGTCACTGCCACATCCCCTGAACTCGCAACTGAGTTTGAAACTCCAACTGCTTGAGTTGTTTCCTCAGGTTATCTGTTAAAGAACTGATTCTCCAATTCATCATTGGATAGCACATGCTTGAATACAACGCTTTTGATTTAGGCTTTTTGTAGGAAGCATTAACCCATTGCCCTGTAAGACAGAGGTTGACTTTTTAGTTTTTCTTGCCAGCTATTCACCAGGAGGAAGTATTTGGCTCAGTCTTGCTAACTTGAGCTGGAGAAACAGTATGCCAGTCAGCAGGAGGTGCATGAACAAAGGCATGGACACGATGTGCCAGGAAAAAAAGCTAAAACCCAAGTGAAGTAATAGTTCACTTTCCCCCTTATATTTTTTTAAAAAGAAAAAAAAAATACTAGTTTTAATTGACTATTACCCCTCTAAAATACTCTCAAATATAGAGTCATATTTGGTTTTTCTGTAACTCCATTAATTGACCTCACAGAAGTTAAGTGAGTCGATCAAGATGATCTAGCCAGAATTGAGAGCGTTTGCAACCCAGTTCATGTTCTATAAGTTTTGCAATGACCCTACGAGTTCTTCTAGCCCAAGAACAAAGAAAGCCTGAAAGTTGATGCTAGAATCCCAACCAAAGTATTAGTTAAGCAACATCACTGTTTTCTACAGTGTTATTGAAAGAATACAGATTCCACAGAATGTTGAGAGATAGATATTACAGGAAAAAAAAGAATGGTTTGTTCTATACTCAAATGGATTAGAAAGCACTAGATTAAATCAAGGAGGCCTCATTTTTCCTTAAGAGCAAAACATCTCAAAGTCTTCAGTACACTAATACGCATCCTGCCTCCCCTGATGTGTCTGTATTGGATAGAGTGGTTTCTTTTTCTCAAAAGATTATGTTGCAGGGCTAGTTTTCATTATAATGAAATGTGAGATAACTATCCTAAATAACCTGTATAAAAACAGTTTCTATCCTTTAGTTCAGAAAAGGGAAACAAGAGATTCAAAACTTATAAAAATAGAAAGTAGGGGAATAACAGAAAAAATAATCAAAAGCCTTTCTTGTCTTAGTAAGCCATTCTTCTCCATTTACCTGGCAGAGAGCATGACTCACCCCAGGTGAGTGGGTGAAAAGCAATTTGCAAGTTGTCTTGAGTGTGAAAATCTAAGATGAATGGCTGAGCTGGTTAGAAAAGAAGATTTAGTTTCAGTGATTTAAGGATTTCTATTGTTCTTTTTTGTACAGTTTGTTATATTTAAAGCTAGTCAGATACAGAAGGCTCAAGCGCAAAAGAAGAATGACAAGTGTTCAAAGGCATAAAAGAGGACATTTTTTTCCTCTAAGGATTTATCCTTTTATATCCTAATCCTAAAAGTTCTTTCTTAGGATAGAATCTGCCCCAGGTTCCATATTACTTTTCAGCTCTGTAGGAGATTAAACAAAATAGATAATGGCCCTACTTTTCAAAGTGTAAGTACAGGGAAGAGAAAGATGGCAAAGATGAAATGCTAAGAGATTTCAAACAAGAGAAAGACCATTTCAGCTTGAAGGCATCAGGAAAGATTTGGGACATTTAAGATAATGGCGGAAGAATTAGGGGGAAAAATGACAGCCGAAAGGTTAAGTGTAAATAAAATAATATAAATAGGGACTCTGGTATTAAAGGGAAGCCCAATCACTGCCCTTTGTTAGAAGAGGCCAATGAAACTGGAGTGGAGGTTCGGGGGTCTGCTTTGGAATGACATGAACAATCAAATGAAAAGTCTGCACTGTCTCACGTGGGCAATGGAGACATTTCAGTTTTTAATCCAGGATGCAGTAAACTCACACTTGCCTTCCAAGAAGGTACTCTGTCAACTTCAGACAAACAGTCATTGTGAGCTGCTGTTTTTAGGTAGAGATGAACATTAGGAAACACCACTGATGTGGTCTCTGACCTCCTGGGCTTACATTCAGGTGGAGGGAGATGGACACAGAAGTCAACATCCATATGTTTAATTTAAGCCAGCCATTATTATGAAGAGAAAGCAGAGTAAAGGAATAAGAAATAAGGAAGGGAAGACCCAAAATCAGAGAGAGCAATTAAGTGGACCCAACACGGATGACTTTAATAGATGGTCATCACTGGGGACAAAGAAGAAAAGGGTTTATGGGAGAAAACAGGAACGAACTTTCACAATTGTTACTCTCCAATGGGAGCAAGGTAAAGAGTTAAAGATGACTGTATTGTCACTAATAATTGTAATAGACAGAACTCATCAAGTTTTACCATGTGTCAGACAACATGCTTCCATACATGCCCTTTTTCAGTAAGTGTAGGAGGTAATTATTACTGTCTCCATTTCACAGATGAAAAAAATGAGGTTTCAAGAGCTTAAATGACTTGGCCAAGATCACCCTGCTAGGATTTGAACCCGTGATCATCTGATTCCAATGCTCATGTTATTATCTAGTCCATCAAAACAGGCTGAACTGTGTGTGGAGAGATCTAGAAAAAGGAAAGGAAGTTGATGTGTTCACTTTACATCTGCAGGGTCTGAAAAGCCACTATGACATTAAATACTGGCAATGTTCAGCTGGAAAAGTTGAAGCTCGAGGGAGAGGAGGACTGGGAATATTCATCTTAAAGTTCTTTGCATGAAATGTATTGACCGTTGGAGCCATAATATATATATATTTTTAAATTAATCGTTATTTAGGTAACTGCCATGTCTCAGGCATCATGCTATTCCTTACACGTGTCATCTTATTTAGTCTTCCTACCTAATAAACTAAGGGAACTGAGATTCCATATCCTCTACTTGCTTATGGCCATACTTACTAGAGGCGATGAAGCCAGGCTTTGAACCCAGGACAGCCTGACTTCCTAACTCATACTCTTTCTATTTTGAGCTGTACCTAAGCTTACTGAAGGAGAGTGTTCAGAGAAGTCAGGGACTACTGAAATCATGTTCTGTCCTTGGCTGCAGATTGCACATGACTTGTTTTTCTCCCGTCTCATAATGTGCTAATTGTGTTCATTTGTCCTCCACCTAGTAACTGAGTGCTCCATATTTAATTCCCTTTCTTCCTTTAAGAAAATATCAAGGACATTTAAGCTGCAAACATTCATTATATACATAGATATGCATTAAATGACCAGAAAACTGATGAGACTCACAAAAGTAATTATGGATCCTTTCATCATTTCTAATTACACTTTAACTCAAATTTTGAGTATAGAAAAATCACTTCTAAAGGAGAGGTCAGTCTGTTCTTTCCTTGACACCATCATTTATCCATTTAATCCAGCAATTCAATTGCATTTCTTCCCAGATATTGAATTACAATAGTGGACAAAGAGGATGGAGGCTGTGCTCTCATGAAGCATACACATATTAGTTGGGAAAATAAATAGACTTTAATCGAGTCTCATTTTTGCATAATTACAAATCGTAATTACAAAGTGCTGTGAAGAGGTATCTTTATGAATAAAACAATGCTCATTCCAGTGGGTATAGGGACTTCCTGAACAAAACTTAGGTAAGCCTAAAGGTTATTTCATATTGTGACATGAAAGCCACTGTGGGCCAGGAAACTTCATAGAATTCAGATAAATCCAGGAGAGTGAAGCCAGCTGACGGATATCTCTGCCAAATTGTGCACAGTTATATGGGAGGTATGAGAGCAATGAAAAGTCATTGATGATATTAACCGAAAGGATGACATGATTAGACCTGCACATTAAAAGGATTGTGCTGGATGTTGTGCAATAATTGGCTTAGGAGAAGACCAGCAGGAAAGGGAGGTGAGGAAACTGGACAGAAAGATTTGCTGAAGAGGGTTTGGTAGCAAAGATCAGAAAGGATGATTCAACTCTCTAAGGAAGTAACCTTTATCTGTTTTGCTCCTGGCAAGTCAGCCAGGTCCAGAACTCAGTAAGTACTGCACATATAGCTTTTTGGATGATATAAATAATTTCCTGCATGACATAAACTGACATAAGTTGTTGGTAATTTAAATATGTTTGGTTAAGGGAAAGGGAGATATCAAAGATGACACCTAACTTCTGGCTTATGAATAGATAAATCCACCATGCACTAAGGATTTGTATTTCTGTTTTCTTTGGCTCTGAATCAGCTGTTTTTTTTTTTTTTTTTTTTTTTTTTTTTGTAAAAGATCAGAGAGTAAATACTTTAGGCTTTTCTGGCTATGCATTGCCAACTACTCATTTCTACCATTGTTTTAGCATAAAAGCAGCCATAAATAATATGTACATCAATGAATGTGGATGTGTTTCAATAAAACTTTATTTTCAGAATAGGCAACGGACAGGTTTTGACCCATAGGCCAGCTTGTCAGCCCCTGGTACAGAATATGAGTCCAGTTTTGAACAAATTTAATTTGAAATAAATTTAAAATAACCCAACTCATTCTTTCTCATTGAGAGATTCATATGAATTATGTTTACATTATAATATTATTCTTAAATTCAGGCTTTTAAAAAAGTATTTTCAAATGTATTTGATAATTGGAATAAAAATATCTATCTTTGATTGTTAAACATCTTTTAGGAAACTATCACAGAGTGAGAAGAAATAGGAGGTCATTTGCAGTTAGCAAATAAATTGTTTACAAGGAGATGGCTTTTCTACTGGCAGAACTATTTCAGAAATGGATAATTTGTGACACTGAATAAAAAAAAAGATAGCTAACTGGTATCAGTAGATGGATATTGTTTGGCAATCTAAGAATATATGGTATTTTTTAAAAAGGCATAGAGGTTGTTAAAAAAAAAAATTCTGAAGATTTCCCGTAAGGCTGTCCCGATTCTTCCAGGGGGAAAAAAAAAATGGTTCTGAAATCAAGTAAAATGGGTCTGTTTTACTTAGGGGTATAGAAAGGTTTCGCAAAGACAGACCTAGATTTACTTTTGTGGCCAACTATTCAATTTCTCTGGGAGTTTTGAATTCTGCAAATTTAAGATAAGAACCTCCCTCATAATTTTTTGTTTTTGAGGATAATGCAAGCATTAAAATAGTAAATACAGGTCATTTAGGGAGAACTACAATGAAATCCGTTCTTGATGTATAATTTAACAAACTTGTGTTCCATTAGACTTGGTTGTTTGGGGTGGGGAAAAATGTTTCTTACACCCACTCACTTCATTTGTTTACTCTATATGTCCAGCTTCTGTAGGCATTTTAAGTTGTTTAACCAATAACATTATGAAACTTAAGCCTAGAGACCCTCCTGACTGTGAAAAGTTGTAATTCCACTACAATATTGTATGTTCCCATTAAATCATAATAGAGTATAACTAAGCATTTTAGGTGCCCCATTCAGACTTTTAAAAAGAGGCAGTGTTACTGAACCAAACTTGGGGCTTTCCACCCAGTGCAGCAAAGCCAAACAATGACATTGTGATTTGCATAGAAAGTAAGATGTGTATTGCTGGGCACCAAGTGAGGAGAAGTTTCAGCAAATGTTTTAAGACCCAAACTTGGCCAGGGGCAGGAGCTCATGCCTGTAATCCTAGCACTTTGAGAGGCCAAGGTGGGTGGATTGCATGAGGCCAGGAGTTTGAGACCAGCCTGGCCAACATGGTGAAACCCATCTCTCCTAAAAATACAAAAATTAGCTGGGCATGATGGAGCATGCCTGTAATCCCAGCTACTGGGGAAGGCTGAGGCATGAGAATTGCTTGAACCCGGGAGGCAGAGGTTGCAGTGAGCCCAGATCATGCCACAGCACTCCAGCCTGGGTGACAGAGTGAGACTCCATCTCAAAAAAAAAAAAAAAAAAAAAAAAAAAAAAAAAAAAAAGACACAACTCCAGGATGACTTATATGCAAGGGTTTTTAAGGGCAGGGGTGAGAGGGTTTTCAAAATGAGTTGAGGGAGGGGGCATTCTTGGAACTTCCGCATTCATTTTCCAGTTCCAGTTTGTGTGAGGTCTGCATGACAGCAGTCAGCATTTTTCATCTAGCAGGGTGTCCCAGTTTATGAAAACAACTCAGGAACGTATGTCAATATGTTACCTTTAGTTTATATAGGGAACCAAACATCTCATGACCCTGACTTACTTGGGTGATTATTGTTATCTTCTTGCTTAGTAAGTTATTCATTCACTTCCTTAATTGCTGGTGGCAGGGCTAGCTAAGGTGCCTGGAACTTCCCTTGATGGGGCTCAGAACTTTTCTTTATTTCCATGCTTGGGAACTGGGGAGCCTGGCAGGCCCCAGAAGGGTCCTTGTGTACTCTCAATAGTGCATCACAATATCAAGAATTAAAGACAAGATGTATTAGACTGTTTTCACACTGCTGATAAAGACATACCTGCACTGGGCAATTTACAGAAGAAAGAGCTTTATTGGATTTACACTTCCACGTGGCTGAGGAGGCTTCACAATCATGGCAAAAGGTGAAAGGCAAGGAAGAGCAAGTGACGTCTTACAAAGGTGGTGAGAGGTGACAGCGTGCTGACAGCCCTCACTCGCTCTCGGCGCCTCCTCGGCCTTGGCGCCCACTCTGGCCACACTTGAGGAGCCCTTCAGCCTGCCGCTGCACTGTGGGAGCCCTTTTCTGGGCTGGCCAAGGCCGGAGCCGGCTCCCTTAGCTTGCAGGGAGGTGTGGAGGGAGAGGCGCAAGCGGGAACCGGGGCTGCCCCCGGCGCTTGCGGGCCAGCTGGAGTTTTGGTGGGTGTGGGCTCGGCGGCCCAGCACTCAGAGCAGCGGGCCGGCCCTGCCGGCCCTGGGCAATGAGGGGCTTAGCACCCGGGCCAGCGGTTGCGGAGGGTGTACTGGGTCCCCCAACAGTACCGGCCCACTGGCGCTGCGCTTGATTTCTTGCCGGGCCTTAGCTGCCTCCCCGTGGGGAGGGCTCGGGACCTGCAGCCCGCCATGCCTGAGCGCCCCCCCTCCATGGGCTCCTGTGCGGCCCCAGCCTCCCGGACGAGCGCCGCCCCCTGCTCCACCGGTGCCCTGTCCCATCGACCACCCAAGGGCTGAGGAGTGCGGGCGCACATTGGGGAACTGGCAGGCAGCTCCACCTGCGCCCCTGTGTGGGATCCACTGGATGAAGCCAGCTGGGCTCCTGACCCTGGTGGGGACTTACTTGGAGAACCTTTATGTCTAGCTAAGGGATTGTAAATACACCTATCAGCACTCTGTATCTAGCTCAAGGTTTAGAAACACACCAATCAGTACCCTGTGTCTAGCTCAGGGTTTGTGAATGCACCAATCTACACTCTGTATCTAACTACTCTGGTGGGGACTTGGAGAACCTTTATGTCTAGCTAGGGGATTGTAAACACACCAATCAGTACCCTATGTCTAGCTCAGGGTTTGTGAATGCACCAATGGACACTCTGTATCTAGCTCCGCTGGTGGGGACTTGGAGAACCTTTGTGTCCACACTCTGTATCTAGCTAATCTAGTGGGGACATGGAGAACCTTTGTGTCTAGCTCAGGGAATGTAAACACACCAATCAGCACCCTGTCAAAACAGACCACTGGGCTCTCTGTAAAATGGACCAGTCAGCAGAATGTGGGTGGGGCCAGATAAGAATAAAAGCAGGCTGCCCCAGCCAGCAGTGGCAACCTGCTGAGGTCCCCTTCCACGCCGTGGAAGCTTTGTTCTTTCGCTCTTTGCAATAAATCTTGCTGCTCCTCACCCTTTGGGTCCACACTGCCTTTATGAGCTGTAACACTCACCATGAAGGTCTACAGCTTCACTCCTGAAGCCAGCGAGACCATGAACCCACCAGAGGAAGGAACAACTCCAGACACACCACCTTAAGAGCTGTAACACTCACCGCGAAGGTCCGCAGCTTCACTCCTGAGCCCGTGAGACCACAAACCCCACCAGAAGGAAGAAACTCTGAACACATCCAAATATCAGAAGGAACAAACTCCGGACACGCCGCCTTTAAGAACTGCAACACTCACCGCGAGGGTCCGTGGCTTCATTCTTGAAGTCAGTGAGACCAAGAACCCACCAATTCCGGCCACAGTGGTGGCAGGCAAAGAGAGAGCTTGTGCAGGGGAAGTTCCATTTTTAAAACCATCAGATCTCATGAGACTCATTCACTATCACAAGAACAGCGCAGGAAAGAACCGCCCCCATAATTCAATCACCTCCCACCAAGTTTCTCCCACAACACATGGAAATTGTGGGGTTTACAATTCAAAATGAGATTTGGGTGGGGATACAGCCAAACCATATCATTCCACCCCTGGCCCCTCCCAAATCTCATGTCCTCACATTCCAAAACCAATCAAGCCTTCCCAACAGTCCCCCAAGTTCTTAAATCATTTCAGCATTAACTCAAAAGTCCACAGTCCAGCGTCTCATCTGAGACAAGACAAGTCCCTTCTGCTTATGAGCCTGTAAAATAAAATAAAAAAGTTAGTTACTTCGTAGATACAATGGGGGTACAGGCATTGGGTAAATACAGCCATTCCACATGGGAGAAATTGGCCAAAACGAGGGCCTCATGCAAGTCCAAAATCCAGCAGGGCAGTCAAATCTTAAGCTCCAAAATGAGCTCCTTTTACTCCATGTCTCACATCCAGGTCATGCTGATGCAAAAGGTGGGTTCCCATGGCCTTAGGCAGCTCCACCCCTGTGGCTTTGCAGGGCACAGCCTTCCTTCTGGCTGCTTTCATGGGCTGGCATTGAGGGTCTGTGGCTTTTCCACACACACGATACAAGTTGTCAGTGGATCTACCATTCTGGGGTCTGAAGGATGGTGGCCCTTTTCTCACAGCCCCACTAGGTGGTGCCTCAGTAGGGACTCTGTTTGGGGGCTCTCACCCCACATTTCCCTTCCGCACTGCTCTAGCAGATGTTCTCCATGAGAGCCCTGCCCTGCAGCAAACTTCTGTCTGGACATCCAGGAGTTTCCATACATCCTCTGAAATCCAGGCAGAGGTTCCCAAACCTCAGTTATTGACTTCTGTGCATGCACAGGCTCAATACTCCATGGAAGCTCCCAAGGCTTGGGGCTTGTACCCTCTGAAGCCATGGCCTGAACTGTACCTTGGTCCTTTTTAGTCATGGCTGGAAAAGCTGGGACCGCAGTGCACCAATTTCCTATGCTTCACACAGCACAGGGATCCTGTCCCTGGTCCATGAAACCACTTTTTCCACCTAGGCCTCCAGTCCTGTGATGGGATGGTCTGCCAAGAAGACCTCTGACATGCCCTGGAGACATTTTCCCCATTGTCTCAGGGACTAACATTTGGCTCCTCATTACTTATGAAAATTTCTTCAGCTGGCTTGGAATTTTCCTCAGAAAATGGGATTTTCTTTTTTATTGCATTGCCAGGCTGCAGATTTTCCATGCTTCTGTGCTCTGCTTTCCTTATAAAACTGAATGCCTTTAACAGCACCCAAGTCACCTCTTAAATGCTTTGCTGCTTAGAAATTTCTTCTGCCAGATACCCTAAATCATCTCTCTCAAGTTCAAAGTTCCACAAATCTCTAGGGCAGCGGAAAAATGCCACCAAGTCTCTTTGCTAAACCATAAGAATCACCCTTGCTCCAGTTCCCAACAAGTTCCTCATCTCCATCTGACACCTCCTTAGCCTGGATTTCATTGTCCATATCATTATCAGCATTTTGATCAAAGCCATTCAACAAGTCTTTAGAGAGTTCCAAACTTTCCCACATTTTCCTGTCTTCTTCTGAGCCCTCCAAACTGTTCCAACCTCTGCCTATTACCCAGTTCTGAAGTCACTTCCACATTTTCAGGTATCTTTTCAGCAGTGCCCCTCTCTACTGGTACCAGTTTACTGTATTAGTTTGTTTTCATGCTACTGATAGAGACATACCCGAGACTTGGCAATTTATAAAAGAAAGAGATTTATTGGACTCACAGTTCCACATGACTGGGGAGGCCTCACAATCATGGCAGACTGTGAAATGCAAAGAGGAGTAAGTCATGTCTTACATGGATGGCAGCAGGCAAAGAGAGAGCTTGTGCAGGGAAACTCCCATTTTTAAAACCATCAGATCTCATGAGACTCATTCACTATCATGAGAACAGTGCAGGAAAGCCCACCCCCCATAATTCAATCACCTCCCATCACGTTCCTCCCATGACACATGGGAATTGTGGGAGTTACAATTCATGATGAGATTTGGGTGGAGAGACAATCAGACCATATCACCAGAGAAGTGGTTTTGTAGTCATTATTTCACTTAACAGCACAAAGATTTTCTTCTGCATTCCAGCCTTTTGGAGATCTTAGTTCAGTGGTTCCCAACTTTGTCCACATACTGAAATCACCTGAGAAACTTTGAAACACACTAATGCCTATTTCTTGCCCCTCAGAGATTGTGATTTAATTTATCTGGGGTGTGGTACAGGCTCTGGAATTTTTAGAAGATCCCCAAGTAATTCAAATGTGCAAACAAATTAGGAATTACTGCTTCAATTCAAAGTTGAGCCTCAGAAACCTTAGGGAAGTCTCATCCATCTAGGATCCCCTGGGGCTTTGCAGTGAAATACAGTTCTGGATCCTTCTATGGATGCCCAGGGTCTACTGCAGTTAAAAAAATTCTAATAATGCTGGCTGGGCACAGTGGCTCACGCCTGTAATCCCAGCGCTTTGGGAGGCTGAAGCGGGCGGATCACAAGGTCAGGAGATCGAGATTATCCTGGCTAACACCGTGAAACCCCATCTCTACAAAAAAAATACAAAAAAATTAGCCAGGCATGGGGGCGGGTGCCTGTAGTCCTAGCTACTCAGGAGGCTGAGGCAGGAGAATGGTGTGAACCTGGAAGGCGGAGCTTGCAGTGAGCCGAGATTGTGCCACTGCACCCCAGCCTGGGCGACAGAGTGAGACTCTATCTCAAATATATATATATATATATATATATATATATATATATATATATATATATATATATATAAATAATCTTTCTACCTATAATAATTCTTTCTATGTGGAGTACATTTAAAAAAGGTTGACTTTTATAAGTTTTGAATAAGTGGAATCTGAATTGGCAATGTTTTTTATTGTAATATAGTCCCTAAATTCTGTTCGCTGTCTAGTCATGCTACTTAATGTTCAGAAATAGAGGCTGAGTTTAAAAATGTCTTGAGGTGTTGCAGAATTCCTTACCAAGCACTCGCTAGCTCCTCTACCTCACCCCTCCTCATCAGAACCAAAACCTGGCGCTTTCCTAGTATTGAAAATTCAACATACCTATGAATTCTTCCTAAAAAGCCTTTTTTTTCTATCAATTAGATAGGACAAATGTATTTTAATGAACAAATGGCATTTTAATAAAAAAAGTTCTTTTTTTTAAATTAGCTGATTCTATTAAGGTTCTAACAAGTAAAAATAATATTGCAGAGAATTATGCAATAAAAGCACCAGCCAGCTTGGTCTATGGAGTAAGCTTTGGAAATATGCAAATGGAATTTCACCAAGAAAAATATCCCTGAAGTGATAAAATTTTCTTTTAGATAGAGTGTGTCTGCGTGGGGAAAGGAACAGATCTCTTCTCCATAAAAATGGATGCACTGAACAGTGTTTATAACAATTCTATCTCTTTGGTTTTTGTGTTTGGCAGTAAGACAGCAACTAATTTAGTTTTATTTTAAAATTCCAGTGATTATAAGGTCTGCACATTCCTTGCGGAGTAGCTTTGTCTCTCTACTAGAGCCAGACACCATTTTTTCCCCCAACATGTGTGCTAGAAAACTTTAGCTGGTGGTGCTTTTTCTCTGTTTCTGTCTGAGTCAGAAGCAATGGAGTCAAAGCTGATTTTCTGAATTCAGTACTTTACCACACCTTTTTCTGAGCATTCTCAGGAGACAAATAGAAAAACTTCCATTTCTTTCTAGAGTTGCCTACTATCCACGTAAGAATTTGAATTATTGGTGAATTTTTCTGACACACTAAGAAGGTTTGCATGTACCAAATGCAGAGAAAATGTATTAGATAGAATGCGTGACTGCAATTAGTAGATGGCCATGGAGAATTGGTTAGCCATTAAAGACAGTTTATCATTTCACGCTCAAAATTCCAGGGTAGAGTTTTATTAGTGTTAGTTAATTTGGTGACATAATTTTGCCTTCAAAGATGTAAATTCTTTTTAATCTGTCTTTTTGTCTTCTTTATTTTTATTTTATTTTTATTATTTTTTTGCCATCCTCAGCTTGTGAGCTTTGTGTCTTAGGCTTGCTTTTTTTTTTTTTTTTGAGATGGAGTTTTGCTGTGTTGCCCAGGCTGGAGTGCAGAGGCACAATAATGGCTCACTGCAATCTCCGCCTCCCGGGTTCAAGCAATTCTCCTGCCTCAGCCTCCTGACTAGCTGGGATTACAGGTGCCCACCCCCATGCCTGGCTAATTTTTGTAGTGTTAGTAGAGGCAGGGTTTCACTATGTTGGCCAGGCTGGTCTTGAATTCCTGACCTCGTGATCCACCTGCCTCAGCCTCCCAAAGTGCTGGGATTACAGGCGTGAGCCACTGTGCCCAGGTGCCTTGTCTTTTTCTTGTTGAAAAATGGCTACTATAGCTCTAACCATCATGTATGCACAAATCAAAGTTCAAAGGCTGAAGGCAGTGTGGAAGTGAGAAGTACAAAATAGAGTCACGTGTCAAAACGCTAACCAAAATAGAGTTAGTGAGGGCCAGAACAAAGAAGCTGACGTACTTGCATCCTTGAATGTCTTGCTCATAGCTTGCAAACAGCAAGAAGAGCTTCTCACAGGAATTTTCTCTGGCCTGCAGTATTTCAGATAAGAACCTCAGATCAGGACAGTTGCCTACCAATGACTATCTCCCCCAGTGAACTAATGGCAACTCCTGCAGTGAGTTTCTGAGACCAGTGAGCTTTCTTTCAAAGCGATTTGTGTGGGTGTCTTTCCTTTGTCTTAATTTTCCTTGGGTGTGCTGTACACCCCGGGTTACAACCCTTTGCTCTTCCCAAATGAAATCTTTTGTTCCAGACAGCCTGTCTGTCTGAGTTTCTTTTTTTAAGTTAACAATGGCATATTCGTTCTTTGTTCCTCTTGTATAAGAATGAAAAACACTTTCCTAGGACTCTACAACAAGCTTATTTTTGCTTTCTTTGACCAGAACTGCATAATTTGCTCTTTCCCTAAACTACTGATCCATTTATCTATGCAGTCTATTTGCCATGTAGAGTGTCAGTTTTTGCTATGAGATGGAGATGTAAAGTTCTGTTCTCTTGCCAAAAGCTAGGATCTCAGCCCTTCCCCAGGAGCTACCTACTAAGACCAGGTACCCCAAAACCATAAACCTTGGATGTCCAGAAGGAAAATGCATCTTTATGGAGAAATGTAAACTTGCATCTTCTAATGAAGATGATGATAAACACATCAGTCTTTTTCTTAATCTTTCTGCACCTTACATCTGGCTTTCCAGCTAACTGAAACAGTTTTGTTGCGGAGTTCAGGAGAAACTTGAAATTTACATTCCTGTTAGCCTTCTTGCAAAGTAAATTGACATTAGATTTGATTTTTCATAGCGTTAAATAATTATCTTCCTTTAAAATAGATGTCCATGGGCATTTTCAGCTGATTGTTTCTTATGAAACAAGGCAGCGTATCTGTGTGGGTGGGTATAGATATATACAAATGATATACATCACATTAACAAAATTCTCATTTACTAGAGCATTTAAATGTTAATCAGTACCTTCATGGGACACAGATTATATTTTCAATAATGATTTTTGTTAGCAAAAGGAGTAAATTAGACTTCTGTCCATCTGGAGCAGGAGGAATCTTTGTTGGTTTAACAAATACAAATAAATTGAGTTGAAACCTGCTTTAAACGAAAATTGAAAACAAATTAAGTGATCAGTCAATGTGATGTTCGTGGTTACAGCTCCTGTATATATTTGGATAAGTTAAGAAAAAAAAAGCTGGGCAGCATTGCCAGGTATTTTATTTTATTCCAAGGGGAAAAATAATGAGTTGGCAGCATTTTAAACTGGCTGTAAAGTATTACATATGATGATAATTTGTTTATATATTTGTATGAGCCCTACATTTATTCCTATAAAGTTTAATTATGTGGCACGTGAGTAGCCACTAATGTTGAAATCAAGCGAATGTATTTATTTTTGTTGTTGTTATTGTTCATCTTTCCTGGTAGCCATGAGTAAGACCTTTTATTCTGATGTTTGAAAACACTTGTATTAATACCAGCAGTTCTTTTAGGTTCCAACTCTTGAAATTTGACATTTGTAAAGTTAATGCGATCTTTCTCTCTTGTCATAAGTTATTTCCCTAATTTTATGACTCTGGGATGGCTTCCAGTGACTTATTGTCTCAAAAATGATGATACTGAGAAAGAGAAGATTGTGCTTTATAGTTAGTGATTTATTAGTGCTGACTTGGGCTTTCTGCTTAGGCAAATAAGAGTCATCTGAAGATGCTTGGATCTCTGGTTAAAGTTTAAATTCAACCATTAAAAGGTTATGCTATTTTACCAAGTTTAACTCCTGAGCCATTTATTTTTCCAAGTTAGCTACATTCAATTCAGAATTTGAATGTAGTTCACATTCAAGCGTTGATGAAAGAATCACTCTCTGCTATGCATTTCATTCAGTATATTAACACAACACTGAAATTCCAATATGCAATATATTATTTTTCTTTTGCCTTTATCTCTTAAAATTATGCACTTAAAAACATGTCTCAGACTTTCCAGTATCTTTCTAATCTATTGGTTAGTTCAATTGTATTAAAAATTCAATTAACTACATATGGAGAAAATCAGCCATCATTGTTAATTGGAATTATTCTGTATAATAACTTGCAGACGTAGTACATCTTTTGTGACTTGTGGATACTAAAACTATTTCATGCATATATTGCTCAGGACTCTTGGTCGCAAGTATTAACAATAAACTTCAAAGTATTTTAACATAGATAAATTTACTGGCTTACATAATGTCATAGTCTAGGAAAATTCTTGCTTCAGGGATAGCTATATCCAGGAGCTCAAACAAGCTCACCAGTGATCTTTGTCTTTCCACTCAGCTTCCCTCTATGTTGGCTTCTTTCTCTAATAAATTCCTCCTTTTAGCCATCAGCACTAGCCATCTTTTATCCTGGAAACTCTGAGTCCAGTGAAAACAAATATTTTTATCCTATGTGACCTCAGAAAAAGTCAAGAAATTAAATTCTATGACCTGGGACATAATGATGCCATCTCTGACCCAATATCTGTGGCTAGGAGGTTGGAATGTTATCAGTAGTTGACTAACATGGTTCCTGAACAATCCTCAGCAGCATCACCTGGGATCGTGTTAAAAATGCATATTCTCAGGGCACACCTCAGATCCAATGAATCAGAAAATCTTGCAAACTCTATTGTAACAAGTCCATATGATGGTGATGCACTCTCAATTTTGAGAACCACTACAATATACTAATTGGTTAGGCCTAGGTCATGTGCACAACCCAAGAGCTTCAGTGTAAGTTCAACCGCACAGAAAGCATATAGAAAAGAAATCTGAGGAACTGATACCGGGGAAGAGAAAAGAAAGAGCAGATGCTGTGCTGGCAAAGAGGAGAGATGCCTACTCTAAGGAGATTTCCACCCAACAGTAAAGTTTCCCGTTGTTTCTAATGCCATTATTTCTCAGAACACTGCTGGGTATGTTCCCCTCCAGAAAACCAATGTTTCAATTAAGCAAATACATTCTTCTCTAGGATAGTCTAAATGTCATCTGCAAATGGGGGATGGCCAAATGGTTTCCAGACCATATTATTTTCTTATCAAATACTTCCTGAATTCATAGGAAATAGTCTAATACAATTAAAGCCTTCATTAGTAAGCCCCACTTCTCCCCTGTGATAGTAGATTCACATTGCTGCAAAAGTTCTCAGTGAAAATGACAGTAATGCTTAGAGAATTTTAGAGAAGGTGGCCAGCACTGCAGTATTATCCAAAATAATTTTAGAACATTTTTAAAAAATAAAACACCTAACAAAGGAGATAAGTGTAGCTTTTCATACTGTCCTAGTTTTTTGTTTGTTTTTGTTTTTTACTTGATTTGGGACATTTATACTTATTACCCGGGGGGAAGACAGTAGAGTGCATGCCAGTTTTTCTCAAGTTATCTGCTCACAAGAATCCTTTGGGCACTTGTTATAAATACAGCCCCTAAGGTTCTTTTTCAGGATATTCATATTTAGAATGTCAGGAATGGGAAGAGGGAATTTGTATTGCCTCAGGGAATTCTTAAGATCTGGCACGTTGAGAACACTCTAATGGTGAAGAGTGAGGATGCTGGAATCCTATGGTATGGGCTCAAATCATACTTGTAACTCTTGCAAGCTGAGGGTAAACTATTCAACCTCATGCCTCATATGTCACTTGCCATGAGTACTGTTTGCTGCTGGTGTTCTTTTTCTATTCTCTTGAAGAATCTGCCTGATTCACCTTCTTATTTCTTATGTTACAGATAGAAGACATGCAGTGGGGTAAAGGAGTCCGAGAGATACCCGCCTCAGTGTGCACACTACCATGTAAGCCAGGACAGAGAAAGAAGACACAGAAAGGAACTCCTTGCTGTTGGACCTGTGAGCCTTGCGATGGTTACCAGTACCAGTTTGATGAGATGACATGCCAGCATTGCCCCTATGACCAGAGGCCCAATGAAAATCGAACCGGATGCCAGGATATTCCCATCATCAAACTGGAGTGGCACTCCCCCTGGGCTGTGATTCCTGTCTTCCTGGCAATGTTGGGGATCATTGCCACCATCTTTGTCATGGCCACTTTCATCCGCTACAATGACACGCCCATTGTCCGGGCATCTGGGCGGGAACTCAGCTATGTTCTTTTGACGGGCATCTTTCTTTGCTACATCATCACTTTCCTGATGATTGCCAAACCAGATGTGGCAGTGTGTTCTTTCCGGCGAGTTTTCTTGGGCTTGGGTATGTGCATCAGTTATGCAGCCCTCTTGACGAAAACAAATCGGATTTATCGCATATTTGAGCAGGGCAAGAAATCAGTAACAGCTCCCAGACTCATAAGCCCAACATCACAACTGGCAATCACTTCCAGTTTAATATCAGTTCAGCTTCTAGGGGTGTTCATTTGGTTTGGTGTTGATCCACCCAACATCATCATAGACTATGATGAACACAAGACAATGAACCCTGAGCAAGCCAGAGGGGTTCTCAAGTGTGACATTACAGATCTCCAAATCATTTGCTCCTTGGGATATAGCATTCTTCTCATGGTCACATGTACTGTGTATGCCATCAAGACTCGGGGTGTACCCGAGAATTTTAACGAAGCCAAGCCCATTGGATTCACTATGTACACGACATGTATAGTATGGCTTGCCTTCATTCCAATTTTTTTTGGCACCGCTCAATCAGCGGAAAAGGTAAGTGAAAATGCACATCATAATATGTTTTTTAAAAATGTGTTCATTTTTGTAAGTACTGAAACCAAATTGATTGTATAAAGTAAGAAGTTTCGTATATGCAGAATGGTATTTCCAAGAGTAGAGAACTAATTCAAGGTCTAGTAGGCTTCAATGCTACAAGAGTCTAAAACTGAGCCACGTTCATTCCACTGGAAACCAACCAGATGTAGCCTTTTCAAATCAATTAAATTATAGAATTATTAAATGTAATGAGAGATTATCTAGCATAAAATTATCTATCTAAAATAACCCTTCATATTCATTTATTCCTCAACTTCTCCACTTACCCACATATTTTTTGGGGGTAGGAAAAGAGGAGCATAGTACCTTCTCCAGGTGGGAGTGTGTGATGGTCATTACTATCACCAGTGTAAATGCTCTCTCGCTCTTCCAAGTGGCTACCTAGGCTATTGCTGTCCATTGCACTTAGTACTCAAGCTTTACAACAGAGTAGAGTTGCCCAATTGTATATGCACAATATATACCCAGGTGGGTGAATATAGGAAAGATTTGGTTAGCATTTCAGCATAGGCTCCCTACAACTAGATGGACATTAATCACATCCAGCAATTCACAGTGAGATCAGAGATGCAACTTTCTAAAAGAGGAAGAGTCAATATTTGGTGCAGAGCTAGTGTCATCAAGCTGTGAAACTTTGAGGCCAACATATTTGCTAGTTCACATGCACCTTCCAGGTAGTTATAAGTCTTGTGAATCTTTGATTTAGACAATTCTACGGTGTTGATTCTAGACATGATTCTTATACATCTGACTCCTATACTCACCCACGTGGCTATAGTTTCATGTAATATCAACCCTAATATATTGATAGTGATAAGATATGGTGTCTTTCACTGGATGTAGGCAGCTCTGGCAGGTCAGTACAACTGGGATCTAGAGTTCTAACTGACATACTCTGCAAAGAGGGCTTAGGGATAGCTTGATTAGATGTGAGGACATTGGGGGTCTAGTCTGATTCCACGTTACTTTGGACAAATCTCTGAAACATTCAGGGACTCAAATGGGAAAAACAGGGATTGATTTAGAATGTCTAAAAATTTACAACAGCCTGTGTATCCAGGAATTAGATTACTCTAGTTTTTCTTTGTTACCTCTGTTCTCCATATAATCATACAAAGGATTAATGGCATCTAGTTTTCCAGCTGAAAAGATGTATTTTACCTAAATTGTGTAATTCAGAGGGGCTATAATTTTGAACTGTGTTTTTAAAAAAGTAAATATTTCATGAAACCACACAGAATTCTAAAACCAAGGAGAATGAATGGTTCCAGATTATGGTTTTAGTCATAAAGTATTTTAGAGAAAGTTCTTCTAAAATATACGCTCAATAAGCATAGCATGTTTCAATTTCATAATCTATGTTTACTGTCTGTGAAACCAACTTGAATATCATTTTATTTCTTCTGTGTATTCCTGGGCCAAGGGAATAGTAAAATATGAGTTAGAGTGGTAAAATACAATAGAGAGAAGAAAAAAAAAATCCCCAAATATGTGCTCGTAAGTTGATAACTATTGAACTTTTTATAGGGAATGATGAGTATCTTAAAAGCCTATGGAGATAATAATTATTTTGTTATTAAAACAACTCAATACCTCATGCAACAGGTTGAAGACATTAAAACCTTTCCCGTAAGTTTATTCTTGGGGAACATAAAAAGGAAAAATAATTATAATGGTTTTATAGATGAGTCTGATTGCAATGCCTATTTGACAATATATGTCTCTACCATTTCATTTTTCATTTCTAGTCATGACTATGGATCTTTTCAATAAGGTCACAGGTATAATTTATGCATTCATTTAAAAACCTGAAATTGAAACAAGGTTTCAGGAATTGAATTCTAGTTGTTCTAGAGAACAATGTATTGGTAGAATTGGAGTGTGGGGAAATTTAAGCTTTCAAGCAGTGTGCTTTTTATACCAGAGTTTTAGAAGGCACGTAATTTTCTTTGTGTATTCTCAATAGGTTATGAAGTTTTACGTGGTTGATTGACACAATTAAAGGCACAAAATTGCCAAATGGGAACAGTAAATTATTACATGAAAATGCACATCCACTTATAGGCATATGGCTAGAGAAGCATGAACAACCAATGAGAAAATACCAGCGTGTATACATGAAACTATAGCATTTAAAATGTGGAAAGTGGCCAATTATCAAATGTAACAAAGAGATCACATCAGAAGGGATTTTTGCCAAGCCAGCAACCTACAGAATCACAAGTTTTTCATTTTTGTTTAGCTCTAACAAACAGTTTAAGTGTTTTAAATCAAAGAATTATATTATAACAGGAAAAATAAGATTAGGCAGTGAGTTCAGTAATAACAATTTACTGTTTCAAGAAATTGAATTTATATTGAGTATGCTAGGAATATCTGTAAAAATTTCTGTCAAATTCATAAGCACAACATAAAGAGACAGCAGTGTTCTTTTCCTTATTTTTTTTTTGCAAAATATTAACCCCCATGAAGTTTGTTTTTGCTTTTGTTAAGGAGGATATGGGAGACCACTGCTATCTTGTTTTATCATTGTTAATCCCATGACTTCTAGAATGAGCATCTTGCCATGTGGCCAGGGATGGAAGTGGTGAACTTTAACCACAAGAGAATGATTCTAGCTTCAGGAATTATATTTAGGTGGCGTAATGATGCAAGAACACACTAAAACTGGTACATCAATAGCACAGTAGAAGCTGGCTGGCCCAGTTTGATGTGATAATATACCATTATTTTGTTCTGGCACTATCTGTTGAAGACTAGAATGTTTTCTATAAAAAGCAAAAGCTTGCCTTGTGGTTGTGTCTATTCAGAGAGTTGCACATCTAGGAAAAGAAGTATGCCTCAGGTAGGGAACATACAGGCTACCCGGTCAAAATCTGAAAAATTCTATAGGTGATATGTTCATCTAGAGCTTTGTAGCCAGTTATTGCCTAAAGAGCTTTCTAGGTAAGTTAACATATCTTTATACACAGGCAGGGAGACATGCTTTGTGCAATGTGACTCTACAAAGGGAAAATGATCTTGATACACAAGGAATGGGATCATAAGTTCTCAAAGGTCTTCCTTTGTGTATAAGTGTGTTTCTTTAGATAGGAGGACCGTGAGAAGAGGAAAAAGAAAAAGATTGAGGCAATTGAAGGGCAGAGAAAATTGCTAAAAAGGAAAGTGGCTTGAAGAAAGAATTGTGTCCTCTAAAATGGCACCCACAGGCCACTTTTCTGTGCATATTATAACAGAACAAGGTTATATTACAAAACTTAAGTAATTTGATTTCCACGGGAGCCTTCGGTCACTAAATGACCAAATTGGGGCAACTATTGGCAAACTTTGAGCCAGTTCAGGATTCTTACCTCAGTGGTTCTTCAAATTGTGTTCATGGTCACCCCCTGAGGAATTTAACAAATTATTGCATGTCTCCCCAACCCTATAATCCCATACTGCTTCAACAGGTCTGGAATGCGGCATAGAACTATTCACTTTTCAAGTTTGCTGGAAAAATGCCAGTGGACACGATGCCAACCATACTTTTTAAAAGCCTTACTACTTTCTTCCCATTTACAGAAGACATCCTGTAAATATTTACTTGATTCTTAACTTCAGAACCTTTGGGAATCAATTAACTGCCATTTCAAGCAAAGGGGAGGTCCAGAAATCAAGGAACCAGGAGATCAGAAAGACACTAATCCACAAAGACAAAGTCAAGGATTAGAATGTCTAAATGAAGCATCAGTCCCAAGGCTTGGGCCAGAGACCATTAAAAAGTCAGGACCAAGTCCCTGGTCTTGGGACCAGAGATAGCAATAGAATAGGTAGACAGTGGTGCTCCCCAGCGGTATTTTTGTGGGGCTGAGAATATCGACCAAGAATTTTTGATCTTCTGCATGTAACAGATAGCCCCTCAGAATCTGAACACAAAGTAAAATCTGCCTAGAACTAATAGAGGGATCAGAAAATTTGGCAGGTAGATAAATGTTTCTCCATCCACGCCCAAGGCAGACATCACTAATCAATTATGACACACTTCCTCTGTACTCTGGTATAGTCTTGAAATCTTTCTCAATACAGTTTTAAAGCAAGGACTATTAACACATCAGAACTGGAATGAATTTGCAATCCATTGCTATTTCTGATTTAGTTTCGGATTCTTGATACCTCTTCCCATTCAGCTGTTTGCTGTCATTGTGTGAAAACCAATGATAGTTTTCGTAAAGATTAATCGACTTAAAGAACAGTCAAGGAATTGGGGTGTGCTTTAATTCTTGTTGGTTTCGTCTCCAATTACAAATCTTTTTTGTTAAATTGCCAAATGCCATACAGCAAGGAGCAGCCCTGGTTCTCTTAGGAAGCTATATATTAGTTTATGCTTCTGTGCTATTTGATTTGTTTAAAATTTTCTCATGGTCTTTCAGTAATTAAACTTACAATGCGTGTACTGTGCCCTTGGTACTCTGTTAAGGACTGTGATGCAGAGATAAAACAGTGTTCTTTTCCATTAGGAACTCATACACTAATGGTCAATGTAGGTCTTCAAACAAACATTGAATAAGTGTGAGAAATATGATAGTTGTCGCACAAAGAATGAAGGACAGGAACATGGAGAAGGAGCTTCCACTTAAGCTTCACAGAAAATATGACAAGTGGACTGAAATTTAGAGGCAGAAAAAGTGGCATGACAATGTAGTAAGAAATTATATTACTCGTTAAAAAGTGAGGGACAGTGTTTTCAACACATAGCACATAGAGAAGAGACAGATTGCACTTACACAACTTTGACTCTTGTAAAATGTGAGATTATAATCAGAATTAATGAAACCTCATTCTATCTGCAAATTTTCGAACAATGTGAATTCCAAATTAACTTTTGGCAAGAGTCACATCTTTTCCATATAGTGGGTCAAGTTAATTTGAAATATTGTAGCTTGTAAGCTGAAATGCCTGTTCTACCTTAAGAGGAAATATTGACTTATGTGCCTGTTGAATTCTGCATGGTCTTTCCTTTAATGCAATGCCACCACCCTCTCATTTTGTAGGGCTGGACTCTATAGCAGAGGCAAAGATATGGCAAAAAGCAGCAAAGCCAAATTGTGAAGGGCTCTGTTTGAATTTTCTCCTTGAACCTATGAAGAGTCAGCAGAAGTTTCTAAATGTGGGAGAAATGTGAGCATAGGGTATTTTGAAATGGGAATTTTGGAAATAGTGCTTGAGTGCGAAAAGCAGCTAGAGGTAAGAAAACTAGTTGAGTATTACAATAATTTGACAAAAGATGGCACTGGTTTGAAGAAAGCTTAAGGGACTGGAAAAGATGGAGCAGGTTTGAAAGCTATTTTGGACTTTTTAAGCATTAAGAAAATATGCGAGTAGAGTAAGCTTTATCTTTTATTTTGTGTTACGTTGTTTTGTTATTTCAATAGAAATACAATTTTCAAAATTTGTTTAATTTAGAAAATAACATTGCCGACTATTTAATCTATTTTATCAACAACAACTAGGCAAAGAAAGAGAACTCTCATTATCCCACACCCTAAAGACAATGATTGTCCAATCATCTGGTGGTAACTTCCAGCCATATAAACATACACACATTTACACACATACCCAAACTTATTTTAAAACAAAACTCCATATTTTCTCTTCTAGCATGCTTAGTAAGAACTTTCACCTTGCTTTGGAACACAGGAGAGAGAGGTGTCCCAGTGCATAGTTTTTGCTGATGCCATTTGTGCACTCATGCTGTGACAGGAACTCATACTGGTTGTTGAGGTCTTGCTTCTGCTGTTTGGTTTTGTCTGTTCACGTTCCCATCAGAAGCCTATGAAACTATTTCCTTTCTGTTGCCTGCTGTGACCTTGGTGATAACTGAGTTTCTCTCTAAACAGCTGTCAGAAACCAGCTGTTTGCAAGGCTGGTGTTAGCTAGTCGCTTGGGATGGTGCAGTCGTTTTTCTTCCTGCCATAATGAATCAGCTAATTTCATATGCAGTCACCTAGGATAATTGGAGTCTCAACCATCTTAGACCCTTGCTTTAGCTAGAATAGCTACTTTAGCAGGTAAATATCAAGGGCCTGTATAAAACTGAACTGAGCTAAAACTAATAAGGGAATAGCTTACTACATTAAAAGAAAGGCTTTAATCACTGGAAGTTTGAACAGAGTGATACTCAGAAAGAGAAATTCCTGCTAAAAGGGAAGACTCAACAACAGATTTTGAATCTTCCTGCCACCTCCCGTGGAGAGCTCCCTGGAGCTCACTTTTCCCCATAGGTGTCTTGCGCTTTGAGACCTCAGCCACTGAGAGACACAGCCACAGGGACCCAGGCCTCAAACTAGGATAAACTGACACATCTCTGTTCCCTAGCTTTTCTCAAAGCATCAGAGACCATCTCTCATTTTCAGAAAGAATCTTTCTCAAAGCACAGGAAACCATAACAGAGCGTGGTGTGCTGATGGGCAGTCAGGGGACTGCCAAATTCTCGGCTCCATAGACTATAGGTCACAATACTGGCCCAATTGTGAATTCTTTCCAACTTCATTTACCCTCTCTTCTTCTGGTCCTAGAAGCTGGTTTATTTGGGCATTTTCTTCTACTCCACCATCCTATACTGCTTTGAGCCTAATCATTGTACATTCTGGATGTATCACTTAACTTATTTGGTCTTCACTTCTTTCATCTTCACCATGGGTCTAATTATTCCTACCTCTAGGTTTAAGAGAAAATATTTAAATTGCTCAGCATACAAACTTAAAAGACTGATGATGCAAGATGCTAATGAGGATAAAGAACAACTAGAACACTCATATACTGCCAGTGGGAATATAAAACATGGTACAACTGCTTTGGAAAACAGCTTGGCAGGTATTTTAAAAATTAAACATATACCTAGCATACTGCTCCAGCCATTCCTCTTATATATTTTACCCAAGAGAAAGGAAATAGTGTATTCATGTAAAGACTTGTACATGAGGGGTTTTTTTTTTTGTAGCTTTATTTCTAATAGCCCCACCCTGAAAACAACCCAAGTGTTCCTGAAAAGGTAAATGGATAAACAAACTGGGGTGGGTTTATCTACAAAATGGAATATTACTCTGCAGTAAAAAGCAATGGACCAGGCTGGGCGCAGTGGCTCACGCCTGTAATTCCAGCACTTCGGGAGGCTGAGATGGGTGGATCACTTGAGGTCAGGAGTTCGAGACCAGCTTGGCCAACATGGTGAAATCCTGTCTCTACCTAAAATACAAGAATTAGCCAGGCATGGTGGTGTGCATCTGTAAACCCAGCTACTTGGGAGGTGGAGGCACGAGAAGTGCTTGAACCCAGGAGGCAGAGGTTGCAGTGGGCCAAGATTGCACCACTGCACTCCAGCCTGGGCAACAGAGCCAGACTCTGTCTCAAAAAAACCGCAATGGACCATTGATGCATTGAGCAGCATGGATAAATCTCAAAATAATGCTGATTAAAAGGCCCCAGACATAAAAGAATATATACTGTATGATTCAATTTATATCAATTTTTAAATATCCAAATTAACCTATAGTGACAGAAAAGTAAGTTGTTGGCTGTGAATAAGCAGGGAAGGGCTGAAGAATTACAACGAGGCATGAGAAAATTTGGGGGGTAATATGTGTTCACTCTCCTGATTGTGGAGGTGGATTCACAGATATATATAAGTCAAAATTGATCAATTTGCATACTTCAACATGAATAGTTTATTATATATTGATTATATCTCCATAAACCCATTACGAATTGCTTTTTACAGAAACCCTTCTCTTTCTCCCCTCTTCCTCTTTTTTTCTTGAAATGTAATCATTAAGCGGCCTTATGCCAACTGGCCTATTTGCACAGTACTGAACCTAGAAATATATTTGTAATGATATTACAATTGTGCAAATTAGAGTAAGTAAAGCTCTTTAAACACTCTCTACCACATGGTAAATGCTCAGTAAAGGATAACTTTATTCTTCTACCCTAGGTTCCTCTTAGCAAAATATGTCTACCTGGGCATTGGCAGGAGGGTCCCCAGAAGGTAAAATAGTCACATATCTGGGGGAACTGTCAGGAGAGGCTGTAATATAAATTAGCGGGACTATAAGAGCTGACACTGGAGAGACGGGTAGAGGCAAAGCCCCAGAAGGCCCTGTGTGCCCTATTAAGGAGCATGCACTTTGTTTTTTAAACAAGGAGAGAAGTGTTTCAATGGTTTATAGGATAGTGGTGTGACACGCTTGGGCTTATGCTTTAAAAAATTACTCATTGCTTATAAGTAATGGATTGCATGACAGTTAAGACGTGAAATTTTACCCTGGGAAGATAGGCACTGGCTACCAGTCGTGATTTAAATGGACTTTCCTAATGCTCATATTTTTAGACCCAGGTTAGCACACAACCTGAAGGGTGCAGAAGAATGAGAAGAATCCCTTAGAGCAAAAGTTGGATCAGAGCTGGCAGTCACCTATGGTACCTTTACTTCCCCCTTCAGAAAGAGGCCAGTGAACCCCTTATACCAAAGAACGTTAGATGGGAACTCAGCATATGATTCTCCTCCCATCTCTGCTTCGTGGGATGTTTGGTGGGGTGGAAACTTGAACACTAGCTTCAGTCTATACCCTCCCTCCCCAAGTAAAGCATGAGACATTGGAATGAGACTGCAACACCATAATAATGGATGTATATTATGGGTAATCATAAGAATTGTTGTTGAAGAGTATCCGTATACTAGAAATACTGCCCATATACAGCCTTCCTTGTTTTGGTATATTCTTAGCACGTTACCACAACACTAGTTTCTTCTGAGTATAATGGATCTCTGGCTGTTGAACTGCAAGCAGTTCCTAATGAATAAAGCTATCCTCAAATGACTGGCACTTGGGGCGTAAGAGTTCAGGGCACATGCCACCTGCTGTGGAGTTATGCATCTTCAGATGGCTCAGCTTGTTACCTTTTATAATACATTTGGTTGCTCTCTACCCACCCAGCTCAGGACCACATTCGGCTCTGTTCGCCTGGCTGGGTTTGGCCATAAAGTTTTCAGGTCATAAAGCACTGAGAAGTGAGCAACCTCAAATAAATAGGTATCTAATTGCAGGTTTCAAGGAGGGCCCCTGTGGAATATCCCAACTCAACAAAAGCCACATTTTCCCATCTAAGTCTCATGTACATGATGGTGTTGGGGAAGATAACGGGTCACAAATAGTCAATAGAGAGATCATAGAGCAAGGTATACTGTGGCAAGGAATGTAAAAGACAAGTTCATGCCACTACACTAGCACTTCCTTGAAGCTCTCGATGTCTCTATATACCTGAAGGAGGAAACTCACACTCAGTAAGTCATCGGTAGAAATGTATTGGTGGACAAATGAATGACTGAAACAAAACATCCCATTTTCCTTCTCATATTGCACGCTCTTCGTCCTCACTTTCAACTGAGATGTGATCTCACGTTAGTGATTTATCACTTGCAAAGGACTTAGATTGTTTCCAAAAAAGGCTTGATTTATATATAAGGAGTCAGTTGTTCACACCTGGGAGATTCTGGCTAACAGACCCAAAGCCCTAGATCAGATTGTAATGATTGGGTTTTAGCATCAAGGCCAGATATTTAGGCTGGCGAAATCTGCCTTCCAATTCTATCAATTCCATTGTGTTTCTCTGGTAACCTTCCCAGTTCCCTGTCAAAGTGACTAGTTTGAGGCATCATGGCCAAATTACATTGTTGATGAGGTGAAGGCTGCTGCCTGGTGTTACACCAAATGCCAGATGAATGGAGCCCTTGGTTTTAACCCAGCAATCAGATCATTGTCTTTTATTTTCATGTTGCAGATCTTGAGGTATGGAAGTACCTTGTGCATTATGTTTTTAAAGACATTAACTGAGGAGTAAAGAACCACATAGATGTTTCTACTGCCATAAACTGAGGTTCAACTTAAATGCTGATCTTTTTTTCCCAAATCTTTACTGAGTGGACTGCATAGGGATAAGTGTTTTATAAGGCCTTGGAACCTTTGTATTAGTTTCTAAATTTGGACATTACCCAGTTACAATGTACTAGGAATGGGTCAGAATCTTAAGATGCTTCATTGTTGACAATATGGCAACAGTGAATAAACAGTAGAGGCAAGTTAATGGCACAGTCCTTGGACTGAAATCTCTAGAAATGGCCGTGTAAGAGGAGACGTCCCATATTATTCCAGGGTTGAGAGCTGTGTGGATGATTGGTAAGCAAGCTTATTGAGTTTTAGATCATAATGAAGGGGTTTGGGAAATGAAAGGAATCATCATTGGATTTTCCCACAGAAATCCAGCTTCCCACTGCAGTTGTTGGGAAAAGAAAATGTAAGGAAATGATTTCTTAATGGTGACACTGACAATCAGTCTAGCTGATGCAGAAGCACCAGTGTCTATAACAGGTCCTCTGATGCCTGAAATTGAAAATTGTCTCTCTAATGTGCCTGTGTGCTCCCATTCAGCTTTATGTTCCAATTGATTCCTTGACTTATAACCAACAGTGATTTTTTTGATCCAAGGCCTCCCTTCATACAGGTCTAAAAAAAACCTGACTAGTAGATGTACTGAAACAGCAACTAAGAAAGGTTTTTGTTCCCTGTAGTGATACTATCTTTATTCCTTCAGTGTCTACCACCCCGAGCTAGATATTCTAGGAGATCAAGTTTTAAAATAATTTCCTTTTTGTTCAGAATGTCCCCCTGTTATTTAACAATCAATTTTAAGTACCTGTAACATGACCTGTGACCCCCAACCAGTGAGGATCCATCACTTGCTTTTTCAAAAACCTTCCAGCAGCTTCTCATTGTTACTATTATTATCATTGCCTCCTGCCACTATTACAATTACGACAGTATTCAGACTCTTTCTTAGAGCCCAGGAGGTTTAACTCAAGATCACAAAATACAGCCCATGGACCTGTCCAATGAGTAACTTGTTTTTATAAATAAGGTTAATTGGAACACAGCCTCATCCATTCATCTACGTACTGCCTATGGTTGCTTTTATTGCTACAAAGACAGAGTTGAATAGCTGTGACAGAGATTATATGACCTGCAAAGCTAAAAATATTTATAAACCGGAACTTTACCAGTAAAGCTTGCCGGACCTGCCTTAGATAATCTATTGCCTTCTTAGCTTTCTGACCTTCATTTCCAATTTCTTCTCATCCTTGCTGACTTTTCTTCGGTCTTGCTGGTAGTATTTCTGCTCCTGAAAACCCCAGGGCCATTTCCTTCCCAGGACCTTTGTTCAGGATATGCCTTCTTTATAGGAGGCTGTCACGCAGACCTTTCCATGCTGTGTTCTTCTCACCACTCGAAGCTCAGCCTACAGACACATATCATGGCTTCCTTAACTCTCCTCTACCCCAGCTAAAGGGAGCTCCACCCCAGTCATGTTCTGTTTGTTCCTATTCCTCAGTAACTTATGTCACTTACTGGTTTGTTCACGTGTACCTGTATCTCCTCATTAAAATGAAAGTACCTTAAAGGTAAGGCCCTGCTCTGTCTCTAGTTCTACTTTGTATCCCTAGAGCTCTAAGCAGTGACTGGTACCTAGTAAGTGCTCAATAAATCCCTGTGGATTGGATGGAAGAATGAAAGAAGGAATGAATGAATCTGTTGTGGAGTATGATACAGTTTCTACCCTCAATATATTGTTTAGAGAGAGCCATGTACACTAATGTCTGTGAAAATAAGAAAGTAGGTTTATAGCAAGAACAGCCTTGAGCGAGATCAATCTTGCTGAGGGAGTATGTCATGAAGATTGCGCAGACAAAGCTAATAGTCAAGGATGACCAACCACTGTTAAACATAAAAAAGACTTTCTAAAGTGAAGGAATTGATTTTGAAGTTATTTATTGAAATTGATTATGAATGAATATATTAAAATGTCCAATCTCATATATAATTTTCAGTCTTCAGAACAGTAAAGATGAAAAAAATACAGTAATACACAGTGATGGTAAGGATGTGGGAAAACGAATATTTTTATTGTTTACAAATGAATGTCCAAAGTGATCAAATCTTTTAAGAAGGGTAGTTTTATGCTGTATA
Source organism: Homo sapiens (assembly GCF_000001405.40). Classification (NCBI taxonomy): domain Eukaryota; kingdom Metazoa; phylum Chordata; class Mammalia; order Primates; family Hominidae; genus Homo; species Homo sapiens. The sequence goes on from NC_000003.12 coordinate 7,591,477, forward strand.
TCAAAAGCTTTTAGAATATGAATAACTTTTCACCCAGTAGTTCCATTTCTAGGATTTTTGGAAAGGGGAGAAATTAGAAACTTCCTCAAAGATAGAGGTACCAGAATGTTCACGAGAATGTAAGTAGCTAACAAAAGGGAGGTGACAGTGCATTATAGAACTTCTACATAATATAGTACTTAGAATTGTTAAAAATGATGGTGCAAATCAGAGTCCAGAACACCAATTGTTGAACATTCTCTGTGTATCAATCACCAGTCCAAACACTTCATATAGATTACTTCTTTGAAACGCCACAGCAAACTCTAAATAGGGACTGATATCATCCCCATTTACAGAGTAGAAAATAGAGCCTTACAAAAGTTAAGTGACTTTTCTAAGGTCCCAGAGCCAGAAAGGGAAAAAGAAAGTTGCTTATCAGGACCTGACTCACATAATGCTCTGGGATACGGACAATAAAAAGGATCAATTCTTTTACCCTGGACAAATTACTTGATCTTTCTGGGTTTCAGTTTCCTTGTTTATAAAATGAGATTAACAATAGTATTTGTCTCATAAGGTTTTCATGAGGATTGAATGAGTTAATTCATTCTGTATGTATCTATATGAAAATATGCATATATATATATGTGTGTGTAGCTATATCCTAGCCACTGTTGTGTATGCAGAAGAGGCATGAGCAAGCAAAAGAGATAAATTCCTGAGTCTGCATTCTAGTAGCCAGAGACAGACTTTAAATGAATAAATGAAATATAAGGAGAATATCAGACTGTGGCAAATATAAAAAAAAAAGCAGATAAGAGAAGAAATACCAGGATGGGGCATACAGTCTGCAATTAGGAATAGGGGCTCAGAGCAGGGCTCACTGAGAAGACAACCTTTGAACAAAGACATAAAGAAGCAAACCATGAGGAGATCTAAGAGAAGAGCATTCTGGGTAGAGAGACCAGCAGGTGCTGAGGCAGAAGCATGTCAAGGCTATTTGGGAAATGACTAGAAGAGTAGTGTGAGCTAGGATGGGCATGGTAGGAGATGAGCCTGGAGGACAGGTGGCAGGGCACCAGCGCATGCAGAATCAGACTGGACGACATGCAGAGCCTTTAAGGATTCTGGATGGAGGCACAGCATGATCTGACAGATTTCAAAAGGATCAAGCTGATCCTCCCAAATACATTAATTTCATGTAAAGTACTCAAAACAGTGTCTGCTACCTGACAAGTGACCAGTAAAGATTACACATTTTTATTTGCAGTATTAATATCATCTTCCTCTAGCTTCATACTTTTTCCACAGTTTCTTCAGGAAATATATATATGGAACCGAGAAACCTTCACTTTCCTTCATACCCTTAACAGACTTGTGTATATGCCATTTGTCCACTGCTGGAGAGAAGCTAGTTTGTGTTGGAAAACATGGGGAAACTGAATTCAAGCACCAACCCTACCCTTGTACTCAGCCTAGGAACAGTTTAAACCTTAGAAGACCCGAGTGGACTGGTAACCTCTTCCATGGATAAGATAATGGGGCTCCCACACATAATTACACAATAATGTAACAATATTCCATGCATGGAAATGCTCTTGCTAGTTAGAGTATCTTTTCAAATGCATCCTTCTATACAGCACTGACTCAACAATAATACTTCTGCATTTAAAATACTATTTTGATGAGATCATTGCTTCTGGCAATTGCCTCACCAAATTTCTCCTTTTGGTATCGTTAAAGTACAGTTTTATCAGGTAGCAGATGGTGAAAGAGTGGCCCCATATTCATAGCCTTATTTTCCAGTGATTTTGTGGTTATATCCAGTTTGCGGGGTTTTGGCACTTTCCAGTTTCAAACATTTATTGATTCATCCCACTAATGTCTACAAAAAGCCACCATGTGCCAGGTACATATTTAGGTGCCAGGGATGGAAAGGGGAACAAGACAAATTCGTTGCCCTCATGGAAATCACATTCTATTGAAAAGTGAGACAATATGCAAACAAACAAATAGAAAATGACAAGAAGACATAGGAAAGGTAGAGGAAGATGGGAGATAGATCTTACCTGGACTCCTGTATTAGATGTGAATGGTCAGGAGGGCTTCTTGGAGGAGGTGCTCTTCAAGCACAAACCTGCATGAAATGAAATAGCAAAAGGAAAAGCAAGGGAAAAGGTGCTCAGAGGAGAGTGTGAGTGGCGTGAGAAACAGACGCTGGAGTGTAGAGGATGGAGGTAGAAAATGGAATGGGGTGGGGGTAGCCAGTGGCTATTTATGTAGGGCTTTGGAATTCTGAGCAAGAAGGGAAAAATGGGAAGCTTTAGAAACTGATTTATGTTTTAGAACGACCACTTGGACTGTTGGTAAGAAGAAAACTGTGGAGAAGCAAGAGTAGGGTCAGGGAGGCCAGATAGAAGTTTCCCAAGCACCTGCACATTTGATAGAGCTTCCAAAATTACACCCTTGACACAATCCACAGAAGGGGGAAAAAAAAAAACACTGAAAGTGATTTACTCACAAAATAAGCATCATACTTTCCTAGCTTTGGGGAACTCATTTTATCAAATCAATTATGTAGGCAAGGGTCTACAACTTCCAGGAAGTAAGAAAATCTTACAGGTGGTGTCCTAAGGCTGCTGACCCCAATTCTTTCCTCCTTTCTTCTGAAATGATGTGACTATTCCAAGTCTCATTCACCTGTCCAGTGGCCATCTGAGATAGTTCCCAGATAGCAAATTAGCCTCCTAGGCTTTTTAAAAAAATCCCTCATTGATTCAGCAAATTTTATTCAGCACCTTGTTGTGTCCAGATGCCATGAATCATAGCCAAAATGTAGGTCCATGCAGATTGTATTTTGCATAGTGTGTAATGCCAGGGGCTGCTATTCACATAGGTTATAAGAATGCCACCCCATGGAGTTGTACGGTGTGTTGCCTGCATAACTGCACCCTGTAGCCCTGCCAGTCTGCTAGGTACTAGGGATAGGAACAAGCAAGACATAATATTTTTGGTTAACCATGTGCCCAGGTTAGAGTGATTGCCCTTTTACTTGGCATCCTAATGAGTTCATTTGTTTTTCACCATCCTCTATGTAAATACAAACGTGGCATTACTGACAGCAGGGTGCATTTCCAAAAATGCAAAACCTCCAAACCTGTCTTCCCGACAGGCCTCCGCAGTATTCATTCTGGAAACCCATCAGAAGCATTTCAGATCAAAGCAGGTAACAGAGGTGAGCTGCAACCAGGGATGATTTGAGATTCCAGACACATCCTGACCACCATCTGGGCCTCTGCAAAAGCATCTGCAGGCTCTTCTTAAAGCTCAGGGCCCCCACACAGAGAGCAAGGAGAGATATATGGCCTAGGAGAAGCCAGCAGATGGTGAGTTACCCAACTTCTTACAAGGTTGAAAATGTCAACTCACCATTGTGGAAGGGTGTGGTAAAAGTGCCTTCTATTCCCTAGTCTTCCTTTCTGTGTGTGTGTGTGTGTGTGTGTTTGTACATGTGTATTTCTGAGGCAATCCTCATTTTCTTATCCTATGTCCTCTTGTGCTTTCTATTGCAAAGAAATGATCTATTCAGTCAATTGTTGATTGATTGATTCATTCATTCAATATGTATTTACAAATATCGACTTTGTGCCTGGCACTATCTAGGCCTTGGGGACAGTGAACAACATTGACAAAGTTAGTGCTTCATGAAATCTACATAGTAATTGGATAAAGCTACACATCATTTTGGATAATGATATGTGCTCTGAAGAGACAAAGACAGGTGCATGGGAATAGAGAATGACTGGAGGGAGCAGGGCTACTTCTGATTGGTTGGTAGTCATGAAAGGCTTCAGTGAGGAGGTAATACATGAGCTGAAGTAGTAATGAGAAGGATGTAGAAGCAAACATAATTGGTTAAACTCCTTTACAAGGATCTGCTAGATACTTTCCTCTTTCTTGTTTTTGTCAAATCCTTGTTGAACATGTACATTATGGGATAAAGTAAACAATTCAAATATGAGTATGTAATATATCAGTTGCTTGAATGCTGTGATATGATGGGAGGGAGAGTGAGAGAGTGGTTAAATTAATCAAATATGAGTATGTAATATATCAGTTGCTTAAATGCTGTGATATGGTGGGAAGGAGAGTGAGAGGGCGGTCAGGGATGCCATCTTGGAGGTGGGAGTATTCTTGAATAGAGAACAAAGCAAGAGAAGGAGTCATGAATATAACTGGGGGTGGGGGTAGGGAAGAGTGCCCAGGCCAGAGATGAGCAAATGCAAGGGCAGGTAGGCGCCAAGGCAGGGGTAAGACCGGCAAGAGGAGCAGTAAGGAGGACCCTGTGTCTGCAGTGAACAGGCAGGAAAGAGTCCAGGAGGGGGCAGGATCCTGATCCCTTGACATTGTATAGGCCATGAGGGGAAATTTCAGTTTTATTTTGCATTGTATGGGATGTCATTGGATGATTTTGAGCATGAGCTGACTAAACATTTTAAAAAGACCACTCTGTCTTGGAGAAGAACAGACTCTAGGGGTGAAAGTGGAAGCAGGAAGATAAGCCAGGGCACTGTTCACTGTTACAGTAATCAAGGCAAAAGACCATGGTAGCCTGGGCTGGAGGAATGAGTTAGAGGTGTTGCAAAATGGTTTGATTAGGGAGATGTGAAGATGAGCTAGACAGAATCTGGTGATTGATGCTATATAAGGTACAAACAAAAGGGACAAATCCAAATGACTCCACACGTGTTGTGCGGACAGCTGTGTCAACAGTAGAGTTATTTCTGAAAAGGCAAGACTAGAGGAGAGGGAAGGTTGGCAGGAAAGAGGCAACTTCGGACACAGTAACACTGAGATGCTTATGAACGGTGGTGAAGATGTCAGCTAGGAGTTGAATACACAATTCTGGAATTCAAGAGAGATGCTGGGAATTATCAGACTGCAAATGATACAGGAAACCTGGAGACTAGATGAGATCATGTAGGCATAATTGTAGATCGAAAAGTAAGAATGATGCCCAAGATACTCCAATATTTGAACTAGGGAAGAAGAGGAAGTAGCAAAGGAGCTGAAAATGAATATCATAATAGAGAAGAGGGTAAATGGGAGGGAACAGTTACCCAAAAAGTGATTGAGGAAAGGGTGAGGAGAAAGAGGGAATGAACCATTGTTTTTCAAATGCTGCTTAGAAGTACTAGAGCATCCAATTGAGCAATGGGGTCACTACTGGAAAATTCAAGAGTGATTTGATGGACTGGTATCAGTGAAAGCCTGGCTAGAGTGGTGCTAGGGAGAATGGGAGGAGAGAGAGCTTCTGTGAGCATAATAAAGGCTCTCAAGGGGTTTTACTGTCATGATTTCGTAAAGCCCATGCACAGCTGTGAGGACCCAGGTAGTAGGTGGAGAGGGTTATAGGATCAAGGGAGGGGGCCTTTAAATGTTTGTCTGGTGAAGACAGTAACCTCCAAGAAGAGGAAACTTAAAAGTTCAGAAGAGTGAGGAGATCATTATTACAGTGATGTGCTCGTTGTTTGTTTGCTTGTTTGGTTTTGTGACATTTTCTGTCTTAGGCCATTATTATTCGGCTATAAAGAAATACCTGAGACTGGGTAATTTATAAAGAAAAGAGGCTTAATTGGCTCATGGTTCTGTAGGCTTTCCAGGAAGCATGGCAACATTTGCTTCTGGGGAGGTCTCAGGAAGTTTTCAATCACAGTGGAAGACGAGGGGGACGTAGGCATCTCACATGGCAGGAGGAGGAGCAAAAGAGAGAGTGGGGGGAGGTGCCATGCACTTTTAAATGACCAGATCTTGTGAGAACCCACTAGCTATTGCAAAGACAGCACCAAGCCATGAGGGATCTGCCTCTGTGACCCAAACACCTCTCACCAGGCCCCATCTCCCACACTGGGGATTACACTTCAACATGAGATTTGGGAGGAGACAAATATCCAAACTATAGCACCTTTTAAAAATGTGGAAGCCATTCTTAGCTTGTAGACCACACAAAAACCGGCTATAAATTGCCCATGGGCCATAGTTTGCTGACCCCTGCAGTCCAGCAGACTGTTCCATGATCTTCCATTACCAGACTCAAATATACTGGATTTAGCACATCAATCCTGGGGTCATTGTGCACGTGAAGGGTATGAGGTTTCCATCTATTAGATAGTGCACATAAAAAGGCTTCTGATCCAGAGTCCCTTTGTTTCTTGGTGTGGCTCATTTTTGGTTTGTTTGTTTCCATGAGGATAAGATCTTAAAGTATGTTTTTTTGCTAGGACCATGGATGACAATTAGAAGTTAGAATTACAAGTTTCAACAAATAGATCCTATAGTGCTGGCAGATACCAAGAATGCAAGAAGGCTTGGCTAGGAAATAGCATAGTCCCGGGTTGACCAAGACACATCATAAATGAGGAATAAGGGAAGTTGGTGATGGACAACAGATCTCTTGTTACATTTGAGGCAGTTTTCTCTCCTCATCCTACTTCCACTTTCTCTCCTACATTTCCTACTTCCATAAGCAGAGAATGAGGGAAAGCTTCATTCTCAGGAAGACAAAAGGACCAAATTCCTTGACCCTAGGATACAGGTATTTGTTTCCTGGCAAACAGTGAAATTTGCATGCAAATTAGAAGCATCTCTGGATCTTAGGACTCTTCTTCAGTCATCATAATCTGACATATTGCAGATAAGGAATATAGAGATGCATAGGTATGAGGCAGTAAGAGATAAATCCCCACATCCCAGTGGTGGGTAACAAAGTAAAGTTTCATGAAAGTTGGGTAGCTCTTCTCTATCCTCTAGCTGTGCTATTTGGACACATGTCCTTTGCTTTGCAGGAGCAGGGGAACAGTTAGAGAATACCTGGGGGAGGTTGAGGAGCACATGGATATCTGGTGAGCACTCTCTTTGCCACAGTGAACGCTGACACCAACAACCTGTCCTTTGATAACACAGGCAGACTCAGCTTTCATATCTAACCCATTTATCCAGCATTCTCCCCAGCAAAGATACAATGACTGACTCGGAACCATATAATACAGCAAAGAAACTTTCTTTAAAATATTTATCAGTTATCATGAAAGAAATCTCTTGCTTGTGAGGGTTGATTGCAAGGGTCTTGAAGTTGTCCTTTATAAGAAAATAAAGTAGGACTTTATAATTCTTGGAACAATTATAACATTAATTTTTTAAAAATTGCCATCTTTGCTTAAGCTTTTGAAAATCCTATTGGCAATTCTGTGTTTAATGAGGTACACTTCAAAGTGGGCTGGGTACAGATACTTCTTGACAGCACAGAAGGGCTTCTCCATGATGAAAAAATAAGTGTTTGCGTCAATAGTGAAATAATCAGTAATTGACTTTGGTGGATTAAAAATGGACCATTGATGACTTGACACATGAATTTCTTTCCAGAAGGACTACAAGCTTGAATATAATGATATAAAGATATCTTGATATCTATAGTTAATGAGACCAAAGGGCAAGGATAAAGGGACTTGAATCCTTTTCTTAAATCTCCATAAATTCCTCTTGAAAGAGAATTTCTACTCAGATATTTCAACTGGAAGAGACTGTAGAAATGATGTAGTTAAGCCCTTTTATTATACAGATCTGAGAACAGAGACTTCTATCTCAGTGACCTTCCTAGGGGCCTGTCATCAGTGGCAGCAACTGATTTCATTTAATGGGATATATGCAAATTATGTTTCCCATAATGCACTGAGAGTACCCTGATGTCTTTACATATTGACGTTTCCATTATTTTTAGTTCTTGATTTTTTATTGTAAAATTAATGTTTGCCATACAAAATTCAACACTGTGAATTTTAAATATCTTTTTGTTAGTCTGTTTCTTTTCTTTTCATAAAACTGAAATACATTTACTTCACCCTGGCTATTGTAGGTCCCCAAAAAGGTTCAGAAGATCACTTGATGATATATTGTGGAAATATTTTTAAGCTTTAGTCCCTGTATCCCGAGTGATGAGAAATCCTAGTCCTCAAAACATTTGTATTCAGTTTTCACATTAACACCTGGGATGTGGGTTTCAGAAGTAGGTGTTTGTCTCCGGTCTTATATCCAGAGCTTGACATAGGGACATCTGTGCCTGCTTCAGCATCCAAACAAAGATGTCCACTCTATAGCTAGTAAAACATTGCAGAAAGAGGCAGTGTTTATATGACTGATAAAGTATTTTACAGCTTTATTACGGAGGGGGGATTGTCAGAAAGACAGATAAGATTAACTGACAAAGAATCTTATACTCCTGAAAATCAGGTGGCTTAATGACAACCTGATATCATGAAGCCCTAATTAAGGCTGTCAATTACCTGCTGTTGATTCGGGAGCACAAAATGGAACGCTTGGTTTTCAGACTCAGATGTACACGGTCGTGGGGGGTGGGGTTACTAGTGAGGACATAGGCTATTGAGGCCCTTTGAAAGATGCTCTTTTTTGAGTGATACAGTGGTTTATTTCATTAGCTATCTTATCACCTTAGCAACAATTGAACCAAACAGGTCATTTAGCATCATTCTGCAAAATATCTGAGAGACTGAAGTTTTTACTGAAGCTACTAAACTGTCCAAAGATGTTGCCATCATAGACACAATTGCTATCTGCAGGATAGGCATCCATTTTCATAGCTAAATTGTTCAAAAGGCACACAGAGGCACCATGATTTTTATGTTTCTTATTGTTTTTTTGTTTGTTTGTTTTCGGTGGTTACTTAAAAATCAATTTATTTTTATTCTGGTGTGTACCAGGGGTATAGTGTTTGTTAGGAAGAAAAAGCAATTTTAATTTAGAGGGAAACAGATTTTCTTTATCACAGAGAAATGTGGAATAAATGAGACACACACCAAATAAAATTCTCATTTTAGATCCCAGGGGTTGAGGTGGTGAGATGGGGCTGGCAGAGGGACAAGTTTAGAATTTGATAATTCTATTTGGATTTCTCCTTAGAGCTCTTAGTTGTCAATAAAAACCTCTTGGTAAGCAACACAAATGACCTAGTTATGCCTGTGCTGTTGAACGGGGTATTTAGAAGCCACAGAGTATAGTGAAATAGAGTTAAAGAGCCAGGGCTGCGGTTAAGTTCTGCCTGTCTACCTGTGTGCCCTCTGGTGTTCTTCTCCTCCTCTCTGGGCATCAGTTTCCCCATCATAAAATGGATTTTTAACAGTTCTTCCTTAATGTATGCCTTTAAATTACCTGTTAAAATGCCTTATAGTTTGCCCATATCATCTTAACCAAAGTTTATTATAATTGAGTGTACAGCATCTCTGGGGAAATTTATGTTTAACTGAATTGATGGATAGGCACATTCATTTCAAAAGCCACATCTGTGATTTCTCTTGCACAGTTATTTTATTGCTATTTTGTATGCAAATCTCTTGCTAAAGTTATTTTAGGGTTGGGAGGTGTGTGAGAGAGAAAGACAGACAGAAATAGATAGCAATGTCTACCAGTGCAACTTTATTCATATTCCTCATTGCCACTCTCTGTGATACAGCCACACAGGCTTCAATCCCTAATACTTGCCGTGATTTGCCCTGCCATGGAGTCTTTGCACATGTTGAAACTCACAGATTCCCATCACATTATGCTTGTTGTGGCTATCTCAAAATATCATTTATGTTCATCATTATAATTATGCTGGTTATTAAACCTGCTGCCTTGATCTTGTTATTTAAGGCATTAATAGAGAAGCATGTATATATAACTGTCAACATTCTTAAAGCATTTTGATTACTGTCATTCACCTTCTGACTTCTGACTTCCTTTGTAATGCTGTGCATTTTGTCTTATGCATCCAAAGGCATTCTAAGAAGGGGTGCACAGCTTTCACCACATTTCCAAAGAGGTCTTTGGCACCACAAACCTTAAGAACCTCTACATTAGACCATAAGTGAGAGAGACAGGGGTTCTATCTGGCTGTGTTCATCAAGGTTCTTGGTAAACTTCAGGTAGTAAATAAGTACATGTTGAATGAATAAATGAAAAAAACTCCACAAGATTGGAATAGATAACCCTTCAATCAGAGATCTGGTTACTCGACATAACCTTCTGAGGCTCAATGCTTAGAAGAAAAGATGCAGCAAATCTTGTATCTATTTAAAATGTTTTGGGCTGCAAAGAACAAAAACCTGGCTCAGGGTGGCTTGAATACCAAGGAGATGTGTGTGTTCTCGTGTATAGGAAGTCAGGATTCAGGTTCTATGTGGTCAGTGTCTCCAGGAGTCATCAAGAATTCATGCTCAAAATATGCTACTGGAGCAACTGGGGCCATGTACCTCTTTGTTTTGGTCTGATAGGAAAGAGAGACCCTAACTCTCAAGCATGGGGAAATAAATTTATCCTGTCAGTTTCCTTGAGACGAATTGGAAGAAGTGTCATTCCTTGACCAATAGTAGTTGCCAGGGTAATGCCATGTGTTCATTGGATAGGACTAATCAATCAGTGTCCATCTCTGCAGCCGAGGAGAGGAAGAATCATGAACAATAAGCCATGCGGAAAAGAAGGAAGGGCGAAATGTTGTGAAGAAAACCAGCAGAGTGAATGGCACAACAACTTTTCAGGAAGGCTCACCAGGGAACGCATATTACCAGGACAAAAAAAAAAAAAAAAAAAAAGGCATTCTGTTTGTTAAACAAACACTTATCTTTGGAAAACAGGATAAGGGGAGAGCTTGTAAATAAAGGGATGATGCTTATGAGCAGCCCTGGCTTTGGTGCCCTTGGAATGGAATTGCACACGGAAGAGGCAGGGAAAGTAGAGGCATCCCATTCTTCTGAAGAAAGCTTCCCCATCCCTCCCCTAGTCAGGTGACACTTGTGAATCAGGTTTTACAACCTGTGAAATAAAGGCTGTAGAATGAACACCAAAATTTAACACAGCTCTTTTCTGTTTTCTCATGTTTTGTTCTTCATATTAATTTAGTATCCATCTCTCTGATTATCATCTACTGAGATGAAAGAACTGAAAGTCAGAATGCTTCTCTCTGTAATTACTTACAGATGCATATGCCTACCACCAAAAGGAGAGATACCATCTCACAGAGGAAACAATCCACATCTCTTCCGTGCTCTCCCCTGTGCCCAGGCTTTCAGCATCAGCGACTACTTGGGCATAATTAGCCTTCCATTGATTTCCAGAAAATGTAGTTCTCAGAATAGAAATCTTTCTTTATGAAGATGTGATTGTAGGTAATTTGCCTGTTACTGTTTCATAATAAAGAAAGTTATTTCAGAAGAAATTACCTTTTTGGAAGTTAGAATTCTCTAAGGTAGGCTGGTAGTCAATGAGGAATTCTTTGAAGCTTGCAAGTTTTGTGCTTTGATGCGTCTTGTATAAAATCAGGAGATTCTGCCATCACTACCACTGATTAGTAATTATTTTAGCCATTTACACTATTTCCAGAGGCTTTCTGGCATGTGGGGAATGAGTTGAGTTGGTAAGTTAAGCTTTTAAAAGTTGTAGGTTATTCTGGTTGGCAAAGCATCTACTGACAGAATGAGTCATATTTTATAAACTCATTTTATTAGGAGAAATGGTAAAGAAAATCACAGGCCTCTGATTTCCTACAAATATGTAATGTAGACGGTACTTAAAAAATAAATTCTGCCCAGTTAGTTAGAGCCACCACCATTGAATATTGCACTAATGCCCATATACATGCCCTTCGATCAAACTTGCCTATTTTCAGTTGATACAGTGAGCTTAGATTTCTTTCCCAAAGAGCTAGGCAAACATGGTGAAGTATAAACCTTTACTCATTTAATGAAGAAAAAAAAATCAGTCCATCAAATAAGCACTCAAGTCCACATGCCTGAGGCTGTCTTTTGTAACCTAAGGGGAGGAAGGTGATCACTAGTTGGTACAGTATGTAATTTATTGAAAGAAGTTGTTGCTGTTGTCTTAGTACCCCCAGACCCCAGATTTCTACTGTTTTATGACAAGTCACAGAGATCAGGACCCTTGATAGGCCATAAATAGCACTGAGGATTTCCAAGGGTTATTGTTCTAGGTTTTGTTACATCCCAGAGAAAAATTGTGCAAGCTAGTTAAATTTCCAGAACAGCAGCTCACAGAGTTGGTGACTTATATTTATCTCTATAACACTATCACCTTCAAATACACTGTATGACTTATGTACTTATTTTTTCCATCATTTTTCTCCTAACATCTGGAGTGTTAGGATTTTTGTTTTGTTTGTTTTCCTCCTACAGTTGTATTTGTCATAGGTTTCAATCATATGGGGAGGTGAGACTCAAGTTAATTTGACAATTTGGAAAGAAACTTTGGAGGTAATTTTTAAAAAATGTTAATACATGTTTAAGATTTTATTATATAACTAACTAATTTTTAATGAGAACACAGGAGGATGTTACAGCCAATTCAAAGGAGAAATAAAAGCAGCACACATTTGTATGGAATAAAGAACGCTGAAATGGATGTGTAAATAGACACAAAAGTTGGCTTTTGCCTTGGGATAGGGGACAGAGAAGTCAATTGGACTTTCTAAATATACTGGGTAGAATTTATCTTTTTGTCTATAGACAGGACTTATTTTTCATTACTGTAAATTAGTCGCAAGTTACAGAGTCATAAAATTGTTGAAAGTAATGAAAGAGAACAGATTAGATAACTTAGAAGGGTTTGTTCTTAAAAAAAAAAAAAAGCATAACTTTCCATTGGAGATACTAGTAATTAGTATTATGCTTATTACAGTCTTGCTCCTTTTGACCAAAAATAATCTCAAAAAAGGTTATTTGTGATCATAAAATAAGACTGGTCTTAGGCCTAGCCTGATTATTTACATAGGTGGAACAAGCATTCATTTACTATAGAGGATAGCTTAAGTTTGCTTTGCTGGAAGTTTTCATGAGGATTCTCAGATTGGATTTTTAAGGGCTCTGTCATTTGCTATTCAAAGGCCAGGAGGCCAAGCCCAACAAATTTTACCAGGTTTCCCCTGCATTATCTATGAATTTGGGCAAATTTCTCCCTTCTCAAGGTTCCCAAATTACCTCAACACTCTTGACCTGCCAGAAAATGACATTCCATACCCATAATGCTCAGACCCCGTAAAGCCAGGTACCTGGTCAGTTTTCTTGCAAAGGTTTCCTAAAAGGCCATCTTACTTTCTTACATGTGGCTTAGTATACCTGATTAACAGAACATCATCCTAAAATATGATATACCAGGCAAGGCTTTGGAGGCATACCAATATTTCCTATTACGTTCTGGTAGAAAAGGAAGACAGATACATTGAAACCATACAAATACATATTCTGTCATGTAAAGTAAAGGGACTCAATAAGAGTTTCTGAATTGAAGGTAGGAGAGTCCAGGTAAAAGTAGAAATCAGACGTCCTTTGCAAATGTCTCATTTCAGTTTACAACAACAGCCTACCAAATTGTTTTATGAATTATCAAAAGCTTAAGAAAATAGAAAAGTGCTTCCTTATCTAATCAAAACATAGGATATTAGGCTAACATCAATAAATATTGCAAACAAATAATGCAATAAAATCTCTTTCATTAGTTCATTCAGTCCTAGGTAATTAATTCTTGCTCCACTGGACTTTTGGGTAGCAATATCATGGAGTAGAGTTTTTGATTAAAAAGAAATCTGAAAATTTTGGTATCATCTGAAAAACTGCCCAGATGATGCCTTCTGATTCAATCCTTTTCCTCAGGGCCATAAGAGGGTTTATACCTGATTGCAGAGCTTTCAGGGAAGAGTCACAGAAAAACAAAAGCTCTCTGTAGATGACAGAGACTCAAAAGGCTGTGGTTATTTTATTATTGGCAATTTGCAAATGTGAAAGATCTAATGAGAGTTTATGTCAAGAATAATCCAGTTGACAAGGAAATGTAGTTGTTTCTGTGGCATGCAAAACGAGATAATAAAGACAATCAAAAATGTTTTTGATAAAATGTCTTTTAGAATAATGATTAAGGCTATTTTCAAAGAACAGAGGGAATGCTATATACGATTTATACAAATAGTGAACATAATTTTCACAGCAGAAAAAAATCTTGATACATAGCACGTAATAATCCTGGGGCATAATATACCTAGCATACTAAGAATACAGCAAGAATGTCAAGTAGAGAGATTACATAAGTCTGCAGTAGATTCTAGATAACTGCCGTTTTATAAAACTCCATAGGTAACATTGATGTGCATCCCCAGTTGAAATCTATTGGCCTAAAAAATGCTAGATTTAAATTTTAAAAGTGAGGTTGTAGCCAAGTAAGCATTTTAATAATAACTAAAATTATGTATGATAACACTGTATGGGGCATCAACAAAATGTTTCTGTAAAAGGCCAATTAGTAAATATTTTAGGCTTGTGAGGTATAACATCTCCATCACAGCTACTGAACTTTGCTATTGTAGTGCAAATGCAGCCATAGATAATATGTAAATCTATGGGCTTCTCCGTGTTCCAATAACACTTTATAAAAACAGGTAATCGGCCTTATTATTTGGCTGATGGGCCATGTTGACCGATGTCTGAGGTATACTGTTGTTGCCTGTATCATCAGACAAAGCATAACCAAGACTCTGACAAATAGAAACACGTTATGTGCAGTGAAGACAGTGACAGATCTCTTGGAACTTCCCCTAAGGAATATAATTTCTGAATATTTACATTAATTAATATTCTTCAATGCAAATTTTATCTAGGGAAGCCTGAGCAACTCTTCTAATTTGACTTTTCCCATAAAACTCATAGTAGTAACAGAGCAAATGAACCAGATGACTTCTAGCTCCTCTTTTTTTTTATAAGACTAAAGAACAAATCCTTGTGATTTTCCAGGAACCCTCTATGAAACTTCAAAGATAGTTTTAGGTGTAACAGATGTCCTGAAAGCCTTATGGTTTTTTATACATTAAAAATCTGATTAGGTGAAAGGAAAATTTTTTAAAAAATCAGAGGTGGGTGATTTGGACTGTTAAGATATGACAATAAAACACACAAATAAGCATAGAAAGTCATACAATTGTGGAACACCTTATCTGTTTTATAAGTGAGGAAACTTTGCTTGTTTTCTTTTTCTTTTTGGGGGGACAAGGTCTCTCTTTGTCACCCAGGCTGGAGTGTGCAGTGGCGCAATCTCGGCTCACTGCAACCTCTGCCTCCTGGGTTAAAGCGATTCTCCTGCCTCAGCCTCCTGAGTAGCTGGGATCACAGGCGTGCACAACCACACCTAGCTAATTTTTGTATTTTTAGTAGAGACAGGGTTTTGCCATGTTGGTCAGGCTGGTCTCGAACTCCTGACCTCAGGTGATTCACCAGCCTTGACCTCCCAAAGTGCTGCAATTACAGGTGTGAGCCTCCTGCACCCGGCATTGTTTTCTTAATAATCAAGGACATAATGATGTCAATGTAAAGCATTGAAGTCACTCTGGTGAAAAGAAAATCTTTATTATCTAGACAGATTACACACAACAAAAATGGTAACACTTTATATTGCAGATGAAGATATTAGTCAGTAAACAAAGAAAATAAGCTCATCAAAATTGAGAAAGCTTTGCTAGTATCTTAACAGGTTTTATAGATTTCCAGATTCAGGCATTATAAAAACCAAGGCAGATGAGTTTTACTTTCCAAGTTGTGTCTGTGGTTCTGCTCTTTCATATGTGGAACAAAATGACACTTGATTTTCGGACAGGTCTCAGGGCTGTTTCTGAGGCCAGAAATAACTTCATCCTATTACCGAGATGTTATTAATATGCAATGCTTTTATCTTTGCTATCTTCCTTGGCATCATTAAATAAGCATTGTAGTGGTTCTGTTTCAGTTTCAATAAGCATTGTAGTGGTTCTGTTTCAGTTTCCAACAGTGAGTACTGACATTTACAACCTAGAAGTAAAACCTCTTTGGAGTCTTCAATAAGTTTTCATAGTACAAGAGAGTAAGGTATGTGAAAAGTAAAAAGTAGTTAAAGAGTATAAAGAAAACCAAAACAAAACAAAAGCAAAAAATACTGATTACTGTTGTCTTAGGACAAAACTACTCTTGGCCTTGGAAAAAACATGGAAATATATATAGTTTCATTTTTTTCTGAAACTAGTGCCCCTAAGTCTAGGCTCAACCACTTACATAAATTTTATCTTGTAACCAAAGTAAATAGCCACTGTTGCACAGAGAAAATTGGCTGGGGAGCGGGGGGCGAATGATTGAGGACAGCTTGTCGTCTACCATCATTTCAGCAGACTCACAGAGCTCGTAAGCACACTTTCCTTTTTTTTTTTTTTTTTTTTTAGGTTTGGGGGTATATGTGAAACTTTTGTACATACATAAACAAGTGTTACAGGGCTTTGCTGTGTGTGTTATTTCATCACCCAAGTATTAAGCCCAGTAACCAATAGTTACCTTTCCTGCTCCTCTCCTTCCTCTCACCCTCCCCCAAGTAGGCCCCAGTGTCTTTTGTTCCCTTTTTTGTGTTCATAAGTTCTTATTATTTAGCTTCCACTTATAAGTGAGAACACACCATATTCTGTTTTCTGTTTCAGCATCAGTTTGCTAAGGATAACAGCCTCCAGCTCCATCTATGTTCCTGCAAAAGACATGACTCATGCTTTTTTATGGCTGTACAGTATTCCATGGTGTGTATGTACCACATTTTCTTTATCCACTCTGTCACTGATGGGCATTCAGGTTGACTCCATGTCTTTGCTATTGTGAATAGTGCTGCAATGAATATTCACGTACATGTGTCTTTATGGTAAAATGATTTATATTCCTCCATGTATAAACCCAGTAATGAGATTGCTGGGTCAAGTAGTAATTCCACTTTTAGCTTTTTGAGGAATCGCTTTCCACTAAGGTTGAGCTAATTTACACTCCCACCAACAGTATATAAGCATTCCTTTATTCCTGCAACCTTGCCAGCATCTGTTATTTTTTGACTTTTTTAATAATAGCCATTCTGACTGCTGTGAGATGGTATCTCATTGTGGTTTTGATTTGCATTTCTCTAATGATCAGTGATATTGAGCTTTTTTTCATATGCTTGTTGGTTGTATTTAGGTCTTCTTTTGAGAAGTGTCTGTTCATGTCCTTTGTCCACTTTATAATAGGGTTTTTTCTTGTAAATTTAAGTTCCTTGTAGGAGCTGGATATTAGACTTTTGTCACATTCATGGTTTGCAAATATTTTCTTCCATTTTGTAGGTTTTCTCTTTACTCTGTTGATAGTTTCTTTTGCTGTGTAGAAGCTTTTCAGTTTAATTAGGTCCCAATTGTCAGTTTTTGCTTTTGTCGTGATTGCTTTCGGAGTCTTTGTCATTAAATCTTTGCCAGTTCCTATGTCCGGGATAGTAATGCCTAGGTTGTCTTCCAGGGTTTTTATAGTTTGGAGTTTTACATTTAAGTCATTAATCTATCTTGAGTTGATTTTTCTGTATGATGTAAGAAAGGGGTCCAGCTTCAATTTTCTGCACGTGGCTAGCCAGTTATTCCAGCACCATTTATTAAATAGGAAGTCTTTTTCCCATTCCTTGTTTTTGTCAGCTTTGTCAAAGATTAGATGGTCATACATGTGCAGCCTTATTTCTGGGCTCTCTATTCTGTTTCATTGGTCTATGTGCCTGTTTTTGTACCAGTATCATGCTGTTTTAGTTACTGTAGCATTTTATACACTTAACTTTCTACTGCTGCATGCATCCCTCATACAACTCCTCAAAGTGGCAAGAAAGAACATTTACAGGGACCAAAGATAGAGCCTCTAAATGAGGAACAAAAGCACTTAAGTCAGTAATTCACTGTTCTTAGAAATGATGTAGACATCCAACACTACAGAGAAGCAGGGAAGTCACATTTTAGATCATGAGGAAAGTGGGGTCCATAAATGAAATTCAATGCTGGGAGAAATAACAGCACATTAGTATATAGATAGGGATATCCAGTAGAGAGGGACAAATGTTGCTGCAGGGTGGGCTTGGAGATTGCTGGAACGATATTCTTGAACAGGGCAGAGTAGAGGAGCTCTAGACCACAAGTGAAACTTGCAGAGCTCGTGGAACAGAAGATGAGCCTTTCCTCCACATTAGCAGGAGGAAAAAACAGAGCAGGCACAGGTATGGGTAGGTGGGTGAATGTGGGGTTAGAAGCTGGTGGAGAAACTTCTGTTCTATGAGATATAAATGGAGTAAATGAAGGCCAGGGAAGGAGATGTTGAGCTTTTGAGGAGAGGGGACAGTGGATGATGGATGAAATCATCACCTAGAGAATAAAAGCATGCAGGGCTAGAAATATAGTATGATCATGGAGTGACATCAGAAGCCCACTTGGAGTGAGTGGTAAATTTAAAGTAAAACCAGCCAACATTAGAAACCTACTTTGACAACCACTCCTTTAAAGAAGGAAAAATAAAACAAGTGACACCAGACAGAATTAAGTGACACCAGACAGAATTAAGTTCTGGATATAGCCATCCCATTCATAGCTGGGTACTTCTGACAAATAGATTCCCAAGGTTTTGCTGCTGGTTCTTGGTTGACGTGGTTTTACTTAAACAGACTTGAGTGCCTTCCTATGCTGGATGTTTACATTTTAACTTTCTTATTTTCCATTTTGGAAAGAGGGGTGGTCATTCAACAAGTACTTTTGAGCATCTGTCTTATTGAAGGTAGGGCGCTTGGAAGAATTCTTGGTTAACTGCCTTGGACTAAAAGGCACTTAAACTTTAAGTCTACAGCAGCATAGGACTTTAATCCTTAGCGGTCCAGTTATCTCTTGGAATCAATTCTTTAAAAATGTGCAAAGCCACTCATGAATTGTCTGCTGAGTAAAGAATTAGCCATAATAGAGATGCTTTTTAAAGTAATTGGACCCCCCAACACTAATTGATGTGACAGCTCATTACCAGGCATTGCCAGCAGCCCTGCTGTCATTGGTTCCAGACTAGTTAAACAAAGTAATTAATTACTCTTTCGATGAAACAACCAGATAGATAGGATTTTTTAATTGCTGTGGTGTCATAAGGTATTTTTCATTTATGTTTTCATTTCTATTAAAATACGTAGCTATGGCCCTGAAATCACTACTTAGAATTTAACAATTTTGGAGGGAATTTTTAGTTTTCCATGGATAATTCACCTAACAAAAAGAAGTACACCAGGAAAAACATCAGCTATTGCAAAGGTGGCAAAATGGATTAGGTATGAGGTATATCCAAAGGAAGCATCTTGGGATTTTGTTTCTTATTTTCATGATCCAGGGCATTATATCCAAATTTTAGGCTTCCACGGCCTCCCGATAGTACCCAAGGCCACATGTTCTTAGAGGTGAAAGATGTTTGTTTTTAGTTTTGGTTTTCCCGTAGTCATCACACTATGCACTGGAGTGAAAAACTACAACCAACAGGATGTGGTTAGCGAAAACATTACTTTGGCCATCCTGGGCTGACCAACTGAAAAACAAGAACAAATAACAACAAAACGATAGTTAATGTATAATATTTTTTTTGGTTCCCTAGGCATAGCTGAGCCAGTAGTATTCTGTCTGTCCTTAAATATTTAGGTAGCATTTATAGGCTGTGATGCGAGAGAATATATTGAATAGCCTTGTGTCTTACCTCATGGATCACATCCAATTTAATTCTAATGTATATGAGTATTTCAGACCTTCTGCACATTAGTTAAGTTTGCTGAGCCTCATATTCCTCACCTGTTAAATGGAGATGCTAATAGTACTTATCTTCTTGGATTATTGCGAAAGATTTAAGGAATCTGTCCCCTAAATACCTTGGAACAGTGCCTGGCCAATAGTGAGTGCTAATAATTATTATATGAAACCGTTGCCGTAGTGTATCAAGGGGCCTATAATTTGGTAGAGAAATAAACTATGTGCAGTGAGAAACAAGGAATTTAGGGAAGAAACATGGGGATGCAGAAGACTCCTTATGAAACAAGAAATGGCTTTGTATCAAGTGCTTCCTCCAAGATACCTGTCATCCCTCCGTTCTCCCTGTCTCCACTGCTGCCACCTATCATCATCATGCCTAACAATCAGCCAAGAAGGTATAGAAGACAGAGGCCAGAGAGAAACAGGGACAGCTGTCATAGACCTACTGGAGCTGAAATGGACCTTTGTGATGTTGAGGTCAAGCTTCCCAAGAACTGGATAAGGAAACTGGAGCCCAACTAGAATAGCTCTGTTCTTGCTCATAAAAGTTGCCCGATGGATTGAATGCATTAGCATCAACTGGGAGCATTGTAGAAATGCAGACTTTCAGGCCCCACCCAGACCTACCAGATCAGAATCTGCATATTAGCAAGATCCCAGGTGACCTACATATGCCCATTAAAGGTAGAAATGGACAGCTCCATCTTGCAAAGAGAAATCTGGAGACGTGGAACATTGAAGTTAATTCATAGTATGAGAATACAAAAATCATACATGTTTTTAAGAATCTATGAACAAATCTGTAAAAATTCACAATTCTCATGAAGAATATAATAGGAAAAGCTATGGACTTAAAACCAATAGTCCAGAATTTTGATTCTGACTTTTGTTACCTTGAGGTCCTTTAACCTCTCAGATTTCTCCTGTATCTCTATGGTTTTACTAGATGCCTTCTCACACCCTTCTGAAAGTCTTGGTTAGTAATTCTGTTGTCATGGTATTAATAATATAGCATGGTAGAATGGCTAGAAAGTAGCCCAGCAGTTAGGAGCATGGATGCCAGAGCCAGATTCCAAAGGCATCAATACCAGCTCATCACTTTTGGGTTACGTGCCCTTAGTCACTTTTCTTTAACCTCCCTGTCTCATCTATAAGATAGGTGTGGCAACAATAGTAACTACTTCCTGGAGTTTATGTTCAGAATTAAATTGAGATGTCATAAAGTGCTTAAAACCACTGGACAACATGTATTTCCTATGCCAGGCCCTGGGCTAAGATGTGGAGAAGTCAAAGATGAGTCCCTGCCTTTGAGGAGGAAACTCTGAGCTGAACCTCCTAGGAATGAGTGGAATCAGGGTAGGTCTGGATTTACAGTGCCCAGCCATGTTTAGGCGGATCAGGAAAATACTAAGCTCTAACTTACAGAGGACATGGGATATATTTTACTTGGAGAAGATAAGGAAGCTAAAGAGACCTAATAGCTGTGTTCAAACACTGGGCTGGCATGAAGTTGAGGTTCAGACTTCTCCGCGTGGCATCAGAGGGAAGAATTAGCATGAAGGTTAAAAGGAATTTTGGAAGGATAACTAGTAAAGATTTGGGAAATGGCCATCCATATTTGTTAATATCTGGGAAGAATTAGATTTTAGAGGAGAAAAAGTGATTTGGGCACCAAGGAAAGAATTCTTGGAAACAGCTTCAGTAAAACTGCATGAATTTGAATTAGTTTGTAAAGAGGACCAATTAGATTCAGTGAAAGATCCATTGCTTATCTTTAAAGAAGCAGGATTTCATTTCTTTCAACTCTGCAGAGTAACTTGAACCAATTACTTTTGCAGAGTAAACTAATGAGCTGCTTTAATGAGCAGATAATATGAACATATAATTATCAGCAACATGAATATATAGTGTTTCCAAGTCTTTTTTTTTTTAACATATTTATGTTATGTAAAGACAGTAAAAACTATCTCCCAACATATTTACCCTTCGAGTTTTCCTGGGAAACACTTTTCATGAGTTAAGTTAAATTCTACTTGTCTCACTTAGTCTCAATGGACATGAATTTGGGGTCAGTGGCTACCAGATTAATAAGGTTTTACTTAGATAGTAAACATATAAATAGTGAAAGTGTTTGGTTTATTTTATCAATAAGAGATTTCCCTCCATAGCTGTTCTCAAACTGCTAGATAGGATTTAGTCTATGCATTCAAAATTCCAGCCCTAACGTACATATGTCATGCATATTTCAACAAGATTCAATTATAGCTGACAAAACATTTGTAAAGGCGGCTAGATTCTAGCCCAGATGGTGGCTGGGCTTTTGATGAACACTCTAAATATGTGGCATTATTCATCCCTGACGCTCAGAAAAATAAACATAAGGTACCACTTCTCCCAGGGCAGGGAAGTGGAGAAGAAAATGCTCACATCTTCCCAACGTACAGAGTTGTTTTCCCCTAGAAGTTTCAGAATGCTGACATTTTGCTTTAACAACAAGGGAAGATATCTCTGAGCATTCTCCTGAACACATATGACCCCTTCCTGTGGAAGTTAGATAATCTGGGCCTTAATTTCCTCTCTAAGGCCCCTTCCAGATGATCATCTTATGATAGCCTTTTCTGAACTATTTCCAAAGATACTAAGTCTCAATTTCTGACATCAAGACCTCACATTTTAATATTTTGACAGATATACATACTGTATCTTGTAAGTTGTGGTATAGGGAAACTCTGCGAAAACATTTTTAGTAGAAGTTTTGATACCACTGTTGTTTAACTTGGGTCAAATGTTAATTTAAAAATTAGTTGTTGAATGAAAGTGCCTGAACCTAAAGGCAGTCATTGGATTTTTTAAAAATAAAAATGTCAGCTGGGTGCAGTGGCTCGCACTTGTAATCCTAGTACTTTGGGAGGCCAAGGCGAGCTGATCATCTGAGGTAAGGAGTTGGAGACTAGCCTGGCCAACATGGTGAAACTCCGTCTCTACTAAGAACTACAAAAATTAGCCGGGCATGGTGGTGCGTACCTGTAATCGCAGCTACTCAGGAGGCCGAGGCTGGAGAATTGCTTGAACCCGTGAGGCAGAGGTTGCAGTGAGCTGAGTTCATGCCACTGCACTGCAGCTTTGGTGACAGAGTGAGACTCTGTCTCTAAATAAATAAATAAATAAATTGTAATATCCTGATAAACAGCACCCAGGTAAATAATCAGAACATCACTAACATCCCAGAGGTGCCCTTTTCCCCCACTTCCAGTCACCATCCCTCTGTAGTTTGGAGAAGAATGCACGTGCAAGGAACAACCCAGAATCTTCAATCTTGGCCCATTCCTCAAATGGATTTACAGGAAATGGCCAAGTTCAAGAAGAATATCTTTCTAGCATTTTCCTTTCAACTGTGTTCTTCTACTTAAAACATATAGTTGGGTTTGATTTTATAATCTAGTCAGTAAACTTAATATTTTACTTTGGTTTTGAGTTTGTTATTCTTGATCAATCCAATAGAATGCAAGAAGGAAACAGTCAGCAAATATATAATTTGTTCATTTTTCTCTTCCACATTAACCTGTTAGACAATTTTTTTAGTTACTCTGACAATTACAATATACAGGCATTCTTGAGTTAAATTCTAATAAAAATTATTACTTTCATCAATTTTCTGATAATGCTAGTATTTTGAAAGAGTAATTTAGTCAACCCCCTTCCTTATTTTTATGTCATTGTGCCATATGCTTTAAACCCCAAAGTCAGTATTATTGCAAAATAGATTCATTTGTATTAACCCACCTATTTA
Source organism: Homo sapiens (assembly GCF_000001405.40). Taxonomy (NCBI): domain Eukaryota; kingdom Metazoa; phylum Chordata; class Mammalia; order Primates; family Hominidae; genus Homo; species Homo sapiens. The sequence continues at coordinate 7,614,906 of NC_000003.12, forward strand.
TTCTTTCTGACTCTCCACATTTCCTCTTGAATCTCTGAACTGTGATCTGACTTCAGTTTTTATTCTATCTGTGTCATACCCTTTGGGCAGTGTTTGTAAATTTAGTTACATTTTAAAGGTGGCATCTTGCGGTCTTTGACTACATTGTTTTTACTGAGAATTCAGTTTCTTTTTTATTTGAAAGTAATATGCCTTTTTTTCTTTACCTATTTTCAATGTTTCATCTTCTTTTGTATGCATACATGAGTATATATGTACATATGCATGATATGTGTGTATATGTGTGTATTCTTCCTCCCTTAGAGTTTGTAACACTTTTTAAATCTGTGTGTCACTGTCTTTCATCATCTCTTATGAGTTTTGGAAATTCTCAGCCATTATCTATTTAAATATTACTTCTCCATTCCCACTTTCAGTTTCTACTGGGACTCGAAGTTTAGGTAAATTAAAATGGCTTACTTATTTTTCCCTTACAGTTCCATACATTTCTGGTTTTGGTCATTTTCTCTTGAAGTCTGTTTACTCTGCCATTAAAACCTCTACACTAAATTCTAAATTTGTTGCCGTTTCTTTTTAATCACATCACCTTGAATACCTTATAAAATAGGTTATATGGATAATTTGAATATGGATAATTTGAGGTAGTGGATAATATTTTTCCTATGGAAAACTGACTTCTGCTTCTGAGTAAGGCTGGTTTTTATGAGGGTGGGTATATTTCTATGTAGTCTTCCTAGGTTATGGCCCTTTGAGGTTTCAAACCAAAGCCTGAATTTTATAAGGTTTTCCAGAATAAGCAGATGGCTCTTAGGGAAAAATAAAATAGAAAGGGGAGGAGGAGGGACTACTCAAAATACCAGGCTTGCCTCTCTCTGATTTTTCTTTTGGCTTGGTACCTTTTCCCTGTAATTCTTTTCTGTCTTGTTAACTCCTCAATGCCTTGAAGAAGGTTTTATGTGTGTATGAGTGTATATGTATATATAGTATATATTACATATAAGCATATAACGTATTTATATATACTTGAATACTTATAAGTGTATTACATATATAAACACACACACATATATAGTAGATAAGTAGATACATAGTGATATATTTTTAATTTTATTCAGGTTTCTAGTTGTACTCAGTAGAAAGGTTGATCTGAAGTAGGTAGCAGGCTACTAGGAGAAGTGTCCTGAATTACCATGTTCAATAATGCTCTATTTAGAAATTATTTTATTTGAAGGTCAAATGAAAAAACAAGTTTCCTTTCCAAGTAGACAAAACAATGTCTCATGCTAATAGACTTTACTGCCGGCATCATTTCGCACATATTTTTGAAGCTTCTTAAATGAAAACTACACAATTCTTTAAACACTAAATGCACCCTTCTGCCCCCCGACAAAGAAGTTTTCTTTACCGTTAGAATAATTTCAAGTGCATAAATCTATGCTTCGTGTGCTTCCTACACCTAACTTAGACTTATCCTTCATGAAATGTTAAATCTCAGGACGCTAATCTGGAATGCATGTTGTGTCTGGTCCAACTAATATTTAGATGGTTTCACTCACTGCTCAAAACTTTCCCTAGGTCCATCAGGATCCAGCTAATTTCCTCATTGTCTATGCAGCTATCTTTCATGACTCCAGACACACTGAGCTTTCCTGCTACAACCCTCAAGTGTTTGTTCATTCACTAGTGAATCATGCAGTTGTTTTCTGTATGTATGTTTTGCTTTTTTAAAACAATCAAATATGTATAGCTGATCTTTTCTTTGGATTTATAATAAACTTCTTAAAAAGTAGGTAAGATATATAAAAAGTCCTCAATCTTTTGATCACAATGGAAAATCCTAAAATTACAAACTAATGAAAAGAAACTCCACCTCAGATAATAGATTTACTTCAGTTTTACTGTGATAAATGACTTCAGGATGAAAAACCTGAAAATTTTTAATTAAGTGAAAGTTGTGCTTTCTGGATGGAAAGATTACTAGCTCTAAATTAATACGTAGATTCAATGTAATTCTGATAAGAATTGTAATGGAATTAAACTAAGTCTAAAGTTAACCGGGAAGAAGAAAATAATAAAGACAAGTTTGAAAAAACAGTGTTAGTGACTTACTGTATTGCATGGCAAGATATATCAAAGCTAGCATAATTAGAATGCTAGTGATGTTGGTGTAAGGATGGATAAATGGCTTTACCCATTTATGCTGGAGGTTGCAATTCTTTGTGTGTGTGTGAAAAATCAGACCTTGGCAATGACCTTGAGCAGTAGGATATAAATAACTGCCACAAGCTTAACGTTCCAATAATGAAACACTAGGCATAAATAGGTTAACGGGACAGAATATATGGTATAGAAACAGACTCATGCATATGAGAAAGTTTGGTTTATAATAAAAGTGTCTTAGCAAATCATGAGGATAAGATGTTTTTCTTATTTTCACGCATAATGTTGGGTGTGCTAGATATCCATTATGGAAGAGAGAAAAATTTCAACCCATACTTCATGTCTTGCAGAAAAGGGAAACTACAGCTAGATAAAACAGCTAAAAGTAAAGAGAAAAATCCCATAAATATAACACAAATTTGGAAAAGCATTGGAATCAGAAGAACTTTCTAAGTAAAACAATAACCCAGAAGCCATAAAGCAAAAGATCGACAGAATCAACAAAAATATTGTTAGCAAACAAAGAAACAAGAAAATACAAAGAATTCCTGCAAGGAAAGGAAGCAAAATGCAGTACGGAAGGTAAATAAATGAAACAGAAAACTCTGAGACAGAGTGAACAGAATTGATATAGCCTTATGAATAAAACAACAGCGCAAGTATCAAGACATTTAATATCTTACCAGAGATAGGAAAGAGTTTGGAGGGGACTTGGGGAAGTCTCTCCAACAAACTATTCCAAATGTCGACCTTTATTAAAGAATAAGGTTTGTTTTTAAGTCAATCAAAACAATTTCAACCCATCAATCAATAAATAGCTCAGGACAATGTGGAGGAAGGGGCTGCAAATGTTGCAATTAAAAGTGCCAGTCCTGGATTCTTGTGCCTGGATGCAAATTTAGACTCTGGGCAAATCTCTTAAACCCTCTTGTGCCTTAGAGTTTTCATACACAGTTGGAGGAGCAGTGGTTAGAAATACCTATAGCACAGAATTATTGAAGATAAGAGCTAACAAGGCTTAGCTCAGAGGCAGGCAAACAAGTGCGTAATAACTGTTGGCTGATATAATTATTACTTTCATTTTTTATTTCATTTTACTTAGAGCCAAGAGCCAAAACTCCTCCTGCATAAAGAAGCTGGGGGTTTTAGTAAACCACTTCATCATTCTGGGCTTCAGTTTCTTCATTTGTAACATGGAGAAATAATGTTAGGTAGGGTTAGTGTGATCATTAAATTAGTTAATATTTAGTAAGTTCTTTTACCTTTGGAATTTGCATGGTATTCAGTAAGTGCCATTACATGTTTGTTAAAAGAAAAATATTGTGTCTAGTTAGCCAAAAATATTTCAAGCAATCAAAAATATGAGCTTAAATGCCAAAATGAACATTTAGTAAATGTGACCACTCTCAAAGTGCTTAAAGAAAAGGAATAGGACAACTTGGGTTTTTTTAATTATTGTTATTATTTGTGTTTAATGGTAGTTTATTTTCTGTTGCCATTTGTGACTTTAAGGAACCCAATCATCACAAATTGAGTGAGAGTGGACTCTATTAAACTGAGTCTGGATGAATGTCCTTTTGCAAAGTCTCTTTTCACTGTAACCTAAAATTCCCCTTATGACGAGCCAACACAAAGGCACATCTCTTTCCCAGAAGCTGTCAAGCAATTGCTCAATCTGCTCACTCCTTTAGGAGAACACACCTTGAAGGGTGACAATTACAGTGGGCTGGAGGTGCTGACAACTGCTTCCTGATGATAATACAGAAGGTCCAGTGCTGTTGACCTTAGGCATTGACCTGCATGTAGAAACTGCCAACTGCTAGACTGTTAGAAGAATGTAAATATTTAATGAGTGATGCTTTGTAAAAGTGCCTATCACCAGAGGTTCGGAGATCAAAAAAAGAATTTATTTTCAGAAAATAGTTCTATCTTTCTGTGGAGGGTGTATAGGTGGCTTTTCCTTTGACCATCATGCTAGAGAGGACAAGGATAGACACAGATGGGACAGGAAAGGAAGGGAGCCTGAGATGTTCAGGAAATTAGATGCACTAGACTTATTTTAGTCGGCCCATTTTGCAAATATGTGTCACGAAATGCTGTAGTCCTTAATGAAGGTAATTAAATGTAATTTGAAGACAAGTTTCTCCTCTCTAGTGGTGACACAGCTCCTGCCAACAATTTAGGTTATCAACATAAGGTGAAGACTAAATTGGCCCTAACTGATGAAATGGAAGAATTGGGATGTTACTCAAATGCCAGGTGTCAATAAATGTTTAAATTGGACAGCACAGTGGCTGCAAGTCAGACTGTGTACACTTACAAGTTAAGGAGAAATGGGCGGATTTCAGAAAAAGGTCAGCCTTGGCATAGAAGGATCTGCCTCATCTCGGGGGATTAAGCAAAGGCCCAAACCAAGACATTCCGGGCCTATATACTAAACTGTAGAATGTTAACAGTTGATTTTTCGAACAAAATGCAAACTTTAGAGGTGACTTCAAAAGCTGTAGAGGGGACGGTCCTGCAAGGATAGTTGTTAACTGCCCTGTTTTCCTCATGTCTTCTGAGGAAGATCAGTGAACGTGGAAGTATCCAGAGATCTATTTTGAAGGAAGCAAATCTACTTATGGCTAGATTCAGTGTGGGGTGCTTACTGAAGGCTGACTTAAAGAAACCAATGGAATGCATATCTGATAAAGAAGTTGGGACAAGGAAGGCTTATTGAAGCTTTGTGTTTTGTCAACAGTCCCACAACCTTTTGTGCCTTCTATTCTAAGTTCACCTTCCTCAGTAGTCATGGGATCTGGCCTTAATTCGGCATGATGACTGAGAGAGCTCTTGGCAAAATACTTCTGCAGTCCAATGACGTTTTTCTTAAAATTCTGCCTTTGCCTTATTTTAGAAATGACAGCCTGTGAACTGAATATAGACCAAAAATCCTGACCACTCCTTAGACTTTCTTTACCAAGTCTAACTGTCCATGTGCTTACTTGCCTGGCCTCTGGGGAACGCTGAGTATTCACCAATCGTATGAATAATTAGAAGATAAGAAAGATGGTTAGAAAGATGGTTAAGACTCATTAGCAGTGTTTCAGGACTGAAAGAAACATTATCTGAACAAAAATTTTGCTTCCATTGCCAGATTTAGCAAATAAAACTATAAAAAATGTTTTAGTGTAAAATATGCACTATTTGGGGCACACTTATACTAAAAATTCATCCATTGTTTATCTGGAATTTAATTTAATGGATTGTCCACTATTTTATCTGGCAAATAAAATAAGAATTTTATCTATTTGCTCAACTAAATACAATTTATGTTGGGGACAGAGAGTTATGTTTTAGGATTTTAGAAAGATTAAATATTAAGTGAATGTCTTGGTGAATTATGACTTATAGCCATAGCTATATTACTTTCAGAAAGAAAGCTACACTGAGGAGAGTGAAATGAGAAGAACAGCAGTCCTCATTTTATATTTGAAGCAGTCTTAATTTATAGTTACACCATACCAGGCAGTGCGGCACTTGGGCACAGAACCAATATTATATATGTGGAATAGATAAATACATATGTGTGGGTTTATTTCCAAAATGACTTTTATATGCTGGTGGAGATGTGGCATGTGTTACTTTTCTCTTCATTTTTATGTCTGGTTATAGAGTACAGAAATTGCTTTAAAATGACCCAAATTATAAACTACCATTAGCAACTCTTGTTTGGGAGCACCAAGCTCCATCTTCTTGCCTGTTACGCTAGAGCAGCCTTGTCCAGAATTTCAATAGTGTACCTCTTTTTTCCAGTGATGGAGCAGACCCTGGTGATGGTAAAAACCACAATTACTTTTGCACCAACCTAACTAATATTCTTGCCACAGGAGAGTGGGGAGAAAAGCCTGCCATAGAGGAGGGGGTGAATAATTAATTTCCAGGGTGTCGTAGTCTTAGCCCAACACAGATTTTCATCTCCTCCTTTTTATACTGTAGAAACGGGATGCATTTCCCACCCCACATGAATTCATACCTATTTTTATAGACTGTAATGTCTCCCTGATTGAACATAACTACCAGGGATATGGGAATGATTGGAACTTGGCAAACATCAGTGAAATGGCAGAATCCTTATAATGACATTTGTTTGAAATGAGGAGCTACACATTACATTCCAAAGTGACCAAATCTCAATTTAGCAATAACCGTAAATGTATGCTGTGGAGAGTCGAGAATTTCATGGGCTCAGAAGTAAGCCATGCTTGTTTTAGGAATTATGATGAAGCCAGTGGTTTCCATGGCTACCATTTGCACTAATTGTGATATATTAGTAGCAACAAGAATTGGATGTCTCAAGTCATTTAGTTAATTAAACACAAACGTGGACCCTGCCAAAAGAATTATGGATGAAATTAGCATCTACCGGAATGCACCTGTAAAATGTGACTTGCATTAGTCCTGTCAGCTGGGGGAGGGGACGCACGATGGAGTTGAAATGCTTGTGTATTCTAAACATGTCTTTCTTACCCATATCCAGTTACAGAACCACTTTATAATTTATTTTTAAGATGCATCCTCAAATGAAATACAACAGCAGTGATCAAAGGGACATGTTTTTTTGTTGCTGCTATGACCAGTAAAATATATGAAATTTCACATGGAGGGAGGTGGTAGCTCACAGCAATTACAGAAAACGATGAAACAACAGATTTGCCACTAACACACTGAGATCCTGAAAATAGGAGTTTATAATGGAAAAAGCTGACACAGGCATAACTGTGGCAGCCAGCTATGTTTTGACATCATTGAAAGCCTGGTGAGCTTTACATCAAGAGTAGCAAGAATATGATAGATTGGATTGAGATACATGAAGATGGGATTGTTAAATTCTACTTGTGAATCTGGGCAAATGCTAGAACAACAACTCTATCCTCATCAGACTTTCTAAGTGTACGTCTACATCCATTATCTCTCAGCATTCGCAGTCCTGGGAAAAAAGTTGTCACGGGCTCAATTTTTCAGATGGCGGAGCTGAGACTTGGAAAGGCAAAATGATTTACCCAAATCGCCATTCCAGGGCTATTCCTGTCCCAAAAGCTGCAGACCAGAGTTTGTAAAGAGCCAGGGGTTGATAGTAGATGTGTCAGTTTGTTCAGTCATTCAACAAACTTTTGCATTAAGCACCCACTCTTTGGTAGGCACATGGGATAAAAAGGCAAGCAAAACTCCACTCCTGAGCCTTCCCTTCATATTGTCTCTATGTTGTGATGCCTTTTCTTTCAAAATGCAACAGACTGCCTTGGCTGTGAACAAATCTGCTTTCAGTGTTCAAACATTTTACAGATATCAGTTAGATGCATTATCATGTGGGAAGGCTACAATGATGAGTGAAATAGACATGGCCCTCATTTCAAGAAGCTGTGGTCAGATGGGGGAGACAGCTGTTCTTTATATAATCCCACAAATAGAAAATTGCAACTGTGTTAAGTGCCATAAAGGAGAGGCGAGAGGCATGTGACACTGTGGCATAGAGAATACGGTGGAATTGACATATTTTCAAGCAGGGATGGAGCTGAAATCCCAAAGAAGGCTTAGCTAGGGTTCAGTAAGGGAGGCAGAACCTGTAGGTGGTTGCAGGAACTGGTTAAACAGTATGTGTAAGGCTGCCTCGGTGTCTCACACTGGAACTTGAAGCCCACAAGTCAGCCAGTGAAGTTTAGAAGAGGGATGTAAAGTGAAAGAGAGCATGGACAAACCAGAGTCCATGAGGGCAGACTGAAACCCGTGTCCGTGTTATTTCCTCTGACCCTGATGGTATGTCATGGTGCTAACCACACACCCTGCTGCCTATAAGTCAAAGAAGCTGAAGGAGGTTCCAGGGGAAAGTGGGGGGTTGCAGGCCCAGAAGATAAGGTAACTATGGGCGTCAACTAAGAAACGGTGAATGCTTCACTCCTGCTCTCCAAATGCCATGTGGCAGTCTTTCTTGTGATCTACCTTAACTGGAAACATCCAGGAAAGGGAAATCTGGGAAATATAATTCAGCCTAGCTAAGTTGACATGTTATAAAGGCACACACGAGAAGTAGAGGTGATGACTTGTTCAAGACTCTGTCCTGAAGGATGATGTGCATCCATGGAAGGAATGAAGGAGACCAGTCTGCAGAATTAAAGAGGGATGGAGACTGAAGGATGATGTGCAGCCATGGAGGGAATGAAGGAGAACAGTGTGCAGAATTGAAGAGGGACAGAGACTGCTGGTCCTCATAAGTAGTTTCTTCTACCAATCCAATGTCTCTTCATTGAAGATTTTGGAGAATGAACTCTGCTTCATGTATCTTAAATTTTTTAACTACAAACAAAATACTGCAATTTATTCAGTTGCTGTCTTAGAATCCCTCTAGCAAAATTTTCATAAAGCTAGGCCAAAGTGAAATTGAATCAGCACTCATGTAAGCTGAATGGCACCAAATTCACATTTACTGAATGCACACAAAGAAGCAATGAAGTTTGACACTGAGACCAGTGAGTCTGTCTGATGAGCTCAACCTGCCCACTTGGCTGACTGCAGATCAGGCCAACCATCTGTCTTGAAGCATCTCCTACAACCAGGACATCCATGGGAGGGGACACCAAGCATGACATGGGAGTTCAGCCTTCAAGGTGTTAGTTATCAACTTGCCAGCATAATCAGATGTGCACTAGTGAAACTATTACACACAGTACAGTATCTATGATAAAATAACATACATAATCCACAAGTCCCAACAGAACTGAGGGTCCTACAAGATGGACAGGAGTTTATTCTACAGAGAAAAGAAGGGGAAACCTCATGACCTAGAAGGGCAATGTACAAAATTTCCTAGGTGGGTATGTGCAGCTCCAGTCAAGAACCTGGCTAGCATTCCGGAGAGTAGAGCCTGTTGACTTTTCAAAGTGTCATATGGTACAATGGATGAACATCTGTGGCCTAGTTTATCAGACTGAGCTTAGAATTGGCACAAGTCACTAAAACGCATTGAACTTAGGTCCTCTATAATATACAGGAACTAATTTCTATCTGATAAGGTTGTTTTGAGAATTAGATATAAAAATTAACCAAAGTCAATAGTGTTAGAGGTTACATTCAAAATATGATGTAGAAGGTAAGCTGATGACTTATGAATAAAAATAAACCAGGCTGGAGGATCAGAATGGGGTGGTTACAGTTTCATACATGGAGTTGGGAAGGCCTCTCCAAAAAGATGCTATCTTAGCATGAGGGATGCCATGTGGACATCAGGGGTTAAGGATTTGAAGTAGGATTCTACAGAGAAAACCATAATAGCACCTCTAACATACTGAGAAACTCCAAAACTACAGGTCACTTACATTTGACTTTGCGTTAACTACGTAATTATACATACATATAAATAATCAAGTACCTGATAATACAGGAATTTCCAATACTTTTACAAAACCCATATATTGCTTCCAGGATGCACAACCCTTCCCAGACACTACAAAATTGTAATGTAATGGCACATGCTAGAACAGATTATGAATTCTACAAATTTAGTTATCATAATTTTCTGTCATAACTCTGATAAAATCTACCATCTCCGAGTTGTTATGAAAATTTAATAATATATGGGAAGTGCCTAAATCAGGGTATGAAGCATGTTAGGGGTTCAATAAACATTAGTTTATCTTAGAAATTTTACTGTAGGTGAGCTTAGTGTTAATCTCCTGGCTTCTGGCTGTTCCTCTGTGTCTTTTCAAAGGTTAGACGTTACCTGGTTGGAAACATGAGAAGGATTTGAGCAGGAAAGGAAAGCAAAGCTTTAGAAAGAGCTGTTTACACATATCAAGCCTTCCTGGAGGAGGCGGCATTTGAGAGTCATCTCCAAGAATAAATGAGAGTTGGGAGAGGGGCACTGTTGGCAGTGAAAGGATAACAAGTAATAGCAATGCTAATATGCTTCCAGAACTTGGCCCAGGTCTCAGCAGCCGCGTTGGTATTTGAACCCAAGACTTCTCACCTCCAGGAAAATGCAGAGGCAATATTCACACTATGCAATGACTGCTTAGCTGTGTATCACAATTGGCCCCTTAGATCGCTGGTAATGGAATCAAGGAGAGAAACTCTTTAGAACACTCTGGTAGCTGTCATATTGTACTGAGGCCAGCAATGCGGTGGTGCATTTGGAATGTTGAGGCCAATGCATGCAAAGGGCCTTTCAAAGCAGTAACAAACAAGATTCGCTTGAGGAAGCAGCAATGGGAATAATTTAAAGTTCACAGTCTAGAGGGCAAGAAAAAAGGGTGAAATGCTAACAAAAAGCAAGCAACTCGTACAGGGGATATATTTTTTTAATGAAAAAATTTTACAAGCCCTTCTACACTATTTGCTTATTGCATAGATGGGGAAATTGAGTCTCAGAAGTGGTTTGCTAAGAATTGCCCAACTCATGAGTCAAAAAACAGGGACATTGGCTGGGCTTGGTGGCCCCATCTGTAATCCTAGCTACGTGGGAGGCTGAGGCAGGAGGATCCTTTGAGCCCAGGAATTGGAAGCTGCAGTAAGCTGTGATGGTGCTATTGCATTCCAGCCTGGATGACAGAGCAAGACCTGCCTCTAAGATAAGTAAATTTTGAAAAGAATCAGGGACAGAAGAATATTCCCTGTCTGCTTCTGCCCTGACTTCTGCACAGCCTGGCTTTATAGGTGCAGGTTGCAGTGACGATGAGATATCCAAGTAGAAATGTAACATGTGCAGTTCAAAGGTAGGACTTCTAAAGAGAGGCAATGGCTGGAGAAGGGCATTTGTATCAAGGCATTTTGCTGAAGATATCAGCAAAGGGAGAAATTACAGAAAAGGGTGAGAAAGGACTCAGAGTTAAAAGAGAACAACCATTGAGGCAAGAAAGGAGTAAACATTCAAGTTACAGATTGTCCTTATAGCTGAGAAAGGAGCTGTTTCAAAAACATGGGAGGCATGTTCTTAGGCATCAGAGAGCCATTTTTCTGGGAGAGGGGGAGCTGTTTTAGCACATTAGTATGTCCGGAGGCCAGACTGCAAAAGGTAAAGACAGAATATCAGGAACTGGTTCCTGCAGGCAGCACTTCCTACTCTGAGGGTCATCCAGCCTGAGCCCTCGTCCCTCCCCTCCCAGAACCTCACTTTGACAACGTGGCTCACTAATTGCTACTGGGTAGAAGCTAGCCATTCTAGAAATAGCAGTTCTATGGAGTAAGTAGATACATTAAACTTTCTAACATGAAACGTCCAGAAGGCAACTAGAGTTACTCAGTCACAGGCTGGACGATTCTCTGTAGGCTCTGAAATCGCCATGTGGGCATCCTCTCTAAAGACTGTATTCATTTGCTAGGGCTACTGTGGCAAAATACCACAAAACCGGGTGGCATAAACAACAGAAATGTATTTTCTCACAGTTCTGGAGGCTGGAAGTCTGAAATTCAGGTGTCAGCAGGGTTGGCTCCTTCTGAGAGCTGTGAAAAAGAGCATGTGCCATGCCTCTGCCAAGCTGCAGACAGCAATGCTTGGTGTTTCTTATGAAAAGCATGACTCTAACATCTGCCATCGCATAGTGGTGATCCTTCTGTATGTGTCCAAAGTTTTCCTTTGTGTAAGGATACTAGCCATAGTGGATTAGAGACCCACCCTAATCATCTCATTTTAACCAATTACATATTCAATGGCCCTATTTATAAATAAGGTCACATTCTGTAGCACAAGGGGTTAGGACTTTAAAATATGAATTTGGGGCAACACAATTCAACCCATAAAAAAGATCAAATATTTTGTCATGTCAAGACCGAACATTATTAATGTTTGCAATAGCCCAGGTCCAAAAGCCTACATGAGCACCTCTTTTTTTTTTTTTTTCATTTTCTAGAAACATTTACATAATGACTATATTGCCTTCTTTTGGCCACCTTAAAAGGGCTGATGGTTGGGTAGAAAAGAAATATCACTGAAGCCTTAATTCAGCCATAATAAGGCTGTTGAGCTTTGGGTCACAGCTTCCACATCTATACATTGGAAATTCTTCCTTCCAACTCAAAAGTATTGTGGTGCAAACCAAATAAAATGCAAACAGAGATTGGAAGAGCTATAAAGCAATGTGTTTTTTAAATCACTTTGAGTTTACAAATACAAAAGCAAGAAGAAACTTTGTGATTTTTATTTCTCCTCTTATTGATCAGCACATGTTTGAGATCATGCTCATGCCTTAGGTGGCAAATTAATCTCAAAAATGTTACCTGGAGTACAAATTAGCACTCTATCTTTCTGCAGATGTAGAACAGAGATCATGTCCCCTGTTTCAGAGGTTCTCATTAGCTTATTAAAGTTAGAAATTTTCAGAAATAATGACTCTTATATGAAATAGTAACATTTCATATTCCTAGAAAATGGTAAGGAATTTTCCTTTGTAGGTGCAGAAAGGTCAGCATGACAGACATTCGCATGGTATTAAAACCACGAACTCTCAACTAGCCAGAGTTGAAAGCTTATTGTAGTTCACTGGAAAACACTTGAACTTGAATCTCAAAGTATATTTTCCTTGTTATATTAGTTTGCTAGGGCTGCCTTCACAAAGTATTACGAACTGGGTGGTGGAAACAACAGAAATTTATTTGCTCACAGTTCTGGAAGCTGGAAGTCTGAGATCTAGGTGTTAGCAGAATTGGTTTCTTCTGAGGTTGCTCTCCTTGGCTTGCAGATGGCTGCCTCCACCTGTGTTTTTACGTGGTCTTTCTCCTATGTGTATCTGCGTCCAAATTTCTTTTTATAAGGCTACCAGTTATATTAGATGAGGGCCCATCCTAGTGATTTTAACTCAATTACCTTTTAAAAATTTCAGTCACCAAATACAATGGCATTCTGGTGAGGTACTAGTGGTTAGGACTTCAACCTATGAATTGTGTGAGAGACAAGAGAGACAAATCAGCCTGGGACACTCCATCCCCTGCCACCCGTGCAAACTCATGCCCCTTTCCTCTTCACAGACAAAATAATTTACCATTTACTTTGAACTTCAAAGCACAGCTCTCAAAATCTTTAAAAAACTTGAGGCATTTTTTTCTTAGAAATAAAGATATTTAGAGTCTTCTTCTCTTCCACTTAAAATGGGTAGCACACACTTTAATTATATTATTAATAGTAGCTAATTGATTTGACACACTTTTCCTGAGGGCCTACTGTGTGCCCAGCCTGGGGAGTGCAGCACTGTCCTCAGGTAAAATCTTTGTTCTAACAGCCTTCATTATATTTCACAGCTTGCCCAGGTCACGACTTCAGAAAGAACTGGAACCATTTCTCATTCATCTCTGTATCCTCAGTGCCTGGAATTTACTTAGCAATCATTGCAAACTAGTCTCCTGCCTTCTCTCAATTACATATTTAAAACTATTTTGGATGTAATTATTTCAATGTATTGAGAGAAAGAACATGTTGAACTGTGAGTCCTGGTTCTATATTATATTGCCAACATCATCACTTATCTTTGTTTCTTCATTGTAAAATAATATGATTTGGGCCAGAAATCCCTAAGGTTACTTCCAATTCAATAATTATACGTCTAACTCAGGTTTGGGAGTCCAAAAAGCCTTCCTAGATGAGGAGGCATTTGAGAGTCATCTCCGAGAATAGGTGAGAGTTGAGAGAGGGGCACTGTTTGCAGTGGAAGGATAAGAAGTGAAAGCAATGCTAGTGAGCTCCCAGCACTTGGCCCAGGTCTCAGCAGCCATATTGGTATTTGAACATAAGACTGCTCACCTCCAGGAAAATGCAGAGGTAACACTGAACAATGACTGCTTAGCTGCGTATCACAATTGGCCCTGTAGATCACTGGCCTTAGGTGGTCCTCATTGTTTTTGTTCACTCTCTACTGCTATCCTGGTTAGAGTAGGCATGAGGATACATATTGCAAATCTCTACCTACTCCATCCTCAAACTTTGCAATAATCTAGAAAAGGCACAATAATTCTAATAGCCTAACAGGTAATATTATTTATGAAGGCTCTGTAAAAAAAAGGAGATAACTTGACTGCTGCAGCTTAAAATGCATGGGCTTTGGGATAGCTGTATTCATCATTTAATATTGGGTTTTCCTGATAGATTAAATTGCCCAAGGAAATGATCATATACATGAGATTTTACTGTAATAGATAGTACTATATAACCAAAGCAAAGAGGTAGGTAGAGTTGTATATTAGTCAGCTCAGTCTGACATAGAAAATATCACAGACTGGATGGCTTAAACAGTAGGCATTTATTTTTCTTGCACTTTTGGAGGCTGGAAGCTCAAAATGAGGATGCCAGCAGGGTTGGTTTCTGGTGAGGACTCTCCTCCTGGCTTGCAAATAGCTGCCTTCTCACTATGTCCTCACATGACCTTTCCCCAGTGCAGAAAGAGAGAGCACTCTGGTATCTCCTCCTTTTCTTATGTGGACACCAGCCATATTGGATCAGGGCCCTACCCTTTTGACCCCATTGATCCCCTTATAGGCTCTATGTTCAAATATACGTGCATTGGGGGTTAGGGCTGCCTCATACAAATGGTATGGGGACAACTTCATCCATAGCAATTTGATACAAAGCTTTAAGAACTGCCTTACGCTAAGTATCACACGGACCAGGTAGCCAGAGCTTGCCGTCTAAAACCTAACACAGTGTCTTAAAAGCAAGCACAATTCTGAAAATGTAACCAAGTTTCTTAATTTTGTTTCAAAGATAAGAAACTTGTTTTACATTCCAAGTTTTTTTTAAATCTCCCAGCCTAGTACATTTAAAAATAGATTTGAAACCCAGGAAATTAGCACCTTCGATTTATTCCCAGAACAGATAGCTAATAAGTAGGGAAAATTAAAATTTTTCAGCCAGCTTGCTTTCATATTTTGTAACACATACCTCTTTGGCTTTGGAGTAGTTTAATATGAATTAATCACTAGGCTCTCTTCAGAGTTGGAAACGAGGTGGTATTTAAAGCAAGTTACATTGTTAGTAAAATCCGACATCTAAAATTTAGCCTGAGGCTCTCAGCCATACATAAGTTTGATACTCTGCATATATTTTTTATTAAAACTTCAGATGACAAGAATGATTTCCAAGCTCAAGGTTAAATAATTTGGGCTGGGGATGGTGATGGTGGTGGGGTACTCATGAAAGAAGGCCCCCTTAGGAGACAGACTACAGGATAGAAGAAGAATTTCTGCCCATTCTATTAAGCTAAGGAATCTTCCCTGAGTTGTCTGATTAGATGCAAACAAGCATGACGAAAGAATCATCCCAGCTGTCACAGTATTTTCAACACCTGGCAACAATGTTGTGCAAATGGACAAATGACTGTGATTGTCAATTCAGGTGTCAGTGGTGACCTGTATCTCTGTTGAGCTCAACCCCTAAGTTGTCATCCCTGCCAGACGCACCTCTTCCTTGATCAGAGGAAAGATAACAAGGGGAAAGGGACTGCTACTACCCCAAAAGGTTTTCTCTCACTTGGGCTTCTGGAAATCACTTGGAATGGGGAAGACAGGTTTGGCTTGTCCTGAGGACCCATTAGAAGGTGACATCATACTGCCTCTGTTTCCCATGAGAGCATTTAACGTTATCAGCAAAACCAAGTCATCTCTTTATCAGAGGAAAGCATGACACTGTCTCAAAAACCGTTAAGCATGTGACACACTTCCCTAGATCATAGACAAATGGATTTGGGAGAAAACAGTTGACCCCCAGGAAGTAGGTACAAAATGAGCATTAGTCAGCATTCAGAGGAATTTGGTGGATGTTACATAGTTTAAATTTGTGTCTGGTAATCTTCATTGCTGTTAAGTGTTAAGCCCGATGAACCCAGTGAATACAGGATGAATTTTTTCAATGATGATGTGATCTTTTTAAAAGTGCCAACTGTAATTATCACTGTAACCCTTGGATGTTAACAAAAGAAAATTACTGTGAAGCCATCACTTCAGTCCTCTCTGGATCTGTGTTCTGATTCCTAGCAGACTGCTTGCCAAACACCGTGGCCGCAGGGTCAAAGAACATTTGTCATTTCAGCTGTGGGGACCAGACAGCAGGAGTACAATCACCCTTCCAGTGATACTGCTGCTCCAGACCACCAGTGGGCAGTCAGCCAGCTGGGCTCTTTGTACTTTCTCTTTATGCCTTGCAGTTTCACTTTAGGGGAAGCCTGTTTCTGCTGCAAATCTTTGTAAAAGATAAAGATTCCAACAGAGGGACACTTGGTGCCTCGGGTAGAAGTAGCCCGGCAGTAGGGAGTATTCAGGAGCCGCACAGAAGGATGTTTATTTCAACAGAGACCACCACAGGAGAATGGAAGCCATGGTGGACTCTGAGGCCCCTAGAGATCCTTGAGATGTTAAGGACGTTACTTACTTTATATATTTTTCCTCCTTTATCCCATTCACTCATTCATTCAGTAGATTCTTTTCTAGGTTCTGGAACCATGCTGTTTAAGGAACCAGTGAAGAGATACCTGCCTTCATGAAGCTTTAAGTATAATGGGGGAAGTGGTAAAATAAACAAGGCTTTTTCAACTTTTGCACTATTGACATTTTGCTCCAGATAATTCATGGGAGGGAAGGAGAACCATCCTGTGCATTGTAGGATATATAACAACATCCCAGGTCTTCACCTACTAGATGCTGGTAGCAACCCCCGTTTCCCGGGTGTGTCAACTAAAAATGCCTCCAGGCTTTGCCAAATGTTCCCCAGGGTGAGAATAGGGTCAAAATTGCCCTGGGTTGACCTAGGCCGTAATACAGAGAAACTAACAAACAGAATGTGTGTGTCTGTGTGTGTATCTGTAACTTATAACAAGTATCACTAGGGAAACAAGAAAATAGGTGAGAGAGAGTCAGAGAGTGGAACTAATATACGTTAGGTGGTTAGAAATAATCTCTTTAAGAGGATGATATTTAAAAGGAGGCCTAAGGGAAGACAACTGAATATAGGCGTGTTCCAGAACAAAGAAAGAACAATACACAGGCCCTGAAGGAGGACAGAGTTTGATCCACTCAGGACAGTAATGCAGGCTTGTGTAAGTGGAGGTGCTAGAGGCAGGTGAAGATCATATCATGCAGGGCCTTAGAAACTGTGATAGGGAGTGTGGATTTTATCAGAAGTATCTTGGGAAGGCACTGGACAATTTCAAGCAAGAAAGATACATGACTTGATTTACATTTCCCCCGTGGTATAGAGACTATATTGGCGAGAATGGAATGGAGTGGGCATGAGTAGCCATTACTATTCTCAGTCTCTTGTGTGATGGTGCTTTGCATGTTTGCATATGTACTAAGAACCCTTAGGGGAACACAAAAAGTAAAGGAATAAAGAATAATGTTGAAGAGCCCCATCAATATGGGGAAATTAATGTGCAGGAAAATCTAATCTTAAATACCATTATTTAAAAGGAAATGCTGATGATACAAAATCAAAATGGCAAAGTGATAAGAGCCATCTGAATATTGCCTTGGGGCTGTTTTCCAATCTGTAAAATGAAGATCAAAATAGAATGTATTACATGTGGATTAATGAAGACTGAGATAATTGAGTGAAGCCTTATTGTAATGATGGGAGCAAATCCCTAAAAAGGTAGTTATGAATATAGTTATTTTAATTGTTTTCATCCATAACAATAGCATAAACTTCTTACATGTAAATATCACATTTCACTTCCTATATGTCTTCCTGAGCACTGTCATCCTACAATCTATTTCCCAGCTGCATTTTGCAATGAAAATTTGCATTTAATTATTTTACACATTAAAAAAAGATTTCAGTGCATCTTTAAAAAGTAGTCATAAAGCAAAGAATCCCTTCAATGGAATAATTTTACTTAATATAACGTATAGTGTTGATAGCCAGTTTTAAAGAACCATAAAAGAAAACATGATTATATTTTTGATAGAAACAGAACCTAAAGGAAATGTGTCCGAAGCAGTCATTGATCCACAAATGTGGATTGATGCTTACTCTGAAGAAGGTACATATTTGGTGCTGGGATGTAATGGGTATAAAACTCTAAAAATGGCCTGGGCCAGTGCGAGAGTAGAGGAGGCATACCTTCTTATAATCATCACAGGACAAAAACGTGAATTTGTGGCCAGGTGCTGCCAAGCATTACTGAAGACATTTTGCTAATAATGGTAGACACTCTTAAGGCACTTACCATGTGCCAGGAACTAGTCATGATACTAACTCATTCCATGCTCATAATGAGGTAGGTATTATTATCCTCACTTTATAGTGAGAAACTGAGGAACTAGAGAAGTTTAGTAACTTGTCCCAAAACACATAGCTAGCAAGTGATGGAGCCAGAGTTTGAAATGAGGAACTTTTTTTTCCAGAGTCTGGACCTTAACCATTAACATACACTGCCGCAAAAGAGGAAAATAGGAGCGAGACGAACAAACTGGGACTGTAAGAAGCCGAGTGGGGCTGGTGTGCATAGCGGGGTGTGTGTGGACAAGCAGGGGTATTTAGGAGGAGGGAGGAATTAAACTGGAATTAGGGTAGCCCTAAATACTGAAGCCCTTCTATCCTCCACTACTCCTGCAGCTTCTAATTCCAAGCCAAAATGGTTCCATTTTGTCTGCTATGAACAATAGCCTCTTAGAAGATAATAACAAAAATTTCCAAAGTGATCATTGATGTTCCTTCCCCGCAATGCATTACCGTTAATTTCTTTGTATGTAATGTCTGATTTGTCAACAAATCAGACCCGTTCAAGCTGATCTTTTAATTTTTTTCTTCTTTGGTTACTTCTCATTTTCATTAACTTAATTACATCCCAACAGATAGGGATTTTTCTTAACCTTGACCTTGGGGTGTACAAATAACAACAGACATTGTTCAGCAGTTTCAGAGGAAATATCCCAATTTATCTTGTGTGTTATGCTTTCCTTTTGTTCACAAGATGCTTCTATTAATTTAGTATTCAAAAAGCATTGCAGTTCTCATTTCATCTGGAATAAAATCTCATATGTGGAAATT
The DNA here is from genome assembly GCF_000001405.40 of Homo sapiens. Classification (NCBI taxonomy): domain Eukaryota; kingdom Metazoa; phylum Chordata; class Mammalia; order Primates; family Hominidae; genus Homo; species Homo sapiens. Next base: position 7,634,071 of record NC_000003.12, read on the forward strand.
CTAACATTGTGCTTAGCACATGGTATTTCGCCCAAATGTCCATTTCCTGCTTCCCTTCTTTCCATGCTCAGAATTATGCTTGGATGACTTGGCTGATAAAGTAATTCAAAAGTGAGTTTGAACTCAGAACAGTGTAACTAATATTATCCTAGTAAAGTTAGCTAAAGCAAGTAGTTTGCTAAAACTCCTCATCTATTTACCCTGACCAACTGCTTGTTGATCAACTAAATTGTCACATATCATCTCATTCTTTTCTAACTCAATTAGGAGCCTATTTCTTGAAGAAACAGCAACAAAAACATTGACAAGTGTTTTTCCCATTGCAAACTGAAAGCGTATACCATTAAACACATTGTCAAATTTCCACTAAGGGTTGAATGATGGAAATCCAACTTTGCACTTTTTTTCCAAAAAAAAAAAAAAAAAAAAAAAGGGCTGGGCTCCATGGCTCACGCCTGTAACCCCAGCACTTTGGGAGGCCGAGGCGGGTGGATCACAAGATCAAGGAGATCAGGAGATCTAGACCATCCTAGCTAACAGAGTGAAACACCATCTGTACTAAAAATACATAAAATTAGCCGGGCGTGGCGGTGTGCGCCTGTAGTCCAAGCTACTCGGGAGGCTGAGGCAGGAGAATGGCGTGAACCCGGGAGGCAGAGCTTGCAGTGAGCCGAGATCGCGCCACTGCACTCCAGCCTGGGCGACAGAGTGAGACTCTGTCTCAAAAAAAAAAAAAGAAAAAGAAAAAGAAAAAAGAAATCCGCAGATCTTTCAAGGCTATGGTACTTTGGCCAGATTTTGAATATTTTACCCACAAAAGCCAACAGAAGATATAAAGGCTTTCTCAAAGATCATCAAATAATGATACCAAAAACCTATTCTTACATATGGACAGGTAGTATTAACCACAGGGTACATGGATCAGCACTGCCCGATAGAATTTTCTGTAATGATGGAAATGTCCTCTGAATTGCCTCATGTGGCAGCCATAGCCTCATATGGGTATTGAGCACTTGAAGTGAGATTGGTGGGGCTGAAGAATGAGGTACTTAATTTTAATCAATTTAAACTTGAACAGCAACATGCGGCTAATGGCCGCCATCTGGAACAGCACAGCTATAAATAGTTTCCTGGAATAAAAGTAAGAGGAAGAAATGAGGAACTTCGAACTTTAAGGCAATAACTACCAGAGAGTAGATGGGACTTTGAAAAATCTCAAAAAGTGGATTTGGAAGATGAACGTGGATTAAATCTCTCCTATGACTAAAGAACACTTAGGCTGAAGGCAAGTAGAACTTGAGGGATGTTCAACAACGTGTCCATTTCATTAAGAACTTTGAAGCATGGAGTTGTCAAACCAACCTAACTCCTTAATAAAATGGCATCTTTAATTAACTGTTCAAGATGATGCCACTTTGCTTGTTTAAGATGAAATTCACCATTTGTCCACTGAAAGCAATAGTCTGCCCTGTTGCCTTTGCATGTAGTCTCTTCAGTAGATAATTACTTCAGCCCTTGTTGGGAGTTGTTCCACTGATCTGAGGCCCGCAGTCCTCTATCGAACACTTCTCTGAGCCAAAGCCAAAGTGGCTGCAAATCTTTTTTATAATTTTATTTTTTAGGGACAAGGTCTTGCTGTGTTGCCCAGGCTAGAGTGCAGTGGCACAATCATAGTTCACTGCAACCTCAAACCTGGGGACTCAAGCGATCTTCCTGCCTCACCTTCCTGAGTATCTGGGACTACAGACATATGCCACCACAAACAGCTAACTTTTTAGAATATTTTATACAGATAGGGTCTCACTATGTTGCCCAGGCTTGTCTCAGACTCCCGGCCTCAAGCGATCCTCCTGCCTCAGCCTCCAAAAGAACTGAGATTACAGGTGTGCGCCATTGCAGCTGGCTGTTTCAAATCTTTACAAGCTAATTTACTTTGCTTCAAAAAAGCACATCTAAATTATTAATCACTTTGAAAATATGTTATATTATCAAAACTAGCCAATTTTAGAACAGAAATTTCTTTAAAATAGGTTTATGGTGAATTCTACCTAGAGGTTGTTCATTTTGATGCATGTTTATCTTTTGCCTAAACTGTGTCCACTAGGCTAACTTCTACTCATTCTTCAAGATTTAACTTGAGCCTCAATTTCTTTGTAATGTCTTCTCTTACCCCACTTCCCAGGTCTCAGGCTTTCCCTGAATCATTGTAAGATAATGGAGACGCAGCAATGACTGTTCTTGTTATCCTCCCCGACCGGACTAAATGAAGACGGGGCCTCTGTCCTATTTATTTTCCTGAGCATCTAATGGTGCCTGGACACACACTGTCATTGTTTGAAAAATGAGTACATGTTCACTCTAAAGTTACAAGAACATCGGTTGAGAATAATTCCATGAGAACATGGTAGAAAAATTCCAAGGGTCAGGTAATAAGGAGAGTTCTATTAGTCTACATAAGGAAAGTGACTTGGGAGATAGACCATGCAGGTTCCTATAAATCTTATTCAAGAATTTTTATTTTAAAAATGTAATTGATCATTGGCATTCAAGACAGAAATGTTCAGATGCTTTAGAGAATCCTCGGATCACAGGCACTTTTGTAGTATGAAATTCTTCCCCATAAAGCAAGTGGGTGTAGATGCAGAGAGAACCCTAGGGTTGTAGTGTTTTGAGTGCTGGGTAAAAGCTCAGCTCATGCCCTAACTGATCATGCCCAAAGCTCTCAGTGCCCAAGATTCAATGTTGCATGGTGGCAAAATGACAAGCCCCATCTCGTGTTGCAGACCTGTCAGGGTTACTGGCAAATTATAGAAACACCAGGCATTCTGTTTACTAACATCAGTGGTTTCATAAGATGCAATTATTTCCTCAAAAAGCATACCGTGAAATGGTCTTCCCTCTTTATTATGGAAATAGCCTTTAACTTCGTGGTCATGGCATGAGAATACTCCAGATGATTTGAGGCATTCTAAATTTTTGCCCCATTTTTTAAAAGAGTGGTTGGTAGAAATGCATGGGGAGATGTTGCAATTAGGAAGAAGAAAATTTGAAGACATGTCCCCTTTATTTTTTATTTACTTATTTAATTTTAGAGACAAAGTCTCATACTGACACCCAGGCTACAGTGCAGTGGCACAATCATAGCTCACTATAACCTTAAATTCCTGGGGTCAAATGATCCTCCCTTGTTGGCCTCACAAAGTGTTGGGACTTTAGACATGAGCCACCATGCTCACTTTAAACAGCATCCAAACTCCTGAAAGATGTGTATTAGAAGGTGGCTTGATCATATGTTTCCTTACAAAAGAATGAATCACGTCAAGCCAGCCATTGAGTCAAAGGAACAAATGATGTTTTTGTTGTTGTCATTCAGGACGGATCGCAATCCTGAGATGCCAGGCACAACCCTCTATTAAAAAATCCATCAGACACGAAGAATTCCTAAATTTCCAGAAGAAATCAATAGAAAAATAAAATTTGGTTTACAGAAATTCTCTCCAACATGGCTTTGCAGGAGCCTATCGCCTGTTAGGTAAAGAGGAGGCACACCTGTTTGAAACATGACATGGAGTCATTTTACACAAACACACCTACCTGCGGACACGCTCATGGCAGACCACTGGCCGTAGTGACAGGTTGGTCAACCTGAACAATGGTGTTGCCCTGTCACTGAGTCATGTGAACTTGATGCAAGAATGACAGCAACAGCTAGTGCAATATTAGCACTGAAATGCAAAGACACAGACTGGCAGGCTGTGTTTCTGAGCAGCCTCTCCCACAGGAGCCTCTTCGGCATTCTTTAGTCACAGGCGGCAGTCACAGAATCTGATCTGACAATTCTGACATCGATCTCAGCAGACTCAGTAAGCTGTGTTTGCCCACAACAGGAACGGCAGTGTCCAGGTACTGAGTATTCCCTTGAGCAAAGTTCTATAATTTCTATAATTTCTCTCTGGCATATCCAAGAGAATTGAGACACCAGATAAGAATCCAGGAGAAAGAAAATCTTCCTGGGTTATGAGTTCAACAATTATCTACTTCTTCTTCATTTATTTCCACACTTCCTTTAATAGGCCCACAGTGTTTGAGGGGAGGGTAAGGTCAAGTTCCAGAATCATAAATTAATCTTTGCAAAGATTAATCTGTCTTTGAAATGTCCTGGGAATGCATCCAATGATGAAAGTAGAAGCTCCATAATATATAAGGACTGCATCATTATAAAACAGAATACCCACTATTCAATTTTACTCAGTAATTTAGTTTGCAATGCATTTTGACATCAATTAATTTACTTGATACTCAAAATAACTCTCTAAGGAAGACATCAGTATCCCCTTTTATGAAAGAGGAAGCTAAATCATTGACTGTAAAAGATTGCTCTAGATCCAGTTTGATGATAATAAAAGTGGGATGCCCACTAAGGTCTCCACATTCCTACTGTCAGTCACACCCACTCACCCTAATGCAACAAAGCCTTCCTGTAAGATCACCTCTTTTCTTTCTAAATGAAAAATGGATCTAGTGTTTGGATTTGTCCATATTTTTTCTGAAATTGGCATGCTGTTGCCATGAGTTTGGGCTGTTGCCATAATCCAAATGGAAGGCCATTTCAGGGTATGCTCTTAGAAGAAACATTTGCATTGCCCTGAAGCATTTGAAAGATGGTCATAATATCAACAGGGATCACAGCACAAAGAAGACAATGTGGAAACGAAGACACCACTACTGTGTGCTCCCTGCATTAGTTGTATCTAAAGGCTCAGTCAAGGATTGGAAGTCAAGAGAAATCAAGGGGAAGAGAGAGCTAATGATTTGGCAGAATCTCCCAAATGCTTTTGGTCTGAGCTTCTCAGCTTTGCCAGCTGTTGAATATGTGTCCAAAATGTGCTTGTCTTCCCAGGTTTTCCTCTAATTTGGGATGTCCAACACCCTCTCATAGACCTGTTATTATTTTCCATTTCCTAATTTGCTTGACCCCCTCTTGACAGCCAAACTTAAAACCTTCCACCTCTGTCTCCCTCACCTCCAACATCCAGACAACTCGAAGACAATCCTACATGGTGTGTATTAAATGTGTCACATCTCCCCATTTCTCCACTATCATTCAATATGTCCAGCACCAATTTTGCTTCTTTAGAAACTCCAGCACCTCTCTAGAGTTTAATACATTTCTGTCACTCCCCTCTCTCTCTGTGAGTTATCTGTGGACACAGTGTGGCCAGACCCATCTTGCCCATGCGCAGCCGCAAGCACACTTCTCCCTTACCCAAAAACATTTACTGGCTCCCATTTACCTGATGATCTAAGTGTAATTCCCCAAGCTGCCCTTCTATCTCTCCCATTAATATATTGCAAGTATTTCCTTTCACAACTGCCCTGAAAGTGCAAGGCTTACAGAGTTATTGACCCTGCAGTGAACACTCTCTAGTTTGTTTTCTTTCTTCCCATAGATCTCCTCTATATTAAGTGTTATTCACTCTTCAAGGCCCATTTTAATATTATCACCTTTTTTAAGTCTTTACAACTTTCCCTAAAATTTCTCCTTCCTTTAAACTCCTACTACCTTTTTAAATTAGTGATGCTACATAAGCAGCATCACTAATGAAAAATACATGTAATATATGTATGCAGTATACATATAATTTTATATATGTCATAAAGCAGTGAAATGTACAAGTCTTAAATGTGTTTGGGATACATTTTGACAAATGTGTACACTTATGTAACTGTCGCCCACAACAAGATATAGATTTCCATCACTCAGAAAGTTTTTTATGTCCCTTTCTAGTCAGGACCCATCTTCAGATAACCATTATTCCGATTTGATCATCATAGATTAGTTCTGTTTGTGCTTGAACATCATATGAATGAAATCATTCAGTATATACTCTTTTGTGTCTGTATAATTATACTCAATTTATTTTTTGAGATTCAATCATGTCATAGTATATATACAGCCCTGTATTCCTGAAATGCTTTGTTTCCACATTTTATAAGACATCCTTGCCTAACAAATGACCTCTTTTGGGCAAGGTTCCACACTAATTTATCTTCCTATCCGCCACAATGCCCTACACAGGGTTTTACATATAGTTGATGACCAACGCATGTTGGGCAAATGATCAATTTCATTCTTAGCTCACTAGATGACTTCAGCTAGAAAGATCACATGGAAGCAAGATAGCATGATCTGTGTAAAACTACATGCCACTGGGACAGGTGTTCTATAGCAATGAGGGTTTATTAAGCATGATGCGAAGAGAAAGACAGTGCAATATCTATGGCACTTTATATTCTGTGAGAATTAATAGCAAAGGCTCAGTGCCTTGTGTGATGAAATTCTGCATTTTGACATGCCCACATGCCTGGAATTGGCTACCATGCTCTGAATTCTGTGGATTTTATAAGCACAAATTTTAAACTAAAATGTCAAAAATTCTACTTGTTCTCCAATAATAATGGAATGTGATCCATGTTGAAAATTTAAAATCTGAATGATGCCAGTCAAGCATATAGAAGGAAAATATATTCCATTTTCTCTTTGAGTTTGTGTGTAAAGAGAATCTAAGGAAAGTCTGAGAAATACTATTTATAGCAATAGCTATAGCCTAGTACTTTACTTTAAGCTTGTAAAGTCTTAGAACTGAGTGGCAATCTAATGGGACTTGGAAAACTATAAAAATTATGAAAATGATGTGAAGCTTTCTGGAGTGATATCATCTGCATTTTTGGGTAAAGGACAAATTGCTTTGTCTCCTAACTGAAGTCAAGATGATATAATGCAATGTCAAGACCTCTGACTTTCAACTAAGCCATGACAATGACTAACCACTAGATATGTCTGCCTCTGACAGCTATTTTTTCCATTCACAAACCACTCAGTAGAGGTGTCATAATTATAGAGCAACTGTTAAAGAGTAAAGTTTTAGAGCCCCAGAAGTTTCCATTTTATCTCTCTGGTGATTACTGTTAAGATGGTTGTTGACTCAATCTAAACTGAATAAATTAATCATTAACCAATTTAGTTAGTGAAAGGAAAAATTTCCTAGTGATTGTTTGCAAATGAAGCAGTAAACTCAATTTCTTCCTACTTCTTCCAAAAACTCTGACTCCAGAAACCTCTAGAACTTTTTACTTCTGGAATGTTACTTTCTGACCCTCTGCCATTGTAGTAATAAGTCATCTGAAATTTAATTTTGAGACCAATTATCTGCTGGAACTAAAAGGAAAAGATAAAATAGGAATTACAGACAGAAAGAAGAACTGACAATATATTATTCAAATGTGTCCTGGGTTTAATCCAAATCCATATTATATGACAAACTAAGAAACAGGTGAAGAATAAAACCATGGAATATTTAGAAGCACTTGTGGCTGAATATTATCTAATCTTGCTATAGAGAAGGACTTTCTAGGGCAGTGGTTTTTAACCCTGGTGGCACAATACCATCACTTTGGGAACATGTGAAAATCTTTATACCCATGTAGGACACCAAATTAATCAAATTGGGATGTCCAGGGGAGGGGAGAATGGGGAGAATCCAAGCATCAATGGTTTTCAAAGCTCCCAGATGATTCTAATGTACAGCCAAGGCTAATAATTATTGATCTTAAAAGAAGAGATAATAAGGAAAATAATACGCAATGATGTGACTACATAACAACATGAAATTCTGATAAACATTACAAACAAAACAAAAACAGGGACAATACTGCAAATACATATAAAAGACAAGGACTTAATGTCTAATACATAAGAAATCCTTGTAAATTCTTAAGATCACATTTTCTACATTGTCGTTTTGTTTTGTTTTGGTATTTTCTATGAGCTCACACTCTCCTACCATGTTTACTTTGAAATCAAGATGGGGAAAACCGTCATTAAAAAAAAAATCAACATATTCCAGACCATTCAGTGAGTAAATACATCGTACCACCTGTTTCCTACTGCATAGCTTTTCTGCATCTAATAGTCCTTCTAAAATAAGGCTATATACCAAAACAACCACATCTAGTGAACTGTTAACAAGGAACTTAACCAAGGGCTTGCTTTTCTGACTTTAGTGTACATAGAAATTACCTGAGAGTCTTCGTAAATGTACATTTTTGCCTAGGAATATACATTCCTAGCAAACTTCCCGGAGCTACCAACATACCTTGTCCTGGGACTACATTTTGAGTACCAAATACTTAGTCAAATTTCAAAACTTTAGAGAGGGGTAGAGTTTGTATTTGCCTTTTATTTTCCTAAGAATCTCAAAAAAAAAGTGGTAGAGGGAGAGGTAAGACATAATTTAGACATGCATATCGTGCACTCTCATAGACGAAATATTTCAACTATTCTCAATCTCATACAAACAAATGAAATATTGATGGTTAAAACCTGGTGTTTTGAGTGGGTTCCTGCTTTCATCATGCCTTGCCTAGAAAATGAAATACTTACATTGCTTTTGTAAAAGACATTTGGTCAAGTAAGTCTAAATACAGTGGCCACCAGGAAAGAAATAAGGTCACGGGACTGTATTAACCACGTGAGTTCCATGCACGCTTTAAATAAGGCTGTGCTTACCAAGGTAAGTGAAGTATCAAAGTACTTTTGGGGTAATCCAGGCTCAGTCTCACTTGAATTTATTCGTTGGAGAACTCAAACAATCACGTCTTAACTGGCATGTTGATCCTCACAGCCAAACATAATGCAAATTACAAGGTAGACATTCAGTAAATATTTGATGAATAAATCAGAAAAATCTGTTTCTCATGTATGAGAACATGAAAACAAATGAGCACATGGTATGCACTCATTTTATAGATCATGAATGGATCTATGGTCCCTAACAATTGTTATCTACAAGCAGAGAACACAGAACTCTGTAAGTGCCCAAATACTTGATGATTCAACACTGAGAGACAGGCTAGTTTAGTAAGAGAATCAAGGAGATTCCCAAGTCTCCTGAGTCCTTAAGACGGGGCTTTTTGCAGTTTGTCACAGACTGCAAGGATTTTAATCACATCACGTGCTGGGTGATTGTTCAACATGCAGATCCCTATACGCCATACTTGGGATTTCAGCATCCAATTCAAGTCATTCTCTTTGAGAGCCACTGTCAGAGACAGAAGCCTGGTACCAGAGCTCTGGCTTCAATTTCTCCTTCTGCCATTTATTGGCTGCATGATCTTAAGCATATTTCTTACGCTTTCTGAGAACTGGTTGCAACTTCAGTATTCACAAGGGCTACGCAGGGAGCCCAATGAAAAACAAACAAAAAAAACAAAACAGGGCACTAATGGGTGATAGGGCACAGTGGGACTCTGGAAAACTGAAGTACTCATGCCCTACTTTAAAAGAGTCATTCCTCTAAAATAAAGGTGGCCAGGCCTTGAGAATTTTAAAGAGAAGTTGGAAATCCAGAGTTTTACATAAAAAGTTGAGACTTTAAAATGCTAGTCATTTATCCACAATTTTTAAAACACTGTACATATTGTTGTATAGGTCAGAAGCTTTCCACTGGCCAACAGGTTAGGGACTCTATCTTAAATCCTTGCTTTTTGTTTCTTTTAAATGTCAAATGAGGCTAACAACACCTACAATACAGGATTGTGTGGCAGGGGTCAGAGACAATGTCAGAGAAAAGCACTTTATAAATCATCAAGCATCCAAATAAGAGGTTATTAATATCACTATCATCATCACAATTATTGTCCCACAGTGCCTAAGTGTTTTACATGTGGAGAAGGAGAGAAAGGAGGATATTTCTTTCTAAAATCCATTTACCCATTCACAGTAGAAGCAGCATGTTCTTTCCCTTAACATGTCTTTTGTATGTGAGATATGAATAATGGTTATCTAAGGGGCTGGGCCATTCCATGGTCTTGCTTTTCTACATGTGGTCTTGGAGAGAAGATCATCAGATTGTGTATGTATGTGTGTGCACCATGTATATATATATATACACACACACACACACCATATATAAAATATGTATATATTTTTATATATACTTATATATTTACCTTGTCATTTATCTGCAATTTTTAAAACACTGTGCATGTTGTGTGTGTGTGTGTGTATATATATGTCTGTACGTATATATATATATGTCTGTACATATATATATGTCTGTACGTATATATATATGTCTGTACATATATATGTGTGTGTCTGTACATATATATGTGTGTGTCTGTACATATATATATGGCATGATTTAAAGTGTGTGATTAACAAGATGCCAAAAGAACACAAAAAAGAATGGAGAGGAAGTTGTGGACATGCATAAACATATTTCTACAACCACAGACCTTCTGATAATATAATTTGCAGAAATAGTTAGTTTTAACGGCACAGGCCTAATTCCTCAGTTATCTCCTGGTTGCCATTTGATGTATATTATGTTAGAGAGTAACATGATTTTTCTTTATTCTGTCAAGTTACTTAAATAATTCAATTCCCTCTCAGATAATTCAAAGATGCAGAAACTGAGGAAAAAATGTTATTCCTCAATCTTTATTCCTCACCATGCTGAAGACTGTAACATGGTATCTCAGTTCTCAGTCTTTGAAAGGGTAGTCCTGGGAATGTTAGCTGGGGAAAATAAGAATGTGAACCATTATTCTGACAAATTACCATAGAAAATGTTTTAGCCTCAATTATCTGGATTTTTCCATATAGATTTTTAAGGCCAACTTTATCTGGAAAGTTGTCCCCAAGACTTTGGTAATCTACAGTCTTAGGGGCAATTTTCCAGACTGTCTGGACAGTCTATATAAATTCTGCATTGACTTCACTCTCCATTTCCAGGTCAGGACCAGAGCATAGAGTCCTCTGCTTGGTCCTAGTGGAGCCTCCCTGCCCATCAGCCTCCTGGCTGGTTCTCCACTGAGACTCACAGACTGCCCTTGAAGCTTCATTGACCAGGAACATCTTTCTGCAGATGCCCTTTCAGCTTGTGTGTTGAGCATGCAAACAGGAGATGGAAAAGAACTAGGTTTCACATCCCTACCCAAAAGCTCTGGCTGTCCTGCCCATTTTCCCCAAAATGAGCCTTGCCTACCACCAGACAGGAGGAATAACTAAGACCTTGCCTCAGAAACCACTAATTACTTCCCTATACCTCACATTTTCCTAAACTGAGGTAGATGGATCAAAGAGGTCATGGAAAGCAAACTTCAAAGAAGCTGAATTTTCTACTGTCAGTTGGCTGGGCACAGTGGCTCACGCCTGTAATCCCAGCACTTTGGGAGGCCAAGGCGGGCAGACCACAAGGTCAGGAGATTGAGACCATCCTGGCCAACATGGTGAAACCCCGTCACTACTAAAAATACAAAAATTAGCTGGGTGTGGTGGTGCGCGCCTGTAATCCCAGCTACTCGGGAGGCTAAGGCATGAGAATCACTTGAACCCAGGAGTCAGAGGTTGCAGTGAGCCGAGGTTGCCCCACTACACTCTAGCCTGGGTGACAGAGCAAGACTCCATCTTAAAAAAAAAAAAAAAAAAAAAAAAAGAAAAGAAAAAAGCCTACATTCCCTATCTCCCTAAACCCACCAAACCTAATTGACAAGCTAATCTCTATGAGCCACAGAGTCATAAGACAGAAAATCTTAACTTGGCTCCTGGAGTGCAGTGTTGGAAGCAGCAGTGTGGTTCTGTGTGCTACTGGGAGAAAGTGTTGAAAATAAGCTCTTGTGGACCTGTTTACGACTGAGCTATCAGCCTTTGCATTTAGCCCCCACAGGTGGTCATCTTCCCCAATCTGACCCCAATTTTCCTTTCCATGTCCAAAGTCTCCTGGGAGTACACTGAGACAGAACTTATCACACCCAGTCCTTGCATAAATAAGCTATTTTATTTTGTCATTACTTGGGGAGCGTCTGTTTGGTTGTTTTAATCAGAAGGACTTTTTGCTAAGCCCTCATTAACAAGTTTAAAGATCTATCAGAATATTACATCTCTTCATTTCTCTTTCTCTTGGTTTTGAACTTAAATCTAACGAGCAGCTCACGATCTAATGCAAAAGAGAAGTCTTGTGTCCATGCAGGGCCCATGCACCATGGCGGTCACGCCGGTTTTTTCCCTTCTTCTAATGTGTTTGCCTGGGTGGACCACAGTCAATTATTATTGTTATTATTATTATTATTATTTGAGATGGAGTCTCACTCTGTTGCCCAGGCTGGAGTAAAGTGGTGCAATCTCGGCTCACTGCAGCCTCTGCCTCCCAGGTTCAAGCAATTATCCTGCCTCAGCCTCCTGAGTAGTTGGGATTACAGGTGCATGCCACCACACTCGGCTAATTTTTTTGTATTTTTAGTAGAGAGGGGGTTTCACCATGTTGGTCAGGCTGGTCTCGAACTCCTGACCTGATGATCCACCTGCCTCAGCCTCCCAAAGTGCTTGGATTACAGACGTGAGCCGCCATGCCCCGCTGACCACAGTCAATTTTTAAGCCATCATGGTGCAGTTAGTCCTGTCAGGTCCAATACTGAACTTCTTGATGGTCCTTGTTAGTGCCATGCAGTACACATAGGCCCAAAGATATGCTTGTAATTTTTTGTCAACAGCTTTTGCCTGGTTTCTCATGTCCAAAAAAAGACAGCCACAAACCTTCCTGTGCTTCATGGTGATTTTGGGGGGGAAGGTTATATGTATATGTGTGCATGTATGAGAAGTTGGAGGATGGAGTTAGCATCTTTGATGATAATGAATGGCTCTGGATTGCAATTCCTCTTCAGGCCAAAAAACCCTTTCCTAGTCTAAAGGAAGTAATTCCACAGCTGGGCTGTTTCATTAATCAGAATAGCATTTCCTCAGGTAGCCATGTAAAGTCTGTATTCTGGAGGTCATTCTCAGGGGCTGAGGCACGAACAGGGTCTGTGTCACAAGGCTGCATTACCAGGTACACTTGTAGAGGTGAACTGGGTCAAGGGCCAAAGTTCAATCCATTTGTATCCATTCTGTCCTAATAATGTTCCCTTGGCATTTTATCCTGCTGGGCCGTAGTCCATGCTTGATGAAATTTGCTAAATAGATAATGGATGATTACGTAGATGGAAGGAAAGAACCCGTGTGGGTATGAGGATGTGGGTGTGGACCCTCAGCCAGTAAAAATTAGCCTGGAAAACCTCTTTTTCCTCATGCTTCCGAGCCAAAGAATTAGAGCTTAACTCTGGCTTCCTCTTTGGTTAGCTTCACAGTGGCCCCTGCCTTGCTCTTACAAAGAATGGGTACAGACACTTCCCTTTTCTTCCCAATCCTGAGAAAGCAGCTTTCTTTTTTGCTGTAGCCCACCTTGCCCACAAATGAAACACATTTACCTTGACCAACTAACTCAACTGGGAAAGGAACTGAATTGTTGAAGAAACTACAAGGAGGCTGGTATACTAGGACAGAGCAGGTACAAGGGCACCCAAAGAGGCTAAGGTCAGATTGTGCAGAAGCAAAGTGGACTATATTGAGGAGGCTGGAATTTAAGGCAAATACAATAGAAAGCCAATGGGGAGTTGGAAGTATGAGGGCTACATAATTTTATTTAAAGAAAGAAAAAAATCACTCTGAATTATAGAGGGGACAAGAGTAATAATAGAGACCACTAGGAGTCTTCTAGGTGACTAGCGATGGTGGCAGTGAAGGTTAAGTAGGCAGACTCAAGAGATGTGGATTTGGAATCAACAGTCAACAGACAACAAATGTGCTACAGGCTGGGGTAGGGAGAGGAATGGAGGATGGAAAGAGTCACTTGAGCAGATGGTCTTGCTTTTTAAAGGAGGGGGTAGACCAAGGGAGAAATGGATTTGAGGTTAGCAGGAAAGAAAATAAAAAGTGCCCAAGTCTACTTGAGATGCTATCCACTTCCATTATTAATATTATCTGTATTTTCATTGTTGTTGTTTGTTTTTACATAGCCCTACAAACAGAGTATTTCCACCAGAGAAGAGTCTTTTGCCTTTGAAGCTCACTCGGCCTAACTGCATTTTACAACAATGCCCCCAGTGCTCAGTAGAGGCCCTAGATGTAAACCAGGACACAACTTATTTGTGTGGCAGTGACTTCCAGAGCAGTATCTAAAGCTTTCATTCTTCTTTAAGAGTTTTGGGGGCTCCCAAAAAAGATTCTGAGAAAGAAATGAGTACCCCTTAACTTCTTTCTCTTAATATGGCTATTATTTTAATTAGTGCTATAAATAGTTTTTTTTTTATGTTTTTAAAAGAAAAAAAAAAATTGGCCATGAGGGGGAAGGAAAATAAAAAACATATTGATAATTGAAGCAAGACTTGAAGATCTGGGACACAAGAAGGATCAAGGCCGGGTGCAGTGGCTCACATCTGTAATCCTAGCACTTTAGGAGGCTGAGGCGGGCGGATCACCTGAGGTCAGGAGTTCGAGACCAGCCTGGCCAACATAGTAAAACCCCATCTCTACTAAAAAATACAAAAAGTTAGCTGGGCATGGTGGCAGGTGCCTGTAACCCTAGCTACTCAGGAGGCTGAGGCAGGAGAATCGCTTGAACCTAGGAGGTGGAGGCTGCAGTGAGCTGAAATTGCACCACTGCACTCCAGCTTGGGTGACAGAGTGATACTCCGTCTCAAAAAGAAAAAAAAAAAAAGGATCAAGAAGAGGCCAACTTCCCCTAGGACCTGGGCAGAGAAGTCTAATGTTGTGAAAATATCAAAAGGACTTCAGATGCAGCAAAGCCAAAGATTACATAAAGTGTGCTGTCTTCCAAGGTGACAGCCACGGTAAGACTACAAAAATAGGTCTTCTAGGACTTGGCGAAAGTCAGACGTTGTGGCGTTCCTTTTGACTAGTGGATTTAGTCAAGTACGGCTTGCTAATATTCAGGCCATTGTCTCCTACATTTCAGTCAGAGTGGCCTGAGACTTTGGTTAAAGGAGCAAACTGAAGGAAGCACTCATTGTTTCCCCCCAGGCCCCTTAGCACTGTGTGTCTGCCAGATAGTACCAAGTTCATGCCGCAGGGAAAATGACAGCCTCAGATGAAATTCAGATTTTCTTTTTTTTTTTTTGAGATGGAGTCTCGCTCTGTTGCCCAGGCTGGAGTGCAGTGGTGCGATCTCGGCTCACTGCTAGCTCCGCCTCCCGGGTTCACGCCATTCTCCTGCCTCAGCCTCCCGAGTAGCTGGGACTACAGGCACCCACTACCACGCCCGGCTAATTTTATGTATTTTTAGTAGAGACGGGGTTTCACCGTGTTAGCCAGGATAGTCCCGATCTCCTGACCTCGTGATCCTCCTGCCTCGGCCTCCCAAAGTGCTGGGATTACAGCAAAGTGCTGGGATTACAGGTGTGAGCCACCGCGCCCAGCCGAAATTCAAATTTTCTTTAAGTTACTGTATGTTTCATTCAGCCAGGATGGTAAAATAAACCTTTTTGATGAAGGTTTCAAAAAATATTAAATTTCTTGACTTCTTGTTGATAGTGGTTATTTTTGTCTCTTGCGATTTTTTGTTGTTTTTGCTCAGTGGTTCAACGTGGCAGAGACATATGAATAACACTGGTATATATGACAGTGTCACACATACCCCCTTGCTAACTTGCGTGAGTTGACTATTTTTACACCATCATCACCTTTGTAACACAGTCCCTTTGTCTTTCGGCAGGGGATTTATTGATATTTAGGTAAAGAATGATTGTTGGCTGACTTCAACTATTTACCATCCTCCTCCCTAAAACTATTCCTAATCATATAACATGGCCTATATAATTTTCCACCCAAATTTATTTCTACTGCTGGCAAAAGAAAAAAAAAATAGGAAACAGGTTTGGGCGGGGGGGTACTTCTTTAACAAGAAGAGATGTTCAAAGCCAATATGAGTTCTGTAATAACAGCTAATTTCATAGTGGTGATAATAGATTGTTATTTTTATAATAATTACAGTACATCATTATCTAGGCTTCAAATGGAAAATTTGAGGATTTAATTATAGGGTGACTTATTTGTTTTTATGTTCTTTTCTACATTATTTGTATTTGAATGCTTGTGTCTAGATATCCAGCTTATTCCACAAAGGAAGAAAACCTTTTATCCTACGCAAGGAAAATATGGTGATTTAAAAAATGACTTAATGATGTTTCGAGGTTAATGCTATTAAGTAACATTAGTGTTTCTCAAAAGCTTGCTTGCTATAAGCCCATGAGCTACAGAGTGAAAACACTCTCAGGTATGAATTCTGGCTCTGCCCCTTCCCAGCTTTATAGCCTTGAATGAGGATGTAAGTCCTCTGAGCCTCCCTTTCTGATCTGAACCCGGGTGATAGTAATGGTACCCATCTACCCGTCTCTTATGCTGTGCAGGAATTAAGTGAGATGCTGTGTATAAGCCACTGTGTACAGAACCCACTACTAGTTACTATACTAAAAAGATGGTACTTTGTGTCAGGCCAAATGGAAGTTTCTAAATAATTCTTGCTGCTGGTTCAAAAGGTAAAAAAAGTGTTGTTTTTGTTTTTTAATTTACCTTGCAGAAGGAATTCTGTTAGCTGTTGAGGCTCTGGTTCTAATTCTGTTTCAGATGAGGTTAATTATTGATTACAATAGCACTATGAAGTGTGGAATTCCTTTCTGTCTACAGAGGGCAAGCAAAGGTCATTTTCTAGGAATAGATTGAGAAAATTCAAAGTCCATAACAATATTTTGCTTTTATTTATTTATTTAGAGATGGAGTCTCCCTCTGTTGCCCAGGCTGGAGTGCAGTGGCACAATCTCGGCTGACTGCAACCTTAGCCTCCTGGCTCCAAGAGATTCTCCTGCCTCAGCCTCCTGAGTAGCTGGGATTACAGGCATGAGCCACTGCATCCGGCTTGCCTCATTCTAAAAAAGAAAGAGTCAGAGGGTTCTTAAAACATTATAGTGAGGGCACTAATGAAAAATCATGAAGACTGCCTCCTGATCCTACCCCCAAACCCCAGCTCTGACTGTAACTTTTTGATTTGAAGGAAAATTGTGGGGAAAGAAGGCAGCCTCTTTTTCTTATTCAACACATGAAGCTTAAATAGCACAGGGTGTTCATACAGTTCACGTCTTCTCCTGATAACTGACAGGATCCCAGAGTTCAGGGACCCAAAGGGTTTCTTTCTCCTTTCTCATGTTTAGCATCAGCATCTCAAAGAGAGAAACCAAGCTGTGGACCTTATCCTGGAAAAGAATTAAAGCCACAAGATAGGTGGGAGTGAAGGGGAATTGCTTTTGATCCTCCTTGGGGAAAAAAAGTGCTGCTTTTACTTCCAAATGCATCCTGTAAGCTTCCTCCTTCAGTATTCATTTGAGTTGTCTATGAACTGCCAGTTCATTTGTTTGCAGTACCAGCCTCCCTGCTGTTGCAGAGATGTGAGAATAAGATGATTATTTATAGGCTTCTTAATGCCTGTTTTGCTGGACCGAAGAGGTAAATTTCTAGAACTCGGGCAAACTGGCAAAGCTCTTGCTCTATAATTGAGGAGGCTGAAGGCAGAAAGAACAAGAAGGGGAGAGCTATTTACATACATCTCATTATATCTCCTTGGCAAAGAATCCTCAGTCCTGGCTCTGTGAGAAGAATTGCTGCTCAGTTCCATGCAGGAAATTTCAACTAAATCTCAACATTTGGTCCAAAGAGGTCCTCTTCTCTGTCTTGCTGCAATTGTTAAGTAAGCAGCACTGTGGGGTTTTGAGATAACAGAGTCCCATCCCTCATTTTGCAGAAGAAATAGCAATTCATAGACAGGAGGAAGCTTAATGGATGTGGTCCGAAGTCCATAGCAAAAAGCTCCAGCCAGCAGGAGAAAGATTGGAGGTGGGGAGTGGAATTTCTTCCTTCCCCCAGCCAAGCCTAGCTGCACACATACAGCTCAAGCTCTCAGCCCCTGCCAAGGTTGGCAAATATCTTGAATATTGTCCCTGCCTTCTCCTACCTCTTATTCCTTTGGAATTGAACAAGTTCTTAACAGGACATTTTGACCAACATTTGGGGGGAAAAAATGGAACATTCAATCCTGAAGGGTAGTCCATTTACCTGAGCAAACCATGCTTTAAACCAAGGCACCAAATCAGTGAATGGCAGCTGGCTTGTTCTGAATAGTATACAGATATTTTATCCAGAATGACTATGAAGTTAGTCTTCCAAACTGGTACATGTTTGAGAGTGAAGGGGGAAACCAGTAATAATCAAGCCAAGACACAGGTAAAAACAGGACCGTCCATGGCAAAAAGGGACATGTGGTCATTCTACTTATGTTCCATGAATCTAATTGCTCAGGCCAAGGACTGGTTAGGGGAGAAGGGATAGGGAAAGTTCTCAGAAGGAAAGAGAGGGCCACTTTGGGTGGGTTTAGAGCAGTACCCGGCAAAGAGCATTTGTTCAATAAACAGACTCATGGAAGGACTCTGGGTAGAAGATGTGTGTTTGCTTAGCTCTGCCCCTTTCTAGTGGGGCAAGTCAATCCCTTCACCTCTGTCAGCGTCAGTTTCCTCATTTGTCCAGTGAGGGGAACAAACATGGCTCCCTTCACAAGGCTGTTGTTAGCCATCAGAAATCCTCAGTGCTGAACCTAGATGGGACTCCACCCAGCCTGCAGTTTGCACCCCATGGCTCTTTTGCAGGAATACGCTTTCACAAGGAATTAAGTTGACTGAAACCACCCATTATGGTTGGCCATGCCAGTCAAAATAAGCAAAACCCATTTCAGTAAATTTACAGAAATTATAAGATGACAATAAGGCCCAGATCATTAAAAATTAGAGTGTTTTCTGAGACCAGCTGTATGCATAACATCTAATTCTTTTTGAAACCTTTCCATAAGGCAAGGACCAGGGCTAAGTATGTAGCATTTATGATCCCATTTCATCCTCACCACAGGACAATGGAGTTTTTCACATCAGGCACATCCCTGGTTCAGGCTGAACTCACCATCCCTGTTGAACCATAGGGTCTCTCTGGAATGTCCTGCTTCCAGCTCCCCGCCTGGCTAACAATCTCACCGCCACATCATTGCTCACATTTCCCCTTTGCAATGAGCTCCTACTCTTACTGAATACCGCAAACCACTCCTCTGCCCTCCAGCATCTCCTTAGCCTGCTTTGTGTTATATTCTATAGCACTTTCCATTGTAACATACTATATCCTTTTTTTTTTTTTTTTTTTTTTTTGCTTTACATCTTTCTCCCCTCTTACTCTACCTAACTGTAAATGCTTTTAGGACAAGCACTCAATAAATGGCATCATTTATGACTAGTATTATTAATTTTTTAAAAGCCTCTCTACTAGTCTTCAGAAAATGTATAATTCTGATGTTGAGATCCAGGTAAGAATATTGTGTTCAGATGTGGTCCAGGGTCAGATACTTGTGAAATCCACAAAGTAACAGATCTGAGAAGCCATTGGATTTCTCTGAGGAAGGTCTGTTTCTGAGGGTCATGTCTACTCTTGCCTAGCACTTTAGGCTATCTCAAAGTCCAGTCCCCAGAACCAGCCTTCCTCTAACCCCTGCCCCTCAAGTCTCTCCATGGCCACCAGATGTAAACAGGTTAATGTGCTCATATTACATGGCTGGTTAGTCTCATTAAACCAAGGGTTTTGAGTCCACAAGCTAAAATTCCTGAAGCAGCAGGATGTAAAATGAGATGAGTACTGAATATTAAGTGGATGGTGCATGTTCCAAAGAAAGGCATTCAAATTTGAATTTACAGACTGCATTGGCCAAATAAAACCTGCCTGAGAGCAGGGCTTTCACAAATACTGACTCCTTTGAGCGTCACCTTGATTCTGTGGAGTAGACAGGGTAGGTAAAGTTACACCCATTTTACAGATGTAGAAAGAAACAGGACAAATAATTCACCTAAAAGATGGGGCCAGGGTTCTAAGACCAGTGCTGCTTCCAAATCCTGCTGGCACCCCTGCTACTCCCTTGCCCCCTTCCTTAAATCATCTTGATGTGACAGCACTTTTGCCTTCTCTCATTTTTTGCCAGAAAACTTATAATCATGCCCTAATGCTGATAGCTAATAGCTGTCCTACCTTAGGTTCCTCTTCAAATTCTCCCCTCACTTCCTCTATATTGCTGATTTCTGGTCTCTTTCTCTGAGCTCATAGAGTCTTATGGCAAGCCCCTTCAAAACAGCTTTGAAAAAGACCTTTGCGCAAGTAGAGAGGGTTCATAAATAAGTTGCAAGGTAATTGATACTGTGAAAATGCCACAGAACCTGGACATGAGTTTGTCCTTTCAGTAAACTTGTCTCCTCAACATAACAATGACAAAGCACAGTGTAACTAGCCTCATCTGTCACTCCCACTTCTGTTGGGTGACATCTTTAGCCCCTGTGCTATCTCTATAATTAAAGCATCACCCACTCCAGTCACCATTCTACCTTACTTTGTCTTTTGTTTATAAATGAATGGCCCTAGAAACTCCTCAAATGGAGGGAATCAGAAGCTGTCCTTCCTGGATTTGTTACTACTGCTGCACTGTTTCATAAAGAACACTTCTATTTTATTACTTTGACTGTTTCCAGTCCAGTGAAGAGCTTAAGACATAGGCTTTGGAACTAGGAAGCTCTGGGTTTGAAGCCCAGCTTCTCCACTAATCAGCTCTGTGAACTTCTAAATCTATGGGTCTATCTGAAAAAATGAGAATCACCTGAGGTTGATATCACAGCACTGAAATTAGCTACTCTATAAAGTACATTATACAAAGCACAGTGTCTTATACATAGTAAATGTTAAGCATAGTAGCCACAAATTTTTGTTCTTACGAAATACTATCCATAACTTAACTCCCAATTCTGTATTAGGAAATAATTGCTTGGGGTGGCCCACACATATATTTTACTTCTGATCAGCTCTACTACCTAAGAAGACTGGAAATTTACCCTTTTTTCTTACCTTCCTCTCTTCCCTTTCCCTCTTACACTGGGAAGTCAATGCACTTACATGAGGACTCTCTTAACGGTGTCCTCAATTGTCCGTGGTTCTAGTTCTGTGAACAGACCCATTTTAACAAGAGAAGTCAGCTAAGTACAAGCCCAGCTCAGGCCTGGTTGTGACCTGCCAACCACAGGGACATCTGTGGTGGGTTATTTCAAAGAAAAGTAGAAAAACAGGTAAATTGATGTCAAAATTCCACCAGGAAATGGAATTTGCTTTACCTTGTTGTCAAAGGCCTAAATGAGATGTATAGTTGAATTTGTGGCAGAAGAGAAAACAATTTCTTGCAAAATCTTCAAAGCTAGAAAGAGCAACTTTGTATTGGCCATCAAGCTAGCCATGTCTAACAACCCAAGGTTCAAAGTTATCAACTCTTCACCCAATAACAAGATGAAGCATGTGGCTCTATCCTTTAGGATGGCTATGGAGGATTAGAGTTATAAAACCCATCCCAGAAATGCAAATTAAAACCATGAATCCAAATCATATCTGCAAAGCCCCTTTTCCCAATAAGGTCACTTTCAAAGATTCAGGATTGAAGTTGAGGGTCACTATTTAATCCACTATACTGGCCAGCCTCCAAATGACTTCTTGGTTTGAGAATGCACTTATATGCCTTGGAGGTATCTTTGCAAAAGTGCATTGCCCATAGAGAGGGATCTGAGGGTGAGGCATCTATCTCCCTTACTACCACCTTCACATAGGTTTGTCAAATGTCATGGCTCCTAGACGCTGAGGGTTTCATAACAGGAAAGAAACCCCCTATGATCTTCTGCTTCCCCAGAGCACCATTTGGCTTCTAACTGGAGAAAAAACTTCTCACCCTGAATGGAAATCTGTTTACCCATGCACTTTTCAGGAATTTTGGACGTGTGGAAAAACCCAAAATAAATGCATCCATTTTCATAATTTCTTTATGAAGGAACCATGTGTAAGAAAGATCTAGGTCCTACCACTTACATGCTATGTGATCATATTCACATAATACAAAGAACCTCAGCATCCCAACCCATAAAATGAGAATAATGATGTTATTTCAGGAGATTAAGAGTAATAATAAATGTAAATGCATCTGGCACTGTGCTTGGCATATAATAGCAACTTGAAGAGAGATCTTTTGGGGGTTCTGTCTAGTGCATGGGTATGTATCTTTACTTCAGATGTTCTTTCTATCCTGTCCATAAATCAAAACCTGTGGGTGAGTGTGTGTGGTTAAATGTGCATTTCCTGGCTGGGCGCGATGGCTCACTCCTGTAAGCCCAGCATTTGGGAGGCCAAGGCAGGTGGATCACCCGAGGTCAAAAGTTCAAGACCAGCCTGGCCAATATGGCAAAACCCTGTCTCTACCAAAAATATAGCTATTAAATATTAGCCGGGCATGGTGGCGTGCACCTGTAGTCCCAGCTACTTGGGAGGCTGAGGCAGAAGAATCACTTGAACCCAGGAGGTGGAGATTGCAGTGAGCTGAGATCATGCCACTGTACTCCAGTCTGGGCGACAGAGCAAGACTCTGTCTCAAAAAACAAACAAACAAATAAAAAAAAATATATATATATATATACGCGCGCGCACACACACACACACACACACACACACACAAAGTGTGCTGTGGCAGACAGAGGAAAAGCAGGTCGTGTTTTATGTCCCCAGGGGTAGGGAGGTTAAAGTCTCTCTGGGAACATCAGCATTCATTTGTACCTGAGTCAAGATACTCGATGGCCCCACTTAAAAGTGTCAATTACCACCTACCTCAGGAATGTCACTTGAAAAGTGAAGCACTTTTTAAAATATGGTCAAAGAGAGGTTCTAGAAAAACAAATAAAATAATTGGAGTTTTCACACTGTGCCTTTAAATATCAGGATATTTTTATCAACTGAAGTATGAGATCCTAAAATGGTCATAATTCCTTAGCAATGGGGGAGGTAAGTGAATTCACATTGACGATTGCCACTTGAACACTTATGCTACTGAAAACATAGTATTTACTTTGAGTGAAGTACAAACATATTTTTAAATCAACAGAGGAAAATCTACAGTGTTTTTCTACACACTCATATGACTAATAACTAGAAAATGAGTGCCAAGAGAATGGCAAGTTTGTGCCTAGGAAAGAAAAGCCAATTTTCCACAATCCCGATGTTCTTCAGCAGAAATGATGACCTGAGTATTGTTGCAGAACCCAAAATACCCTTGTTGTAGTGGTGGTGTTATTCTAGAGTTCCTGCCTTCTAATATCATTGTCATTCCCCAAGTGAGAAAAAAATGTTAAGTAGAAACAGTCTAAATTGGGGAAAAATAAAAAGATAAATGGTAATTATTTGAGTCATGCCTGTCATGCCATAACACGCTGGTTAGAAACCAAAGGAAATTGTATTATCAGATACAAACCCTGATATGAACATCTGGACAGGGTTCACGTGTGATGTGCATGTGTTACTATTTACCCAATCCAATTAATTCAACCCCAAAAAATGTACTGAAGCAGCTACAACATGTTATTGGAAGAGGAGAAAGAGTTTCATTTAATCTTAGTTACCACTGAAGAAGAAAAGAGTTATGAAATATAGCAAAGAGAACAAGAATTCCCTTCTTTTTTTTTCCAGTAGGAATTTATTTCCATTTTTTAAAAATAAACATTTAGTCCCCATCACTTTGCTAGTCATGAATGTGGAAGGGTTGAGCTCTCAGAACGAATCACACGTTTTTGGAGAGCCTCATAGTTAAGTGTAGTGGTGGCTGGGAGGGGAGCAGAAACAGATACATCAATTATGAATTCTGGAAATGATAATAGAGGGAAAACCTTACTCTTCCTGGGAAAGTCAAGAAAATGTGACCTTTAGCTGGCTTTTAAGTTTCAGTCCTGGCCAATGAGAGTTGGAGCACTGGTCTCAATATACTGACCAGGCTGGCAGCTAAAGGAAACACTCACTTCTCCAGGAATCTCTCTAAGCAATTAAGTGAGGCTTAGAGAGAGCATTCTGCTCCTGGGTATGAGTCTCCACTCTTACTGAATCACTAAAGACCATAACCATAGATTAATTACTAAACCAGAATTGATAAGAATGAAGAACACTATTGTGAATTATTCCCTCTTTAATTCCCAAGTTTAGGTGCATCAAAAGGTATTCCTTATGGCTGCATGGAGGAAGAATGGGGATGTGTGTATACATCCATGTAAACACTCTAAAGTCTAAATGAATCTTTGAAGCATCAAGTCTTGATGGATATCATGGTTAATTTTATAAGACAAATTCAATACACTGCTAATGAATTTAGAGCATACAGTATTAAAACTCCAAATAAATGCTCACTGTATAGCTTTTGAGTACAGAATGTTCTAAAAAGTCAGAGAGGGAAAATAGATGATTGCGTGAAACTTGAACCATTTAGTTTTGGGAAAATGAAAATTGGTTCCATTGCCATTTTTTGGTAGCCTTTCGCCTAGATAAAAGTTGGCAATAATTTTAGTTTGCCTCATCTTATCTTTCCCACTCATGCAATCTCTGACATTTAATGAAAGCTAGCTGCAGCAAGAATTCCCAGGAGCAAGCATGTACAAAATCCAGTGAAACTGACTCACAGTCAATTTTTAGAGAGATAGCTGATGTAAAGCAAGTTAACGATACCCTCTGTGAAAAATGCTGTTTAGGCAATTTAAAGGGATTATTTGGGGGGAATAAAGATTCTGTAAGTAGGAATAACATATCTTAGGAAAATCCATACCATTGTTTATAGAATAGTCCACAGAATGTCAAACACCAAATAAAATGAAATCATCAGATAGTGACTATAAATGCATGATCTATATTGAATTTGAATCTTTGAACTCTTCCAACAATTTTCCACCCATTTCTTGTTTATATGCTTTTCAGCTTTTTTTACATTTGCAATTCTAATTTATAAAAAGATAATAAAACATGAACGTTTTTGAAAGGTGAATACTATCATTTTACATAAATATAATATTGAGAATTTATATACCAAAGATTTCTTTGCATTTTTCACAAAGATTTTAAGATTTCTGCAAACCAAAGTTTTAAAATAGTGGAAGCAATTCCTATTTATCAACTCAGTAACTGAATATTCGTTTGTCTGAATTGCTCATATTTCTGTTGAGCTGTCTCCCTTCAAGACCTGCTCTGATTTAAGCCAAATGAAATGAACATTAGCTGTAACTTACTGAATCTTGAAAATGTTCCCCATGAGCAGAAATGAATATTACTGCTTCCATACAATTTGCAGAATACTGGTTTACTCCTGTTTTCAAGGACACTGAGGGATGGGGACACAATGCATCATGCAGTACAGGAGATAGCCTGTGAGTTGGAGGGAATGTTATTGTACAGAAATATGGTCTATAGCTATGAGAGATGAGCTACTGGGAAAGAGAAAGAGGCTTCCATTGGATTAATCTAGTAGGGGCCCAGTGATCATTTAAAGGCATCTCTTTTAACTTCGGTAATGGTCAGACTATTTTAAAGCAATCACATATGTAAATCAACAGCACCAAGCCTGACACATAGTAGAATCTCAATAGATATGAATTCTCCTCATAGGTTATAAAATACATCCTGTGTGAAAAGAAAAAGTAATCACCCATTGGAAGCCCCATCTGTTCACAGGTAGCACACACCATTATGTAAGTGAGACATCTGGTTTTGTTTAATGTTGATTGAAGGCCTGTAAACAGATTGGTTCATAGCTTATAAATCTATAAAACTGATCAAACTCTGGCTGGCTCCACAGCAACAAGGTCTCACTGAGATAGGAAGAGAGTGTGGATTTTCAACACGGTAAGATGTTTTAAAAAGGGTGAGGATTTTGTTTTCCTATTCTAGTCTCTTGGGAGCTCATCCCACATTTCCTTCAGACTAACCCCACCATTAATAGTATAATCACTGGGCGTTTGGTACTAGGGCTAGGCAAACATTTCCTAGTGGCATATTATTTCTAGTGGTACATTATTTCATGGGAGTGAGGGTTAGGGAAGTAGTAGCATCTGCTTTCTAATCTACAGAGAAAACTGAAGTTCTGTTTACCAAGACAGAATAGATGAAAACCAAATAGGTAGATAAAATATAGGATGTAAGCTAAAAAGCAAAGTATTAAATAAAACCTTATGGTTTAACTTTTCAAAATATATTTTGTCTGAATGTATCAGCCCTAGATTATTTCCCAGTTGCAAAGGTAAACTGTAATTTTTTTAATGGTGACATCTGGCAGTCACCGCTTTAACCACATGATCAAATTTAGCATCACCAGTAGCAGGGCAGCCTAACAATTGGTGCCTCTTGACAGGAGATGCATTCACATGCCTATAGTACCACCCATGAAGCTTTCTTGGCAAAAACATCTGACTTGAATTTAATTAGGAAAGAACAAAGGGATGCAGAAGGCAGGACATTTTATAAGACATTGCATGGGCCTGGGATCTTCCAAAAAGTCAAATGTCTTGAGAAACAACAAAATATTATAGATGTATACATATGAAAAATTATAAAATATTTGTGAAATAAATTAAAGTAGACCTAAATAAATAGAGAAATATGCTTTGTTGATGGTTTGGAAGATTCAATATTGTTAAGATATCAATTCTCCAAATTATAATATAAATTCAAATCAATACCAATCAAAATCCCAACAGGCTTCTTATAGAAACTGACACACTTTTTCTAAAATTTATACAAAAATACAGAAAACCTAGCTAAAACAACTCTGAAGAAAATGGAAGGCTAATATAATCTGATTTCAAGAATTATTATAAGGCTCTAGAAATCGGAACAACAGAGTATAAGAAAAACAGATCATTAGAACTGAGTAGAGTCCAGAACTAAACCCACAAATGTGTGAACAACTGGTCTTGGCAAAGGCAGAAGGGCAATACAATGAATAAGAATAGCTTTTTCAACAAATGATTCTAGAGTAATAGTAATATCCAAAATAAACAAACATGCACAGACCCATGCCTAGTGCCATATATAAAAATCAACATAGATTATAGATTTAAACATAAAACCTAAACTATAAAACTTCCAGAATAGAAGAAAATCTTCGTGACACTGGGTTAGGCAAATATTTCTTAGGTATCATGCCGAACACACAATTTATACGTGAACAGATTAACTGGACTTCATCGAAATTAGAAACTTCTGTTTTTCAAAAGATAGTGTTAAGTGAATGAAAAGACAAGATACAGACTAGGAGAAAATTTTTTGCGAAGCATGTGTCTGATAAAGGGCCTATATTTGAATCAAAAAACCCTCAAATTTTAGCAAGAGGCCAACAACGCAGTAAAAAACAACTGGGCAAAAATATTTGAACAGATATGTCACCAAAGAAGATACCACAAATAGCAACAGGGAATTTTCTCAACATCACCAGTCGTTAGAAAAACAAAAATTAAAACCACAATTGAATTTTCCTGCACACCTATTAGAAAGGCTGAAGTTAAAAAAGATTGACCATATCAAATGTTAGAAGGGATTTGGAGGAACTGAAACTCTCATACACTGCTGATAAGAATATAAAATGCTGGCCGGGCGCGGTGGCTCACGCCTGTAATCCCAGCACTTTGGGACGCCATGGCAGGCAGATCACGAGGTCAGGAGATCCAGACCATCCTGGCTTACACGGTGAAACCCCGTCTCTACTAAAAATACAAAAAATTAGCCGGGCGTCGTGGCGGGCGCCTGTGGTCCCAGCTACTCCGAAGGCTGAGGCAGAAGAATGGGGTGAACTCGGGAGGCAGAGCTGGCAGTGAGCCGAGATCGTGCCACTGCACTCCAGCCTGGGCCACAGAGCGAGGTCTCCGTCTCAAAAAAAAAAAAAAAAAAAAAAAAAATGTAAAATGCTACTATCAGTTTGGAAAATACTTTGGCAATTTTTTAACAAGTTCAGCATATACCTACCACATGATCCAGCCATTCCTCTCCAAAGTATTTATCCCCCCCAATGAAAAATATGTATATAGTCCTACACATGAATATTAGTGACAGTAGTTGCCAAAACTGGAAGCAACCCAAATGTCTGTAACAGATGAAAGGAAAAACAAATCATAGTATATCCTTGCAATGGAAAACTACCCAGCAATAGAAATTAATGAAATATTGATACATGCAATAATATGGTTGAATGTCAGAATAATTATGCTGAATGAAAGATGCGAGACAAAAAATAGTAGTTATCATAGAATTTTATTTATATAAAACTCTAGAAAACAGAAAAGAATTTGCAGTGAGCAAAAGCGAATTATGGGGGAGGTTGAAAGGAGTGAGGGAGAAATACAAAGAGGAATAAGGAACTTTTGGAGGTGATGCTGATAACTATCTTGACTATAGTGATTTCTCTGGTGTACATCTGTCAAAATGTATCAGATTCTAGTCTTTAAATATGCACAGTTTATTGAGCATGCTTCAACAAATCTGTTTAAAAACCAAAGGCAGGGAGAGTGTTCTAAATTATAAGTCTGATAAGACATAACCGAATGCAATGTATGAACCTTGATTGTATTTTGGATTGAGGAAAAATCATATGAGACATTTTTGGGACAAATGGAGAAATTTGACTTTGTATCATATGTTAGATGATAGAAATTACTGTTAAATTTCTTAGGTGTGACAATGATACTGTGGTTATGCACAAGTGTCTATTTCTTAGGTGACGCTTACAGAAATAAAGTGCGAAGTATTATAATGTACATGACTTTTAAATAGTTTAGCAAAAAGCGTAAAGAGAAAACAATAAGCAGGAAATGAACAGATGGTGAATCTGCATGCAGAGTGTACAGATGTTCTTTGTCCTATGTCAAATTTTCTGAAAAATTTTTAAGTATTCAAAATAAAAATTTGGGGAAAATATATGTATTGTATATGCTTACATGTATCTAGGCACAAAAAGTAAGATGGGGATGTTTCAATTCATAGTCATAGGAATGCAGAAACAAGTTCTGGGGAGAGGATGTGTCTTTTCTGAGAGATGCTGATGTGACTTAGTACTTGCTATAAATGTTGTAGGGTGCTCAGGTGATCATTGAGGTAAGTGCTTGGAAGAGGAGTTATAGAATAAATTACATTTAGAATAGTCTTGATTTTAATTGGAACTGAGATGCCCATGAGGGTTCTAAGTGATACTCTGATTATGGCTGAACTCCCAGGGAACACAAGTGCAGGAGGTGTATTTGGAAACGCCCTTAGTATCAGCACCAGTGGGCAGAAGGGAGAGAATCAGGATTGGGCTGATGGAGAAGTTGGGCTGGGATGCAGACTCAACTGGTCTCAGCTGGCATCGCTCAGGGAGCTCAGAAGCTGCCTTATGGAGCTGTCCCACTCGGCACAAGGAACTGGGCCTTTATCTACCAGTATATCCTAGTCATTATTTGCAGGATGCCCAGGGGAAGGGGGCATAAACGTAAGCAAGCTAAATCTCTTTAGTCAAGGCAATTCCCAAAGAGAGCTGTCAGCTGGTGAACTTTCCAGCATCTGCACCAATAGATCCCTCGGTCCTCAAGGTGGAATGCCTCTGGAGGGTGCAGCACAACATTCATAACACACTGCTTCTGTGTTTCCTTCATATATTGTTCATGCTTTTTATACAAGGCATGCATAAATAATTGCCTATAATGATTGACATATAATCATTTATAAATGTTATACATTGTTAACACATTATTTCAAAATTCTAATTTTCTTCAGCATGTGTCTTAACTTTCTTCAATTCATGGCATGTTATGGAGACCATGGATTTTATCAAAAAGAAATAAGTTAACTTGAGAAAGAAGACATATGCTTCTGAGACTCAAAGGCAAGGTGAAGATAATACATTGGCACATAAGGATTTATAAACAGCCTTTATACGAATTCCCACAAATATTAAGTGAAAGAGGAAACTAGAATTTAGAATTTCTGACACCTGAGTCCAGTGGTTTCATCCCTACACCAGAGACATGTCTGTTAACACTGCGCCTTAATGCAAACTTTGGACTCGCTTTTATGACCACAGGACAAGAAAAGCTTGTCTCAAACATCTCTAATGCGTGCAAAGCCTGTGCTACAGGGTTACAGTGGAAGAAACAGAATGGATAGTTCATTATTAGACACCCTATAATTACCCTGCCAAACTTTCCAGAATCTACAAGGGTATGTAAAATGGTCATTTCTTTAAGGTTACAGCCACAATTCTCAACCCAAGATGAGAGTCCTCTTTCCTATGGAGTTCAGTGTTCCTCCCCCAAGATCAACTCACTCCCTCAATTGCTGGACATGCCTGGGTCTTTTCATTTGAGGCCACCCCTCAGGCTTCCACTTTTGTTGTAATCGTGGAATA
Source organism: Homo sapiens (assembly GCF_000001405.40). NCBI lineage: Eukaryota > Metazoa > Chordata > Mammalia > Primates > Hominidae > Homo > Homo sapiens. The sequence goes on from NC_000003.12 coordinate 7,664,301, forward strand.
AATTATCTTTTGTCCTCTCCATAATCCCCTTGACTGCACTTCCCAGGATTCCACTCCTTGTCCTCATTCTGATATGGGTATTTCATGATTCAGATCAATTCTTTATGTCGGTAAAGGGGTCAGACTTTTCTCACTGGAGATCTGGGGTACCTTTCCGAGTATCTCATGTGTTACTATGGGCAAAGTCTGTGCTTTGGAATTGCCAAATGTCTTCTACTTTTTTATTATGCTTTAAGTTCTAAGGTACATATGCAGAACGTGCAGGTGTGTTACATAGGTATACACGTGCAATGGTGGTTTACTGCACCCATCAACCCGTCATCTACATTAGGTATTTCTCCTAATGCTATCCCTCCCCAACCCCCATGCCTTCTATTTTTATTCCATCTTATATGTAAGCTAAATAGCTAGAAAATGAATAAAGACAGGTAGTCTCTGCTCTACCATAGAAAGAAAATTATAAAGATACTGGGGCACTCAATGCTTACTTGAAACTCAGATAATTCCAATTCATTTTCCTTATGTGGCTTAAGCTCCTCCCTCCTGCTTTATGGCTGGTTTTCTTAGTCTACTCTTGATCTCAAATTAGTAAATTTCATATTATAACCACACATCAGCAGAATCAGACATTGCAACCTGTTCATGTTTCAGACAATATTTATATTTAATTTGTATATTATTTATTTTTCATTCTTTTTTCTTTCTGCCTGCTCAAGCACACCTTTTATCATTTGGGACATCTGCCTGGGTGTGTTTGCACTATTGGTGGAAAAGATAGCAATGACACATTCTCTTGACAAAAGGTTGTATTTGGTAAGGGAATTGGACACAGTTTCAACTGCATACGGAGAATGTTTGCCCATGATTCTTTTTTTTTTTTTTTTTTTTTGAGACGGAGTCTCACTCTGTGGCCCAGGCGGGAGTGCAGTGGCGCAATCTCGGCTCACTGCAAGATCCGCCTCCCGGGTTCACGCCATTCTCCTGCCTCAGCCTCCCGAGTAGCTGGGACTACAGGTGCCCGCCACCGCACCCGGCTAATTTTTTTTTTGTATTTTTAGTAGAGACGGGGTTTCACCGTGTTAGCCAGGATGGTCTCGATCTCCTGACCTCGTGATCCACCCGCCTCGGCCTCCCAAAGTGCTGGGATTACAAGCGTGAGCCACCGCGCCCGGCCTTGCCCATGATTCTTAATAGGAAATATGAATTTAAATATAAAACACATAGGCAAATATGCACTCCATGGTAAAGAATCAGAATTTTCTTGTCAGTTCCCTTTAGAAATACTTAGAGCTGTTTGTTTTTCCAAGTACTGGCAATTAAAACTGTGGAGAATGAAAAATTAAACAGCTTTACAATCTACTCTTTCATTAAATAAGTTTTTAATTGAAAGTGAGTATCTGTGCAGTAGAGTGAGCTTTAGAGTCCCAAAGACCTCAACTTTCTTCTTAGCTTTGCTCCTGATTACTGTGTCTCTTCCCAAGTCATGTAACCTTTCTGCAAACTTAGGATTTTTAATGTATATTCTCTATGTGTATTTAAGACTCTAAATCCACCCGTTATATATTTACACCTCAAAAAGAGGGTCCGTTTTACTCATTAGGACTTTTATATGTGCACCATACTTTGGAATTATTATACTCCTTATTCATTCAAAAATTATTTTTTGAAGGCTTCATTTTTGATAGGTGTTCCCCTGGCCATCACAGAGCTTAAATTCTAGTGGGAGAGTAGGACTTGAGATAACTGAATCTATGACCGCAATGATAATTACTGATGATTATATATACTGTGAATGAAAAGAGCAGGCTGCTCTTAGGGAGCATCACGGAAGGAGAAAATTCAAATTGGTGGGGTGGTGTGTCTGTCGTCATTCGAGTTACATTTCTTCATCAGAGAAAATGCAAGAAGGTTGAACCTGAAGAATGAGTTAGGAGAACTGAAGCAAAACAAACAAACAGAAAATATTCTGGGCAGAGAGAATAATATACACTAAGTCCTTTCACTGGAATTAAGTTTGGATTCCCCAAGAATGCCAGGATAGATAAGTCATATTCAAGAGAGACTAGCTAAAAAATTCAAAACATAGCCAGGCCAGATACTATAGGGCCATGGGAAGTCTTTGAAGGATGTCTTACATCAGACCACATAATCTGCTTTGCAGCTTCTACAAAGATCGTTCTGGTTGCTCCGTGCAGAATTATTTGGAGGGAGGCAAAAAATGGATGTGGCGAAACCAGTTGAGATGCTACCATGGCATCCTCTGCACGATGCAAGTCCATTAGAACAATAATAACAATGATAACGGCCAAAACGTTAGAACTTAAAAATGGTAGCCACTGGTCTTTGTGCTTTAGGTGTTATTAACTGGTTAAACATATCTGAGACAGGTGAGGGCATTGGGATGAGAAGGGAACAAATTACAGAAATATTACCGGTATTATTAATTTTATTATTATTACTTCTTATTACATATATTATATATTGCATTACTTATATTACAGGTAAGATTAGCCAACCAGAAAACAAACCTGATACGAAGTATAAAAAGTGAGGGAAATACAAGTATTAAAGAATAACACTTAAGGTTCCAATTTGTGCAACCAGGTAGATAAATAGTTCCCAAGAAAAGGAAAATTTGTGGAGAGGCATGTTGCACAGCGAATGCCCTATTTTTGACATTGAGATGCCTGTTTGATTGTCTCAGCAGACCTATGAGGTTGGAGATGATCATCCCTACACTAGAGATGATAAACATCAGAGTTTGAAGTCATCTGGGCAACACAGCAAGACTCTGTCTCTACAAAAAACAAACAAAAAAAATAGCCAGAGGTGGTGGCACATGCCTGTAGTTGCACTACTTGGGAGGCTGAGACAAGAGGACTACTTGAGCCCAAAAGTTCAAGACTGAAGTGATCTATGATCCTACCACTGCACTCCAGCCTGGGTGACAGAGTGAGACCCTGTCTGTTAAAAAAAAAAAAGAGAGAGAGAGAGAGAGAAAAGATAAGCATCTAGTTGCATGGAAATGAGAATAACATTTTCAGGCACTTCTGCAGGCACTCGGATGGGTGGGCCTGACATCCCTATAGACATTTCTGAGTACACTATGTAGGAGACTTCGGTATTTTATTTCTCTTCCTGCTCCAACCACCAACACACAAAAAGTATGGTGATCCCATAAGCTAAACTTGAATAGAGAAATTGCCATTAAAATTACTTATTTTAAAAAATTCATCCATCAATTTTTTAATAATTATATCAAAGTTTCATATAGTTTCATTTCAGAAGTCAGATGAAGCAATAGAACATTTTCTAAGAATTTTTTTTTCCTAAATTATAAACATGGTCCTAGATATTATGGAGAGATCTGAGTTGTGGAAAGACAGCAATTTACTCACATTCTTATTAATTATTTTGTAGATCACTTTTATACTATCTAAAGAAGGGTAGGTTTTAAAAATATTTATTGATAATTTCTTTAAAACTCTAGGAGAAATTAGCATTACAAAAACAAAACACATATAGGGTCTCAGTTAAGTCAAAGTCAGCAGATTTATGTCAAAAAAAAAAAAAAAAAACTTCAACGCCTGAACTCATCACTGAGTTGTCATGGCAACCATTTCATTTTTCTATTGTGAGGAGACAATTAGGTGCTAACCTGGGTGTTAGCACAAGCTGTTTGAAAGATAAGCTCCCATCTTTACAAAAGAGGCAGAGTTGTTGGATTTTCATTGTTGCCACAGGCTCTATAGGAGTTATTATTGACAATTATGCTTTATGGTTTAGTGAATATATCAAAGATGGGTTAGAGAAAATGTAGGTGGCCACCCTCAGGACAGCAGAGTCCACTCCTCCTCTCTTGAGCCAGTTTAGGAAATACTTACTGCAGGGAAAGTGTGTGCCCTGGGAGCCTCAGGCTCTTTCCCCTTCCCACCGAGTACCTTTTGCCTTTCTGTTTTCTGTGATTATGCCAGGCATGGAGCCAAAGATTGGAAATGGAATCTCTATCTTTGTGTGTCCAAGACTTCCTTATTTAACATCACCAATTAAGTCCCCTCTATTTGCCACCCACAGTGGCAGACACTGGAGATACAATGGTGAGCTAACTAGCTATGCTTCCTGGAGGAGGAGATACACTACTCTCTCTCCTCCTCCTCCCTTTCTCTCTCTCTCTTTTACGCACATGTACACATTTAAATATGGAGGCAAAAGTTGCTTTGAGAACTTGCCTAACAGAACAGTATTCCCTAGTCTTGGTTAGAAAAGTCTTTGCTGAGAAAGTGAAGCTTAAGTGGCTCTCTGAAGGATGAATAGAAGATAACAAACTGGGTGGGGTAGAAGAACATACTAGGGGAAGAAGAAAGCACAGGCAAAGGCCTTGTGACAGAAGGAAATACAGCATATTTAGGAATATGAAAGAAGACAGAGTGGCTGTGGGGACCATCATGAACTGAGAGATAGAAGTTGAGTGACTTCGAATTTTGCATGGATTTCTCAAATGAGTGAGGACCACTTCATTCATCAAACATACATTGAACTTGTTTCTTGCTCCAGGTACTAAGATGCAAGATAATGTAAATATGGCCCATGCCTTTGATTTCATTACTTCTAGATGCTCCCTCAATCCCTGATTCCCACAGTGTATTCTGGTTCTCTACCTATTATATGTTACTACTTTTCATTTTGTATTCAAACTCAGACTTACAGGATTAAATAAAATGTTGGAGATGACACAGTTAGCAAGTGGCATAAGCCCGCATCCAAATCCAGCATGCTTGACGCCAATTCTATTGCACTTGTCATATCTTTTGCTGTACAATATATAGAACATATGGAATGTTAAGTCTAGCAAGGGGACACGTATAAAAGAAATATGCAGCGAATAATCACAAATTGTGATTAGTGAAACAAAGGAAAATAATACATCCTATAAGCGAGTAAAACAAGATGGGCATAATTTAGACTTGAAGGCCAGAAAAGGCTTCCCCAAGGAAGTAAGGCAGAGTCCTGAAAGACAAGTAGGAGGTAGCTAGGTAAAGATGGGTGGGAATAGCATCTAAGGCAGAAGGAACAACATGTGCAAAGGGCTTAAGGATGGATGGAGCATGGCTCATTTTAGAGATTTAGAGAAGGTAAGGGAAGTCAGAAGGAGGACCCCACAGAGTTCTTTGGGCCATGTGAAGGAATATTATCTTCATCCAAAGTGTGGTAGAAATTTGAGCTAATGCAGCAGGACAGAGTTTTAAAGAAGAAAAGAATGAGACCTAGAAGAATCCTGCCTCTCAGGGTCTGGCAAGGAGTCGAAGAACATGTGGAAGACAAATTCAGAGGAGGTCAGGGGATAGAAGCCTGACGACAGGCCCTAAAGAGTGAGTGGTCAGGAAATAGGACTTTTTAGATCCCTCAGCCAACACCTTGGTAACAAGAGGAAAGGGAAATGGGTCTTGGGAAGGCAAGATCAAAGTCATAAACTGCTCAGCTCCTACGCCTGGCCAGGCTTACTCTCACTGCATCTGCCTTGGCAGGATGGGCATCATTTTCCTGCCCAATCTCAAAGCTCTCACTGTTCCATTTAGAGGCATGGACTGAATGACTACTTGTTTACACTTTTGTCAACAGTGCAACAGTGTCATTTCAATTATTTGCTCTTCTTGGGCTTAAACCATTAAATAGCAGAGGGGCGTAATGAGGGGTTTTGAGTGCACAGTCACCCCAATGGGCAATTCAACTAGCCTAGGTTCCAGCTGTTGAAGTGATTTGCCCATCATCCAGAGACAACACACGGCACATTACCTAGATGTGCTTCAGTGTGCCAGGCGCTCAGGGTGGAGAATGGGGGAGCCTGCCTCTACCCACAACCATGTTGCCACAGTGGTGATCATGGAAAGGCAGGAAAACAAAGACATATACAGAGAAAAGTGTGGACTAGTGCAAGGTGAAAAGAGGAAGCTGAAGGGCAGGAAGGGAGCTATCATAGCTTGGTGGCAGGACAGGAAAGATGCAGTCCAACAGCAACAGAGGAAGATCAGCAAACATAAGAGCCAGTATTAACAAGAGGAAAGAGAAGGCTGGGATGAATCCGATCATCAAAACCTGTCAAAGTTCATCAGAAAGCCATTGTCGATGGCTTTGAAAACTGAGATAAGAACATACTTTGTTTCTGTGAGAATCTGACATTGTCTTCTTGTCGATGACACTGTTGGATCTAGTTTTAATGAACCCTTTACAAGTTGAATAGGCCCAAGAAATGCTTAGGACATTTGCTTTTTAACTATTTATTTGACATCAGTGTTTTCCACTTGATTCTTCTCTTTTTATGTTCATTAGAACTATGAAGATTACTTTAAAATTTGGCAAGATTGACAGCATTGTACTATACAATGGATATTTCACATCTTTAGAAACTGATAAGCTCAGATTAATTCTTTAAACTACTGGGTGACTTGTAAAGTAACACAGAACTTCATGGTGTATTACCCAATATATTCCCCAGTGAGGTACAAGACAGCATTTTCACATTATAAGACAGAATCTGACATAGCTTCCTACAAAAAGGCTAGTAGTTCCGTTTTGATGAATATGGCAGAGGATTAAAGGGAGCCCATGGATTCTGGCAGGAGTCGTCTCTCCAGGATAACTATAGGGAAAATGCTGTGCTTTTGTACATTAAATCACTGCAAGGCAGAGATCTAACATTTTTAGTGCTCTCAAACCAGCAGGAATGGTCAATAACCTTTTAGATAACACAACAGGGCAAATAGTACCTGGTATTGGCTACATAAGAGAGTAAAATTCCTACCTTGCAATTGGAGAGGGAAAACATCTTGAAATCAAAATTGAGGAGTCAGAGAGCTGCTAGGGAAGAGAAATTCTGTGTACCACTGAATGTGTAGGCTGTGCTTGCACATGCCCAGCAAAATCAGTAGTGACTTTCCTGGAAGACTTGGCCACCAAGACGGTCTGCAGCTTATTAGGATGGCATGGGTTGGGGATGAACTCTAAACTTTTCCAAGGATGTGGTCAATTGGAATAACAGCATTTCTCTGATTACACTATTTGGGAATAGACACTGCATCAGGCTTCCAGTCAGGAGAGCACAGCACTGAGATGCAGGTGATTCCAAGCATGAACATAATCACTTATCTCATGCTCCAGAAACTGATTTGCATTCACCTGGAGCGCTCGCCTTACGTCTATCCAAATAAAGAATGCAGTTGTGTGTAGCCTTAATATCATGTCTGCCTGGAGATGTTAAATGAGAAAAACAAAACACAGTGAAACTAGGTCTTGTCCAATACTCATCTAGTTGCCTCCATTATTTATAATTCTATGACCAGATGCCTGTCCCACGCTATTTGGTGTGTGAGTGTATCTCTATCTGTCTATCTGGCATCTATTCAAAGTTAAGAGATCTAAGTAGAATAGCATAAAAATTATCTGCAGAGTATGAGGCCATCTAATAATGACACTTGCAATTTCTGGCACCAGTATGTGACAGGGACTGTGTTACCTACTCTTTACACATGATTTCTTTTCATATTCAGAACTGTGAGGAAGTCTTTGTGGTAATGGTAAATGAGGTAGGAGTTTATATCAGACATTCTAGTAACAAACTTCTTGGCATTGAATCTTGATTTTATCATTTGCCTGAGGTAAAGAAACTTGCCCAAAGTCACCCACTAATAATCCAAGGCCAAAGTCTGAAATCAGTTTTAACAACAAAAATATTTTTCCTCCCTTGAATCCTCTTTCTAAAGGATGCAAACTCCCTCCCCTGCCCCGGGGGGAGGGAAACAGTATTTTTTTTTTCCATTATATACTGGGTTCTTCCATCATCATGTATTATTTCATACTTTAGCAAAAACCCTCAGAGTACTGACCTTCAGGATGGCTGAAAGAATCCCAATTGCAAACATTCTGTCTCATTCTCAGCTATGTGACATTTACTTCACAAATATGTGAGCACTCCAATTAGGAAGCAATGGTTACAGGTAGTGAAGACAGAAAACACTGGTCTTAACTGCCAGGAACTTTCATTGCAATGTAATAATGTGAATGTTTCAAACATCTGTCAGATAATAATGTACCCTTCCTCTTTACTGTGACAACATTGGCTACATTTTTCATTTTTATTACATAGTCACTGGGATTTCATAAGAATTGTGAAACTTCTCTGATCCCATCCATAGACTCCATTAAAGCCTTTTTGTCTTAATTCTCAACTGTCACCTGGGAACATACAAAACTGGTTTATTTCTCATAAAATAGTCAATGACAGATGAAATAGGAGTTTTAATATACTTTTTTTTTTTTTTTTTTTTTGAGACGGAGTCTCGCTCTGTCACCCAGGCTGGAGTGCAGTGGTGCAATCTCAGCTCACTGCAAGCTCCGCCTCCTGGGTTCATGCCATTCTCCTGCCTCAGCCTCCCAAGTAGCTGGGACTACAGGCGCCCGCTATGGCGCCCGGCTAATTTTTTTTGTATTTTTTAGTAGAGATGGGGTTTCACCGTGGTCTCGATCTCCTGACCTCATGATCCGCCTGCCTCGGCCTCCCAAAGTGCTGGGATTACAGGTGTGAGCCACCGCGCCCAGCCTTGAATATACTTTCAAACAAAATGGAAGCAAACTAAACGAGATGTTCCCCCTAAAACAGGCTGTTGTTTTTCAGTGGATTTCATAAGAAGAAAATCATTTTAAAATGTATTAAGATTGAATGAAAAATAACAGTGTAGAAAATAAATTATTTCATGTTATAGCCAATAAATAAATCAATAACTCTAACATCCTTGATGAGTGGTTGTTACATGCTAGTAACTGTTCTGTGTATTTACAGAGACCATCATTTGATCCCAACAGCGTTATGAGATAGGTATTACTGTCATCCTCGCTCCAGTAATGAGGAAACAGAAGCACACAAATAGAAAAAATGCTACTAATAGACTACAAATAATAGCTTTTCTTGAAACAGTGCTAAATGCCAAGAATATTGATCATACCTAATACTTGCTTCAAGTGTCGAACTTTCTGATTCACCAGAATTTCATAAGTGCATACTCTGCAGCAGACATCGTGTTTATTTTCCAGTCATTTCTTCTGTAACATGACATAGGTTCTTAAAAGGTCACCTTGCCATTCAAAAGTTTCCCATGAAAAAACACAGGACTTACAGGAAACCGGGTTAGAGATACAACACTAAGAAACATCATCAGTGACAGTTAAAAAAAAAAAAAAAGACCAGAACCTAATAAAAATAGTGGCATGATTTTACATATGTTTAATAGCTAAGAAACCCATGAATACTACAATAAATGTATCACTTTACCTGATAAAAAGTGACCTGAAATTTTTTTCATGGAAGTGGATGCCAGCAGGATTGCTGCAGGAGGTTGATTGTAAAACTGTGGAAGAGGCAGGCTTACAGGCAGATGCTGGAATCATGGGTGTGAGTGTGCATTTTGTGTATTCCCACATAGCTGACTTCTGCAAGCAGCAGCTTACCGTGTTCACCTAGTGTTTCTTGCAGAAGAAATCACATGTTTACAAACATGAACTTTGTGGTATACTCAAATTGCTTCCTAATAGATCAATTTCTTCAGGATGAATTTGCAGTTTCAAAGCAACTACACAGCACACACTGACCTCTCCTAAGCAGACCAGGTTAAGTACTGTATGAGCCATAACTTCAGAAAGGGGCAAATAAAGGAATTATCCTGACTGGGGAGATGGGGAATGGTTTATGCAGAGGATGCCTGTGGATTGAGCATCAAATATAACAATAGTATCAGGGGCAGAGCAGTGAGCAGAGGAAGGAAAAGCAAGAGACAATATACACTATGAAGAAATGATTTTGTGGGCAAATAATGCATCATGAATTCTTTAGTAGTTGAATTTTTTTCTTTTTTTTTTTTGAGATGGGGTTTCACTCTTGTCACCCAGGCTGGAATACAGTGACGCGATCTTGGCTCACTGCAACCTCTGCCTTCTGGATTCAAGCAATTCTCCTGCCTCAGCCTCCCGAGTAGCTGGGATTACAGGCACCCACCACCCCACCTAGCTAACCGTTGTATTTTTAATAGAGATGGGGTTTTGCCACATTGGCCAGGCTGGTCTTGAACTCCTGACCTCAGGTGATCTGCCTGCCTCGGCCTTCCAAAGTGCTGGGATTACAGGAGTGAGCTACAGTGCCCGGATGAATATTTATTTTTTAATTGACAAATACAAATTGTATAATATGTATACATTATGGGATGGCTAAATCAAGCTAATTAACATACTCATTTATCTCACATATTTTTGTGTGTGTGGTAAGGAAACTTAAAAATGGCTCTCTTAGCAATTTGCAAATATAGAATGCATTGTTATTAATTATAGTCACCATGTTGTGCAACAGATGTCTTTCTTGCCTTCCTCCTGCAACTAGAATGGAGCTTTCTGATGGCGGGAAGCATGCCTGGCGTGTCACCCTTGTGTGCACAGCACATACGCCAGTCCAGGCACTTGTATCTCAATAAAAATGGCGAACTTAGTGTGCTTTAAGTTTGATCAGATTTAAAAAGATAAAAGTACCAAAACTAAAAAATAGGTAAACCCATAAATGGATGACTGTACAAGTAGTGGAAGAGTAAGGTTTTTCATATACAGCCTATCTGAAAACTACAGCTAACAGTGATTTGCCAAACATGGTCAAGCATTAACATCCCCTAAACCAATGGTTTGACACCACGAAATAGCCGCATAACACTTTTCTGAGTAAATTAAATTTTTATATAGATAAAAGTGGTGATTCATTAGTATTCATATATTGTTACATCATTTTTATGGAATTATTAAAGACATCAATAGTAATAAGATGATTTCTCAAAAATGTGAAATTGGGTTTTTCCTGATAGTTCTAGTCTTATATCTATCCCTGTGCCCTGTGAATTATTTTTCTTGACTTCCTTTTGTGTTTTTGAACAGTACTGAGAATATTCTGGTTTTCAAAGTTGAAGACCCATCATTATTACAACTATTAACAGCTTTCCTTGAAATCTATCAGAATATTCTTCAATTAAACTGATTTTGAAACCTACACAGGAGAGCTGGCAAATTCCAGAGTTGGTTGTGAGCACTATGTAACAAGTTTTCAAATTTCTTAACATCCTAGCAATTGAAAATTAGACACGGAACTCAGTTAGCACTAAATGTTATATGATCTTATAAGGCAATAAAGGCATCTTGTGATATGCATTCATATTTTATCCAACAATGAACTATTTAGGCCAAGATGAGAAAATGGCATGGAGCATGTTCAACTGAGCTTTGCCTGGCATTGAATTCACCACATATTTATGCACTTTAATAGAATATTTGCTGGTACATTTCTATCTGACTAGACATGAATAGGAGTGGGCTTTATAAACACTATTACTTAATCAACAACCTATACATAAAGAGTTTAAAATATATAAAGTGGTTACAGTGAAAGCCGTATCCTTAGATCTAAACCCCAGAAACCTAACCTGGCAGAAAATAAATATTAACAGATAACATTTCCTGGGTACTTATTTTCCAGGCTTTCTGCTAAACCATTTTCATATATTAATTGGTTACTTCTTCGTAATGACCACATGAGGTACAAACTATTATGATTTTGATTTTACAGTTCAGAAAACTGAAAGACAGAGAGAATAGTTATAGCTATGGGTTCTGCACATCGGACTTTTTTTTTTGTCGCCCAGGCTGGAGTGCAGTGGCGTGATCGTGATCTTGGCTCAGTGCAAACTCCGCCTCCTGGGTTACAAATAAAGGAAAGTGATGTGAAATACCTAACCTTAAACAGGGCAGTGCATTATACAATAAGCATCAGGTAAAATAATAACCATGGGACTAAATATAGATATGCTAGAATTTACTAAAGAATGTACTAAAGAAGATGGTGGGGTGAAAACTCATAACTTCAGTGTGAGCCTCCTACCTCACCAAAAGCCAAAGAGTCAGTAGCCTAGCTTCCCTGCTAGGCTTAGTGGGAGCAGGTCCCTGGGGACCAATACCTCTGAGATCTCTGTGGACTGAAGCCTTCTTAGCCTTCATACCTACATATAGTCATGTGCCACATAATGACATTTTGATAAACAGATTATATTTTTATCATGCTTATTCTTTGTTTTAATTAATTAATTAATTAATTATTTTTGAGATGGAGTCTCACTCTGTCTCCCAGGCTGGGAATGCAGTGATGTGATCTCCGCTCTCTGCAACCTGTGCCTCCCAGATTCAAGTGATTCTCTTGGCTCAGCCTCCTGAGTTACTGGGATTACAGGCACCCGCCACCACACCTGGTGGGGTTTTGCCATGTTGGCCAGGCTGGTCTTGAATGCCTGACCTCAGGTGATCTGCCCGCCTCGGCCTCCCAAAGTGCTAGGATTACAGGTGTGAGCCTATGTTTAACTATATTTAGATACATAAATACCACTGTGTTACAATTGCCCACAGTATTCAGTATTGTAACATGCTGTAAAGGTTTGTAGCCTAGGAGCAATAGGTTAAACCGTTTAGCCTAGGACTTTAGTAGACTATGCCACCAAGATTTGTGTCAGTACATTATGATGGTTGCACAATAACAAATTACCTAATAATGCATTTCTTAGAACACATTTCTGTCATTAAGTGATGCATGACTGTACTTATTAAAAAATAAGGCTGGGCATGGTGGCTCACGCCTGTAATCCCAGCACTTTGGGAGGCCGAGGCAGGAGGATCACGAGGTCAGGAGATCAAGACCATCCTGGCTAACACGGTGAAACCCCGTCTCTACTAAAAATACAAAAAAATTAGCCGGGCGCGGTGGCACGTGCCTGTAGTCCCAGCTACTCAGCAGACTGAGGCAGGAGACTCGCTTGAACCCGTGAGGCAGAGGTTGCAGTGAGCTGAGATCGCACCACTGCTCTCCAACCTGGGCAATAGAGGGAGACTCTGTCTTTAAAAAAAAAAAAAAAAAAAAAAAAAAAAAAAACTTACATATTACTTATTAATACTATGTGCTAGGCCCTACACTAAACACTTTACAAATACTTATTTAACCATCAAGCAAGACAACATTATGAGGTAGGTACTATTTTTATGCTCATTTTGCAGATACCGAAGCTGAGGAGAAGTAATTTGTCCAAGGTCACAAAACTAGTAAATGGGAATTGAACTCAGATAGACTAGCTCTAGAATCTGCATTCTTATCCACTGTGCTATGTCAAGAGGATTCAGGGATGGAGGGGCTGTAGAAAAAATATGATTAGTGAAGTTTATTTCAGTTTTCACATACTTTCGAAGTGTCACCAGAGACTGCAAAATTTTTTAAATGAAAATCAAAGTCTTGATGGTCTCTAGTTTAAAAATGATGAAACTAAACACTTCATAAAATAAACATGATAGTTGTAGAGTCCTAAATTGCTAAGTAGTCTTTGTTAAGAAAAAGTATGTATGTTACTGGGTACATAGTCAAAAGACAACAAATTGTTCCACCAAAAGACGCATGTACTCACAGCACTTTTCACAATAGCAAAGACATGGAATCAACCTAGGTGCATCGACAGTGGGCTGGATAAAGAAAATGTGGTACATATATACCATGAAATATTATGCATCCATAAAAAAGAACAAACCATGTTGAACTGTAGGCCATTTTTCTAGGTGAATTAACACAGAAACAGAAAATCAAATACCTCATGTTCTTACTTATAAGGTGCAGCTTAACATTGGGTAGTCATGGAGATAAAGATGACAGTAGACACTGGGGCCTAATAGAAGAGTGGGCAAGGGTTGAAAAAATAAATATTAGGTACTATCTTCAGTACCTGAGTGTGGAATTATTCATACCCCAAACCTCAGCATCATGCAATATACCCATGTAATAAACCTGCACATGTACCCCTGAATCTAAAAGTTGAAAAAAGAAAACATATGTGTACACACATACAAATATACATAAGCATATATGCATGTATAATTTATAATTATAAATAATAAAACAAGAAGTCTGAATAATTTCATCAACTGCAAAATTCACTCATAAGCAGAGAAACAGAAACAAAACCTAAGATCCCATAGGTTTGTTGACATCCTTTTCCTTTTTGAACTAAGCCATGGTTTGCAAATCTCTCATAAGTACGGTGACAGTGGTGACAAAAATTGTCTATGTCTATAAAGCCCTGTGACCATGTAAAGCCTTTCTTGAACAGTGTAGGCTGGCAAGGTGGAATGACATTAAAAGTCTAAAGGTATGCTAGTAGGGAAATATGAACTTTAAAAATATGAACTAATTTACACTTTAAAGAGTCATTAATTCAACATTGTTTTGTCTTTCTATGTTACATTCATTATGTATTATAGTCAGCAGCTGGTAGCTCCTTTTAACCGTTTGGAGACATACATATTCAAATTAATGTTGGCTAGAAAACTGTATTATTTCCAGACGAGATGGCAAAGTTGTCTTTGATTTCACTAGGGCCTCTGTTTGAAGAATTAAGATCAGAAATGTCCAGGCAGCCAATATGTCTGATGGAAATTTTTGTATAGCGATAGGCTGTTTAACCAGTGAGTTATAGGTAGGAAAAAGGTGTCCATTAGACAAACACATGAGCCTATCCATTGTATGTTTATCAAGTGCCTTCTTTGCAGACAATAATAATGTCCCAGAAAGACAGATCCTGCCTTCATGGAACTTAAGGCCTAGCAGGAAAATGGGCAGAAAAATGATCAAGATACTGAGTGCATAATTACAACAGAGACAAATGATCTAAAGAAGTCCTTTGAGAGTGTATCAGTAAAGAAGCTGGCCTAGACTTGAGGCTGTGAGTGCGGGCAGCCTGGGATGGGCATGCTAAGAAGAAAAGGAGGAACGTTCCATACGTAGGAAAACAAAAATAAAGAAAAGGGGCATGGAGAAAAGTTCTGTGATTGAATGAGTACAGTTCATTCATGATCTAAAGGACAGCCCAAATGGACGGAACCCTGGGAAGGCAAGACAGGGGATCAGGGGGTCAGGGAGTTGGGAAATAGTGGACAATTAGTCTAAAACAGTAGGCAAGCACAAACCATCCAAACTGCAAATAACACAACTCCAGAATAAGGCGTTGCATCTCATTAGTAATTTGACAATATAGAGTAGACAAGCCAACATCACTAGATCTTGTTCACTTGTCACTTGTGTTTTATAAGACAGAATTAAGCAAGAAGATCTTAGTTTTCAGAGAAAGTCAACTCACTATTCAGCAGATAGGGAAAAGGCGTGCCTTTCTAGAAAACAATATAAAAAGAGACATACATTAAGATAAAGACTTCTCAAAAGGCCCCAGAATCTCAATGTAGGAAGAAATCATGGAGTGTGAACCCTCTTTTACATGTATGAAAGATAAAACCTAACCACACCTTAATCAAGATTACAGATTTCTATGGTCTTCATGTCTTTATATTTAGCTGCCACTTCAATTAGAAGTCCTTCAAATATGATTAAAGGTTTACTCTGAACTTTAATATAAGAGACTTCTGTAGGGCAAGCATGTGCATGGATTGACCCAATAGCATTCAATCAATTAATACATGCATATGCTCTCCAATAACTGTGCAGAGTTATTGTGCTTTCCTTTATTTATCAAAATGCCCTGAAGATTGCTTTATCTCCTAGCCATAGTCGTTCTTGACATCGCTTTAAGTGTTCAGACCCCTACTGCAGTCATTTTATTTGTAATAGTGCCTTGTGTGTTGTGTCTCCTAGCTCTACATACAAACTACCACGCTTACAATCTCCATGAACCTAAGTGCATCAGTGGCGCTGGGGATGCTATACATGCCGAAAGTGTACATCATCATTTTCCACCCTGAACTCAATGTCCAGAAACGGAAGCGAAGCTTCAAGGCGGTAGTCACAGCAGCCACCATGTCATCGAGGCTGTCACACAAACCCAGTGACAGACCCAACGGTGAGGCAAAGACCGAGCTCTGTGAAAACGTAGACCCAAACAGTAAGTAACTCTCCGTTTCTTTCATCTTCCCACCCTGCATCAGGAAGCTCTAGAAGATGTGGGGTGTGCTTGCCTCTCTGGAGAAATACTGTGATCGTTCTTGTCTTATGGGCTGGGTTGCCTTGGTGAATGCCAGCTTCTGCTCTTTTGAGTTTGACTCATTCCTGCCACCATTTTCTTTTTGTTCCTTGTTGGAAAGAAGCTTTTGGAGGCTCTGCTTCAGAAGTGTGAAGCCTCCCCCTTCCCTTGCTTCTTGTCCTCTGGTACTGAATCCTCCAACTGACAAATGCACCTATCAGGTTGTTCTTTTCTTGCACCCTTCCTGCTAAGGCAACAACTTTTTGTCAGGGAAACTTCCATACTTAATGAACTGTATCGGTGGGAATTAATTAGGATTTTGGAAGCGAAACTTTTTTCCTCTAGCATGTGAATGTTGAAAAAGTTATTTTGTACTAATCAGGTCTTCTAGAAACATATAAAATATTGGAAAAAGTTGTCAAATCCAGGTACACAGGGCCAGACACTACCATGATAACGGCATCATACTGTGGGGAAAAACATATCTACCATACCACTGGAGAAGAGTTTTATTCTATGCAAGACAAACCTTAGGGAAGAAATCAAGGAAAAAAAACATTGGATTTAAGATGCTATTATATGGCATATCTGCAAAACTCTAGGAGCCTTTAGTCATGCATGCAAATGTCCCCAGGTAAAATGGGCATATAGCTATCACTTTGTAAGTAACACAAGACCAGCTCAAAGGTTAAATGCTTAGAATTCCCAATTGCTAACTTTACTAACAATATGGTGGTAAGAGTAAATTTCAGATTTAAAATACTAGTTTTAAGATTTGTTTTCCAGGAATATTTTGGCTAGTTGCATTTAGAATGAGGCAGATTCAAATATTTGTGATACTTCCTGTTGTTTAAGGCAGAAGGGATTTCAGGTTATCCATTAAGTCATTCACGACATACTGTATTTCAGTTAGAAGCTGATCTTGGTGTCAAATGCTTAATGCCAAATAGAAGGAAGTCTCAATTTTAAGTACTCTTGAAGAAATCCTTTTTGCTCTGCAAATAAGAGAGATATCTTTAATAAAAACCAAGAAGCCAACTGGGTTTGATCCTGACAAACACTACACAAAGAACTGTGATTTTGGCCTGTCTCTATTTATGAATAGTTGAGTGAATGTCGTGAAATACTTTGAAAATATGTAGACAAAGTAACAAGGTTAATTAACAACATTGTGGGCTCCAGTTTGACTTTGTGACAGAAGTCCTAGGACAAGTCTAAAGGAACATACTGAGAAGGGAGGAACAGAATGAATGATATAGGCTCTGTTGTGTCTCCAGAGCAAGTGGCCAATTGAGAGGAGGGCAAGTGGATGGTGACTTGCTGTGGCATTCAGTGTGATGTAGGAAGAGGCTTTGGGTTGAGACATACCTGGGTTCAAATGTAAACCACTCCATTTACCAGCCATGTGGCATTAAGAATCACTGAGCTTTTCTAAAACTCAACATAATTATGTATAAAAGAGATAATAACTATGTCATAAGTGTATCACAAAATACTATATTGAGAAAATACTATATCAACTAAATGTCAACGTCTTTCCCTTCCTGAAGAGGCAAAAAGCTTTGCTTAGAAATAAGTTTCAGCATAATTTATTAAGATATAGTAGCTAAAAAGATGCAGTTAAGTGTAGATTAAACACCACAGGGTAGATAAAACTCAATCCTCAAAAGAAGAATTTATGGCTGGGCGTGGTGGCTCACGCCTGTAATCCCAGCACTTTGGGAGGACGAGGTGGGCGGATCACCTGAGGTTAGGAGTTGGTGACCAGCCTGACCAACATGGAGAAACCCCGTCTCTACTAAAAATACAAAATTAGCCGGGCATGGTTGCGCGTGCCTGTAATCCCAGCTACTTGGGAGGCTGAGGCAGGAGAATCGCTTGAACCCAGGAGGGCAGAGGTTGCAGTGAGCTGAGATCGTGCCATTGCACTCCAGCCTGGGCAACAAGAGCAAAACTCCATCTCAAAAAAAAAAAAAAAAAAAAGAAAAAGAAAAAAAAGAGAAGAATTTATATGAACATATGTGTGCATCTATTATACCTATACCTGTATTGATAAACATATATGTATATTTATAATTAGTGGCTTTTTATTATAGGTTGTCTTGTCAAATTTGCATTTCATAAAACCTTTTCTTGCAAATATTCCAATAACAGCTTTATTTTTGTACACACACACACACACACACACACACACACACATTTAACTAGATACTGTTCAAAGTCAATAAGCAGAAAACATAATTGGAGGGCTATATTTACTGGGGAAAAAGACGAAATTAGAAGTTTTGAGTTTAGACAATTCAATACTATGCTACTTAAGAATTGTTAACTTTCAAAAAACATTACTACTGTTGCTATTTAATGATGAGGTGCAATCCTTGTTGAGGCTTTTTTGGGTATGACATTGGTTGTTAAAATGCTAACACTGACATTAATGCTAATGCTTGCATAAGGTACTCATTGAAATAGGCATTATGCGGAATGCTTTGTGTGGAATGTCCCACTTACTCCTCACAGTAGATCTATAGAATAGATATTGTTATTCTTATTTTACTGAGGAAACCTTGGCTTCCCAAGATTAAGTAACATTATCAAAGCCACACATGTGGTTAACAGCAGAGGTTGGACTAAAGCCCAGGTCTGACTCTTCAACCCACGCTTGTTCCTCTTTGCTCCTCTGTTTCTTAGAATATGAATGGCATGTCGAAATTCCAATGCAGGAACTATGCTTTTGGTTTCCTTATTTGGTAATATCATTTGTATATGCAGAATATAATGATGTTTGGTGGGAGATTCTTTAAACATACTGTAACGTATTATTGCTTGTTTTGTCTACAAAGACAGGAGTAACCTGAGCTCAAAGAAGGCTGCCCAGGTAGAGGCCTCATTTGATTAATTTAAAAATTGTATTCCAATGATTTCATTTGGTATCTCTTTCCTTGCAAAAGTTTCACTGGGTCTTTGTTGTTGTTCTAGTGTCTACATAGAGCCAAGGTAAACAATTCAGAAAAATAAAATAAAATAGAGTCTTTTTCTCACCACCAGCTGGAAAGATTTTTTTAAATTGCTTTAGCTCTTTGGTTATTGTGTAGACACACCCTAAAACACCATGAAAACTTAACTAGATATTGGCTAAACCATAGGAGGAGATTCATGTACCTCCAAACATTGGGGTTTCTGATGACCCAACTCTCAAAAGTCCCAAAAAAGAATCCAAAGAGCTTATCTGCACAAAAGCTGTCCAACAGTACTTTCTGCAGTGACGATCATGTTTTATGTGTGTGCTGTCTAATAGAGTAAGCACTAGCACATGTGGCTATTGAACATTTGAAATATAGCTACTCAACTGAAGAAATACATTTGTTATTTTACTTAGTTTTTAATTAAGTAAACTTTATTTACATTGTATTTAAATTTAAGCACACACTTTTGACTGAGGCTACTGTATTGGACAGTGTAGCTCTAGAAATTGACAAGGATTTTATTCTAGGAAACTCAATTTGAGTCCACATTGGATATAGCTCCCAAAGTTTTAGCATTGATACTGATCTAGGACAAAGTCAAAACTCAAAGAAATAAAACATTTGAGATGAGACAAACATACAAATAGTCATTTAAAATGATCTCAAAACGAGCCACTAATAGGGAAAAAGTAACATCATAGACAGCAATGACATTTGAAAAACCAGTCCGCAGCAATGCAAAAATGCATGTATATAGGAAAAGAACGATAGTGAAAAATTCAATTAATAAAAACAGATATGACTATGCTATACTAGGTAACATTATAATATTCTGTTTAATGCCAAATATAGCTAAAATTATCTCTAATATCTTAACTTTTGTAACAGAGATAAATGACATTATTTTCTGAATTTAAGCTGACTGGTTAAAAACAAACAAAAACGTAGCTCATGCACTTGAAAAAGGAATTTGTCTCTCCAGTGGGCAAATTCTGTACAATATTTTCTGAGGGAGGGTGTCTGAGAGGAAGTAGAGTTTACACTATGAGCTACAAAGTAAATAGTGGAACAGAAATGTCCTCTTATTCATTGTTGCTCTAAACACTTAGTCTCAATGTATTTCAATCTTCAGTGTTTTCACTTTTAACAGCTCTGCTCCATCACTGCAGTTTGCCATCTGGTGCATGCATGCTTCTACTCATCCAACTCCACACTGCAGCTACATGTCTACATAAAAATGAATTTGCTTGCTGACTTAATATGGGAAGACATTTATACTACCATATTTTTTCCTCAAGAAATATAATTATCCTCTTAGTTTGCTTCCTTAGCTAACAGTCCATTGTATGAAAGAAAAACTCCATTATGTGTGGAATAAACAAAAAGTAAATCTCAAAATTTCAATTTATCTGCGCACTGCTGGCATATTAGATATTCAGAGTTGGGCCAATGCTTGCTAGTCTCTGCACTTAGATTGAAAAATAGCAAGCTCAGAGGGCATAGGGCTGTAGCTCAGCTACTTACTAAATTTTATTTATGCAAATAAGACTTCCATTGCTAAAAGTGTAAAAGAACCTGGCCTCGTTTGAATAGCTTTATATCTGGCCATGATGATGCCTTCTCACATTCCTGTCTAAGAAGAAGGGCACCTCAAACTGTTTCTCCCACCTGCATCCTGAATTTGGCATGTTTCCCTGTACTTTCTACAGTTCACTTGGCAGATGTATGTTCATGGCAAACTTGTAGATGCCAGATAAACAAGATGCCATGGTTGTGCTTGGGCTATGGCTTATTGATGGCCATGACGATCCTTTTCAAGTTGGATGGATAATATTAACTAAGAGGCAGCATGGCTTTATTGGGATGGGCGGATAAGAACTGCAGCCTTCTTCACCTGGACTGGTATCAACCAGAAGATGTTCTGTAAATTGTCTTTGGCTCTCATGCTTTCTTTAGTAAAAGATCACAGTGAAGAGAGGCCTGGCCCTAAGCTACCTTTCTCTTAAGCTACCATCCATTTTCTAAGCTAATGCCCGCAAGCCGTGCAGAGAAATACTTCAAGGACCTTAGCTAGATATAGAGAGTTTACTCTGGCAGGTCAGCAGCAACTAGAGATGGCAGGCGGGTGGACAGCGAGGGACACACCCTTTTTTTTGGATGTGGAGATGTATGACTGATGAACTCACTCTGGGATAGAGACTGGACATAGACTACCTAAAAGACTGGTTTAAGCCAATTAACACATTGTATGATGAACCACATGTTAGAAGAATAACAATTTGTACCTGAAATACAAAATAAGATATGGAATTGTATTCTGATGGTGTTTTTCTTGTGCTACCATATTTGCATCTACAATAAGGAAAATACATAAATAACAACTTGTGCTGTTCTCAACAAAATAAATTTGTTACATAAACTAGGACTGTCAATATAAGGAGGTATGTTATTTAAAAAAAAAAAAAGAAAGAAAAAGAATTCAGACTGCTGGAAAATGGATGTGGGCACCAAAACTCTACACAAATAATGGTGCCTAGAAAATTCTAGAACACACTTCTGTGCTGTGTTAATTTGTTATGGTTCTTGTTTTGTTTTGCTTCTCCATTTGTTTGGATCCCTAACATTCTCAACATTATGTTACTTGTTTCATCCTCTTGGACTAACCACACAGGCTGGACAGCATGACTGGACTAGGGTGAGAAAAAAGGGCTGGCAAGAAGAAGAAAATAATGCTCTGAGCAGATAGATAAATTATGTTTGGGCTGGTTCCCTCAGCTGTTCTAACTCAAGCAAGTAAAACCCAACTCCCTTAACTCAAGAGGCACCAGTACTCCCATGTTCAGAGGTACCTGAATTGAGGTGACCTGGTCTACCAAAGGATATTGAACCCACCAAAAGAGTGGGCATGATGTGTATGGTCTCTATCGCAGCCTTTTCCCAAAAGGAAAATAATAATAATAAAAAGTAATATTGTGTGCACATTTATTTTATACATACCTATATATTTACTTTTCCTGTAGACTGTATACCACCAGTAAGAAAGAGTGTACAAAAGTCTGTTACTTGGTACACTATCCCACCAACAGTATAGCTTTTGACTGCTTTCCCAAAGGTAAGAAAACAATCTAATTCTTATTTATTTATGTGTTCTTGTCTCCAATGAGAATTAGAAATGTTTCCATGGAAACTGTGCATGATTACCTGAAAATATATCTATAGGAAGAAATGAATTTTCAAAGATGATCGATTTGATAAGCTTAGTGCCAGCAGCTGCCATTGGTCATATGCCTGCTTAATTTTCTAAGGAACACGTTTATGAGTATATACACATTTGTCTTCCTGAACAGCTAGCCAGTAATTGCAGAGAACTGTTGCTGGTCATTCCGACACATGCTCTACTTTAAAACTACCAGTGGTGAAAAACTATTTCTCAGTATTTCTCAATGTATGTTTTCCTACTGTGGGCTTAGAAGGCAGTGTGGAAAACCTACAAGGAGAGAAGGGGGATGCTTAGTAAATGCAGACCTAGTAAATTGTTTGTTCTAATTTATTTTTAGTAAATACATTCAAAGAAGTGTACACATTCCTAAAAAAGTATCCATTGAAATAGCAACAAATGGCCTTTCCATCTGTAATTCAAAGTTGTCTTGGTTCCTTCTCTGCAGAAAATAAATCGGTTTACTGGCCGGGATTGATAATATGTTGATGATGATTTGTGGCTCATAGTTCTGCCTTTGAGAAACACTGAACCAACTTTAGTCATCAAGTCATCACACAAAAGCAGAAAAAGGGTCAATGAAAGACCACAAGGGTCTAAAGATTAGTTTGAACATTGGTTATACCCAAGAAATACCAATAAATGCCAAAGGTGTTCAAATAAATAGATTAGAGAAAATGATGTATTGTGTGATGTGTGAACTGGCCACATGAGTGGGCTGGCATAAGAATAATAATGGATTCACCACAGATGCTTTTATATTGCTTTAGGCTCTCACTAAAGAAAATATACTCTGAAAGGATATTATCATCACGCTGTTTCAGCCTAAGCAATATTACACGACAGTGGAAAACAACACTTGCTATGGCAAGCATCCTCATCCACGTGGAACAGGGCATTCCAAACTATGGAAAAATATGCAGTAGAGAACATGGAATAAGTTATTAAAGTCATGTGGTGGCTTTGAGTAAAATGTTCTCTTTTGATTTTCTCTGAACCTCCTATTGTACTCATATAATAGAGAGACCTGTCTCTAGAGAGATTCCAAGAGAGTAAGCAGTGAGGTCATACCGCAGGAGGGGAAAAATATTGCTTAATGATGTAGACTGGCCTTTCTCTTTCCTACACTGATAACATGGGACTTTTATCAGATCACTGTTCTGGTTCTTCCCATCCTTGTTTGTGTAATAGTATTCCGAATATAAATAAAATCTTTCTCTCTCTCTCTTTTATCCATTTAGTATGGTAAAACAGCATAAGAGTACTTCCAAAGAGTAATGACATTTTCTGTTGACTTTAGATGGATGCCAGTAACTCGGTCTTTAATTTAGGGTATATTGTTCACATAGTTATTTCCTTTTTCCCTATCAACATGATCTGTCCTAGTTTTTAAATAGGCCATTCTTTCTCCCAGTGAATATGTAACTGTATTCCCGTGAGATTTCAAGTTTTTTTTGTAGTACAAGTGCTAGTCAAAACACTGGAGCTCAACACTTTAATAGTCTTTTTACGTGAGACTGACTGAGAATAAATAAGAAGGAATTTTCCTGGGTAAAAATGATAGATTTAATCTCAATCCATTAAAAATCCTTTTGCTCCTGTCTAAGTTGACGCCTTTGGGTTTAAAGGGAGTCAGATGAAAATATTTTAAGTCAATCTTTTGGTTAAAAAACACTTTTAGGATATACAGATTAGAAGTAAATTCAAACTTGTAGCTAGAATTGTCTTACTTCAAAGATTTTGATGAGATAAAGCAATGAGGTCACATCATGAGAGGGGAATAATTGCTTAATAATGTGGACTGGTCTGTTTCCTATGTCAATATCATAGGGCTTTTATTAGTTTATTATTCTATTTCTTCCCATCTTTATTTTCGCAATGGTATTCCAAATACAAATAATAATTATATTTGGTTCCCTTTTCTGACCAATTTAAATGTGACTTTAAACATTAATGATAAACATTTTGTAGAACTGCTTCAAAATAATTGGGGATATAAGTTGGTTTAAGTTACATTAACTCAAGGAACACGTGATTTACTTGTTCAGGTCAGTAATGGGACTAGTAAACTTGGGAGGGCAATGAAAGAAGTCTCTTAAGGTTATGCGTTCAAATCCATTTCTAAGTGATTGCTTTTGGGGAGACAAGACAGTAAAAAGAAAACCACAGATTCAAGAGTAAATTTTCATATTACTGTGCTATTAAAACTTAGTGTCAGGCATCATGTTCCAACAAAGCCACACTGTTTACAGCAAATCAAATATTTGCTTACAGGGATTTGAAGGAAGTAGGTTCAAATTCAGATGGAACATAACCTAAGCCTGGTTTGAAAATGCATTCTGTAACATGCCACTGTTTAAAAGCACTCTCAGGTGACAAACACTCTCAGCCAGGCATCAGCAGAATCAATACTTTCTGCATCCTTTACATGAATATTTATAAATTTTAAAACTCTGCAAAGTGTTATCAACCTAATGACATTTATGTCGAAATGCAATTAGGTACAAAATAAAAAGCACAATTAATCTGGCATCATCACCATGACTGGGTCAGGAAATAAGTTTTGTTAGGAGGTAAATTTTCACACCCTAGGATGGTATTTGGATGAAAAAACTTTGAGAGTATAATTAAGCCTTGCGAGAATGCCAAACACATGAATTGTATTATTGACATCCATTATTGAATGATATTATAAAAATCATATTGGTTTATTGTAATGAATGGGATTATTTGGCAATTTTAAGCTTTTTGGAACTGTGCAGTGCAAGTTTTCGTATCATGTTGGGACTCTCCCTCTTTAACATTCAATGTGTTATCTCTGCTGTAACTGGAGACCACCTCCACTTAAAATTCACTTTGAAACAGTATAAATACAGCAAAGAATATATGTTATCTGACCTTTGACACTAAATCACCTTGGGAATAAATGCAGCTATAAATCTTTTTGGCATATTTCTCTCTGCCTAAGAGGTCTGTGAGACACCATCATTTCTCTCGCCAAGGCTTGATATCTCAGCATATCTTCAAAATCCAATTAATATCTGCCGTCTTGGTTCTGCAACTGCCGTCTTAAGTTCAACTTAAAGAACTGGATGAATGTTTACATGGCTACTACTTCTCTCATTCCTTGCATAAAAGAAATGTACACATCATATCTCAAAGTCACAAAAACTATGTCAAGTTTTACATATATGCATTGCACTGCCCTATCTGGTCAAGATTTTTTACTGAGTATCCTTAAATTGGGTCAATCAAAGAAATATTTGCCAAGCACCTCTCCTCTAGGCCATCCATGAACTGACTAGGAGTGGGGGACAGGAGGGGACAATGCCTTCAGGGAGCTCAGATCTGATGGAAGACTCAAAGGTAAGTAATAGACTCAAAGGTGACAAGGGCTCTTCCTCAAGGTATGTGCCAAGTGTCACCAAGCTACAGGTGGAGACCATCACCCGGGATGTTTTGCTTGAGTTGCTCTTAAAAGATAAAGGGCTCCAGGCAGCCATAAACGGAAAGGCACTCAAGGTAGGGGAAAGTATACACAAAGAACCTGCAGTACAAGAGAATGTGACATGTTCTGGTACTAGAAAGCAGTTACGTGAGGCTATTGGGCTTTGAAGCATACCGTTTTCGGGAATGAAATGCAGGAAGCAGCCTGAGGGTAGAAAGACTGAGTTTCCTTCGTCTTTGTGCCTTTAAGTACAAAGGCTAGTAAGTACTAGGCTGTGAGAAAATGTGCTTGGAATGAGTAGCGCACAATACTTCCCATACCAAAGGCTCCTGTTACCTAGAACTCGGTAGATGCACGGGAAACATTTATAAGTGAATATTTGTTAGCAATAATAATAAATATTATAAAAATAAAAACAATAATAAGTCTACAGCCTCAGCAGGTGAAATTATATTCTTCCAGATAAAGCCTCTAAGGTCACAAAGCCCACCCTAAAAATACAATGTATAAACGTGATGTCACAGGTTTCAAAAATATGGTGTAGTTGTAATGTACAGCTCCTGAAATGGGTGTCAGTGCCACATCTCAGCTTGTGTAATTAATTTCTTTTCTTGTGCTAAACCCATTTATAAACCAACGAAGTTTTATGCCTATTTTATTTCATGGGCCACAGATATCTATACTTTCAAAGTGCACATGAACTTGAAAGATTCCACTGGACATGGATCCTAAGGACTTGCTTTAAATAGTTATAGATTCTAATTTGGTAAACACAAAAACATAAGCAATCAAATTGGTGGTTTTCTGACTGTTGAGTGCATTTCCTTAGAGACTGTCATTCAGGACAGATTTTGTCTTTATCATGATACCAAATATCATTTGTATTTAAAAAACACTGTGTATCCTAAACCAAGGTCAGTTAATCTCCAAAATCTTTCTTTCCCCCAATCATTGTGAATGAGCATCTTCCCAATATTCAAGAGAGGTGACCCTTGTGACTCGTTTCCATCTACTAAAGATGTATCTCAACTTTGCAGATTTTTTTTTTTGGCTGTACAGTGGAACTTGGATTACACTTTAAATTAACTTTCTCTAGGAATCAAAGGTAATCATTATTTCTCTCTATGATCTAAATGACTATTCTCATGTTTTTTTTCAAGTTGAAGATTAGTTTTCAATTCCCTTTATATCTCTGCCCTTTTTCATAGTAACCTCTGAGGACCTCAGCTTGCACAAAGAGGATTGAGATAACATTTCCAAAGCTTGTTCTTCTTGAGCTGACCCAACACTTAGGAAAACATGACATGGATCAGCAACTCCATTTTCTGTAAGTGTTGGTCCAAGTATTGGTTATAACCTGGCATGTGCTATCTTTTTCTCTGGTCAAGAAAAAGAAAAACTGGACTGGGAGTCCCATCCTGGCTCTGATACTTGGGGTAGCATAAGCTTCATCACTTAATGGATCTCTGATTGTGGATAAGTTTCAATCCTCAGTTTCCTCTTTAATAAGATGGAAATAAGCTAATCTTGATGAGGTACCATGGAGGTGGCATGAGATTCTGTATATGAAAGCCCTGTTTTGAAGGGCTGACTGTGCATATGTCAGGGTACATAAGATAACATTGTTGGTCTCTGCTCATCTGGTTTTTTTATTCTGTTTTGTTTATTTATTTATTTGAGATGGAGGCTCGCCCTGTCACCCAGCCAGGAGTGCAATGGCATGATCTCCGCTCACTGCAACGTCTGCCTCCTGGGTTCAAGTGATTCTCCTGCCTCAGCCTCCCGAGTAGCTGGGATTACAGGCATGTGCCACCATGCCTGGCTAATTTTTGTATTTTTAGTGGATATGGGGTTTCACCATGTTTGTCAGGCTGGTCTCGAACTCCTGACCTCATGATCCGCCCACCTCAGCCTCCCAAAGTGCTGGGATTACAGGTGTGAGCCACTGTGGCCGGCCCTGTGTTTTATTTTAACTGGCTTTCCTTTCTCTTTTTTGTTTTCGTTACATTTTTGTCTATCATAAACTCTCAGAGTTGGAAGTCATGATATCTAGGATTGCCAATAAAGTCAGGCAACCTTTTCTCTAGGTACAACAATCTCTATTTTCAAGATAGTTTACTGTGGCCTTTTGATGCATCATTAGTAGTCTTTTGGCTTGGTGAAATTGAGAGAGAAGGCTATCAGTCACTCAGCAAAGCTGCTATGGGACAGATAGGCTCATACCACCTGATATATGAACCACTACATGTGATTAACTTCGACAGGTAGCTCCTGGCCGGCTGGCAAGCTGAAGAGCATTTTAAGTACAAATAATAGTTCTGGGGTATGTCTTGAGTGATAGAATGATGACTGAGTGGAACAGATTCCCTTAATTTTAGCTCATGAAAACACATTTGGTTTCCTTCAGAAGCTGGGATCCTACCAAAAAATCAATTAACAAAACTTCTCAGAGATCTTCCTTGATACTTGGAAGTTTGGCTTTTATTGCACTTATATTAAATATGGGACCACCCTGGGGGGCCAGACTCATTCATCTCAGTCTTCAAAGGGCCTATCATGATCATTTGCAACAATTTAATAATAATATTAGAAATTTTCACCATATTTTCACTATTGCTGCAAAGTTTAGAATGTACTCAACTATCCATTGAAGCAGGTCTTATTGACAGGTGGCAAAACTGACTTAGAGCAGTGAATTAACTTTCTAGTAACACACACCAATGAGTGGCAGAGTAGACACCTGTACTCAGGTCTCATGACCAGAGGTCTTTCTAATGAATTTTTCTGAAATGGGATTGAATAGGGTAAAATGTCTCAGTCTACATCATCCATCTCATCATCATTTCTTCTTCTCGTAAGTTGATTCTAGAGGCCCTCAGTTTGCTAAAGATTAGATAGGTCCTCCAGGGTTTCAAGGAGGGAAACATAATCTAACTTCAGGGCCACTGTGGAGTGAGATGCATCTTTCTTTCTTTCTTTTTTTTTTTTTCTTTTCGATATTGCAAAGACCACTGGATATAATTTCACTTCCTCTTGGATTTTTTTTGATGGTCTAAAAATTTAAATACTGTACTTCCTGTTATACAAAGAACATGGTCTGCTAGAACGGAAATGTTTAATTCTCAGAATTCATTGAAATCCATTGATGATCATATTTGACATCTACTGGTCATCCTGAGTGAAGTTTAGCCATTCAGAGTTCAAACGATGAGTCTTCATATACAGATGGTTATAAAAAGACTCACCTCTGCTTAAGGTAATCAAGTTTGGCATGGAAACATGAGCAAAGGTAATTAAACTCAGAAGATTTGCTAACATTAAAAAATGGCAATTTCCTGGAACAAAAATGTGAAAAGCTAATTCCCCCCACCCCCTCATCACCTGCTCCTCTCTCTGCTTTTGCCATAGCAAAGCCCTATAAAGAAACTGGCCACCAGGGTCATTATCAGTCTGAGCTGAAAATTTGATTAAGCTGGCCTCCTAGGGTTAGTATGAAAAATGCTACATTTTTGTTCTTGGACCTTAATTCCTCTTTCCCTCATTTTTGTCATGTTTGCAAATTTCATTTGCATTTAATTTCCTGTGGTTTGCCAAAGTCCAGACTGAGACTTGAGCTGTTGTTTTTATTCAGGTGAGAAGTGCAACTGCTACTGACCATCTGCACTGGCATCTAGTCAAGCGATTGTCTGAGGCAAGTATCTGTCCTTCTAAGTGTCCTAAGGAAGCTTTGCTACCCAGCCCACCAATGAACTTAATGATGAGTGAAAGAGACCTTATCCTGTTTGCATGAGTTTAGTCGGGGGTAGTTCTCATCACATGCCAGCAACATCCTCTTAAAAGTCCAACATAATTAAGGAAATTGCACTAAAGATGTCTTGAGATCATGGCCCACTAGAATATTGTCTAGGAGCTTTATGTAAGGAAGACATCCATGGTACCAAATGATGAAGAGATCCCTACTGTGATCTATTGTTCTACTGTGATGCAATACTGAAAAGCCAGTCTCTTTCTGAGTACTGGATTCTCAGTTTTTTCTGGGTCAAGAATGCAGGAAGAGTAGCATTCATGGGGGGTTCTGACCCATTCCCATTTACAGGAAAAGAAAATCAAATAAGGGATCAGTAGGTGAAACTTTATCATTAATGCCAAGCAAGAAAATGCTGACTCTTTAGAAAAGATCATCTCTCTGTGTCTAAATTTCCTCATCTGCAAAATAGAACCTCATATGGTAGTAGTGAGAAATAAATAAAGGTAAAGGGCTTAGATCAGAATTTGGCACAACAGCCGTTCAAATGTTAACCATCAGTGTTGTGATGGCGTCATCTCAAATTAACTGGATTTTCTGTTTCTGTTTCCTCTAGGAAAGGATTTTGGAGATTCCCATCTGATATTCTTCTATTTGGTCTCTTGTACCCATTGTCATCCTGTACCACACATAATAAAGTTTAAGAATGTCAAGCAATCCATCTGCATCTAATTTTTGTTTGGAACAACCTGCAGGATTTTACATCTTGAAATATCAACACATCTCCTGTCTTGTCTTCAACCTATTTAGTACTGATCATTTTTGGAGCAATGATGCCTTAAAGCCAAAATTTCACTGTATTGTCAAATGAGCTATCTGGGAAATCACATTTAAACACACTCAGTTTTCATTTAATTTCATAACACAACGCATGTTTCCTGACTCTAGGCATAAATACATTCAACATTTTCACCATCATGGTTTAAAAATTAGTACCTGTTAGTACTCAGATATTTAAGGAAACACCAATGACCAATTTTAAAAAGTCCTATGTATGGCAGAAAATTTGCCAAAAACAAACCTTCTAAAGTACATTTCAGTTTATACTTCGGTCTAATTTAAATCATTTGTTCCCCTAACCTGGTGGGCATCAAAAGGTCACCTGTATTTAACAAGCTTCCCAGTGATTCTGATGCACATCCAGGTTTGGGAAACAGTCTTATTTTTTAAATTGTCCTTGATAAGAAACACATGCAATACGGCATTGAAGTGATGGTGATCACTTACAGAGCAAAGTGTTTTTCATGGTATTAAAATGATTGATTTTTGAAAAGTTATTTGGGTTTATTGCACAAGTGGCATCTACCATGTCCCCAAGAAGTCACCCCTCTGTAGGCTAGCACTGTGAGAAGCTATGTCAAGGTCCTCTCTCAAGAGACTCTCCAGACTGGTGTTGCAGACTAAATAAAGCTGAAGTTAATTGCTGAGCTCTGTTACTGGAGCAGAAAAACATAGCATCACCTTTGTTTAAAGCTGAATCTCCATGACAACACTCAATAAGAAGCTGGGTCAATATTCCTTTTTTCTGCACTCAGTCAGCCACAAGGCCTGGCCTTTTGTAGGCAAAGTGTGTTGATACATCTTATGCAATCATTTCAAGGCACTCAGCCGAGGAAGTCTACATTTTTTTTTAGCCCTGAAGTCCTCAAAGAGATTATGATTTTTAAATCTTCATTTATGCTTTCTATGCGTTTCTGCCCAATCAAGTAGTGAAAATGGTCAGGATAGTCTTCCATAACTGTTGCTGTTAATAAATCAGCCATGATCTTGTGGAGAAGCAGTCTAGTGCCCAGGTTAAGACTTAAGATGCTGGAGCCCATATACCTGGATTCTAAATCCAACTTTGTCGTTCTCCAGATTGTGATGTGGCCATGTTGCCTACTCTGCACATCAGTTTTCTCATCTGTAAAATTGGTATAATCTTAGTAACTACCGCATGGGGCAGTTATTAGGATTAGATTAGTTAATATATATGACATGATGCTTAAAACAGTGATTGGCATAAAATAGAATGCTAAATAATTTGTTGTTTCTCCTTAATGACTATCATCAACTGACATATAGTTGTCAATCCATACAGTAGCCACTGGATACCTGTGGCTATTTAAATTAATGAGAATTAAATAATCTTAAACATTCGGCTTCTCAGTTGCACTAGTTAGATTTCAGGTTCTCAACAGGCACATGTAGCTAGCAGCTCCCATATTGGACCACAAAGTTAGAGAAGATTTCCATTATCACAAAAAATTAAATAGCACTGAGCCACAGCTTAGAGAAGGTAAAAAGAGGGATAAGAACGTCCTTTACAGAAGAGTTCCTGTTGTTCTTAATACTCCCCATTGCTTATGAGAATTGTCTATAGGTCTCTCAGGAGTGTTTGGACCCATTTCTTTTGTAGCTTCTAGTAAAAAGCCATTTACATTGTAGAGTGTACGACATATATTGTGAGCTAACAAAAATAGTTTGCCAGAAATGATGTTCTCTTAGTTGAGAAGGTTTCCCCAATTCCTTTCACAAGCTATGTTTAATGCTTTCTATTCATTCATTCTATAGTTGAACCTAATTCTTGAAAAGGAGGCAAGATGGCAAGTTTGTTTGTGGTCAGTACATGGATAATGACTACAGTAAGGCCCTGTATCTAAGGGAGGATGGTTTTCTTAGTCACCACCCAAATGGAAGTAATGTGCATATTCACTCATCATGCCATGTTTCCTTAGTAACAGAAAAGCCAAATTAAATATTCAAGGATATGAACAGAGGCTTCACCCAACCTTAAACAGAACACTTCCAAGCACTTTTCACTTGGATTGGCCAACTTTGAGATTCGGTTGTCAGCTGGAAAATTCTCTTTTTCTAAAAAGTCAAATTGACGTGTCTTATTTTTTTCTGTGCATGGTTAGCCCTTGGCAACATTGTCTGACAGTTGCTTTGTAAATGTTTCAGAAGGAAAAAACAGTACAGGCAAAGGACTGAAGATGGCTATTTTTCAGCGATCAGAAGTTTTATGTGAATCGTGAACAGTTAATAATGTTTTACATTAGCTAGAGGAGTTTCTGCTGTCAATTTATATATTGGGAGAGCTTTTATTTAAAACTAGCATGGAAAGCTAGTAAGAAGAGCCAGCAAAAGATATTTAATCCCAGTTCCAGGCCAGTTCTATCAATCGGGTTGAGTACACTACAGCTAAAGATAAACCTCCCTCAGCATCTCAGGTGCTCATTCCAGACAGAACTCAAGCTGTTAAATGGCCAGATAAGGGATTGAGAAAGAAAGAACCATGTCTTTCTTTCTATGAACTTGCATACAAGCTATACATTTTTAAAAATATTGACTTCTCAATCTTCTCAATAAAATAGCATCAATGAGTTTGTGTCCAGAAGTATAAAATAGGCAAAAAAGAAAAATATACCTAATTTTTAAAAATTACATCATCATCAATTAACTATTGTAATCAACTTGCCCTTATGTAACATTTTATAGTTTTGTTTTATTATGTGCTTGCAAATTCAGCATCTTTTTTTTATCTTCAGGGTATCTCACTGAGGTAGGTGTCATTATCCTCATTTATAGAAAGCCTGAAGTAAGGCTCAGAGAGGCTAAGAAAATGATCCAAGGTATTAGTGACAGAAGTTTTAGAACCCGTTCTGATCCCTTTATACCTCAGCATTTCTTCATTAAAGAGCTGTAATATTTTTGAACTAAAAAATTTAATTTTAAGCCAAGGAGAGAACAACAAAAGTTATCTCATGATAGAAGATTCAGATTTACAATGCAGTGTACAAAATCATTTTAGTTTCTTCTACTCATAGATGATGAGCAGTGAGTCGCCACTTGTCACCTTATCTAGCTCAAGCCAGAATGGAAAATCAATCAAGACAGACAGCTTTAAAAGGAGGAGTGAATTATTAGCGCTACATAGCAGTTCATGGTGCATATCTCCCCAAGGCCAGAAGGCTGGCATAGCTGAAGATGAGTGTCTGTCTTGTGTCTGAGGGAGGAGACAGCATTCCACTCTGCACTTTCACTCAGCTTTTGGCTTTCAGTGCCAACTATTAAGGAGGTTCCACCATTACTGTAGGGGTTATAAAGACACTGCAAATGCCCAATTTAAAACCAGGCTTCTTGTGTTCGAACAAATCGTCTTGTGAGGTTTACTAAAAAGGTTATATTAAGTCTGAAAAGAAAGAAAAGTTTGCTATTAATTTACAGAGTGGTTACTCTTGTTAGGGACTCTGCATGGAAGGCTGAGATAGAGCAAGCCGTAGCTCCTCCAAGAGTTTGCAATTAAAAGGAGAAAGGAGAACAAATTACTCTTTGCCAGGCATTATACATTGACTTATGCCAGATGTATGTAAAGAGGACTGAAGGGGGCCATTTGCAAGGGGAAAGTCTGACTATGGCTTAAAGATGAGGCAATATGGGAGATAGTGTTCTGGGCAGAGGGATCGTCCTCAATAAAGTCCAAATGCATAAAGTGGCAGCAGCAGTGGCAGCCATGCTGTGTGGCACATATTGGGTTCTTCCCATGCACCAGCCACTATTCTGTGTACTTAATATGTATTAGCTCATTTAATTATACAACTGTATGTGATAGACATCATTAGGCTCCTTTTACAGATAAGCAAACTGAGGTACAGATATTTTAAATAATTTTCTCTAAGTCACACAGCTGATAAGTAGAGGATCTTGGAGATAAGCCCAGGCCATTTGGGCCCAGAGATCATGCTCTAACCAATGGACTACCTCCCAGTGGTAGGTAAATACATGGTGTGTTTGTGGAAGGTCTGTTTTCCAGTACAGCTAAACCACAGGCCTTTTCAACCATGGCACTACTGACATGTGGGCCTGGACAATTCTTGTTGCAGTGGGCTGTCCTCTGCATCTGAGGATGTTTAGCAACATCTTTGACTTCCACCCCAATGCTGACCATCAAAGACATCGCCAGAAATTGCCTAATGTTTTCTGAGGGCACAATTACTCTCAGTTAAGTACCCCCGGGCTACTACATGATGGGTAAGCCTGGAGAAGAGCAGAAAAAACAACTAGAACTTAGCTGTGAATATTCCCAAATTCTCTTCTGAAAGCTATGGGAATGTACTCTATATAGAGAAAGATGTCAATTGAGGTTTTACAACCAAGGAGTAGCAGAAAAGATAATATGCAGAAACACTGGGGCGGGAAGTATTGTCAGAGACCCTACATGCTTTCGGCATCTTAGCTTAGGAACAGGATATATCTGCAGACTTTATAAAAATCTATGCTCAAAAATCTCAAAGCTACAGATGGCAAAGGGTAATCTCTCAGAACAGTGCAAAAGTTGACCTTAGTGGTCTCTGGGTTACAGTCAATCCTGACCTGAAAGTTCAAAACTCAAAGTTTGATTTCAGGTAAGAAAGATTCTACATCTAGGGAAAAACTGACTACCTAGTTTTCTGAAAAAGCTCTGTCATCAGACCCCAGGTCACCTGTAAATGTGAACATAATTACATAAACTTTAGAGAGGACATCTCTACAGGAATATTTACTAGACAGTTGGTGACAATGGGAAAAAATAGAAGTATTCTTCCTTCAACTCTCTACATACACATTTCAAACCAGGGGATATGTATTTAGAGTAGTTCTTATAATCAGGAAAGGAAAAGCCTATGTACTTTCTAAATTCTATAACAAACAAGTTACTTTTATGAAACAATTTTTTAAATTTGAAAATGTATGGTTCGAATGGATCTAATTTGAACTGCACCTCTGTTGGTGAGTAGACAACACTGATCTAATCATAAAATTCATCCATTTTCAAAAATTAGCGAATTTTTTTTCTTTTCTGCTACTTATTTTGGCTCCTACTGGGTTTTTTTTATCATGTCATTGGGAAGGATTACAAAGAATTATTTTCTTAGCCCTCTTTATAAGACTGCTATGAGCATTTTGAATCTAGTGCAGTTCCAAGCTTCTAACCAACTTTATAGTTTTGAAGATACAAGTTTTTCTTTAAAAAAATAACCTGATTGCCTAACAAAAGTTATCTGATCCCAGAAGAAGTGAGGCATCTTTGACTGGAGAGCCAGTCTAGGGTCAGAGTTACAGGCTCTGGAGTTGGACCTGGCATAACTCTGAAACAAACATCTTCCCATCTAAGCTGCCTCGTCTGTCAACACAGGGATACAGTACCCTCTGTAAGCAAGTTATTTCAAGACTGGGTGAGATGGCACAAGCTAACGTCCCAGGATGTGATCTGATACATAGCTGATACTCAGAAATTGGTGTCCCTTCTCAACTAGCATTTAGCAGAATCATCTAGGACTTTTGGGAGATCAGATCTCCTTTGGAACCTCTCAGAAATTTCTTCTGTATTCAGATAAGACAACAACCTGCTTTCAACAAGGGCACATCCCCGCGACTCAGTGGATGTCCCTGAACTCAAGTCAGAAACCTGCCTCCCTCTCCCAACAACACATCTCTCTGGTCTCAATGACAGCCAGAAGGACAGTGGAAGCTGGAATTGTAGGATCCAAGCATCTCAGCATCAGCAGTTCTCCTGGGAACGCCACCAAGCTCTTAGCTTGCATTGTAGTAAAGAAAATACATAACAGAGAAAACTGTCTTCAACAGCTTTGTTTTAAAAAAGATACTCAAATAGAGTGCCTCAGTCTAGATCGGTCATTCTGCTAAGGATTTGAAATCTCAAACAGCTGGAGATTTTTTCAAGCTTGACAGTTTGTCTTTGAAGGAGATTGCTAAGCTTTTAGATTCTTCATAAATAGTAAATAGATTTAGTCATAAATATCCTGTAATATGTGCTTTGTTCCCTTTATTCAGAAGCAAGTTGTAATTTCTGATTAAACACAATAAATCATTATACAACAGCCATTGTATGGGGATAACAGCCACCAGGAAATGCAGTTTCTGCACTGATGAAAGGCATTGAAAGACATGAAACCCCAAACATCTGCCACGCATTGTTAGGGAAAAAAAGGACACTTACAAGTATCTTGCGGCATTTTAAGGACAGCCAGCAGCTGGCAGGAATGTAAATAGTTTTAAGAGGTAAGAAAGAAATTCAGATCATAGGATTAGGTGATCAGTCCTCATCTCACAGGTCATTCTTTCCTTCCCTTCATAAGTGAAAAGCTTTCTTCTTCAAGACAGTTGTTAACAGAAAGCAAGCATCCAGAAGGTGGAATCAATAAAATCCTATGAGGGCAGTGAAAAATGAAGCCCTTTTTACCCTTTCCCCCAGGGGAACAGATGCATGAAATTGTTTAGAATATTTGGAGACTGCCGATATATGATGTGGAATTGGCACCGCCAGCATCCTGAGACATGCTTGGGATTGGGCATGAGTGAGAAGCTCTGGCATAACGATACAGGGGACCTTGTTGGCAGGCTGCCCAGTCTGTCTCCAAAGATGCTTTTCTTTCCCAATGCCATTAATTCTCCTTGGCCACTGGAGGCCTGGTTTTGGAAGCTCATACAGAAGATACCTGTGGTTGCATTTTTTTTTTTTTTTTTTTTGAGACGGAATCTCACTCTGTCACACAGGCTGAAGTGCAGTGGCACGATCTCGGCTCACTACAAGCTCCGTCTCCTGGGTTCATGCCATTCTCCTGCCTCAGCCTCCTGAGTAGCTGGGACTACAGGCGCACACCACCACACCCAGGTGATTTTTGTTGTATGTTTTAGTAGAGACAGGGTTTCACCATGTTAGCCAGGATGGTCTCGATCTCCTGACCTCGTGATCCACTCGCCTCGGCCCCCCAAAGTGCGGGATTACAGGTGTGAGCCACCATGCCCAGCTGCCTTTATTTCAAGTCATCCCTTCAGGCCTCAGTAAGAATTGAAGGAGGGTAATTAAACGGGTGGTAGGATGGTAGGAGCTTCACTCAGAAAACTCCCTGTGGATGGTCAGTTCACAGGGATTCCTAAGAGAAGATGTTCTTCACTAGAGATTTGGAAACTGAACACTAAGTTCAACAGAACACAGTATCCTTCATGCATTGAAAGCCTGCTAATCACTGATGATCTTCAATTAGACATTTTTAGACACTAAGCTCCATGACAGTGGGAACCGTTGTTTCCTCTTTGCCATTGCATCTTCGTCACCAAGCCTATGGTAGATAGGCAATCCATTTTTTACACTATCATATAAAATACAATGGAGTTTCAATGCATGCATTTTCAGCTAACATGCATTGGACCACATGAAGTCTATATAGAAGAAAAGGGAGGGAGCAGGGAAGGAAGTAAAGAAAAAAATTCTTCTTCCTACTTTCCTTCTTCAACCTAGAGGCAGGCCCCCACTTCAGAAGGAAAAATGAAGCCTCAACAAAACTGCAAAGAGAAACTGAGTAAATAATTGTGGGCTCTTCAGCTACTGAAGTCTCAGGCCTTAGTGATTAATGAATAATTTAAGGCAATGCTTCTCAAATTTTAATGTCCATACCATCACCCAAGAATCTTGTTAGACTGTGGGTGTAGATTCAGTAAGTTGTGGAGACTCCACATTTTTCACAGTCTCCTGGGTGATGCCCATGTTGCTGGTCTTTGGAGCACAGTCTGGATAATGTAGATTTAAAGGATTCTGAAAGAAAATTTTGACTATGTACAACCTTTGCCATGCATGCTGATTTAAAAACCTAACCCCTATGGCAGATATGAGTCCACTAGTCATAAACATTTTAATCTGGCTTCAAAGAGCCATTATATAACTACACTAAAATTTAAATATGAAAACTTGATGCAATTCAATTGGCTATTGTTATCTAAAGGTGTTTCTGTCTTAGAAAACAAAATATACTGCAAGTTATAATTTCACTTAAAAGATGCTTTAAGTTATTCTTATAAGTACAATGATTTGAAACACTTAAACACGTAAATAATAAAATATTCAAACTCCATTTGCACTGTCATATATACTGATCCTAATTACAGGCTACAGATTTTCATCTAATTGCGAACAGTAAGTCAGCTCTTGAATAATTAGGAAGAGGATGGGATGCAACTTATTGGAACAGTCTCAGAGTACAAAAACACTTTTTTCAAATGTCACTATGACATTTTAAAAAATACACTGAAATACAGAGGAGATAGTCATAACAAAAACTAATGAAAAAATTAATCCAACATTAGGATCTAGTAGCAAGATGATCACTAGCTAAAATATGGATATTCTATCTCTATGGTTCTCAGTACTGACTGCTCATCTGAATCACTTGGACACCTTTTAACATACACCCGTGCCTGGGATCTGTCACCCAGGATTCTATGTAATTGGTTTAGGGTAAGTTTCCATATAGCTATAAGTTTAAATATCTCCCCAGGTGAATCTAATGTCAGCTAGAACTGAGAAGCATTGCTGCAATGTAGCATTGCTCTAATGTTCTCCACTCTGATCTTAGGACCAGAAGCATCGGCAATGTCTAGAAACTTATTAATAATGCAAATTTTGGGACCCCACTCCAGACCTGCTGAATCAGAAACTCTGGGGTTTAGATCCATTAATCTGTGTTTTAACAACCCCCCCAAGTAAGTCCGATGCATGCTACTGTAAGTTCTTTCTTAAGAAAGACAAGGGTCCTCATCGATGTTCTTACTAAAAAATTCTTATGAGGGTTCATTGAAAGATTTCACATTAAGACTTTTTTTTTTAATCTGGTGGATGGCCTACACCCTGGGCTGTGGTGTTTATTCTAGAGATGGCTCTGCCACTTCCAATCCGGGAGTTTCAGCTATACAGGGGATCTTAGGGTTATTAAAGATTTTATTTTAATTGTGCCAATCTAAAAATGTGATCTTCCATAATATGCTTGAATACTTCTAGTGATAGGGAAACTACTACCATCTGGCCCAGTCTTTCCCATTTGCTTACTAGGCATAGGTGCTATACTGAGCATTTTACAAAGATAATTCATTCATGCTTGACAATTATCCTTGAGCTAGTTGTTATAATATACATTTGATACCTGCAGAAATGGAGGCTTAGAGAGACTGTGTAAGTTACTAAGTTCACATGGCTTTTCATAAAGCTTGCACCAAGTTCTGTATCTTGAGGCCACATACAAAATTCATTTTCAAAAATGATTACCTATAAGCTGTTGTCAGAATGAAACTGTCCCTTCATACTATCTTGTCTCCAAAATAAGAAGCCCTTGTTCCTTGCAGCCAATTTCTAAACCCATCCATCATTTCTGCTGGGTTCCATTGACCAGCACACAAAATAGACTTAATAGATTGTCCATTCTATGCATCCATTCAAACAGTGATTTTTCATGTCTTAGTGCATATAAAACATGATAACATTGGTAAAGCACACTGGGTAAACTGGAGAGGATTTAGGGAAATGTATGTAAAGCTTGCTGAAAAAAATCACTTGTTATTTAAGTATGATTACTAAATTCAAAAGTTTTAAAGCGGTTGAATGTTTATTTTGTATCAAACTTCAAAACCTAGTATTTTCAACGTTTTAAAATAAAACTCAGGCTTGCTTTCATGAACAGCTATTTCACATCAATTTATATGCATAAAAGAGTTATAAAAAAATTCCTGGTCAAGACTTTTTGATGATACTCTCTTCAAATTCTTTATAGAGAACATAAATGAAAAACACTGAGTGAATGATAAAAAGTTTGAGAGTATTTTTTTCTATAATTCAGAAATGTGTAACAGTTGAATTTATATTTGAACAATCCAATAGCTTCTCTTTTATTGAAAAAAATGTAATATTAAAATGTCTTTTGATAATATGAATTAATTTTTAATCCTATCCAAGCTTTAAGTTTTTAAAATAACGATATTTTAATTTGTTGAATACACTGCACTGTTGTCATGCAGCTAGCCAGGATGCTACCAAAAGGGTACATCAGTTACAATAGAAAGAAGTATTCAATATATACGTGAACACAAATATATGGACTGGCAGCTGGACCTAGACCTGCCAGAATGCCCATCCAGCCATCTTTCCCTGATGTCCCCAAATGCCTGGCTCTCTGGGCATATCCTGGAGCTCCACAGGGCTCTTGTCCACCCTGGGCAGTGGAACATATGTACTGAACCTCATGTTCAGGTGGATAGAGAACCTCCTTGGCCATGCTTTACGGCAGAATGGCAAGAGCTGGATATCATTAATTGTTCGCTTAACTATAGAAAACCTGGGACAAATCACCAGTTCCTTCTCTGTTCGAGAAGCCTTCAAGACTCCAGACAAGGCTTGTGCTGGCTAGACATGATAAGCAAGATTACCCCCCAGGTCTTGACTTGCTGTGCCAAGGTCTAGAGGGTGATCCCTCTAGAGTATCTCATATACTCTACACATTTCTGAAGCCCTGAAGCCCAAAATAGCTTCACCTTGGCCAACTCTCCTACCCATGTCATCCTTGAATGTGAAGGCCTTTTTGAAAGAAACGTTCAGGACAAATCAACCAGGGCACAAAACATCTGAAAGAACTTCTTAGATACAAATGATTATTCTGGGTGGCAATGTTTACTCTACAATTACTCATTCGAATTAAAATTTCAGAGTGGCAGCTGCTAGCATCCTACCCCACAATCATTATCTAAACAAAGTCCAGTCTGAAGCCTACCTGCATCAAAATGGCATGAGGTCATTGTGAAAAGTGCAGGACTATGGATCCACCCAAATCCAAACCACTCATTCCAGCTAGGGACACAGGTTACCAATTGATAACAAATACAAAACTGCAACTGTGAAAAACCTCTGAATAAGAAGTAGAGGGAATTATGAAACAAAGCTACAGAGATCAAAAGCAGCTTTCTTAAAGGTTTGTGTGAACAATGTGTAGGCATTAATAAACACAAAATGGATGGGAAAGCTAGGCAAAGAGAACTTGTGCAATGGCCATGCTTTGGGAGTATGGTAAATGTAAAAGATCGAAGAAAGGCCAGTGTGACTAGAGATAAGAGAGCCTCAGGAAGTGTGGTTCAAGAAAAAGCCTGGGAAATTAATATACATCAAGTGGCACCAATATTTGCAGACCAGTTCAGGAATGTTTTGACTTTATTCTAAGAGCATTGGGAGGACATTTAAGAGTTTTAATCACAGAAGGTAAGAAGATAAAGAGTACCATGATCTAAATTATGTATCTAA
Source organism: Homo sapiens (assembly GCF_000001405.40). Lineage (NCBI taxonomy): Eukaryota > Metazoa > Chordata > Mammalia > Primates > Hominidae > Homo > Homo sapiens. The sequence continues at coordinate 7,705,907 of NC_000003.12, forward strand.
AATAAATCACTCTAGCTGCCACATGGAACAATTCAGCTTGGAAATATTTCATAAGTTGAGGTATCAATGTTGGCTTTGAGTACAGAGGTGGTGGTAGAGCAGGAAAGAAGTGGAAGGAGACAATGTATCAGAGGTAAAAACAACAACACTGGAGATGAATTAACTTTCAATTCCACTTCACCACCCATAATAAATCCCACTGACTTGAACTTCAGAGCTTACCTACATACTCAGATTGACTTCTATAGCCCTAGACATAGAAAAAACAAGTAGGTTGATTGCATCTTTATAGAGCCATATTGCCCAAATTCACTTGATTGTATTTTTGATCACTTATCCATACTATGGAGTAGAGTGAAATTTCTCCAATACACAAGGCCAATTATTTTGAGATCTTTACAAAGATATCTCTATCTGTCTATATATTATATGTATGACCCTATGCAGAATGTTGTAGTTTGTATGTGTGTGAAGAATTTAGGCAAGCTGCAAACTTTAAAAGGAACACTCCCTAAGACCATCCCCAACTGCAAGTTTGGAGGGAAGATTTTTCGAAACTACCCTAAGTTTTGGTAATTTGCTTAGAAGGACTCCGAAAATTCAATGAAAGCTGTTATACTAACAATACAATTTACTACAGGGAAAGGATATAGATTAAAATCTACCAAGGGAAGTGCATGGGACAGGGTCCAAGCGAAGTGTCAAATGTGGAGTCCTGTCCACATGCAGTCATAGACATGTTACTTTCCTGTATCTTTGTGTGACAATATGCAGAGTATTGCTAATCAGGGAAGCTCACTGGGCCTCAGTGTTCTGAATGTTTACTGGTGCTCCATTATGTTTGCATGACTGATTAATTGCCTATGTGGTTGAACTCAGTCTTTAGTTTGACTGACACCATGTGACCCAAAGCCTCTGCCATAACTCACAATGTGGTATTTTTTGCATGACCAACCACCACCCTAAATCGCATGGTCACTATCTGGCTAGGAGGAGGCACCCAGACCAGCAAAGATCGTCTCCAAGGAGCCAGACCTCTCTTTGGGAAAGGTTAAATTCTTTATGTATAATATACCAGTAACATCAAAAAAAATGATTTATGTGACTAGTAGTGGAAATGAAGTTAAAAATCAATACTGCATTGAAATGAGAGTATAAGCTTATAGAAAAATATGCTACTTTTCTCATAATAAGCAGCTTAAATTAACTGAGGTTACATTCTACCTTGCGCAGAAGTAAGTTTTGCACCTCTTAGATAGAAAACGGCTTTCTCTATCTTTCCTCCCTTGCTAGCTTCAAAAATCCTACTTCCTGTGACCAACTAGGAGAAAAATGCATTTCTTGAGAAGACTGACAAAAAAGGAAGTTGGGCTACATTTCAGCATTTTAACCTTTCTCCATAGTCTGAGTTTCTTGGTTTAGTCATTTCTTGCCCACTGAGTCAGTTAATGGGCCAGATTCTAAGGCCTTCCCTTCCTGTATCTGAGGAAAAGTCACAAGGGAACTGAGAGGCAGGATGACTTCCTGTTTAGCATGACTGCCCACGTGTGCTTTGCCATTAATTACAATCGGGCAGTTTCCATGGAGGCCGCCACTTGAATAATGCTTAAGTGACAGCACAATCACCAAGAGCACCATGTTAAGTGGGCACAGTCATTGGCCTGGCATCTATTTTTTTTAATAATTAAACCATTTATTTTAAAGGAAAATGAAAATACTATTTACAAAACACCAGAAGATGGTGGAGCCTTTAGGATCACCAGAAATTTCCAAAATCTCTTAGGCCAGATGCCTCCAAAACAGCCCCAGGAACTAGTCTACTACTCGCTGTCTCTGCCACAAAAATTCCAAGCTCCCTTTGTCTTTTCTTTAACTATGGCCTCTCTGGCCAAGCCAGAACCATTGCACATGTCTACTTACTGTGCTGTATGCTCATAGTTTGCCCCATTTGCCATTTAACTTCATTCTTATCAGAGTTCACTTTTGTGGTACCACAATAGAACATATTGCTGTGAAGCTTTCAATTTTTTTTTTTTTTTTTTTTTTTTACTTCCCATGCCCTATAAAGCAAGCCTTTTTTTAACTTCCAAACTCAGAGACTGAATTTTGAGTGCTTATAAAATTGGGAATATCATGGAACACTCATCTTGGTTAATTTCCTATAATTATAGGATTTTACAGGATATAAACTGGTTTCTGTCATTTTATTTGCCTCTCCAAATCTTTTTTTTTTCTCTTTTTACTTTCAAACCTTCAGTCCCAACACCATCTAGCTAGGTTTTGGCTTTGTGAGGTTTTTGTCTCATTTATTTTATTTTTGAACACGTGCTTTCATGTACTTTGTTATATAGAGTAAAGCCTAGTTTCCTTAAAAATATGAGTTGATGTAAGGTTAATATACAGAAAACAATCATCAAATAATAGTATAGAAAAGCAAACATGGCAAAAAAAAAAAATCACAAATGTGGTAGACTGGCCGGTTGCACAGAAAGCACAGAGTGCTGTAGGCACAAGAAGAAAAGTCCTCATTCTGCCTAAGGCAGTCAGAGGAGGCTTCCTGAGAGAGGTGACGTCTGATCCATGTCTTGAAGTGATCGGGGGTTGCCAGAGAGGAAGGTCATGGTCTGTTGGACAACATAAAGTATAAGGTGCATTTAACTTTATACAGGTACAGGGACAGGAAGGTAATAGGGTTTGAAGAGCGAGCCTAAACTTTCATTCATAAGAGCAAAGGAGTTTTCCAGGAAGAGGGACAGAAAGAGTTTGAAGGCAGTAGTAGAGGTTGGAAACCAGTCACTCGTAATAGCATGACATCCCAACATCCTACGGTTGATCTTCCCTAGCTCTCCCAGCAGCCGGGTAGGATCCCAGGGAAGTACCTCCGATGAGATGTGAGTTGGCTTGGGGTTAGGGTGGAATTTCTTTATCAGAAAAAATAAATGTAATTTATACATAAATATAAACAAATATAAAAATAGAAATATAGAATATATGTATTATATATAATTTAAAAATTGTGTGTATGCACACACAACTGAGACTTTGAAGACTAGAAAAGTGGAATTGAAAGTCAATTCAATCACCAGGTCTTGTTGCTTTTACCCGATACATTGTTTATCTCCTACCACTTCCTTCCACCACCTCTGTAGTCAAAGTCAACATCCATCCTCTGAAAAAATCTCAACTTTTTTGTGGTTGTCCTATTTCACTTATTGAACCCATCTTCAGCAAGCGGTCCCTAAGTATTAGACAGGATAGTATCCATGATAAATCCTTACTCATGTGGCATTTATGTTTTAGTCAAAATTAAACAATGTATAAACAAATATAAGAATATAATTCTATAAAATATGTTACATATAATTTTAAAATTGTGTGTATGCATGCATGTATTTCTTGTTTACAAACTTTGATAGAAAAATGGCATAGTTTGGAACAGAGAGTTTGGGTCAATATATTCTACACAGTGAAGGAAAGAGCCCAGCATCTTCTGGTTTGTGAAGTTTACTGGGGCAGGACTAATGCCCCAACTTTGCTCCACTCTGTCATTTCTTAGGTAGAAGCTGAGAAATGAGTGTCAGTGGAGACAGACAATCAGGCTGTATTTTCAGAATACAGAAAGTGGAGCCTCAGAGAGTGAGGGGATGTGGGTGGCTCAGTGGGCTCCTCCTCTCTGTGTCAACCACAAGTTCCCCATCATTCGTTGTATATTTTGGGTTTCCCAGTAGGACTCATTTGAGTAAGATTTCCAAACAAGTGTGAAGATTTCTGCTTTCAATAAGCAGTTCAGTGTTCTCAAACTCAAGGAAAAATAAACACAGCCCAAAACTCCTTGCATTGGTTTGGAAGAACTTGTGTTTCTGGAGTTGGGGAGCAGAGAATGTGCCCGATTATTTCTAGACTCCTTATCTCCATTACAGGAAGCTGCCTTCCACAGAAGACAATGAGTGCCAGTGGAGACAGATGATTAGGCTACCCAGGTCCACCTTTCATTCCCCATACGTCAGCCTTGGAATGCACATTAGGCGCCCTCCTGACCCAAGCTCCCTTTTTTCCTGTGACTTGTGGTTGCTCCAAGAATTCGGACAGGTCATGGGTGGGACTTCTGGAATCTGAATGCTGCCCCACTTCTTGGGATTATAAATATAGTACATAAGTACTATGCATAAGTATGTATATTATGTGTGTATATATTATTATATATAAACAATACTATAAAAGGTATACTGTTCTTAATAGTATAAGAATTATACTATTGCTTTCATTTTAACTTGGGTTTATATTTTTAAAGACTTACATATCTCTTCAAAAAGTACATTAGATATCTGTAATCAGACTCATTATGAAGGCAAAAGAATGCGTAATGCAAAAGATCTGAAGCTATTTTCCTTAAAAACAAAACCCCAAAAACCTCAACATGAAAATGCCACGGGACCTGTTTTTGCTGTAGCAAAAGATTTTGCACAAAGTGCAGCCCTGTCACTCACAAACACAGTAATCGCTGGAGATTACCAGTCATTTTCATTATAGGTAATTTCAGGGTGCCTTGTTTTGCCTTGTCACTCACATTCCTGGAACCTTGCCAGATGGTGTAAAAGGAGCATTATCAGGAAACCAACCTGAGCCCCATACCAGAGGATAAATCTGAGGCTCCACTGAGTATTTCTGAAAATACAGCCTGATTGTCTGTCTCCACTGACACTCATTTCTCAGCTTCTACCTAAGAAATGACAGGGTGGAGCAAAGTTGGGGCATTAGTCCTTCCCCGGTAAACTTCACAAGCCAGAAGATGCTGGGCTCTTTCCTTCACTGTGTAGAATATATTGACCCAAACTCATCAGCACAGGGTATAAAACTCTTGAAAGATCTTGCCCTAGTCTTATCTCCCCAATTCTCAATGCCATAATCTTCACCCCATCATGTGAAATAGCATTTATCCCTGCAAATGTACCACTGTCTCTGCCAAGATCCTCCCCACCTTTTTCACCTGTCTCAACCTCACGTTGCCTTCAGCACTTCGCTTAGAGTCACGTTTTCTGGGCATGTCTCTGATCTTAACTGCCTAAGACAGGAATGTCCCTCCTATGTACTCCCACAGCCCTGAAACTGCCTCTGTCACACTGTTTTTCTGGTTGCTCTGTTTCATTTATTCAACCCATCATTGGCAAGTTGTCCCTAAGTATTAGACACAGTGGTATCCACGATAAATCTTTACCCAAGTGGCACTTATGTTTTAATGAAAAAGAAAGATAAAGAATATGTATGCAGAAAATCATAAGGGCAGTATATCAAGATAGAGTGTGGCTGGGGGTTGCTATTTTAGATAAGATGTCCCCAAGGAAGTGACATTTGAGATGAGACTAAATGATGAGAAGGCACAAACCATGGGAAGATACCTGGGAAGGTATTTCAGGCAGTGAAGATATGATTCACGTACAGCAAGTTCAAAGGCCCTGAGGCAGGTACAGATTTAGTGGGCACCCAAATGGCAAGGAGGCTAGTGTAGTGAGCGAGCAGGAAAGTGGAACAGAATGAGGTCAGAATTGCAGTTAGAAACTGGTCCACTGGTCCAGTGAGAAGCTGGCAGTGAGAAGAATTCAGTCTCTGTTTCAAAGATTAAAGGGAAGCCATTGGAGTCTCGTAATCAAGACTGTAACATGACCTAAGCCACCTCTAACTCCCGTTATAGCATTTCTCAAAGGCATGCTGCCTGGAACTCGGACGGCACCAAAGCTTTGTACTCTGAATCAATGAATCAACCACCGATCTTGGGCCATGACTCCCTATCCGCGTTCTTTTAGTTCTCTCGATGCCTCGCCTGTGTGTTACACACGCGGCACCATTGGCGCCTTTCAAAGATCAGCTCCTTCCAAAGGGGAAATGTCTGTGAAGAGCAGAAACTGACAAGCCACTCCAAGGTGTTTCATATGCTCCCAAAACAGTGAGCACAAACACAGTCGGCTTACCTCCTGTTCTTTCTGTACCCACTTGAGCTACACTGTAACTAAACCAATGAATAGCCCAAGAAGATATTTCAAGATTTTTGCAGTTAGTGACTGTCATAAAATGAGCATTTCTGTCATCATGACATATGACTGAGCCACAGCAGACTGCGCTGTACCCATCACAGCTCTTTTGTCTTTGACTTATGAGCACTCCAGGAGAAACTCAATCTCCTTAGCGGGGCATGCCTTCCTGTTCCCCGTGCCAGCGGCAGTGGAGGGAAGTGCCAGACAGAAGGGACCCAGCTCCATCTTCTGCCATTTGGGAGGCTTTGAGCAAGTAAACCTTTCTAGGCCTCACTTTTCACAATTATAAAAATGAATGAAAGTAAACCACACCTTTCTCATAATGTGTATGATATGAATAAGGCCTATGAAGTATATGCCATAGATACACTGTTAACATAGGTTGGGTGGGGGCTGTAGGACTGTGCTGGGGCTCTGACCTGGTGGCATCCTCAGCTGCACCCAGCCCAAAGGCCTATTGTGGAAAGATGACTTTCTCTCTCTCTTCCTCCTCCCTCTCCTTCTCTCTCTTACCCTTGCACTTTTTTGTTGGATCCTTCCCTCTCCTCCCACCCTCACATCTAAATTTTCTTTCCTTCCCTCTTTCCTGAATTACAGTAGATCTAAGTACCTTTTCACTTAATAACAGGCCCCACCACCACTGGTTTCCTTAAATCTCACCTTTGTTAAGTATTTGGTTTTGATTTTTATTTTTTCTTTGTTCTTTTTTTTGTTTGTTTGTTTTGTTTTGTGGTAAGAACACTTAAGCTAAGATCTACACACTTAGCAAAGTTTCAAGTGTATAATCCTGGCCTATGTTACTTTCCCTGTGTTACCTAAAGAAAGTATAATGAACTGGATATAGTTCTGAAGGCTAGAAGTCTGAAATCAAGGTGGCAGCAGGGCCATGCCTCCTCTGAAGCCTGTAGTAGAGGTCCTTCATGTTCTTTCAGCTTCTGGCAGCCCCAGGTGATTCTTGACTTGTAGCTCCATCATTCCCATCTCTGCTTCTGTCTTCATTCATGTGGCCTTCCCCCTCTGTGTCTACCTGCCTGTGTCCAAGTTTTCTTCTTCTTATAAGGATGCCAATCACTAGATTAGGGCCCACCCTCATCCAGTATGATTTCATTCTAACTTGGTTATATCTGCAAAGATCCGACTTCTGAATAAGGTCATATTCACAGATAGAGAGGATTCGAATTTTGTTTTGTTTTTTTTTTTTTTTTTTTTTTTTTTTTGAGACAATCTTGCTTTGTCACCCAGGCTGGAGTGCAGTGGAGTGGTGAGATCTTGGCTCACTGCAACCTCTGCCTCCAGGTTCAAGCGATTCTTCTTCCTCAACCTCCTGAGTAGCTGAGATTACAGGCACCCACTACCATGCCTGGCTAATTTTCATATTTTTAGTAGAGATGGAGTTTGACCACGTTGGCCAGGCTGGTCTCGAACTCCTGACCTCAAGTGATCCCACCCGCCTCAGTCTCCCAAAGTGCTGAGATTACAGGTGTGAGCCACCGTGCCTGGCCAGGATTTCACTATATCTTTTCAGGGGACACAATCCAATCTATAATGTGGCCCCTGTCAAACTCCAAGTAGTATTAAGAGTTCGGAGCTCTAGAGCAGATATGAGTGTAAATCCAGGTTCTACCTCCACTTTCTACAGCACCCTTGAATGAGTTCTCTGATCAGAATTTGAGTTTTCTCATCTTAAAACAGGGAAAATAATAGCCAGCTCAGAGAGTAGTTCAAGGATTAGTACCAAAAAAAATTATTTGAATAATGCATGTTAACAGCATAATAATTGTAAAACTGCAACAGAAAGAAAGGTATAAAACAGAATTTGCTCCTGGGATGCTCTCAATTGGAAGAGCCACGGATGCTTTCTTTTTTTTTTTTTTTTTTTTTTTTTTTTTAAAGCAATGGGTAGAGTTTGCCTTGAGACATCCACCCACTCATTGCCTGGGAAGTGGAAACACACATTTAGTTAAGTAGCTGATGGGAACAAAAACAAGGGCATTCCTAAGAGCCATCCGCAGAGTCTCTTCTTTACTGAAAGTAAGCAGAGAGAGCCACTTGCATCAGGCCTTGTGATGCAAAATTGAAAGGCAAAACCAATCTCAGCTAAGCATGCATTTCTGTTTTTGTTTTTGAGTTTTTAAAATCCCATTTCAATGAATATGTATTGCCAAGGTTATCTAGTGAAAGAAACTGGGATGGAGAACAAAACACTCTACAGAGCTGTGCCATCCAGAAGGCTTGGAATTAACCTGAAGGCTTTATTAAACAAATCAAACTGGGGGAGGAGATATTTGCACAAGGCCTTTTCACACATATCTAGTAAAGAGTAGGACAACTGAGGCAACTCTTTCCATATCTCAAAACAAAGAATAAAATCCAACTGGGTCTCTTCAGTTATCTCAACTTCCCAGATTTAAACAGTCATGTGAAAAGTGCCAGTTATCTTCTAAACTGTGTGTGTGCCAACAAGGCCAAGAGTGATAAACAGAACTTGACAAAGACGTGAATTTCTAGAAATGTCCCCTATTACCTTGCTACATTGAATGTTTGGATTGTCGACCAGCAGCATCATTGTCACCAGGGGCTTGTTAGAAATGCATTCACTTAGGTTCCATTGCAGATTGAGTCAGAATCTGCATTCTAGCAAGATCCCCAGGTGATTCCTCTACACATTACAGTTTGAAACATGCTCTTTGGCACAAGTTTGCTCTCCCAATCTGCCTAATGCTGACTTTGTGTGCATATATCTACTCAGCAGCCTGGTTGTACCAGCCAAGAGCCCACCAGCACGTAATTTCCTCTGTGGATAAATCCTCTATCCAAGAACAGTTTGGGTCCTGTAACAGAGTCCATTTCCTTGCGAGACCAAAGGACACCATCAAAAACCAGAGGTCTATTGGTGCAACAGTGTTGAACTGGAACATAGCTTTGTTCCCACCTATGAAGGTTTGCAGGTGCAAAATGCTAAATTGATCTTGTTCTCATGCCAATGGCAATGAACAGTCACCCATCTGGTAGCTTCTCTTCCCAGCCAAAGCAATGGCTGAACCAAGGCTTCTCCTTGCCAAAATCATGGCATTCAAGGCTCTTGCAGGAACATAGACATGCCTTCGATTTGGGAGATAAATAGCCGATTCTTCTCACTTTCAGCTTTAGTAAGGATTGAAGGAATTCTCACTGCATGACCCAATAGGAAATTATCTGTATCACATCTTCTACTCTATCTATGACAAAAGGAAAGCAATGGTGGCTGGGTGCAGTGGCTCACACCTGCAATCCCAATACTTCAGGGGGGCAAGGGTGGAGGATTACTTGAGGCCAAGAGTTCAAAACCAGCCTGGTCAACATAGCAAGACCCCATCTCTACAAAAATAAAAAATAAATGAATAAAAATTTAGTCAGACATGGTGACATGTGCCTGTAGTCCCAACTACTTAGGAGGCTGAGGCAAAAGGATCACTTGAACCCAGGAGTTCAAGGCTTTAGTGAGCGACCATCATGCCACTGCACTCCACGCCATAGCATGACCCTGTCTCAAAACAAATAAAGCAATGGAGGAAAGAGATGGTAACATATATTTACTAAGGACTGACATACTAATAGTGAGTGCTTACTAAATGTCTACTAAGTGTCTGTGTTTACTAAGTACTTTACTTATATAATCCTCAGAACCACTAAGTAGGTTCCATTGTTGTTCTTATTAAAGAGCTAAACAAACTCTTATTGAATAGTACAGAGAGTTTAACCAGCCTGCCAAAGTCACACAGTAAATCACAGAACAGGGATTCAGACCCCGCACACTTGGGTTCCTGAATCTCACATATGAACACTCCACTCATGTATCTGGCATACACAGAGAGAAATAAGTGCAACATAAAGGTTTCCAATTCAGCCTTCTTTAGTTTTTGAATCATTTGTCTCCTTCCTATTTCTTCTTCACTTGCTACTGCAGGTATTTGTCTCTTCTCCCACTCTGCTCATTTCCACCTCCTCCTAAAAAGAGGCTGCAGGGATTCAGCAGCCCTTCCCTAACCCAAGCCAGGTTCTCCTCCCCAGTGTTATTCTCACCCCCTTCTAATTCCTTACCAGCCTCCTCTCCTGCACCACCAGGCTCTCCTCTCCCAAGGAACCTATCACCTGTCTTGAATGCAGGGGTATCTGAGAAAACCCAACATCTAATTCAAAGGTCTGGAGCTTTGGCCAATAGAGAGCTTTCTAATCATGCTGTGGGGGGGTGTTTTCCTAGTTCAGAGACATATGGGATGGATGTATCCATGTCCATTTGCATTCTGCTAATGGCACACAAGCTGTCTCCTTCTTACAATCCATTCTAAAGCATCTACTCCTTTGGCCAGCAATTCCCCACACTCGTTCCATAACTAACTTGTTCCACAACCTAAGGGCTGGGATACAATTAGTGCCCTCATTTCCCTTTCTTTCTGCCTACAGGGAAAATAATACTTTTCAGAATATAGATTAGAGTTTGTAAATTGAACATTATCCAATACTATTTCCAGCAAAAGTGATACCAATATTTAGTACTTGTCAACATTTCAAAGCCAGGGGCATATATTAACAAATGGGAAAGCATCTATAGGTTTCTATGAGAAAGAAAATATGGCATGGACAAAACAGTGACTGAGTTTTTTCATACAGTGTCACAGAGGATGCAAAAATAGAATGAAATTAACAGCCCCAGTCTAGCCTGAATACCTAACATTTGGACATCCTACTCCCATGGGTTGAATGATGCTGCTGATTGATTTTGTTTTTATGGTTGGCTCTGTTACAGAAATTGACATTTGGGCTGTATTTACAGGACATCAGTACAGTCAGTTGAAAAGTAAGCAGATTCATGCAAACCAATTCCAATAACATTTTGATTAAGTAGTGAGCAAGGGAAATTGTGTGCTTGAGATTTATTGAATTTTCTGGTTGACCTGGGGTTACCTGAATCCTCCCTTTGTTTCATTTCACAGGATTGAAATCCTTATTTTCAAAAATATATCACTGTACTCTGTTTACTTGATGAGGCAGGCTGAGTGTTATCTATTTTTGCTCAGGTGGGAATTCTGAAAGGGCCTCTGGTTCACTTTTCTGACCACTGGTGCTAATTGTACAAAGACTGTAAGTGTGGAAGGATAGAATACTGCACATCTTCCTGGGATTGTCTTAATTTCTTCAAACTAGATAGTTTTTCCCTTCCTTTTTTTTCAAAATGGTGATTTTGACACACTTTCTTCTTTCCCATCTAAAAATGGATGAATTATAGATGGGTCAATTTTAGTTTTCATTTTGAAATCACCAAAAAACAGACAGAAAAGACTTCCAAAACTTACTTCTTAAAAAAAATTAAATCACACAAAGTTATTTTCCAGTAGACAGAACCACAGCACAACCCTATTGCTGACTGAAGTTTTAGAAAGCTAAAATCAGGTTGATTTAAAAAAAAAATTGCACAGGTGGTTGCGGAAGGTCTAGAAAATGCTGGTATATATTTTTTCTCCACCAGAAAACAGAGTCAGCCATCCTGCCACAGGGCTTTCAAATACATCATCTCTGTGAGCTGGTCCTTAGGGAGGCAATGGATATACTATTTTGAAAGCAGAAATTAGAAATTATAACCAGCTAAACGGAAACCTGGATTCAAATACAAAGTGGCCAAAGATAAATCAAACTCCTGTCCCATCAACTGATATGTCTTTGTTTCTTGATATCTGTTGGCAACCTCTAGCTTAGCCAGGTGCAATGGCCCACCAGCAACAGGAAGGGAGAGTCTCCAGTACTAGACAGAAATGAGATTCTATGCCCCAGTATGAGATCTTTCAGAGGCAGGGAGGAAGGAGAGAGTATTCAAGATAGACAATTCTGCCAGAGATGCTTACTATGGACAAACTCTGTTCTCTGCTTTTCAAACCCATACCTGTGTGTTATCAGAATCACTCACTGTGGCATCAGAGGTATGGTAGTACATTTCAGAAGAAAGGACCTTACATGTCATTAAATCTGCTCAGTTCCTTCACCCTTCTGCCTTACAATATTTCCATTTTCCAAGATGATGCGGACTAGCAAGAGTGACATCGCCTATTAAAAGAAGAGGTTTGCAGGGTTCACATGAACTCTGGAGTCAGATGGCCTAGCTCAGCCAACCCTGGGGCCTTGGGAGTTATACTTAACCTCTCTGTGCCTCTCTTTTCCCATCTGCAAAATGGGAGAATGAAAGCATCTTCTCAGGGAGTTGATGAGGCAGTCTGTGCATAGCACTTAGTACCATGTCTGAGCATAGGACACGCTCTGTAAATGTTAACCATCACTATTGTTAAGCAAACGCTCTTTCATCAACCATGCAATATAATCCCTTCCCTTCCCATTTTAAATAGTCCTTGAGAACAGTCCAGCTTCATCCCATTCTTCCTTCCCCTGTATATTTTTCTCACAATAAACAAATGAACCCTATAACTCACTGACTGTTTATAAAGGGTTTAGGTATAACAAAAGAGAAGGCCTTGAACCCAGGCAACACTAAAAAGACTGCAGAAAAATAATCCCTGCCTCCAGGAGAGCTCAGACTTGGAAATACGGCATTAATAGAATATAGCCAAAAAAGAGAAAATTATTCACTTAGATAGCAGGGAGTTGGAAATTGAGACACCTCACCCACAGCACACCAAGAGTACAATCAGACATAAAAATAGAAATTTAAAAAGCCAGAAGCCACCCAGTCAGAAGACCAGGCCTACCTGGGGAGGAGACTTATCCAAAGACCATCTGCCAAGTCAACAGTCTAGACTTCCTAGTTGGGAGGTGGTTGACATATTGGCCTCCAGGTCTGCTTCAGGAAACAACTCCCTGGGCATAAGGTCATGCAGGACTGATTTTTCAGACGTCACTGCCTCTAGAACAGCAGGGTCTTTGGTGATGATCTTGCTGACATTGGAGACTTTGGTATATTCATAAGTGGTTTAGTTCTTGTCCCAGCTTAGAAGTCTCTTGAAGGCTGGTGCAATGTCTCATATGTTTGTGCATCTATCACAGCACTAGAACCTGGTATGATTCATATTGGAGATTTGGTAAATATTTATTGCCTGATATTTTACCTCATTCTCCCAATGAGATGGGTGGTTGTGGTAATGGTGTGAATTTTATGATGGCTTGAGGTGACAGACCCAAGGGTATGGTGACTACCCCAGGGAACGCTATTTGGAAGTACTTGTCAGAAAATACAGTGTTTTTCTCCCTAGTAACACAACAACCCTGCTTGTCCTAGACAGCCTGGATATTAAGAATTATCCATGTTGCTGCCACCAAAAACTGGAAGTGTCTCCAAAAGTAAAATATTTCTTTATCCAAACTCAATAATCTAGAGATAGATGGCCATTCTCTGAAGTGATATGAAGATCTACTATCTAATTGTGCCCCTGCGTTTTCTTTGCAAAAATATAGTCTTCTTACATACTATCACAGTTTTGGAAAGCTCCTCACTAAAGGCCTAAGGGATTGTATTGAAGATCAATTTCAGAGTTTAGACCTCTCTAGTAAGGAATAGCAAAGGCTGGCAATCCCATGTCTTGCATCAATTTCATGTTGAAATGGTAACCTACAGCTGGGCGCGGTGGCTCATGCCTGTAATCCCAGCACTTTGGGAGGCCGAGGCTGGCGGATCATGAGGTCAGGAGATCGAGACCATCCTGGCTAACACAGTGAAACCCCATCTCTACTAAAAGTGCAAAAAATTAGCCTGGCGTGGTGGCAGGCACATGTAGTCCCAGCTACTCGGGAGGCTGAGACAGGAGAATGGCATAAACCTGAGAGGCGGAGCTTGCAGTGAGCCAAGATTGCACCACTGGGCAACACACACACACACACACACACACACACACACACACACACACACACAGAAATGATAACCTACAAAAGGAGTTCAGCCTATAAAACAAGGACTTCCAGTTGAGTTTTTATACGGTCACCCTTCTGAATTTCATTGTCTCATACAGATGACTAGCTTTTGATAATAATTATGATGGTGGAATCATAAAGTAAATGAAGATAATGGTTGTAGTAGTGGTGGTGGTGATGATGGTCATAATAAGAGTATATTCTTAAATGTCCAGCACTGTGCTACACACTTCACATACAGCATCACACTGGATCCTCCCAACAATCACTATTATCATTTTCCTCATCTTATAGACAGTTTAAAGGCAAGAAACCTGAAACTTGACAATCTCTCACAAGATCACAGCAAAGCTGGGATTTAAATCCAGGAACTTTGACATGAGCAGCCTCACCTTAACTATGACTTCATACTGCCTCTCACATTGTGACCTGGGCAATACCATCTCCTTTTTTTGAGGAATGTAAAAGTTAGGCAATCTTCAACTTTTTTTTTTCCTCCAGCCATAACCATTTCTCAAAATTTCAAGAGAAATGTAAAATTGGCCTGTGATTACATTCTTTATTTCAGATCTTCCCTCCAAGCCCAAACAAATCCTGCATTTATGTTTCAAAGCGTGTCCTGCACTGGTCCCCTCAGGAAGAAGGAAGGTGATGTTGAATAGTGGAATCTTACCTGCCAGGCTTTGCTGCCAGGGGGTATCACTGCCTAAAAGGGGGCTCCTCAGTCTCCCAGAATCCAAATATCCGTGCTAACAATTCCCCTGAATGAGTGCTCCCTGAGCACTTTACAGCATTTGCAGCTTCCTGCAACAACTTGAACATTCATGGAAGCTGGGGAGATAGAATTTCAGAAAAGAAATCAAGAGGTGATAGGTGCTAAAGATAAAAAGAACTGAGCAACAATGATGTTGTCCATAACTTTTTGGTACTTACTATCCAGCCATGTCTGGCACATAGTAGACAGCTGGAAAATGTTTGTTGAATGAGAATTACCTCTGGCTCCTGATGTCAGCCCCTCCTCTCATAGCCCTCTCTTGTCTTACCAAAACCATGATTCAGAAAAGGCGGGGATATCTGAAATTGCACTGGATGTGTTCCTTAACCTCTCTTAGCCTCAGATCTACTTTGGTAAAGTAGAGATAATGCTGGTACCTACTTCATAGAGCTTGCTGGAAGGATTAAAAGGGCCCATGAATATGAAATGCTTAGCACTATTTCTAGCACATAGTAAATGCTCAACAGATGCTACTACATTCAGAGCACAAGTGTTTGTACTGTTTATTGCATCATCTAGGACTCATGCTTAAGTTCTTAACAGGATCCATATTTAACCTCTTAATTTCTAGGAACAAAAACTATCAAGAGAAAATTTTGTTGGTATTCCTTATTTTGGCAATATTGGTTTTTTCATAAAGATTCATCCCACACAGTTTTCAGTTTTTGGTCAAATTGTATAAGGTAGACCCCTCTTTGAGATGTAACAAGTTGTTTTGGGTGTTGGATACATAACGTTTCTGGGGGAATGTGGGATTCTCAGTGATAACTGCTGAGTCTGTTTGATAACCAACCTGGGCCATATGGGCTCAATGTGTATGTACAGACATACGCCAGAGATGTGCATGGATAGCTTTGGTTGTAGTCTTTTTGACAGCATCAGCTTGGTAGTTCTCCCAGTCTTCACTTGATCAGTGCAGACATAGATCAATTCTTCACTGCAAAATTGAGTAGTGAATAAATAAACTTACTTCAGCTAACCTAACTGACATTCTTCTAGCACTAATCAGTAGATATCCAATTTATTAAACCAAAATGAATAAAATATATAAATAAATGCTCATTTATAGTCTCCAGTGACTGATTTTGCAAATGGTGTCACATCACTACAATGAGGTTCTCAAACTCAATGATTCCCAGTTCCAGTATTGCACAGAGTTGACATGGTTGTATGCAAGACTAGCGGGGCCATTGATTATGTGCACACACAATACTATTCTATAGAATAAGAAACTGTCATTTTTGGCAATTCCCTGCTTTCCCCTTTGAGTCCACTTGAATCATACAACCTCTCAAAGCACAAGATTTCGAGGTCACACTTTCACAGAGGTGGAACAGTGGCTAATGATGACAGTATGCGTGGATGGAAGTGGAAATATGTTGACAAACATTTGACAGATTCCTTTTTCAATCAATGGATGGAATGTACTAGGTGCTCTGACATCTCCTTAAACCTCTCAAGGACAGTTGCTGGCACCCTAACAGTGTCAAAAAACCAAACAACGAATTTAGTTTCATTTTATAGGCAGGCTGACCTGCTTTGGAAGGACCCCTTTCTGTCGAGAGAAAAGTACTTGAAAACACGTATCAGTGTTATATGTGTGTGCAGAGAAATTTTCCATATGCATTCAGAAGATTAAGCATAGCTAAAATATATTGAGTACAAATTTTACCAAGTCCTGTTCTAGTTCGTTAAATACAGTAACTCCTTCAATCCTTAGAAAAACCTTAGAGTTGTTATACTATAGTACTATTACTTTGTCCATTTTTCAGATGAGAAAATCAAGGCATGAAGAGATAAAGTAACTTGGCCAGGGTCATACAGCTGAATGGTGACAATCCTTGTGTCTTTTTTTTTTTTTTTTGAGACAGTCTTGCTCTGTTGCCTAGGCTGAAGTGCAGTGGCGATCTCAGCTCACTGCAATCTCTGCCTCCTGGATTTAAGAGATTGTTCTGCCTTAGACTCCCGAGTAGCTGGGACCACAGCCATGTACCACCATGCCCGGCTAAGTTTTGTAATTTTAGTAGAGACAGGGGTTCACCACGTTGGCCAGGCTGGTCTCAAACTCCTGAGCTCAAGTGATCCACCACCTCGGCCTCCCAAAATGTTGGGATTACAGGTGTGAGCCACCACGCCCGGCCCCTTGTGTTTTTCCCACTGCTCTGTTTTTCATGCTGGTGGCTATTTTGATGATCACTCCTGAATTAGAGACAGGGTCTCACTCTGTCACCCAGGCTGGAGTGCAGTGGCACTCTGAAATACATAGAGAAGACTGACTTGACAGTATTAATTCTTGGTGGTAGATGTTAGGAGATAAAAGTGAGACAAGCTCCAGAAAAGTTGTGAAGCATAAATTTTGCTTTGGAGACAGGAGGCTTCAAATTTTTTTATCATAAGACTTCAAACATTCAGAAAAGTAGAAAGAACAGTAGTATCATCCACCACAAAGATTTAACTGTTAAGGTTTTACCATGTTTGCTTCATCTATACCTATGTATTTTTGTCTTTAAACATTTTAGAGTTACCTACAGACACCAGTACTCCAAATTATTTTAGCTTATCACAAAATACAGCAATTCTCCAACATAATCATAATACCATTATCATGTCCAACCTAATTAACAGTAATTCTCTGACATCACTTAATACCCAGCTTGTGCTCTCATCTTCGAGATCCCTTTATTGCTCCTAATGGAAGGAACTCCTGAGCTTCCTCAATCTAGTCTCTCCAGACTCAACACCTTCCAGCTAAGTGCTCACCTCTGTAAGACCCCTGCTAAATTCTAGTGATGGGAATTCCAGGCTCTTGTTAGATCCCCTCAAATTACATCACAAGTTGTCTGGTCTAAGTGCAAACAGGAATGGACAGTGTGTGCAGGTCCACTAGACATCACCACAGCAAGCAGAATGTGTTTAAGGAAAGGCTATAACCCCATCAATCTGAAATAAGGAATTTAGGTAGGGCACAATGGCACACTTGGCTCACACCAGTAATCCCAGCACTTTGGGAGGCTGACATGGGAGGATGACTTGAGGCCAAGATTTCAACACGAGCCTCGGTAACATAATAAGACCCCCATCTCTACAACAAATTTAAAAATGAGTCAGGCATGGTGGCGTGCACCTGTAGTCCCAGCTATTTGGGAAGCTGTGGTGGAATGGCTAGAACCCAGGAGTTTGAGGTTGCAGTGAGCTATAATTGGGCCACTGCACTCCAGCCTGGGCAACAGAGTGAGAGCACCCCACCCCAAAAACATTTTTTTAATAAAAAATAAGGAACTTGATATATATCCCTAAAATAATTTAAGTAGTCTGAAACTCCTTGAATCTAATATACTTGTTGGAGAGCCAGTATCCATCCACCATCTCCTACCTGGATTCTAAGCTAGCTTCAAAGCAACGGACTGGCAGTGTGCATGAGAAACGAAGACAACAGAAAGCACGTCCACAGAGAATAGTGAAGATGGAAAATACGGAGCTGTTGTGAGCCTGATATGTCTGGGCACAGGCTGTGTTGCTCTGATCAGCCATAGGTGCCCAGAACCATGCCTGCCTGTAATACGGAACCATGCCTGCCTGTATTAACCACTCAAATTCCCTATCCATGAGAAAGCAACAATGAAGCAAGGACATTTTGGTTAGTGAGGCCCATGCCACAGATGCCCTCAATTTCTTCCCTCAACTCACCATGCTTGAAACATCCACAGCCATAACCGATTTCTAGTGTACTCTTTCATTTATTCAGTAGAAGCCACTCTCCTAATTCAGGCATGGAATTCTTAGGGACCTGTTCCATCCATACTTTGTCAGAATACAGTCCCTTTTCTATTTCCCACATTCAATAAGTTTAGATACTCTTCATTATTCCCTGCAATAAATAACTACTTTTTCCCGATTAGGTAACTAGAAGAACTGCTCAACAGCTAGGAGGATCAGAGGCTGTTCCTACTCATGGAAGCAGATAAGGACAACACTGTCAGTTTCCTCACCACTTTGCATCTATCTCAAAAAGAAGGTGAAAATACCAGCTGAAAGCATACAGTCAAAGGCACCAGTTTTAAGGAATACAAGTCAGAACGTTGAGTTGGGGCCTGTTTGTCATTATTTCCTACTAATCCCAAACCAAGGACCTCTCACCATTTACCCATTCCATTATTTTTGTCTTTTTGTTTCTTTAGAGACAGGGTCTCACTCTGTTGCCAGGCTAGAGTGCAGTGGCACAATCATAGCTCACTCACTGCAGCCTTGAATCCCTGAGCTCACTCGATCCTCCTGCCTCAGCTTCCCCAAGTAGCTGGGACCACAGGCGCTTGACACCAGGCCCAGCTGTTGTTTTATTATTATTTTTTTTTTATTTTTTACAGAGATGGGGTCTTACTTTAGTGCCCATGCTATTCTCAAACTCCTAGCTTCAAGCAATAATACACAGTTCTAAGTCCTGTGGATATAATTTTCATCAAGACATGAGCAGTTTACATTCCAGAGGGCAGACAAGAAAATACATTGAAATATAAACAAATTGGAACACTTCGAGAGTGACAGTGATATGACAAAAAATAAGCTGTAGTTAACTAGGGAGCAACTGGGGGTTGGCAAGTGCTGTTTCACAGAGGGGATGAAGGAGGGCCTCTCCAAGGAAGAGAAATTTAATCCTGAAGAAAGAGAAACAGCCATCTTTGGGAATATCTTGGGAAAAAAAATTCTGGAACAGATAGTTAGAGGGTATCACTGCCTCCACAGCCTCTTTTCCTCTCCTGTGGATACTTTTGGCCTGGGTTTTATGTAGAAGTAACTCTGTATGAGCTTTGGGGCCAGACTCAGAATTCTTTCCCCACTTCTTCCTTCCATTTCTATATTTTCTCCATCCTTTGAATAAATCAACTCCTGAGACATCACACAGGCACACACACACACACAGAAGTAAAGGCCTTGGTTTGGAAGAGCCAGGAAAGGTCATAGGCATTATCCTTCTGACCCAGGGCATGGTGTTTACATTTTCGCTTCTACTTATCACTGCATCTCAATGATACTCCTCTGTGGGAGGGAAGCCAACCCTCTGTAGACAGGTGTTCCCACCGGGGTTTCTTCTGAGGATAAGCTGACAAGTTCCAGTGCATTGAGAGATGCATGACTTAGTCCAGATTAGTCCATTACCTGGCTGGGGCTGTCCACTTTCTACTTTCAACAGACATTATCAATCCATTCCAGCACTTTCTCCTTCTAGGACATGACATCATGATTTACATAGTTTAAAAGCTAAAGTTATAAAACAGCTAAATAGAGATACTTTATTGAAAAAAAAATTCCACTCCAACGTTAGGGGGAGAAGTCTCTCATAGGTGTATTCAACATATGAATGCCTCAGGAAATATTTTAGGAGGCCATTTATTACATAAGGTAGGTACACATTGTGTGGGGGAAAAATGAAGACTAGACAAAATTCTTAGGGCTATTTTCCCAAAAGCCTGGAAGAAAGGGTCATTTTGTAATTAATAATGAGTCAGAATCTATAACAGTGGTTTTAAATTATTGGTCAATCTAACAAAAAATATGACAGAAGACAAAATGGGGGTATTAGATTGCGTAGGAGAGTCACCCCTTAGAGGCCTCTTCAGAGACTATTTTGCAGGAGCTCACAGGACAAAACTGGCAGAACAAGAAATTCCCTTCATCCTAAAGAGACCCTTGAAAAAGAAGAAAAGGGATGTGGCTACTCAGGCCTGAGAGACGGTCACTGTCATCTACCTATATCTTGTTGTTAAAAATAACTAATTTACTTTCAATATAAAAAGATAGCATTATAGAAAATGTAGCTTAAAAAGTAAAATGTACAAAGTAAAATGTAAAAAACATTTAATTCAACTACCCTAATAGAGCTTTATAAATCATTTCTCCCTACATTTTATTTTGAAAAGTTTAAAACTTACGAATACATTGAAATGAGGACCAACAATATGTAATCACCACTCACTAACATGTTGCCATATTCATTTTCTCCGTCTCTCTCTCCCTCTATATATATATATATATATATATATATATATATATATATATATATATATATAGGTTTTCCCCATTAGCTGTTTATAAGCAAGTTGCACACATCATGACTGTAATACTCCTGAATAATTCAGCATGTACCTCCTAAGAACAACTTTGTTCTACAAAACCTCAATATCATTTCTCATCCAATAAATTTAATATTGATGTATTATTATTTACTATAAAGTCAAGATACGATTTTCCCAACATGGCTGTTTCCTTTAAAAAAAAAATCTATGTTGTAATCAAGGATCATGCATTTTTAATCTTTTTGTTTCTTCAGTCTCCGGTAATCTAAAACAGTCTCATCACATTTTGTTTTGTCTTTTACAGCGTTGAAATATTTGAAAAGGTCACCAGTTTTCTTATGGCTTTTAAAATTTTGATTTATTTTCTTTCATATTTTTGATGCAGTTTTAATTACAGAATACTCACAATTTTCAAACATGTCCTTTTGTACTAAATATTATTAACAATATAGCACATAAGCATTTTCTATGTTGCTCCATAATCTTAATCATCATTATCACCTTTGACAGGTTTAAAATGCCCCATCAAAAGAATGTATTAGAATTTAATCACCCTTTAATGTTAGGCATTTGGGTTATTTAAAATTGCAAATTATATTGTACATCATCATGAACATCTTAATGCAGTTAACAGGGTCCTTTTTTCACATTCTTAATACATACTGCTTTTCAAATGCATGTTGCTTGTACTAAATCATAGATTGACTAAATTTTTAAAAATGATTATTGTTCACATTAAAACAAAAAACAATAAGACACCCTGAAATTCACTGGTGTTTTAATTTTAGTTTCTTTGACTCAGAGGAGTTGCTATTAAATAAATTAACAAATGTATATGAAATATAAGCAGAACACAAAAGGAACTGTAACTCCAGAGTTCTAGTGTTGAGACTGACACATTATGTCCCAGTCTGAGTGTGAGCTGGTCAGCTTCATACACACGAGAAGCCTATGTATGAGAAGTGACTTACATTCTCAAGCTTCACAGTCAATGCCGACCCAATTTAACCACATAGGCTTCTGGTCTGTTAAATCTTTGAGGACAAAGACATCTTACTCCCTCTGTATCCCCAGCAACCTGTGCTTAAAACTTAGTAGATATTTGTTTTATATTGGTCGAGCTTTGTCTCACTTCTCCTATCTATCCTAGGTCCCAACCTTTCCATCTCCCATGGCCAAGATCCCAACATACACAGTCCTTGGGACATTCTAGCCATCTTTAATCCTAGACAGAGCTGCAGCTCTGCGATTCTGTCTTTTGCCTGTCAGGCTAAGCCTAGTTGGATTCCAAGAAAGGAAAAAATAGTTAAGTTTCCCTTCATCTCTTCTCTTTTCCTAGCCAGGAATCTTTCTGGTTTCCTCTCCTTTGAGCCCTCTTGGTCCTCTGAGATCCGCAGTCAAAACAAGAAGCCACTGAACTTAACAGGACTTGACTGTGATGGCACACACGTACCCTTCTCACATTAAAAACAAAGAAAAGAAAAAGTAGCTCCAGCCTCAAGGATGCTTTCATAAGAGGACATTGTTCCCAGACCGAACCGGGTCTGGCTGTGTGTTCTTGTGGCCCAATAACAAGATGCAGACAAACTGGAAAAGAAGAGAGTTTATGTCTGTAACCAGGTAAAGGGAGAAGGTCAGAGATAATTCACCAGACCAACTCACAATTGTAAAGTTTTTCCAGTGCTTATATATGTTTCAAACTATATACCTACATGTAGTAACATACTTGCCGATCTCTATGCCTGATTAATTTTGTTGTAACTGAAAGGTAAGAGGCCAGAATTATCCCCTAAATCTACTTGACCTATGAGGGCCCTGGTACTGGAGTGATTACTTCTATCTTATCTTACCTACAATTTGGGTATGGAAAGTTACTTCAAACCCCCCAGAAATTTACTCAACCCAAGATGGGTCCCAAGGAGCACAGGACTATCTTTATTATCTTGACTTACCCCAGGTTTCAGGAGAAGCCTGAGCAAGGCTCTTATGGAACATGTTTCATTTCTGGCTTTGGTGCCAGGGCATCAATTTCCCTAGGTTTAATTATTAACTTAATGTGAAGGCAGATGCTGTGGAAGTTTGCCTGTATAACTGGAGTGCTATGGAGGCCTGTCTGTGTGACTGTTAGGAAGAACTGGTCTGCCACACCACATGGTGTTGGTGAAAGCAGCGGCATCTCTATTTGCTTGTTCGTTTAGAATCCCACTGTAGTACTGACTTGGAATTCCACTAACACATAGTGCTAATTATTCCATCAATTCCTAGCTGGTCTTCTTTCTTGTAATTGGCACCTCCTACCTATGGAGATAAGTAAGAAACAAGTCATCCTCTCTGCACCTTGGACAGCAACCTCAGCATAATGCCCTCAGGCTTTTTTTTTTTTTTTTTCCCCATAGTTTTGGGGATTCCATGACATTGTAATACAGTTGATTCTCAGTATCAGTAAATTTTATATTTGCAAATTCACCCACACGCTGAAATTGATTGGTAACCCCAACATCAATACTTATGGCGTTTTCACAGTCATTCACAGGAATATACAGTGCACCAAACTATTTGAATCACCCAATGCACGCATTTGCAGCTGAGGTCAAAAAGGGTGATGCCCTACCTTCTGGTTTCAGCTCTCATATTTGAACGTGTCCTTTTCTCAGACTATTTAACACCTGTACTTTTGGTTGGTGGTTTTGCAGTTTAAAATAACTCCTATACATATTACTAAAGTGCTGTGTCATATTCCTAAGTGCAAGAAGGCTATGATGTGTCAGCCTTCAGGAGAAAGTACATGTGTTAGAGACGCTTTTTACAGGCATTTGTCAGCTCTGATTTCAATATTACTGAGTCAACAATATGTAATAATAAAGTGTTTTTAACCAAACATATACACAAAATAAGGTTATGTTGTGACTGGAGGGGTATAGGTAACTAACGCTGTATTTTGCTCTAGAAGCAGTGGTTCAGTATTCAGTAATTCAGTGTTTGTGGTGATTTTATAGAATATAAGTGCCGTGAATAAAGAGAATTGGCTGCATCTACTTTTGTTTTTTGTTTTTGAGACGGAGTCTCACTCTGTTGCCAGGCTGGAGTGCAATGGCGCAATCTCGGCTCACTGCAACCTCCGCCTCCTGGGTTCAAGGGATTCTCCTGCGTCAGCCTCCTGAGTAGCTGGGATTACAGGTGCATGCCACCACCTCCGGCTTTTTTTTTTTTTTTTTTTTTTTGAGATGAAGTCTTGCTCTGTCGCCCAGGCTGGAGTACAGTGGCACGATCTCAGCTCACTGAAACCTCCACCTCCTGGGTTCAAGCAATTCTCCTGCCTCAGTCTCCCAAGTAGCTGGGATTGCAGGCGCCCACCATCACACCTGGCTAATTTTTGTATTTTTAGTAGAGACAGGGTTTCACCATGTTGGACAGGCTGGTTTCGATCTGTTGACCTTATGATCTGCCCACCTTGGCCTCCCAAAGTGCTGGGATTACAGGCGCCCACCACCACACCTGGCTAATTTTTGTATTTTTAGTAGATACAGGGTTTCACCATGTTGGCCAGGATGGTCTCAATCTCTTGACCTTGTGATCCGCCCACCTTGGCCTCCCAAAGTGCTGGGATTACAAGCGTGAGCCACTGCACCTGGCCTGTTTTTTTGTTTGTTTGTTTGTTTGTTTTAAGATCTGTCTTTCCAAGTAGAATTTAAGCTCTGTGAAAGCAGGGACTGAACCTGCACAGTAACATGGCTACATCCCTATTGCCTAAAACAGTATCTGACAAATAGTAGGTGCTCAACAGATACATGTTGAATTGTACTGAACCAGAAACTGTTCGAGGATATGGACTATTTTTCCTTGCTTCTGTGCCACTGGTTTATAGCCAGGCTATACTAGTACACTGTGAGTTCTTAGTAAAAGTTCAATAAATGTATAAAGGAATGAATGAAGAGACTATGAATGTCTTATCCAAAAATAGCAAGACCTGGATTTCAGCAGGAGCTTTTCATCCAGGAACACTAAGTACTACTCTGCTGCTATTTTGTCACTATTGCCTTGTTTGTAACATTAGCCTTAAGACAGACTTTGGTTCACAGCTTCGATCTTTGATGTATGATTGCACTGCATTCATAATATGCTCCAGATTGCTTGCATCTATAATATATTGAAATTATAAAATGCACAAAAGCTTTTCAGTGCCCAAAGTGCATAAGAAAAAGTAGAAATCTGATGTGGTAATTTAATGCATATCTATTTTTTTCCAAAGTAAAACATATACACCATCAAAGTACCTAGATTTTAACTTAGCCAAGCTTAAAGATGTTTTAAGACAGAGACTTTGTCTGTTTGTTTCAAATATGCCATTTAAGAACGACGTAAACCTCTGTTTGATGCTTTACATCTTAAAGTACAAATTAGTTTTTTCTTTTGTTTTTTTTTTTAAGAGACACTAGAACGTTCATGTACTCTTTTCATGACAGAACTGAAAATTGATTTCTCAATTTAGCCAGGCTGTTTTGGCCATGTTTAGATGCAAAAAGAGGGGGAAAAAAAGAATGCTGTGGCTGAAAAGTTACAAAGGAAATCTGATGAGTTATAATAAGGGTTAGCTTTAAATACAGTAACCCATAGGAGAATACTGAAAAAAGGGATGGAAAAAAAGGATGGCAAAGCTCATGAAGTTCCCACATATTTTTCTTTTGTTCTATTCATCTCTAAGACCCTCCTAGAGCTGACAATGACTTCAGAGAGCAAAGTGAAACTGCATTTGCAAAAGTTATATCAGTGAGAAAATTCTAACAGTAAGCGAGCTAACTCAACCCCCATCTTGTCTTTCCCTTAATTATTGCTGGGCTATTGGGCCAAGCTAACTTTGGAAGACATTTAGGCTACAATTTAAATGATAATAGGCCTTGCCCAAAACTCAACCACTTTTGTAAAGCTAAAGGGAGGCCACCAGGCTAGGAGGAGGAGAGGGAGAGGAGGCTGAGTCCTGCTAAGGCTCAGACATGCATGATTGTCAGCCATTATTCCAGAGATTCTAAGACATGCAATTTCCCCAATTACACCTGCAAATAACACCACAATTGTAGACTGGCCTTTTGAGATAGCTTTTCTGTTTGTTTTGCATGTCTGACACTCATGGCTCCCCGTGGATCGCCAGCGCCCCCACTCTTGTGGCCCCACCCAGAAGCAATTTAGTCCTCAGGAAGACAGCTTTGGCCCACTATTTCATCTCTGTCCCAACCAATCAGCAGCAAGCATCTGTTACCTGGCCACTCCCACCCCTTCCCTTAAACTGTCTTTGAAAAACCCCTAACTTGTGAGCTTTGAACGAGATAATATGAGTGCAAACTCCATCTTCCACGTGGTATGGCCGGCCTCGTGTCTATTAAGCTTTTTTTTGTTTGAGACAGAGTCTCGCTTTGTCGCCCAGGCTGGAGTGCAGTGGCGTGATCTTGGCTCACTGCAAGCTCCGCCTCCCAGGTTCACGCCATTCTCCTGCCTCAGCCTCCCGTATTAAGCTCTTTCTCTATGACAATGCTGTGGTCTTTCTTTATGCAGTGGGCAGGAAGGGCAATTACAAAAGGCTTCTCTATGGTAACACATCCCAAAAATATTGAGTGCCAACTATACATTGCACACTTCCCAAGCACTAGAAAAAAACTGTCTCTGCCATCCTGATACTTAAAGTTCTAATGTCAGAAACACACATGAGAAATTAGTGCTTCACCCTGGTTGTGTATGAGGAGGGAATAGTAGAGAGGTCATGAGAGGGTGCAGCAGGAACATCTCACTTGTCTGGAGGGATAGGAAGGCCACTTGGAGCAAGTGACTAGAAACTAAAACCAACCAGAGCAAAGAACAGGAAACCAGTTAAGGAAAAAAGGCAAAGAAGGACATTACCGAGAGGGAAAAACTAGTGTGAGGATCCTCTTCAAAACTGTGAATATTTCCCTGTGGCTTCTCAAGTACGACTGCTTTAGCATTAAAGGCTTTTTATGAGAACGTTCATTAGAAAGCTAAATAATCATAGACATTCTGACTTGTTCATTCTTCTGTTTCTGGTACTGTTACTGAACCACACTGGTACTGGTACTCTCTGATCCAGACCCCAAGAAAGGGTTCTTGGCTCTTGCAGAAGAAAGAATTCAGGGTTAGTCCACAGTGCAAAGCGAAAGCAAGTTTATTAAGAAAGTAAAATAAAGAATGGCTATTCCATAGGCAGAGCACCCCAAGGGCCGCTGGTTGCCCATTTTTATGGTTATTTCTTAACTATCTGCTAAACAAGGAGTGGATTATTCATTCCTCCCCTTTTTAGACCATATAGAGTAACCTCCTGATGTGGCTATGGCATTTGTAAACTGGTGGGAGGGTAGCAGCGAGGATGACCAGAGGTCACTTTCATCACTGTCTTTGTTTTGGTGGGATTTGGCCTTACTGCATGCTATTTTATCAGCAAGGTCTTTATGACCTGTATCTTGTGCCAACCTCCTCTCTCATCCTGTGACTTAGGCTGAGTAGTCATCCTAAGTAGTGATGTAGGATTTTTACTCCTTATTTCAGTTAAATCCAGGTTCTTATCTCACAACCAGGAAGAATTAGGCACATGAACACACTGAAGAGTGAGGAGGGCAGAATTTATTAAGCGAAAGGAAAGCTCTCAGCAAAGACAGGGATCCTGCAAGCAGGTTTCCACCTCACAAACTGAATACCAGGGTCACCACACAGGAGCCAAAGATGCCAGGCTCTTCCCCTGAATAAGATGTTTGTTTCTGGTGGCTCCACCCCATTCCCCCAGTGCATGTGGGCCTCCAGTCCACTGCCCCCTTGTCTGCACAAAACATCTGTTGTAAACACTTGTGGGGTGGGTCAGATTTTCCGGGGACCCTTCCCTATCTGCCTAGCCATTTCTCTGCCTCCTGCCTCTATCATTAGAGTACCTTAACCTCCTGGGAATGCAGCTCAGAAGGTCTCAGCCTTATTTTACCCAGTCCCTATTCAAGATGGAGTTGCCCTGGTTCAAATGCCTCTGACACTACCCTGAATTTGTTATGACAATCTGCAGGTTTATTGAAGTTTTATTTATTGAAGTAATTTATGTGGCCCTGCCTACCTTTCCAGCCTTGACTTCCAGCACTGTCTGACCCTCCTCTCCACGCACCTTTGGAAACAAAGTATACCTTTATATTGCCCTGCCCTCTTCTTAAATTGTCTCACACTGCATGGTCCAAATCAATGCCCCTTCCACTGAAAAGCCTTCCCAGGCTTAGCACAGTACATCCTCTTCCAAGACAAAATTAGTCTTTGTAAAATATCTTTAAGCACTCATCACAGATATGTAATAGTTTTTTTGCATTATAAGTTCTATAACAATAAAGATTGTATCTGACTCATTTCCCTGTTCCTGGCACAAATGGGGCAAACACTTCACACATTTTCTCTAAGGTTATCTAGGCTGATGCTTCTCCATTCTCTTGAAGTGGATCACTATTTTCTCCAAATATGGTAACAGGTTTGCTGCCTCACCATCCACTGACCTACCTCCCTTATTCACCATTAGGAAGGGGTGCCAATTTGCTTTGGCAGGGGCGGGGGGGGGGT
Source organism: Homo sapiens (assembly GCF_000001405.40). Taxonomy (NCBI): domain Eukaryota; kingdom Metazoa; phylum Chordata; class Mammalia; order Primates; family Hominidae; genus Homo; species Homo sapiens. Next base: position 7,734,259 of record NC_000003.12, read on the forward strand.
TTCCTCTCAATGTGAGTTTAGTTTATAAATTCATGCTTTATCTTCATCTCACTGAGTAGAAAAAAAGGATATGCCAATCCCTTGCTGATGACACATGGCAGCTTTAATATATTTGTTAAAAAATGTGAATATACAATGAATGAGAAGTGAGTAAATGTTAAAGTGAACAGCTTACAGATTCCCATGTCTGCTTTCAATGTTAGCATGTAGTAAAGTTCCTGGTGTTTAATATGTGTTAAGTAATATTTTGTTAGATGAATGGCTGAGTAGTCAACAGAAATCCAGATTTGGGAGTTTTTGCCACTGGATTGGAAATTATGGTGATTTGAAATACTGAGTTATTTTTCTGACTGATCATGTTTTTACCCCTGCCAAGTTTCTTGTGTCAACAAATCCAGGTACCAAACATATGAGCAATAGCCTCACATTCTCCTGGGAGATGGAGAAAGTCTCCATTGTTTTATAGTTCAGAATTGAACTGGTATAATTGGGAATGTCTCCATTTTTTTGGTAGTCATGTTCTTCATTCTTTAGCTTTGTATCTTCTCAAGTTGAGGAATGTGCTAAACTGAGTAGTAAATTTAAAAAAGGATTTAAGAGAGATCATTATAAAATGAATTGCTTCTTCTTTGTAAGATACAGGAAGTTTAGTAGCTTTCTTGAAGTCTCAAATGAGAATTGAGATGTTGAAGAGAACATCTACTCTTTTGCTATTTAGTGATGGGCTAAGGGCAATTTACTAATGAAATGAACAGGCAGGAAACAGGCCATTGACTACAGAAGTAATTACAAAAAAAAGTACTTCTTTTTATTTTAGTAACTGCAAACCATAATATAAAGAATCCCTCCCAGTTGAAATAGTTATAAGTAAACAACAACTGTGAATCATGTTTAATAGGGAAGCATTAGTTGGCAGAGTTGGTGGGGGAAGAGGCACAGACAGTGCTTTGAATGGTTTCATACAAAAGTTAGTTTGGACAAAGTTGTATCAGGCAATAATCCAACATGCAGAAGTTTGGTGAGATTTACAAATGACTAAAGTGATAGGCAGGGTTAAGGTTTAAGAAATATCCCCATGTACTTCCAAAAGTATGTTCTTACATAATGCAAAATGATCCACTAAAAAGGGGAGCAGGAGAGGGTGCAGACAGGATTACAGAGTTGAAAACAAGCAGCCTAGAGATGCTATCTAGCCTCTGGTCTCTATTTCTTTTTTGATTTGCTAAATGGTTTTAATATGCTCTTAAAACTTTTATTGAAAACTGAGGTATTTCTAATGCTCAGAATATAGCCCAACACATAATACATGCTCAATAAATATTTGTTAGATGGCTGAGTGAAAAAATGAACTTTTACATAAAATTATACAGTCAAGCTCCTCCTCAAAAAATGTACTATAAAGTCCTATTGTGGTAACATCCCACATAATTATGCCTTTTAGATGGGGCAGGTGATTTCTAGTTCACTATGGTCTGTATCCTTCCTTAATATCTTACACCTGGCTCACTTTGCACCTTTATGTGCCTAGCCTCTGTAAGAGAATTTTTTCTTGGAGAATCACACAGAAAATTATTATATTAAAGGCTTTTGAAATCCTAAGCATGTCTATGTGTACATATGAAAGTATCTCAGGTCTAGATCTAGAAGTGAAATTGCTGATTCAGTGGTATGCATAGCTTTAGGTTTTCTAGATATTTCCAAATGGCTCTCCCATATAAATTTACCAACTTATATTTATACCTTAGTGTTGTCTGAGAGTTCTCACTTTTTCACACCCACCAATGCTTGGTATTAGTTCATTTTTTCTTTTGTAATGGTACAGGCATTAAATGCTATCTTATTAATGTTTTAATTTCCACTTCTCTAGTTGATGAGGTTGAACAATTTTCATTTATTTGATTTCTTCATCTACAAATTGTCTATTCATCTTGAATCTATGTTTTTAAAAATTAGATTGTTTCTTATTTATTCCTTTGCATAAGTTAAAAAAATTTAGATATCAATCTTTTGTCAGTTAAATACATGACAAATGTTTTATCCTGCCCTATAGCATTGTCATTCAACTTTGTTAAAAATATTGTTTTGTAGGTATCATCTACTGCAGCATTGCTTATTTCAAAAACATTAGAAAGCAGAGTCTATCAATAGGAAAAGAGTTACAGAAAATCTGTTATGCTAACATTAATATATAGAAAGCTATATAGTTACTATGATTATTAAATCAATGTAAGTAAATCTTAAAAACACAATGTTATATGAAACCAGATTTCAAGTGGATATGCAAGGAATAATTTGCACAACTTAAAACACAGAAATCCATATAGCTATAGTTTATGGACAACACTGTAGTAGCAAGAGCACACATCCCAAGTTCAGGATAGTAGATACTATGGGGGGATGGGGAAGAACATGGAGTGTAAAGGGCTTTGATTGCATCTTATTTCCTATGAGTGGATGGAGGGGCACCTGAATCAAGATGTCAGTATGTCAAAGTGTTATATTCAGGGCTTATATAATATTTTGTTATATTTTGTTTTTATCCTTTTTGGATGTTTAAATCACTTCATGTATGTTCTTATTCACATACACATCTATACACACATTCTTCAAAAAGAGCTGAGGAGAACACATGGTATATAGTTAATAAGCTACAGTATTTCTTATCACTTAAAATATAAAGAAATTAAATATGGGGTGGCAACAGGAAAGAGTACTGTTTAATATCACTTATTCAGTGTTTCTCAACATAATATCTATGAGGCTCTCTTTTCTATATTTTTCTTCACTTCCTTGAATCTGGGTTACGCGTGTTCCATAGAATGCACTTTGAGGAATGAAATTTTTGTAAGACAAAAAAGCTCAGAGAAAAGCAAAGATAAAGTAAGAAGCTCAATAAAGTTAATGTCAAATTGAGTGTTGATTTTGACAAGACATCAAGAATGAGTTGGAATATCTTACCTTTCTTAAGTAGCAATGGTGTATTAATAATTCATTTCATAAACCAGTATTCTTAACACTACCTCACTGTAAACATTGACTCTTCAGGATACCTTGTTTTGAGAACTACTTATGTAGATAAGTAGATATAACTTTAAAAAGTTAATAGGGACAATGCCATATACTATTATTCTTTAAAATCTGTAACTTTATAAGAGAAAAACATACTATTTTAAAATAAAAAGTATATTTCCTTAGCAAGTGCTTCATTGCGCAACTATTTTGAGCTCAGTAATTTTCTTTCCTGACCATAAACTACATTTCTAGTGAAATAAATGGAATTATCAGACACCACAGGCACTTATTTTATTTACTCACAGGACTAGAATGGTTTAAAAATAAACCTAATACATTGGACATTGCTGTGAAAAGTACACAAATTGCCCTTCTAGGACCTGCATAAACTTCATTATAATTTTGGGGCAATGTTCCTAGCAATTCTGCAAAGAAAGCATGTACTAAGCCTTATCATTTGCATAGAACTCTGTAATTTAAAAATACATTTATACATTATATTCCCAGATGAGAAACGGGTATTTTGTACATTGGTGATATCAACAGTGCACCAGGTAAAAATTATTCTCCCAATTTTTTTTTTTTTTTTTTTTTGACACAAAGTTTCGCTCTTGTTGTGCAGGCTGGAGCGCAATGGTGCAATCTCAGCTCACTGCAACCTCTGCCTCACGGGTTCAAGTGATTCTCCTGCCTCAGCCTCCCGAGTAGCTGGGATTACAGGCGCCCGCCACCACGCCTGGCTAATTTTATGTATATTTAGTAGAGATGGGGTTTCACCATGTTGACCAGGCTGGTCTTAAACTTCTGACCTCTGATGATCCACCCGTCTCGGCCTCCCAAAGTGCTGGGATGACAGGCATGAGCAACCATACCCGGCCTCTCCCAATTTTACAAAGGCTACAACGAGTTCATTATCAAGACACTGGGCAAGGTCACATTCAAGTAAGTGACAGAGCTGAATCAGAACCCAGGTCAGGTGAGTCCAACTGCAGTATTGTCTTCCTATTATAGCATGGAGACAGAAATAAAGATTCAACCATCAGGCAGCCTAGTTCTGGATTGCTTGTTCCTCTGAGCCTCAGACCCCTCCTATGTAAAATGGAGATCATAAACAGTGCTCATCTCAAGGCCACAGAGAACACAAGAAGATAATCTAAGTAAAGCATCAACGGAATGCCATTATTTTTATATCCAATTTTTTTAAACATAACCTCATCGTGATTTTAACTTAATCCCAGCCAATGCTCAGCTTTACAATTTGGGGATCATATTTTCTAACCTACTTATTCTTTTGGTAAAAACTCTTCCTGAGAAATTAGTGTTTTATAGTAATCAATTTAAGGAAATTCATTTTTGTTTTTACTAGACAGTTATGCTACAGAAAACAGTCTTAATTAATCACACAGTAAAGGTGGTCTCAGGTATTTAGGTCAGTACAAGCTTCTGGGTTTTCTTTTTTTTTTTTTTTCCCCTTCTTTTGTCCTGAGGATAATTAGTGTGTTGATATTTGACAAGGCAAGCTGTGACTATTGCTTGCAACTGTCAGCTGAGATCTTCTAGCTATGACACTGAAAATAAGATTCAGAGTCAAGAAACATCTTTTGAAAGTTTTCCTCCTTGTACCCAAACCAAGCGTATTGTTGAAGACAACACTGGGATAATGGGAAACTTCCTGGAAGATTTGGGCATTATTGAGGCCATGTGTTCATCAAATGAGGACATACGGTGACTCAGTTCTCATCACCAGATTTTCCAGGAGGCCCTGAATTTCATAAAATTCTATTCTTATTTACCTTTTTGTATTTTAGTTAATAAATTCAGTATGGTTTAATATAGAAATAAGTTTCAAACAAAAATGAGGCTTCAAGTCAAAGTTTGTCAGAGAATCCCAATTTTTAATCCAGAAAAGAAGACCAGGCTTGTTGTATAGTGTACAGTACCCTGTGTAAGATCTATAATCATGTATGTACCTGTAACGTACTACTTGTATTATTCAAAGTTTAAATACAAACTCTCAGTATGTTAATATGACTTCTCCGTTCCTCCAAAATTGTATATGAATCCCTGCTTAAGAGTTCTTGAAGAGCTCTTGACATTTCTCTGTCTTGAGTGAACACTTCTATTTAGAATCTAAAAACAGTAAGCAAAATAAGCCATCAGTAAATGCTACACAAAAGTTACTCTGTGCCCAATAGAAACTGATGCAAAACTACCAAGATTTAGTGAATAAAGAATATATCACATCATTGCAACAGTATGACTTGGTATTGAGGACTAGAACCTAAACCAAAGGCACACTCTGGGATCCTGGTGTCTTTGTTTCCAGCATGAGGACATGAAATCTGCTGTGCTCATTGGCTGGTCTTCAGTGCCTAGCCCTGTGGCTGCAATACAGTAGATACATATTTACTGCCTGAGTGAGTGAGTGAAGGTGAGTCCTGAAATCACTGTACCAAGTAGAAAAATAATTTCTACATTTAGGGAAAACAAATGTAGAGTGTGTATGTGTCAGACACCTGACAGGTTTAAGTGAGCTTTACATCTTAATGGAAATAGTTCTGCAAATGACCATTTATAACTTACAGTTAACACTATACAAGTCAATCTGTAGTCTTTTGATTGTGTGAATCAGCACTAAAGAAGACACTCTGACCTAATCTGCATTCAACCTCAACTAATGTCAGTGACCCAGGACAGACCTTTTCCAAGCAAAGGCCAGTTATTATTAAAAGGTCTGTGAGAAGAGCACACAACGAAATATACCACAGTGTGAGTGAACCCTTTAAGTTAAGGGTTGATTGATTAGAAAGCATAACAACCACTGATAAATTTATTAATAGAGTATAAAGAGGGAAGCTGGAGACATCTCAGAGAAGAGAACGCAATTGATTTGAGAATCACTGGGAACCACAGATTTTGGTGGCCAAAGCCTTAGAGTCAGAGGAATCCAAAGTTGTCTGTGTGTGTTCTTCAGAGCTGTATCACCTCACTTTGACTTTGCACCTCAAGTGAAAAGTTCTAATTCTATTTCTACCTTTGCAAACAGGGTTATTACTGCAACTGACACTTTCTAATTTTTCTTTCAGGCCCTGCTGCAAAAAAGAAGTATGTCAGTTATAATAACCTGGTTATCTAACCTGTTCCATTCCATGGAACCATGGAGGAGGAAGACCCTCAGTTATTTTGTCACCCAACCTGGCATAGGACTCTTTGGTCCTACCCGCTTCCCATCACCGGAGGAGCTTCCCCGGCCGGGAGACCAGTGTTAGAGGATCCAAGCGACCTAAACAGCTGCTTTATGAAATATCCTTACTTTATCTGGGCTTAATAAGTCACTGACATCAGCACTGCCAACTCGGCTGCAATTGTGGACCTTCCCTACCAAAGGGAGTGTTGAAACTCAAGTCCCGCCCTGGCTCTTTAGAATGGACCACTGAGAGCCACAGGACCGTTTTGGGGCTGACCTGTCTTATTACGTATGTACTTCTAGGTTGCAAGGTTTTGAAATTTTCTGTACAGTTTGTGAGGACCTTTGCACTTTGCCATCTGATGTCGTACCTCGGTTCACTGTTTGTTTTCGAATGCCTTGTTTTCATAGAGCCCTATTCTCTCAGACGGTGGAATATTTGGAAAAATTTTAAAACAATTAAAATTTTAAAGCAATCTTGGCAGACTAAAACAAGTACATCTGTACATGACTGTATAATTACGATTATAGTACCACTGCACATCATGTTTTTTTTTTTAAGACAAAAAAGATGTTTAAAGACCAAAAACTGTGCTGAGAAAGTATGCCCCACCTATCTTTGGTATATGATAGGTTACATAAAAGGAAGGTATTGGCTGAACTGAATAGAGGTCTTGATCTTTGGAATGCATGCCAGTAATGTATTTTACAGTACATGTTTATTATGTTCAATATTTGTATTTGTGTTCTCTTTTGTTATTTTTAATTAGGGTATATGAATATTTTGCAATAATTTTAATAATTATTAAGCTGTTTGAAGGAAAGAATATGGATTTTTCATGTCTTGAGGTTTTGTTCATGCCCCCTTTGACTGATCAGTGTGATAAGGACTTTAGGAAAAAAAGCATGTATGTTTTTTACTGTTTGTAATAAGTACTTTCGTTAATCTTGCTGCTTATGTGCCAATTTAGTGGAAAAAAACAACCCTTGCTGAAAAATTCCCTCTTTCCATTCTCTTTCAATTCTGTGATATTGTCCAAGAATGTATCAATAAAATACTTTGGTTAACTTTTTTATTTTCTGCAATAAATATTTTTAGTTGTTTTTCCCATTAGTTACAGTTTATTTCATAAAGTCCTAAGTTAGAGAGCCATATGGACAGCCCAACTTTTTCAAGTAACATGCTTTAGCTCACGACTACAGCCATTTCTGAAAGGCATATTAAAAACCCAGAGGTGCTATGTTGTCTCATAGAAAAAGTCCTATCACAAAGTCCATGCAATTTTTTTCTTCGTAATTGAAGTTGAGACCTGATAACTCCAGATGTCTACTCAGCAAGTGGGAAGGGAAGAGGAAATATTAGCTTAAGCAAATAATAGTCTGGGGGCAATTTAGTGAAGAGATAAATATTTCTGCAAAATTTATCCAAAGGACATAAGTAAAAATAGCTACTATGTTGTCTTTGTATTTGCAAACAAATATGGTGGCCATATTATCAGTAGTGAGATTAAGACTTGGGATTCTCAAAACTCAACTGCAGGAAGTATCATCAGGATGAATTCATAGCACCTTGGCCCATCAGGAACTCAGAAGATTGTCTACTTGCAGAGGGGAACATTGGTTCCTAGTACTCAGGGCCGGGCCCCAAACAGTAAAATGTATTTAAAGGTTCTATGGTGGAGCTAACTGTGACTTATTTTCTGCTGTGACTAATAAAACTCATACCTGCATCTCATCTTTGGCATCTGCAGAACTCTTCCTACTGTGCCTTAGCTCCCACAGCCCAAGCAATGTGCTTAGAGACACTAGAAATTATTTCTTTTCAATATCCGACTAAAGAAAATCAAATGTATTTCCCCATTTTTCCCTACTCCTTAAATACCCTTCAACCAGTAGACCATAGGAAAATACAAATCAAAGCAGAAATGAGTTTTGGGTGATCCACATTTCCAAGTCATAAGGCCAAAGTGGTATAAAACCTGGCTCCTCCTCCTGCTAACTCTCCTTGGAGAAGTTACATAAACATTCTGAATTCTCCATTTCCTCAGGCAGATGACAGGTTAATCGTGCTACCAGTCTCATAGTGTTATGAGGGCTAAGAGAAAATCCATGCGTAGGACATAACAACAGTGCCTGGCAAATGGCTAACTCTCCATACATGTTAGCTATTATGACCACATGGCTATGACCACCAGCATCAACATCATCATGGTTGCTATATTTTCTTTTAAAAATAAAATCAAGTGTGCTATGCTTTCCATTCCAGACATGGAAAGAGAAACTTAAAAAGTACATGGGCAAGCCAGACTGTGTTGTGGCATGTGGTAGAAATCATTTCTTTCAAAAGAAATTATGTAAGAGTCTTTCCCGAGTACTCAAATGTACAACCATGCATTCAGGGAAGTAGCAAAAGCAATTCCATCTAGAATTGGAAAGAGCTACTTTCAAAGACCTTTGCTTTTCCTCTGGATTCCCAGGGGCAAATTGAGATAATGATCTGGATAGCGACAATGATAAAAAGTAAAACTTTTGCAGCACAATTTTTAAGAAATTGTTACTCATATATATAATATACTTTACATACTTTATGCATACTACATATATTACAATGTATACCTTATATATCAATTTATTTAGTCCTCAAAATGCAGTTCTAATCATCTTCCACAATGCTAATCTCCAACCCAGTAGTTAAGGTGTGGCTGTAGCCATAGAACAGATAGATTGGGTAACATTATCAATACCAGGCAGCACAATGAATACTCACTTCCCTCAGGTATGCAGGTCTCCTTGCTCTTCACCTGTACCAGGTATACCCCACCTCAAAGTCTTGGCATTTCATGATTCTCTTCCTAACACACTCTCCCCGAAATAGCTGCATGATTCTAAATCCTCATTTATTTCCAGTTTCTGCTAAAACATCATGTCTAAGGTCTTTCCTGACCATATCTAAAAGTACAGTCCTCCACCCAGCCCCCCAGTGAATCCATTAACCTGCTTCATTTTTCTTTACAACACTTATGATTATCTGACTTTTCAGATTTGCTTTCTTGTTTTCATCAGCCTCCTTCTGCAGTATTCACCAGGAGATCAGATATTCTGTTTTGCTCACCGTAATATCCTAGCACTTACAACAATGCTTGACAAGTGTTAGGGGTGGAAGGTATCTGAATTACCAGCAGCAAATTCATACATGTCTGCAGCAACCTCAGTTCTTACCTCCTCAGAATAAAGAATTCGACTAAGGGGCATAAGGTAGAGAAAGAGACCAAGACAACTTTCAGAGCAGAAATGGACATTTATTTTTAAAAGCTTTAGAGCAGGAAAGAAAGGAAAGTACACTTGGAAAAAGACACCATGAAGGTCAAGTGCAGCCTTTAACCTGGATGACCCACTCCCAGTGTCTTGAGACCCTTTCCCATAATTCTTCCCTTAAGATGGGCTCCCTGTATGCACAGTGCCCTCTTTGCCCACGGGAAGTGAGCATGTGCACTGGGTTAGAAAGTTGTATGCATGCCCTTCTGAGGCTTTCTTCCCTTTTCTGGTGGAGTGCCCTCAGAAGGTTATACTCCAACATTTTGTCTTTTAATTTGCATGCCTGGGAAGTTGCCTCTCCCTGGTGTCTGCATTTAATTAACACTTTACTGTGACAGCTGCGGACCTTCAGGAGATAAGTCTTTCCCTGGTGCCGGCTGGCTACCAAATTATCATTTTTAGAGAGGCAATGTGATACCTATTGAACCATAACCTGATAATTGCCTGACATTATTCCTGGTAGGTCGGGGGAAAGCCCTCTCCTGCCCCCTCTCCTTCAGCCCATGCCTGTCTAACTACCTGTAACACAAGTAGTAGGCACTCCATAAATATTTACAAATAAATCAGTGCAAGCAAGAATGAATAGATGAAGTGAAAGAGCTCAAGAATATCGAAGGAGGGCTGAGGGAGCCTGTGCTGCCAAATAGTTGTAGCCAGCCCCACATCAGGAAGGACTAGAGTTGGGACATTAAGGGCCAACAAGACTCAGGTAACCAAGAGGAAAGAAAAGGTGTACACATTTTACACTCAGCCTCAGTAGTAAGGGAGAAGCTACTGCTGTTGGATGGGGTTTCTTTTAATTGGAAAATGAACTTCTTGAGAAGTGCAGTGGGAACTTGATAGATATGCTGAATCACAAACACTTTCATCTGAAGGAAGAAGGGAGAGGACAGGGAGGTGTTACAGTAGGAAGGCACTGGATTCAGGATGAGAATGCCTGCGTTAGAGCACTAAGCTCCACTACTTACTAGCTCTGCAGTATCAGGTAATCCATGCATCCCTGGGATTCTCTGTATATTCACCTCTACAATGGCAGTAGGACATGAATTCAAGTACTTTCGTTAACCAGCTGACTCTATATGGACTTGTTCCAGAATGCTAGCTTTGCTTTCAATGTGTGCTAATCTAGACTGAACATAATAATGTAAAGCATGTTGGAGGCAGGAACTGGAGCCCCATGTAGAGAGAAGAATCACTCTATTGCTGTGAACACAGTTAAGGCAGCCTAAGGTATCCATCAGTGCACTTGGCAGCTGTACAAACAAAACAACCAGGATCCAATGGACTAAAATCCCACAATCCCTCTGCCAATTGTTACTGCCATATCATTCTCCATTTGACATTTTCCCTTTATAATTTATCCTCTTGTAAAATTTGCTTTATCATGCTCTGTCTGCAGTGTCTGTTTAGATCCTAATATGCATATATACTTTCTACTCTTCCAACCTCTGTTCCAGTGATAAACCCACCTTGCCAATCATCAGCTAAGGTACTGATAACATTCTGGAAAATGATGGTGCCTAGAATAGGGCCCTGGAAGTTTCTACCAGAGACCAGTGACTTTGGTGCATTCATCATCATTAGATAAGTATAGGTTTAGTTATTTTGCCATTTACAATACCCAAAATACTACAGGAACAACCAGTCTATTATTTTCTTTTGCACATAATAATAGTAAAATATGCCAAGACAAGGGGCATCTATCATGCGTTGTGAAAATGAAGACACTGGTATCTACAACATTTCTCTGATTTTCCATCACAAACGGGAAGAAATCAGACCAATAATATTATCAATTAACCTTGAAAGGCTCAGGGTTCCCTTTTATTCTCTCCAAGTGTTGACAGGATAATCTGCCTGATACTCTTCACTGGAATCCTGCCAGAGAATCAAATCAAGTTCATAGATTATTCCCAAGGCCTTTCCCCTTTGAAGTCTTGTACCCACCTCCAGACTGAGCAAAGCTCCCATTCTCCAAGACTTCTGAAGGGGAAAGGACTTATCTTCATACTTACAAACTTACCAATGCCTGAAATCACAAATTGGTTGCTGGCTCTGAATTTTACCTGGTGCGTTTATTTTGTTTGCATATTGCTTAGCTATCTGGTAATGTGAGTAATGGCCAAAGAGCTGTAGGCAATTCCAGTGACTAAGTCAGTTGTACAGAGCACCCAGTTCTCTCTTTCATGTGCTCTACCTGCTACTTGCCTTTCTTTGACCTGGAACCTTCACTGCTTTGTGACTTATACACCATTGAGTTTGTCTTTCCTTTTCCTGTCTAGTACCTTTCCTCTTTAAAAGAAGTCAGTAAATCCACCAATAAAGAGAAGGTGGAGGGAAAATACAAATTCTAATTTCTTCCCTATAACTTTTATCTATACAAATGCTTTTGAAACTTTAATGTGTCTGTGAATTACCTGGAGATCTTGGTAAAAATGTAGATTCTGATGCAGCAAGAAGGGCCCGGGATTTTGCATTTTTAGTAAGCTCTCCGGGGATGATCACACTGCTTCTCCCCGAACTAGAGTTTGGCTTTTGACCTAGATTGTACATTAGATTCACCTTGAAGTTTTAAAATATACCTATGGCTAGACCTTACTCCAAAGAATCCATTTAATTGGTCTGGGATAAGGCCAGGACATTTTTTTCTCTGAAAGCTTCCCAGGTGATTGTAATGTGTAGAGGGATGAGGATTAATATTCCACACGAGTGGGTCTCAAACTTCAGTGAGCATTAAGATTTCCCAGGGGGTTGATAACAATACAGTGTTGGTCCCATTCCCAGAGTTTGACTCAATTGGTCTAGGATGGGGCTGATAATTTGCATTCCTAACAATCTCCCAGATGATGGTGATGCTGCTTGTGGTCCATAGACCATACTTTGGAAAAATCCAAGCAACCAAACTGCTCTTCCAACATCTACCTTGCACACAAGGTTTAAAAAATCAAGAAAAAAAAAAAAGAAAACCAAAACCCAAACCTAGTACTTTCATTGACTCAAACATCTTGCAAACCTCCACTCCGGGACTTTAGGCTTCCTGATACTACCCCTGTAGTCTCTCGTCACTGTTTCACAGGAGTCTGCATTTACCACCCACCACCCACCAGCTTTTGTAGGATGTGGTTCCATGGAAAGTTTGCTATGTATTCACATTTATCTCTTTAAATTATTTCTCTGCTCTTCTTCCCTGGGGTCATGACTAGAGATTGAGAATTCTACTCCTATGTGCCTTCTCTTTCCCTTGGCTCTGCCATCTTCCTGCTTCTGGTCTCAAGTTCATTAAGAAAGTTACTTTTGCCTTTTTGAAATCTGTCTCTCCAAAGCATCACCTGTCCATTTGGCTATGTCCAGGCCACTATCCCCTGGCTAAGGAGCTCTGATGACATTGATCTTTTCCTCCAAGATTCCTCCTCTCTAGGTCCTCCTTGCTGGCTCAAGTAAGATTCAGAAAAGCAATTATTTTCTCTTAACTGGCCCTTGGGTATAATAACAGACAGTGGAAGGATATTTAATCAACAAATGTGTTGAGCACTTACAATATACCAGGCACCATTCTTCATCCCTGAAGACACAGCGGTTACATAAGAAACCAAATCCCCTGCCATAGGGGAGCTGGCATTCTAAAGGACATGGGCAGCATTTCTCACATTCTCCACTTTTATCCAGAGGTTACTGCTGCAAGATGCACAATCAGATCCACTGAAGAACACTCCAACTCAGAGTTGTACTTTCCTTACTGTATTTCTTCTGTTTCTCTACTGTGCCCTCACTTCTCTCTACTGTGCCCTCACTTCTATTTAAAAAACTTGGATGTTCCAATGCTTTATTTTGTTTGCTATTACTTTATGCTTTAGCCCACCATCCTGAGGGCTCCAAAAAGATATGAAGATCCAAGCAGGCAAATCCCCAGCTGTCTACACACCTGGCTCCATAGTTGAGAAATTGCTTTGTCTCTCAACTGCAGAAAACTATTCACTATGAGAAAGGGAACTAGTGTTTTCCTAGGGAGCAATTATTCTAACTTTGAGTCAGCCAGCCAGCTAGCAGCATCCATTGTTGGAGTAATTGGCATATTTTTTTAACCTTGTTCTTCTAACAAACAGGGCTCTCCTGCAAAATCTGCATCTGGCTATTGAGCTGAACAATGACCGAGTGCATCTTAGTAATGGCCATCCTCCCAGTGAACATTTATAACTAAGTAAAATTGGGTCAGGCAAATCAGACTGGTCTTTGAGCCAATGGGGCAGAGCTGCCTTCGGAACTACCCAGACATTTGGTTCATAGAGACAGTATAGAGACAAATGTACTCAGCACTGTGCCAAACAATTCATATCCATCACCCCATTTAAACCTGAAAGAAAACAGCTCTATTTGGGGACTATTATCCTAATTTTAATAAAAGGACAGATTGGCATAATAATTTTCATGTCACACAGTTGATAAATGGCAAAGCTGGAATTTGAACTCATATATCATTGGCCCAGAACTCTATACTATTAATCACTAAATTAGAATGCCCAGAACATGATTTCTTATTTGCCCAAGAACAGCAATCACAGACAACATATATAAAGTAATAAACCCCTAACCAGAATGAAATAAGATTTTTTTTTACAAGAGAAGCAAATGTGTGGACAGAACATAATAATTATACTAAGATTGACTATTAAACAGCACTGAAAGTGATTCAGAAGAATGAATGTTATAGAGAAGTGCTCAGTTATTTTCAAGATGATCTCAACTACATAAATGCACATATACATGCCAAGAAAAAGCATGAAAGAAATATACAAAATGGTTTACGCAATTATGAATTATTATTTACTCCATTAAATTATTATTTACTCCAAAACAACAGAAAATTTTGATTACATTAAAATCAAGGCTAGTGTTCATCAAAAAACATTTTGGAGAAAGTGGAAATAAAGATACAACCCATGAGAAGATGATATAGTTTGGCTGTGTCCCCACCCGAATCTCATCTCGAATTGTAATCCTCATAATTCCCACGTGTGAAGGGAGGAACCTGGTGGGAGGTGATTGGATCATGGGGGCAGTTCCCCCATGCTGTTCTCATGATAGTGAGTTCTCACGAGATCTAATGGTTTTATAAGGGGTTCTTCTCTGTTGACTCTTTTTTCTCCTGCCACCATATGAGAAGCTCCAAGCTTGCTTCTGCCATGATTGCCTTCTGCCATGATTGTAAGTTTCCTGAGGCCCCCGAGTCATTCAGAACCGTGAATCAATTAAACCTCTTTCCTTCATAAATTACCCAGCCTCAGGTATTTCTTTACAGCCATATGAAAATGGACTAATACAGGAGATATTTGCAATACCTCTATCAATAAAGGATTACATTAGGGATATATGCTAGGACTAAACATACATATGCTCATGGAACATATGCTTTAGGAGTGTGTGTTGCATATGTGTGTGTGTGTGTGTGTGTGTGTGTGTATATATATATATGTATATATATATGTGTATATATATGGACTGAATATGTATGCCCGCCTAAAATTCATGTGTTGAACCTCTACCCTCCAACGTGATGTTATTAGGAGGCAGGTTGTCTGGGACATGATTAGGATTAGATGCAGTCATGAGGGTCCTTTAGATATCACAGAGCTTGCTTGCTCTGTTCTGCTCTCTGCCATGTGAGGGTACAATAAGTAGGCAGTCTGCATCTGGGAAGAGGTCCTCACCAGAACCCCTCCATGTCGACAGCCTAATGGCAGACTAACTGTCTCTAGAACTGTGAAAAATAAATTTCTGTTGTTTATAAGTCACCCTGTTTATGCACCTTGTTATAGCACCCCCCAGGCTAAAAAGACACTATGTGTGTATATGGAATGCACACATACACACACACACACATATGCAAATAAAATATTAGAAATACATATGTGTATATCCCCTACAAATCGGGAAGATAAAGACAAATAACTCAATAGAAAAAAGGACAGGCACTTCACAGAAAAGGAAATTATATGATCAATGAACATATAAAGAGATGCTCAACTTCATTAGAAATCAGGGAAATGTAAATCAAGACCACAGTAAAAGAGTATTTGATACTAGTTTAACTGGCAATGTTAAAAAAAAAAAAAAAAAAAAAAAAAAGAGACCAGGCACAGTGGCTCACACCTGTAATCCCAGCACTTTGGGAGGCCAAGGAGATCACTTGAGGCCAGCAGTTCAAGACTAGCCGGGCCGACATAGGGAAACTCTGTATCTATTAAAACACACACAAAAAAAATTAGCTGGGTTTGGTGGCACTTGCTTGTAATCCCAGCTACTTGAGACGCTGAGGTGGAAAAATCTCTGGAATCCAGGAGGCAAAGGTTGCAGTGAGCCAAGATCGCATCACTGCACTCTAGCCTGGGTAACAGAGCAAGCTCCATCTCAAATAAATAAATAAAGTCAAAGGAATGTCATATAGTGCTTATCTGAGTATTCATTAGTACCACCACTGGCAAACAATTTCCATCTCATAAAGTTGAACATTCATGTTCTCTAAGTCCCAGCAACTCAGCTCTCCTGCTCAATATTGACCCAAGAGATGCTTTTTCTAAGTGCCCCAGCAGACATGTATGAGTGTATTTGCAGTAGTACTGTTCATAATGACAAAAACCTGCAAACAGCCCAAAATTCATTGACAGGAAAATGGATAAGCCACAGTGCAGTCATACAATAGAATACTATGCAGCAGTGGAACAATGCAATCATTGTATAAATCATAGTAACATAGTATTGGGTGAAATCCAGTACTATCAATTGGATTTCCTAAAAGACTATCTGTAAGTCCTAAAAGACTGTCTATAAAATTCAGGAGCATAGTTATCTCTTGGGAAAAAAAAGAAGATGGTATAAGAAAGAAGTACATAGACAGATATGAATTACTGGTACTATTATAGTTCTTGGGCTGGGGATAGGTTAGCAAGTTCTAATTATATTATTAAAACATAAAGAGTGCGAGTGTGTGTGGACCAATCATGACAGTCCTTCGCATAAGAAATGTCTACCTCAAATGCCTTTGAGGCAACACACAAAATACATACATAATAATTACAACTAAGATTCTCATTTTCCTCCTCTACATCTATAAATAATGATTATTGTGCTTCTTGGATCATTTACTGAGCCATTCTCCTATAAATGACTTAAGAGTTAACAAATCTCCATCACAGCCACTGTCTCTGTCTCATCAATTCTGTTAAAAATGTGGTTCTATTCCCATTTGATCAGAAGAGAAAACTGAGGAACACTGGAGTTAATTATGCCAATCCCCCTAGATTTACAGCTTGTAAGTAGAAGAGTCAAAGCTTGAATGTAGGACTTGCAAATCAAAATAAACTCTCTTTTCTAAGGCATCCCAGAAGCTCTGGGGGCGTGGGGGAGGGTTGCTCGAAGGAGTCTATGTGTATTTATGAAAGAGTATCAGAGTCACCAGGTCAACAATAGGCAGATCACCTGGACCTATTTTATCTTTAGTATCATTTTCACTCTCATGATTAAGAAGCCATGAATAGTGAAAGCTATAGCTTTTCTCCATGAAAGAGAAAATTATGACCCTTTATAAGCCTCAGTCCTTTCTGTTTCATTAGCCTGACATTCTGCTTTGTCCTATATAGAAACATGAATCCTGTGCTTCTATCTGGTGATCCCTAAAAGATTAAAATTATGAGATTGTGGAGAAAAAGGAACACTTATACACTGTTGTTGAGATTGCAAATTAGTTCAGCCATTGTGGAAGACAGTGTGGTGATTCCTCAGAGACCTAAAGACAGCAATACCATTCGACCCGGCAATCCCATTACTGGGTAAATACCCAAAGGAATATAAATTATTCCATTATAAAGAGACATGCATATGTATGTTCACTGCAGCACTATTCACAATAGCAAAGACATGGAATCAACCCAAATGCCCATCAGTGATAGACTGGATAAAGAAAATGTGGTATATATACACCAAGGAATACTAAATAGCCATAAAAGAGGAGATCGTGTCCTTTTCAGGGACATGGATGGAGTTGGAGGCCATCATTCCTAGTGAACTAACACAGGAACAGAAAACCAAGTGTTAACATGCTCTCACTTACAAGTGGGAGCTAAATGATAAAATAAATGGACACGTAGAGAGGAACAACATACACTGGGGCCTCTTGGAGGGTGAGAGGAGGAAGAGGATCAGAAAAAATATCAGGTACTAGGCTTAATACTTGGATGGTGAAATAATCTGTACAGTAAGCCCCCACAACATAAGTTTACATACGTGACAAACCTGAAATTGTATCCCTGAATTGAAAATAAGTGTTAAAAAAAATTAAGGTCAGACATCCAGGCTACTGGCAGGACCTCAGGTCTGCAGCAATAACCTACCATAGAGAAATGAAAGATCCAGGAAACATCCATTGTTATGTACATCAGGCTCCTCCTCTGACCCTCACAAAGGTGACCTACATTCTAGTTTTAACTGGGATTCTCCTGGCTTGGGTAGTGAAAGTCCAGCTTTTTAGTAATCCCCCAATCCTGGGCACACTGCAATGGTTGGTCCCCCTAACCTGGACTCCTTCAATTATCCCATTCTGACATATTAGTTTGGTGCAAAAGTAATTGCTGCTTTTGCCATTACTTGTAATGAAAGTAATGCCATTACTTTTAAAGAAGCCATGAATAATGAAAGCTATAGCTTTTCTCCACGAAAGAGAAAAATGGCAAGAGCAGCAATTACTTTTGCACTAACCTAATAATAGACCTTTTTCTTTTTCTCATGAATGGAAAAAATTTAGGATAGGTCAAAATTAAGCCCAGGGCTTTCATATGTGAACAAGTTTATGTCTATGTCTCTGGAGAGAACTTGCAGATATGGGCATAAATTTTTCTCAAAGATTTCTTAATACTTCTCATTTCCCCATGCTCATCTATGTGTTGTCCTTCTGAAAATTCTCATTCACATTGACAATGACATGCATGACTCACTAGGGTGTATGTATATTTATTTGGAACAAAAAGCTTTCAGACCAAGATTTCTGACATTCGAATAACTGGAATCTAAATGTTACCATATCCTGGAATTACATCCTGTTCATTTTCTCACCCTCTTTGCACAGTGGCTCAAAAGTAAAAATGACAAATGATATACAAGCAGGAATTCCCCCTAAATTGTCATATGTGGAAAATAAGGCCACACCTGTCCCCAGCTCATCTGCAATTCAGAGGAAGTGGTTGATATATTTACCAGCCTGTTGCCTTACATTTTATGCAGACAACCAGATCAATTACACTAATGAAGATAATCAATATCCAGGAAGATTTTGCAATAGGGGTGTACCTGATCTACAAAAGCCACACAGGCAGAGAATCCAGTGGAACCAATAGGATTGCACTGTCTTTTTCTTATTATGTTAACAAGCTATCTGACATGATGATGTTTATAGGGAAAAAATTGTGTAGCATATATCAAAGACTATTAATTATAGAAGGAATGGGTAATACAAGCCATCCATTTACCTCCAACCACCTACCATGGTGCAGATGATTTCTAATACTCAGCCTTTAAGGAATATCAGAATCCCCTTGGATTATCTGTGTTTTCCCCAAATTAATATGTTGAAATCCTAATTCCCAGGGTGATGGTATTAGGACATGGGGCCTTTTGGAAAGTGATTAGGTCATGAGGGGAGTGCTTTCATGATTGGGATTATGACCTTATAAAAGAGGCCCCAGAGAGCTGTCTTGGCCCTTTTACTACATAAGGACACAGAGAGAAGGTAACTTCTTAAGCCACAAAGTGAGCCCTCACCAGACACCAAATCTGCTAATGTCATGATCTTAGACTGCCCAGTCTCCAGAACTGTAAGAAATAAATTTCTGTTGTTTATAAGCTAACTAGTCTACTGTTTTTCATTATTGCAGCCCAAATGGACTAAGATAGAAGGCTTGTTCAAAGACAAGTTGCTGGGCCCATGCACAGTGCTTCTGATTCAGTAGCAGTGGAATGGAACCCAACATTTGCATTTTAGCAAGTTCCTATTGTTGATCCTGTTCAGGAAGGATCACACTTTGAAAACAGTGTTCTCAAAGGGGTAGGAAAGTAATGTTTTTCCCCAAGCTCAGTGGTCTTACATCTAAACAAGTCCAAGTATGTATCTCTGGAAGGCAGAGCTCCAAATACTTCTGAAAGATTCCTTAATACTTACAAACATGAAGTTCTACCCATCCATTGCAAGTGGCACTTAGACGATCAACTCTCCAGTGATGATAGCTTAAGTGAGAGTCATGCAGTAACACGAATACAGTGAAATGTAAACTGTGGAAATTGTGTGTAATGTATGAGTATTCACCGTATAGTTTTTCTACTTTTACATGCTTCAAAATTTTATTTTGAAATCTTAGGGAGAAAAAAATTCAACCTCCAACGAGCTATTTTTTTTTTTCAGGCATATTTGGAGTTACACAGAAATACCTTCATTTTAAATGAATTATATTTTTCAGCCCATGTTTTTAAAGGAATCATGTAATTGAAATAATATATACCGGACACACATGATGATGTTAAAAATTTTAAACATTGGGTGTTACAGGGTTGGAGATGGCTATGTCAGTGGGTCAGTGTGGGGATGGCAGGTGGGATGTGTAGGGGAAAACTGGGTGAGGAGCTGTTATTGAGGAAGTATCCACATGGGAGAGTAAAAATAGGAAAAGAAGTTTAAAATATTAAAGTGTATCAAATAGGATTGCATTTGACTGCAAGCAACAGAAAACTCAGTGAACATATAGCGATTTATTTTTCTGAAACAAGGTAAAGTCTGCAAACAGTTGAGGTCTATTGCAGCTGGTTAAGGAAGATGTCAAGAACCTGGATTATTTTTATTTTCCTGCTTTGCTCTCCCTTTGATGCATGTGACTTTCATCCTCAGATTCATGAAATGACTGCTGCACTTCCAGACTTCACACCCACGATCCAAGCAAAAAACATTAAAAAAAGCTACAGACCTCCCTCTTCCTGAGGCTTTATATTTTTATTCAGGAAGGGACACCCTTCTTGCACAATCCTTATAATTTTTTGGCCCCAAGCACATTGCCTAGCCCCTTCTGAATGTCGGCTGCTTCCAACTATAGAGTAGATAACAGAAGTTACTGAAAATGCATCTTGGCTGAGAAAACTCTCAAACTAATATCCCAGGAGATGTCATATAAACTTTTCCTGCCTAGCAACTTCTTTAAACTGGCAGGTAACAAGGACTCAGCACAGTCACTGATGCCAATAAGAAAAACCTTGGAGATCTCTAAACAACTTATTAAATTCTGGAAAACTTGCCCAGAATTTAAGTGTTTAAACAGAGGGCAAAGAAAGGAAGGCTCATGTGTGGACTCTGAAGGAAATCTCAATGAGAATTCCACAGAGCGGATGGTCTGGGCAGGGTATTTTCCACAGAGCTGTCTTTGGAAGGCTGCTTAAATGTATACTATCCCCAGAGTTGTTTAACTAAAACTCAGCACAGGAAAACATCAGGGTTGGCAAGGACCACTCCAATCCATGTTGCATAGATCATTAGGTTGTTTCAGAAGCCTGCCCGCTCTGTGGGTAGCAGCAACTGTCCCACATTCACTCCCATTCTGGATTGTATTTTAAGGCAAATTTTCTATTCAGCTTCTATTGCTAGCACATGAGGAATCACAATGAGATGTTCCATTTCAGGCTGTGATTTCTGTGCCAAACTGTATTGGAACAGAACTGAGCATGGATCTAATTCTGCCACTCCCTGCTGCAATCCACTCTCATCTGCTTTATAACCAAAATTAAAATTAGGTATAATCCTAAATCGAGGTGATATGTTTTCATCCAAAATGGAGGCAGAACTAAAGATATGATAAAGAAATTGTATTTTTATCCTCATCCAAGCAGATGCCTAGACCTCAGTCTTTGTGTAGATCATCTACTGATTGAAAGAGTTTTACATTTGTTTTACTGATCTCTGTTCTCATTTTTAATCACCTTGCTAGACTTTTTGACAGTCCTTCGAAATCAAAACAGAAGCCACGCAATCATTTTCCCAGTTCATTTCACACTGCAAACTACTGAAGAATTATGAAAATACAAAGATATCATGATGCTTCTGTCTATCTATCACTAAGTTCAATGCCTGGGCTTATAGGTATCCATCTAAGTCCCCCAAGCTGTGTATTCTGTACTGGAAAGCTTGTAAACACACAGTGGGACCCATGCTATGCAATGAGGGGTAAGTGGGAAAAGTCACAGCACTGTTCACTCACTACGTGTGTTGGCTGCTGTGAAATGTCTCTCAACTACATTCCATGTTTCCTCTGGGTGGAAAAGTTAAATGATACATTTCCCAGATGACTTTGCAGCTAAGACTCTGGATGCAAATTAGTTATCATAATTTAAAAGCACACATATAGAACTTTGGGAAGTGTGGTAGATAATAAAAAATATTTTATTTATCCAAAAGAAGGCAAGAAAAGAGAAGGGAAAAATAAAATGGGAGGACAAAAAACAATTAGTATGATGGTTGGCTTAAACCTAAGTAAATCAGTAATTTTGGTAAATGTAAATGAGTTAAGTATGACAATTAAAAGAAGAGATGGTCAGTTTTTTTTTTTTTAAAAAAAAAACAACTTTAAGTTGCTTGCAAGAGATGGTCCTTAAATACAGGGCACAGAATGGCTACAAATAAAAGAATGGTGTGATAGGTTGAACAATGGCTGCAAAGATATCAGGTCCTAATCCTGGAATCTGTAAATGTTATCTTATTTGCAAAAGGTGTCTGTGCAGATGTGAGTAAATTAAAGCTCTTAAAATGGGGAAATTATCTTAGATTATCTGGGTGGGCTATAAATGCTATCACATGTGTCTTTACGTATTTGTCTGTTTTCATGCTGCTGATAAAGACATACCCAAAAGTGGGTAATATATGTTAGATATGAGTTCAAATTTCTTTTCAAAGGATTAATATGTCAGTATGTTCAATTATTTGTCTTCTACTTTTAAACTTAACTTCCTTGTAAAGCAACCTTTTTCTGTTACCTACTCCACCCTGACTCATTCTGATCACCTGCTCTACCCTAACTCATTCCGATTACCTGCTACCTGCTCTGCCCTGACTCCCGCCAATGCACTCACCCCATCACTCTCTTTAAATTAGCCAATCGGAATTAGTTTAGCCTGTGCGGTCTAACCCTAGCCAACAGGAGAACAACACAGCAGCAGGGCCACGTGCATCAGGGATGAGAACCCCTTCCCCTCCCTTGTCCAAGTGTGTGCTCACCATTGCTCCATCTATAAGGGCCCACCCTTCTATAGAAGTAACTTGCGTTGCTGAGAATTAAAAGGAAAATTTTATATTTGAGCGCTATTTATTTAGTGGCACCAAAACTTTATATATAACATTTATAAAGAGAAAGAGGTTGAATGGACTCAGTTCCACATGGCTGGGAAGGCCTCACAATCATGATGGAAGGTGAAAGGCATGTCTTACATGGCAGCAGGCAAACAGAATGAGAACAAAGCAAAAGGGATGTCCCCTTATAAAACCAACAGATCTGTTTGAGACGTATTCACTACTACAAGAGCAGTATGGGGGAAAATGCCACCATGATTCAATTATTTCTCACCAGGTCCCTTCCACAACATGTGGGAATTATGGGAGCTACAAGAGCTACAAGTCAAGATGAGATTTGGGTGAGGATACAGCCAAACCACATCATTCCGTGATATGCCACAAATGCCATCACATGTGTCTTTATAAGAGGATGGCTGAGGGACATTTGCTGTGTATAGACAGATGAAGAGGAGGCAGTGTGACCATGGTGACAGAGATTGGAGTGATGCAGCCACAAGTCAAATGCTGGCAGCCAGTAGGAGCCAGAAGAGGCAAGGACCCAATTCTCCCCTAGAGCCTCTGAAGGGAACATAGCCAGGCCAACACCTTGATTTTTCAACTCTGTGATTTCAGACTTCAGAACTGTCAGAAAATACGTGTGCTGTGTTAAGTTACCAAGTTTGTGTCAATTTGTTATAGCAGCCTTAGGAAACCAATACAAATGGAAAATAACATACCTTGCAAAACCAACCAAAGGAAAGCTGGAATAACTATATATTCATCTCTAGTATTGCTTCTTACCTGGGAAGCAGTCATTTGAAAGTGATAAAAGGAAAAGAAAGTGCAGCTGTTTTTCTGCTCTGTTTGTCTTTTCTCCTAGAAAGTAAGGCCATGGGATCACAAAGTTATCTGTAAGCAGCTTTTTAGTGTCCATTCTTCTCCTTCTTGGGGGCCAAGAGCCAGCCTTAATAGCAGCAGAGGACACTCTTTAGTTCTGGAGACTTCATTTCTGTGTCCTAGTTACTATGGAGGAGATATCTTAAGCTCCTAACTTCAGTTGTGGCTCCAGACATAGCAGCAAGATGACTGACTCTTTATTGTCCTGGAGCAAGGTCCAAGCCATAGTTTCCTGGCCTAATGCTTACTTGTATAATTCTCTATAAGCAAAAAAATATATATATATACACTTTCAATAGAAAACTGCCAGGACACCTCCCAGAACCCAGGAAGGGGGCCATGAATGTGAAAGGCCCCTCACCTACAGTTCACTGGTTCATAGTGAGGGTATCTTTCTTGGGTCACAGTCTAAAACCACTCCTGTAGCCCAGCACATAAGTTTGTAAGCACCTAAGCCCTTGGATTAAATCTTTTCCTACTAAAATACCTAGAGGAATTTTCACACCAAAGCCCAACTGATATACCTTTAAAAAGCCACTTCTCCTTCTGAGGTTACCACCTCTCTTTTTTTCAGTCAAACAACACTGCCATTATTACATGCTAGGAACGTAAAGATTAACTATTTGGTTATGCTTTGCCTACCTGAAACAAAAGGGCTATTTATCATTTTTGTTTGTCATTTCACCTCACTACATTCCTTTAATACAGTGTACTCCAACAACTTCTTCTGGGAATTGTGTCATCAACAGGCTACATATGCCATGTTTCTAAAGGGGGAGAATTAATCTATTGTGTTTGTAATTTCTGCATGGGGGAGGTTCCTAAGATGACATTGTCAATTCCACCAACCTATGGGCTACCAACCTATGTCAATTCTACCAACCTATGGGCTCTGTGAATGTTACTGACAATGATACAACTTGAATGATCACTAAGTCACCACAGAGCGCAGTACAAACAGGATATAAAACAGAAATTTTGGCCAGAGTGGTCTTAATCCCATGTCTCACTAGGAAAGAATAGGGGAGTCTGGAAACACATGACCACAATGAACAATGCCAAAAGTCACATAAGCCTGGCTCCTGTGAAGTAAGTTTCTTTCCCACCAAACTTCCGCCATGGGTCTTTCCGAAAGCCCCATGTGAATCCCTCCTATGCAATATGTTGTTTTGTAAAATAAGAGGACACACAGGCCTTATTTTCCATGAGAAAATATTTTACACTATAGCATTACAAGAACCATAAAAGGCTCATGGGAAGGCTCAATGAATACCTGTTGAACGAATAATCCTAATCAATGTAACAGTGGCCCCCACCAAGTTGCCTTATGGTCCACACAAAGCAATGATCAGTCACTCATAACTTAGACCTAAATTAAAGAATAATGGTCTGTCAGGACTAAGGGTCATTTTGGAGACCACCTGAGTCCCACCATTCAATGGAACCTTGAGGCACACCTACCAGATTCTGGATGGGTGGTCACTCAGGTGATGTACAAGCTCTTCTCATCAGTCCCCCTTTGAGGAAGCTGGAACTTCCTGAAGCAGCTCAATTCACTTTCACAGAATTCGACTTGTAAATGGAATGGGTGAAACAATGGATTAGTATGATGGCTCACACCAGCGATCCTTATAGGGAAGTCATGTTCTTTTTAGGAAAATCTTGAGAAGCGCCGCACCTGAGGAGGCAGGCGAGATCCTGTGCACAAGGACTGGCGAGAAATAAGACAAGAAGAGACACCACCAGCTATCTCTACATGGAAGAGACAGGGGACAGAGAAAAGGGAAGCAGGGGAGAGAGGGAGATTGAGCAACTGGGTGGGGTACTAGATCCTGACCCACGGAAGTGACTGAGGAGTACTTGGAAGAGGGAAATAGAGCACCGAACTTCAAGTATTATTTTTTAATTGTGTGCTTTAAACTTCTTCATCTTTTTAGGTCTCCAGTAAAGTATCTTATGTACACCAAGGCCTCATAAGTGAATTGTCAGAAACCAAACAGGAGTGAGTCTACACCTTCTGGGGAGAACATGACGCTTCAACAGGCAGAGAAACAGGCTTCTGACACACTGAGTTGGCAGAAAAATCTTTGTTGATATAGAGGTTGCATTTAAACCATTGCTCTCTAAGCTAAAGTCTACTTTTACTAGATCATCTCCTATTGGTACTAATTCTTCACTTTGAATTTGCATCAAGCCAGACTTCATGACCCTGGACCAACCATCAGACGGTCTTTTATTCTTGGGCCAAGACATCCTCTCTCCACACAGACGGTTTTGTCTCTACCACTTACTTAGAATGCTCTCCACCAAACAAGCTCAGCTTTTTACGTGTTTCTCTTCAAGCACAACAAAGGGAACTAAACAAAATACTCTGGAAGGAGCTGGTCCATTCTGTGAGCACCAACAACATCCCAGATAACGTTTACATTTGTTCTGCATAACCCTGATGAAGGAATTTCAGTGGACCAACAGCAAATAGAAACTCCGTGTCACTGTTCCCTTGGATGCTTCCAAATTATGTCTTCTACCCTCATTCTTGGACTTGGTAGTTAGAATTTTCTTTGGGCTTATACTCAAGAAATTATACTCATCCCTCTTGAATTTAATCTTCTGACATTGAACCTGTTTTCCAGCCAGTAGAAATCATTTTAAAAACTGATTCTAGAATCTAATAATTTTACAATTCCTTCAAAACTTGTGTCATTCATAAATTTGCAATTCATGAAGTCTCTGACTTCACTTAAGACCCTGTGGCACAAACCTAAAGAACATCCCTTCATGTTACATTCTGAATCTTAGGTAGAGTGCTGCAACTGACCTCAATAGTTGCTTCTGAGTCATGCTGCTCTGAGCTGGCTCTAAGGGCTGGCACATCCAGGAGGCTCAGGGAACTCACTGTGCCCTCAAGCCTCAGACCTTGACAACAGTGATGCTAGTATACAAAGTCTCTGGACATCCTCAGTGATTAGCACAGTGCCTTGCATAGAGAAAATATGCCAATGGCCACCAAATTGATGCTCCACAGATGCCTCTATTTCCAGCCTCCTGGCAAATGAGCAAGGCAGATACATGAATCAAGTTGAACACTGTCTGCAGCCCAGGATATTTCCCTATTATATATGAGGAAGCAAAGCAACTGTGTTGCGGGAAGTCAGGGACCCCGAACGGAGGGACCAGCTGAAGCCATGGCAGAAGAACATAAATTGTGAAGATTTAATGGACATTTACTAGTTCCCCAAATTAATACTTTTATATTTTCTTATGCCTGTCTTTACTGCAATCTCTGAACATAAATTGTGAAGATTTGATGGACACTTATCACTTCCCCAATTAATACTCTTGTGATTTCCTATGCCTGTCTTTACTTTAACCTCTTAATCCCGTCATCTTCATAAGCTCAGGATGAATGTCGCCTCAGGACGCTGTGATGATTGCGTTAACTGCACAAATTGTTTAAACAATATGAAATCTGGGCACCTTGAAAAAAGAACAGGATAACAGCAATGTTCAGGGAACAAGGGAGATAACCTTAAAGTCTGGCTGCCTGTGGGCCAGGCAGAACAGGGCCATATTTCTCTTCTTTCAAAAGCAAATAGTAGAAATATCGCTGATATTCTACTCAGTAAGGAACTGAGTTTTCTCAGTAAGGAACATCCCTGAGAAAGAGAATGCATGCCTATGGGTAGGCCTCTAAAATGGCCGCTCTGGGGACGTCTGTCTTTTACGGTAGTTGATAAGGGATGAAATAAGCCCTGGTCTCCTGTAGCTCTCCCAGGCTTATTAGGACGAAGAAATTCCTGCCTAATAAATTTTGGTCAGACTGGTTGTCTGCTCTCAAACCCTGTCTCCTGATAAAATGTTATCAATGACAATGTGTGCCCAAAACTTCATTAGCAATTTTAATTTCACCTCGGTCCTGTGATCTCACCCTGCCTCCATTTGCCTTGTGATATTTTACCTTGTGAAGCATGTGATCTCTGTGACCCACACCCTATTCGTACACTCCCTCCCCTTTTGAAAATCACTAATAAAAACTTGCTGGTTTCACGGCTCAGGGGGCATCACAGAACCTGCTGACATGTGATGTCTCCCCCAGACACCCAGCTTTAAAATTTCTCTCTTTTGTACTCTTTCCCTTTATTTCTCAGACTGGCCGACACTTAGGGAAAATAGAAAAGGACTCACGTTGAATTATCGGGGGTGGGTCCCCTGATACAACTGCAATTATTTCCCCCACGCCCTTTCCTTCTGCTGACTCAAAAGGCTTGTGGATTTTGACTAATTTGTTTCTTATCATCCAGGACTTTTACTTAGGGCTCTGTCACTGTTAGGTTGGCTGTTTGAGAGTCTGTGATGTAGAAACTGAAGAATCAAGAGAAAGTGACAAAACCAGAGAGGCAGCAGTGAAGGAACAAGAGGCATCAGGCTAGCTCCTGGGGAGGAAGTGATGATGGAGTTTAGAAAAGAAAGGAGCAAGGGGGCTTGGGGCATGAGGGAAATAAATGGAAAATGGAAGGAGATTCTAGGAAATAATGCAATGGACTCTTTCTTTCCTTCACGATAATTTAGAAACTCAGGAGAATAATTTACTTTGAAATTACCTTTTGATGGCTGGACCATGTTTCCTTGGCCATGACTTCATGCTTAAACTGGTCACACACATTCTTGGCTTTTACATGTTCCCTTTTGTTGGAATGTCTACATCTCCACTTTATCACATGGTCAAACAAAATTGATCATATCTTTGTTTTTCCTCTTTTTAACTTTCCAAAGAGAGTTTCTGAAGACAACAGAAGAAATGCGCTTGCACTCAATAGTTACAGTGTCTTAAACTACTCAGATGAAAGAAAGATCAAATAGGTCATTCCTTCCTCATGCCATTACATTTTAAGGGGATCAAAAATCTCCATGTCCAAAAATGTTTCCCTATTGGCCAGCCACCATGCCTCCAATTCCTACCTTTTGAATATATATTTTGGATTAAGGCATTATCTCCTAAGATAATCTTAATGGAAAAATTAGCATTTCCTGAGTTCTGCTGCTTACCAGGTACTTTACATCCATTACTTCATTTCTTCCTCATGGCAACCCTGCAAGCACTCATTTCAAGAGGCTGTACTCTTAAGAACTATGTCTCTCAAAAAGATATGGAGTCCTAAGTCCCAGCACCTCAGAACGGAACCCTATTTGAAAACAGGATTGTTGCAGGTAAAATTACCTAAAAAGAAGTAATACTAGGGTAGAATGGACCCTTAATCCAATATGACTCATGTCTTCAAAAGAAGAGAAAAATTTGGACACAAAAGGAGAGGGTGGGCATGCAGTGATGCAGTGATAGCATCAGAGACTGGAATTATGCATCAATAAGCCAATGAACCCAAAGATTATCTGCAAACCCTAAAAACTAAGAAAGACCAAGGATTCTCCCCCACATATTTTAGAGGGAGCATGGGCCAGATTTTAGACTTCTAGTCCCCAGAATTGCAAGGTGATAAATTTCTCATGTTTGAGCCACACTGTTTGTGGTACTCTGGTAAGGCAGCCCCAGGAAACTCACACAACAACCAAACTCAGACGGCACTGGCTTTCAGTTGTTGCTTTGCCACTATTTAGGCTGCCTAAATAGTTTAATTTAAGTAATACTTACATTACTTAAGTATAGTAAACCTCAAGTTTTTCCATCTGCAAAATGCAGGTAATGCCATCTACTGTGACACAGATTTTGTTTTAATGAAGTAAATGAAAACCTCTGTACTCTGCTTAATACAATTCCTTGCATCAAGTAATCATTTAATGAATGGTATCTTCTGCTATGATCACTCTCATGGTTATCATTTCTTCCCCTTATAAATGAAGAAACTAGGAAACAGGTTCAAAACCATGCTTAGGGATATGGCAGAGCTGGGGCTTCAAAATCAGGTCTGCCTAACTCCAAATCAAGTGTCATATTCCACCATAGCCGTTAGGAGACAGATGATACTTGCTCAAGAATCTGGGGGTGTTCTGAGAAGCTGTACATCAAGAGATAACATCTGGAATATGACACAAGAAGAAATGGATTTCTAATGTAGCACATAGGGTGATATCTGGGTGGGCATCTCTATAAGGGAGGGGGAATCAGGAATGCTAAGGTCACAACTTTGCTCTACCAGCTCCAGCTGGTGCTCTCCCCTGTGTTACCCTCACTCCCCACCAAGTTATGTTAACAGCTGCTATTTCTTCAAGAGGTAATGTTTCATCCTTTCATGTCACCAAGTTTCTGGAAGGCATCCAACTGCACAAAAGCCTTCTGGTTCCTTGGGTAGTCCAGCAGGCTGGCTTCTTTTCATCCATGTGCACAGAGTCCCTGCCTGTGGCAGTGCCCTGGGCAGTGTGAAGAGACTCGCAGAGCCATGGGTCAGCCACACTCTCCTAATCCAAGTCACCTTCATTTCATACACAAAAGCTGTCTTGGCTCCTCAGCCAGAAGCCCCGGTAGTGCTGGGGCAAAGATGCAAGTCGGATATGATTTAAAAACCCTTCCAAAAGCAAAAGGATTGAGTTCCATGAATAACAGCTCACAGATTCTGCATGTATTAGATTTACTTTGAAGAAAGGATAGATTAAAAGAAGAGACTAAAGACAGGGAAATAAAAGACTACTACAGTAAGTATTCAAGACCCCTGGTTTGGTCCAACCCCCACTAAAGTTTATGCATTTTCCCTATGACTCAAAAGAACCTAATTCTGGTTCTGTCACTAACAATTTGTATGTCCCCAGCCCTAGGCCCTAGACATCTAGTTAGTGACAGACCAGATCTAAGAATCAGTCTTCTACCTCCCCATTGTGCATTCCGATTCTTCCATAGTGGACAACTGCACACAAAAATGAGCATATGCAGCAAAAAAGAAATTTTAGAACTTGCTTCGGTAAGCATCGAATTTATAAACTTCTGGTTCCTGTTCTTCCTAATCACAGTATAGTCAATAGGATTTTTGTATTTATCTGGAGGAGGCTTTGCACTCATGAATACTGTATCCCGTCGGTTGTACTCATTGCAAAATTATATTAAAAAATGGAAAAATTTAATCTCTCCCTTTAACGCCATAAATACCAGTTAATGCAATTTCTGAGGCAATTTTTAAGTGTTACATCCCATACAACTTGATGTGAAAAATACCAATAGGCTGTGAGAGTGAGAAACCAAGCAAACTACACTAGTACTTCCCCAAACGGAGTGAAGAAAGGGTGCCCAACAGATATAAAATTCCACGAAAATATAATATGCTATGTAGATGATGACTAAATTTGCACATAAGTTCAAGGACAACTTAATCAAATTTGAAAACAATAGCCTTAAAAAAACTGAAAATTTGTTACTTATATTAAAAGAAAGTTAAAAGCAAAAAAAACCCAACCAAACAAACAAACAAAACAAAACAAAACAAAAACACACCCTTCCCAAGGTTGTCTATGATAAAGGACGTTTAGAATTGAAGTGATAATGAAACTTTTATGACAGACTCAAGGCATCATTCTCCTTCTAGACTCAAACAGGAGTTTGCTGCCTAATAACACAAGGCAAAATCTGCTCCTTTCTCTTTTACTCTTTTCCTTTTTTCCCTCTCCCTGAGACATTTGTGTGTATAGAATGCTCTGGGTCATTTCCAGGGCTTTTTTCTCCAAGGAGACCTAGCAAGCCCTTGCATGGATGGTGTGCATGCCTTGCACTTCTGGCAAACTCTGTCCTAAAATCTGAGATTCCTCACACATCTTACAGAGCCCAGTCCGACGCACCAAGGTGTGGAGACCATAATAAACCAGACGTATCTAAAAGTCTCTGCTGGGATGGAGAGGTAGGACCTGGATCAATGAATCCAGAAGTCATGAGGCCCAGCTGGGAAAGAAGGATGACAGAAGGCAAGTCCAAACTTCACACTTGGCTGATACAGTGACAAACATGACAGGGAGCACTTGAATGGAGCCTTTTTTGAGGCTAAGAGAGTAATAGGAAAATAATGCATGCTGAAGTACTATAGATAGAAAAAAGAGTCACGGACCCAGAAGCCTGGAGCCTCGATTCAGAGCACCTATTTTCTCACCTATATCTCATGAGGTCAGGAAACCTCCTTACCTGTTCATGATTGAGTTTCCTAACCTAAAAGGAGGAGGAGGGAAAGCCTATACCCATTGCAAGTAGTTGTTAGAAGGACAATCACCTTATTCAACAGCTTACTCAATGGTGATTTGCAGATCCTGATTCTCTGTCACTTGACTTACAGGGAATTTGAGATGGAATGAAATACTGGGCTGAATAAAAATCCAAGAAGGAAACTCAACACTCAGATTTATACCTTCTGGGCGTATGAAGAGAGGCATTTTCATAGTTGTGCTTAATTAGGAGTCACAGGAAGAAGGGAGACAGAAAAGACAGAGAACAATAGAAAGATGAAGAAGTAACATCCAAGATTCCCCACACATCTCACAGAACCCAGTCTGATGCACTAAGGTGTGGAGACAAATGAGTCATTTTCTCTGTCCTCAAAACATTGATAGCCTAGCAGTAGATCAAATGCACTCTTAAGAATAATACAATAAGATAAAATTGAAAGTATGGCCAAAGGTTTGAGGAGACGCACATAGGGAGCAACGGGTTCTTCCTGGAGGTGGGGATAGCAGTAGAAATTTAAATATAGGGGAAGTGGCATTTCTGCTAGGACTTGAAGGCTATGTCGGTGCACATGAGGGGAGAAAGAGGAAGAAAGGCATGCTATGGTAGGCAGAATCATCTCACCAACCATATACCCATGCCCGAATCTCTAAAACTTGCAAATGTCACCCAACTTGTCAAAAGGGGTGTTGTAAATTTTTTAAGGCTATAGATCTTTAAATAGAGATATTATTTTAGATTACCTTGGATAGCCTAATTTAGCCGTAAAAGCCCTTAAAAGCAGAGAGCTTTTCTTTGGCTTGACTCCACGAGAGAAGGGAGAAGAAGTTAGACAGATTTGAAGCCAGAGAGGGGCTCAAGCTGACATTTTTGGGTGACTGGGGTAGGGGGGCACGAAAAGCATGAGAAAGAATCTGGGCAGCATCTGGGAGCAAAAGCTCATCTCCAGCTGAAAGCCGACAAGAAAATGAAGATCTCAGCCCTGCAACTCTAAGAGGCAGAAGTTGACTAACCACCTGGATGAACTTGGAGGTGATTCATTCCCAGAGTCTCCAGAAATAAATGGACCCTTTCCAATGCCTCAATTTTAGCCTTGTGAGTCTCTAAACTGAGGACCCAGTTGTGGTATAGTGTATCTAGACTTCTCATCTACAGAACTGTGAGATAACAAGTTTGTATAATTTTAAGCATTAAATGTATGGCAATTTGTTACAGCAGCAATGCAAAAACTAATACATATTGATATGGTTTGGCTGAGTCCCCACTCAAATCTTGAATTGCAGTTCCCATAATCCCCATGTATCATGGTAGGGACCCGGTGGGAGGTAACTGAATCATGGGGGTGGTTTTTCCCATGCTGTTCTCATGATAGTGGATAAATATCATGAGATCTGATGGTTTTATAAAAGGGGAGTTCCCCTGCATAAGCTCTCTTGCCTGCTGCCATGTAAGACATGACTTTGTTCCTCCTTTACCTTCTGCCATGATTGTGAGGCCTCCCAAGCCATGTGGAACTGTGACTCAATTAAATCTTTTTCCTTTGTAAATTACCCAGTCTCAGGAATGTCTTTATTAGCAGCATGAGAACAGACTAATACATGAGTGCCTTGCAAAAGGAATAGAAGAGCAAATGCATGGGGTCATAAGAAAGTGTGGTATGGCTCCATAGAGGGGATCTGGGGAACTACTGTGAATAAGGCAAGAAAGGTGAGCAGCAGCTTACAAAATCTATATAAAATGAAGCTGTATCATAATCAAAAGGGATGCTTAGGAGGCTTTTGAGCAAAGGAATGACTAACATGATTTGGGAAATTAGCTAGAAAATTTATAAATTCCTAAACTCACCAGAATTCATAATTAACAAAAGCCTCCTTGCCTTTGAAGAAATCATAGCACTTTGCATTTTTATTCAAATGGTGTTGCCATGGTCTGAATATCCAGAAAAGTTCTCTGTGGGATCTGATTTTAGAGCCAGTTTTAGAACTCCAGTAGTTTACATACATAAACACTGAAGCTTGGACTTTTTTATTCACTTCCTAGAATGACCTTGCTTAACTGATCAAATACTTCCTTACCACTAAATTCAAAGGGCATTCTTTGAAGCTCTAACTTGGTTTCTCAGGGATATTCATTAGTACTTATCAGTCCCTTTCTTGTTTTTTTTTTTTTTTTTTTTTTTTTTTTTTTTTTTTTTTTTTTTGAGATGGAGTCTCACTCTGTCACCAGGCTGGAGTGCAATGGCACGATCTCAGCTCACTGTAACCTCTGCCTCTTGAGTTCAAGCGATTCTCCTGCCTCAGCCTCCCAAGTAGCTGAGACTACAGGCACGCACCACCACACCCAGCTAATCTTTGTATTTTTAGTAGAGACAGGGTTTTACCATGTTGGCCAGGATGGTCTCAATTTCTTGACTTCATGATCTGCCCACCCCAGCCTCCCGAAGTGCTGGGATTACAGGCATTAGCCACCACTCCCAGCCTCAGTCCCTTATTTTTAAAATAATCTTTTAATTTAGTTGCTATGATATAGAAATCTCATGGAGTTCCTTCTACTTCTCTGGCTGATGTTTCTCATTTTAAAAATAAATTCATTTTTCTCTGCCCAGAAAATAAATGTAAGATTTCACCAAGGCCTGGTCTAAGGGCCTCTGCTCTTCTCACTCTTATATACTGTATTCCTCAATTATCATACTTATTATCACCTATTTGCAGATGATTTATAAATGTCTCTCTTCAGTTGAGACCTTGGATATTAATATATCCAAATACATCTGTCATATTTCTTCTTGGATCTCTCCAAGACATCTCAAATTCAACCTCTCCAAAACCAAACTAATCAAAGTAATGCCTAGACTTGGTCTTCCTTCAGTGTTCTCTCTCCCTGTGAATAGTTCCATCACCTTTAATCCAGAGCCCCAGAATCATTCTTGGCCTTTTCCACTCTACTTAATACCTGGAGCTATACTTTAAGGGCAGTTAAGTATGGAGAGATATATTCAGAGAGATGTGGCAAAAATGATTCATGAGCAGATCACCTGATGAACAACTAAAAGATTAGTGGATGTGTTTCTTAGAGAACAGATTAAAAGGGATGCCACCGAAGGATGGAGCTGTACTGAATTCTCTTGTTTAGGATCTTAAGTAGTAGAATTAGGATGAATTAATTGAAACCACAGGGGAGCAAAAGGAAAGATTGCTGATTACTATATGTGGGGATGGAGACCATTGTCCTGGAAGGGAGCCAACTCTCAGTTATGGACTGTGTTCAAGCTTGTCAGAAGGACACTTAATTACTTCAAATAGACACTTAGAGAATATTTAATAATTACCTAGTATGTAACAGTCCATCAGAGAGGCATGAATGTACAACATGAGGCTTTGGGCTGGAAGAGCCTCTAGATCCCTCCTAAAACTGAGTTTCTGTAATTCTGTATCCCTATTATTAGGTTCAAATGCCAAAATACAAGTAGTGTTATTTAACTTTTTCCAATAGTGGCCATGTAGTCTCTTTAGAAGTGGTTTGTTGTACTTTTCTTCCACTACCATATGTGACTTGAAAACAAGAGGAGAAGAGGAATAAGAAAGAATGCACAAGCTCTGGGGTAGCTCTGAGCCTTCTTAATGCTGGGAAAGCAATCTGTTTTCCCAGCCACTCCCAACACTAGGGGACATAAAAGATCCAGACTTTATAGGCTGTGAACCAGATCCTAGAAAGGAATCTATCTGCAAAGCTGCTCCATTTGAGTAATTCCAGTTTCTCTTCTCTTCACAATTGGGTATATTTGGGGTGCATTGGGACCATCAGTCCATGTTCCTAGATTTCCTCCTAAGGTTGGTATTTCAGTCAATTTGTCTTTTCATGGGACCACTCCATTCAATTTTTTTAGCTTCTAGACTCTCTTTCAAGGCACATGGGCTCCTAAATATAATTTTTCACTAAGTATGTCTTGGTTTGGTTTCTCTCAGAGCCAGACCCTCAGGAAATAATAAGAAAACTAATAGTTTAGTTAGGAGGGAATCTCATGAAACACCAGTAGTAAAGGGAGAGATGAAACAAACAAGAGCAGCCAGAAAACAGAGGGTGTTGTCAAGAAGCTTACCACTGGGAGTTAATGGAGCATAATCTCATTTACAATCTCTGAGAACCACATAGATTTGTACCTCAAAAATATCCCACCAGAGGCAAGGGAGTCTCTGCCACTTATTTATTGAGAGCTTCTCTTAGGACGCATTAATTTTCTACTGCGTCAGTCTGCCATGCACAGACGCAGAATGGGCTTGCCCAGTAGAAAAAAATTCTTTATGCAGAGAAGCAGATGCTGACATATGAAGTTGAAGTTAGGCAGAAAACACTATTGTATTAGTCAGGGTACTCTAGAGGGACAGAACTAATAGGATAGATGTATACAAGAAGGAGAGTTTATTAGGAGAATTGACTCACATGATCACAAGGTGACGTCCCACAATAGGCCGTCTGCAAGCTGAGGAGCAAGGAAGCCAGTTCGAGTCCCAAAACCTCAAAAATAGGGAAGCCAACAGTGCAGCCTTCAGTCTGTGGCTGAAGGCCTGAGAGCCCCTGGGAAACCACTGGTGTGAGTTCAAGTGTCCAACAGCTGAAGAACTTGCAGTCCGATGTTTGAGGGCAGGAAGCATCCAGCATGGGAGAAAGATGATGGCCAGATGACTCAGTGAGTCTGCTCTTTCCACGTTCCTCTGCCTACTTTATTCTAGCCATGCTGGCAGGTGATTACATGGTGACCACCCATATTGAGGGTGGGTCTGCCTCTCCCTGTCCACTGACTCAAATGTTAATCTCCTTTGGCAACACCCTCACAGACGTACTCAAGAACAGTACTTTGCATCCTTCAATCTAATCAAGTTGACACTCAATATTAACCATCACAACTATGATGCCAGGGCCCAGAGAACATGGGCCAAGCACCAATCCCTTCTGCTCCTGGGTACTACATTTACAGTTAACACTCTTTTCCTGACAGTGCCTTAGCTTAGTTACAGATGTCAGTAAGTGATGTAACTGTATATGCTCTACTACTACAAATAATATCCTACTTTATAATATATGAACTCAGAAATCCATATTGATTAACTATCCTGTCAACATCATAGAAATTGAAGGCAATACAATAACCATGGACAGTGAAATCTAAAAACAAGAAAATTGGAGAGAGGACTTTAAAAATTGGAGTTTCTCCTGCAAATTCATCTCCATTACACCTACCCTTTGTGGTACCTGTTCAGCTTTAAAATATTAAAATTCTCACTTGTATTCACCTGTATACAAGCTATTTAAACTCTGGCTCTTGTGGAAAGTGTTTACAGGATCAGATTTTTAGAGACTCACTTGTTTTGGATTTATATATACAAATGGAGGAGTACAACAACAGAAATTCATATGGAGACAAACAGGATTCTCCAGTGAATGACCCCAGGTCCCTTCTCTGAGATCCTTGGCAACAAGCTCTTTGGGATGTTCGCTACCCTACCTTAACTGGAGGGGCCATGGCCACATTCAACTTCTCGTGGGACTGCAGCCCCTCAAGCATCCATCTTGCTTTAATGGGTCTCCCTGCTGCAGAATACTTTGGCCCAGGTTTCCTGGTGCTTTGCTGCTGGTGTCTCCTAGCGCTGACTTACACTTATGCCACCTAAGCTGAGGCTGCTTGGAGTTCAAACAATTTTGTCTCTGGCCCTGTGAGAAAAGGGAAAGCAACAAAGAGTAGGTCCTTCTGCTTTTGCACAGCCACCTGACTCACCCCCCTGCTCTCCAGCCCAACCACCCATCTACTCCGAAGGATGCTGAGGGACCAGAAAGCCCAGGCTAACTATCTGCCTTCTGCCCACAGAGCCAACTGGCACCAGGTGACTCTCCTGGTGTTTGTTCCAAGTCATTTCACAAGACAATGAAGAACAAAATTTCATGATTAAAACCTCAGCTGAATTTACAATAAGTTACATTAAGAAACCAGACAAAGTTCAAAATCAATTAGTAGGGAAGGCAAGAACATCTAAATGAAGCTGAACCTCCATCTATTGTTCTAATATATACCCTGTGTAGGAAGGAGTGATACAACAAGAAAGGATAAATCACAATGAAGATCCTTCAATTGGACTCCTGCAAACAATGTGAGTGTCAAATGTCTTCACAGTTGCTTTTCCAATGTAAGGAGTGCACTGAATCATTTTTGGGAATTCGGACTGAGCCCAGATTTGTCTTTGACCCTCCAACAGGAAAAAACTTACAGCCAAAATGGTGTTGTGCATGGTTGCCACCAATGGTGAAGGACAAATGACCACATCTGCCACGGTGTTTTCCCTATATTATAATGCCCCCAAACTAAATGGAAGGCACTTAGTGTGGGTTTTTTTTTTTTTCCTCTTTAAATACTTTCCTCCACAAGTAGCTGGCTGTCCTAAACAAAATACAGTAACCAGTCAGGATAAGTAAAAAGACTAGAAGGGACAATACATTCAACACCTACCTACCAAGCACGTGGTCTTTGCCAGGCACTATGGATAGGACAATACCAAAGGTGTCTTGCCTACTCCGGAGCAGCTCAGAGTGTGATGGAGGAGGTGGGGAAGGGAAAGATTGTCATCCATAAATAGAAAGTAAAGACAGCAAAGATTTATAAAGGGCCTTTTCCTTAGCAGTTGCTAGGTGCTTAAATATATATTACATCAGGTTTAATTCTCACAACAAGCCTGCAGGCAAGTCATAGGATACCCATTTCACAGATAAAAAAAATTAGAGCCTAGAAAAGCAAAGTTTACATCTGGAAAATAAAGTTTAACCAACTGTGGTAAACACTGTAACAGAAGTATAACAGAGGTATACATAAATAGCTAGACAGACTTCCCCCAGGGGAGTCTGAAAAACTTTCAAGATGGAGTAGGAGATGGTAGTGCCTTGGTGAGAAGACATAGATTAGGTGGTAAAGCAGGACCTGCATTCGGGGAAGAGGGAATAGCATGTGCAAAGCCATGGAGTTATGAGAGGACATGGTGCATTTTAGGAATAATAAAAAATTCAATGACACTTTTTAGGCAGCAGATGGGGAAATAAGCTGCGGCTAGATTGTAGGGGGCACATGTGCACAGCTGGAGAAATGAGAGGTTCTCCAACAGTGGGGATGCTAAAGATTTGTAATCAGGAGTGTGACAAGCTGAAGCAAGCCATCAGCGTACCTTGTGGCTTATGCAGGGCTTATGTAGCAGAATTGTCAGCTATGGGAGAAAATATCAACCATCTAGGAGTGAAGGAAGATGCTTTTCTGAATTTGAAATTAACCTCCACATGATACTATCATTGAACATCTGTAATGTGCTGGGCTTTGGTGCATATGTAGAGACCTTTTTTCTCCTGATGTTGTGATCTTGTAACCCCCTAAAGAGATTGTACTACAGCTAGATAGCAGAGGTTTCACTTTTTGAAATCCTCCACTTTGAGGATATAAGAAATGGTTGGAGATATGAGATGAAGGGGTTCAGATGTTTGGGCTGCTATCTTATCTCTGCAGGTGTATCACATCTGACACAGTCCCCTGCATAAGATGGTATTTGACAAAATGACTATTACTAGGCCAACCTACACCAATTTAGACCTTTCATGGAATAGTCTATGT
The DNA here is from genome assembly GCF_000001405.40 of Homo sapiens. Lineage (NCBI taxonomy): Eukaryota > Metazoa > Chordata > Mammalia > Primates > Hominidae > Homo > Homo sapiens. Next base: position 7,773,809 of record NC_000003.12, read on the forward strand.
AAATTAATAAAAACACCAAATTTTGAAGACAGCACCACTGTACTCTCAAAATCAGATTTTTCTCAAAGTGAGTGCCATCGGATACTAGCCCTAGAGATTCTCTGCAAAATGATGATGAAGCCAATGATGAGAAGGAACATAAGGATTGCTTCAATTATTGCTATGTAATAAATTATGCCCAAACTTAGTATCTTTAAATATCAACTTATTTATCATATCTCACAATCGTGGAGGTCTGTTCAGGCAGGACCAGTTGGGTGATACCTTTTGGCATCTGCACTGGTCTTTAAGGTCTAGGCTAGTTTCACTAATACAGGTGGTACATTGACGGGAATGGCTGGAAGGCTGGGTTGGTCCAGGCTATTCTCCCTCTCCAATAGCCTTAAAAAACTATTGTGTATAATTGAAGTTTGTAACATAATGTTATGTATATATACACACATATAGTAAAATGGTTACTAGAGTGAAACAGATTAACACATTTATCATCTTACATAGTTACTTATTTTTTGCAACAAGAATATTTTTTAGAAAGCTCAAATTCACAGAGAATGAAATGGTGGTTACTATAGGTAGAGGGCAGGGAGAGGAAATGGGGAGATATAGGTTAAAAGATATAAAATAGCAGATATGTAGCAGAGTTAATCAAATTGTATTGTACCAGGGCTTTCTGTTGCCTAAGTAGATTTTAGCTGCTCTTGGCCAAGTGACATTTTCACATGGTGACTAAGAATGACAACAAACCAAGGTGAAAACTGTAGTTTCTTTATGGCTACATCCAAAACTGCCACAGTGTCACTCTTCTACTTTGTCAAAGAACATACAGGCCAGCCCAGATTGAAGGGGTGAGAGGATAGCCACCACCTGTTGATGGAAGATTCACATGCATGTTTAAGAGAGGGTGGATGGATGGCCACTTTAGAGTCTAACTAGCATGATGGGGGCAACGGTGATGATATTGTCATTCCAGGATAGAGTTCAGTTTGACACACTTTTTCAATGAAAGGCCACACAGTACATATGCTAGGTTTTATTGACCATATACAGTCTGTTGTATATTGTTTGTTTAACTAAACTGATTAGATAATAAAGTTATTTTGTTCAGCTCACAGACTAAACAAAAACAGGCATCAGACTGGATTTGGCCCACACACTACAGTTTGCCAATCCCCATCCTAGGGATTTTTATGGTCTAGTAAACTTGTGAGGCCATACATTTTCTTCCTAGAGCATCATAGCACACGTTAACGTAGGAAAGGCTCTTAAAGATACTAAGAAATGTGTTTAGTACCATATCCTAACAAGTTATCTTAATTTTTTCCCACCTAAAGTCTATTTTAACCAGCCTTTGAGAAAACATGTCTTTGCAGCATACGAAATTAGACTGTGACAACCAAGAAATAGACTTAGGAGCTAGTTAATGATTTTACTTCATTAACAGATTTTAAAATGGACCTCTATAAAATGCTAGCTAGATAAAGACAACATGTTATCTAAAGTATCTCAAAATATTTTGTACTTCTCAGTAGGTTAAACCCCCCTCTAGAGTGATATTTTAAGCCTATATGCATTTTAAGAATGCCTGCTGTCCTAATTATAAAACTGTATTCCAGCATATGCTCCTGATCTCACAGATTGGAAAAGAAATTCAAATAAAATAGCCACGGGTAGCATATTAGCATAGCACATCATCATCAAAGGAGGGCAGGGCTTGGAGGTAGGGCCTCCAGATGACGGTCAAAATGTTATCACTTGCTGGCTGGGGAATTAAGTGACTGAGTTTCTCCCGCCCTCAGTTCCTTCTGTTTTGAAAATGTGGACTCATTTACTTCCTATACTGCTGTGAGGACTGGAGTAAATGACATTGCACATGGGGAAACATTTCACAAACTGCAAAGTCCTATGTAAAGGTAAACAATCAGCATTCTACAGAAACAGAATCGTCAGTAAGACGGGTCTCTTATGTGAGGTAGTTTCTACCTTAATATATTTTATTTCCATTATGGGTAGTCAGAAGTAGGTAGGATTGGGTGGTGTATTGAGTCAGACTGCCTAGGTCGGAATCCTGTCTTACTGTCTGGGTGAACTTGGACAAGGTTCTTTAGCCCATCTGAGCCTTGACTGTCTCATATGTAAAAGAACAAGAATCCTGCCTACCTCAGGGGATTGTGAAAAGGATCAAGTAGGTAGAAATATAAAGCACTTCAGCCCCCAGTCTATTAGAGGATAAGCAGACAGCAAATGTAATTATTATCACTATTAAAATTAATCATGATTAATGGCCCCACTATAGGAATGTGATCATCAACTTTAGATTCTAAGATTGATTTTCCAATTCTGACCAAATTATTCTCCAGGAATAAGACTGATAAGGAATGTCAATAAAAATAATATCACCAGTTAATACTTACATAGTATTTACTATATTCCTAGTCTCTAGTTCAGGAGATTTACATATATTAGATTATTTTTATAATATTCGTATAAGGTAGGTACTCTTACCCCACTGGAGCACAGAAATGCTAAGTCATTTGCCTGAGGTCAGAGAGTAAGCAGTGGAATGCCTATGTCAACTCTGGAAATCAGCTTCCAAAGTAAAGTGCAGGTCCTCAACCATTATACTATCTCAGGTCTGGAAGAAGAAAGATTGGGAAGAGAAGGCGAGAGAGTCATGTATCCCAGAGAAGAGACACACTGTCAGACATGTGTAGCCAGCAGAAAAGGGCTTAATCAGACCAGTATTTAATGTACTTGCCAAGGATAAGCCATGCCATGAGATTTTCTGCTCAATGCACAGAAAACAAATAATATAATATTTGGACATAGTATCACTGACAATGAGTTTCTTGGAACACATAAAGCTCTGGATTTAACATCTTTTAAACATTTTCTCAACCTCTGAAAAATCAACAGAAGCCAATGCAGCAGAATTTGGGATTAAAACAAAATACGGCAGGACCCACTTGGGATACTAGGTAAGCACATATGTTTCAGTTAAGACTTTGTGCATTGAGGGTAGCCTACTTCGTTTCCCAAAGTGGCATTTCTTTTATATAGGTATTATATTTTATATATATATATATATATATATATCATATATCATATATCATATATACACACACATACACATTCTTTGAGACAGGATCTCACCCTGTCTCCCAGACTGGAGTGCAGTGGCGCGATCAAAGCTCACCGCAGCCTTAAACTCCTGGACTCAAGTAATCTTCCCGCCTCAACCTCCTAAGTAGCTCGGACTACAGGTGTGCACCACCACACCTGGCTTCCAAACTGGCATTTCTTAGCAACCCAATATGCATACTAGATGAAAACCTCCCATTAGCTCCCATTATAGACCCCACATGAGTAAATTCAATGTAAGCCACATGAATACAGAATTAGGAAGCTGAATCTGCCAGGGATGCCTAAATGAAAGCATTTATTGATTCAATAAGTATTTTCTGAGTGTCTGCTATCAGCCAGACACTGTTTTAGGCACTGGAAGTTTATCAGCAAACAAGCTAGAGACTATCCTTAATACCTTTATATCCTTATAGAGCAAGTCAGGAAAAAAAAACAAAATAATCTCAAATAATGAAAAGGAAGTAGAGAACTATATATATATGTGGTGATGCAATGAGGTGAGGCCTTTTGAAAAGATAGTTGTGGCCGGACGCAGTGGCTCACACCTGTAATCCCAGCACTTTGGGAGGCCAAGGCGGGTGGATCACCTGAGGTCAGGAGTTAGAGACCAGCTGGCCAACATGGTGAAACCCCATCTCTACTAAAAATACAAAAATTAGCCAGGCGTGGTGGCGGATGCCTGTAATTCCAGCTACTTGGGAGGCTGAGGCAGGAGAATCACTTGAAGCCAGGAGGCAGAGGTTGCAGTGAGCCGAAATCACACCATTGCACTCCAGCCTGAGCAACAGAGTGAGACTGTTTCAAAAAAAAAAAAAAAAAAGTGTGTATATCTATACATAGATATAAATACACACTTGTGTATGCATGCAGATGCATGTGTGAGTAATGTGTATGTGCAAATACATAACACATGATACATATGAATGGAACATTTTGTGAGCTGAATATACCTGTGTGCTTTTCTTACTTTCCCTCTTTCAACATAGGAACATGCACACAGCAATAGAAACTTATGTCTTGCTATATTCCATTCTCACAACTTAGTATGTATAAGAACTACCTTTACAGCATTTAAAAAATATAGCTCCCCAGGCCCCCTTCCTAGAAATTCTAATTTAGTAAATCTGGAGTAGAGCCCAGGAATCTGCAATTTAACCAGGGCTCCTAGTAATTTAGAAGCAGCTGCTCTCCAACAAATTAAGAAACAATGTTTTAACTTTCCTGGGGTTCCCCCACCCAATAACTACCGTCTGACTGTGTCTACTTTACATTCCCAATCTATACTATGTAGTCCTTTTTCCTAAAGATGGTCAAGTGAATGTGGACCGGGTGATAAGAAAAAATAGAAATGGATGCACAGAGGGGGAAATAAAAACTTCACGACAATATGTTAAATTCCCCAGCTGCTTATTCAAGTAAGAAACTGTTAACTTGCCTGCTGCCAACAGGACCATAATCCAGGGCGCAGGACTTCAAATATGTCATTGCTAAAAGCATTTTTTTTTTTTTTTGAGACAGAGTCTCGCTCTGTCACCCAGGCTGGAGTGCAGTGGCACAATCTTGGCTCACTGCAACCTCCGCCTCCAGGGTTCAAGTGATCCTCCTGCCTCAGCCTCTTGAGTAGCTGGGATTACAGGTGCACACCACAACACCTGGCTAATTTTTTGTATTTTTAGTAGAGACAGGGTTTCATTATGTTGGCCAGACTGGTATCGAACTCCTGACCTCGTGATCTGCCCACCTCAGACTCCCAAAGTGCTGGGATTACAGGCATGAGCCACCACGCCCAGCCTAAAACATCCTTTATGGTGTTTCTCAGCACTGGCCTCACATAGAAATATATATATATATATACATATATACATATATATATATATACACATATATATATATACACATATATACATATATACATATATATATACACACATATATACATATATACATATATATATGTATATATGTAAAGCATTCCTATATGACGGTGAAGTAATATAAAGATGGAAATTCCCTGAATTAAAATACCGAGCTAGAAAGTTTAAAAGCAACACAGAACACCTGCTTGAATGAGGTAATTAGCACCAGTTGCATGCAAGCATCCAGCTACTGAGGCGACTCAGGCCTCAGGGCTCAAATTCCCTCTTGGCAATCAGTTATTTCCTTGGGCACCAGTCAAGGCTCAGGTGCCCTGCGCAAAGCCTATGATAATAAAATCCACTTAGTTGGTAGTATGATAATTTCATTAACTTAACAACCACCATAAAACATAATTTACTTTTAAAAGTAAATATGCCAATGTGATGTGATTATCCTGCAGAGGCCAATTCTTGTTATTTGGTTTTAAAATGTCACTTTATTTTGTTCAGAGGAGAAAAAAATGTCACCACATTATAAGCCATTATATTACTACAATAAGATATGGTTCATACAATTAGCCAAATTCATCAGGGATTGTGTAGAAATACAGGAAACAAATTTTGGAGGCTGATGAACTTTAATTTGGATCCCATCTCCTTGATGTTTGTAATCTGGGGGCAAGTTTCTCTTTGCTTCTCTATGTCCTCGTTAGTAAAATGGCATAGTAATGCTGACTCCACAGGCTGATGTCAGAAATGACTCAGAGCAGAACTACCACTGCTATTGTGCCCCATAAGAATGCTAATAGTGGCGACAGTGATCACACCACCGTTGTTGTTCCACCATCATCGTCAAAGCTGGGAACCAGGGATGTGAAATCCTGTTGTACTTCTGACCTTTACTGTGATCTTTGGTCAAGTTATGATGTTGTCTAGATATTTGCCCCACCGAACCTCATGTTGAAATGTGATTCCCCAATGTTAAAGGTGGGACCTGGTGGGAAGTATTAAGGTCATGGCGGGTGGATCCTTCATAAATAGCTTGGTGCACTCCCCGTGGTAACGAGTGAGTTCTTGCTCTGTGGGTTCAGGTGACAGCTGGTTGTTTAAAGCAGCCCGGCACCTTCCACTCTCCTTTTTCCTTCCATTCTCACCATGTGACATGTCTGCTGTTCTCCAGCCTTCTGCTGTGACTGTATGCTTCCTGAGACCTCATCAGAAGCACATGCCAGCATCATGCTTCCTGGGTAGCCTGCAGAACCCTGAGCCAAGTAAACCACTTTTCTTTATAAATTATCCAGTCAGGTAATTTATAGCAATGCAAAACAAACTAACACAAGTTACTTTCCCTCTCTGGACATTATCTTTAAAAAGATGATGTCACCAGAGCACCTTCAGCAATCCTTCCTGCGCCATAAATATCTTCTATAATCAAGCAATCTATTAGAGATTCACTAAAATTTGCAGCACTTTCAAATTAACTTACTTTCCCTCTTTCTATGAGCAATGGCAAATAATCTGTATGGTTAAGAGATATTTTTCAGACGTTAAGACTTTTTTTTTCAAGAGAATAAGCACCTGCCAAACTATTTTCAGGAACAAATTCCCTCAGTCCTCTGAAGTTATTTGGAGTTTGACTGTAGCTGTCAAAATGGATAGACTTCAACACACCCGAGGACTTGATTTTCATCATAGGTTTTGACACGGACCTTAAAGCTGAGTAAAAACAAAGGCATCTTCTCAAAAAGATTAGGTGAGGTATAGTCCAAGAAAATTTAAAAGACACCCACCCACTACCACTAACAAGTAAAAGATGGAGTTAAAAACTGTTTAGCTACAACAAGGAAGAGAGCTTAAATTTCTTCCAAGCACAAACACTGATGCATTATTCCTAGGAAGTTTTTTTAACTAAAATTCTGAAAAAGAATACAATGTGTACAAGACAGTGAGTCTCAAAGTCTGCGCCTCTGACTAGCCATATCAGTATCATTTTAATAAATTTCTAGAAATGCAGAATCTCAGGCTCTCACCCCAGGGCAACTGCATCAGAATGGAAGTGAGAAGCCCAGGCATCTGTGTTGTGATGAGCCCTCCAGGACATCCTGAGGCATATTAAAGTTTGAGAAATGCTGATTTAAGTGACCAAAGTGTCCCTGAACGTGGCCCCTGTGCAATCAGGCAGAGTTTTATTACCGACAGTTCTTTTCCTGTGCATCCTCCTCCTCCCTTCTTTTGGTAGTCATGGCAAAATTTCTTTTGGCTAACCATCCTTCCTCCACTACAAACGATTTAGGAGAGTTTATCCATCAAAGCTCTGCCTTCATATGTAACCCAAGGCCTCTCTTCCTTTGGGAGTTTGAATTTTGAGCAGACACACAAGGGAACAAGAAGGCTGGGGTGGCTTCAACATCTGGATCCTAAATAGTATGTCTTTAATTCTTGCTTACTAATTCTTGAGAGCTTCCAGAATCCTGCCCTTTCCAAGCTGTAGTGATGATCCAGCTTTTCTGTCCATCATATGAGCTACCCAGTATCCTTCCATAATAAAGCCTTTCTGTTTCCTGAAAACTGCCAGTGTCAGTTGCTGCTCCTTAGAACCAAAGGATACTTACCAAAGATATTTTAATTGGACGAAAGGACCAAGTACCTGAACAGTGAAGGCTGTTGCTAAGCTGTCCAATAAGACCAATCTGCAGGAGGAACATCCATGCATTGACCAAAATAAACCCCACTGTGGCACAGAGGCCACAAGCAATTCTGAGCGACATGCACGGATGGAGGCCAAAGCAGCTGGTAGAGGGCTGAGCCCAGGAAAAGCACTGTGAGGAGGGCTCTTACGAGATCCCCCACTAGGCACTGGTGAGGGGATGGGGCTCCCCCAGTGGCATCACTAAGGTAAACTGAGATGTATCTATGTTAGATGTTTCCATGTTAGTCATTTAAGACTCATTTTAACTGCCCAGTGGGTTCACTTTGCCCACTGCCTAGACAGAGCTGATTTATCAACACAGGGGAATTGCAAGGGAGAAACAGTAATTCACACAGAACCGGCTGTGCAGGAGACCGGAGTTTTATTATTACTCAAATCAGTCTCCTGAGTATTTGGGCATCAGAGTTTTTAAAGACACATTGGTGGGTAGGGGCTTGGGAAGCAGAGAGTACTGACTGATCAGGCTGGAGATGGAATCATAGAGGGGGTCAAAGTGAGTTTTTCTTGCTATCTTCTGTTTCTGGGTGGGATGGCATAAATGATTGAGCCAGATTACTGGTCTGGGTGGTGTCAGCTGATCCATTGAGTGCAGGGTCTGCAAACTATCTCAAGCACTGATCTTAGGTTTTACAATAGTGATGTTATCTCTAGGAGAAATTTGGGAAGGTTCAGACACTTGGAGCCAGAGGCTCCATGACCCCTAAACTGTAATTTCTAATCTTGTAGCTAATTTGTTAGTCCTGCAAAGGCAGACACGTCCCCAGGCAAGAAGGGGGTCTTTTCAGGAAAGGACTCTTACCAATTTTCTTTCAGAGTCAAACCATAAACTGATTTCCTTCCCAAAGTTAGTTCGGCCTATGTCCGGTAATAAACAAGGACAGTTTAAGGTTAGAAGCAAAATGGAGTTGGTTAGGTCTGATTTCTTTCACTGTCATAACTTTGTCAGTTATAATTTTGCAAAGGTGGTTTCAATATTATGTGGCCTGTTGCTGGATACCCAGTCCAAACTGAATGAAATGATGAAGGATGTTATTTGTTCACATAACCAAAACCATGAAGCCCAGAGGCTGGGCAGGATTCAGGTTGATCTGAGGTTTCTGATGGTTTAGGAATCATGGCTCCATCTCCCTAACATTCTTTTGGTGCTTTCCTCCCCACTTCTCAGTCTGGGCTCTCTCAGCAGCTCCTGGGGCTAAACCCTTTGATATGCACATACATGGGAAGAGAGAATGTTTCTCTACTCTCCTCAAACAGAACTTCACCCTGAAGCGTCAAGAGCTGACTCTATTGAGATAATCATGTGGTTTTTGTCTTTGGCTCTGTTTATATGCTGGATTAGCATTATTGATTTGCGTATGATGAACCAGCCTTGCATCCCAGGAATGAAGCCCACTTGATCATGGTGGATAAGCTTTTTGATGTGCTGCTGGATTTGGTTTCACAGTATTTTATTGAGGATTTTTGCATCGATGTTCATCAGGGATATTGGTCTAAAATTCTCTTTTGTTGTGTCTCTGTCAGGCTTTGGTATCAGGATGATGCTGGCCTCATAAAATGAGTTAGGGAGGATTCCCTCTTTTTCTGTTGATTGGAATAGTTTCAGAAGAAGTGGGACCAGCTCCTCCTTGTACCTCTGGTAGAATTTGGCTGTGAATCTGTCTGGTCCTGACTTTTTTTGGTTGGTAAGCTATTAATTATTGCCTCAATTTCAGAGCCTGTTATTGGTCTATTCAGAGATTCAAATTCTTCCTGGTTTAGTCTTGGGAGGGTGTATGTGTCGAGGAATTTATCCATTTCTTCTAGATTTTCTAGTTTATTTGCATAGAGGTATTTATAATATTCTCTGATGGTAGTTTGTATTTCTGTGGGATCAGTGGTGATATAACCTTTATCATTTTTTATTGCATCTATTTGATTCTTCTGTCTTTTCTTCTTTATTAGTCTTGAAGGCCTTTGACAAAATTCAACAACCCTTCATGCTGAAAACTCTTAATAAATTACGTATTGATGGGACGTATCTCAAAATAATAAGAGCTATCTATAACAAACCCACAGCCAATATCATACTGAATGGGCAAAAACTGGAAGCATTCCCTTTGAAAACTGGCACAAGACAGGGATGCCCTCTCTCACCACTCCTATTCAACACAGTGTTGGAAGTTCTGGCCAGGGCAATTAGGCAGGAGAAGGAAATAAAGGGTATGCAATTAGGAAAAGAGGAAGTCAAATTGTCCCTGTTTGCAGACGACATGATTGTATATCTAGAAAACCCCATCATCTCAGCCCAAAATCTCCTTAAGCTGATAAGCAACTTCAGCAAAGTCTCAGAATACAAAATCAATGTGCAAAAATCACAAGCATTCTTATACACCAATAACAGACACACAGAGAGCCAAATCATGAGTGAATTCCCATTCACAATTGCTTCAAAGAGAATAAAATACCTAGGAATCCAACTTACAAGGGATGTGAAGGACCTCTTCAAGGAGAACTACAAGCCACTGCTCAATGAAATAAAAGAGGTTACAAGTAGAACAACATTCCATGCTCATGGGTAGGAAGAATCAATACCGTGAAAACGGCCATACGGCCCAAGGTAATTTATAGATTCAATGCCATCCCCATAAAGCCACCAATGACTTTCTTCACAGAATTGGAAAAAAACTACTTTAAAGTTCACATGGAACCAAAAAAGAGCCCGCATTGCCAAGTCAATCCTAAGCCAAAAGAACAAAGCTGGAGGCATCACGCTACCTGACTTCAAACTATACAACAAGGCTACAGTAACCAAAACAGCATGGTACTGGGACCAAAACAGAGATATAGACCAATGGAACAGAACAGAGCCCTCAGAAATAATGCCAAATATCTACAACTATCTGATCTTTGACAAACCTGACAAAAACAAGAAATGGGAAAAGGATTCCCTATTTAATAAATGGTGCTAGGAAAACTGGCTAGTCATATGTAGAACGCTGAAACTGGATCCCTTACTTACACCTTATACAAAAATTAATTCAATATGGATTAAAGACTTAAATGTTAGACCTAAAACCATAAAAACCCTAGAAGAAAACCTAGGCAATACCATTCAGGACATAGGCATGGGCAAGGACTTCATGTCTAAAACACCAAAAGCAATGGCAACAGAAGACAAAATTGACAAATGGGATCTAATTAAATGAAAGAGCTTCTGCACAGCAAAAGAAACTACCATCAGAGTGAACAGGCAACCTAGAGAATGGGAGAAAATTTTTGCAATCTACTCATCTGACAAAGGGCTAATATCCAGAATCTACAATGAACTCAAACAAATTTACAAGAAAAAAACAAACAACCCCATCAAAAAGTGGGCAAAGGATATGAACAGGCACTTCTCAAAAGAAGACATTTATGCAGCCAAAGGACACATGAAAAAATGCTCATCATCACTGGCCATCAGAGAAATGCAAATCAAAACCACAATGAGATACCATCTCACACCAGTTAGAATGGTGATCATTAAACAGTCAGGAAACAACAGGTGCTGGAGAGGATGTGGGGAAATAGGAACACTTTGACACTGTTGGTGGGACTGTAAACTAGTTCAACCATTGTGGAAGTCAGTGTGGCGATTCCTGAGGGATCTAGAACTAGAAATACCATTTGACCCAGCCATCCCATTACTGGGTATATACCCAAAGGATTATAAATCATGCTGCTATAAAGACACATGCACATGTTATGTTTATTGCGGCACTATTCACAATAGCAAAGACTTGGAACCAACCCAAATGTCCAACAATGATAGACTGCATTAAGAAAATGTGGCATACATACACCGTGGCATACTATGCAGCCATAAAGAAGGATGAGTTCATGTCCTTTGTAGGGACATGGATGAAGCTGGAAATCATCATTCTCAGCAAACTATCGCAAGGACAAAAAACCAAACACCGCATGTTCTCACTCATAGGTGGGAATTGAACAATGAGAACACACGGGCACAGGAAGGGGAACATCACACATGGGGGCCTGTTGTGGGGTGGGGGGAGGGGCTAGGGATAGCCTTAGGAGATATACCTCATGTTAAATGATGAGTTAATTGGTGCAACACACCAACATGGCACATGTATACATACGTACCAAAACTGCAGGTGTGCACATGTACCCTAAAACTTAAAGTCTAATAATAAAAAAAAAGAGCTGACTCTAAATTAGTAACAATGGAAAGGTCACAGGATCAATCCCACCCAAGTAGGGAAAACACGAGTGAAGGCTGAGGGGCAGCCACTTGTTCCATGCACACAGGTTGAGGGACTTAGTCTGCATAAAATTTTAAATAAGATTGTATACAAGAAGGTTGTTCAACCCATGGCCCACAGGCCATATGCAGCCTGGGACAGCTTTGAATGTGGCCTAACACAAATTCGTAAACTTTCTTAAAACAATATGAGATTTCTTGACCAGTTTTTTTTTTTTTTTTTTTTAGCTCATCAGCTACTGTTAATGTATTTTATGTATGGCCCAAGACAATTCTTCTTCCAGCGTGGCCCAGGAAAGCCAAAAGATTGGACATCCTTAATATAGGCAAATAATCTGGTGGGCAGGAATGAACAGATGAATATAGTACTGGGGTAACTGATGGCGGAGGTGATTGGTAATGTTGAAGACTCTCTAAGCCACATACTGGAGGGGACACCAATGAACTAGAGGAGAGGCTAGCAAACATCTTCCACAAAGGGCCAGATAGTAAATGTTTTAGGTTTTGTGGCTAATATGGTCTCTGTCACCTCTCTTCAACTTCTATTGTAGCATAAAAGTAGCCACACACAATATGTAAATGAGCAGGCACAGCTGTGTTCCAAGAACAATTTACCAAAAACACAGGGTGAGCTGGATTTGGCATATCGGCAGTCCTCTGTCAACCCCTGAACTTGAACACCAAAACTTGTGATTTGCAGTAATGAGTAAGGGTGGGTAGCAGAAGCAGCGTAAGCCAGCCCCCTCCCCTGCCACTTCTAATGGGTATCCGGAGTTCTTCGGCCTTTGCCCTAATGTATTCATGGAAGACCTCCACTGCAAATGACCACCTCTGATTTTGTTTGCCTCAGCATCTGCCATCCTGCAACTGCTCAGAAGTCTGCTAGCAAAGCCTCATCTTTGTTAACCTTGGTGAATCGAGCCTCCTCTAGTTCATGTTGTGCTACACCAACACTGAATACAAGGAGCAAACACCGTGTTCAACCTGGGCGCTTCTTGTGCTTGGCCATTGCCCTGAGGACACCCTTTAGCCACCACCCCATGCCTCCTCTCTCTAGCTGTCATCCTGAATGGGCACTTCCATGTCTCTCCCCCACCATCACCTCCAACTAACACATCACAAACCAAACTCTTCTATTGTCCTACCAAACCTACTCCTACCCTGCTTCCTGTTTTTCTGTGCTCTTGCCATGGTTCTATGTCCTTTTGGCTCTTGGCCTCCTTCCTATGGCTCCCCACTTTCAATCAGCCATCTGGTCCTGTTGATTTTTCCCTTATAATTCCACTTGTAATTACCCCCTTCCTTCCAGTCACTGCTATCCCTCTAATTCTGGCCTGTAATGACTCCACACCTTGCTATTATAATCATCCTCCTTGCAGTTCTCATTACTTTCAGTTTCCCTCTTCTAATTTATCCTCCTTCCATTCCTCTGGGCACCATACCTCTTAAGAAGCCACACTAATAGAGTATTTTCACCATGCTGTGTCCTCTTCTTGTTGATTTTAGGGAAAGCTATAGGATCAAGACTCCCTAGTCACATTCTAAGTCCCCTAAAACACTTGTCTTGGCCTCTGGCTGTAGAGTTCAGGCCTCAGTGGCGCATCCTTGTCCCTTTCCTTTGATTCTGGACTTTGCAAGTCACAGACTCAAATGAGTTTTTTTGATTCTGTTTCTCATTGATTAATTAAGCTTCACTTTTAACTTCAGAATCGTTCTCCTTTAACTTCCAGTCTCCTCTGGAGTGTCAGAACACGTGGGTCTCAAAAACTCTTCTTCTGCAGTCTTATGCCAGTCAATTACTAGATCGTGTCAGTCATAAAATTTAAAAACCACGTATCTATCCCTACCCTCATTTTGCTTTTGCAAGACATCAGCACTCCCTGGATTACCTTAATGGCCTCCTAGTTCCTTCCTTGTTCTTGCTCTGTATTCCATTTTCTCATTATACCCAGAGTGATGTTCAAACGAAAATGTGATCAAGCCACATCCCTGGTTAAACCTTACTGTGGCTTTCCATTACTCTTCACAATGGCTCTCAACTCTGGATCAATATTAGAATGACCTGGGATATTAAAAAATATGATACCCCATCTCCACTCCACTCTAACTCCCAAATCTCCAGGAAGAAGATCTGCCCACAGGATTCCTTTTTAAGCTCTTATTCAGATTTTTCCAGTTGTATTTGTCCTAACGTGTATGTGTGCATGTGTGTTTCATGATCTAGAATGTTTTCATCTGAGTAGGTTTGTGTACCCACCACCACAGCTAAGATTCTTATCAGCTCCAACACCTCAATAATCCTGTTGCCTTCTTAGATGAGTCATTGTCAGGAGTTAGCAGCTGGAGGTGTGGGCACTTGCACTGCAGGAAGTCAGTCCTTTGCATTTCTAACAAATATTCCAGGAGATTCTGCCACTCACCAAAGGTAGAGAGCAACTCACCTAGCATTTCTCATTTACCTTCCAATACTGTTTGCTAAGGTTTAAGTCACTTTCAGACTCTGATTTATTTTCCTATTGCAATCCCACAGCAGCCTCACTTTTTAAAAACACTCTGTATACCTATAATGCTTTGCCTAGCCTCTGTCTTTCCTGAATAAGCGATTGCAAGCAGTATCCCCAATGCTTAGCACCGTGTCTGATATACAGGCACTCAGTAAGTTTTTTTCCCTGTAAGTGCTAACTAGTGGCTGCTACCATGAACACATAAACACACAAACACACACACACACAGTTTCAAAAACTTCATATTAGTCTAGTTTTACCAATGACGTAGTTAAGTTACCTGTTCCAAACTCAAATACCCTTCAAAGAGAAGCAAGAGGTAAATCCTGGATGTCTGAATCCAAAGCACCCAATGTCAACTACTATGCAATACTGCACTCTGGCTGTAAGCAGCCAATGGCAATGTGCTCTTGTCAAGCCTCTCAATTCACATGCTAGCCTGATTTTGAGATTTTGTCAGCACTCTTATTCTGTACCCTGAAACATTTTCTGTCTTGAAGAGTTTACATAACTGCTCATAGTTCTTATAGCATATTCCATATGCTTCCCCCCCCACACACACGTGCATTTTACACACACCATATATTTATATGAATGCATATGTGTATTTGTGTAAGCGTGATCTTGTGTATGTGTGTGTGTTTAACCTGAGAAATGAATATACTGAAACTATGGAGTCTGGCATACACATTTCCATATCACTTATCTTTTAAAATATTTTATGACTCAGCTTGTAAACACTTTCCATGGCTCACCTCCTTTATAGCATAAATAATCTTCCCTGCTCTAACCATAGTCATGCACCTTCCCTTCCCTTTGTAGTTCAAGTTGCTGAAATGGTAGGGTGCTTCCTGCAGATCTTGCACTGGGCTGATTTAATAGGTTTTTTGAGATGCAAATAGCAGAGGTGGGATCTGAACAAAACAAAGTGCCACAAAGTACAGCTTTCTCTGCCTTCGATTTCAAACTGGATTTAAAGGGGAGGATCTGTCTCTCCTGAAACTCTGTATTTCCACAAACTCGTACCTCAGTTGAAGTTTGATGCTGTGATGACTATTATGTTCTTTCATTGGTTTCCTCTACTACTATGGAGGCAAGAAGAACATGATAAAATGATACATGATAAAAAATCCAGTGGTTCTCAAACTTCAGTGGGCATCAGCATTACCTAGACGGCTGATGGAAATGCAAGCTCTGGGCCTCACTTCCGGAGTGGGAGTGTCTGTTTCAGCGGGTCTGGGCTGGGATCTGAGTATTTCCCTTTCTAACAACCTCCCCGGTGACCCTGATGCTGTTGGTCCATGTTCCACGCTTTGAGAACCACTGTTCTAATCAGGGAGCCGACTGGTTCTCCACAACTTAACTTCAAATACATTGCTTGCCAAGTATCGGTCCCATATTGAGCTTCCATAATTCTATGTGTTGTTAAAAATAAGGTTTGAGACAATCTTAAGTTAGGAAATTTCTCACTGTGACTCAAATTTTCAGCTTCTGTTTTGGAAAAAAATAAATAAATCTGGCAAGATTAGTCCTTCCTTCCTCATGGCACCAATGGGATGAGGTGATCAACATACCTTTTAGAGCTGTGCTTCTGCATTTTAGCTTCCCATTTGAAGTTTCTGAGCAGCTTTTAAAAATTGCGATGCCTAGGGTACATCTCAGCCCAATTCTAATAGACCCTGGAGGTGGTACCTCTCCTATAAATGGCAGGCAGAGAACTCTATCTCCTAGAGTCACTGTGAGGAATAAATGATATAATAGGAGCAATAGACAGCACTTCCATTATTTATTGATCACTTACTTTGTGTCAGGTACTGGGTTAAGTGACTTAAAAACATTATATTTAATGCTCACTAGAAAACAGCATTGACTAGGCATTAATGACCACAGGAAGAATTAATGCAGTTAATCTAGTGCATAGAAAACAGGAAATGTATTTGGGGTACTTAGTAAAAGGAAATAAATTTAATTAATCTAAAGCCTGACTC
Organism: Homo sapiens; assembly: GCF_000001405.40. Taxonomy (NCBI): domain Eukaryota; kingdom Metazoa; phylum Chordata; class Mammalia; order Primates; family Hominidae; genus Homo; species Homo sapiens. The sequence goes on from NC_000003.12 coordinate 7,790,251, forward strand.
TACCACTGACCATTGTGCCATTGTGTCTGGAGTCTGTTGCTTCTGGTGGGTTTGTGGTCTCGCTGACTTCAAGAATGGAGCCACAGACCTTCATGGTGAGTATTGCAGCTCTTAAAGATGGCATGGATCCAAAGAGTGAGCAGCAGCAAGATTTATTGCAAGAGCAAAGAACAAACCTTCCACAACCTAAAACAGGACCCAAGCGGGTTGCTGCTGCTGGCTGGGGTTGCCAGCTTTTATTCTCTTATTTGTCCCCACCCACGTCCTGCTGATTGGTCCATTTTGCAGAGTGCTGATTGGTCCATTTTACAGAGCGCTGATTGGTCCATTTTATAGAGTGCTGATTGGTCCATGTTACAAACCTCTGGCTAGCCACAGAGAACTGGTTGGTGCATTTTTTCAGAGTGCTGATTGGTGCATTTTACAAACCTCCAGCTAGCCAGAGCGCTGATTGGTGCATTTTACAATCCTAGCTACAGAGTGCTGATTGATGCATTTTGGTCCATTTTACAGAGTGCTGATTGGTCCATTTTACAATCCTCTTGTAAGACAAAAAAGTCCTCCAAGTCTCTACCTGACCCAGAAGTCTAGCTGGCTTCACCTCTCACCATCATGGGCAAAATCCCAATCTCTCTGCACTCAGTTTTCACAAGTCGTAAAACGGGGATAGTAACATTATCTACCTTCTTGGGTTAGAGGACTAAAAAGTATATGTGGGTTCCCAGTTTCAACTTTGATATGAAAAGAACTTGGAAGTCAACATTTCCATCTTTCTAACAGGAGAAAGCTAGATATATGGAAAATTAGTGTCCTATTTTGGACCTGTTGGAAAACGGAGGTCACAGAGCAAACTACCATCCTGAAATCCAGCGAGTCAGGTTCACATAGTGGATCACAGCTAAGATCTGCCTGTCTGGAGCAGGAGTCCACGGAGACACAAACTGGTAGAAACACTCAAATGGTCATGTTGATTAATGGCTAGAGGTCGACTGTGGACTAGCATATATCACAATGATCCTGGCATTACAAAAAAAAATCTGGGGGGCTGGGTGCAGTGACTCACGCCTGTAATCCCAGCACCTTGGGAGACTGAGGCAGGTAGATCACCTGAGGTCAAGAGTTCGAGATTAGGCTGGCCAACATGGTGAAACTTCATCTCTACTAAAAATACAAAAAAGAATTAGCTGGGCGTGGTGGCGCATGCCTGCAGTCTCAGCTACTCGGGGAGACTGAAGCAGGAGAATTGCTTGAACCCAGAAGGCAGAGGTTGCAGTGAGCCAAGATCGTGCCACTGCACTCCAGCCTGGGCGACACAGTGAGACTCCATTTCAAAAAAAAAAGTAAGTTGGGAAGTGTTCTTCATTTTTTTTTGAAGAGTTTGTGTAGGATTGGTATTATTTCTTCCTTGACAGAATTCACCAGTGAAACTATCTGAACCTAGACATTTTTGTGTGAAAATTTCTTTTGTGTTTTTAATTGCTTGAGGGCTGCAGTCTGGGTTGGCAGAAAGCACCTTTCTGGACTTTATTTCCAGGGACCCTATGAGATTCTCAAGCTAAAGATCCAAGAAAGCTCTTCTCTGAGCTCCAACAGAAGCAGGAGAAGAGTAACCATTATGAAATCCATAGGAAAGGCCTTCCCTACAGCAGAAAAGTTTTTGGAGGCTTTATCTCAGCTTGGAGAAGGCATTTCTTTCATGTTAAGTATCATCTAGCCATCCTGTTTCATCAAAAGGAGTAAATAACGTAGTCAACATGGGTCAGGGCTGCAAGGAAATTCATTTAGAATACTGCAGCCAGGGAAGGGGTACAGGATGGGGGCAGAAGTGCTAGAGAGACTTCTGTTACTGTCACACCCCTGAGTGTCAGGCTTACTAAAAGACTGAGATTTAATCAGAAGGCTAAAAAACCTTCTACTTCCCCACACCTTACCACTGCCTCAACAGGTCTCCCATATTACAGGTAAATAGAGTACCGTGCCGACTCTGTCTGAGGTGGTAAATGTAAGGAGTCTCAAAGTCAATAGGGAAGACAGAAACAAAGGCATCTCAAGAGGAATGTCAAGCCTCTCGCATTTATAGTTAACAAAAAAGATTAAATACAGCCTAACTCCTAGCCAGATTAACATGAAATCTCACTCTAAAGCCTGTTTACCTTAATTCCTAGTACTCGATACAATGTATCTGACTTTCAGGAAAAAAATTACAAGGCATGCCAACAAACAAACAACAACAATAACAAAAGTCTTAAGAGACAAAGCAAGCCTCAGAATCAAATGTCTGTGTGACACAGGAAATTTAAAATAACTGTGATTCATATGGTAAGGGCCTATTAAGGTTTAAATGTTTTGTCCCCTCCAAAATTAATGTTAAAACTTAATCTTCAGTGTAATAGTATTAAGGGGTAGGGCCTTTAGGAAGTAATTAGGTCATGAGAGCTTCTCCCTCCTACATGTCATTAAGGCCCTTATAAAAGAGGCTTCACACAGCATTCGGCCTTTTTTTGCCCTTCCATCTCTTCTGCTACATGAGGACACAGCATTTATCCCTTCCAAGGGACACAGCATTCAACAACACATCTTGAAGCAGAGAGAGCAGCCCACAGCAGACATTGAACCTCCTGGTACCTTGATCTTGGACTTTTCAGGCCCAGAACTGTGGGAAATAAATATTGTTTACAAATTACCCAGTCTTCATTTTTATAGCATCATGGATAGACTAACACAGGGCCCCAATGAAAAAAGTAAATAACATGTAAGAACAGATGGGGAATGAAAACAGAGATGGAAAAGCTAAGGAAAAACTCCAAAGGAAGCTGGGCATGGTTGCTCACACCTCTAATCCCAGCTCCTTGGGAGGCTGAGTCGGGCAGATTAGGAGTCAGGAGTTCAAGACCAGCCTGGCCCATATGATGAAATGTCTCTACTAAAAAGTCTCTATTAAAATTAGAAAAATTAGCTGAATGTGCTCACTTGAACCCAGGAGGTGGATGTTGCAGTGAACCGAGATAGTGCCACTGTACTCCAGCCTAGGTGACAGACAGAGACTCTGTCTCAAAAAAAAAAAAAAAAAAAAAAAAAGGAAAGAAACAAATCTAAAGGAAATGCTAGAAATCGAAACCATGGTAACAAATGATTTAATATATTGGGATATTGATAATGTTTCAAGCAATACCTGACACACAATCATAATAAGAGCAGAATGTTAGCTACTTAAGGAAAACCTAAGGCGCCCTTATATGGAATAACAAGGGAAGGAGAGCCAGCTGAAGGCTCCATTGATCACAAAAGAGGAGTCATGAATACACTGAGGCTTTCATTAGAAAACAGTTATCTTCAGTGTTATGGACTGAACTGTCTTCCTCCGAAACTTATATGTTGAGTCCCTAACCCGCAATGTGACTAGATTTGGAGATTTAAGTTTTAATGGGTAATTAAGGTTACATGAGGTCGTAAGGATGAAACCTTAATCCAGTAGAAGTTGTGTCCTCATAAGAAGAGGAAGAGACACCAGGGAACTCACACAGGGAAAAGGTCTAGGTGAGGACGCAGGGAGACGGTGGTTGTCTGCCAGCCAGAGAGAGAGGTTTCAGGAGAAACCATCCCTGCCAACACCTTGATCTAGGACTCCCTGCCTCCAAAACTGTTAGACAATAAATTCCTACCGCCTAGTCTGTGGTATTTTGTTATGGTAGCCCAAGCTGACTAATACAGTCAAAAAAGATTATAAATGCCATCTCCAGTTTCCTGGACGCTTTCTTTGGGATAATCATTTACCAGTGAGAAATAACACAAATGAAACCAAGAAATATCAGTGACTGATCCGTAATTCTTCTAGCCAGCTCTACATAGCAGGAATATTTGAGAGGAGGAGACTAGGTAATGTGCTGAGAAAAAAATATGAAGTTATAAGCAGCTGAAAAATACTTAAATTGAGCTTGAAATAGAAAACATAATGAAGATTGGGGACCCAATGAATATTTAAAGCTACAAGAAACTTTTCCAGAGATAAGAACATTTGAATCCATGCATTAAAAGGGCCCATAGAGACATGGTGGCTCACACCTGTAATTCCAGCACTTTGGAAGGCCGAGGTGGGAGGATCACTTGAGGCCCAGGAGTTTGAGAACAGCCTGGCCAGCATGGCAAAACCCCCTCTCCACTAAAAAATAAAAAATAAAAAAACTAGCTAGGCAGGGTGGCAGGCACCTGTAGTCCTAGCTACTTGGGAGGCTGAAGCGTGAGAATTCCTTGAACCAGGGAAGCAGAGGTTGCAGTGAGCAAAGATTGTGCCACTGCACTCCAGCCTCGGTGATAGAGACTCTGTCTCCAAAAAAAAAAAAAAAAAAAAAAAGTCCCTACAGAACACCTATTAAATGTAACCAAAACTTACCATAGTCAGAAATAGCCTGTTAGGATTTTGATAGATACTGTATTGAATCTAGTGACAAATTTGAGAAATGCCATCTTAATGATATCGAGTATTTCAATCCATAAATGTGATATGTCTCTCTATTTAAATCTTAACTTTCTTCTGCAATGTTTTATAATTTTCACTGTATAGGTCTTGCATGTATTTTGTTAAATTTGTTCTTGTTTATTTTATCCTTGTTTATATTATTGTGAATTGAACTGTTTTCTTAGTTTTATTTTCAGACTTTTTTTAGTATGTAGAAATATAACTGATTTTTGTTTATTTATTTTGAATCCTGCTATCTTACTAAACGTAACTATTAACTACAGGAATTTTATAGATTTCTTAGTATTTTTTACATGCAAGATTAGGTCATCTACAAATACTGATAGTTTCTAAATTTGCCATCTGCATGGCTTTAATTTATTTTCTTGCTTTTTTGCACTGACTAGAGCCTCCTGTACATTGTTGAGTAGAAGTCATGAGAGAGGACAGCTTTGTTTGGTTTCTAATCAAAGGCGAAGGATTCGTTTTTCATAATTAAAAATGATATTAGCTGCAGTCTTTTCATAGATACCCTTTATCAGGTTGAGGAAGTTTCCTTCTAAGATTGTTTAGAATTTTTTTCTCTTATCATGAATAAGATTTTTTCAAGTGTTTTGTTACATGTATTGACATGGCATTTTGTCCTTTAGTCTATCTATAAGGTATATTACATTAATTGATTTTCAAATGTTACACCAACATTGAACTCCTGAGATAAACTCATTTGGTCATGGTAAACGTTTTTTATATATATTTCTGGACTTGATTTTCTAATTTTGTTAAGAACTTTTGTGTCCAGTTTTAATTTCACGGCAATACAGGCATCATAAAATTAATTGAGGAGTGTTTCCTTTTTCTTTTTCTGAAAATGTTTGCATATAATTAGTATTATTTTCTCTTAAATGTTTGACAGAATTCACCAGGGAAGCAATCTGAGCCTAGACTTCTATTTGCAAAAAGTTTTTTTTTTTTTTAATTTCTTTACTTGATATGAGTACGAATAGATTTGTTTTCTCTTGAGATGTTTTCGGTGATTTGTATATTTCAAGAAATTTGTCTATTTTGTCTAAATGGTCTAATATGTTAGCATCAAATTTTTCATAAAATTTCCTCTTCATCCTATAATTACTGTAGAATTGGAAGTAATGTCTCTGATTTCATTCCTAATTTTAGTGTGCCATCTCTTTTCATAAAAACAAAAATAACTGTCTAGAAATCGTAATAATTTGGATGAAAACAGAGAGGTTTGTGAAGTTTCTGATAGTTAAGTATAGAAGGAAGGCATCTTGGGGGAGGAACAGACCTGCAGAACCTATGTAGCTATCAGGGTCTTTGCCTGCCCTCTTAGCCATGCCTCTATATCTCCATTATTGATACCCAGTTTGTGGCATTTTACACTGCTCATTTGTTGAACAACTTATATTATTCACAGAAGGGCAAAAAACACAATACGTGGGTTCCTGAGACCAAGTCACAGCTAGGGAAATATCCCCTAGAGAACATCATTGATTTTTTTTTCTGTATTCTGATGCCTTGACATCTGGGGCCTTACTGACCTTTGAGGACTAGCCTCTCCCAGGGTTAGACAATTCCTAGAAATAGCAAACAGCTCACTTGGAAGTTTGCCTGTCATGTGCAAACCAACCAATCCACAACCCACATCCCCACCACCTCCTTGATTAGGCTTTCACACTCTAGGCCACTATTCCCTGACTCTAATCACCCCAGGGCCAGGTACCAGAAAACTAGAGACAACCCCTACACTCCACAGCCCAGTGGAATTATCCACACTAGCCAATCCTAATCCTGCATACCTAGTCTTGCCCATTCCTTCCCATGGAAATTACAGTAAAAGCTCTCGCCCCCATTTTCCCTTCAGTCTCCCCTGTCTCCTGAAAGACCTTGGTACTTTCCCATGTGGCTCGTTTGGTGTGGTGTGCTCTTCCTCTTGGGATCTGTGGGTAAGGAGCTATCTTTTCAATAGCAGTTATCTCATGATCTCCTGGTCTTGCCATACTAAAATAAAAATCAACATTTTAAAACAATCAATGACCAATCTCTCCCATACTGTGTGGATAAGTTGGGACTATGAGTTCAGGAAGCACAGAAGAACATTCCTATTCTTGTTCAGGACACTTTTTTCCTCCATCACTAACACCTCACCAAGGCTGCTTCCTGGGGCTTTCACAGAAAATGGTCCCTACAACAGCAAGTGAAAAATGGCCTTTAAAAAGGTGATAGAAAGTCATGTACCTTTAGTTCCAGCTACTCAGGAGGCCAAGGTAGGAGGATCACCTGAGCCTAGGAGTTCAAGACCATCCTGGGCAACATAGCAGGACACTGTATCTTAAAAAAGGTGTTTGTGACCAAATTATTTCCATTAAGTCCCAGGGAGTTAGGATATTAATTACAGAAGAGCTGCACTATTGCCATGCTTGCTTGATTCAGTCTCCTCCTTCTCTCTCATTGGGAGCAAAGAGATCGGGCAGGGAGGAGGAGGCAGAAGTGTGTTTGCCCGTGTTGTGGTGCTGATCAGGGAGGCAACATCAGAAAGCATACTGAGTACAGGAATGTGTGTGTGTGTGTGTGTGTGTGTGTGTGTGTGTATGTGTGTTGGGATGTAGAGGCAAAAAATGGGACTTTGCAATTTAGATAGTTCAAGTGATTCCTTCTCCTCCAGTCAGCAAGCGTAAGTATCTCTACAGGAGGACAAGATGGGTGTTTGTCTGCTGTATGTGCTATCAGTTACATTTCCTGCATGCCTCTCCTAATAGGTGTATTAGGAATATATGTGAAATGTGTTTAAAAATTACAGGACATATTTATCATACATAAGGTCTATCACCTTTATGCGTTAATTAACTGCATTGACTAAATGCAATGCTGCAGGAAAAAAGTGCCAAGTGGCTAATTTAGATACAAAATATTACAGGCATTTTTTAAAATTGAGAATAATTTTCACTATATTGGATGTTCACATTTCAACTGGCTATAAACCTGAATTTCAAGCAACACCAGACTTTGCTATACTTGGCACTCACCATGGGTAAGAGACTAGGCTAGGCACTATGGAATACAAAGGAACATGCAGCCTGTGTGCTTTCTAAGCTTAGTTACTCACCTGGACAGAGACATAAACAAGTAAAATAAAAATAGTCAAAATCTAGAGTTAATGTCAAGTGAGAGGAATATACAACAAATGTTATCTCTATTGAATCTTGCAAAACAGACAGTTTCCACAAGAGAGAAGAATGAAGGAAATTCTAGGCTGGGGAAATGTGAGGGAATAAAGAAGGAACAGCCTGAGAAGTCTCTCCCTCAGCCCACTCTATATGGGCATGTAAGCTAGCAAAGTGACAGGAAAATTTAGCGACATCCATGAACACTGAGATGTGCAGACACCGTGACCCTGCAATACCACTTCAATGCATACTGTAGAAGTATTTGCACATCTGCATAAAAATCATCACATTCATTTTTTCTGCAGCTTTGCAAAAATGTGGAAACAGCCCAAATACCTGTCAGTAGGCAAATGGATAAACAGAACTTACAATGGTCAGTAATAATTATAGAGAAGGAGTGTCCAATCTTTTGGCTTCTCTGGGCCACACTGGAAGAAGAATTGTCTTGGACCACACAGAAAATACACTAACACTAACAATAGCTGATGAGCTAAATAAAGAAAAACGTCACATAAAATCTCAATGTTTTAAGAAAGTTTACAAATTTGTGTTGGGCTGCATTCAAAGCCATCCTGGGCTGCACGCAGCCCATGGGTTATGGGTTGCGCAAGCTGGTTCTAGACATTTAAACAGATTTGGAGTAAAAAAAGCAAATTATGGAAAGATACACACATTATGACACGATCTATGTGAGCCAAAATAAACACAGAATAATGTCATCAATTATGTACTCTAAACATGAACTGGAAAAATATACAACAATACTAATACAGGGGCTGTTTCAGGGGAACGTGAGAGGGAATCAGGATTGGAAACAGTAATTAAACAAAACTTTAGTTTATCTTTCATAGTCTTCTCTTTTGGATTATCTATCTTCTATATCATTTTTGTAATTAAAAAAACTATAACCGTAGAAATTATACATAGACTTATGTATTTTAAAAAACAGGAAGTGATTGGCTAACTACCAACAAAGATTAATTCCAAATAGCAGAATTATGAATGTCATCTTCTGTTTTGTACTTTTTAGATTTCTTTTCCAACAATTAAAATGATCCGTCCCTGACCAATAAATGTAATTAAAATTCTAAAACACAGAGCCTAGCTAGAGGTCAGTGAGGGAGAATAATTTGAGCAGAACATCATTGAGGGAGTTTTAGAAGAGGGGGTCAAAAAGATTTGGTGCTTGTTCACAAAAGCCTCTAAATTCAAGGTTAAGAAGTTTGGACTTCATCTTGTACCCACTGGGAATCATTACTTGTTTCGGAGCTGGAGACCGTCATGGATCAAAAGGATAAATCAATATCCATTCTTCACCACTACTTCTCAAAGTATATCTTTTCACCATCATTTCCAAATTGATAGAACTCTAAGGGTTTTTAGATGTTGGGTAGAAACTTAAGAGACACATTCTCTTCTCTCCAGGGGTGTTACTGTGTAAGGAAGGATTTGGACACTTAAGACCTGTAAAAAACACGTGAAGAGCTGCTCTCTTCCTCTCTTCACTCCCCTTTACACCATAGCATGAACATCCCTAAAAAGCACTTGAAAATGATGCCTTTTCAACTCTAAGTAGCAACATGTTCATCCATTAGCAAGCAAAAGTGTTATTGCATTTCTTTCATCTCTACAGCCTCCCAGGTCCTGCTTTTCAAAGTAGAAGTGAGTAATAAACCTGTGGTGAAAGGAACAAAACACTTATGAACGGAGTGACTAAAAAGAAAAAAAAAAAAAAGTGATTATCCTTCCTAAAAACCCAGGGTGTTGCCGAATTAAGGGACACTGACCAGTAAACAGCCATGAGACAGATTTAGTAGATTTCCGGAATCTAGCATGTGTGTATAATTTAGTACAAAAGCACATCATGAAGAAAAATAGTCTAGTGGAATGGGTTAAATTTGAAATGTCATCAACTAGAAGGAAAGGTCAGCAAACTGTTTTTCAAACCTAAAAAAAAAAAAACCCAGCCTCATCCTTGACTCCCTCTTCTGTGTCTCTTTCAAATTTCGGCTCACGATAGTTTAACAAAACAACAACAAAAACAACCACAAAAAACAGCAAAACAAAACAAACGGCCCAAAGGGAAATAAATCTAACTGATATAAAATTGAAAAAACACAAGTGACAAGAGCCAGGGAAGACAGGACGTCATCATTTAGTAAAGCATCCACTAACTGCTTGACCACACTCCAGCAATTTCCATAACTCATGATTTTCAATATTCATACTTGTCATTGTTCATTTTTCTTACATCACATGCATTGTGTGCCAGCTACAAGCCCAGCCTGTTCTGTGCACTAGGGGATCAGTAGAAAACAAAATCCCTGTGATCTGTGCTCACAAAGCTTGCATTCTTGCATTCTAGCAGGCATAAAAGAGAAAAAAGAGAAGTAAATACACAGCATTCTGGCTAACTCGTTTCAGAGGTGAGGAGACCATATCCCTGAGTAACTTGCTCAAAGTTACTTGCTCAGTAATTTGCCCAAAGTTTCATGAGTAAGCAGCCTAGAAGTGACCACAATAGGCTACCACAAAGATACTTCCCAGAGGTTACTGTTTTCTACTTCTTTATTATAGAGTATTATCTATACAGGATGAGCCTCTGTCTTTTAAAAAGAAAATCACATTGTTGGAGGAGCTAATGTGCAGCTTATTTTCTGAACCTGAGTGAAATACAAAATATTGTCACTAGAGGGCAAGTTGACATATGCTTTATTTATTTTACTGAAAGAAAAGATAGTGCTACATTTTGGGAAACAAAGCCTTTGAATCAGCTTATATTTATTACATGATTCTCATCTTGGTTAAAACTACATGCAGAACAGTGACGGGTAAGTAGTACTTTTACAAAGTAGTGTCCAAATTTTAGACATTAAATTACGATGTGTAGCCCCTTTTTACCAAAATCACAGGTGCATTTGTTCCTCACACTTAATTTTCATGATAAGGACTATCTCGCATTAGGCTTGATAGAAATAGAATTTTTGTCATCCTCCTCCTTGTCTGCCTCGGGAATGGCCACTGTTCTTTCAAGATTCAGTTCCCTCTCCTCTTCCAAGCCTTTCCTTTCCTGTCTCTTCTTTCCCAGAGGATCTTGCCATCTCTCACTGGCCATGTGCACTGTGAGCAGGCTTCAATCAGAGCACCATCAAGATTTTCCTAATATCCCCCAGTGAGTGAGCCTCTACCTGGCCTAGGCACTTGTTGCCTGTTGACTCTTCTCATCTTCACCATCACCTGCAATGGGGAAATTATTACTTCCCCACTGGAGTAAAGAGAAGCCCAGAGTGGCTAAAAGCTGAAGCCAGGGCATAGAGCTACTAGCATGACCCTTGGTTACCAGATGTTTTTATTAAACTGTGTGCTCCCTAAGAATAGGGATCATCTTTCTAGGGTCTAGCATTTTGCCTCAAGAAAAGGGAACCTGCTCTATAAATGTAAGAGTAAACAGATGCTGTAAGACAACTCAAAATCTCTACCTCTCAAAGTTGGGGGAGAAAATGACATGATTTGTGAGAAGTATCTGGTTGCATGATAGGCATATAGTAGGCATAATAAATTCTTATCATGACATGTTGTTGGTCTTACAATAGATGTCATGTGTTAACATAAGTTCAAATTCAAATTTTCCTCCATGGCACGGCAAGATCTGACGCCTATCTAAATCTCCAACCCTGTCTCTCTTGCCTGACTCCAACTCCCAGGCCACACTGGCCACTTTCCTGCTCCTCAAAGGTGCCAAGCTGGTTCCTGCCTCAGGGCCTTAGCACTTGCTATTCCCTTGGCCTATGTAACTATTTTCCAGGCCTCCATGGACATCACTTCACATCCTTTAAGTCTCATTTCAGCTTTTACCTCCTCAAAGATACCTTTACTGGCTACTCTTAAGTGTTCCTTCACCACTCCTTCCCTATCTCAACCTCTTGTTTCCTTCCTTCATCACACTAAGTACAGTCTGTGACCCTTTCATCCATCTGTTTACTTACTTTGTCTCTCATTCCCTCGGCTAGAAGGTTCATCAGGGTCGGGTCCCTGTCCGCTCACAGGCACCATTACAGGCTCAGCGCCTGGCACACAGCAAGCTAACCACAAAATATTTTGGTTGAAATTATGGATGGATGTGTGGATAAAGGAACAAAGAATTAGGATAAAATGCTAAAAATCTGAATGCTCAAAAGTAAAAGGGAGCCTGAAGGAAAAAAAACAAATGAGTTGCTAGGATATGATTGGGAGACACACACAGGCTTTGGAATCAAACACACACTGAGTTTAAGGCTCAGCACTGATACCGTGAGATGCTGGGGCTTCGAAAATGATACTCCAGAGTATGGCAGTTTGGCATCCTTTGGCATCCTTTGTTTCCTTTTCTTCAAACCCAGGATCTCCTGTTTGTGCGGAATATGTTGAATTCAAAGACTGAAAGGGCCTCAAAGATTGAAAGATTGAAAGGGCCTCAGAGCAGTCTCTTTGTGACCTTCTCCTGCTCTCCTTTCTCTACTAAGGTAGGTCATAGATACTGGAATTTCTCTTCCCCATGGTGAGTCATAGAAACTAGAAATTATACTCTAACCTACCCCTATCTTTCTGTGTAGGAGCTGACCATAAAGAAATTCTCTGACCCACCTTGTCTGACAGTAGATCCTAAGACCTCATTCCCAGAGGGGCTGTGCTCCATGCTGGAGGGTGAGGAATACTGTGCAGAGAGGTCAAGATGAATCTGAACAGATGGGCTTGCTGGGTCCTTTCAGTCTATTACCACTAGAACATTCCATTTTTGTCTAATCACATTTCTACCTGGGTGTCCTTTATACACTGAACTTAAGCATAAAAATAGATGGTTTTCACTGAGTCTTGGGGTTTTTAAGACATGCCATGTAAAAACTTTGGTTACATAAATTTGTTACGCTTTTCTCACGTTAACCTGTTTTCTGTTATAGGAGTGCTGGCCATGACTCTTACGGTAGGTGAGAGAAGGCATCAATCAAACCTTTCCTACCCTACAAACGTATTCTGCCATTGTCCATGCACAATCGCACCCTCTCCTGGAAAAAGAAAATATATCTGTTCCCTGGTCCCAAAACTCTGATTAAACAGGCAACAGAGTTCTACAAGTCAGGAAAAAAGCAGGCTTTCATTCCATCACAATGACATCCACTGACCTCCAGCTTGATGGGTAGATGTGGTAGGGACTCATGCAACCCAGGACTCACCCTCCGTGCTTCTCTAGCCCTGGCGCCAACTCTGCTAAGGCTCCCCACGCTCTTCACATGGCTTCAGGGCCACAGTGTACACAGTATTCTCTGTACTTCATGCAAATTAACTCACGTACTGCTTTTAACAACTCTAAGAGATTGGTATTATTATTGTCACCATTGTACACATGAGAGGAATAAGGTACAATCTACAAAATGATTTTAAAGTCCTCACTCTTAACCCCTACTCAACACTGTCTCTATTATAACGACAACTACGAATTTCTGAGCACCGATCCTGTGCCTGGCACCATGGTAGCTGTGCTCATCACTCACCTCCCTGAGGTAACTTATAAGGAGATGCCACTAAAGTATCTGATTAGGTTGAAGCAGTGGTCAAAAGCATCTATTTCAAACTGCTTCGAAAGCCATCAAGTTTCTTACAAATGCCGTCACTGGGAAGACATTTGAAAATATAAAAACAATTACTGGGTTATCTGCCATGGACTACCAAACAATGTTTAGAGCATACTTTTCTAAATTATCTGCTTCTAGCCTTTCATTTCCATAGAGCTCTGTTACAACTCTAAGTTATAAATAACTAAAAATAATCCCAAAGAAATTTGTCTATAGATTTACAAATAAATTACATCTGTTAGAGGGTTCAGTTAACTTCAACCCTTTTCCCACTGGGGGAAGAAACAGTCTGGCATCCATTTGCACATTCATTTCAACCTCCTGTACACTATATCCTTTTGTGCTTCTTAGACTTCTCCTGTGAACCTGTTATAGTATCTTTCTGATTTCCTCATTACTAATGAGTTAAGTAAAATCTTTAACACGTGTTCATTTTATATCTGTAAGAGACTCATGATTTTACATCTTGGTGTGTGAAAATTATCCTTTAATGCTGCTGATTATTACTATGAAAGAATAAAAAAACTCACTTTTTTTGGCTTACTCACTCTGTCAGCACATGAGGCATCAAAGGCTCTGATTTCCCTTTTCATTACATTCAACCACCTTTATTATAGTGGATATGAAATGATAGAATGATGCTTTGATTTACTTTCATAGGCAGGTGGCATGCATCATATAATATTGCAGAGTTGTTCCAACTTAGGTTGGAAAAAAGTGGGTCAACTGCTGAGACCTGTGAGAATGTAGAAACATATTAACTCTAAACAGCTTTGTCCTGCAAACCTGAACAAAAAGAAATTCAGTGTGACTGTCAGGACAGATGCTCCAGAAACAGTTTTGAGAGTGGGCATCTCAGCGAATCTGTACCGACCAGCTGGAGAAAAAAAGGAAAATACAAAAACCTGTGAGAACAAAGACTCCACTTTATACACAGGATGGCCAGATGATATTGAAAACAAATCCTCTAATAAAACACAGCTTGGAATAGAAGAATAAGGTAAGTGAAACAGACGAGTGTACACTATCAGGAGATACCTGATAAAACCTAGAAAGGGCAAAATTCGCAAGACATGTTCCACAAAAAAACCAACTTGGAAATGAAACACAGAATTGAAAGCTAAAGTGGTAATAATCTGACCTAGCAAGATGGAACAAATAGGTGGCAGAGAGGAGACGCACTTGGTTGGAAAAAAATATACAAAGAGATGGAGGGAAGATGATCTATTTTACTTGCAAGGCATATTCAAGCCCAGATCTATTTCGGAAAGGCACTAGAAGAGATACGTAATTCCCAATAGGGTACAAAAACGAGGCATATGATCAAACAAATACACATTATGGGTCCTTCTACAAGATAATTAGCAAGATAAATGTCAATGTGATTCCATGAAAGGGGAGGAGGACAGTTCAAGGTTAACAAAAACTAGGCAAGGGTCTTCAGTCTTGGCTGTGTAGTGAAAGCACCTAGGGTGCTTTAGAAGTACCCAGCACTTTGGAAGGCCAAGGAGGGCAGATCACCTGAGGTCAGGAGTTCAAGACCAGCCTGGCCAACATGGTGAAACTCCGTCTCTACTAAAAATACAAAAAATTAGCCAGATGCATTGGCATGTGCCTGTAATCCCAGCTACTCGGGAGGCTGAGGCGGGACAATCTCTTGAACCAGGAGACAGAGGTTGCAGTGAGCCGAGATTGCGCCACTGCACTCCAGCGTGGGCGACAGAGCAAAAATTCGTCTCGAAAAGAAAGAAAGAAAGAAAGAAAGAAAGAAAGAAAGAAAGAAAGAAAGAAAGAAAGAAAGAAAGAAAGAAAGAAAGAAAGAAAGAAAGAAAAAAGACTGATGCATGCCTGAGTTTCACACTCAGAGATTCTAGTCTAACTGGCCTGGTATACACCTGATACTGGGTCTTCTTAAAATAACTCTAGGTAATTCTATTAAGCAGCTGAGACTAGGAGTCAAGATTGCACTAAAGCAGTGTTTCTCAAACTTTAGCTTCCGAGTCAGCTGGAGGGCTTGTTAAACCACAGATGCTTGGCTGAGTCTCCAGAGTTTCTGATTCAGTAGATCTAGGGTAGAATTCGAGAATTTGTATTTCTAATAAGTTTCCAGAAGATGCTGATGCTGCTGGTCCAGTGATTAACTTCTGAGAACACTGCACTAAAAAGACGTAACAACCAGATATAATACGTGAAATTTGACAAGATACTTATTTTAAAATACACAAACTATAAGATTTTAAAGGACTTATTGGGAAAATCTGAAAAAAAATGGAAGTTAAATATTATGGGATTTTTAATTTTCATGGGGTAGATGGTAGTATTCAAGCATGGAGAATTATGTCATTTTTTTTAATTGAAATTTGAAGTAGGTAGCAGTGTTTCCTAAATTTTTAACTTCAGGACTAGTATTCAGTGAGACTCAATTGGAGAAACACTGCATTGCAACCTAAGTCAGTCCTTCTATTATTCGACTTGAGGATGGTTGCCTTATACTCACTCCACACAAAGATACTAAATTTCTCAAGTTTGGGGCATGTCTGTAAAGTTCATCTTTTTAATCATAAGCACCTACTACAGAAGCACAATAAATACTTCATGCTTCTTTTGAATATACCTTATCACCTACCAGAAGTCCCTAAACAGAAGACCTCTGTTATTTAAAATCTTCCATAAATCGTTGAACTCTAAAAACTGCAGTTAATGTAGAAAACAAATCTGTTTATATTACAGTACAAAGATAACATAATTGAAATGATTTTTTTCTCCTGAAACCTCATATTAAACATTTTCCAATTCTGTGTCATTCATGGGAGCATAAAGCTCTCTGGGTTTTCGTAAATCTAGAACAACATCAGTAAGAGAAGCTGTCAAATCCTGGAAGCAACAGACCAAAAACTGATCCCCCAAAAATGTGCCCAGGAAAATTCATGCTTTATTACTTGAGGACCCCAAAATCATCTAAGATTGATGTCAACTCTGTATATTTTGTCCATCCCTGTCAAGTCCTATCAATTCTCCTTTCACTTTCTATTTCCCATCTTTCTGCCTTAGTCTGTAAGTATTTATTAGCGTTTCCTTCCTCTTAAGTAGGCTACCTGTCTCCAATCCCCATGCCATCCTTCCAATTCATTTACATACAGAATGATATTTCTAAACCAGTGATTGACAAACTATGGCCTGCAGGCTGAATCCAGCCTTCTGCCCATGTTTTTTTTTTGTTTTTTTTTTAATTGTGTTGGAACGTAGTCATGTCCATTCATTTACATATTGTCTAATGCTGCTTTCACGCTATAACGGCAGGCAGTAACAACAGAAACGATATGATCCACGAATCTGGAAATATTTACTATCTGGACCTTTCCAGAGAAGTTTGCAGATCCCTATTCTAAACTCTTAGTATTCAAAAGTGTGCTCCACGTACCAGAAACATCAGTAGCATCTGAAAGTTTGCTAGAATTGCAAAATATCAGGCTCCACTTCAGGACTGCTGAATCCAATTACGTATTTTAATAAAAACCTCAGTAGATTCATGGGGGCATCGAGGTAGCACAAACGTTGCCCTAAAGTACACATCATACCACTCTCCTGTTAAAAAATCTTTCAGAAATTTATCTTAACAGACATCAGTTCAAAGTGATATGCATATGGGTGTGCCAATTCATTTTATTGTATACCTTACAGACAGATCATCAATATATGAAGGAGCAGGACATCACTCTCCAGGGGCAGCCATGGGAAGGGCTTCAAATCTCTCTAACTAAATTGGCAATAAAGGGTTTGAGAAGTAGCATAGGGTATGAAAGTTGTAACTTTTGGTGAAATGAGTAGTGCTAGAACACATGAGGCTAGAGAGACTGAATGAGAACTTCTGCCCTCAATGAGCAATGTGTAAGGATACGGTGAGCCCAGTAGTTTAACTTTGGAGAAATATCCTAGGTTAGAATAATCTATATGTTCCTATGTCCCTTCTTCTTGCCACGTGCTGTCATTTGGACATTTGTCTGTCTCAAACCTCATGTTGAAATCTGTTCCCCAGTGTTGAAGATGGGGCCTAATGGGAGGTGTTTGGGTCACATTCCTCATGAATGACATGGTGCTATCTTCATGGCAATGAGTGAGTGTTCACTCTGTGAGTTCCCACAAGAGCAGGTTGTTAGAAGCCCTGACATCTCCCCTCTCCGTTGCTTTCTCTCTCACTTTGTGATCTCTGCACTGGCTGACTCCTCTTCATCTTCCGTCAAAGTAGCTGGGGCTTTCACCACATGCCTGATCTTTTCACCAGCAAAATCAAGAGCCAAATAAACTTCTGTTTTGTTAATTAGCCTCAGATGTTCCTTTATAGCAACACAAATGGACTAAGACATCATCAAATTCAACCAAAAGGCCAATTGATCCAGCTTTGAGAATATTGGTTCATCTGCTTCAATGTGAAACTATCTTGCAAGGTGCTTCACCAAGTGAGTACTTCACGGAGTTTCTAGAAACTGGCTATTGCTTCTTGAGTCTGTCTTCCTACAACACTTGTACATGTGGCATAGTCTCTTTGGGACTGGTTGTCATTAACCATTCTCTCTGGTAGTTAGGTTGTAAGGAAAGAGGTAAGCTACTCCTTGCATGTAATTGTTGGGGAAAATTAGATATAATCCCAAAGAACATGACATGCAAGTGGGTGAAGTAAGGTTGAAACAGGAACAGCCTCCCTTGTGGGATACCACCTAAACACACTAGCTGTATCATGCCACCATCCTGTTAAATAATACATTTAAGACAAGGTAAAATCATGAATTTACCAATTAAACTGATATAAAATGAAGGCATGTTAAAGATTGTATTTAATCCATTATTAACGAGGTGATTGGGAAGCTGTTACAAGTTCAAAGGAGAAGTCAAAGAAGCATACATTTATATAGAGCAAGGGAATTTTGAAGTGAATTTACAAATAGATGCAGGGATGGGAAGAGAAGTCAATAGATCTCCCACTGGACAGAACTTATTTGCATGCATATAGAAAAGTTTTTGCATTACTATTAATCATCTACAACTTGGAAAATAGCTCAAAAGCAATCAAAGTCTGGAATCATATAACCTGGACAATTATATGCATTGTTTCCCTTTGCAGTCACCCAGAACTCTTTTTTGCTTATTCCAAATTTTCTTCATTGTGGAGACTTGTATATCTCCTCAGAGCAGTGTCAGGGAGCAGGTCGTGGGTCCTCAAGGCCCATAAGCATAGCAGACTCCTATTCTCTCCTCTCTCTGGGAACATCTATCCTCTTAGCTTGCATCTCCCTTGATCATACCTAATTTTTTTTGAATTATGTTACTGAAATAATAACATACATTACATGCTCATATGTTCCCTTTGAAACTTTAGGAAAACAAAAGCCCCAAAGAGAACATACTAGCATGTAATATATGTTATTATGTCAGCAACATAATGTTTAACACAAAAAAATTATTAAAAAGTCCATTAAGAAGAAGGATGACACAGGGAGAGAAAACAAACTGAAATCCCAGTAAATTACCAAGCCACGCCATGAGATATCCATGGATGAAAAGCAACTGGAAACAGGTTCTCACTAGAATCCACCTAATGGCTTTACCCCTTGGTCCCCTTGGTCCCCTTGGTTCCTGTTGACTAATATGATCAATAGCCAGAGAGGGATTTAAGAGGCCTTGCTCAATGGCTCAACATAAATATCTATTATGATCTGGCAACACAGAGATAATAACTGAGTCTCTACCATTTCCCATGAACACGAGTCTCACCTTGAATCTGAGCTCTAGTAAAGGTCCAAACTCTGTGTTCCCTGCTTCATGTCCTACAAATCCCTTCAATAATCAAGTGCCATTATTAAGGAGGGCTGGAGGGTTGCTCACTATCCTGCTTTTCTGATTCCTCCCCAGATAAACTAAATTCTCCTGATGTAGTTCTGGGGCCCACTGAAGTCTTACTTGATATTTGTCTTACAGTGAGCCTGACCTATGCACACCCTTACTGGCCCCAATCTTGCTCCCTTCTTGCAAAGCTTCACTTTCTACACAATTCTAAACTTCTTTCAGCCTCCACCATCCTTGTCCATCATGGTGTGCTATTCTCTATTCTGGGACCAACAGCCACGCTCCCCTCCCTCGTGCCCCCTCTACCTTGACCACAGCATCTTGATTCCTCGAGGTTAACTCCTCCACAGTTAGCCTTCCCATTCTCAGCACTGCTTTTGAGAACTGGCATAAGCCAATGTGAACACAGTTATGATGTCCTTTTTTGGTGGTTAATGCTACCACTGGAAAGCTCACCGTGGACCAGTATTAGCTACTACAGAGGAGGAAAAAGAGCTTCCATTCTACCCATTCTAGTTTCATGGCTGAAGCCCCTGTAACAAAAGATAGATTCGTAAGAGAAAAGCATACACATTTATCTAATACAATTTTTATGTGACACAGGAACCTTCATAAAAAAATAAAGATGTGAAGAAACAGGTAAACCTGAATATCTTATGCTAGGCTTGATGAAGAATGGATATAGAGAAGAAACATTGCTAGGCAAAAAAGGGTCTGAAGCAGAAAATTTTCTAGGGAATTGTTCACCATCCACATCTCACCAAGTGTCACCAAGTCCTGCTGAGTTCTACCATCAGAATCCAGACATGAGAAAATTTGCAGATCAAAAAGGAGAGAGATGATGTTTATGGAGCTGCAGCTCTGTGCCACACGCTGTTTAAGAACACCACGTGTACAGCCTATTGAACTCTCACCACAGTCCTGCCAGGCAGAGGCTTTTTTCAGATAGGAATTATTTTCCCCATTTTTCAGATGAGGAAACCAGTGTCAGGAGTTTAAGTAGCTGACTCCAAGTCGCTTAGATAACAGGTGCTAAAACAAGGTTTAAATTTATAAACACAAAAGGACTCAACTGTTTATTTTTCCTGAACTTCATCATAGGTTTGATCTAGAGTAACAAGCAGTAGGAGGTTGCTCCCCAAACCACATGGCTGTGACTCTCCTTGCATCCTGCCCTTGCCCTGATTCCAAATCCACTCTTATTTTCTGTAGACTCCCTTTCCTTTCACAGAAATCACAGAGGGTTCTGAACCTTCATGAGGCCACAGATTCAATATCATGCCTGGCTTAATCCTGTTTCAACTGAAAACTCTTGTTTTCCCATCTGCCCTTAATGCTTCTACTGACAGAGTCAGCATTTTAGCAATTCCAACCAATAATTTGCGCATCAAAAAAGTAACGGCAACTATTTATTGACACAGCAATGTTGTTTTTGAGGACAACAAAATATTCATCAAAAAAGGTTCATCTGTGGGAGTTTCCTTGAAACATTAATTATTGGTGGTGTTTTTCTCCCTGAAAGTGTGTAATGAGCGTAAACTGTCAATAATTAATTACAGAAGAAAAAGGCTCAAATACCAGTCTGCAGTCACTTTATAGAGCTGATTTCCCTCCATTAACATGGTACTGGCATTAAAAGAAGTAGTAAAAGATTTATATACTTAGCCTCTGTTATTGTAGTTAATTCTGTTTAATAATCTGCATCTCTGTGAGGCATTAGAAGACTACTTGCTAAGAAGACTGAATCTTTGGTCTGACTCTAAGACAGTATGTCTAACTGTAAGAGTTAAGAGCATACTCATTCTACCAACAGAATTTTACTGAGCACTCATTTAGTGAAAAGCACTGCTAGACACTGTGAACTCATTTATCTAAATATTTGACGGGTGCCCACTATCTGTCAGACACTGTTATAGGCATCTGGTATAGAGAGGTTCTTATGCAAGAAAATATTTGTTTGGCAATGGCTTTTGTTCCCAATTCCTGGGAAGAAGGTTAAATCCTTGAACTTTCCTAAGTGACAGAAGGATCTTTGTTGTTCATGGTGAGCCTGTCTTTATGCTAACAAGGTGACTTGCAGTGGGCCTCTAGATAGTTTAAGCTAAGGAGATGAATCAGGATGGGAGTGACAGGCAGACTGGGGCTTTGAGCCATGTAATATCAGTAAACCTGGAGGCTGTAAGGAAGAAAGGGGTTAAAGACTAAGTTGAATCTCACCACCACTGATTGAATTCATCATGCCTACATAAGAAAACCTCAATAAAATCTCTGGACACTAAAGCTCAAGGGAACTTCCCTAGTTGGCAATATTCTATTGAGTGTTGTCACACATTGATATGACATGAGGGTGACATGTTCCTGATGAAACAGAAGCTTCACATTTGGGATTCTCCCAGACTTTACTCATGTGTCTGTTTTGGCTGGTTCTAATTTGTATCCTTTTGCTGTAACACAACCGTCGTAGAACGCAGGAAAGTGCTACGGTTACTACAAGCCATTTTAGCAGTGTCAAACCTGAGGGGATAGTGGGAACCCCCAAATTTGGGGTCAGCTGGTCAGAAGTGAAGTGGCCTGGGGACCCCCAAACTTGCAGCTGGTATCTGAAGGGAGGACAGTTTATGGGGACTATACCCGTAAGCTATGCCCTAAGTTGGGGTAGCGTCAGGAGTCGTTGCAGGGGTGAGCAAGAAAAAGCCCTTGACCTCATGAAACTTCTATTCTAGTAGACAAAGAAGGCGAGCATGTAAAGAAATAATAAGAATTTCAGCAAGAGAGAAGTGCTTTAAAGCTAAGGCAGGTTAATGGGATGTGAAGTGACGGGGTAGCGGGAAAGGGAAGGTGTGGTCAGGGAAGGCCTTTTAGACATGAGTTGAAACTCAAAAGATGAAAGGGATGAAGAAGGATACCTGGGCCCTGCCTTATTTGGATAGCCACCAAACAGGACAATCCCGAAAAAGCAAGTCAAAATCAGCAACAGAACAATTCTGCTTTCTGAAAGAGCTACTCTTTAAAAGTTGGCCATAAGGTTCATTTTCTGCTACTTGAGCCTCATTTTTTTCCCATTGATTTACATCATAAAATCGTGAACAGGGTTTCATGGAAGATCTCTGTGGACAAGGCTGGACATACTTGGAAGAAACTGGAAGTAAGAATGACATTGCAAAGGAAGCCAGGACACAGAGACTGATGCTCAAGAGGCCCTCTCTTCTCAATTGACACCAGCCCCACTACACTCTGACCCAGTGATTCTCACATGCGTGCTTACGAATCAACCAGTGATCTTATTAAAATGAAGATTCTGATTCAATAGGTCTGAAGCAGGGCCTGAGTGTCTACATTTCTAATAAGCTCCCAGGGGATGCTGAGACCACTGGTCTGAGGACCCTTTATTGAGTAATGAAGCTCTAGCCCAGCACCGTGTCACAGAAATCAAACATGAGTCACTAATGCAAACCAAATATGTAATTTTACATCTTCTGGTAACCATATTTTTTTTAAAAAAAGAAACTATTGAAATATAATAAGTATTTTATTTAACCTAATATATTCAAAATAGTGTCACTTCAATATTAACATAAGAAAATTAGTGAGATATTTTGCCATCTTGCTTTGTGCTATATCTACAAAATCTAGCATACATTATATGCATAAAGGTATATCTCAATTTGAAATACCACATTCAAGTGCTCAGTGGCTATCTATGGCTAGAGGATACCACTTTGGTCAGTGCAGCAGTATCAGTGTGGCTCTCACTGGTGTGCAGCCTTAGAACTAAGACTACACTTATAAAATCCAAGCTTTTGGCTGCTGTTATTCAAGCAATTCAACTTGAGTGTTATTTCTTATAAGCAACCTTTAGGACAATATAACAATTATGCTCTTTTTGTAGCATGTCTTGTAAATTGACGACCACTCTATTTTTCATATATACACACACACACATATATATGTAATGTGTATATATGTATATAAGATACACACACACACACACACACACACACACACACACACACACACACACACACCCCAGAATAGCAGCTGTTATTCAAAGTCTTGCTATGGTATTTTTCTGGCTGGTATGAAGTGAAAATTTTCACAGGAGTTTTCTTTAAGCAGAGTAGGCTGGATTCAGGAAATGGATTTTTTCCTGCAACTGAATTCTCCTGATTGCTGGCCTACATTAACAAAAGTCAGCAGGTGATCACTCACATGCCCTGGCCTGCCTAGTAATGCTATTAGCATCTTTCATCCAAGTCCCCCAAGCACATTAAGAGCACAGCTGAAGCTCTGCAATGTCCTGTGACTCAAATAGCCCCAATTTACAAACAAACTGATAAGGCAGCCATTGGCTGAATAATCTGTTTCCATCCCAAGGCCCACTCTAGCAGATTGGTAATCAGAAGCCGTTGCTTTGGGCACTATCCACCATTACTCTGCCCTCCTACAGACACTGCATTCTCTCCCTTGAATTGATTTTTATAAGTCACCTAAAGCAATGGTTTGGTGAAGAATGATGTTGGCAAAAAGGAAGAAAATGTTATGATCATTAAAATAATGATTTTTTAAATATAAAGTCAGGGTTGGTAGTATATATCTTTGCACACTAGGAATTATCGATTACTCCAACAAGAGGAAATACAGTTCAGTCCATAATAATTAGACTTGGACCAAAATAATAATAATGTATTTTTATAGATGGAAAGGAAAGCAGATTTTTATTGAATTGCCAGGGGCAATTGTAACAGTGTAGGAGAAAATCTCCAATAACATAGACAGATGTCATTTGCCCAGGAAGCACGAAAGTGCTAGTATTGTTGACTGCCTGGTACTTCACTTACTGTGCATTGTTTGAAGAGGCTTTAGTCAATTTTAGGTATGTAGATATTTTTGTTAACTATTAAGCATTATTGAGCACTTATGTTGCCAATGACTACAATGAGGATTTCCATATACATAATCACTGAGTCCTCATAATAATACTAGAAGGTACAAACAGTTATTAGGCCCATTTTAAAGATAATGGATGTTAATCGGCATGACCAATATCACACCTAAGAAGCACAAAGACTTGAGCCCAGATCAATCTGTCTCCAGGCTTATCATGATATTAACTAATGCCGGTTCCATCCTTTTCAGTTCTATAAAATACTAATTGTTTAAAGTAAACACTCAGTATAATAAGCCGAAGCCTGACTCTTGTTATTTCTGATACTTGGTACTAGCTCAGTATTTCGGGACCAAATAAAACCAATTTACACCTTGCCTAATTTATGTCTTGGGATATCTGTGTTTACCCTGAGACCTCTTTTCCCTGAACTACTAGCTCCTAGGTTCCTTCAACTGCCCTTCACATCTCATGGGCCCCAATTCCTTTGCCATGTTAAGAACTCATCTTCCATAGGGTGCCAATTACGTTTTGAAACAGTGCTTTTCTACACTCTGTTAGCTACGCTGGTAGGTTGAAGGAAAAGGTTGAATTTAAGATAGAATTACTTGTAGTGATCATGTAATCATTGACACCATCAGGTAGCAAGGCATTGTAGAAAGGGTTGTCCATTTGAGAAACTTGTCTTTATGTTTTTCAACCCTTCCTCCCTACCACTCCCTCTGCTCAACACACACAAATCTCATGGTAGGTTGTCTGGTAGAATAAATGCATGAATGGTACCAAGAAAGAATAGGACAAATGAAAGGTTAAGTGTGGTACAATGCAAAAATGGCCATTTGACTCTATCTCCCTATATCCCTGTTTTTTGGCGAATGTGTGTTTGAAGCTCTACCAATTAAAATGGAGTCTATTTACCTTCCTTTTGAATATGGGCTGGCACTGTGACTTGTTCTAGCCAAAACAATGGGATGGAAATGACATTTTTTTACAGTTCTGAGCACAAGCCTAAAAAAGCTTACAAGCTTCCACTCGGTATCTTAGAAACTGGCTCAGTTGCCATGTGAAGACTGCAGGCTAACCTGCTAGAACCTGAGAGACCCCATGGAACAGAGGTGAGCTATTACAGTTGAGGCCATCTAAGATAAGCCAGTCCCTGGTCAAACCCAACAATAGACCACAGGTACATAAGTGAACTCAACTGAGACCAGAATAACTACCCAGCAAAGGCTAGCCCAAATTGTCAATTTGCCGAGCCATGAACTAAATAAATAGGTATTGTTTCAAAGTCATTAAGTTTTAGGGCAGTTTATTAGAGTTTTAAAAGCTAAAAAATATATACTATGTCTGTAGCTAACATAATATCTCAAGGAACTCTATGCAGCATTAATAAAATCTACCATGAGGTACAAAGTAACAAAACAATTGAAAAAACAATCACAAACATTGTGATGTTACTCTTACTGTAATAACATACAACTGGTATTTTAACTTTTGTTTGTAAATAGCTAAGAAAATGGAAACAATAGGCTACCCAAAATAAGAGGAAAAAAAAATTAAAGACCTCACAAATGGCTATGGTCCAAAGTATTATCTCAATAAATCATATGAGTTAATGAGCATTCTTATAAGCAAGATGGCTCCTACAAGTGGTCATTTCAACAGTAGTTGCTGACATGATTACATTCTATTCTGCCATATGCTCCCTCTGCCTCGTTGTCTTGATCAGTTGTTTAAAGCCAAGAAGTTCCTAACAAAAAGGAAGCATCAAAGACCTTACAATAAATTATAACCTTTCCTTTTGTCCTCATTAACAGATGCTGAGTTTTGACATTTATCACCCTTGGAAATTCTCCGGAGTGTCTTCAAGATTTGTGTTTCAACCCTTGAAGGCTGTTCTGAATCTCTTTTGCAAGCAATATTCACTCCATTGGTTTCTTAAACTGAAATATCTAAAGCAGGAAATGACAGTGGACCCCATTATTATAAATTAATCACTGGTGAAGACAGAAAATTTGCCATCACATTATGGATAGAGAAGAACTCAATTCCCAGTTGTACCTTCTGAGACTCAATGTGTTTCATGCACTTGTTAATCTTCCACAGTCTTAAGATGACATAGTGGAAGTATTTGGTAGGAAGAGAAGGGGGATGTTAATCAGAGCTCAAACCAAGATAGCATGTAACTGCCGAGCTTTAAAGATTTGGTTCTTATCATTGATGAATTTTAATTTGTACATTATTAACACTATGTTGTAGGTATTGCAGTTGTATTGGTGAGAGCTGGGACTTTCTAATTCAGCTGCCTGAGTTGGAATCCTGACCTTACTTCTCATTGACTGTTTGTCCTTGGGAAGCTCACTGGCATCTCTATGTCTGAGTTTCCATATTTCAGATTGGGGATAATAATATGTACTTCTCAAAGGATTGACATAAGGATTAATGAGTTACTAAATTTCTTTGGATCTAATATGCTAGAGGCACTGCTATTTTATATACCAGGTGTGTGTGTGGGTGGGGGTGACAGGAGGCACTGAATCACATACTGATTTGGGAGAGGTTAAATGTGGGAAAGATGTATGTCTCTGAATTGATGGGGTAAATAGAATCCCCTTTCCAAGTTCATAGGACTGAGTGCTCAAGGCAGGACAAAGAAAAAAGCATCAAGGCTGTGGATGCCATATTTCAAGGACTCTCAGGAGGCAGCTGCCTCTGTCATGTCAGAGGGAACTGGGTTCAAATGCTAGCATCAGCATGACATTGGACAACTGCTCAACCAGTCTAGTCCTCAGTTTCCCCGTCTGTAATAACTTAGGTTGTGTTGGGTATTATTAATAGATTTCATAAAGTATGTTAGATATTAATCATAATAACAGTCAAATAACAAGCACTGAATAAATACTAAGATGCAGTAGTGTTGGAATTACTAACCCCTCCCTCCTACCCTATTACAGTGTCTTGTGCTGAGATTTTTTTCCCCTAATTTCTATAAAACCATGGGGAACAATACTTCTAATCTAATAAACTTTCTAGCACAGTGCCTGGCTATAGCAGATGCTCAATAAATTGCAGCTGTTTTACACATGGTAATGCAGTGCTCTGATGATCATTCTTATCAAATGCATTCCTCCTCCTATTTTGAGAATAAGCCTTATTGACATCAGGATAAGCTTTATGATAATTACCACAACACACTTCTAACTTAAATGCAACATCATCAGTTCTGTTCCAAAACCCCCGCCAGATTTGTTCGTTCAACTAGCATTATAGATACAGAACTTGAACTCAAGGGTCTGAAAGCAATAGGAATTCAACAGACATCTGGAGCACAGGGAGGCCACCCCAAGTTAAGCACTTCCAATAGGGTAACACATATCCGTTAAGCATCCTTGACATGCCTGATGCTGCATTACCTGATCCATTCCTTGCAGCAAAAACTGGAGTCCATACATTGATTTCCCCATTTTACATATAAGGAAATCGAGGCTATGAGAGTTTAAGTAACCCATCTAGGGTCACACGTGTGAAGGGCTGATATTTAAATCAAGATTGAGTCAAAGGCCCATGCAATCAGCTATTGGGCATGGAACTGTTATGAGATACCATTTCCTTATTAAAATGTTCTCATTTAACTTGTTTGAACTTCAGTTTCTTCTTGAGAGTTATGGGAATGAAAGGATTAGAGCAGGAATATTTTAGTTTTATTATCTGATGAGACTTTGAAAAATATCGTATAATGATTAAATACTGAATGCAGTCCTTAATGCTGCAGATCAAGCAACCCATAAAAAAGTCAAAAAAAAGTCTTCAGAAGCTAAATTGTAATCAGGAAAGCCTGAGGTCTGTCCTGCTAGGACAGGTTGAAAAAATTAAGGCTTTTGTGACCAAGGTCTATATAATCATGAACCCATTATGATTTTCTAAGTCCTGGCTAACTTACAGGAGACAGCCTGTGCATGCATGAGAAAAGTAGTTTTAGAGAATGAAATGACCACTTTGCACAATGTAGAGCAAAATGCACAAGGCTATCTCAGAAAGTTGAAAATAGAGATAATTCTGCATGTACTGAGTGTCTATTATGTGCCAGGTTATTCTAGGTGCCTTGTGTAGAACCTTAGTTCCCCTAACTGGTAAAGACAACTTGGTGTTCACTTTATGGATCAGAAAACTGAGTTTCATGAACAGTCAATAACCTGCCTAAGATTAAAGGACCAAAAAATGGTCAAGTCTGAGGGTAGGGAGAAGGGGAGAATAGGGAGAGATTTGTTAAAGGATACAATACTGCTGCTAGATTGGAAGAATAAGCTCCAGCGTTGTATACCGCTGTAGGGTGACTGTAGTTAACAATAAGTTTCAAATAGCTAGGAGGACAATGAGTGTTCCCAACACAAAGGAACAATAAATCAGATGATGGATAGGCTAATTACACTGAAACATCATTATGTACCCCAGGAATAAGTACAATTATTATTTGTCAATTTTTTTAAAGTTAAAAAAAGAAAACTGAAAAAACATGGTGAAGTCTGGATTTAAGTCCAGGTTTCTAATATTCAATTCTGTGCTCACGCCAGCCAGAGGAGGTTAGATTAGTGTCTTTTAGTGTGTTTCTATTAGCAGGGGTTAGATTTTTTTTTTTTTTAATTTGAGAAATGTTGGGTTAAATAAGATAGGTTTTCATACTGTGGGACTTATCAGAGTCTTTGTTAAATTTAAGAAGAAGGATATAGCAAGTATCATTTCCCAGGTGGAATTTATTTTTCAGAGGAAATTTCTTTAGACTATTCTTATAAACTGTATGTTTGGGGAATCGCTGGCTAAATATATTTCCAGATAGAATATTTCTTATGACTACAGAGATAAATTGTGTTATCAGGCAGAACGAAGGCCAGCAATGCCTATTTGTCGAACAATGAGAGATGTGATGTTGCGTTTCCAACCAGGAAAGAGTGCTTGGGAAAAGAAGTGGTCTTCTGTTAATACATAAAAATTAAAGAATATGGCTTTGTTTCTTCCACTTTTTATGTTTAGAAATGTCATTCTGATCGTTGGTCATGGGGAAAGCAGGGCGGGGGTCTTGAAAGCTTCTTATATTGGTAAGCCATGCATTGGTGAATATGTAAGGAAATGAGAAATCTCACAGTGATATGAGTGAGAATTTACACAACCGCTTTAGAGAGCATGTTAAGCAATTTCTAATTGAATTCTATCTCTAGGTAAATAGCCTAGAGAAGCTCTTGCAAATGTTCATAAGGAGACCTGTGAAAGTATATTCATTACAATGTTTGAAACATCAAAAATTGTAAATGATCTTAATTGCCCATGATTAGGGGAAGATAAAAATAAACAGGCTTATTCATAAATTCAATCTTATGTGGCAATAAATTAATGAGATACATGCATCTACATGAACCAATCTCAAAAATAAAATGGAAGAACAAGTTGCATATAGCATCATACCATTTACATAATTTTAAGCTATGCAACATAATACAATATCTTGTGCACAGCTACCTGCCTGTAGTAAAAGTACAATAATATACTGTTTATGTAATATACACAATATATAAAATTCATTTGATTTTATATATAATTTATGGTCACCAACCTTAATAGGTTCTATCTAGGGAAGCAAAAAAGGGAGAAATAATGGAAAGAATAGCTGTATTTGTAAAGTTTTACTTCATAAAATAGCTGTAAAGAAAATATTGGAAAATAGTCATTTAACTGCTTGTTGGTGAGTGACACATGCATTCCTTTGCGCATTTTTGTGTACAAACTTTTTAATAAAATAAAAATTTATTGAACTTAAAAGTCCTAACAAGATAATCAACCTAATGGTTCATGAACAAAATTAAATGATTTTTAAAGGGCAGAACTCAAAGCTTCCCTCTTATTCTTATACTATATCGATTTGTTCCATTGGTGGGGCAGAATTTATTTCACAGCTTTTGTTTCCAAAGAATTACAGAACAGACACTGTCTTAGTTCACCCAGGCTGCTATAAAAAAAATACCATAAACTGGGTGACTTACATACAACAAATTTATTTCTCACAGTACTGGAGGCTAGGAAGTTTAAGAGCAAGATGCCAACAGATCAGGTGTCTTCCTTGCTCTTTGTCGTCTTCTCACTGTGTCCTCACATAGTGGAAAGGGCAAGGCAGCTCTCAGGGGTCTCTTCTGTAAGGGCTCTATTCCCATTCATGAGGTCTCTGCCCTCAGGGTCAAATCTCCCAAATTCCCCACCTTCTAATATCATATTGGTGATAAGTTTTCAATATGTGAATTCAGATCACAGCAGATATAAATACATGTAATAATTTAAGAGATGACAAAAATATGGAAAACTATGTGCCTTAGAATAGAAAAAAATATTATATATTTGATATTTTTAAAGCATTTAGGTAGGTGTTATATCCAGGGAATTATTCAGAAATTTCTCAAAGATTATATTTTTGATTGATTAAAGTATAACTTAATAATATAACAATATTATGTATTGGCTTTTTTGAAAAAAGCATCCCAGGAACCTGTAAAGTTTACTACAAATATCTAATATGGCAAGATTAGCTCAATAACTGATTCCAGCTATCAGTGATGCACTTTTGTCTTGTAGTTTTAAATAGGTGATCACATTTTCTTCTCACCTCTTGGCTCTGTGTCCTCTTCTCACCTCAGCAATTTCTTATTTATGTGGGTTTAGATTGAAGGTATAGCACAAGATACATCATTGCTAGCTTTAAAAACAAAACATCGATAACAGCTCAGCTGTCCGCACCATTGTTAAATCTGCCCCTTATCTATCAGACTGTGGTACCTAGCAGTAGACTATGTAATTACAATTCTTCATAGCTCTACAAACTTCCTCTGACATCAACATGATTATTTCCTAGGAAGCTATAACTTTAAGCAATTCCCTGAACTTCAAACTGCATGAATCAGCACCTTGGATTCAAGATCTGAAGTGTCAGCAAATCATCTTTTAAAAATGGATCTTTCTTGGAACACTTGATTTGAAAAAAGAAAGTCATGTGGTTCTCCAATATTTTCACAGGCTTGAGTGGGTTTTGTTGCTTTAAATCAGGTTCTCCTCTTAAACTCAAAAAGATTTTTAAATCTCTAATGGTACCAAGAAGAGGTAGAGAAATAACAAGTGTGTCTCACTTAAGAAAATCTAAAGTCTCAAGATTTATTAAAATAAGAGGATGCTGAATCACACACAAAAAATTCACCTTATGAAGGGTTTAAAATCCTTGTTTTAATGAAAAACACTGCTAATGAATTAAAATGCAATGTGACTATCTGTGAATGCTTCTAGCTGATTTGGGTCTCACCTTATACCACAAATTTAGCCAGCCTTATCTTTTCCAAAATGATAATCTGATAGTGTCACATAAACAAGTGATATACAGCTCTGCTTCCAGCTTTATCAAACTAAATCAATTCTCCCAACTGACAGAAACAAAATTCAATCTTATCTCAAAGAAGATAACCTTATCAGACCATTAAATTATCTCTACAATTCTTCATACAAAAAATCTGAAATTAAATAAAAAGTTTTAAAAATGTATATTATTTAACTTACTAGTAATCAAGACTAAATGTTGAATAGTCAATAGGATAATAAAGTAAATAGCTATATATAAAAAAAGACTCACAGGAGACTCAGATATTGGAGCTATCAGGTATCTGAAAATAACTGATGCCTGATAGTTAGAAGATATGAGGAGGAATTTCAGGAAAAAACTGTAATCTATTTAAAAGGTTCAAATGGAAATCATGGAATTAAAAATACAATAACTGAAATTAGATTTGATAAAGCTGAAGAGAGAATATGTAAATTAGAAGATCGATGAATAGAAAATAAAGACTAAAGCAAAAAGCTTTTTAACAAATAAAAATATAAAATACATAAGGGATTTAGCAAAAAAAAAATTATATGCTATTAGGGTTTACAGAAAGTGTAAAAAAAGAATGAAGAATGATTGTAGCAATCACTACAACCATTAAGCTGATAAAGATATAGAAAACTATACTTTGGGACCTCATAGTAAAGATTCTGGAAATAAACAAACAAACAAACAAAAAAAAAACCAAAGAAAAATCTTAAAATACTAGTGCCAATATATCACCTTCAATAGAGAAACAATATAAAAAAATACATGAAAAAAGATAAATGAATTCTGAACAGGGATTCCAGAAATCAAAAAGCAAAGATCTTCAAAGATTATGTTAAAAGAGGTGAAAGTAAATAACTGCCAAACTAGAACTGTGTACCTCACAAAAGCATCCTTCAAAAATACAGAATATAGGACATCAGAAATATGAGTGACTAGAGATCCTCGGCTCTCATTTTCCTCACACAAGAAAGGACCAAGACGATGAATAAACAGTTAAGATTTGACTGGAGTGCTGAAGGGAGGGTGCTGGAGTACAGTGGGAAAGTGGAAATTCACCTGTGGTGATCAGAAGCCAGGAAGACAATGTGGAGGCACCCAGATCCTACAATCCTGCCTCTCCCATCCAGATCAAATCTACCCAGAGTCAAGAGAGACTTCCTGTTGCAGAGAATAGTTAATCAGAAGACCCTCACCAGCCCCCATTGTCACTGTAAACACTTACGGTTCCTATAGTGCACAAGAATCACACAGTCCTCATGCGCTCTGGACCCAGTTTACGGGAGTTGCTAGGAATTCACAAAGCTGTATTGCTCTGGGTTAGTAGCACAAGGTGTGCACTCCCACTCCCTACCCATCCCCTGTGAGCCAAGCTGCTACAATATGGTGTGACCTTGAGATGAGATCCACTTCTAGAACGCACTCTCCTCTGGGGGGCAAGTAGCCACCGCACCTCTCCAACACTGTGCGTAAGGCGGCCTCCATCTTCATTCTACCAATCCTACACAGGTGGATGAAAGCCACAACCCCAGCTGTGTGAAACCTGGACCCACGACCAGCTGTGACTCTGATTTTGCACAGCAGGGAAGCTAATCTATGTCACCCACACTTCCAGCCAGGGAAACAGTTTGGCAGGTGAACCTGCCTTGAGCCAGCTGAACCACTGTGTGCTCTCCCCAAAGCAGGAATGTTTCTTGAGTCACTAAGCAGCTGATATGCCCCAGACTGGCACAGCCTCTGTGCCCCCCAGCCCCTGAGAAACAGCTCTATGTCACCCAGCTGTCCCACCAGGGGCATACCCCTGGCCTGCCCAAGGCCCTGTGCCTGCAATTAGGGCTTGAGAAACAGCTTTGTGGGCTGTCCCCATCAGACATGCCCCCAGCCAACCAAACAGAAATGCACCTTCATCTCAGTCCTGAGAAACAACCCCATGGGCTGACTCCAACAGACATGATCCCAGGCCAGCCAAATAGCTGTACACCCATGTCCTCGTCCTGAAAATCATCCCTGTGAATCACCCCTGGCAAGTGGACCCCTAGGCCTGCTGAACAACCACATACCCATGCCCCTCGTCAGAGAACAGTCCTATGATCCTAACCCCAGCAAGCCAGACCCCAAGTTGGCCAACCCACACTGTGCACACATGTGCCCCTGACCTGAAAAACACAGAAAATAATTCTTCCAGGAAAGCTACACCATCACCACCACAAAATCTCTCAGCCTAGGCCACTGAGACACTCACAAATGTCACTAGCACAAATTACAGCTGAAGATACTACATGAAGATATACTATTACATCCACTTAGAACCAAAGCAAACACGCTCCACCAAATCAACACCCCAAGATCCATCTATATGAAGTCTTTCCCTACAAAATCTATTTCATAAAACTGGAAGAGGCAGATGTCCTACCCAATGTGTAGAAGTCAATGTAGGAACAAATTAAACATGAAAAACTAAAGAACCAGGACACCTCCAAAGGAATACAATTCTCCAGTAATAGATTTCAGTGAAAAGGAGATATACTAAATGCCAGAAAAATAATTAAAAATAATCCTAAGAAAACACTGGGATAGCAGAGAATAGAGATAGAAAATTCAACGAAATCAGGAAAATAGTTTATGATTTGAATGAGAAATTCAATAAAAGAAAGAGATATAATAAGAACCAAGCAGAAATCCTAGAGTTGAAGAATTCAGTGAAGGAAATAAAAAATACAAGTGAGACCTTCCACAACAGAATAGATCGAGTTGAAGACATAATTTCTAAACTTGAAGACAAGTCTTTGAAAAAAACACAAGCAAACAAGAAAAGAGGAAAAATAATACGGAATGCATACAGGATATAGGAAATACAATAAAGCATACAGAAATTCACACTGTGGGTTATCCAGAAGAAGAGGGAAAAGGTATAGAAATCATATTTAATAAAATAACTGAAAACTTTAAGTTGTAGGACAGATATGAACATCCAGATCTAGGAAGCTCAAAGACTCCCCAAATAAATTTGACCCAAAGAGGTCCTCTCCAAATGACATTATAGTCAGATTGTCGAAAAACAAGGAAAGAATTCTGAAAACAGCCATAGAAAAGTGTCATATCAAATATCAAGAAATCCCAATTAGACTAACAGCAGATTTCTCAGCAGAAAGCTTACAGGCCCAGAGAGAATGGGATGATATATTTAAAGTACTGAAAGATAAATAAAAACAAAAGTGGCAAGACAAGAATATTATACCAAGCAAAGTTATCCTTCAGAAATGAAGGGAAAATAAATTTTTTCACAGATGAGCAAAAACAAAAGAAATTAATCATGACTAAATCAGCCTTATAAGAAATGCTCAAAAGATTCTTTCATCTGGAAGTGATAAGATGGTAACCACCATCATAAAAACATGTAAAACTATAAAACTCACTGGTAGAACTGATACACAAAAAGAAGAAAGAGAAAGAATCCTTATCACTACAGAAAACCACCCAACTGCAAAAATAAACAAGAAGATAGGACTTAAGGAAAAAATGATATACCTAAACAACCAGAAAACAGTCAATAAAACACCAGGAGTAAGTCCTCACCTATCAATAATAACCTTGAATGTAAGCGGATTACACTCTTCATTTAAAAGATATAAATTGGCTGAATAGATAAAAAAACATAACTATATGTTACCTATAAAAAACTAACCTTACCTGTAAAGACACACAGATTGAAAGTGAAGGGATGGACAATACATTCTATGCAAATAGAAACCGAAAGCCACCAGGAGTAGCTATGTTTGTATCAGACAATACAGACTTAAAGTCAAGAACTGTTAAAAAGAGCCAGAGAAGGACATTATATAATGATATAATAGTAAATGGATCAACTCACAAGAGAATATAACAAGTATAAATATA
Organism: Homo sapiens; assembly: GCF_000001405.40. Classification (NCBI taxonomy): domain Eukaryota; kingdom Metazoa; phylum Chordata; class Mammalia; order Primates; family Hominidae; genus Homo; species Homo sapiens. The sequence goes on from NC_000003.12 coordinate 7,825,517, forward strand.
TGTTTATTCAACATTGGAGCACCCAGGTATATAAAGCAAATATTATAAGACCTAAAGGGAGAAATATAAATATACCTCAATATAATAATATTTGGGTACTTCAACGTTTTTGTTTGTTTGTTTTGTTTTGTTTTGTTTTGTTTTTTTGAGACAGAGTCTCACTCTGTCACCCAAGCTGTAGTGCAGTGGTATAATTTTGGATTTTGGCTAACTGTAGCCTCAACCTCCCAGGCTCAGGCAATCCTCCCACCTCAGCCTCCCAAGTAGCTGGGACTGCAGGCACGTACCACCATGTCTGGCTAATTTTTATATTTTTTATAGAGATAGGGTTTCATCATGTTTTACAGGCTGGTCTCGAACTCCTGAGCTCGAGTAATCCTCCCACCTCACCCTTCCAACATGCTGGGATTACAGTCATTTGCCACCATGTCTGGCCTTTTAAATTAATTAATTAATTACTTTTGAGATGGAGTCTCACACCGTCAACTGGGCTGGAGTGCGGTGGCACAATCTTGGCTCACTGCAACCTCTGCCTCCCAGTTTCAAGAAATTCTCCTGCCTCAGCATCTCAAGTAACTGGGATTACAGGGGCCCGCCACCATGCCCAGCCCTTTTTTTTTTTTTTTTTTTTTGTATTTTTAGTAGAGAAGGAGTTTCTCTATGTTGTCCAGGCTGGTCTCAAACTCCTGACCCTGTGATCTGCTCGCCTCGGCCTCCCAAAGTGTTGGGATTACAGGCGTGAGCCCCTGCACACAGCCAATTATTTATTTTTTGAGCTCACACTTTCAGCATTGGACAAATCATCTAGACAGTAAATCAACAACAACAACAACAAAAATCAGCCTTAAACTGCACCAGAGAACAGAACTAACAGACATTTACAGAGCATTTTCCCCACCAGCTGCAGAATACACATTTGTTTTTCATCAGCACATGAAACATTCTCCAGCATTGATCATATGCTCAGATATAAAACAAGCCTCAAAAATTTTTAAAAAATCAAGTATTTTATCTGACCACAATGGAATAAAACTAAAAATACCAAGAGAAACATTCAAAACTATACAAATACTATTCATGGAAGTTAAACAACATGCTCCTAAGTGACCAATGGTTGAAAGTAAAAACTAAGAATGGAAGTTAATAATTCCTTGAAATAAATGTAATACAACATGCCAAAAACTATGGGTCAGAGCAAAAGCAGTATTGAAGAGCCAATTTTATAGCAATAGATGCCTACCTCAAAAAACTAGAAAGACTTCATATAAAAAAGTCAATGCTGCATCTCAAGGAACTAGGAAAACAAAAACAAACCAAACTCAAGATTAGTAAAATGAAATAAATAATAAAGATCAGGGCAGAAACAAAACTGAGAACAAAAAAGTACAAAAATCAAGGAAAAAAGATTTTTTTGGAAAGATAAACCAAACCAATAAACTACTACCTAGACTAATAAGAATAAAAGTGAGAAAATGTAAATAGAAACACAACAGGAAATGCCACAATAAATATGAAAGAAATACAAAGAATCATTAGAAACCACAATGAACAACTATATGCCAATAAGTTGGAAAACCTAGAGAAAATGGATGAATTCTTGGATATATATAATTTACCAAGATTGAACCAATAAAAAACAAGAAAACACAGACAGACCTATAACAAGACTGAGTCGGTAATAAAAACTCTCCGAAAAAATAAGTGTCCAGGACTGGAAAATGTCACCAATGAATTCTACTATACCTTTAAAAAAGAATACATACCAGTTCATCTCAGGCTATTCCCAAAAAACAAAGTAGAAGGAACTCTTTCTAACTCATTCTGTGAGGCCAGTAAAACCACAGAATTATATAAATGAATGCAAAAAAGTAACAAAATTCACCATCATTTTATAATACAACTCTCAATAAATTAGGTATAGAAGGAAAGTACCTCAACACAATAAAGGCCATATATGACAAACCCACAGCTAACATCATACTTACTGAGGAAAAACTGAAAGCTTTTCTCCTAAGAACTGGAACAAGAAAAGGATGCTCACTGTCACCACTTTTATTAAACATATTTCCGGAAGTACTGGCCCAGAGTAAACAGTCAAGGGAAAGAAATAAACAGCCTTACATCAGAAGGGAGGAAGTCAAATTATCCCTGTGTGGAGGGAAAATGGTATTATATATAGAAAAACATAAAAACCTTTCAAAAATCCCTCTTAGACCTGATAAATATTCAGTAAAGTTGCAGGATGCAAAAATCTACATACAACAATCAGTTGTGATTCTATACATGAAAAACAAACTATATTTAAAAAATCAAGAAGGTAATTCCATTTACCCTAACTATGAAAGAAAATACATAGAAAGAAATTTAACCAGGAAGGTGAAAGACTTCTGAAAAAAACAAAAAACAAAAAACAAAATCAAAAAAGAACAAACAAGCAAACAAAAAAAAATCCTGATGAAGGAACTGAAGATAATACAAACAATGGAAAGACATCCCGTGTTTGTGGACTGAAATAGTTAATATTATTAAAATTACTATATTGCTCAGAGCAATCCACAGATTCAAGGTAGTCCCTATCAAAATACCAGCATCATTTTTACAGAAATAGAAGAAATAATTACAAAATGTGTTTGTAACCAAAAAAGAGCAAGAATAGCTAAAGCAACTCTGAGCGAAAAAACAAAGCGGGGGACATCATACTACCTGACTTCAAAGCTTACTACAAATCTATAGTAACCAAAACAGCCTGGTATTGGTATAAAAATAACACAGACTTATGGAATAGAATATATAACTGAAAGATAAACCCCTATGTTCACAGCCAACTGATTTTCATCAAAGCTGCCGAGTGTATATGTTGGAGAAAGGACACCTGTTTCCATAAATGGTACCGGGAAAACCGAATAACCAATGTAGAAGAATAAAACCAGACTCTATCTCTATATGTCACCATATACAAAAATCAACTCAACATAGATTAATGACATAAATGATAAAACTACTGGAAGAAAACAGGGAAAATTCTTCAGGACACTAGTCTAGACAAAAATGTTATGGCTAAGAATTAAAAGCATAGGCAACAAAAGCAAAAACAGACAAATGAAACTATATTAAACTGAAATACTTCTTTACAGCAAAAGAAATAATCAGAATAACGAGAACACCTCTGGAATGAGAGAAAATATTTGCAAACTATTCATCTGCGAAAGGACTAATATAAATATACAAAGAACTCAACAATAAAAAAGTAAATAATCCCATTAAAAATGGGCAAAGAACATGAATAGACATTTCTCAGAAGATGATACACAAATGGCCAACCAGATATGTGAAAAAAGATCAACATTACTAATCACCAGGGAAATGCAAATTAAAACCGCAATGAGATAATGTACTCCAGTTAGAATGGCTATTAAAAAGACAAAAAGTAACAGATGCTCATAAGGATGCAGAGAAAAGGGAACCCATATACTGTAAGTAGAAATGTAAATTAGTATAACCACTATGGAATATAGCATGGTGGTTTCTCAAAAAATTAAAAATATAACTACCATGTGATCCTGCATTCCCACTACTGGGTATTTATCCAATGAAAAAGCAATCAGTGTATCAAAAAGGGATATCTACACACACAAGTTTATCATAACACTATTCATAATAGCAAATATATGAAATCAACATAAGTGTCTATTAACAGATAGAAAATGTGAAATACACAACAAAATACTATTCGCCCCTATAAAAGAATGAAATCACATTATTTGCAGCAACATCGATAGAACTGGAGCTCATTAAGTGAAATAAGTGAGGCACAGAAATAGATACTGCATGTTCTTATCCATATGTGTTAGCTAAAAACCTTGATCAGATGGACATAAAGAATTGAATGATATATACCAGAAACTGGGAAGGATGGGTGGGTAGGGGCATAAAGAGAGGTAGATTAATGTGGACAAACATGCAATGAAACAGAATAAATAGTTTCACGAGTTTAGAATAAATATACTTAGCAAAAATATTTTGTACATTTCAAAGTAACTAGAAGAGAGAACTTGATATCAAAACATAGGAATAAATACTCAGTGTCGTACATCTGAAATACTCTGACTTGACCATTACGTATTCTATGCATGTGACACTTACATGTGTCCCATAACTATTATGTATCAATAGAAGAAAAAAGGAAGAATTATTAACTACAGACATTAGAAGGGATATACCACTATGGATCCTAATGATATTACAAAGATAATCAGAAATGACTGAAAAAAACTTTTTTTATTAAAAGACAAAATCTTAGAAAAAAATAGTTTGCTAAAATTGACACATGAAACAGACTATCTGAATAGACCTATGTATAGAAAAGAGATTACATCAGAAAATTAAAAACAAATATACAACAAAAACCCCTATCAAAATTAAACTCCAGTGTTCAAATAACTGCTTCATTGGATAGTATATCTCCTTGATCTAATTATGATTATATAGCAAAAGCCTACAAGATACTTTATAATTAATGAAGAAATATTTACATCTTTCTTATCCATTTTTTTTCTTTAAGAGATAGAGTCTTGTTCTGTCACCCAGGCTGGAGTGTGGTGGCATGTTCTTGGCACACAGCAACCTCAAACTCCTGGTCTCAAGCAATCTTCCCACCTCATCCTTCCAAAGTGCTGGGAATACAGGTGTGGGCCACCATGTCTGGCGCACATCTTCTTTATCGAGGTTGTGAAAGAAATGAGATGAAGGCATCTAATATCATTTTTAGTTAACAATGTTATTTGAAATATAGTATAGTAAGAAAATAAATAGATTAAACTTGAAAAATAAAACTACTGGAAATATTTCAAATGTTGGACACACAAATTTGTAGAAAATGGCAGCAACTTGATTTGGAAACAGCCTTACACCCTTCCATAATGAATCTTAAAGTCAAGGAGAACACAAACCACACATGGGCTTTGCCTTCAATTTTACTAAAAAGATGTCTTGATAATAACTACCTATAAGTAGAGAAGAAATCCAACAGAGTTCCCCTTCTTGTTTGCCACATAGCAAGCTTGTGGATGTACAGAGAAAACATTACAGGATAGGAGGAACTTAAAATACAGCTTTCAGATATCCCCTGACCAAATTTGGGATAATTTGAGCATCAAAATAATGAAATACTCTAATATATTTTAAGCCAATGAGAGAATGGGAATCTTCAAGTCCATAATGATAACGCCTAAATACATAAATTAAAAAGGAGGAAGAAGGGATCTTTCATACACTAGAATGTTCAGTACCAACTGGCAAATACAGAGACAATGCTAAGTTAAAGTTATCATTTTGCAGTTTTCATAGGAAAGCCTGGTTTAGGCAAAAATCAATGGATAGACCCCAGGGAAAATTTGTGACAAGAAACAGATACTTTGAATGGCCTTAATGTGTCTCCCTAAAGTATGCTTATTAGTTAAAAGGGAAGAAATAACCATTATAGAGTAGAGACATTGGATTCCTTGGCAAAGTGATAAAGTTAACATCACCAGCAAGAGGCAGATGAACACCGTGTGCCCCCTGATATGATGCTCTGAGGATACAACTTCCCTCATGTAACATGAATCTCATCATGAGAAAACGTAAGCAAGCCAAAAATCCTATTACCAAAAAACAGGAACTATACAGTCTTCAAAAATGTCAGTGTTCTAAAAGACAAAGAAATTCTATGGAAATATTCCACATAAAAGACTAATGAGACAGGGAAATCAAAAATATTTCTCATTTTATGTAGCATCTTATACTAGAAGGGAAAATCAACTGTTACAAATAACATAGTTGGTTCAATCAACAAAACTGAAATCATTTGGTAAATTAAAATATTCTGTCAATGTTAAGTTAACTAAAGATGATAATTACACTGTGGTTATATAAGACAATAATGCCTACTCTTGGGAAATATGCACTGAACCTGGGGGTAAAAACCCATTATGTGTGCAACTTACTCTCAGTTTGATTAGAAAGAAACATGCCCATATTGGAGAAAGGGAGACAGAGAACAACTGAGCAAATAAAATAGGATAAAGTATTAACAAGAAATGAATTTATACAAAAAGAATTATTGTTTGCACTCATTATTCCAATTTCTCTGTAAGTTTAAAATTATTTCCAATTAAAAAGTTTAAAAATTGGTAAAATCATCATTATTTGGAGATAATAGCCTTGTGTACCTAGAAATTTTGAGACACTAAAAATAAACTTGCGGAATAATGGAATTTAGCAAGGTTGTTGAAGGCAAGAGAGTATGTGTGTGTGTGTGTGTGTATAATTTCTATATACCAGCAACAAAAATATAGAACTTTTAATACCATAAAGCTTTTTAATCAAATAACTACGAATGAATTTAAGATATGCAGTCTCTACATAGAAAGCCAAACCAAATTAAACCGAATCAAAAAGTAAAACATAAAGAGATTTAAATATCTAAATAAATGGAGGGTTATGCCACATCATGTTTATTGACTGAAACAGTCACTACTGTCATATCGATTCTCAAGCTGGTATATTGTTACAATGCAATTACCATCAAATTTTGGCAGAGTGTGATTGTGTATGCAGATTGAAAAGGTGACTCCATTAGTGGATAGGCAGAAGGCCAAGATGATTCAAAACCATTTTCAAGAATAAAGCTGGTGATTTTTACTAACTGATAACTAGACTTATATAGCTTCAGTAATTTAGATACAATAGAATTTGTACAAGCCATTAAGAATAAATCCATACATATCGATAGGTTCAATTTATGACAGAAGTAACACTGATATAGAGATGTGGAAAAAGGATGGAACTTTAGACAAATATGACTGAGTCAACTGGATATTCTTATGGAAATAAAAAATATTGATTGATAGTTTTCAATCTCCATATGCAAAAGTTAATTCAAGATGAGTTGTAATATATACATGTTTCTTTGATGCGTTTGGCAAAGATAGATGTCTTACACAGGACACAGAAGGCAATAGTCATCCAGAAAAAAAGTAGATAAACTTTCCTACATTAATGTTAAGAACTTATACTTATCAAAAACATATTGAGAGTAAAAAGCCAAGCCAAAGAGAAAATGAAAGGTGTTTTTAATACATCTTGATGAAGATATCATATCAAGAATATGTCCAAAATTCTTAGGAGCAATAAGAACAATATTACACCTAATAAAATGAACAATAGATGGCACAAAAGTAGATATCCAAATGGCAACTAAAGAGCTAACGAGATCCTTAAACTTATTAGTCGTCAGAGAAATGAAAAAAAAAAAAAGATATCATTGCATGACAACCAGACTGCCTAAAAATAAAATAAATGAACAATGCCAACTATTGGCAACTATAGAGCCACTCGAACTCTCACACATTGCTCATGGGAATGAAATTTGTACAACCACTTGGGAAAATTATTTTGCCGTATCTACTGAAGTTGAAGATAGGCATACTGTATGATACTCCTTAGTATATTCACAATAGAAATGCCTACATAAATTCATCCAAAATCAAATAAGGATATTCATAACAGCACTATTTTAAATAATTACAACTAGAAACAATCGTGAATAGTAGCATAAATGTGATACATTAATAAAATGAAAAACCGTATATGAATAAAATGAACAATGTGCCCTACATGAAATAGACCTAAATCTCACAAATGTTTGTGAAAGTATCCAGAGAGTAGATAATCTAAGTTTTATATTTATAGAAAGTTGAAATTAGTCTATAACATAGAAGTTAGGACAATGGTTATCCTTAGGGAACAGGTGGTTAATGTAAAGGGGAGGGTGTGTGTAGAATTTACAGACTTCTGGAAACATTCCACTTTTTATTTAAACCAGGATGGACATCATATAAATACGCTTTCTGCATAATTCCTCAGTCTGGACACTCAAATTCTGCACATTGCTATATCTCAATAAAAGTATAATAGATATGGCCGGGCATGGTGGCTCAAGCCTGTAATCCCAGCACTTTGGGAGGCTGAGGTGGGCGGATCACCAGAGGTTGGGAGTTCGAGATCAGCCTGGCTAATGTGGGGAAACCCCGTCTCTACTAAATATACAAAATTAGCTGGGCATGCTGGTGCATGCCTATAATTCCAGCTACTCGGGGGGCTGAGGCAGGAGGATTGCTCGAACCCAGGAGGTGGAGGTTGCAGTGAGCCGGGATCGCACCACTGGACTCCAGCCTGGGCAACAGAATGAAACTTGGTCCCCCTCTCAAAAAAAAAAAAAGTATAATTGAAACAATCTCTACATTGCCCAATAGAGTCTAATACTCTAATATTACTATAATAATTTATAATAATCAGCTTAGATCAACTTTTGCTATATTGACAAATGGCACCACAAATCTCAGTGGCTTACAACAGCAAACATTTCTTTCTTATTCACATGTATGTTAATCATGGGTTGCCTTCTGATTTGATGCATATAAAAAAGAGCAATGACAGGACTACACAATGGCTCTTAATTTTCCACCCAGATTTGGCACACCTCACTTCTTGCTCACATTCTTACTGGTCAAAACAGTTCATATGGACTTGGCATCAATGAAATAGCATAAACTCGGGAAACGACACCAGAGGCAATGGCTCGCAAGGACATCCATCGTCTTGCCCTGACTATGTTAGCAACCTTATCATCTGAATCTAATTCTTCAATCTTCAGTAAGAATGATTTATAATTCTCTGTACTCACTCTTGCTGTCCCTGGCTCTGAGCCTTTGCTCACTCCATTTCCTTGGCTTGAAATGCCTTTCTACTCCACCACTTTTTTTTAACCTGACTAAATCTTACTCAAAGTTCTTTAAGATTTAGTCCATAAAATTTAGTCTGTGATATTCAAATTATTTCAAGTTTCATGTGGCATAGGCAGATATGCACCATTATGTATATATCTGTAAACAACAGGTAACCCTAACAATGTGCACTGAATATCATTTCTGGGCTTCCTCTCCACTGTGCAACTACCTTTGACCACTTCAGGACAAATTAGATGTTCCTACTCCTGATATACTCTGTGCCCATCTCTGTCACTACACATTCCTTAGTGTTCCATAATTTCTGCTTATAACGTTGTCACCACCACTACATTATGTGACACTTAAACACAAGGATAATGTTTCAATATACATGATTTATCCACATAATTCGTGTATATTGATTATACATATCATACTGGCTGCTCAATAAATATTGATTGAATTACTTCATGTGTCAATTTATGATTGATTTTGGACAAAGTGTGTCCTGTATGGGAGGCAAAAGTGACTATTATTGCCCCAATGCTACCGTCTATGATTCCTATTTTATTATTTTCTCACTATCCTAAAGCACTATTCTTTTAAGGTCAAGCTATTTTCTACTAGGTTCTGGGTCTAGCAGGCATAGCAATCTGTGAACCAGTATAGAAGTTTACTATAATAACAGCATACACTTATATTTGTAAAATATAGGAGACAGTTGCTCCGCAAGTATGGTATCAAGGTGCAGAGATACCTCATATCAGCTGGTTCTTACCCTACCCCCACCCCCCCCCGCCCGGTATCACTGCTAAGAAAAATCGCACACATAGGAATATTTTAAATGTTTAACATGGGAAGTGTGAGATAAATGTAACTTGCTTTAGTATTAAATGGATGGCAAATAACCAATATAAATATTTTTTTCAACTCTCTTTTGAGAGTTAGTGAATCATTTATGTATTCCAATATATCTTCCTATGTTTACCTCTTAAGATAACAGAGAAATGACCTTTGGAAAATACCATTGCACACATCTCGAAGGCATTAAAATGTTTATTACAGCCACCATAATTATACAGTTATGACTTTTTCAAGTGGTTCTGATAAAAGCAAATGAATGGTGAAATGTTGTGGGTTGTCCATGGTGATGCTACTCCTGGAAAGGCATCCAGTGCTACCTTCTGAGAAGTTGAAATGTTCCTCACTTTCTCCCACCTACTTCAAGAAATGACTATGAATTTTCTCACCTCATTTATTTTTTCACTTGAGCACTTCACTTTCTGTATGTAGTAATTCATGTACGCAATGCTCCTGTTTGCTTGTTTAGATATCTCTGAATAAGTATATTTACTCCTTTACGACCTATCTTCCCTTCTACTTTTTTTCTCAACTACTTTCCTTGAGGTCTAAGGATTCATTAAAGTCAAAATAATCAACAACAGTGTCAACAACCATAGCAACTAAGATATACTATGTGCTTTTTATGTACTACATACTGTGTGATATGGTTTGAATCTGTGTCCCTGCCCAAATCTCAAGTCAAAGTGTAGTCCCCAGTGTGAGAAGTCGGGCCTAGTGGGAGGTTATTGGATCCCCAGGACAGAGTTCTTATGAATGGGTTATCACCATCCTCTCTGTGCTGTTCTCCTAATAATGAGTAATCTTGAGATCTGGTTGTTTACAAGTGTGTAGCACTGCCCCTGCCTCCCTTTCCCCCCTTCCTCCTGGCTCCAGCCAAGTGAAGCTCCTTTCTCCTCCTTTTGCCTTCTGCCGTGATTGAAAGCTCCCTGAGGCATCCCCAGAAGCTGAGCAGAAGCTGCTAAGCTTCCTGTACAGCCTGCAGAACCATGAGCCAAATAAACCTCTTTTATTTATAAATTACCCAGTCTTAAGGTATCTCTTTATAGCAGTATGAAAACAGATTAATACACTGTGCTATGTGCACTAAACATATAGAACCACATTTAATGCTTATAGAAACCTATAAAGTCAGGGATCTTATAATCCCCATTTTCAGATGAGGAAACAGACTTGGAGAATGTTAAACTACTGACCTAAAGGCATCCAGCTACCAAATGAAAGTTCAAGATTAGATTTTGGTTCTGAAATCAGAGTTTGTCATCTTATCTACTACACAATAATAACCATTGATTCTTTTAAGGGAGTCCCTGAGTAAACATCTTTAGGGACTTGCCTTAATAAATTTAGAATACAAATGCCTAACAGTGCTATAAGAATGTCAGCTTGCACACCAGATCAATCTAGTGACTAGGAATGGACTTTGTTCTTAATGCAGGACTTTCTGCCCACCATTTATTTAAGTCCTTCATGAATGAGATTTTTTTAAATCTTGTAAGTTTCCTGGATTGCAAAAAGGATAGTTGTAAATCAGTGGTTGTTTTTGTTAAGTATGTCCTTTCCTATCCCCTCCACCTCCCCCAACAGCCAATCTTCCTGTGCCCACACTTAGGACTGCCACTACTAAGCCTAATTTTGCCTTTGAAGATTCTGAGATTTGATCCTATCTCCAGTCATCCTTAAAGATGAAACAAGCCTATAATTTGTGCTCATAACTACTTCATGTGAATTTTTTCTAGATAGCAAATAATTTTTCATAAGTAGATGGTTCTATCAAATTCTAGAAAACAAACAGAATTCTATCAAATTCTAGGAAACAAACCTTCTCACTTGAGAAGGTTAACCACTTCTCCAGCACAATTATTTTCACTATTCATTTTACAAAAGCAGCAGCAAGAGGAACTACAGCCTAGTGATTTATAAATAAATATTTTCTTAATAAGAGGAATTAGTAACATTCTTGATGAGTCTACACACCAGGTACTTTGCTACAGATATCTATATGTATTATCTTAATCACCACCTTATAAAGCGGGAGCTATTAATATATTACAGTTATTTATCATTTTTAAAGACAAATTCAAGGCTTCAAATCTATTTCTTCTGCATTTTACATTATTGTATATACCTCATTGTTTTAGCTATTTGAGAACATTTTGGATTCAGACTTTTTCTATTTCTGAGCATTAGGCCAACATGTGTGTCATTATCAATTTTCGTTCTCTGTTTTGTATGTATGTACATGTGTTTGTCTAACAAAAACCAATTTGTTTTTAAAACAGAAATAAAGGACATTCTGCACTTATTTATTGACATACTGAGCACAGTCCTCACTTAGATACTGCTTTCATACAAAGTCATACCAGGATAACATGGATTTCAAAGTGAAGGGAAAATAGAAGAAGAGTTTTGAAAGTTTTAAATGCATTCAATTTAAGATTTATTGGGTCTTCACAAGGGACACATTCTTTAGAACATCCTAAGAGTTGAAAAATGTCTTCACATTCTGTCTAAGCTCATAAGCTGTTTCCCTGTTTCCAGTTTCTTTTCAGGGTCATGATGACTGACACCATGAGGAATAACAATGTCAAAAAAATCTACCTGTCCATTTCAAACTCATCTTCTAACTCAGGATATATTAGTCTGTGTGGAATGAGAACATTGGTGTTGTCAAAAATATGACATTCTGATAACCTTAAAGAAAATTGTTACTTCCAAAAACAGGGATTCTTACTCCTCCTTTCATGGATATTCTTCAAAGTATTTCTAACTTCCAGATATCAAATATAGAACTGTATGTGAAAGAATGTATACATTTGCATTTTGACAGAGATAGTGTCCATGGATTTTACTTCATTCTCAAAGGCATCTGTGATACAAAAGATATTATAATCTATGATTCTTAAAGGAAAAGATTACAAAATATGTAATAGAGCTATTTAGATTTTTGACAATTTTTCCTTTGCTACATAAAATATATATGCATAGGCAGAGAAAACACCTCTCTTTACTCACTCCTACAAATTTAGACTACTTACTAAATAAGTACTGTTAAAAAATGTGCATGATCAATTTTTACTGTCAAACAAATGTTAGCCTGTTGTAATAGCAGAAATTATATTATAGTAGGTAGAGGAATAACATTTTTTGAGCACCTATTCTACGAAGGGTATTGTAATTGTCACCTAATTTTAGTCTTACAAGAAACGTGTAAAATTAGCTGTATTCTCATTTTACAGATGAGGAAACGGCCTGAAGAGGTGAAACTCGATCTGTGACATACAACTAGTGAGTTGCTGAAAATGAGATTCTATTTAACCTGCTTCTGAATAAGTAGAAACCTTCATTGCACATTAGCTGTATCTGGAGTACTTTTAAAAGAGACAAAAGATAGGGGAACACAGATAGTTATTGTTGGTGGACTGGACAACTAACCTGTAAGTAGCTACGTGAAGGACATAAGAAAGGACTATTGTCTCAAATCACCCCTCTCAAAAGGTGAGAGAACAAAAACTAAAAAAGTAAAATATTTATATTATTTAAAATTATACAAGTAGCTATTAGCATAACCAAAAACAAAACAGAAGGAAAAAGGAGGAGGTAATACCAATGAGCTAAACCTTCATGGAGTCAGTTAAGATGTGAAGTAGCAGACAAACCAAAGTTAAACTGTCCCGAAAAGTAAATAAATGAATTAAAATGAACAACTAAATCAGGAACCACCAGAGGCATCACTAGAGACACAGCAGGAATCTTACACAAGTCCTATGACCAATTCGATGTTAACAAATTTGAAAACCAAAAAAAGACATAATCTATTTAACAAAACCAAATTAAAAAGGAAAACACAATCTCAACAGTTCATCTGTTACAAAAATTGAACAAATATTTAAACATCTTCACTACACACACACACACACACACGCCCAGATTGTTTCATAGGCAAGTTCTAATGAAAGTCAATAGATCAATAATCTCAATGCTATACAAAACTTTTCAAAGAATAAAAAGGGAAAATCCCATCAATTACTTTTAGTAGTATGATCTTGATTGCAAAATCAGTCATTAATAACAAGATGAAGAAAAAGTATAAGCCAATATCATTCAAGAACGAGTTGCAAAGCTCTTTTTTAATTGGCAAGAAAGAAGCCAACAATGCCTGTAAAAAAGTAATATGGGCCAGGTGCAGTGGCACACGCTTGTAATCCCAGCACTTTGGGAGGCCGAGGCAGGCAGATCACGAGGTCAAGAGCTCGAGACCAGCCTGGCCAAGATGGTGAAACTCCATCTCTACTAAAAATACAAAAATTAGCTGGGCATGGTGGTGTGCACCTGTAATTCCAGCTACTCCGGAAGCTGAGGCAAGAGAATTGCTTAAAACCTGGGAGGCGGAGGTTGCAGTGAGCCGAGATCACGCCACTGCACTCCAGCCTGGGAGAGAAAGACTCCATCTCGGAGAAAAAAAAAAAAAAGGTAATACATTACAACCAAATGGGGCTTACCAAAGGAATGCAAAGCTAGTTTAAAATCAAAATGTTTATTAATGAATTTTACTCTATTAACAAACCAACGGAGAAAAATCACATAACCTCAAAAGGAGAAGAGAAAAACATTCAATAAAACTCAACATCTACTCATGATTAAAAAGGGAAAACAAAACAATCATTAAAAGAAATACAGAAGGGGACTTCTTGATCTACTAAATTTACAGAAAAACTAACTGTATTATGTCAAATCTAAGGTACCACTTACAAAATATACAACAAAGAAAGAAAAAAAATGCTACCAATTAAACTGTGGTAAACTCTGATCAGAATTCTTAAGATACTCTTCAGATCCTCTCGGGCTGAAGGAGGATGGCTTCAGCCCAGGAGGTTGAGGCTCCAGTGACCTGTGATGGTCCCGTCAAAAACAAAAACAAATAACATAAAAATAAAAGATTTATGAGTAAGATAAGGATGCCCACTCCAAACCCTCTTATTTTTCATCTTAAGTTATTCTTGGTAAGCGGACTGAATAATACCTCCTAATATGCATGTCTACCCAGAACCTCAGAATGTGGCCTTACTTAGAAATAGGGTCTTTGCAGATGTAATTAGTTAAGGATCTCAAGATGGAATCATCCAGGATTTGGAGTGGTCCCTAAATCTAACGACTGGCATCCTTATCAGAGAAGGAGAAGGCAGAGAATGAGAAGGTCATGTAAAGATAGAGGCAAAATTATCGATGGCAACCCTAGACAACTAATACAAATTTATTTATTTAAAAATAGAGACGGGGTCTCACTATGCTACCCAGGCTATTCTTGAACTCCTGGACTCAAGCGATCCTTCTACCTCAGCCTCCCAAAGTGCTGGGATTACAGACATGAGTCACCACCCAACACTACAACAGTATTTTAACACACTTGCAATGAGAAAATAAATTTAAATACCAAGATTGGGAAGAAACAGATTGTTATTATTCACAAAAAACAACTATATGAATAAAGCACCTAGGGAAAAGTTGTTTTATTTGAAGATGAATTGGGCAGAGTTGGATGTAAAATTAATTTACCGAAATCAATTACAAACTCATTAAATTTCCACAAAAATATTAGTGTATTTTCTAACAACTTTTATAAATATAGCATTTGTAATAGCAATGAAATCATAAGTGATCTAAGAATAAACAACATACATGCATGGGCATGTTAAAGGAGAAAAATAAAACTTTATGAAAGTTTCACTAACTAGAAAATTAACTATGTTTATAGATAAGAAAACATTAAAAATATCAAAACTCTCCTCAAATTGATAAAGAATTAAATTCCAGTGTAAATCATATCAAGATTCTTTGTGAAACTTGACATGCTAATTCTACATTTTACACAGATGAGACAAAAACAAGAAAAAACTGATTATTCCTGAAAAAGATTGGCTAGGAGGAGAGGGAGCTTGCCTTAGCAGATCTTAAGCCTCATAATAAAACTAAAGTAATGATGACAGTGTAATATCGGTACATACCAGCAGAATAGAATTAGAGAATCCAACAACAGACCCATGTGTATAAGTAGAAAATACACAAAGTTGAGAGGAAGCATTTAGAAAGATTTATAGCAATTTGGCACCGCTACAATATCCAAATGCAAGATTTCATAAGTATAGGTCCATAATAGATTGAAAATTGAAACAAAAACAACCGAAAACCCAGTCCTTCACTATTTTTGTAAGTATGGGCTTAGATTAAAAGACTGGAATTAAAAGTAATCTTGAATAATAAGGCAAAATGATGCTTCCCAGATACACTGAAATAGACTGCATGTTGCAAATCACAATGAGTAAAGGTGGAGGATGACCAGTTTTGAGTAAATGGGTCAGGTTGGAGAAATATTTAGAGGTCAGAGTGGATTGCAAGCTAAACTCAGCCCAACGTTCATTGACCAGGATTGGACTTGTGCCCTTACAATCTAATCATAGTGTGAAATATAAACATGGAGTCACTGACACTCTAAGACCCATTGTGGAAAAGCCAGTAAGCATGCTGTAACAATGCCCTGGATATGAACCATATGTTGCACAGCTCCAGGGAAATCAGTGCATATTCATAGATTTTGTAGATTCATGGCTTATTAAAGCTGAAAGGGATCTCACAAGCCATGAATCTGTACCTTGACTCACTCTCTCTTTTTTAAACACAGCAGATACAAACACTGTGAGGTTGTAAGCTAGCCCCAAGATCACACAGCCAGTCAGTGGCCTGGTGAAACTAGGACTTGGATTTCCTGAGACATAAAAGGCTTCTGTTTGCAGCTTGAAGAAAGCAGTCTCTAGACAAAGTAAGTAGTCCTATTTACTTAGTATGAAACAAAACTGCCAGTTGCCAGAGAGGGTACAGAACCATATTTTGCAGGACCATGAAGTCGAAAGGGACTGTCCCATCAACTGGGGAAAATACCACCAGCTCCAGTCTATCCACAGACTCTCCATTCTCAAGTTAAATGATGGTACTTAGGACAACACGCATTGGAAGTGATGAACAAGGCTGCTGTAAATCTACTCATGTCTATCAATATGAAACAACTTGCCTTATAAGAGTTAACAACATGAATTATGATGGTCTACGCGTCCATGAACTTGGCTCATTTCTTTCATCAATTATGGGCACTTTCTTATCTCCTCTGCAGCGGCAGTCAAAAGATGCAGCAATCCTAACTTAGATCTTGAAAACCATGAAGTCAAGCCTGGAAAAAAACACTTTTTTTTTTTTTTTTGAGACAGAGTCTCTCTCTGTTGTCAGGCTGGAGTGCAGTGGCGTGATCTCGGCTCACTGCAACCTCCACCTCCCGGATTCAAGCGATTCTCGTGCCTCATCCTCCCGAGTAGCTGGGATTACAGGCATGCACAACCACGCCCATTTAATTTTTTGTAATTTTGGTAGAGACAGGTTTCACCATGTTGGCCAGGCTGGTCTCGAACTCCTGGTCTCAAGTAATCTGCCTGCCTTGGCTTCCCAAAGTGCTGGGATTACAGGCGTGAGCCACCACACCCTGCTGGCATACACATTTCTATTACATCATGGAGAACACAATTTTGAGATCTGTTTTTTCTCATTTTACATGATATCAAAATTTTTTTTAATTACTTTATTACACTTTCTTCATAGCCATCAGTTCTAACATCTGAAGAACATTCCAACCCAGGTACGTATCATCCTTGTCTGATTCCCCTACTAGTGTACACTTAGGTTGTTTCCAAAGCACTGATGCTATTTCAAGTTTTGATGACATCTTTTATTTTTCTGCCTATTGCTTCTTTCAATTCAGAAAACATGTAGTTCTGGTTAGAGCTTCCAAGCATCAGACTGGCCACAGGTGGTATAGCATGGACCATAATAGTATACATTTTCTCTGGCCTTTGAAGTCCAGAAATAAACATGTGATCCAAGGAAGGCTAATCAGAAACATTCCCCAGGATTTGTGTTTTGGATCAGAGCTGATGAAGACTGAAGGTCGGGCATGGTGGCTCACGCCTGTAATCCCAGCACTTTGGGAGGCAGAGATGGGTGAATCACCTGAGGTCAGGAGTTTGAGACCAGCCTGGCCAACATGGCAAAACCCTGTCTCTACTTAAAAAAAAAAAAAAAATTAGTTGGGTGTGGTAGTGGGCGCTTGTAATTCCAGCTATTCTGGAGGCTGAGACAGGAGAATCGCTTGAACCTGGGAAGCAGAGGTTGCAGTGAGCCAAGATACCACCATTGCACTCCAGCCTGGGCAGCAGAATGAGACTCCATCTCAAAAAAAAAAAAAAAGAAAAAAAAAGACTGAAAAATGTGAAACTGGTGTTTGCAATCTTCTTTTCCACTTAAACGAAAACACATCTCTACAGCAGAAGAGAAAGGAAAACAACATAGAGCAGCAGAACTGGGGGATGATTGGAAGATGAGTGTTCTGAGAATCTTGAACTGGACCCAGCCAGCTCAAAGCTATCTTAGACTACATAAATTCCCATTTATGTAGTTTCAACTAGGTTTATACAGCTTATATAGCCTCTCAACTTCTTTGGGGAAGTACAATGATACTCTACCAGGAACATTATCCAGAATAGTTTACATACCATGTTTTATTAATCTAATTGTTTCAGGCATTTGTCCCAGAATCTTAAAGGTCTATTCTAGTCTTGATAACTGTGTTATAAATGTGTTCCAGGCATTCATTTCAAAGCAATAATGGTCATTTATAAACACTCAACTAAGAAGGAGTAAAAACGAAGTTTTCAAAGACCACTTGCATCAAAACCACTTGTACATCTTGTTAAAATCATTCCATCTGTGTTCATTCTGGACACGAAATAGAATCTGTGGGAACGATATACTCAGCAATCTACACTTCAAATTTACCCTCGTTTATCTTACGTACAATAAAATTTGAGAACCATGGAGCTAAAGGTTGCTCACCTTTCTCATTCAGTTCAGAACACTTTTTTGACTTACAGGAAATAATTTAAAAGTACTTTTCAACCTTTAATATGATACAAATCATCCGGAGATCTTGTTAAAAAAAATGCAAATTCTGATTCAGAAGGTAGAGCTCAAGATTCTGCAATTTAAAAAAATCTCCCAGGCAATGCTGATTCTGACAGATCTGGAGACCATCCTTAGAGTAGCAAGTTGCTAGATTACATGCTGTAAGATAAAGATAAATTGAATTTGAAATAAAATAAATTGAAGCAGAAATGTACTAAAACATAGTGATCTGTGTAATAACAATGTAAGGGTAGAAGAAAGAATATCATGTTGGGAGGAGAGTCCCCAGTTCAAGTTCTGCCACTACTACTGCTGACAACTAGTTGTGTGATACAAGATGGGTCACTTCGCATTGCTGGGCCTTTTTATTCCCACCCATTAATCCAGAACATCAATGGGATTATAGTTTGGTATTTATCTAGTTCTGATTCTATGAGTCCAAGATTCTGGTTTATATCTGACGTTGATCAATAATTTTACTAAAAA
This sequence comes from Homo sapiens, assembly GCF_000001405.40. Classification (NCBI taxonomy): domain Eukaryota; kingdom Metazoa; phylum Chordata; class Mammalia; order Primates; family Hominidae; genus Homo; species Homo sapiens. Next base: position 7,844,635 of record NC_000003.12, read on the forward strand.
ATTACTCAAGACCCAGAAGATACAATTTTAATATAAAGCAGAGGCAAGTGTCAATAAACTGACTAATCACTTAACCTTTGGTGGCAAATACAACTTCATGATTCATCCCATCCTAGTACTATTCAACATCACATTTTTTAAACATGGACTTATTTTATAGGTACACTCAATTGTCACAAGAAACTGTCATCCCCTAGTCTATTCACAGCAACAATCAATTCTGCCAATTTGGATTGAACTGGTCCCAACTCTCTCTACTATAGCATCTCTATTTTTAGTGTTGCCCTGGGTCAAATAGATTCAGAACTCCACCCTATATAGAAGTCAGTGTGCTGAAAGTTTTCAGAGTCCCTCTTATCTAGTTCAGGATGGCATAAGAGCATGGCATTGAGTGACAATGAGCCATGGCCAAGGAGGGAGAGGCTACAGATGAGAGGGCTTAGTTCTGCCTGTAAAAGTACCCTTCTTGGTGACTAATGGATCCTGAGTGGATGAGACAATCAAGGAAAAGACAATTTCTGTTCTCAATGAGTATGCACATGTGTATGTAATTAACATACAAGACAACAAAATATAATTCTGGGGAATGGTGTATATGACATGTGCTTTGAGATGTCCAAGGAGGGGGATTTTCAGGGATAATATGGGAAATGATTAAGTGAACAATCCCTACCTTTCCTAGACCAGCTCAAACTTTATCCACTCATGAACCACTGTCCAATTTTTGCCACATCTATTAAGCAACTATATTATTGGCTCAATATTTTTCTTTAATTCACCTCACAAATTGCCACAAATGTTTTCAAAAGGAAACTTTACATCACTGTTATAAGTGGAAAACCAGTATCAAAGGCCACAATGGGTAATTATTTAAAAATGAAAATGAATGAACTTTATCAATTTACAGTCAAATGTTTTGCTCACTAAAGAGAGCTTGAGGCTGGCTCTCTTGGCTACAAAAAGATTGAGTCTTAAAGTTGTTAAAGAAATATTAGCATCAGAGTCTTGCCTCTTAAAGCAATTAGAAATATGGAAAGAGAATTGAAAAAAATGATATTGCAATGTGAGTTAGTGTTATATAATCTGTTTCCATAGATATCCTTAGTAGTTTATGCCCCCAATCCATAGAAACCCTTAACAAGAAAACTTAAGGACCACATATTTTAATCGGTTTCATCAAATGCATGGATACAAATCAGATTATACACTTAACACCATGCCATATAAAAACCAATGAAAACAAAAACTAACCCAAATCTATATTTGGAGGAGACATTGATTCCTCCTTCCTAAGACTATTCTTGCATCAGAAGCAGAGGTTTTATTTTTCTTTCATTTTCTTAGATCTTGTTTCTTCTTAGAATCTGCTTTAAGTTTATGGAACTTCAATTGTTGAGTTTAATGTACAAACCTAAGAAAATATAGCTGAAAAAATAATGTAGATATCAAAAAGTTCTTGGGCCAGGCATGGTGGTTCACGCCTGTAATCACAGGACTTTGGGAGGCTGAGGTGGATGGATCACTTGAGGTCAGGAGTTCAAGACCAGCATGGCCAACATGATGAAACCGCATCTCTACTAAAAATACAAAAATTAGCCAGGCATGATGGTGTGCACCTGTAATCCCAGCTACTCAGGAGGCTGAGGCATGAGAATCGCTCGAACCCAGGAGGCAGAGGTTGTAGTGAGCCAAGATTGTGCTACTCCATTCCAGCCTCGGTGACAGACTGAGATTCCATCTCAGAAAAAGAAAAAAAAAAAAAAAAAGAAAAAGAAAAAGAAAGAAAGAAAGAAAATCTTAAGTCTAGGTTATACCGACTAGAATAAGATGATCCACATTCCACATAAAGTTATAAATCCAAGCATACTTCCCCACTCATCCCAAATATATTCAATAATACCTCAGTGATCATTTTATCAGTAAGTTCTCCATGCTCTTATCTGTAACACCTGCTGTGTTTTCCACATCTCACAAAAGGAGGCAATCAAACAAAACTTAAAATTTCCACTAGAAAAGCTACCATGGGGGATAGAGGTGATAATGGAGAAAGATTGAGAAAGATAGGTGCTACATGGCCATGTGGACACGTCTGCAAAGGGCACAAGCAAAGCCACAGAGACTGATGGATCTACCACATGCACTGGGAGAAGTCAGAGCTGAGGTAAGAACAGCAGTTGGACCTGCTGCATGCATGCTGTGCAGAGAAGCCTGGAGGTCCCATAGCAGGCAATGAGCAAGTCAGTGAAGAAAATGCAGGAAAGGTCACTCTGAGTACTTGTGCTAAAAACCCATAAAGAACATCATGAGGAATTCCTGCTGGACATTGATTTCTCATCTGTGCATCAAGAGAGGAACCTGGGAGGTGCTTAATCAGCTGCCAATGGCAAGATTTACTCTAATTTAGAATAGGAAACAACAACAGTTAGATTTTCTGTCTTTCCCTCCTTTTTTTTTTTTTTCTATCTGGTCTGTTTCTGAAATGTAATAAAGCTAAGAATTAACAAAAAAAAAAGCCACAAACCTTCAGGCAATTTCAGTCTGAAGCAAATGCATTCTTTCTTCCTCCAAACTGCAAACATTCCAGAAGGGGCATGTGTCAAAGACAGTAAGACAGATTCAAGTTTATGCTCTTCTTCACCAGACTGACCTCGAGAGGAGGCATACTAAGCCCTTGAACGCCCCTTTTCCTCTAGAAACTTCCCTTCTCTCAGCTGGAGGCAGATAGCACAGAGTGCAGATTCTGAAGTGAGAAAAGCCTGAATTCATATCCTCCTTTCAATGTTAATCAGCTGGGTGATTCGGGGCCAAGGACTAAATGCCTTTGTGTCATTCTTCTCAGCTGTAAAATGGGGACAGTAATAACTCCAGGCCCCTCAAGTTTGTATAGGATGGGGGTAATACATTTCAAAAATCATTCGTAAAATCTTAGGAATTTTACGAATTCCTAACATTGTGTTGTAAACTGTCAATGGGATAAGCAAGTTGAGGGATCAAATAAGTCACCGTGCTCTGTGAACTAAGTGCCAACTGTTATCCCACACAGCAACTATCCGATTTTAATGCAGTTTTCTTCATGTTTAACTTCTCAGACTACGAGCTGCCCAACAAAAGGTCTTTGTTTTCTGTAATACAGTACCAAGTATCCTGCTCCATCAACATAACATTCTTGGGAGAGGTTCATCTCACTCATTTGTAACGGCAGCAGCATCTCAATGATATTTCTCTACCACCATCCAAACTAGGTACACTGTGAAATTTTAGCATCTCTTCTTTAAAGCCTACTAATCTTCTTCCTTAAAAATTGTCATGATTTATTTAAAAAAAAGAATAAATGTGAATAGATTTCCTCAGCAGCAGTTGACAGCCTCCATAGTATTCCAAAAGACAGAAAGATATCTTCACTGTTAAGTACCTTTTGACAGGTGACTTCACACACACAGGCACAGCCATCCTTGTGAAGGCTTTTTCCTGCTCAAAAGGCAGCACTGGTTCAGAGAGTGGATACATAGAGGCCCAATGTGTTCGTGTCACTTGTGGGCACTTCCTTGGTCCTCTGTAGGTAGGCATAAGTACAGCAGTTTGTTTTATTACCGTCAGACTTTATTTTTAAAAATACATTTGTATTTTGTGACTATAAAAGAATGTTTTCTTATTGCAGACAATCTGGAAAATAAAAATAAGGAAAAGCTATCTTAAACTGCCTACAATCTCTGAACATAGAGGAAACCCTTGCTAACAGTTTGCTCTTTTCCCATAGTCTTTTTAAGGTATATAGAAAGACAGTTTCTTTTTCATTTGTTAATAACTTTGTTTTATTTTTTAAAAAATTATTTGCCTTATGTGCATTAGATAGGAATTTTTCCATGTTTGGAATAATAATATTTTTTTTCAACCTCTGGACAGGGAAGTCTTGCAGCACTCAATCTTCCGAAGGACGTAAACTCTGATTTATCCCTATGTTTGATTCCAGTAGCTCTTGGGAGCTACTGGTGGAGGCACATCTCTTGCAGTTGGAGGAAGATCATTTTGTCAAGAGGGTGTGGCTCTGCTGATGTTTCTAACAGTGACCAGTTCACTCCTGGATACACTCTCATCATATGCGCCCTTCCCTTAGTGGTAGATGCTACTGAGGTAGGATTTGGGACAAACCTGTGGCTGTGACTTTTTTTTAAAACCAGATGGAAGAGATGGAGCTCCACAGGGTAAGACAGAGTAAGAGAGATTTTGGCCTTCTTTGGAATATAGCAGCTGATAAGTTTGTTTCAGACACTCAGATACTACACTTCTTTTGAGGAAACCAATCTCATCAATTCTCCGAAATCAGTAGTGCCAAAAATTCTTAAAAGAACAGAGTTTATACTCCTCAAAGTTAAGCAGGTCTACTTTGTAGGGACATTGATGCTGCCTATGACTCAAACTGTATCTTTGACATGGTATTAACAAATTATTTTCTCTTGAGGTTATTTACTTGGCTTTTGGCAGAGAGGTTTTAGCTTCCTCCATGGGATGTATTCAGCGACACAAATTCAAACCCTTCACAAATGTTTTCAGCAACCCCTGAATATGAACATGTAGAGGTAAGTATTGCTGCTATTGTTGAATAATTAGCTAGTCTCCGACATAGCTGGGTGCAAATGATGTGTGTTGAAGTAGGAAGAGAAATTAAGCTTGGTAGACGAAGCCATGCAAAGATTGCTCCTGTGTGTGAGAAGGTTCTATCCTTGAAGACTCAGAATAATCCCCAGAGGTACATGCTTGGTTGGAATTCTGTCATTATGGTGGAGGATGGAAGGAGAGAGGAATGAGCACAAGTGAAGAATATTAGCAATGACTTTACACTTGCACACAAGGCCCCATATGCCAGGAATGTATGGTCACATTTATCCTTCTATGCTTTAAACAGTATGGAGAAATGTGATGGAGAATAGTACTTCATAGCTGAGGCTTTGAGGTCAGAAGGAGCTGGACATTTGTCCAAACTCTACCTGTGTGGTATTGGGCAATTACCTAAATAATCTAAGCCTCAGTTTCTTCATCTATAAAATGGACATTTTTTTTTTTTAGCATTTATCTCTCACAGAACTTTTGTGAAGATTACTGAAATAAGCAAAGCAGAGTGCTTAGCAGGTGTTTAGGATTCATAGGAGATAGTTACAAAATTGTGGCTATTATGCCCATCTGTACTTTAGAGGTGAAGAACTCAGTCTCAGAGAGATTAACTTGATCTGGTCACATCCTATGCCCTTGATCTGATGTCCTCACAGAAGTGAAGTTTTTGTTGAAGTCCTATTACACCTTGACTTTGTAGCCTAATTTTTCCAAGTCTTACCAATTGATGCTATTTTGATGCTTGTTCTGAAACTACTAAGGACAAGACAGAACTTCCTGTCTTGTTCTTAATCATTTCACACCATTATAGAAGGCTTGACATTAAAGGCTTTATATTTAGAGGAAGAATTTGCATGTTGAACCCATTGTTCCAAGCTGCCACAATCTTTTTGTCTTCTGCTTTTATCATTCCAACATTATCCACACCTTCCAGCTCCACATCGTCTGCGGTGTTTTTTAGAATGCCTTCCATATCCTCATGGCCAGAAAAATGTTGAGCAGATGGAGCTCCACAGGGTAACTCTAGAGACCAACTAGCCTCTCATACAATACTAAGCTTTATCACCTTACTTTACAAATGAGTAAACAGGTCCATTTGTAAATAGGTTAGATGTCTATATAAATCTGCATGGCTAGCAACTGAGGTTAAATCTCTAAAAAATGTTTCATAATAATCAACTTTGCATCTGGATTTTTTATTAAAGAAATATTTTTTAAGTAAAGAAGTAAAAGTATCAGTAAGCAATCCTGTTGGGGATAATGTCTAATAGAAAAAAAAAATCAGGTAGTCAGTATTTGAGTAGGCGTCATGCTAAATGCTGGATCAGATAAAAAGACTCACACATGAATGGTTCCTTGTCCTCAAAGAGTTTATCACCCAGTCTGGGGCAGTGGTAATTCTTTGTTTTTTAATAGCTCTTAACAAGCCAGAACAATGTGCCTTAAATAATTAAGAGTGCCAGGAGTTCAAAGAGGGAGAGAAGATTCCTTACAATGTCTTGCTGTCTACTGGTCTCTCCCAGCATGAAGCACAGTTGGGTGAAGTAGCATTGGATTCACAGCAGGTGCTTGCAAACTGTGTGTGAAGCCCAGCTCTTCCCTAGCACCTTGCAGACAACTTTGTATCAGAGGATCTATGCAAGAAACCTATCTTAGGAAGAGAATGAATGGTCACAGTCCATGAACATTTTCATAATAGACATCTGAGTTTTATATGCAAGGATTATAGAGCCACGCATTTATTAGCTTCTCCTCGGCAGAGAGGCAACCTGGGGGAAAGCTCCAAAATTCCTACTGAATAACAGAGTGGTCCCTATGAGGCACAGCACCGCCACTTGACAAAACTATGTGGCGGTCACAACATGAGCCATGCATTCCCCAGGATCTCACATAATCTACAACTCTAATTCAAAATTAATATTTGTTATTAAATAATAGTTTAAATAGGTAAAATTAGGCATACATTTTCCCAGAGCATAAATCTGTAACCGTGATTGCTTTCTTGTCCAATTCTGTTTTTGTGGGTTTTTTTTTAATTATACTTCAAGTTTTAGGGTACATGTGCACAACGTGTAGGTTAGTTACATACGTATACATGTGCCATGTTGGTGGGCTGCACCCAGTAACTCATCATTTAACATTAGGTATATCTCCTAATGCTATCCCTCCCCCCTCCCCCGTCCCCCCACCCCACAACAGGCCCCCATGTGTGATGTTCCCCTTCCTGTGCCCATGTGTTCTCATTGTTCAATTCCCACCTATGAGTGAGAACATGCAGTGTTTGGTTTTTTGTCCGTGCAATAGTTGGCTGAGAATGATGGCTTCCAGCTTCATCCATGTCCCTACAAAGGACATGAACTCATCATTTTTTATGGCTGCATAGTATTCCATGGTGTATATGTGCCACATTTTCTTAATCCAGTCTATCATTGTTGGACATTTGGGTTGGTTCCAAGTCTTTGCTATTGTGAATAGTGCCACAATATTGACCCAGCCATCCCATTACTGGGTATATACCCAAAGGATTATAAATCAGGCTGCTGTAAAGACACATGCACATGTATGTTTATTGCATTGTTTTTTTTTAAGCATCATCTCTTATACTGTGCAGACTGTTTGCTCTTCAGGTAACACCATGGCATATTGATTTATCAAATTCAACTTCCAGGCCAGGGTTGCTAGTTCTATGGATGTATCGTCTAATGCTGAAATGAATACTACCACATATATGACATTGTTATTACATAAAACAAAGACCATGTTAACAGTTGCTGCAGTTTTAACTTAAACATCATTATTGCTTGCAGAATATTCAGAGCCTATAAACCACAGTGTGATACATAGAATTCCAACAAAGGAAAATGGGTTCTTTCCACTTCAATGGCTCAAGTGGCACACCCATGGGATAATAACATTAACATGATTTATATTTTCTGTGGCCTGATGGCTTTAAAATTTTAAAACCACATTAAAAAAATAAACTTAGGGATTTGTTTTGTTTGAAATTTGAGGCACTGAGAATCTTTAAAAACTTTTTGTCTTAATTTCAAATGGGTATTATTCACGTGTATAAAAAGCAACCCTGTGAAAAATGAAGATTTTGGTTGAAAGCGATGCTGCAAATCTGAGCACTCAAAGTGATCGACAGGAAAACATAAAAGGCCAACGCTCAGAGGGGCTTGCCCTGGGTGGATATCACTACCTCTTCCATAGTCCAACCAGAGAAGCTGAAGGTCTCAGCCACTCACCCATTTAAGACCCTGAATGACATGTTCTTCTGTTGAATGGGCTTCTTTGTAGACTCTTCTTCCCAAGCCATTCTCTATTCTAGGTCAGTATGATCTTACTGTCTCCTAAACATCTCCCACTGACTCATGACTCTGCACCTGGGACACCCTTTCTACCTCTGTAAAAGTCTCCCACTGTTCACTCCATGACTAACCAACTCAGTTCACCCCAATATTACCCAACTACATGACACTGAAGCATATTCTGTCTCACCTAGCATATTGAATCACTAAGCAAATTAATAAATTTCCCTAATAAGTCATTATAATACATATCTCTGGTGTGGTGCAGAGCCAGTTAAGGCAGGATCCTAAGAGCAGATTGTTAAATTTTGAGGTTTACTGTGAACCAGTGATATTATAGTTATAGCTGGAAATTAGCCATGTTGGGAATATTTATACCATAGAAGTTGGTAAGTGCTACAAGTTGCCCTCCCTCCAAAAAAAAGTGTTAGTTGATAAACACATAACAGCATATCTTTCTTTAACAGATAACAAAGTTAAAGACTAAAGCCTATCAGCCCTCATGTTCATACTCCACTTGATCAAAAGAGCCAGCATTACAGGATAAAAATGAAAATAGAAATTAAGCATCCATATAATGTGGTTGGCAGGGTGCCTACACAGTGTATCATTCAATAAAAGTCAACTGTTATCATCATCATCATCATCATCATCATCACTTCTTAGTGGAGAACAAGTGAGGGACACAAATACTTAAAATTACAGTCACTGCTAACTGAATTTAGTCAGTTTTGGTTGATATATATTTTTAAAAAGAAAATGTAGCAAAAACCAAGTCAATATACAAATTCAATAAAACCAAGATATTTTTCATGATTAGAATGTGTGTTTTATATGCCACAAGAGGATGAGAAATAAAAGTTAGATCTGGATAGTAGTACCATGATTCACTAGCTATGTGATACTTGGCAAGGTAACTTAATCTCTGAGACTTGGCTTTCTCATTAAATGATAAAAATTATCAAAGCATTATTGGAAGGATTATGGGTATTTTGTAGAAAAAGTGGCTGGCACAGCATCAAGCTCATTGTAGGTGCCTGTTCAAGGTCAATTTCCTTTCCTCCTTGTTTCTTCCTTAGGAAAAAACTTTTTAAAAAGGTCTGTATATCAGGTAAGCTTTGTGAACATTTTACAAAGTTTTGCCCTTCATTATTTTTAGTTAAATTCTGTTTGAAGCTATATTTGTTTTTCAGGACCAGGAGGTAAAATATGAAACAAATATGATCATTATTATTAATGACTGAGATCTCAACGTGGGAGACTGATGTTACCAATAACAGAAAATTGGAAAGTCTAGAGTGTGAGTTGGCTTGAGGGAAATGATGATGAATTGGTTTCAGACATACTAAGAGCTCAGAGGACCCTCTGATCTAGGTAACCAGAAGTGTAGGGAGGCAATTCTGAGAAGAGGGTTAAATGTGCAGTTATGAGAGATCACCAAGGAATAGTTTAATGCCAGGAGGATAGAAGATGACATATGAAGTGCCAAGGAGAATTGTGGAAGACAGACAACAGGCTGCTGGGGAACATTCACCCTAGAAAGTAGAGGGCTAGGGAGGAGAAGCTGCTGAAGGAAAAATCAAAGGCAGTCATGGAGAATTCAGAGAACCACTGCACAGAAAGAACATGTGCAGTGGAGGTGGTCTGCAGGCATGAGGTTGTATGCATGCCAACAGATACACACCTGTGGATCTACTCATTCAAAAAACTTTGGGATGGGGCTACCAGACCTGGAACGTTAAGCAGGAGTTGGAAAACTTTTTCTGTAAAGGGCCAAATATTATATAAATAAATTACGCTGTGCGGGCACTATGCTTTCTGTCATGATTCAACTCTACTGTTGCATTGCAAAAGCAGCCATAAAAATACACAACAAATGGTTTTGTTTTGTATTATTCTGGCTATGCTCCAGTAAAATTCAATTAGAAAAACAGAAGCCATCTGGACTTGACCCAGAGGTTCTAGTTTGCTGACTGGTTTTAAAGGATCATGAAAGCATTGAAATAGAAGGGCCTATGAAGTCAGGGGGCACATTTGTTTGGTTCTTTACATAACCCCAGGTGCCTATTAAGGTATCTTGGCACAGATCAATATGTACTTTTCAAATGAGGGTTCACTGACATGGAGAAGTGTTATGAAGCACATTTACACTATAGTGTAAAGAACTGATAAGTAGGTTTCCATCCAAAGCCATGGCGCATATTCACGTTCACTAGGACCAAAGCCTTGAGTGAGAATACTGAAGATAAGACAATTGAATGTGAGTCAGCCAGCGGATTTGTGGAGGGGCAAAGGTAGTTTTCTTGGTAACCCTGCAAAAACAGCAAGTAGGCAATTACCCACTTCAAGATGCCATATGGGGTCCTGGGGCTCTGAACACGTTAAAATACTGAAGAGGTCATAGTCACTGTGCTATCTGCAAGACCGAAACCCTGGAGTCAGATTTGTCCTGATTTGGAAACCTTTGGAGCTGCCTTCTCCCCAGCACTCATTGGGCCTCAGAAGATGGCATTTCCTCCAAATCTCAGCAGGACACAGAAGTGTTAACTGCTCAGCAAGAGCCAAACTCTTTGGAGAGCGCTAATTTGATTAACATACACAGCTCAAGTTATAAAAACCTAATCAAAAAAGTAATGACAAAACACAATTGATTCTAGAGGGAGTATGTTGTTTTTACAGGAGATGATGATCCTGGTACACGAGGGTCCCACTCTTCTCATTCTTGAGGCAGAGTAGAGCTGTCTTTGGGTAACCAGGCTTTGGGTGAATATGGGGAAGTTTTGCTTTAGCCCCTAGATTGGACAATTGGGTTCAGGTTTGGGCCAGTTTGAAAGATCCCTATTTACTGATTAAAGCTCATAACAATGAAGTTTCAAATGTATTGCATTTTGCAAGTCTTCAGTCCTCACTTTCACGTTTATTGCTACCAAACTGTCAGCTTGAAAATATTTCATTTCAAGAATCAATATGCATGTCTCTTTTCAGGGTTTGCTATCTGGGAGCTGAGTTTTCTAATGGATATGGAAATTCATTCCTTTGTCACCCTTACATGCAGTTCTTGCTCACATGGACAGGGTAAGGGGCTCCAGCCACTGTACTCTTATCTGACATGCACAGATAAACAATAATAAATGCTGGGAACTTATGCCCTGAGTTTCTCTCTGACACCTTTTCACTTCCCTGCTGAGTTCAACTTGCTGGGCAATAGAAAGCCTCAGGCTCTGTTATTTGGGCAAGGGCTGGGTTTTCATCACTTTCAGACCCCCAGGATCTGGCTCTTAAATTGCTTATCGAACACCACTGAGACGAGAGGTAGTCCCTGGCTGCCCACCCTCCAGGCCCACCCAACTCAGAGTTCCACTGCCAGTAGTGCTTGCAGGAAGGTACCTCTAATCTAAATCTAAACAACAACAACAGCAACAAAAACATGTTAACATTCTCAGGCAACAAAAGTTGTATATAACCAGGCAGATTCTGCAAAAGAGAAGTCCTGAATACCATCAAGATTAGGCCCAGTTTTGTTTTCTAACTTTCTTTTACCTCTTCTCTACCCCCACAATAAGTCACTTCAACCCTTTGCGCAGGGTCTCTCATAGTTCATTGAACAAAATTTGTTGGATGGATAGACGTATGGATGGATGAATGCATGAATGGATGTATGGATGCACAGATGGATAGACAGACAGGACCAGGAGAAGGAAAATAAACTAGAAGGCAGTCCATTTTACCCATTCCCAGACTTTTCATGGCAAGTTAAAATTATCCAGGGATATATTACAGCATTACCCAAAGCAGCTTCCTAGCAACACTGGTCCATAAGATGTTTGGCACATGCATTCTAAGAAGCTTCGAATGTTTTGGAAAACCCTAAATTCTTTTTGAGAGCCACCATTTACATTAACATATTAAGGGCTCTCTATAAGCATTTGAGCAAAGCTCTCTAGTAAGCTACATCTAACCCAGTATTTCTCAAATTCAGTTGTTTACAAACTCTCCTTCACGTAACTTTTTAATCTCTTGGAACTAGTGTTCACGTGTTATATTTTAGAAACTGATTTCCGGGTTTTTTCCACATTCATGGTAATTTTCTCTCTAGTGTTCTACTGAGATAGGGACTAGGGGACAAAGGGTGTTGTAGAAAAATATGTCATAATAAAAACAAATAAAAAACTGTTGTGTTTCCCAAAGACACAGGCATAGTGCATCAACTGCACAGCCATATGGTGAAAAGAGTCAACAATTGGCCCCCAGTGTGAACTCAGGCCCTGGAGATCTGGCTGAAATCAAGTTCACGTTTGAATACTGTTTCTTCCTTATTTTAGGGCCAGTTTATTAGTCCTGGAGAGCTTGTTAGTCCTGGAAATGCTTATATCTGGTTCTGACACCATGCACTTCTTTTGTCTTTCAAGCAAACTAAGTACTAATTGGGTTTTCAAATGCTAATCAATGAACAACTTTATTTTTCTTCAACAATTCAAACCAAATACAGTGTGAAAACTGCAGGCCAATTGCCTCTGTGCGACTGGGGAGAAATCAATCAGGCTCTCACCAAAACAAGCTGGTATTTATATTTCTTGATTAGCATTACTTGCTCCTGTTTGGAACGTCTATGTTTGCTCATTTATAACTGCTTCTCAGTCCTCCACAGTTAGGGACTAGCGTCTTAGTGCTCTCCAGATACTTTTAACCTGCCAAACAGATTTTATGCCTCTGCTGCAAATTATGGTTATTCAAAAGCATAACCAATGTACTTCATCCATAAGAAACCTATGAACAAGGTGAAAACCTGAAATTAGGTTGAGATTTCACAGTACTAGACTATTCTAGAAATGTGTAGAGAGAAGCATCTGTGGAGGACAAAAATCCATTGGCAAGGCCAATATCTCAACAGATAATATTCAATGACCTATGTTAATGATGTGGTGTCTTGGATATGTAAGTCAAAGCAGTAGTGATTAAATTTGTGAATCTGTGTGTGTGTTTCAGTTTGACATTACAGCTTTGAAGACAGATGACAGTCATTCTCAAATATTTGAAGTACTATCATGTGGAAGAGAGAGCTTAGAATAGGTCACTCTCCTGCTCATAAACCTTTGACAAGCAGAGTTTGCAGGAGAAAGTACCTAGATTTTTTATTTTACTATCCTGATATTGACAGTTTTAAGTTTTATTGACAGTTAAATTCATGCTTCATATATCAATATCTCATATAATCATATATCAATAATCTGCCTTGACTGCCTAGTTAATGGTCTTGGAAAAAAATAGATCATTCCACAAGAATACATTTATTTTTCTATCAAAATTATGTCAGTTTTGGGGTTCTTTTTTAAGTCTCATTTAAAAATAAATTAAGTCTATAGTGGTATTTCCAGGAAGATCAACCATAAAACAAATTGTTTTACCGATGACAAATTAATATAGAACTCTGCCTATTTGAACATATACCTGAAATGCAAAACCACAAATATTCATGTTATGCCAATATACCTAAATCGATGCATATGCTATTGTTCAAGAATAAAATGTAGTTACTTAGACAGCTGTCAAAATGATCTGCTAATTTCAATCTAAGAGCAAGAAAATGCCTATGTTACAATTTCCATGACTTGTTATATTAAAAATACTGATACTTTTAATAACAATTTAAAAATAGAGAACCTCCAATGATTCTCACACCATTCAAGACTCTTCAAAATCTACTCGCAACCAATCAGTTCAGTCCTAATTCCCACAACTTTTCTTTACATTTCTATTTAACGTTGTAAACACATCTTTTTGCTTCCACTAAAAGTACACCAAACATAGTCCCATCAACCTGCCCTGTATTTCTCCAAGATTAGGCTGATTCACATGCACATTAATGTAAGCTCCATGAAAAGAGGGACTCATCTGTCCCCTGCCTGGCCCTATCACCTATAGCAAAGCCTGGCACAAAGCAGATGCTTAATATATATAGTACATATTTGTGGGCCAAATTGCTAATTTTCTGTAACCATCACAAATGAGTAAACCTTGGTAAATATCAGAAAATCTTTCTATATATGTGTCTGTATATATATAAATATTACATACATATGTGTGTATACATATATATACACACGTATGGGCATGCAAACACACACTTGATTATAAGTCCATGTGTGGTATAAAAGACACCGGGCACCAGGACTGCAGGGTAGCCAACTCCAGGCAGTGCCATTATCAATACATGCGGATCTTTGATAGGTATGCAATACTTGCAGTACATTTCAGCCTCCAGATAGGATGATAATATGTCATGTTTTCCCTAGTGCTCTTGCTTTTGCCCAGTGAGGGGATTAACACATTTGCAGCCCAGATCCAATTTCAAGCCAACTCCAGGTAGTGCCATTATCAACACATGTGGATCTGTGATGGGCATGCAATGGTTACAGTAAATTACAGCCACCAGATAGGATAATATGTCAGGTGTTTACTGGTGCTCTTGCTTTTGCCCAGTGAGGGGGGAAATACATTTGCAGCTTAGACCCAATTTCATCTTACTCTTTTCACCACAATAAATGGGTGCATAACCATTCCTTTAATGTGGGTATCTTGAACAACTCATGGGGTAGGGGTGTGCTGTGATGGTTAATATTGAATGACAACTTGATTGGCTTGAAGGATGCAAAGTATTGTTCCTGGGTATGTCTGTGAGGCTGTTGCCAAAGGAGATTAACATTTGAGTCAGTGGACCAGGAAAGGCAGACCCACCCTCAATCTGGGTGGCACAATCTAACCAGCTACCAGCACGGCCAGAATAAAAGCAGGCAGAAGAACATGAACAGACTAGACTGGTTTAGTCTTCTGGCCTACATCTTTCTCCCATGCTGGATGCTTCCTGCCCTCGAACATCGGACTTCAAGTTCTTCAGCACTGGGACTCAGACTGGCTTCCTTGCTACTCAGTTTGCAAACGGCCTATTGTAGGACCTCATCTTGTGATCATGTGAGTCAGTACTCCTTAATAAACTCCCCTTTATATATACATCTATCCTGTTAGTTCTGTCCCTTTAGAGAACCCTAATACACGTGGAGAAAAAAAAGAATACAAAGTTTCAGTTTTATGAGGTAAATAAACCTAAAGATTTAACATACAGCATGAACACTACAATTAATAATGTACACTAAAAATTTGATAAAAGTAGATTTTAGGTATGTATTAGTCTGTTCTCATGCTGCTGATAAAGACATACCCTGGAATGGGTAATTTATAAGGAAAAAGAGGTTTAATGGACTCACAGCTCCACATGGCTGGGGAGGCCTCACAATCATGGTGGAAGGCAGAAGACACGTCTTACATGGCAGCAGGCAAAAGAGAATGAGAGCCAGGCGAAAGGGGAAACCCTTTATAAGACTATCAGATCTCATGAGACTTATTCAATACCACGAGAACAGTATGGGGGAAACCACCCCCATGATTCAAATATCTCCCACCAGGTGCCCCCAACAACATGTGGGAATTATGGGAGCTACAATTCAAGATGAGGTTTGAGTAGGGACAACAGCCAAACCATATCAAGGTACTTTTACCACAAAAAAACAGGTAATTATGTGAGATTATGGATATGTTAATTTCACTATGTATACAATAAAAGATGTTATATACCTGAAATATATCCAATATTGTATTAAGAAACATAAAAATAAAATTAAAAATCAAGGTTAAAAAATGAAAGAGAAGCCATTTCCACAGAATATGTACATACTGGGGAGCACTTCTCAGGATACAACTGGAGAAAACCAAACCTTTCTAGCAATATAAACCAGTAGAATATTTGCTTTAAAATGAGCCATGAGCAAATAAATAATCAGAGATTAAGAAAGGGGGGTTGCCACTGTGGAAGACAGTATGGTGATTCCTCAAGGATCTAGAACCAGAAATACCATTTGACCCATCAATCCCATTACTGGGTATATACCCAAAGGAATATAAATCATTCTACTGTAAAGACACATGCACACGTATGTTTCTTCCAGCACTCTTTACAATAGCACAGACATGGAACCAACCCAAATGCCCATCAATGATAGACTGGATAAAGAAAATGTGGTACATATATACCATGGAATACTATGCAGCCATAAAAAGGAATGAGTTCATATCCTTTGCAGGGACATGGATGAAGATGGAAGCCATTATCCTCAGCAAACTAACACAGGAACAGAAAACCAAACACCACATGTTCTCGCTCATAAGTGGGGTTGAACAATGAGAACTCATGGACAGAGAGAGGGGAACGACATACACCAGGGCCTTTTGGGGGGTTGGGGGTGAGGGGAGTGAACTTAGAGGATAGGTCAATAGGTGCAGCAAACCACCTTGGCACACATATTCCTATGTAACAAACCTGCACTTTCTCTACATGTATCACTTTTTTTTAAGAAGAAAAAAAAAGTGGGGAGGGTTACAAGTCAAGAATGTAGCTCCTGAATGGAAGACAGGGCAAGGATGGTGTGATGTCACAGTGAAGGAGCAGCAGGGGGACAACAATGGAAAACAAAAATCTGGCCAAGATAGTTTGACTGGTGTATGCCAAAGGTTTTCCCCACCTTTTATTGAAAAGGAAATTGTAAAAGTGTTGTTTCTTGAACAGCTAAATAATTATCATAATCACATAATGCATGGCAATAGTTGCTAAGGGTTTGGTCACTTGCAACTAGTCCTTTCATTACCTTTAAAAAGTCCGAGGATTAAAGAACACTTCCTGGCTATGCCATATGGAGGACTTGATGAACCTCTCTAATTTGATGATCACTCGAACCCAGATTCTGGTGCTTACCCTGGGAAAATAACTTAGACCCCTCAAAAATGCTGTTAACATGTTTATGAAGGAAAAGTAAAGTGTTGTGGTAACAATGTACTGTTCGATGGAGAATGAATGTTTTGGCGACAAGAACAAAATGTCCAGAATACAGACTGTTCACTGAGAGTAAGCATTTGATTCATTTCAGAGCTGGCACAGAGGCTGGCAAACTACACATGCTCACCGTATCAAAAAATATATGCATACAGTTATATTTCATTCACAAGGGATGAATAAAACTGAACAATTGCACCAAGGAAGATGCTAACTAATACTGCCTAATAAATGTCAGCTAGCACCTGTAAAGCCAAATTGGTATAAAAAATTAAGAAGACATTCAGGAGTGTCATGAATTATATGTTAAAATGTAGGATGAAAGACTCTTACTAGAAAATCAAGGATGTCCCTCTCTTCTCTCAAATGGAATATGTCATTTAAGTTTATCTTTCTGTTTCAAAGCTATCATTGAAGTTCCATTATTGTGACACCTGAGGGTTACAGGTAGACAAGTAATGACATGCAGAACTATATCATCTACTCAAAGAGAATATTTTGTATCACCTTGTGCTTAGCCTGATGCTTCTTTCTAGAAATAGATGATGCATGAGACCAGCATTGCCTTTGCAGGGTCTTAATGCCTGCTATAAAATGAGATAAAAATTTACAGGTCTTCTTGCCAAAATTTTAAAAATTTTCTCCCATACTATTTGTATATGTACACATTTTTATTTGGACCATTAATACAACCAATTTTTTTCCAGGCCCATTTTTAGGGTATGAGAAATGGACTATAATTGGATTTAGTCATAAATCCAATGTTGTGTGATATCATACCACACCAGACATGTCTGGACTTTGGATTGGATATTGATGGGGTTACAGGTGGTCAATTAAGTGTTCAGAGTCCATTTTTCCTCCTCCTGAACCTGAAACTGTATTCATCAGGAAATCCAGGCAGGAAAGCAAAACCCACCCAAGTAACGGTAGAAAGAATTTTATACAAGGATACTGTGATGTTTTGCAGAGCAAGAAGAACAGACACAGAAAGGGATTGTGATCTACAGATCAGCATCTGGAGGAAGCCATCACTAGATCTAGGACTGCAGAGACAAAGGAAGTAACTGTGTTAGAGGAGTCAAGGAGTGGGCATCTCCAGTGGGCTCTAGAAATCACACTGGAGCTTGGAAGGCATCAACCCTTAGAGGGAGCGACTGGCTGGTGGGAGATGGAACCAAGGTATCTGAGCAGCTGTTGCTGCAAGTTCTGCCCTACGCAGTGAGAGAGAAAAAGGAAAAAATACCATGGCTTCTCCTTTCCTGTCCTTCTACATCCTGCTAGTTCTATCTTTGGCTGGTATCTATCTTCTTGCTGACAAGAAGGCAGTCAGCGGCCACAAAGCTGAAAGGGTAGCTTGAAGGGTCAGGTCCCTTATAATGAAGCTGGGGGAATGCACAAGAGAAGGAACTGAGGAAACAAGCAAGTGACCAGGGCAGGAATCAAATAAGGATAAAGACACAGGAGATGCACAGAGGGAGATCAGAATATCTCATGTATTACTGACAAAGCTCTTTGGAGACTGTCGCTTTAATCTGTGAGCCAGCTTGTTCCTTGTAATGCCCCTCTCAGTTAGATAGATTTACCTATGCTGTACCGGGGCAGAACAGGACAGCAAAGGCCACCCCCTCAGAGGTGGGCAGCTCATTTTGTTGATGTTAGTCAGAAAGATACAGTTCATAAGATTCCTGACTAATGAATGGAAATTAATTCACTATCTTTGCCAATATCACAGAAATCACCTTCGAGGACTGTAAGTATAAAATGATCAGACATTCAATCACAGGTTATAATGTCTGTCACATCAAGACAAAGTGCAACCAAAAGCTCCTCTTTAGAAATAAGACAAAATTAGATAATGATTTTTATAAGGCTTGACTTGGTGTTTCTATGGTGACTGGGGTGGTTGGGGGAAGATGTTCAGAAGCAGCCAAGTCTGAAGAACGTACTAGAGAACTACATTTCACAGTGAAAGAAAAGAGGGCCACAGGTTCATTTCATAAGATTGAAGTCCAGGTTTTAGACAATGGGAAGGGAAATGGTCAAAACAGTACTTTTTTTGTTTTGAGATGAAGTCTCACTCTGTTGCCCAGGCTAGAGTGCAGTGGCATGATTTCAGCTCACTGCAACCTCCGACTCCTGGGTTCAAATGATTCTCCTGCCTCAGCCTCCCAAATAGCTAGGATTACAGGCATGTGCCACTGTGTGCATGGCTAATTTTTGTACTTTACTATTTAGTAGAGATGGGGTTTTGCTATGTTGGCCAGGCTGGTCTCGAACTCCCAGCCTCAAGTGATCCACCTACCTCAGCCTCCCAAAGTGCTGGGATTACAGGCATGAGCCACTGTGCCTGGCCAAAGCAGTACTTTTGAAAGAATGAGCTAGTGGAGATATGGAGAATGCATTGGAGAAGGAAGATGGAGGGCAGGGGGATTTGCTGGTGGATGAAGAGAAATGTGGGCATGAAATGGTCAGGCCTGAAAGGGGTGTTAGCTCATGGGAGGTTCTGTTCTTCCAACTTCTCATGGGAGGTTTGTTCCTCATGGTTCTTGCATGAGCCATTCATGGTGTCATTTTTCTCTGGGATCATATACCATTTACGCTGTTACTCTTCACTCCCCAAACTGAGAGTAATTAATTATGACATCCCTTTCTAGAGAACTGGATGCAGCCTCACCACACCTCTCAATATAGGATTCCAGAAGCTATTCCCATTCAGTCATATCAACTGTCTAGTGACACAGATTTTAGCTTCTTGATGCCACCCACATGTGTCTCCCTTTTGAAAGGACACCTTTGGATTATCTTAATTAATCCTCACTTTCCTCTTCAAAAGTTGGGTGTGCTACTAGCTACCTGATATGGCCTGGGTATTTGTCCCCTCCAAATCCTATGTTAAAATGTGATCCCCAGTGTTGGAGGTGGAACCTGGTAGGGGGTATTTGGGTCATGGTTGGGGATCCGTCATGATGGTTTGGTGGCCTTTTCATGGTAATGAGTTCAGAGCCTATCAGATTGTTTAAAGGCAACTGGGACCGCCTCTTCTCCCTCTTGCCCCCTCTTTCACCGTGTAACATCCCTGTTCCCTCTCTACCTTCTTCCATGAGTAAAAGCTTCCTGAGGCCTCACCAGAAGCCAAGCAGAGGCTGGTGCCATGCTTGTACAGCCTGTAGAACCGTGAGCCAAATAAACTTTTCTTTATAAATTATTCAACCTCAGGTATTCCTTTATAGCAATGCACACTGGGCTAACATATTACCCCATAGTAGTTCAAGTCTTAAATGAGGTAAAGAATGTGATGTACCTAGTGCCAGGTTAGAAGAGTAGTAGACAATCAACAAATAGCTGTTATCAGCATGATTGTGGCTGTTGGACACAAAGTCAATTTGTACTTTTGCTGCTTGTCCTTTTCTCTTTACCTGATCCACTATCTTCTCTCAAGATCAAGTTCAAATTTGGCTTCCTTTGTTAAATTATACCCAAGCGGGATTGTGATGGATCTGTTTATTTTCCTGTGTCTTGGAACAGCAGAGTCGTCTCTGAGAGTTTGGTTTCAGGATTTGTCTCTGTTTCCCCAGCCCACTTGCACTTAGCAAGTGTTTAATAAACTATTTAGTGAAAGCCCATATGTGGGTCATGGGTAAATTCCTAGGACAGAATCTAGGAATGGTAGTCATGATCTAAGTGTAACAATATGGTTTTTTGGGGGGAAAAAAAAGGAGAGACAGTATGAGTAAGAGGATCCTTGATTTCCACTGCTGTAAAATAAGAATAGAGGTCTCATAAATACATTGAGAGGATTATGCAAGACAACATATGCCAAGTGCTCACCTTTGAGCATGGTGACCAGTAAAGCACTCCAGAAATTATAGCTACATAGGCTTTATTAGAAATTGTACCTTGGCCAGGCGCGGTGGCTCATGCCTATAATCTCAGCACTTTGGGAGGCTGAGGCAGGTGGATCACCTGAGGTCAGGAGTTTGAGACCAGCCTGGCCAACATGGTGAAACCCTGTCTCTAGTAAAAATACCAAAAAAAAAAAAAAAAATTAGCCAGGTGTGGTGGTGGGCATTTGTACTCCCAGCTACTTGGGAGGCTGAGGGAGGAGAATCGCTTGAACCCAGGAGGCAGAGATTACAGTGAGCTGAGATTGTGCCATTGCACTCCAGCCTGGGTGACAAGAATGAAACTTCGTCTCAAAAAAAAAAAAAAAAAAATTGTACCTTGGTGCTGCCACCATCACACGGGCCAACCTAAAACTCCGTTCTTATCAAACGCAGATGAGCAGCTCCTTATTTCCTGGGGGATGAGTAAGTATTACTGAAAGCTTCAGGAAGTCAGGCAGAGTTTCATACTGGGAACATCATTCATTTCAGTCATCCTTCACAATGGAACCATCTGATGAGGGAGGTACTAAGAGGTGGCAGGCCTAAAGTTATACAAATGCAGATCTTGGGAAACAAAGTTCTCACAAAATTTTCTTTTCTCTACATTTCAATGAGCATGCACATGCTTTTAAGTAGGCAAAACCATCATATACCAAGGTTATTGGGCTTCTTTGTTGGTTTTCTTGCTTATGTATTTGCTTGAAGTTTCACATTACATATGTGAGTTGCCTTAAGGTTGCCATGCAAAGCAGCAAAGCCTGGATGAAACTCATCCAATCAGGAAAAAAATTGGGGCTGGCCTGAAAAAGTTTTAATATATCTATATATCTTTATAGCTATATATAGATATACATAATGGTAAGGACTAATAGCCAATTATTTATGAAGTCTATTTGAAGAGCAATATAGTTAACACTCTGTGTTTCCTAAACTTGAGCCCTGAGGAAACTAAATTGTTACCATACCACATTTTCAGGCTACCTCTACTTCTTAATGTTTTTCTTTAAATCAACTTGCTTTATTTTAAGATAAATAAAATTTATCTTATTTATTTTAAAAATCTTATTTTAAAATAAATACTTATTTGTATTTTAAAATTTCAATAGCATTATATAGCTATCGAAAATAAAAAGCAGTATCACCTATACAGAGAACATACCTGAGAATAAATAGAAACAAAGCTATATTGTTTAACTAGCAGAATTTAATGAATCTCACCGTCTCTGTTATATGAAGATTGGAAAATATTCACAAAAGGATAAAGTATGACCGTGAACTAAGATCATTCTTAGTGGAGTCTGAAAGGCTGAAAAGAACTGAAAAGAAAATGCCTCTTTTGGCATGGAACTCTCTAAATCCACAGGATTACCAGTACTGGGAACCCCGCTCTTTGGGGAATGTTGGTTCAGGAGAAAGAAGAGACAAAATAACTGGATACCTACACCAGCTCCACCATTGCTAAGTCACAGATCTACCTCACTCAGATACTTCCTCCCTCTAGGCCTTAGTTTCCTTATGTATAAAATAAAGTACATGGAATTATTAAGACTATTTTCCATTGCGCACAAGTAAAAACGTGTCTCACCACATTTGTGATCTCCAAGGAAGATAAATAAGTTGAAATATGGCACAGCCCAAGAAAAAATTTAGCTCCCATATGGATTGAACATAAACATCAGTAAGAATAGAAAATATAATGCCATCTTTTAAGTGTTCCATCCCATCCCTTCTGTAAGCACTTGTGGGCCTGCCTGGCTCTAAGAGGAGCAAGCTCCAGACTACATATAGGAAGGTAGTAAGGACTCTATGCCATTCAATTGCCTCTGCTTAAGAATAGGCTTGACCCTGCTAGGAAAACAGACCTATCTTGTATATATTGGACTAAATTGCAGGAAAAAAGTCTAAATTTACATTTTACCAACAATAATCCAACTCAGATTTAAAATCCCAAAGGCGGCTCCCGAGAAAATGCATTTGTTAGACTTAAGGCTCCAATGATATAAAATAGCAGTTGATGTTCATTTAGTCCTATGTCACAAGGGCCATTAAAAATGGTGTTTTCAATAGGGTTAGCATACAATTTCTCCCTGACCACAAATGCCAGCATAAACTAGTGGCCCCACATCAGTCTGGCAGTCTTCTATAAAGCACAATTGTTTGAAGGAATGTTTGCCACAGAGGCAAGGTGGTCATAAATATGCTGATAGCACACACTCCCTCCTCAAGGTGGGCCCAGTCTCAGGGCTTCCTCAAAGTAACGGCACACTCGGGACAGGGTACAAAGCAGGGTTATATTTATGAAGGTGATGGGAGGAATCCACAGCTTTTTAAAATTTTTATTTTTTTTATTTTTTGAGGTCGAAGCTTTATCTTTTATCAAGCCTTCCGGGAACTGAAATGGGGAATGGAGATCCTGTTTATAAAAGAAGATGAAACAGTCACTTAGTCTTTGATATAAATCAGAAAGTGAAACGTAGGATAGCTCTGGCCTCCTGAAAGAGAACGAACAAGTGAACTTTTGCCTTTTTAACACAGGATAGGCCAACCCCAAACAAAATAGTATTTATCTTTCTATTCCCAAAAAAACCTTTTCAGTGACAATCTGTTCATGACCCTTTGTGAACAGGTAGAGAGAAACTAGCAACTCAGAGGTAAAGGTGAGAAGTTTTTGGAATTTTTGAGATGGGTCTTGCTCTTGTCACCCAGGCTGGAGTGCAGTGGCACGATCTCAGCTCACTGAAACCTCTGCCTCCCGGGCTCAAGCTATTCTCCTGCCTCAGCCTCCTGAGTAGCTCAGATTACAGGTGCCCGCCACCACGCTGGGCTAATTTTTGTACTTTTAGTAGAGAGGGGGTTTTGCCATGTTGGCCAGGCTGGTCTCAAACTCCTGACCTTGGGTGATCCACCCACCTCACCCTCCCAAAGTGCTGGGATTACAGGCATGACCCACCGTGCCCGGCCTGGAATTTTAAATATGAGAAAGGAAGAACTTCTAGAGGATACTTGAATTTAGCCACCAATGCTTCCTTTCCCATTAAGAATCTTATAACTTCCCTCCTCAATCAATAAAGTTCTGCTCCTGTCAATAGAGCACCTTCCACCTCCCACCCACAACTAAAGCTTTCCTCATTGGTGAAAGGAATCTACATGTGTCCTCCTGAGCTGGCCGATTATTTTCTGCTACTTTCCAATGATAGTGATTGGTTCAAGGTCTGGACAGCAGAGCCAACAATGTTATTCTATGAGTTTAATAAAGAAAGGTTTGAAAAAAGAAGTTGTCTCTGTCAGTCAACTTAGGCTTAGTTATGCTGCTGTAACAAACTACCAAATCCCAATGGCTTTCAACAGTCAAGATTTCTTTCTTGATCCAAATATGATATCAATGAAGTAAAAAATTATAATTCTTCCACAGAAAAAGGTACCACAAGTCAAATGGCCAAACTTGATCTTAATGGATTAGAAAAATGTATAATCTTCTCAGAGTTAATATCTTGTACAAGCATTACAGGTACTCCATTAAAGTCTGATGGGGATGATACACTTTGAGAATGTAAATACAGAACTATTGACAGACACATTACCCACCAAGAGAGAAACTATAAAATATGGCTTTAACGGAGCAGTCAGTCATAAAATACTGCACCCACACATCCCCAAGGAAGACATGTGATCCAGGTAGAGCTACTTGATGTTGGCCATCTCCTGGTAGCAGTGATTGAACTAGATGGGCATATAACTCAAGTAGGATCCATCAGAGTGCTTGCCTGGGATTGAAATGCAGTTTACAGAGAAAAGAGTGAAAGAGGTACTCTTTTCTATAGCGTTTCTAAGCTGGGAAATTTGAGTTCCAGGATGGTAGATGTGATCTAATGTTTCATGTGAAGGAAGCCTGTCTTTAGAATGAAGCCAGGTAGGAACAAATAGAGATGAGAGTGAGAGAGAAAAGAGGAAGTGTTTGGGGGGTGGGGGGCAGATAAGAACTATCCTAGAGATCCTGAATCCCAGCTCCAGTTCCAAAGGTTGCTTACTAAACTTCATCCTCAGATTCTATGAGATATCTTAGTATCTTTTCCAACCTATATAATAAATTCTCTTTGTTCTGTTTTTGCTTTTTAAGCTGGTTGAATTGAGTGTTGTAACTAATATGAAAGTTAGCTCCAGAAGAAGCTAAATAGTTGATATAGAATGAACTCTATAGCCTGACACACAAAGGTCCCTTCTGAACTGAACCTACTGCCTTGCCAGACTCATTTCCTGACACCCTAGCCCACTGCACACCAGCCACATGGAAGTGCTGGCCCTTCCCCGAAACATTCTTTTTCTCAACATTGGGCAGGCATCTGTATATACTATTTCCAATCTCTTGGGACCCTCTCTTCTACTCTCTGAGAGAGCCATAGTATGTACCAAAGCCCATCCTTGCTTAGCTTCTGTTGAACATTGGCACCTGGGTTTTTTGCAGCTTAGATATAACTTCCAGCAGAATCAGAAAATCTTTCCCACAACTCAAAACCTGCACAAACTTTATCTCCTGCATAGCTCTATGCCATCAAACTTATTCTAGGCTTTAACACACATCACAGTGATACAAAATTACTTATTCACTCTATCAGTACACACAAACTTATGTTCATTTGTATATGTCTAATGGTGATTCCTGGCAAAATATCTCAAATATTTGTTGAATAAATGGATGTCAAATACCAGTAGCTAGAAAGGGACATATTTGAGTCTAGAACTGGTGAGTTCTAAGAAGTTAGCATTTTACCTACACTATTCATGCATTTAGAAATGCCCCCAAAGTATATTAGGTACCATAAAACTCAACATCACTGAATTTCTTCCTTTTCCCTTGACTAGTTTTTTGATTTTGGAAAGAGGTCCTGAAGATGGAGGAAGGTCTGAGAATAGGTGAACAGCATGCTGAAACTACTCCCTTGTGGCAGGTAGGCACCTATGGCTCCTACTCTAGTCAGAAACACCTTCCTGAACAGAGAGGACTGCATTTCCCAGTCTCCCCTGCAGAGAATTATATGGGTAGCCAATGGGCCACAAGACAGACACACACCTCCAGGATACTTGGAAGTTCAGTATGAGCCTTACAGGGAGGTGTCCGCAAAGAGAGAGTAGAGCTTTGGCCAAGCATGATGAGAAAGATGGAGAGCTCTTCCAGGGGCAGTTCAGGAAGAAGTCTCAACATCACTGGTACCAAGTGACATGAATGTCAGGAGTGGGGTTTCATTCAGAACATTTCATACGATGGTTGGGCATTTCTCTTGACCACATGTTCTTGGTTACATAGATCTCAGCTTGATTCCTGGTCCTCCAGAAAATTTGGTAAGCTACCTAATTCTCTGTGGTAATTTTGTTTCTGCTCAATCAGCATAAGTAGATTTTATGATCTGCAAGAACTTGGACTTCCTAATTACTTTTCACAAAATGATCTTAGCCTTATCACCCACAGAGTCAATCTGTGAGGTATCAGTATCTTCTCTGAAATAATCATGTTTCTGGGGGTAGGAAGGTCAGTTTGGGGAAGTGCACCAATCCCCAGTGATTAATGTCAAGTAGAAAAACTATGTTAATAAGATGCTACAGTACAGATCCCCAACGCCAGTTCAACATCAACAAAGAGAGTCATAAAAATCTGTTATTTCTGGTATATATTTTACTCATGAAAAGATTTTCCCCCTAAATTATTATAAAGAATGCTTCCTGTTTTATTTATTTTTTGAAGGAATTATTTTGAAATCAACATTAGTGAGTAAATAAACAGATGGGGACATTTATACTATGAGGGGTGAAGCATTAAATTACATCTGAGTTAACATGAATGGATAGAGAATGTCAACATTCTTTATTCAGAGCTTGCAGGCATTCATTTCACTTCCCAGGGAATGCAGGCAAATGCATATTTATGTCTTCTTTGAGCAGTCTAGATTGTTTAAATTTGTCTAATTTGGGGCTTCCTTTTACCTCTGAACATATGCTATTTATCTTAGGACCCTGACAGCAGCCCTTTGTTTAAGAATTAATGCCTAAATAGCAGTCTTTACGTAGCTTCAAATTAAAAATATGCACTTATCTACTTAATTTAGTTTTATGCTTCAGTGAATTTCAAATACATCCTGTCTTGTTTATTACATCATTGCAGGAGGATTTTTTAAGCCTAAGTGTTTTAATGTTAGATATTTAATCAACTCTCATCTGACTTTTATTCTAACTGAGAAGGACTGAGGAGGGGGGACCGATCAAGAAAGTGAGCTTGGTTTGGCTATTTGGAAGTAAATATTTAAATTTAGTGTAACTAATGACTATCTAGGATTCCTAGGCTCTTGTCACATAATGCAAGGGTTTATATATGCCTATTTTCCGTAGTTCACGGCATCACGGGAAGAATTGTAAGAGGTGGAGTGCCTTAGGTATCAGCTAGACTGGCCTCTTTTTATAGATTAGTGTCTTCAATACCAGAGGACAGGGAAACAGTTCATCTCACTAAAGTCACTCCGTAGGCAGGTACCATGTTCTTTTTGCCCTGTGTGATGACTTCTGAGGACAGATGCACTTTCCACATCTTTCTGTCTCCAAAATCTGCATTCTTTTCCTTCCAAAATCATGACCACCACCCCTCTGTTCTCATATCCCTTCCTATTTCTTCTCAAATTCTGCATAAAAGAATGAGGAAGCTACTAACCTCACCCATCTGGAACTGGGCATCATTAACAGACCATTGCTCAGGTTTGGGGCCTGGTTTGTCCCCCAAGGGCAGGAATTTTTATCAGTTTTTTTTTCTCTGCCATATTCCCAGCACCTAGAAGTGTGTTCATTACCTAGTAGATACTGAATGACTGAATTATTAAATGAATAAATTAGTGAGCGAATAAATTTTAAAAATGAATGAAGTCATTCATGTATTTAAGCCCCAATCCCCAATGTGACTGTATTTGGAGACAGGAACTTGAAGGAGGTGATTCAGGCTAAACAGTTCATCAGGGTGGGGGCCTAATCCAACAGGGACTGCTGTCCTTATAAGAAGAATAAGAAGATACCAGGAGTATGTGCACATAGAGGAAAGGCCTTGTGAAGACACAGCAAGAAGAGAGCCATTTACAAGCCAGGAGAAAGAAAACCATCATCAGAAACCAACCATGCCAACATGGTGACCTTGGACTTCCTGCCCCGAGAACTGTAAGAAAATAAATTTCCATTATTTGTGATAGTCTGTGGTATTCTGTTATGGCAGCCTGAGCAGACTAACACAAAGGCCTCTCATGTCTCTTATGCTAACATCCAAACTCCTTAATTTGACACACAAGGCCCTACATAGTCTGACCCTCCATCTCCTGTAAGACCTCATAAAATAATCCCCCTCACTCTCACCTACCAGAAACACTCATGCTCTTCCATTCTCTTGTGAGCTCCTGATTTTGCTGTCTGGGTCAAATTCCCCCATTACAGGTCTTCAGCACTAGATATTCATCCCTTTCTATTGAACAGGATGATAAATGGATTAATGCTCATTTCACCCACTGTTGTGCAAGCTGTAAGAGAAGAGGCATGCATTGCCTTCTGCTATTACTTTATCTCACACCTATCCAGTACTGGACATGACATTTCTACTCAAATATTTGCAGGATGAATAAATAAATAAGTATATTGAGTTAGTTGAATCAAAGAAGAACAGTTGACTAATTACAGCATAGGATTAGGAATATAAATTGTCATGCTAAAGAATATTGACAAAAATTCAGAAGTCTGGCAAAACTAAGTGTCACAGAGAATAAAGATACATAGGATACACTCACATTCCTGGCAAGTGTATCAGCTGATACAACCACTTTGTAATTGCCTCAGTTTTATTCTTTAAAGTAGTGTTTCTGAGCCAGATGTGATTTGTGTACCCCCTGCCTCAGGATATTTGGCAATGTCTGGAGTCATTTCTGGTTGTCACAACTCGGAGGTGGTACTATCAGCACCAAGTGTATAGAGACCAGCCATTCAGCTAAACACCCTATGCTGCACACAACAGCCCCCGGGACAAAGAATTATCTGCCCCAAATTTCAGCAGTGCCAAGTTTGAGAAACCTTGTACTAAACTAGACTAGTTATATATCTTATGGCTTGGCAATTGCATGCCTAAGTAAGTACCCAGCACATGCTTGCACATTTACAAGAGGAGACACTACAAATGTTTATACAAGCACTGCTTACAAGAGAAAAGGCTAGAAATAAGTCAAACACCTCTCAATGGCAGACTAAATTGTGATGTATTCACCCAATAGAATATTATGTAGCAGTCAAAACAAATGAATCAGTGATATACAATAAGCTGGATGAATCTTAGCTACATAATATTAACTGAATAAAGTTATATACCTTGTTTAATAAAGTTAAAAGCAATTACAATAAAAGAATACTTTATAATAGTGCATATAGAATCATTAAAGCTATTAAAAATAAGGCAAACAATTGACAAGCATAAGATTCGGGATAGCGACTTTTTAGGTTGGGAATAATAGAAGGATGTAGTGGGGTAAGAGACTGAGGTTAATGTAGGTTACTGTGTTAGCTTTTGTTTAGGGTGGTGAGTTTGTAGGTGCTTAATCATTTTTAAAAAGCAATAAATGAGTAGATAAATGAATGAATGCAGGCCGTGTATAGACCTAATGATACAAGTGTGTTGTGAGCCAATTTTTAAGATTAAACAAATTACAGGCAACTGCGGACCAATTTAAAAGCAAAAAGTTTTTTCACATAGATGGCAGTTTTCATAGAATGGTATGAAAGACTGCCTTGCTATGAAAAGGACTTTGTTTTAAATTGGTCCTCCACCTGTGATGTCATTTGAAAAAGAACACCTGCTTCTAAGAGAAAACTTTGAAAACCCTAAATGAGCAGTTATTAAATGTTTTAAGAGGGATGTTGCAATATCATAAGATCTATGACATGAAAATGGAATGAGATACTGCATAAAGGAAACCCTTCTCAGGAATGTCCGCATATCAAAGAAGAGAGCAACATTAGATTCCCAAGAAATGACTCATGCATGGTATAAACCCAAAAGCCAATATCAAGAAGGAAAAGGGAAGAAGATACTATAAGGTTCTTCTACCCCAATCATAGCATGGAAGTAAAAAAGAGATGGAAAGAGCCAGATGTATATATACAGTCAAATCTGCCACAGTGCAGTGCTTCAAAATACTGACATACAAATGCACTAGAAGCCAGCTAGCCTGCCTACCTTTCTGTCTTTTCTTTAGAAAGTTATTAGGATCAAAGCCTGTGCGAAGGAAGTGAGAAAGGTGGTGCTCCAGAAGATTTGGAAGACTGGCTCCAAAAAGGAAGACTAAGTTAAGAAAATAGAGGAGAGGATCAAAGCAGCCAGGTTTCTCACTGTTGAAGAAGGGAGTTACAAACAGAGAAAAAACTAGAATGAACACTGTGTTGTTAGATTGGAACTGAATAATATTAACTCGTGGTTTGATAGATTAGAAAGATAGGGAAATATGGACGTTAATGTGGGTATTCACACACATATCCACGTACAAATTCTGTCCACCAGGAGAACCCGATAGCAATAAGCATACCTTACACTTATATCTTGGTTTATTAAAACAATTATTTGCTAAAAAGAACCAGCATTTCTTAGATAGAGTTAATTCTAGACCTGGGACAGGAAAAGTACACAAAGAATCTGAAACGTCTTGCTATGACAGAGTGTAAGGATGTGTTCAAAGAATGGTGGAGTCATGTCAGGCACTGCATCTAACAAAGTGATGCCCATTGACCAAATCTGGGACAATCTGAGCATCAAAGTAAATTATAGTAATGGTTTATAATCAACTGAAAATAAAATTGGAATCCATGAGTCTATATGGATATAAGAAAGTTAATACATTAAAAAACTAAGGGAAAAAACCAACTACCTCAGAGTTGAATTCTAACTAATGTAGAAATGAATGCCAGTGGTAGTTGGTAAAAGGTTGATGGGTAACAGGGTATTTACATAGTCTCAATATATTTTCCCAAACACAGTCAGTTCTCTGGATCCCTAGGTTCCACGTTTGTGTATTCGACCGACCACAAGTTGAAAATATTCAGGAAAAAAATGGAGGGTTGCATTTGTACTAAACACATACAAACTTTTAAAATATTGTCATTATTCCCTAAGCAATACAATATGATTATTTTATATAGCCTTGACATATTAGCTATTATAAGTAATCTAAATATGATTTAAAGTATATAGGAAGATATGTACAGCTTATAAGCCAGGAGTGTCCAAACTTTGGATTTCCCTGGGCCATATTGGAAGAATAATTGTCTTGGGCCACACATAAAATATATTAACACTAATGATAACTGATGAGCTAAAAAATTTCAAAAAATTGCAAACAAATTCAATGTTTTAAGAAAGTGTATGAATTTTTGTTGGGATGCATTCAAAGCCATCCTGGGCCACCGGTTGGACAAGCTTCTTATGAGCAAACACTCCACTATTTTATGTTAGGGAATTGAGTATCAGTGGATTTTGGTATTCACAGGTGGTCCTGGAGCCAGTCACCCAAGGTTGCTGAAGAATGATTGTATTTATTAAATACGCAAGGGAAAAAACATTATAGTAAAGAAACCTGGCAAACACTACCTTAAGTGATTAGAGTGAATATCATTATTGATGAGTCACATTGAAATCATGCACTCCCTGATAAGATGCAAGAAGAATGTGGAGTCATTTGTGTGATATTCCTGCCAAACAGGCATAGCCTGAATTCAATCATGAAATAAACATCAGATAAACTTGAAGGACTTTCTTTAAAAAATAACTCTCCTACACTCTTCAAAAAGTTTCAAGGAAAGACTAGGAACTATTCCAAATTGAAAGAGCCTAAAATAATATGAAACTGTGGGCCAAATGTGACTCTTATTTATTCCTTTGGCTATAAAAGACATTGCTGGGATATTTGGCAAAACTTGAATGGCTGTTAGTAATGTAGTAATGTTAATTTCTTGATTTTGATGGTAATTCTATGATTATTCTATAAACAAAGAGAATGTTCATGGAGAATATAGGCTGAAATATTCAACATATTCCAGGAAACATCACATGTAGCTTATTCTCAGATGGTTCAAAAAATGTGGTTTTCTTTTCATTTTTCTCTTAAATTGCACTTATTTCAAAAAATAAAGATTCATAAATCCTATCACTTTTGTAGAAATAAATCACATGGAACTTGAAAGAAAACAATGTTTAAGCAGTAAATTTGTGATATGTGGGTATTTAAGAACAGGGTACTTGTTATGAAGATGCATGGGGTGGTGGGTGAACAAATGACAAAAAATAGATTGTTTAAGAAGTCTGTATTAGTCTGTTTTCACACTGCTATAAGTGACCTGAGACTGGGTCATTTATAAAGAAAAGAGATTTAATTGACTCACAGTTCCGCTTGGCTAGAGGGACTTCCTGAAACTTACAATCATGGCAGAAGGCAAAGGAGAAGCAAGCATCTTCTTACATGGTGGCAGGAGAGAGAGAAAGCAAGCGGGGAAGTGCCACACTTTGAAACTATCAGATCTCATGAGAAGTCATTCACTGTCATGATAACAGCACGAGGCAAATCCACCCCCATCATCTAATCACCTCCCACCAGGTCCCTCCCTCAACATGTGGGGGATTACAATTTGAGATGAGATTTGGGTGGAAACATAGAACCAAACCACATCAAAGTCTCTTCACAAAATAGCAACAGGAAATTGTGTGGAGCCTGGGTATAGGGAGGAAGTTATTGAATCATGCCTTTCATCCTGTTTTAAGCTGATAGAGGGAGATGTCATTTAATTGCCTTGGGTTTATTTACACAAGAAAATGAAAGTGCCAATAGTAACCTGTGAAAAATGCCAGAACTCAGGGTTGGTTATATATGACTAGTTGAGGGGTTTTCTAATCACAAATGTCTAAGTCTAATGCTCAAACACAGCAAGATAATTTATCAGTTATTCAGAAAGAGTATGGAAAAATAGTGGTGAAATAGACAAACAGCCCATTTTTATTTTTACATCTAATTGTTCTCCCTTCATGGAGTTTACCTTAAAATAATTTGTTAATAATGCTGAGAGCTGTTATTTCTATCTGTAAACAGCTTACTAGGGATAGGTCATTTCTATGAAGTTTGGAAAGGAAGGGCTGGGCATAGTGACTCATACCTGCAGTCCCGGTACTTTGGGAGGCCGAGGTCGGGAGATCTCTTGAGCTCAGAAGTTCAAGACCATCCTGGGAAACATGGCAAAACCCCGTCTCTACTAAAACTACAAAAATTAGCTGGGTGTGGTGGTGCACACCTGTATTCCCAGCTACTCAAGAACACTGAGGTGGGAGAATCGTTTGAACCCAGGAGGTAGAGGCTGCAGTGAGCTGAGATTGTACCACTGCACCCCAGCCTGGGTGACAGTCTGACTTCATCTCATAAAAGAAAAAAAAATTAAAAAAAAAGAAAGAAAGAAAAAATTGGGAAGGAGAAAGATGAGGTGGGGGTTAGGCCAAGGTGGTGAACTAGAAGCAGTTATGTATGCCACTCTCACAGAGAAGAAACAAGAGGGCTGGCGAACATTGGCCCTGCAAGGCCAGTCATCTGAGAAACTACATCGGGTTCCATCAAGGCAGCAGGGGAACAGAGAGAGCAGAGAGGAGTGAGGCTGGAAACCAGCTTGTATTAGTTTAGTGCAGAGCTGGGAGTACCTCTCAAAAGCAGGAAAGGGTGAGTGAATGAACTCTCCACAGGGACCTGTCTGGGAACCTCTCCTGGGAATGAGAGATTCCCCCTATCCCTCCTGCAGCCTTCCTTCTAGACTGGGGTAGAGAGCCATCTGGACATTCTGTGAGGGCAACTCTTAAGTTCAAGGAAATCTCTACAAGCCTTGGGCCCCAGAGTAGACCAGCACTGGCAACACAGCCTCACTAGAGTCTGTAATCATAGTGCCTGGGAACAACAGGATTGCTCCACCCCATTCCCTTACCAGAAAAGATTGGTGCCAGCTTCCAGCCCAGCTGTCCTACTTTGGCCTGAACTCAGCTGGCAGCCACAGGCTCCTGTTGTCCCAGGAAGTTCCTGGGTGGCAAGGTAGGAGACCCCTACACACTGGTAGCCAGGCAGGCAAAACTTGCCAGAACTTCTAGCCTAATGGTACCGCTGCTGTGTGGATTCTGCCAGATGATACATTTATCCGGTGGCTCTGAGAAATGCTCAGATAGCAGGGTGGGTGAGGCCACCTACCCCTGCCACTGGTAGCCAAGCAGACAATGTCTGCTAGAGCTCCCAGCCTAGTGGTCCCAATTTTATGTGAACTCAACAGGTGGGTGCAGCCTCCTGTGTCCCAAGAAGCAACTGGACAGCAGGGAGGGCAACCCCCAACCACATCTGCCGCTGATAGCCAGGCAAACTACAACTGCTAGAGCTTCCATAATTCTACTTCTGCCTGAACTCTGGGCAGGCACAACCCTGTATTCCCCGGAAAGCACTTGGACAACAGATTAGCACTGACCTGGCAAGGATATAGCCCATCTACCAACTGTGGCCCCTAACCTGAGGGAGCCCTGTGGACCAGAACAACCCCCCTCCCACCAAAACAAACAAATAAACAAACAAAAAAACAGAAAACAGTGGCCTGGAGATAGGAATCAGAGGACTCCTCCAAGACCCAGGAACAGACTAGAATTGAAGCCAGTTGACTGAACTCACCTTATATCATAATCAAACCCCCAAGGGCACGAAAGAAGATAAAAGCAAGATCCATTCATAGGAAAGCAATTTCAAAGACTGAAGGAACATCAGCCCTACACAGATAAGAGTAAACCAGCACAAGAGCTCTGGCAACTCAAAAAGCCAGAGTGTCTTCTGACCTCCAAATTATTGTACTACTTCACCAAAAATGGTTCTTACTCAGACTGAAATGGCTGAAATGTCAGAAATAGAATTCAGAATATGAATAGGAATAAAGATCGACATTCTGGAGAAAATCAAAACCCAATGCAAGGAATCTAAGGAATACCATAAAACAATGCAAAAGATAAAAGATGAAATAGTCATTTTAAGAACAAAAAGAAACTGATCTGACAGAGCTGAAAAACTCACTTAAGAATTGCATAATACAACTGCAGTATTAACAACAGAACCACCAATCTGAGGAAAGAATCTTAGAGCTTAAAGATTGGTTCTCTGAAATGACTCAGACAAAAATAAAAAATAA
Organism: Homo sapiens; assembly: GCF_000001405.40. Lineage (NCBI taxonomy): Eukaryota > Metazoa > Chordata > Mammalia > Primates > Hominidae > Homo > Homo sapiens. Next base: position 7,879,563 of record NC_000003.12, read on the forward strand.
GGAATGAATAAATCCACCAAGAAATATGAGATTAGGTGAAGAGACCAAATCTATGACACACTGGCATCCCTGAAAGAGAGAGAGAGAAAGCAAACAACTTGCAAAACATATTTGAGGATATCATCTCCCAAAATTTCCCCAACCTTGCTAGAGAAGCCAACACTCAAATCTAGAAAATGCAAAGAATCCCTGTGTGGTACTATATAAGGTAACCATCCCCAAGACATACAGTCATCAGATTCTCTAAGTCGAAATGAAAGAAAAAATGTTAAAGGCAGCTAGAGACAAAGGGCATGTCATCTACAAAAGAAACCTCATGAGGCTAACAGTGGACCTTTCAGCAAAAACCCTATAAGCCAGAAGAGATTGGGGCCTATATTCAGCATTATTAAAGAAAAGAAATTCCAACCAAGCATTTCATATTCAGCCAAACTAAGCTTCAAAAACAAAGAAACATGATCCTTTTCAGCCAAGTATACAGAATTTATTACCACTAGACTGTCCTTACAAGAGGTCCTAAAGGGAGTGCTAAATATGGAAAGGAAAGATGATTATCAGCCACCACAAAAACACACTTAAGTACATAGACCATTGATACTATAAAGTAACCACACAATCAATTCTGCAGAATAACCAGCTAACAACACAATGACAGATTCACACCTACACAATATTAACTTTGAATGTAAATGGGTTAAATGTCCTAATTAAAAGTCACATAATGGAAAGTTGGATAAAGAAGCAAGACACAACCATGTGCGGTCTACAAGAAACCCATCTCACTTGCAATGACAGCCATAGGCTCAAACTAAAGGGATGGAGAAAAATCTACCAAGCCAATGAAAACCAGAAAAAAACAGAGGTTTCTAATTTCAGACAGGACAGATTTTAAACCAATAACAAACAATAAAAGCAAAGAAGGGCATTACATAATGGTAAAGGGTTCCATTCAACAAGAAGATCTAACTGTCCTAAATATATATGCACCAACACAGGAGCATCCAGATTCATAAAGTTCTTAGAGGCCCACAAAGAGACTTAGGTAATCAATCAATAATAGTGGGAGACTTCAATGCCCAACTGACAGTATTAGTTTTCTGCCTTGATGATCTAACAAAGATATCCAGGACCTGAACTTGATATTTGATCAAATGAGCCCAACAGACATCTACAGACCTCTCCATCCCCAAGCAATAGAATATATACATTCTTCTCATTTTCACATGGCACATACTCTAAAATTGACAACACAATCAGCCATAAAACAATCCTCAGCAAATTTTTAAAAAGTGAGATCAAACCATCTACATTCTTGGACTACAGCACAATAAAATAGAAATAAATAATAAATGATTAAAAACCATACAATTACATGAAAATTAAACAAGTTGCACTAGAATCACATTTAGGTAAACAATGAAATTAAGGCAGAAATCAAGAAGCTTTTTGAAACTAATAAGAAAAAAGGAACAATATACCAGGATCTCTGGGCCACAGCTAAAGCCATGTTAAAAGGGTTGTTCATAGCACTAAATGCTCACATAATAAAATTGGAAAGATCTCAAATTAACAACCTAACATCACACCTAGAGGAACTAAAGAAACAAGAGTAAACCAACCCCAAAGACAGCAGCAGAAAATAACCAAAAACAGAGTTGAACTGAAGGAAATTGAGATGTGAAAAACCATCAAAAAGATCAATGAAAGAATTTCTATGTATTTTTGAAAGAATGCATAAGATTTGGCAGACTGCTAGCTAGACTAATAAAGAAAAAAGAGAGATTCCAAATAAACACAACCAGAAGTGACAGAGGGGACATTACCAACAACCACAGAGAAATTAAAAAAATTAAAAACCCTAAGGGACTACCATGAATACCTCTATGCATGCACACTAGAAAACCTAGAAGAAATGGATAAATTCCTGGAAACATACACCCTCCCAAGATTGAACCAGGAAGAAACTGAATCCCTGAACAGACTAATAATGAGTTTCAAAATTGAGTCAGTAATAGAAAGCTACCAATAATAAAAAGCCCAGGACCAGAGAAAATTACAGCCAAATTTCACTAGCTGTACAAAGCAAAGCTGATACTAGATTTACTAAAACTATTCCAAAAATTGAAAAGGAGGGATTCCTCCCTAACCCATTCTATGAGGACAGCATCATCCTGACACCAATACCTGGTAGAGACACAACAACAAAAAAGAAAACTTTAGGCCAATATCCTTGATGAACACAAATGCAAAAATCCTCATTGAAATACCAGCAAACCAAATTCAGCAGCACATCAAAAAGCTATTCCACCACAGTCGAGTTGGTTTTAATCCTGGGATGCAAGGTTGGTTCAAACACACAAATCAATAAATATGACTCATAAACAGAAAAAAAGGACATGATCATCTCAATAGATGCATAAAAGGCCTTCGATAAAATTCAAAGGGTTAAAAACACTCAGCAACTAGGCATTGAAGGAACATATCTCAAAATAATAAGAGCTGTCTATGATAAACCCACAGCCAACGTCATACTAAATGGGTAAAAGCTCACAGCAGTCCCCTTGAGAACCACAACAAGACAAGAATGCCCACCCTCCTCACTTCTGTTCAACATAGTACTGGAAGTTCTGGCCAGAACAATGAGGCAAGAGAAAAATAAAGGGCATCCAAATAAGAAGAGATGAAGGTAAACTACCTGTTTGCAGATGATATGATTTTATACCTAGAAAACCCCATAGTCTCTGCCCAAAAACTCCTTGATCTAACAACTTCAGCAAAGTTTGAGGATACAAAAAAAAAATCAATGTACAAAAAATAGTAGCATTCCCATACAACAACATTCAACCTGAAAGCCAAATGAAAAGCAAAATCCCATTCACTGTAGCCACAAAAAGAATACCTAGAAATGCAGCTAACTAAGGAAGTGAAAGATCTCTCCAACAAGAATTACAAAACACTATTCAAAGAAATCAAAGATGACACAAACAAGTGAAAAAACAGTTCATGCTTGTGGATAGGAAGAATCAAAATTGTTAAAATGGCCACACTTCCCTAAGCAATTTAAAGATTTAATACTATTTCCATCAAACTAAAAATGACTTTCCTCACAGAACTATTTTAAGATTCATGCAGAACAAAAAAATAAAAGAGAGCGAGAGAGAACTCAAATAGTGCAAAAACAAAAAAGCTGGAGGTATCATGTTACATGATTTTAAACTATACTACAAGGTTGTAGTATAACCAGAACAGCATGGTCCTGGTACAGAAACAGACACATAGACTAATAGCCCAGAACTAATGCCACACCCCTACAACCATCTGATCTTCCACAGAGAGAAATACAAGTCAAACCCCCAATAAGATACCATCAAACACTAGTCAGAATGGCTATTACTAAAAAGTCAAAAAATAACAGATGCTGTCAAGGTTGTGGAGAAAGGGGAACACTTTCTACACTGCTGGTGGGAATGAAAATTAGTTCAGCCATTGTGGAAAGCAGTGTCACAATTTCTCAAAGAACTTAGAATTACCATCTGACCCAATAATCCTATTGTTGGGTATATACCCCAAGGGTTATAAATCATTCTACCATAAACATACATCCACGTGTATGTTCACTGCAGCACTATTCACAATAACAAAGACATGGAATCAACTTAAATGCCCATCAATTGTAGACTAGATTTAAAAAAATGTGGTACATATACATCAAGGAATGCTACACAGCCATAAAAAAGAATGAGATCATGTCCTTTTCAGCAACATGGATGGAGCTCTAGGCCATTTTCCTAAGTGAATTAACACAGGGAAAGAAAACCAAATACCACATGCTTTACTTACAAGTGGGAACTAAACATTCTGTACACATGGACATAAATAAGGGAACAACAGACACTGTGCCTAGTGTTTGGGAAGAGGGTAAGGAAAACCTACCTATTGGATACTATGCTTATTACTGGGGTGATGACATGCTCTGTACACCAAATCCTGACAACACATAATTCACCTATATAACAAACCTGCACATGTACTCCAAAACTAAAATAAAAGTTAAAAAATAAGATGAGGTTATATGCCTACCTCTGCTATGATCACTCAGAAAACTCTGGGAATGTTTTTCCCTCTGATAAACAAAAATGAAGGGTAAACATACTTTATATTTATTAAAATTTTATTCTAGGCCAGACATATTCTGTGAGTTATCTTGGTTAGTTCTTTCAACAGCGATTAAAAATAGATATTCTGCTCTTCCTCCTTGTTAAAATGAGAAAAAGAGGAGAGAGTGATAGACAGGAAGCAGGATGAACTTGCAGCTCCTACTCAGAGGGACAGAGCAGCATGTGGAGACCCACATTGCTAACTTTTCTCCAAGAACTATCCCAGGAACATACCAGGAAAGCTGAGAGAATCCACAGATGCGTTGAAGACAGTTGATTGCCACTGCAGGCTCCATGGGCAGCCAAGGAACTGTGAGTCCCCTTGCTTTCTCAGCTGGGAGGCTTGTAGCCTGGGGCAAGTTCTCGGTCCTGCTCATCAGCTGCCTAGAAATAAACTCAGTGCTTTTGGGTGGGGCTGGGGGCATGGTGGGAGTGAAACTGGCCTTTCAGGCCATGGGCTGAGTGGGAGGTGGGTGAGGTCTGTGGCTGCCATCTTTCCCCCATTTCCCTGGCAACCTGTGTGATGCAGAACAGACAGCCATAATCCCCCAAGGAACATAACTGCACTGGCCTGTGAACCACACCCCAATCTGCCACAGCAGCCACAGCAAGCCCTGCCCAAGAGAGACTGAGCTCAGACATGCCTAACCCTGCTCCCACTTGATGGTCTTTCTCTACTCACCCTGGTAGCCAGAATACAAAGAACATAATCTTTTGGGAGCTCTATGACCCTGCCCACTGCCTGAGAAACCTGAATACTTATCCAAGGGTGACCCTAGGGCAAGCTTGTATCCTCCTTATACAATCACAGCTGATGTGCTCTTGAAAGTGCTACCTCCTTCCTGGAGGCCAGCCAACACAAAAGCAACACACATGAAAATACAAAAACCAACACATATAAAAATACAACCAAGGACTCTCACAGAGTCCACTTCATTCTCCTGCTACCTCCACCAGAGTAGGTGTTGGTATCCAAAGCTGAGAGACCTGAAGATGAATCACATCAAAAGACTCTTTATAGGTACTCCCCAGAACCAGCCCAAAGCCCAGTAGCTCCACTGGGTGGCTAGATCCAGAAGAGAACTAACAATCACTGCAGTTTGGCTCTCAGGAAGCCCCATCCCTAGGGCAAAGGGGAGAGCACCAGGTCAAGGGAGCACCCCCATGGGACACAAGAATCTGAACAGCAGCCCTTGAGTTCCAGATCTTCCCTCTGACATAGTCTACCCAAATGAGAAGGAACCAGAAAAACAATTCTGGTAATATGAAAAAAAAACAAGGTTCTTCAACATCCCCAAAAGATCACACTAGCTCACTAGCAATGGATCAAACCAAGATGAAATCTCCGAATTGCCAGAAAAAAAATTCAGAAGGTTGATTATTAAGCCAATCAAGGTGGCACCAGAGAAAGGTGAAGTCCAACTTTAAGAAATCAAAAAAATGATACAGGATGTGAATGGAAAAATCTCCAGTGAAATAGACAGCATAAATAAAAAACAATTACAACTTTTGGAAATCAAGGACACACATAGAGAAATGCAAAATGCACTGGAAAGTCTCAGCAATAGAACTGAACAAGTAGAAGAAAGAACTTCAGAGCTCAAAGACAGGGCTTTTGAATTAACCCATCATGACACAGACAAAGAAAGAAGAATTTTGAAAAAATAATTTAAAAAATTTAATAAAGCCTCCAAAAAATTTGGGATTATGTCAAACAACCACACCTAAGAAAAATTGATGTTCCCAAGGGAGAAGAGAAATCTAAAAGTTTGGAAAACATATTTGAGGCAATAATCGAGAAAACCTCTGGTCTTGCTAGAGGTCTAGACATTCAAATACAAGAAGCTCAAAGAACACCTGGGAAATTTATTCCAAAAAGATCACCTAGGAACATAGTCATCAGGTTACCTAAAGTCAAGGCAAAGGAAAGAATATTTAGAGCTATGAGGCAAAAGCATCAGGTAGCCTACAAAGTAAAACCTATCAAATTAACAGCAGATTTCTCAGCAGAAACCATACAAGCTAGAAAGGACTGGGGTCCTATCTTTACCCTCCGTGTTATCAGCCAAGAATTTTGTATTCAGCAAAACTAAGCTTCATAAATGAAGGAAAGATACAGTCTTTATCAAACATGCTGAGAGAATTTGCCACTACCAAGCCAACACTATAAGAATGGCTAAAAGGAACTGTAAATCTTGAAATGAATCCTTGAAATAAACCAAAATAGAATATCCTTTAAGTATAAATCTCACAGGCCCTATAATACAATAACACAGTGAAAAAAAAAAAAAACCAGGGTATTAAGGCAACAAACAGCTTGATGAATAGAATAGTACCTCATATCTCAATACTAATATTGAATGTAAATGGCCTAGATGCTGCACTTAAAAGATACAGAATGGCAGAATGGATAAGAACTCACCAACCAAGTATCTGCTGTCTTCAAGAGACTCACCCAACACATAAAGGCTCACAAAAACTTAAGGTAAAAGTTGGAAAAAGTTATTCCATGAAAATGGACACTAAAAGTGAGAAGGAGTAGCTATTCTCATATCAGACAAAACAAACATTAAAGCAGAAGCAGTTTTAAAAGACAAAGAGGGACATTATATAATGATAAAAGAATTTGACCAACTGGATAATATCACAATTCTAAATATATATGCACCTAACACTGGAACTCCCAAATTTATAAAACAATTACTACTATACCTAAGAAATGAGATGAATAGCAACACAAAAATAGTACTCCACGGACAGCACCTAGACAGGTCATCAAGACAGAAAGTCAATAAAGAAACAGTGGAAACTGTACCCTAGAACAAATAAACTTAAAAAATATTTACATAACATTCTACCCAACTACTACAGAATATACATTCTATTCATCAGCACATGGAACATTCTCCAAGATAAACCATATGAGAGGTCACAAAACAAGTCTCAACAAATTTAAGAAAATGAAAATTATATTGAGAACTCTCAGACCACAGTGAAATAAAATTGTAAATAAACTCCAGAACAAACCCTCAAAACCAGGCAAATACATGGATATTAAATAACCTGATCCTGAGTGATCATTGGGTCAACAATGAAATCAAGAAGGAAATTTAAAAATTCTTTGAACTGAACGATAATAGTGACACAACCTATCAAAACCTCTGGGATACAGCAAAAGTGGTGCTAACAGGAAAGTTCACAGCATTAAATGCCTACATCAAAAAGTCTGAAAGAGCACACACAGACAATCTAAGGTCACACCTCAAGGAGCTAAAGAAACTAGAAAAAAAAAAACAGCAGAAGAAAATAACCAAGATCAGAGCAGAACTAAATGAAATTGAAACAAAAAGAAAACAATACAAAAGATAAATGAAACAAAAAGCTGGTTCTTTTAAAAGATAAAATAAAATTGATAGATCAATAGCAAGATTAACCAAGAAAAGAAGAGAGAAGACTAAAATAAGCTCAATTAGAAAGCAAAAGGGAAATATTAATACAACTGATATCACAGAGATATAAAAGATCATTCAAAGCTACTATGAATACCTTTGCACACATAGACTAGAAAACCTAGGGGGGATGGGTAAATTCCTGGAAATACACAACCCTCCTTGATTAAACCAGGAAGAAATAGAAACTATGAACAGACCAACAAGCAGTGAGGTTGAAATGGTAATTAAGTTACCAACAACAAAAAGTCCAGGACCAGATGGATTCACAGCTGAATTCTATCAGACAGTCAAAGAAGAATTGGTACCAGTCCTATTGACACTATTCCAAAAGAGAAAGAGGGAATCCTCCCTACATCATTCTATGAAACCAGCATCACCCTAATATCAAAACCAGGAAAGGACATATCATAAAAAAGAATACTATAGACTAATGTCCATGATGAACATAGATGCAAAAATTCTCAACAAAATGCTAGCTAACCAAATCCAACAGCATATCAAAAAAGATAATCCACCATGATCAAGTGGGTTTCATACCAGGGATGCAAGGATGGTTTTACAACTGCAAGTCAAATGTCAAACACAATTAAAAACAAAAATCACATGATCGCAACAGACATAGGAAAAGCATTTGACAAAATCCAGCATTCCTTTATTAATAAAACCCTCAGCAAAATCAGCATAGAAGGGACATACCTTAAGGTAACAAAAGCCATCTATGACAAACCGACAAACTCACAGCCAACATTACATTGAATGGGACAAAGTTGAAAGCATTCCCCATGACAATTGGAACAAGACAAGGAAGCCCACTTTCACCACTTCTATTCAACATAGTGCTGGAAGTCCTAGCCAGAGCAACTAGACAAGACAAAGAAATAAAGGGCATCCAAAAAAAAAAAAAGTTAGGAATATACTTAACCAAGGAGGTGAAAGATCTCTACAAGGACAACTACAAAATACTGCTGAAAGAAAACATAGTTGATGGCCAGGCATGGTGGCTCATGCCTGTAATCCCAGCACTTTGGGAGGCTGAGGCAGGTGGGTCACCTGAGGTCAGGAATTCAAGATCAGCCTGGCCAACATGGTGAAATCCTGTCTCTAATAAATATACAAAAATTAGCCAGGTGTGTTGGCACACACCTGTAATCCCAGCTACTGAGGAGGCTGAGGCAGGAGAATTGCTTGAACCCCGGAGGTGGAGGTTGCAGTGAGACGAGATTGTGCCACTGCACTCCAGCCTGGGTGACAGAGTGAGACTCCATCTCAAAGAAAAACAAAAACAAAACCAAAAAAAACTAAAGAAAACATAGATGACACAAACAAATGGAAACACATCTCATGCTCATGAATGGGTAGCATCAATATGGTGAAAATGACCATACTGCCACAAGCAATCTACAAATTCAATACAATTCCCATCAAAATACTACCATCATTCTTCACATAACTAGAAAAAACAATCCTAAAATTCATATGGAACCAAGAATAAGCCCACATAGCCAAAGCAAGACTAAGCAAAAAGAACACATTTGGAGGCATTACATTATCCAACTTCAAACTATAAGGACATAGTCACCAAGCCAGCATGGTACTGGTATGAAAAGAGGCATATTGATCAATGGAACAGAATACAGAACCCAGAAATTAATGCAAAATACTTACAGTCAACTGTTCTTCCACAAAGCAAACAAAAACAAAGTGGGGAAAGGACACCCTATTCAACAAATGGTGTTGGGATAATTGTCAAGCCACATGTAGAAGAATGAAACTGGATCCTCATCTCTCACCCTTTACAAAGGTCAACTCAAGATGAATCAAATACTTAAATCTAAGACTTGAAACCATAACAATTCTAGAAGGCAACATCAGAAAAATCCCTTCTAGACATTGGCTTAGGCAAAGACTTCATGACCAAGAACCCAAAAGCAAATGCAACAAAAACAAAGATAAATAGATGGGAGTTGATTAAATTAAAAAGCTTCTACACAGAAAAATAAATAATCAGCAAAGTAAACAGACAACCCACAGAGTGGAAGAAAATCTTTGCATCCAGCAAAGGACTAATATCCAGAATCTACAGTAACTCATATCAGCAAGAAAAAAACAAACAAATCCATCAAAAAGTGAGCTAAGGACATGAATAGATAATTCTCAAAAGAAGATAAACAAATGGCCAAGAAACATATGAAAAATGCTTAACATCACTAATTATCAGGGAAATACAAATCAAAACGCTATTACAATACCACTGCACTCCTGAAAGAATGGCCGGAGTCAAAAAATGAAAAAATAATTGATGTTGGCAGGTATATGATGAAAAGGAAACATTTTTACATGGTTGGTGAGAAGATAAACTGGTACAACCACTATGGAAAACAGCGTGGAGATTCCTTAAAGAGCTAAAAGTAGATATACCATTTGATCCAGTAATCCCAATCTTGGGTATCTACCCAGAAGAAAAGAAGTCATTGTATGAAGAACAACTTGTACATGCATATTTATAGCAGTGCAATTTGCAATTGCAAAAATATGAAACCATCCCAAATGTCCATCAATCAACAGGTGGATAAAAAAAATGTGTTATATGCATACCATGGAATACTAGTCAGCGATATAAAGGAATGAAATAATGGCATTTGCAGCAATCTGGGTGGAATTGGAGACCATTATTCTAAGTGTAGTAACTCAGGAATGGAAAACCAAACATCGTATGTTCTCACTCTTAAGTGGGAGCTAAGCTATGAGGATGCAAAGGCATAAGACTGATACAATGGACTTTGGGGACTCAGGGGGAAGGTGGGAGGGGGGTTAGGGATAAAGGACCACACCCTGGGTACAAGGTATACTGCTCAGGTGATGGGTGCACCAAAATTTCAGAAATCACCACTAAAAAACTTATTCATGTAACCAAACACCACCTGTTCCCCCCAAAATCTATTGAAATAAAAATAAATAAATGAGAAAAAGAAGTCTGAGAGGTTAAGTGACTCCTGTCCAGAGACAGAGTTGAAATGAGAGTAGACAGGTATGGCTAGTTTTAACCATAATCTCATCTAATACTCACATATAAACCCTGCAACCTCTGAGTAATCATGTCACTCAGAATGGCCTAGATATCAACATCCCCATATTACAGAAAAGAAAACTAGCTCAGATGCATACATACCTTAGAGCCCTGTTTTTTTTTTTTTTTTCACCTAAACAGTCTCCTTTAGTCATGTCATTTCTAAATATCACCTTCATCATATAATTAACAATAACAGGCTGGGCACAGTGGGTCACACATGTAATCCCAGCACTTTGGGAGGCCGAGGCGGGCGGATCATGAGGTCAGGAGATCGAGCCCATCCTGGTGAACACTGTGAAACCCTGTCTCTACTAAAAATACAAAAATTTAGCCAGGCGTGGTGGCGGGTGCCTGTAGTCCCAGCTACTTGGGAGGCTGAGGCAGGAGAATGGCATGAACCAGGGGGGACGGAGCTTGCAGTGAGCAGAATCCGCAACTGCACTCCAGCCTGGGCAACAGAGCGAGACTCCGTCTCAAATAATAGTAATAATAATAATAGTTGCAACATGAATATTTGGAAAGCAGTTTATCATTTACAAATGCTTTTATGCATACTTTCCATCTTCTCAATGGCCAATGAGAAAGGCTTTTTTCTTCCAATTTTATAGATGTGGACACTGAAGTTCAGTGTACTTAAGTGAAGAGCTTAAATCAAACAAGAACAATTGAGACTGAAATCAGAATCAGAAGCAGTCAATAATATTATAGAGAAAAATAATAGTTTAATTTATTATTAAATTAAGTCTTGTAGTACAGGTCCAGTGGAATAGGCAAGAGGCTAGGTTTTAAACAGAAGCTGCGTGGTAATGCTGAGTTGTCAGGCATAAACAATGACTGTACAGTGGTTTGAGATTTAAATGCTTAGCTAGACCTCAGGTGAGACAGATATCAGAGATGCAGGGACAGTCAGAAGATCCATTGCCAATAAATATGCCTAGCAGATGCTGTGTCCTGGGCTCTGCAATTGCCATGGGCTTCTTGGATTCTGTTTATCCCTTCATTCTGCCTCGAGCTTGCCAAGTCATGAGCCTACTTGCAGAGGACCAGAAATGAGAGAAAACTACTTCTGGACCTACTCCCATGGGCTCTTCCTTATCCCCATCCTCTGTTGGAGAGCACCAGAAAATATTCTACCTGGATATACTGCTGCTTAGACCAGAGCAAGACCATATTCAAACACACCAGGCACATGTTCTGTGGCTGGCACATGCAGCTGAGGACCATCTGCCGTGATGGCTTTTAGCCTGCTAAGAAGATAGTGAGCTACTTCCCTCAAGGCAAACTAGCCAAAAATGAGCTTCTAGAGTCTTTGACTAAATCTAATAACTTTCTCTCTTGATCTTTTTAAACAAAAAATAATGAATTGTATTTTGTTAAACCAGTCTTCTGAATTTCAGAACCTTCTACATTCCACTGAGAGAGGTTTAACTGCTCTCTAATAAGCCTGTTTGATTTCTGATGGCTAATGAAGTTAACAGTGAACTTTATTGTCCATTGGTCGATATAAACTCCATGGAAACAGGGACACCATCTTTCCTTTCCACCAAGCATCTAGAGTCATGTCTAACACATAAGAGCTATTTAATATACAAGTAATAATGACAGGAGCATTTATTACAGTACAAGACCATGTCACTCTGAATGGACTGTTCCAAACCAAATACCTGGAGAATTGAGAATTGGTAGCAGTGTAAAATTTCTTTCAATTCACCATTTTCTCTTTGCAAAGTTAGAGAATGCATGGTCTCCACCTACATATTTTGGTGGGGATAGAGTGGGATGATCAGGCATCCAGATTATTTTTCTTTATTTGGAGAATCTTAAAACAGTGGCAGGTGGGATGTGGGAGAGTTGGACTAGGGCAGGGTAGTCATGAGAAATATGGTAGCCAATCATATGTGCTTTAACAAGACAATGAATGTTAAAAAATCATAGAGATAGACATAAATATCCATATAGACATAAATATTTATCTCCAATAAAGATTTTCAGGGTAATGGCAACAGGAGGTTAAAAAATCTTTTGATGATTCAGTCACATGAGTATCTTATGGTGGACAAAGGTCAATAGAGAAGATGCCAGCAACAGCAGATTTAAGTGAACGAACACACTGGTCAGTTAGAGGGATCAAATGCATAATCTGTTTTCCCAGTATGTCTTGGTTATGGCCTGTTTTGCAAACCTTCCCATTGACTCTAGGTACTATCCAAAAGCCTTCTAAGAGGATCCCTTTTAGGATTCATTAAATCAAAGTTGGATTCATTGATTTTCCAATAAGAGTATTATTTTGGTAGGGAAAAGAGTGCCAGCACACCATTAGAGTTGCCCGGTTTCCTATGGGACAATATGTGCTTTTGGAGGAAGCAAGAGGAAACCATAGTATCTGGTGCTTAAGAATGTTTTACCTAGCAGCCTGGTAACACAAGAAGGTACCAGGCATAGTGTGCAGTAATTTTTTTGTATGTAAATTCTGATGACTTGGACACTCTTCCCCAAACCATCACTCATTTATTAACTATTAATCAAGTTCCTACTATGTGCTTGGAGCCATGCTAGATACTGAGGAAGTGGCAATAAGGTAGCTGAGGCCCTATTTTTTTTTTTAATTATACTTTATGTTTTAGGGTACATATGCACAACGTGCAGGTTTGTTACATATGTATACATGTGCCGTGTTGGCTTGCTGCACCCATTAACTCGTCATTTACATTAGGTATTTCTCCTAATGCTATCCCTCCCCAATTTCCCCACTCCACGACCGGCCCCGGTGTGTGATGTGATGTTCCCTGCCCTGTGTCCAAGTGTTCTCATTGTTGAATTCCCATTATGAGTGAGAACATGCGGTGTTTGGTTTTCTGTCCTTGTGATAGTTTGCTGAGAATGATGGTTTCCAGCTTCATCCATGTCCCTACAAAGGACATGAACTCATCTTTTTATGGCTGCAAAGTATTCCATGGTGTATATGTGCCACATTTTCTTAATCCAGTCTATCATTGTTGGACATTTGGGTTGGTTCCAAGTCTTTGCTATTGTGAATAGTGCCACAATAAACATATGTGTGCATGTGTCTTTACAGTAACATGATTTATAATCCTTTGGGTATATACCTAGTAATGGGATGGCTGGGTCAAATGGTATTTCTAGTTCTAGATCCTTGAGGAATCACCACACTGTCTTCCAAAATAGTTGAACTAGTTTACACTCCCATCAACAGTGTAAAAGCTTTCCTATTTCTCCACATCCTCTCCAGCACCTGTTGTTTCCTGACTTTTTAATGATTGCCATTGTAACTGGTGTGAGATGGTATCTCACTGTGGTTTTGATTAGCATTTCTCTGATGACCAGTGATGATGAGCATTTTTTCATGTGTCTGTTGGCTGCATAAATGTCTTTTTTTGAAAAGTGTTCACGTCCTTTGCCTACTTTTTCATGAGGTTGATTTTTTCTTGTAAATTTGTTTAAGTTCTTTGTAGATTCCAGATATTACCCTTTGTCAGATGGGCAGATTGCAAAAATTTTCTCCCATTCTGTAGGTCGCCTGTTCACTCTGATGGTAGTTTCTTTTGCTGTGCAGAAGCTCTTTAGTTTAATTAGATCCCATTTGTCAATTTTGGTTTTTGTTACCATTGCTTTTGGTGTTTTAGTCATGAAGGCCTTGCCCATGCCTATATCCTGAATGATATTGCCTATGTTTTCTTCTAGGGTTTTTATGGTTTTATGTCTAAAACTTAAGTCTTTAATCCATATTGAATTAATTTTGTATAAGGTATAAAGAAGGGATCCAGTTTCAGCTTTCTATGTATGGCTAGCCAGTTTTCCAAGCACCATTTATTAAATAGGGAATCCTTTCCCCATTGCTTGTTTTTGTCAGGTTTGTCAAACACCAGATGGTTGTAGATGTGTGCTGTTATTTCTGAGGCCTCTGTTCTGTTCCATTGGTCTATATCTCTGTTTTGGTACTAGTACCATGCTGTTTTGGCTACTGTAGCCTTGTAGTACAGTTTGACGTCAGGTAGCATGATGCCTCCAGCTTTGTTCTTTTTGCTTAGTATTGTCTTGGCAATGTGGGCTCTTTTCAGTTCCATATGAACTTTAAAGTAGTTTTTCCCAAGAAAGTCACTGGTAGCTTGATGGGGATGGCATTGAATCTATCAATTACTTTGGGCAGTATGGCCACTTTCATGATATTGATTCTTCCTATCCATGAGCATGGAATGTTCTTTCATTTGTTTCTGTCCTCTTTTATTTTGTTGAGCAGTGGTTTGTAGTTCTCCTTGAAGAAGTCCTTCACATCCCCTGTAAGTTGTATTCCTAGGTATTTCATTCTTTTTGAAGCAATTGTGAATGGGGTTTCACTCATGATTTGGGTCTCTGTCTATTATTGGTGTATAGGAATGTTTGTAATTTTTTCACATTGATTTTTGTACCCTGAGACTTTGCTGAAGTTGCTTTCAGCTTAAGGAGATCTTGGGCTGAGTTGATGGAGTTTTCTAAATATACCATCATGCCATCTGTAAACAGGGACAATTTGATTTCCTCTTTTCCTAATTGAATACCCTTTATTTCTTTCTCTTGCCTGATTGCACTTGCCAGAACTTCTAACACTATGTTGAACAGGAGTGGTGAGAGAGGGCATCCCTATCTTGTGCCAGTTTTCAAAGGGAATGCTTCCAGTTTTTGCCCATTCAGTATGATATTGGCTGTGGGTCTGTCATAAATGGCTCTTATTATTTTGAGATACATTCCATCAATACCTAGTTTATTGAGAGTTTTTAGCATGAAGATTGTTGAATTTTGTCAAAGGCCTTTTCTGCATCTATTGAAATAATCACATTATTTTTGTCATTGGGTCTGTTTATGTGATGCATTACATTTATTGATTTATGCATGTTGAACCAGCCTTGTATTCCAGGGATGAAGCTGACTTGATTGTGGTGGATAAGCTTTTTGATGTGCTGCTGCATTTGGTTTGCCAGTATTTTATTGAGGATTTTTGCATTGATGTTCATCAGGGATATTGGTCTGAAATTCTCTTTTTTGTTGTTGTGTCTCTGCCAGGCTTTGGTGTCAGGATGATGCTGGCCTCATAAAATGAGTTAGGGAGGATTCCCTCTTTTTCTATTGATTGCAATAGTTTCAGAAGGAATGGTACCAGCTCCTCTTTATACCTCTGGTAGAATTCGGCTGTGAATCCATCTGGTCCTGGACTTTTTTTGGTTGGTAGGATATTAATTATTGCTTCAATTTCAGAGCCTGTTATTGGTCTATTTAGTGATTCAACTTCTTCCTGGTTTAGTCTTGGGTGGGTGTATGTGTCCAGGAATTTATCCATTTCTTCTAGGTTTTCTAGTTTATTTATGTACAGGTGTTTATAGTATTCTCTGATGGTAGTTTGTATTTCTCTGGGATCAGTGGTGATATCCCCTTTATCATTTTTTATTGCATCTATTTGATTCTTCTCTCTTTTCTTCTTTATTAATCTTGCTAGCAGTCTATCAATTTTGTTGATCTTTTCAAAAACCAGTTCCTGGATTCATTGATTTTTTGAAGGGTTTTTTGTGTCTCTATCTCCTTCAGTTCTGCTTTGATCTTAGTTATTTCTTGCCTTCTGCTAGCTTTTGAGTATGTTTGCTCTTGCTTCTCTAGTTCTTTTAATTGTGATGTTAGGGTGTTGATTTTAGATCTTTCCTGCTTTCTCTTGTGGGCATTTAGTGCTATAAATTTCCCTCTACACACTGCTTTAAATGTGTCCCAGAGATTCTGGTACATTGTGTCTTTGTTCTCATTGGTTTCAAAGAACATCTTTATTTCTGCCTTCATTTTGTTATTAAGCCAGTAGTCATTCTGGAGCAGGCTGTTCAGTTTCCATGTAGTTGTGCTGTTTTGATTGAGTTTCTTAATCTTAAGTTCTAATTTGATTGCACTGTGGTCTGAGAGACGGTTTGTTATGATTTCTGTTCTTTCACATTTGTTGAGGAGTGCTTTACTTCCAACTGTGTGGTCAATTTTGGAATAAGAGCAATGTGGTGCTGAGAAGAATGTATATTCTGTTGATTTGGGGTGGAGAATTCTGTAGATATCTATTAGGTCCGCTTGGTGCAGAGCTGAGTTCCAGTCCTGGATATCCTTGTTAACCTTCTGTCTCATTGATCTGTCTAATATTGACAGTGGGGTGTTAAAATCTCCTGTTATTATGTGGGAGTCTAAGTCTCTTTGTAGGTCTCTACGGACTTGCTTTATGAATCTGGGTGGTCCTGTATTGGGTACATATGTATTTAGGATAGTTAGCTCTTCTTGTTGAATTGATCCCTTTACCATTATGTAATGGGCTTCTTTATCTCTTTTGATCTTTTTTGGTTTAAAGTCTGTTTTATCAGAGACTAGGATTGCAACCCCTGTTTTTTGTTTGTTTGTTTCTTTGTTTTTTGCTTTCCACTTGGTAGATCTTTCTCCATCCCTTTATTTTGAGCCTATGTATGTCTCTGCATGTGAGATGGAGGCCCCAGTCTTAAAACATGTCCTGAAGTCCAGCTGTCTGGGTGTGAATACCGGTGTTACCACTTCTAGCTATAAGACCCTAGGGTATTGACTTAATCATTCTGTGCTTGTTTCATCTGTAGCACAATATTATTCACACTTGCCATATATAGTTGTTATATTAATTCATTTAATCCTTACACAATAAAGCACTGAGAACAGAGGCTTGTTTGAAAGAAGCATTTGGTAAGCATTAGTAGCAGTTGCTGTCTTTAAGTTTATTATCAGTAGAATGTTTGACTGAATGTTACACACAGACAAGGCATCAGGAAACATCAAACAATTTGATGTGCTGTAAGCAAGGATATGCAGGAAAACATTGAAGAAATGCACCATGAGGATTCTGGTCCAAGATGGCGGACTAGAAACATGAGATACCTTCTCCAGAAAGAAGAATCAAAATTATAAATAGACAGTCATACCTCAAATAGAACATTTAGGAGTGCACAATAAAGTATAACAGAGAACTTACAGGAAATACCTGAGGCAGAGAAAAAGAAAGTGAGCATTCAGCTCAGCCTGGGAGTCCAGAGATACTAAAGTATTGCAAGGAGAGCGTAAGTGAGAACGCTTTGGTGGTCCACATCTCTGCCATACGCTGCTATGCACTGTACCACAGGAGAGTTCCTCTACCCACGTGAACCCTGACACTAGTTTGGGTGGTGATTTGGAGACCCCATGAGAGGATTGTATCAGAGAGGGAACTTATCCTGAGCCACTCACCCCCACCCTGAGACCTGAGCAACTGTGGCAGGACACTATTTTAGGAGCACTGCTGTCACTGGACTACATCTTGTTCTGGGAAACACAGCCTCTGTATCTCCACACAATGGGAGTTCCCACTGACATTCCCCAGCATCTACTGGGATGGCTTTAGCAGCATAGTGTTGGCCGTACCCAAAGTTGCTACAGGGTCCCCAGTTCTCTAGCACAGTTGTCCCCAAACTCCTGGCTGTGGACTGGTACTGGCCTGTTAGGAACTGGGCCGCATAGCCCAGATCCTGGCCTGTTAGGAACTGGACTGCACAGCAGGAGATGAATAACAGGCAAGGGAACAAAGTGTCGTCTGTATTTATAGCCACTCCCCATCACTCACATTGCTGCTTGAGCTCCACCTCCTGTCAGATTAGATTCTCGTAGGAGCACAAACCCTATTGTGAATTGTGCATGCAAGGCATCTAGGTTGCATATTCCTTATGAGAATCCAGCAAATGCCTGATGATCCGAGGTAGAATGGTTTCATCCCCAAACCACTCCACCCCCAGCCTGTGAAAAAACTGTGTTCCATTAAAACCAGTCCAGTCCTTGGTTCCAAAATGATTGGGGGCTGCTTCTCTAGCCCACAGGGAGTAATAATCCTTCAGTAAGGTATAGTCCAGTGCACCAACAAGGTGAGCTTCTGGGACAAAGGAAACCAAGATATGCACTTTGCAGAGTTAAAGAGCTCCCTGTCTGGAGCTATGAGAAGTGACCCTGCCACCACCAACAGCAGAAGCTCTGTTCTAGGCTTTGCATGTAAAGAGTGAAATCCCCTCCCATGAGCGGAGCAGCCTCTGTGCTTGGTCTTAAGTAAAGAATGGAACGCCCTCTTGTCTCTGTGCACACCAGCTCCTGCAGCTGCTAGAGGCTGGGATGGGTGAGCCAGTGGGCTAACTGTCTGGGGCTATGAGTGGTGACTGCAACCCCACACCACAGCCACTGCCAATACCAACCCACATCACTCAAAGGGTCCTCCCACCACTGCTACTGATCTTGCTTACATCACACTGGCTGCTCAGAAACCCAAGAACCTGCTCAATTGCCTGGCCCACTGTTGCCACTACTCACATATAAGCAAACCACGTGGAGGCCCAATAATTCACCTGCCAGTAACTGCCAATCCAAGTGCCAGTGTTCACCAATGTAGGGAACAAAGATAGTCATGCTCAGCCAACTGCTGCTGCCACTGAGGGCTGATAACTGGCCCGCTTTTCTCTCTAGTCTCCAGTGTAGCTTCACCATAGCCTCTACCAATTACTGCACCCTAACCTTGTGAGAAAAACTCACAGAAAGCATGAACACTGTTTACACCCAAATAAATCATACAGAGGCTACACTACTGCACACACAGAGAATCAAAAAGTTCCCTACCCAACCAACACCAAAGATATGTCTTCAGGAAAGTGCTCTACTACAAAAGTAAATTCAAAACTAGGAAGAAGTAACCGTTAGACCAGTTGAACTGATATCAACATATGGACACAGGAAACATGAAAAAGCAAAGAAATATGACATCTCCAGAAAAATGCAATTATTCTCCAGCAATAGATCTTAATCAAAAGAAGTCTTCAAAATCCCAAATAATTCAAAATATTGATTTTAAGAAGCTCAGTAAGCTACAAGATAATTCTGGAAAATCCAAAAAAAAAAAAAAACTCATCAAAGAGATAGATTTTTTGTAAGAACCAAACAGAAATTCTGGAACTGAAGAATTCATAGAATACAAAATACATTTGAAAAATGTTGAAAAAGTTGAAAGCCTTTTCTCTAAGAACTGGAACAAGGCAAGGATGTCCACTTTCTCTCCTCCTATCTAACATAGTACTGAAAGTCCTAGACAGAGCAATCAGACAAGAGAAAGAAAAGGCATCCACATTGGCAAACATGAAATAAAATTATCTCTTTTCTGATGATATAATCTTACATCTTGAAAAACCTAATAACTCCCCCAAAAACCTCTCAGATTTGATATATCTGGTAATGTTGCAGTATACAAAATCAATGCACAAAAATCAGTAGTGCTTCTATACAATAGTAACCTAGCCAAGAAAGGAGCTAAGAAGGCCATTTCATTTACAATAGTGACAAAAAACAAAATACCTCTAAATGAATTTAACAAAGGAGGTGAGAGATCCCTACAAGGAATAGTATAAAGCACTGATGAAAGAAATGGAAGATAAAGTAAACAAATGGAAAAACATCTTACACTCATGCATCAGAAGAATTTAATATTGTTAAAACCACCATATTGCCCAAATCAATCTACAGATTCAATGCAATCCCTATGAAAATGCCAATCTCATTCTTTACAGAACTAGAAAAATCAATCCTAAAATTCATATGGCACTAAAAAGAGCCCAAATTGCCAAAGCAAGCCTGAAGAAAATGAACTGAACTAGAGACATCAAACTATCTGACTTTGAAATATATTATAAGGCTGGAGTAACCAAAATGCATGTTATTGGTATAAAAATAGATGCATAGACCAATGGAACTGAATAGAGAAGCCAGAAATAAAGCCATATATTTAGTCAACTAGTATTTGACAAAGCTGACAAGAATTTATACTTTGGCAATTGGGGAAAGGAAACTATTCAATAAATGATGCTGTGACAGTTGGACAGCCACATACAGAAGAATGAAACTGAACCACTATTTCTTACCATATACAAAGATCACCTCAAAACGGATTGACCAGTTAAATGTAAGACCTGAAACTATAAAAATACTAGAAGAAAACTTAGGGAAAAAACTCTCCTGGACATTAGCCTAGATAAATAATTTATGACTAAGACCTCAAATGCACAGACAACTAAAACCAAAGTAGGCAAATTGGAATAAAACTAAAAAGCTTCTGCACAGCTAAAGAAATAACAGAGTAAAGTAACAACCTGTTGAATGAGAGAAAACGTTTGCAAACTATTTATTAGACAGGGACTAATATTCAGAATACACAAGGAAGTCAACTCACCAGGAAAAAAAAAACATTTAAAAGTGGTGCATAAAAAATGTGCAATACATCATTAATCAGAGAAATGCCAATCAAAACCACTGAACACTATTCAGAGTGACTATTATTAAAAAGACAAAATAACAGATGTTGGCGAAAATGTGGAGAAAAGGGAACTCTTGGTGGGAATGTAAACTCATATAGCCACTATGGAAAACAGTATGAAGATTTCTTAAAAATCCTAAAAACAGAATTAGCATTTGATTCAGCAATCTCGCTACTGGGAATATACCCAAAGGGAATCAAATCATCAATGTATCAAAGGAATACCTGTACTTGCATGTTTATTACAGCACTATTCACAAAAGCAAAGATATAGAATCAAGCTAAATATCCACCCAAGTACAATACATTTTCGCTAAGTATAGTGCCACAATAAACATAAGTGTGCATGTGTCTTTACAGTAGAATGATTTATAATCCTTTGGTTATACCCTGTAATGGAATTGCTGGGTCAAATGGTATTTCTGGCTCTAGATCCTTGAGGAATCACCACACTGTCTTCCACAATGGTTGAACTAATTTGTCAATTTGGCTTTTGTTACCATTGCTTTTGGTGTTTTGGACATGAAGTCTTTGCCCATGCCTATATCCTGAATGGTATTGCCTAGGTTTTCTTCTAGGGTTTTTATGGTTTTAGGTCTTATGTTTAAGTCTTTAATCCGTTTTGAGTTAATTTTTGTATAAGGTAAAGGAAGGGATCCAGTTTCAGTTTTCTGCCTATGGCTAGCCAGTTTT
The DNA here is from genome assembly GCF_000001405.40 of Homo sapiens. Lineage (NCBI taxonomy): Eukaryota > Metazoa > Chordata > Mammalia > Primates > Hominidae > Homo > Homo sapiens. The sequence goes on from NC_000003.12 coordinate 7,901,286, forward strand.
ACCAACACCATTTATTAAATAGGGTATCCTTTCCCCATTTGCTTTTGTCAGGTTTGTCAAAGATCAGATGGTTGTAGATGTGTAGTGTTATTTCTGAGGCCTCTGTTCTGTTCCATTGGTCTCTACCTCTGTTTTGATACCAGTATCATGCTGTTTTGGTTACTGTAGCCTTGTAGTATAGTTTGAAGACAGGTAGCGTGATGCCTCAAGCTTTGTTCTTTTTGCTTAGGATTGTCATGTCTATACGGGCTTGTTTTTGGTTCCAGATGAAATTTAAAGCAGTTTTTTCCAATTCTGTGAAGGAAGTCAATGGTAGCTTGATGGGGATAGCATTGAATCTATCAATTACTTTAGGCAGTATGGCCATTTTCATGATATTGATTCTTCCTATCCATGAGTATGGAATGTTTTTCCATTTGTTTGTGTCCTCTCTTATTTCCTTGAGAAGTGGTTTGTAGTTCTCCTTGAAGAGGTCCTTCACATCCCTTGTAAGTTGGATTCCTAGGTATTTTATTCTCTTTGTAGCAATTGTGAATGGGAGTCCACTCATAATTTGGCTCTCCATTTGTCTACTATTGGTGTATAGGAATGCTTGTGATTTTTGCACACTGATGTTGCATCCTGAGACTTTGCTGAAGTTGCTTATCAGCTTAAGCATATTTTGGGCTGAGATGATGGAGTTTTCTAAAAATACAGTCATGTCATCTGGAAACAGAGACAATTTGACTTCCTCTCTTCCATTTGAATACCCTTTATTTCTTTCTCTTGCCTGATTGCCCTGGCCAGAACTTCCAACACTATGTTGAGTAGGAGTGGGGAGAGAGGGCATCCTTGTCTTGTGCCAGTTTTCAAAGGGAATGCTTCCAGCTTTTGTCCATTCAGTATATTGGCTGTGGGTCTGTCATAAATAGCTATTATTTTGAGATACATTCCATCAATACCTAGTTTATTGAGAGTTTTTAGCATGAAGGGGTGAATTTTATCAAAGGCCTATTCTGCATCTATTGAGATATTCATGTGGTTTTATTTGTTGGTCCTGTTTATGTGATGGATTACGTTTATTGATTTGCATATGTTAAACCAGCCTTGCATCCCAGGGATGAAGCCGACTTAATTGTGGTGAATAAGCTTTTTGATGTGCTGCTGCATTTGGTTTGCCAGTATTTTATTGAGGATTTTCGCATTGATATTCCTCAGGGATATTGGCCTGAAATTTTCTGTTTTGGTTGTATCTCTGCCAGGTTTTGGTATCAGGATGATGCTGGCCTCATAAAATGAGTTAAGGAGGAATACCTTTTTTTCTATTGTTTGGAATAGTTTCAGAAGGAATGTTACAAGCTCTTCTTTGTACCTTTCATACAATTCAGCTGTGAATCCGTCCGGTCCTGGGCTTTTTTTGGCTGGTAGGCCAACCAAAAAATTACTGCCTCAATTTCAGAACTTATTATTGGTCTATTCAGGTATTCAACTTCTTCCTGGTTTAGTCTTGGGAGGGTGTATGTGTCCAGGAATTTATCCATTTCTTCTAGATTTTCTAGCTTATTTGTGTAGAGATGTTTATAGTATTCTCTGATGGCAGTTTGTATTTCTGGGGGATCAGTGGCGATATCCCCTTCATCATTTTTTATTGTGTCTATTTGATTCTTCTCTCTTTTCTTCTTTGTTTTTCTGGCTGGCAGTCTATTTTGTTGATCTTTTAAAAAAAAACCAGCTCCTGGATTCATTGATTTTTTTTAAGGGCTTTTCGTGTCTCTATCTCCTTCAGTTCTGCTCTTAGTTATTTCTTGTCTTCTGCTAGCTTCTGAATTTGTTTGCTCTTACTTCTCTAGTTCTTTTAATTTTGATGTGAGGGTGTCGATTCTAGATCTTTCCCGCTTTCTCCTGTGGGCATTTAGTGCTGTAAATTTTCCTCTAGGATGGGCACGGTGGCTCACGCCTGTAATCCCAGCACTTTGGAAGGCCTAAGCAGGCGGATAACGAGGTCAGGAGATCGAGACCATTCTGGCTAACACTGTGAAACCCCGTCTCTACTAAAAATACAAAACATTAGCCGGGTGTGTTGGTGGGTGCCTATTAGTCCCAGCTACTTAGGAGGCTGAGGCAGGAGAATCACTTGAATCTGGGAGGCAGAGGTTGCAGTGAGCTGCGATTGCACAACTGCACTCCAGTCTGGATGACAGAGTGAGGCTCTGCCTCAAAAAAAAAAAAATTCCCTCTGAACACTACTTTAGCTGTGTCTCAGAGATTCTGCTACATTGTGTCTTCATTCTCACTGTTTCAAAGGACCTATTTATTCCTGCCTTAATTTTGTTATTTACCCAGTAGTCACTGAGGAGCCGGTTGTTCAGTTTCCATGTAGTTGTGCAGTTTTGAGTGAGTTTCTTAATCCTGAGTTCTAATTTGATTGCACTGTGGTCTGAGAAACTGTTATGATTTCCGTTCTTTTGCATTTTCTGAGGAGTGTTTTACTTCCAATTATGTGGTCAATTTTAGAATAAGTGTGATGTGGTGCTGAGAAGAATGTATATTCTGTTGATTTGGGGTGGAGAGTTTTGTAGATGTCTGCTTGGTCCAGAGCTGAATTCAAGTCCTGAATATCCTTATTAATTTTCTGTCTTGTTGATCTAATATTGACAGTGGCGTGTTAAATCTCCCACTATTATTGTGTGGGAGTCTAAGTCTTTTTGTAGGTCTCTAAGAACCTGCTTTATGAATCTGGGTGCTCCTGTATTGGGTACATATACATTTAGGATAATTAGCTCTTCTTGAATTGATCCCTTTACCATTATGTAATGCTCTTCTTTGTCTTTTTTGATCTTTGTTGGTTTAAAGTCTGTTTTATCAGAGACTAGGATTGCAACCCCTGTTTTTTTTTTTTTTTTTTTTTTTGCTTTCCGTTTGCTTTGTAAGTATTCCTCCATCCCTTTAGTTTGAGCCTATGTGTGTCTTTGCATGAGATAGGTTTCCTGAATACAGCACACTGATGGGTCTTGACTCTTTATCAAGACCCTTCTTTGCCAGTCTGTGTCTTTTAATTGGGGCATTTAGCCCATTTACATTTAAGGTAAGTATTGTTATGTGTGAATATGATCCTATCATTATGAGGATAGCTGGTTATTTTGCCTGCTAGTTGATGCAGTTTCTTCATAGTGTCGATGGTCTTTACAATCTAATATGTTTTTGCAGTGGCTGGTACCAGTTGTTCCTTTCCATATTTAGTGCTTCCTTCAGGAGCTCTTCTAAGGCAGGCCTGGTGGTGACAAAATCTCTCAGCATTTGCTTGTCTGTAAAGAATTTCATTTCTCCTTCACTTAAGAAGCTTAGTTTGGCTAAATATGAAATTCTGAGTAGAAAGTTCTTTTAAGAATATTGAATATTGTCCCCCTCTCTCTTCTGGCTTGTAGGGTTTCTGCAGAGATCCACAGTTAGTCTGATGGGCTTCCTTTTGTGGGTAACCTGACCTTTCTCTCTGGCTACTCTTAACATTTTTTTCTTCATCTCAACCTTGGTGAATCTGACAATTATGTGTCTTGGGGTTGCTCTTCTTGAGGAGTATCTCTTTGTGGTGTTCTGTGTATTTCCTAAATTTGAATGTTGGCCTGCCTTGCTAGATTGGGGAAGTTCTCCTGGACAATATCCTGCAGAGTGTTTTCCAACTTTGTTCCATTCTCCCCGTCACTTTCAGGTACACCAATCAGATGTAGATTTGGTCTTTTCACAAAGTCCCATATTTCTTGGAGGCTTTGTTCATTCTTTTTCATTCTTTTTTTCTCTAATCTTGTCATCTTGCTTTATTTCATTAAGTTGATCTTCAATCTCTGATATCCTTTCTTCCACATAATCGATTCAGCTATTGATACTTGTGTATGCTTCGCAAAGTTCTTGTGCTGTGTTTTTCAGCTCCGTCAGCTCATTTGTTTTCTTCTCTAAACTGGTTATTCTAGTTAGAAATTTGTCTAACCTTTTTCCAATGATCTTAGCTTCCTTGCATTAGGTTAGAACATGTTCCTTTAGCTCGGAGAAATTTGTCATTACCCACTCTGAAGCCTACTTCTGTCAATTCATCAAACTTATTCTCCATCCAGTTTTGTTCCCTTGCTGGCAAGGAGTTGTGATCCTTTGAAGTAAAAGAGAAGTTCTGTGTTTTTGGAATTTTCAGTCTTTTTATGCTGGTTTTTCCTCAATCTTTGTGGATTGATCTACCTTTGGTCTTTGATGTTGGTGACCTTGGGATGGAGTTCTTCTGTGGATGTCCTTTTTGTTCACACTGATGCTATTCCTTGCTGTTTGTTATTTTTCTTTCTAACAGTCAGGCCCCCTCTGCCTCAGGTCTGCTGGAGATTGCTGGAGGTCCACTCCAGACCCTGTTTACCTGGGTATCACCAATGGAGGCTGCAGAACAGCAAAGATTGCTGCCTGTTCCTTCCTCTGGAAGCTTTATCCCAGAGGGGCACTCACCAGATGCCAGCTGAAACTTTCCTGTATGAAGTATCTGTTGACTCCTGCTGGGAGGTGTCTCCCAGTCAGGAGGCACAAGGGTCAGTGACCAACTTGACGAGGCAGTCTGTCCCTTAGTAGAGCTCAAATGCTGTGCTGAAAAATCTGCTGCTCTCTTCAGAGCCAGCTGGCAGGAACGTTTCAGTCTGCTGAAGCTGTGCCCACAGCTGCCCCTTCCCCCAAGTGCTCTGTCCCAGGGAGATGGGAGTTTTATCTATAAGCCCCTGACTGTGGCTACTGCCTTTGTTTCAGAGAGAAGGAATCTAGAGAGGCAGTCTGGCGACAGTGGCTTTGCCAAGCTGTTGTGGGCTCCACCCAGTTTGAACTTCCCTGGGGGCTTTGTTTACACTGTGAAGGGAAAACTGCCTACTCAAGCCTCAGTAATGGCGGATGCCCCTTGCCCCCACCAAGCTCCAGCATCCCAGGTCAACTTCAGATTGCTGTGCTGGCCATGAGAATTCCAAGCCAGTGGATCTGAGCTTGTTGGGCTTCGTGGGGATGGGATCCACTGAGCTAGACCACTTGGCTCCCTGGCTTCAGCCCCCATCTCAGGGGAGTAAACGATTCTGTCTAGCTGGCATCCCCGGTGCCACTGGGGTATGAAAAAAACCTCCTGCAGCTAGCTCTGTGTTTGCCCAAACAGCTGCCCAGTTTTGCACTTGAAACCCAGGGCCCTGGTGGCATAGGCATCTGAGGGAATCTTCTGGTCTGCAGGTTGTGAAGACTGTGGGAAAAGCATAGTATCTGGGCTGGAATGCACCATTCCTCATGGCACAGTCCCTCATGACTTCCTTTGGCTGGGGGAGGGAGTTCCCTGACCCCTTGCACTTCCCAGGTGAGGTGACACCCCACCCTGCTTCAGCTCACCCTCCGTGGGCTGCCCCCACTGTCTAACCAGTCCCAATGAGATGAGCCAGATACCTCAGTTGGAAATGCAGAAGTCACCCGCCTTCTGCATTGATCTTGCTGGGAGCTGCAGACCAGATCTGTTCCTATTCAGCCATCTTGCCAGTGACCCAACCACCGCTTTTTGGGTAGAAATTATAAAAGCCTGAATGCACTTTTTCTTTTAGTTGGAAAAATGTTTAAGCACCATTGCAAACAGTAGCAAATAAACTTTCATAAGAGAATATATTCATTGATAGAGCAAGTACAATAAAAAGTTAATTGTAGAATCTAGGTAGAGAATATACAGATGTGCATTATAAATTCTTTCAACTATACTATATGTCTAACAAATTTTCAAAATAAAAACTTGGAAAAAGTTTTTAAGCAGGTTAAATATGACTTAAAATATAAAAGCATTAGCAAAATATACACTCTAGTTAAAATTCCATATTAGTAGATAATAAAAAGTACTAATCAATCTTATGAATGCAAAGTTTGAAAAATGCAAAAATAAACATATGAACAAAAAATCACTATCATGTTGACTAGCCATTTTATTGCATCCTTTTGTTAAGGATGGAATAATAGCTAGCTATAGGATACCTATAATAAGTACAATTAAAACAAAGCATAAAGAAAGGTTAAAACAAAAGAACGAACAAATAAAATATAAAGAAATACCTTCAATAATTCTACCAAAACAGGAAATATTTAAATATGTGGCCTTCCTTTGAATGAAAACCAAGAGGGAATGGTTCCCTTTGCCTCTATAGATGTTTCACTGTCGCTTTTTTCTTCTTCTTTAAGCAAGTTAGGAATCCAATTGTATAAGAAACGAAGGAGTAACTTAAAAGGCTGAAGTTAAAAGCGTTGATTTGCACTAGAGTGAATTTTATGGGCTTTGCTGTTTTCTGAGTTTTCTCTGCAAGCTTTACTTCTAAGTGCTCTTTGTAAGCCTGAAGAGCAACATCATGCTAAATTTTCATTTCTTAAAGGACATCTCATTTTTTGGATTTAGGATGTTAGCAATTTGCATACCTATAGCATACTGATCTTCCTGCGCTTAATTCTTCCCAACAATCCAGAAGACTGGGATTATGCCAAATAATAAGGCACCATAACAACCAGATGGCCGGTGGAAGACGCAGCCCAGCAGGTCTTTTGCCTACACAATATCACACCACTGCCTAAGGGCTCCCCAGTATAAGAGGCAATCTCACCAACAACCTCAACAGAAGAAGCATCCTGCCTGCCTCTCGTTCCTGACCTTGCCACTTGGATATTATAACAGCTAGGTGGGATCAGGCAGCTCAGCACCTGTTATTTGGCAGTGGGTGTCTGCAAAATATTTCACTTCTACAATAGGTGGGGGGTATTAAATAAAACCTAGTTCAGGTGTGAGGATAAATGTAACCTACATCTGCTCACAAATTTTGATGATGCACTGCTGGTGGGAAAAAGCACTAATCATGAACAGATATCATTTGTTGCTTAAAAATAGTCAAAGTATATATTTAAATAGAACAAGATGATTTCTTAAAACTTGTGAGGATTGAAGTAGTATACAAGTCCTAATAATTATTTTCTGGGCCCAAACTAAAAACATCTATGGTGATTTTTTTTTTAATGCTAGACACTATGCTAAGTGATTTAGGGGAATTGTTTTATTTGGTTTTCATAACTTTCTTTGTAAGTCCCAATATTATCCCTTTTTACAAAGGAGGAGACTGAGGCTCAATGCACCTTAAGAACTGTCTCTGTGACCCTAGCATGTATGTACAGCTAGGGTTTTAATAGGTCTAATCTGACACCCACTCCAGTGATTTTCTCCACCCAGCAGTACTGACTCCAAGAGCGTTGTATTGGGTTACTAAAGTCAAATATGAAGTTGAGACAAATTTGTACCACATATGGAGTTTGGCAAATATTAAACTCTCTTCTTCTAAATTCTAAAACAGTTAAAGATATTTCTGAAAGAAAATTATATAACATAGTATATTGCTCAAATTTCAGAACCTTGAAATGAGTTAAAATCATGGTAGATGCCATATTTGCTTCCTGTTACAATTAAGATTAAAAATAACCCTCTATTATCTATAACTATATAAAATATACAGCATATAATTATATAAAATGAGAAGCACAGATGTTATATAGTAATATTGTTATAATATCCTATTACTAAATCAGTGCTTCTCATTTTATTTTTCTTAATCTGTTAGGTTTTTCTCCTACCTGATGCTCTTTTTTCCCAACAATTATATTTTCCTAGGCTCCCTGAAGACAGAGAGCAGGAATGCAATACATTAGCAAATAACAGTGAGCTCCAGCGCTTCCCCCAACCCCCGCCCCACCATTTTCTGTAAGTTATTTCTGATTCCTTTGATAATTTAAGAAAATAAAAGAAACTTGGATCTTATTTCAAAGTTATATCAAAACAATCATTTTAAAGCGGAAACTCCAACATCATAAAAATTACAGATTTTTTTAAAGTATACTAAACCTAATTGAATTTATCTTAAATAGGCGTAGTTATGAAGACCAGTATTATGTATATGGAAAAATTGTGAAAAGTTAATACAAGTGTTTTATTTATCCAGAAACTTCTTATCTGGCAAACTCAGTCTATTCTTGAAGCAACCAGGAAGGTAGAAACAAAGACATTTGATCAATCAAAAAAGAGTTCTGGAAGTCACAAACACACATGACCAAGGAGGCCAAGTTGATGTGGCACCTGAATTATGTGAGTCAACGGGAATGGTGGTGACCAAGGATACGGTATCTAAAGTGAGCAACAGCTACTCAGCACTAGTGGGGTTTTGCTGAGTAGGACCAAGGTCATAGGATCTTCCAAGTTTCAAACAGAGGCAAAGCTTCCAGATGTCTCATGTGACATTTCATCTTATCTGAAGCACCGCACAGGGAAAAAAAAAAAAAAAAAAAACTCTACCATCCAAGACCCAACATGTGGATGCCTCTGAACTCTGTGCTAGCTCTACCTCCTACTTATGCATGGACACCTAGGAGATTTGAGTGGCTCTCCCAAGGTCAGACAGTTAGAAAGGGACAGAACTGGAAAGAGAACTTAGGTCTCCTGTCAACCTCATGCTCTCCATATTTATATCACAGCCCCCAGAACAGACAACCGATGAATTTTCTTGGCAGCTCTTCCTCCAGCACATCACAGCAAGCCCACCGGTGGGCCATCCTCCGGGAAATGGGTAGAAAGCAAGTAGTGAATGTGGCTGACACTGCACCAAGCTGTTCTGTGTCCTTCAGTCAATCATGCCTGCATTATTTTTCCCTTTGAAATGACAGTTTATCCTCAGAAATAGGATTTTATCAACAATGAAGGGGATTCTACTTAGGTGTTTTCACCGTTAAGCAAATTGAGAACTAGTCTCGGGAAAAGAATCTGTTTAGTGTCATTGAAACACTGCCCAAAGGAAAAAAAAAAAAAAAACAGAAACAAAAACTAAGATTAATATTAAGCTATAAAGATGGCATTTTTCTTCTCAAAGTACTTTTCAAACTCTGTAATCTCATTACAAGTCAATGAAAATTCATGGCTCTGATGCATCTTGCATGACAGGATTTCTAAGCACTTACAGAGCCATAAATTCCCATCAAGAACATCTCACAACCTGAAATTCTCCAAAGGAAACTCTTCCGGTTCCTCACTCGAATTGGGCCTTATATTCCCATCACCAGTCTTTGGCCTCGTCCAGAGCAAACCCATGAACTCATGGACTAGATATATTATTTTTCCATGTACAGTAAATTCAAAATTAAGAAAAACAAAGTCTATGCTCATATCATCCAGAATCATCTTTTATAACATCTTTGAGAAACTCAAATAAAGCTTGTACAAACTCCACTTTGCTGTAATTTTCTGACTCTTGATAATGTTACTATTATTGAAGTATCAAGAGTAATAGGGAAATAGGTTACCTTCTTTAAGTTAGTGTAAATATTTAGTAGCAAAAACACACGTTGTTTAATACATGTCAGACATTTTCATTGGCACTCTATGAGGGAGCTACCATTATCAGCATCATACAGATGAGAAACTGAGGCACAGGGAAGTGAAGTAAGTGGCCCAAGTGCAGTGCCAGGACTTGAATCCAGGGAGTCTGTCAGAGTTCAAATACTTGATAGACCACGCTGCCTTATGGAGAGGCATCGGTCCTTCTTTAGTAAGGGGATCTGGGCTTTCTCTTATCTGCTGTGGTAAAAAGTTCCCTGTGAGGGTGTTGGAGTCCTAGAAGTCCACATAGGTTCATGTACTGTCCCTGAGGCTCTCCTTAGAGGTCACATCCACCATAAGGATGGGCGATTCAGGGTCATATTTCATCAGGGCCCCTGAGAGCTTCTTCTTAATCCCAAGGCCATTTAAGGCACTGGGGAAAGCTTTCCACAACGGAAATAAGTCTGCTTCTGAACCGAAGAGGAGGAATTATCTACCTACTCTCAAGAATATTCCTTTCCATCTATAAATAGGATTCTGCAGAGATGTGTGTGGGAAGGTTTGGAAATAAAAGAGGCAGGAGCAAGCACAGGGCCCCCTCAGTCCAGCAGGCTGCCCAAGACCCCCTGCATATTCCCGCTTATGGGCTTAGGAGAATGGGGGAAGGAGGTTGTAAAGCATCATTCTGAAAAGGGTCAAGCCAGATTTAAGTCATCATTTATTTTAGCAGGCTCTTTCATTTTATCCTCCTGGTAATCCCTTGAGGTTGATGTTATTATCATTTGACACATGAAGAAATTGAGGTTAAAATTAGCTAAGCTACTTGCCCAAGATCAAGCCTCTTGGTAAAAGAGAGCAAGAAAGTAAAACCTAAGATCTATGTGAACTAGTCCAGTGCTCTGTATGAGCAGGAGGGAAAAACAGAAGCCCAAATGCCCTAGATGTCAACCATCAGTGAAAAATCAAAACTGATATTGAGTCTATGGGTTTAGAAGGTCTTGTCCGAGGACTCTCTTTATTTTGAAATGTGCATTTACATTGCCTATATGGCTCTATGAAATGGTCTTCATCTGTATTCAGAGAGAAGCAGAGAAAATAAAAATATTGGCGCAGAGTATGTTGGGACTAGAAATTATGGCATTAAGGGAGATAGGGTACTGGTTCTAGAGTTTCTCAGGGAACCTACCCCTCACCCTCCAAGTTCTCAGACTTATAAACTGTTACTGATACAGGAGCTAAAAAGAAATTATTGAGGCAGATAGGGAGGACAACAGACTCCTCAGTGGAATTTCCCTTTTAACAAAAGGCAGCCCCAAAATCATTTCTTTTCTAACAAAGAGCAGCCTGAAAAATCAAGCTACAGACATAGAAAAGCAAGCTGAAAGCTTGCATGGGGGAATGCCGGCAGCTGTGCCAATAGAAAAGGGCTACCTGGAAGACAGGCATGTTCAACATGGAGACTCCATCTTCTCTTTTCTTTGTCACCACATGTACAGTAAGAAACAGGCAACATGGAGCTCGCTAGGTAGAGAACCCATCTGCATGATAAAAGATTAGAGTGGGGGTGGCCAGATTTTCACGCACTATGCAAATGACACACCTGGTCCGACCAATCTTTCATGCTCTATATAAATCAGACACCGTCTCCTCAAGCTCACCTATAAAACCTTCTACACTTCACTGCGGAAGTGGCAACCCATTTTCTCTGAGACCCCTTTCTGTAGCAAGAGAGCTTTTCTCTTTCTTTTGCCTATTACATTTCTGCTCTGAACCTCACTCTTGTGTGTCTGCATTCTAGTTTTCCATGGTTGTGAGACAATAAATCCCGAGTATTTAACCCAGACAACAATGCTGCTACCCTATCACCCCCAAAACCAGAGCAGAAGCCAAACTCAGGCATCAGATCACCAATGACAAACTCAAAGTGCCAGAGAGCATCTACCTCAACCTGTGCCCGGCCCAACAAAGTGAAAAGAGAAATCAGAGGTTCAGAAACTCAAGGTCAAATAGAAAGTCTCTGTAACAAAGACTAGAATCTACTCTTGCTATTAGTTTGGGATTCACTCCTCTGCTTTCTACTTTCTGGTTATAGTATAGGCATTGCAACTATGGTTTACAGCTCTGGGTCAAATCAACGAAGGTTCAAGTTGTGATGCTAATTTGTGACCTTGAACAAGTTTTTTAACCTGGTATGCACATTGGTTTCCTCATTAGCAAAATCGGGATAGTAATGGTGCCTACCTAATAGAGTTATGAAGCATAGAAGCTCGAGTTATTATGCATATAAACACTTCGTACAGAATCTGACCCAAGGATGTGTTCAATAAATGTTAGCAGTTGATTATGATGCTCATGAAAGTACATTATAAACTGAAGTGCCATTTGGATGTTACTTATTACCACAGCCTAATATTCCTAACAAGGTCCTATACTATATAAATCTATTCTCCCTTACATAACATAATAGCATTTAGGCAGTTACAAGATCTATAAAGCCATCTTGTTTCTCATCATTTTTAATACAAGAAATGCAAACTACATACATAATCCTTTCTAATATTCTTACGTATCACAATCCAGACCCAGATAGTAAATATGTCTTTGCACAAAGCTACAGATTAGCCAATAAGACAAATAGCCCTCTCTGACAACAGTATATATTTAAAATACAATTGAAAGATGTAGTGTAATAAAAATATATATTTGGTCTTTGTCCCAGTGTTCCTGGCACAGAGCTCCTAACTCCTTTGGAATTTCCTCAGCAGTAGGAATATCTTTTGTGATTTACAATGAGACACTTAGACCATACCTGCATTTATGCTGATGAGATGACTCATGGCAAGGCTCCCTCAATTGCTTCAGGATGAGTGCTAGTCACAGAAAGTCCAAACATGTTTAGAGAGTGGGAACTATCAACCCTATCCTCTAGTCGATGGGGATGAAAGACAAACTGGAAATTGAGTTCCATCATATGGCCAGTCACTTCAAAAATCACATTTACATTATGAAACCTCAATAAAAATTCAGAAAACTAAGGCTTGTAGAATGTCCCTCTTGGTGACCACATGTGTTTGCAAGGCTGGCACACCTGGAGAGGGCATGGAAGTGCTGAGCCTCTCCCTCAGCCTCGTATCTTACCCTTTGCGTCTCTTCCACTTGGCTTTCCCTGAGTTGTACCCTTTATAATAAAACTGTTATCATAACTACAGTTGTTTCTTGACTTCTGTGAGCTGTTGTAGCAAATTATCAAACCTGACGGCGTAATTTCATGAAAACTTCCAAATTTGTCACCAGCTGGGCAGAAGTGCAGAGGGCTTGGGGGCATTTGGGATTGAGAGCTGGCATGTGAAGTAGGGGTGGTCTTGTGGGACTCAGCCCTTCAACCTGTGGGGTCTGTGCTAGCTCTGGGTAGTTACTGTCTGAAGGGAATTGAACTGTAAGACTCCAGCTGGTATCAGAAAGCTGCTGTTGGGATGACACAGAAGATAGTTGCTTTAATTTTGAGCCTTCATTTACGTGTTGGTAACTGAGCTAGTAAGAGCTCTCTAGCTCTACTTCCCCTTGTGATTAATAGATTCCCCCCTGTGGAGCAAGAAAAGAAAGGTTGTCTGCACCCTCTATCCTCAGGGTGTGTCTGAGGTTATGGAGATACAAGGCAGTCACCATGATAAAAATCTAAAGCTGAATTTTAAAAGCAGCCTCAATGACATACTAAACATTTGACTTGTTTTTGTCACCCTTGGTTAGGACAAACCCTTCCAATTGTAAATTGAGAAAGATGTGTTTGCTTCAAAGGCATTGCACAGAAATACAGGTTAGCTGCAGATCCAGGTAATTATAAGGCAGCATGGGGGTGGGACAGAATCCTTGAGTTCCAATCTTGGTTCTGCCTCAGAGTTTAAGTGGCCTCACCAAGGTCATACAGCCAAGGAGTTTCTATTTCTTCATTCATACAGTGAGGAAGTTGCATGAATTTTGAAAGTGTGTTCCAGGAGCCACTTGTGTCAAACCCAGCTGGTATGCTTAGAAAGGCAGTCTATGTTGCCCCACATCTGATGACGCAAAATATCTGGGGTTTTGCACCCTGGAATCTACATTACTGATAAGCCTTTTGGGCGATTCTGATGCCCAGTAAAAGTAACAACTGCGACTTCTTTTCATTCTGATAAAGTATTTTATAGCATGATTTCCATCACATCATTTGTCTAAGTATAGAATAAGTTATGTGTGGTCAGGGCATCAAAAAGGCAGGCATCAGGTATTTCAGTACTAATAAGTCTTGCTAAGTATTGATATGGACAGGAGACAGGGAAATACTGGGTAGAAGAGGGTGGGTTCCCTGACAAAGACCCCACCCTCAAGCCTGGAAACCTGCAGCCCTAAATTAGATCAGGCATTCCGGTTTACATGCCCAAAAAGTTGCCTTTGGCCTACCATGCCCCATATTCTGTACCCATATAAACCCCAAACTCTAGACTTCAGAAGGAGAAGATGAGCAGACGAGCAGATGAACAGAAGAATGGCATGGCAGAGAAGGAGCGTCTGAACGTCAGGAGGAGTTCAGCTGGGGATGGTCAGAGAATCAGTTGCTGGATGGCCAAACTCCAGGGGAAGATAATCTTCCCAATCCATCCCCTGTCCAGCTCCCCATCCCTCCCACTGAGAGCCACCTCCACCACCCAATAAAACCCAGCATTCACCATCATTCAAGTCTGTGTGTGACCTGATTCTTCTGGTATACCGGACAAGAACTCGGGATACAGAATACTGTCACACTGGCCCCCTACCCTAGCAAAAAGGCAGAGGGTCCACTGAGCTGGGTAACATTTAAGCCATTCACAGACAGTAAGCCTAAAAGAGCACAGTGTAACACACGCCCACTTAGGCTCCTTCACCTGTCTGTCTGCATGCTCCCCCTCCTGTAAGGGGTTTGAGCAGCAACAAGCCACACCCCTGTCACACGTCCTCTGAGGGGGGTCAGGGAGCTCTCCCATTTCAGTATAGCTAGTTAGATAAAGATCAACACTTTTGCAATTTGTGAATCTACATAATTCTCTGATAATCCCCAAAACCTCCTTGTACAACTTCATCTTTGTGATAGTTTCTTTTGTGTGAGTTTTTCACACAATGGCATTATCTTTCCATTTAATAGGTCTACATAGTTCCAGCAGGCCTCAGAAGTAAATCTCCCCCAATTCTATACCAAGCCAGTTACAATCTTCTTGACTACTCACTAATTTCAGGTTAAGGGCAAATGCACTTAGTTAATGCTATGATACAATATTTTAACCATCAAGGAAGTGCTCATTAGAGTAACAAAAGAATTTAAGTGATTCTGATACAGTTAACAGTGCAAATGCTTCTGATTCTAAAGATTAGTATTGACCCCTCAAATCCATCTCCTTCAAAGGACATCAGCTATTGCAAAGTTTCAGAATCCTGCTTCTCCCTTTTCGTCTTCCTTCTTCCCTCTTTCATGTAATATTTGAGTTGTTATCTGAAGCACCCAGCTGAGGTCTTTGGCTTTTTTATTTCCATTTCAAAGTGCCTGGCTTCTACACAGATCTCTTTACATTTTAAATAACACTTACTTGTTTGCAGCCTTCTTACATTGCATGTTTGGAAAACACATGCTGACTTAAATCATTCCCACTTCCTTCATTTAAGTGGCCACTAAACTGATGCTTCAATGCTCAGACCTAAGCCATTTGTCCTGGGTAAGGTAATTTAAGGTAATGGAAATTAGGCTATGAAAAAAAAAGAATCAGGTTCTCCAGAAGGATTGTAATCGGTAACTTAAAATAAAGGTTCTCTGGATGGTGAAACCACTTTTTGTTCTTATGAAAGATTCCAAGAGAATCCAAGAAACTTCAAGCTCGATTTCATGTTTATAAACAATATCTTTCTACACACTAGTTGCATAGGATAGACTCTATGTATATGGGTCCTAACCCTTGGAGGGAATGAGAAGGGTAGAGGGCTTTACGACTTTTAGGCAACCTTTCCCCTACACTGTAAAAAAGATGGAACCTTCCTACATACTCTCTCAACAAGAGCTTCTCCAAGTGTGGGCCATTGTGCTGGCCTATAAGTTGTTTATTACTGGTCTGCAGCAAGTACTGACATTGAGGGAAAAAAATCAGAATTTATAGAGATTGAAAGAACGATTTTATGCCTACTAAAAATAAGGAACTTGTACTTTGCATAGATTTTTGTGTTTTTGTCTTATAAGAGTGTTAGCCTATAGTGGACTAGAAATTTTTAAAACAAAAAGACCATTTATCACAGTTTGAAAAATGTTACTCTATGTGACAGCTTCCACTCAACTTTCAAGAGAAATCTCAAAGACCACAGACATGCTCCCCCAAGCCATGATGTGCTGATCTGTACAAATTCTAGTGGCCTATGCATCTTATATGCGTTAATAGTTGCAACACAGAGATGGGAGGTTACTTCATGCCATTTGTACCAAAATTTTGTCAAGAGCCAGCAGAATCTCCAGTATGAAAGAAGTTATCAGATAGCAGAAAACACAGAACAGAGGTGGGTTTCACCATTATGGAGCTCAGATATGAGCCTCACTTCTTTGAGCTCAGCAAATCCCCAGAATCACAATCCCAATAACTTGTACCTCTGAGGGATATGCAGGGTCCTTTTAGGAAATACAAAACACACTTATCAGTGTTGACTGCTATGGGGGGGATGAGGAATGTAGGCTGCAGAGACCGTGGGTGCATCAGTGAGCACTTCAACATTCCCTCCCCACAACTTCTCTAAATGAATTAACCTGCTGGGGGGCTGGACATCCCAAGGGTGGGGAGACTCCTGATAATATACCCAGAATACGGTATCCAGTCTAGGAAACTCATGGACTGAAATGAGCCCATGAACTTCTTTCTAGTCCCCTTGCTCAAAACCATCATTTTCTTGGCATAGGGGGCAGGTATCAGGATTAACAAGGAGAGGGACTGGGTAGTGGCCTCCAGCAGACTGTGTATTTGAATGTTTAGAGGTCATAGCCATTGCCTACTCCTACAGCTTTTGCAAATCAGTCAAAACACAGCTCTCTTAATGATGGGGGACTACCATATCTTTTAAGTTTATTAAAAATATAAAGTTCAGGAGAATCCTTGATATTCCTTTTCCAGAGATAACGTGCAATACTCAAAGAAATGATGCACTGAGAAACAGGAGAGTGGGTTTCCATAACGCCCCCATCTTTCCATCTACTTCACACACACAGAATTTCAATCACTTATTCCCTGCGTGACTCAAGGAAATGATCACTTCCTCTCTTGGGCCTGCAAAGCCCACAGAGCTACCTATGAGTCTCTCCAGATGACAACCCAGGTTTTCCAACCTCAAGCCTCACACCCTCTTCCACTTCTTTGATCTATTTTAAAAATAAACAAATTCTGCACTTACTGACTCCAATTGAAAGCAGAGATGTCTTTAATTATTTACACCCAGCAAATGCACTCCATGTCTTCAATCCTGAAAGAAATCCAAAGAAATGTCATCTTCAAAACCCCTTTTTAAAAAATATTAGGACTTGCTTTTGCCGTTGACATTTGTGTGCCTGTATAAGTGGGCCAAATGTTAATAATAACTATAAATCCATGAAACCTGAGTGGTAAAAGAAAATCTGCTCAAAAAACTACTCTGGAAAGCTAAGAATTTTCAAAGTGATTTTAAGTACAGGGATAATTCAAGAAGGTATATCACTGAGAGGGAAGGATTGATACTATCCTGAATCAGTACATTGGCCCAGGAAAGCCAAATCTTGCATCCTTCCCAGAATCTTGCATTTCTGAGAGGCTCATTACTGGGTGGGAATTGTGTTGGTATAAAATAGTTAATGCAATAAGGTATCTAATGCTTGCATATCGTTAACTTCTTCCCCACTGTTTCCTTCTTCCCCCAGCTCCCAAAATTTGTGTTTGCTTTTTAGGTCTGACCCTACTGTTCACCTTTACCACAAAATTGTTTTTAGCATGACAGTTGTTGACCTTATGATCACTAGAAAGATCCAGAACAGGTGCAATTTTAAAAGTCTAAGGATCCTGTAAGAGTATAACATTGGAAAGAGAAAGAGCTACTGAGTTGGAAGGAGGCAGAGATAGGACCCAGTGAGATAAAGCAGGAAAGATTTAAGTCCAGAGAAGTAAAGAAAGTAAAGAAAGTAAAGAAAGACGAATGACATACATGGGACTGGGGAGGCAGTTTTTGGTATGAGAGATACTGTAATTATACAGTCCTATTGCAATTATGATCCAAAACTTTGAAATCTGCTTTGATAATCACCCAACACCTGGAAATAAGGTGCCGAGGATGTAGGTGTGGGATGAAGAAGGGGGCATCTTTAATCAATAACATACTGAGGTTTCGCCTAAAAGGTTTACTCAAGGATTATTTAATTCTGTAGAAGCCTGTACCCACGTTTGACATAGCTATTTAGTATTTGACAGGAGCCCAGACAGTGTGAACTTACATGTTAATTTGTTGATTTATGTCTAGTAAAAGAGATGTCCCCAAACGTCAGGGTTTTAAGTTTTATTGCTCTGTGAAATATTAACCAGTTTTTTATGTAACCAAGCAAATGTATGCTCACATTTTAAAAATTTCTATAAATTCCTGATTCTTCAAATACTTTTGCAACCAGCTTTATCATCTCATTTGTTCCCTTATCGATGAACTGAAACTGACACGTTTATATATTTGTATCAGGATCATGTTTTTAACTTTTTGAAAAATATACTTTGACAATGAATGTATAGTTCCCTCCACCATTATTACTACCATTAGCTTTTGTATTAAATCCTCAAATCTAGTTATTTTTTCAGCTGCTATACTATTTTCTTTGAACAAAACTGTTCTAAGCCTGGCTTAAAAAGAAAAAAAAAAAGGCCACCCTAGTTGCACATGCATTCTTTTTTCTGTTTTTTTGTTTGTTTGTTTGTTTTTTGTTTTTTTTTACCTGAGTGACAGCTGTATTTGGGGATGTCTGCTGTCTTAGATTCCGGAAGCCTGAATTCTGGTCCTCGCTTCGCCTAACATTCTAAGCCAGGCTCCTTTCCTCAGTTTCTCCATTTGCAACATGAGAGGTGCAGCCTCCAGGATATCTTCCCCAGTTCTGACAATCCTGCAGTCTATTCCAGGATGTTCTCTTTGTCTTAAGGGCTATTGTGTGGCCCTCTTGTCTAGGTGGTAAAAATGTTCTAAAGCTCCACAGCTTCCCTTATTCCACAAAGAAGGAAGAAAAAGCACCCTTGTGGGTTGAGCTGAGTTACTTTAGACCAACTAGAAGAGGAAAGTCTGTGTCCTGACCAGAGAAGAAATTCATCAGAGTGAAGGCCAACAGACAAAACCTTAGTGAACACACAGAAATGCAAAGCAAAGTAGCTGAAAGCTCTCCCAACCCAGACAGTATGTAAATCCCTTAGCAGCTTGCAAGTGATTTCATATTCCTTTTTGGGAGGGGGGAATTAAAAGGAAAAACATTTCCATTGCCATCACCAATAAATATATTTAGGCATCAATATCAGCATAAACACGTGAATCTGTTCACATTTTCTAGCCATTTGAAGTGTTTATAACTGTTGAATATATATTATTAAATTAATGCCGATTGGAGCTGGGAAGCAATTTAAATTGAAATGTCTTTCATTGTGCTGTAGGTAAGGCTGAGTGTGGGAAGCAAATTATCTGGCAAATTGAACTTGCTACACTCCAAATACCCATTCCTGGTGAACGTATGGTTTCCTGATTATCTACTTGGTTTCCTTCCCAGTGCTGACAGGCGTCTTCTAGAGCTGCCATCTGCGGGGAAACTAGTGTGAGGGTTGGTAGAGGACACAGGGGGCTTGCTGGGGCCAGGGCTCCGAGGCTGACTGACCAGCCCAGGAGCACTCCTCAGGGTCCTTTAATAAATAAGCAAATCACAAATGGAGTGATGGATACGTTGACCAGTTATGAGTTCCATATGAGCTTATGTAAAGCCAGGGTTGATTTTTAATTAAATTAAGGCAAGGAAAAGCACATTCACTTAAGAAGAAACATGGATTCAAATCAACCTGAAGGAGAGAGAAGGGTTGAGTCAGTTAAGGGGTATCAGTGCTCGAATAATCACAGTCCTGACTCAGCCTAACTAGGGAAAAATGGGTAGGTTTTATCCTATGAGATAGATTCCTACAAGCTGTTGGAGTTTCTAGAAGTAGCTCTAAATGTCCCCATCGTCTTCTTTCCCCATGTCTTCTCATATCACAGGAGGGCATTCCAGCTGCACAAAGCTTCATGAAGGGCTGTCCCCTGGCTCCATCTCTGCCAATACCTGTGGGGACCATGGGAACTGTCCAGGATGGCAGGAGGATAGAATGTGTGAGACAAGATGACACTTTACAAGCCCCAGAGTCAAGGATGCCCAAACCCTCAGTCAGTCATCCCAGTGAGAAGAGTTCTCTGCACTGAGTTTCCCTATCCCATAAACACAGGTGCCTGGCACAGGAGGATCAGATTTGAGTTAGGCAACACAATGGCCATTTCTCACCATGGTGATGTCCCTGCCAAACAGTGAGAATAACAATTGGCTTCATCTATTTTCATCGGACTCTGCCATATTTTTCCCCATTGGCCATCATCAGTTTGGTGGTTAGATAGACTCAACCCAACAGAAAGTAAGGAATGTAAAGAGGATGGCCATCTCAAATCCTATCCAATTACCTAGATTCTTGTGGCAAGTTAAAAATACAAAGTTTTCTACTTCCTTGGGGGAAATATCTACTTAGATTTCTAAAGGGAAATGTTAGGCTTTGCCTAATTTGGCTGTATGGTCTGACCACATTTTGGGAAGAATTAGAATGAGTCCCATTTCTATAAAGACCATCTTTGGCTACAGTAATGAAGCAGAAATAATGGCAGACATGAATGGCAACAGCCAAGGCTTTTTGAATGCCTACACTCTGGCAAGCACTCTTCTAAATGTTTCATACAAATCACCCCATTTAATCTTCACAGCTCTATGAGGTATCCTGCCTTTTCCTCTCAATTTCACAGATGAGGAAACAGAGGCACTGAGGTAAATTAACTCATCCAAGGTCATAACTGGCATTTTAGTCAAGAGGCTCACTGCAGTATGAGACAATCCTAAAATCTGTGACTTAACATACTAAACATGTATTTCTTTCTCCAATGAGGTCCATTTCAAATATTCCAGGTCATGCAAACTCCATCCCTTTTGTGTAGCTCTTTTGCAAGCAATGACGCAGAGATGCATGTTTGGTGTACTTTATGAAGCTAAAGGTCATATGTCAAATATGGCCTATGAGACCACCACAGCTAAGCATTGAGTGTGGAGAAAACAAACCTAATTTTTAGACTTCCTAGGTTATGATGTGACACACATGACTGCCTCACACATTTTATTGCCCAGCACAAATTACATGGTTTCCCCTAGATGCAAAAGAGCAAAAGAAAAAAACAAAGACATCTGGCTAGGCAACCACTTTCCAGAAATAACTCGCCACTCTGAGCAGAAGCTACCAGTTCTAGTGACATACCACCCTGTCTGTCAGAACTGGGGTGTGTTATTGCTGAGATTTAAACCTTAGCCCTTTCAAGTCACTGCTAGATCAATTTCTGGCATTAAACTGTTTTGGATACTTCCAAAGATACTAATGTGTATGTTAAAAGAAAAAATTCTTTTTTTTTTTTTTTTTTTGAGATGGAGTCTTGCTCTGTCGCCCAGGCTGGAATGCAATGGCGCGATCTCGGCTCACTGCAACCTCTGCCTCCTGGGTTCAAGCGATTCTCCTGCCTCAGCCTCCCAAGTAGCTGTGACTACAGGTATGCACCACCATGCCCAGCTAATTTTTGTATTTTTAGTAGAGATCAGTTTCACCACATTGGCCAGAATGGTCTCAATCTCTTGACCTTGTGATCTGCCCACCTTGGCCTCCCAAAGTGCTAGGATTACAGGCATAAGCCACCATGCTGGGCCTAAAGGGAAAATTTCTAAGAAAAAATACAGTATGAATTAAAGCTGCCAGGTAAATCACATATATAAGTAAAGTCAGCATGAAAGAAAACATGATGCTTATCCTATGGCAAAAGTCATTCAGGTTCAAGGCCAGAGAGAGTGAATATTTTAGAGGTAATGAAACTGTGGATAACAGAAATCTTATCTAATGAGAAATCCAGATTCAGTGTGATGGATCTTTCTTTTCTCAGAGAGAGAAACCAAAAATGTAAAATTTTATGAGAAAGCTCCAGGTTTTCAAATGTTAACCAAAGGAAACTAATTTGAGAGCTAGTTCTGGCAGGCATTTGGTTTTCAAAAGGATTATTAATAGCATTCAAAAACGAGAGGACTTCATGAAATGGGCTGAAGGAATTGCAATTGGTACCTTTTTTTTTTTAGACGGAGTCTAGCTCTGTCGCCCAGGCTAGAGTGCAGTGGCGTGATTATGACTCACTGGAACTTCCACCTCCTGGGTTCAAACTATTCTCTTGCCTCACTCAGCCTCCCAAGTACCTGGAATTACAGGCACCTACCACCACGCCTGGCTAATTTTTGTATTTTTAGTAGAGAAAGGGTTTCACCATCTTGGCCAGGCTGGCCTCGAACTCCTGACCTTGTGATCCACCCGACTCAGCCTCCCAAAGTGCTGGGATTACAGGCGTGAGCCACTGTCCCCGGCCGGTATCTTAAAGTATCTGGTGAGGAGTCTTCCGGCTAAAGGCAATGGACTGCTCCCAGGCCCCTGACAATCGCTACACCACAGTTTTTCTTTGAACCTTCCTTGGCTTTATCTAGATGCCCACCCTAACCTCTTCTGGGCACTCCTCTTAAAATCCCCCCATTTGCCATTAACCCCAATGCTTATCCAAGTTTTGCTTCTTTAACATTCTTCTCTTTCTTCTTCTGTATATTAGAGGTATCTTCTACTCATTCTGGTCTTAAATGTCATTCTAAGGATGACTTGTAAAAGTCTGTCTTTGCTCTCTTCTCAGCACTAGGGCTACCTTTCTAGGAAATGTCATCTAAATCAAACTCTTCACCCTGCCCCTCAGCAAAACTGAGCTTCACATCTTGATTTTCTTCTGCCACTTACTCTAATGCTCCTCAAACTACTTTGGAACAGGACTTTTTTTATATACTCTTAGGAGCTTCTTCTCCATAAATATTTTCACATTTATATTTTGTCTGAACTTTCTGCAAACTGGTAAGCTTAAATAAAAGATGATTTAGTGGAATGTACATATTGGAAGCTGAAGATAGTATATTTCTCTGGAGAGATAGAGATTTACCTCTCCTAGAACCACTGACTTATATTCCAGGCTAGGGAAGCTATGGACCACATTCCTCTTGCCTCCCTGGAGCATGTTTATATTCCAGAGTAAAGGTTTCTCTCTCCCTAGAGGGGGAGGATAGGCCAATATTCCAGTCACTCTATGTAAGCTCTAAATCTCTTAATTTCAGGGTTCTTCCCCTGTTCTCATTGTATCATCCAAAAAGGACTAAGGCTGAGAGAACTGTGCCAAGATACTCTGAGTAATAAATCATCTGTTCTCTGATCCAGAGGTGTCACGTTTCCTGTCAGAACATCATATGCATATAAACATAACAGATACATGTGTGAAATGCCATAAAAATGAATGACATGGAACTTAAAATACAAAAGCAAAAGCATAAAATATAAAACATTTTTACTATTACATTCAACAGACATAAAGTCACTCCATCAACTTGCCATAAACATTTCTAATGCTTACTTTCAGTTTCTGTGCTCATTATGTCATGGATCAATGCAAACAGTTTATGGACCTACATTGATTTATGGACCTTCTTTTGAGTGGCACTGACTTTTACCACTAGCTGGTTCAGGTTAAAACTTCAACATTAACCTATCTACAATTCCTTAATGAAGATAATATGGGTAGAAGTTGGAATAATGCCCAGCACGTACGTAAAAGTTCAATGACTGTTAAATATCATTGCTATCCAACTCCACCCTCTCCTTCACCCTTTCTTCATAATGAACTCTCAAGTCTCATTAAGTTTATCATTTAATTTATTTTCTGCACTTGTCCCTCCCTCTCCATTCCCACAATCATGACTTCAGTTTAGACAGAGTCTTATCTCACAGTGATGGTATTTCAATCACATGCTAATGAGAACATAGACAGCTTTACTATTCACAGCTTGAGAAATTGGTTGGATGGTCAATGATTCCACTGACAACAATATAAAATGCACTTGGAGAGTCTATTGGGAAATAAAAGCATTAATTTATTTAGAGGAATAGTGAGTTAAAGCAGTGCATGGTTAGAGACCCAATGTATGACTGACCATTTGTGTTCCATGGGATAATGTCTATAAAGGCCAAGTTATCATGTACCACATTCCAGCAAACTCCAATTTCCTTCATTCATAATGGAAGATACAGGAAAAGAGGAGATAAAGGAGCATTGTGTGACTTCTCTTATGTCTACACAGTCTGCCTCTCACTGGAAGTGGCTTGGGAAGATGAAGCAGGGAAAGAAAGAAAAAATCCTATCAAGGGTGGGCCCAGATAAAATTGCTCCCCGCCTTGGGAGTAAAATGATATATTTCTTGTGTGTACCCAGAATGTCATAATACCTATATGCTTCTGTCTGACTCTCATTGGACAACTCCTGCAATCATTTTCAGTGATTTTGCAGAATTTAGTATAGAGAAAACTGTAGAAGCTTCCAGAGATGAAGCTTCCAGGCCATGGTGCTTGGAGCCCTAAAATTTAAGCCACATGGCTCTCCTAAGGTACACATGAAGAGTCACAAACCTGCGACATGGAATAGCCTGCTTAGAGGGCTAGATCCACTTTAAGGCTAAATGGAAAGAGGTTTTGCAAGCCCCTAACAGGCACCGGAAGGACTTTTGGATGTAGAAATGTATTACAGGCAGCTAGAAATGCAGCCCCATTGAGACTTAAGATTGGAGATAAGAAGTGTCAATGTGGTATATCCAAAGAAATGCCATATTATGAAATTGGTAGGTCAAAGGTATAAAAATACAATCAAAGATAGATCCTAGAAGAATCCTTATATTTAAGGATGAAAGAAGAGCCAGACAAGGAACATACAAAGATGAAGAAGAAAATCCAGAAAAGTAAACACAAAACAATAGCAAAGCATTAGAGAAGCTATTGGCAGAAAATATTTTAAGAAGAAAAGGATGTCTGTAATGTCACATGTAAGACAAATGATGAGAATTAAGGGATGGAACATTACTGAATTTTATTACTAGGAGAGCATCCTAGACCTTTGAGAAAGAAGTTGGAGTGAACAGGAAAAGTCAAGGAGTAAGTGGGTGGTGAGGCTGACAATTCAACTATAAGACAGGACAATTTCAAAACTAATAATAAGAGAAATGAAGCAATTATGCATTAATGCAAAGTTACATTGTAAATGACCCGATTTAGTTTCAATGGTTATTCTAGTTCTTTTATGATTTATATGTAATACCTTGCTATCTGTTCTAACCATAAGTCAAAATCTGGAATATAGGATTAAACAACAGCAGTAAGAAGGCAATTATTATCCATGTAACTCAACTCAAAGTGCCTGTTGGTTACAATTAATTGAATAATACAAAGGAAAACATTCAGTGACCTAAATTATCCATGATCCCCTCAAATCTCCCTTTATGGTGTAAAATTAAGAACCGAGGTGAAGTCCAGGCACTGTGGCTCCTGCAATCCCAGCACTTAAAGGCGGGTGGATCACTTGAGGTCAAGAGTTCAAAACCAGCCTGGCCAACATAGTAAAACCCCATCTCTACTAAAAATATAAAAATTAGCCAGGTGTGGTGGTGTGTGCCTGTAATCCCAGATACTCTGGAGGCTGAGGCATGAGAATCACTTGAACCCGGGAGGCAGAGTGTGCGGTGAGCTGAGATGGTGCCACTGCACTCCAGCCTAGGTGACAGAGTAAGACACTGTCTTAAAAAAAAAAAAAAAAGACCTGAGGTGGAGAAGAGAATAAGAAATGGCATCAGAACCCTTACCTAGTACGATATTGGAATAAAAACTCTCATCAAGAGAAAGTGAACCCTCTGGAGATTGTTCTATTAAGAAGTTCAAACACAATTAAAAACAAAAAAATTCAAACACAGAAAGAGAATAGAAAGATAACCTGCACCATCCACTGAGCCCCTAACCATACAGTGTGTGAGAGATAAGAGGCCATGCTTAGCAGCCAAAGCCTTCTTAACAGTGAAGTTCAAAGCCAAGCCAGCCAAGTCAGCTTTCCACTGCTGCTCTTAGACCTTTATGTTACTAGACATTATTATCCAATGTAGAATGGAACATGGGGCCAGTCTAATCAAACCTCCTCCATTTCTTGAGGAAAAAGAATTTTGGTAGCTTGAGCTTAATGTTGAAATCCTGTGTAGGAGAGAGAGAGAGACTTTTACACTTACTAAGGTTAAAAGAGAGATTAACAAGACTGAGTCTCACTCCTAGAAAGCATCCTGAACCCCATTGCCTACTCTTTCCTGATTCATATTGGCCTTGATTCTCAAGACAGATGATCAACACCCTCTACTCAGCCCATTCCACCCACTCATAGCTCCTTCGTATGTAGCTCCTTCTCACTGTTGACACTGTCACATAAATGTCACCTCCTTAACAAGATCTTCACAAACTACCATGTAAATAAAGCAAGCACAATCTCTATTTTCTCTCCCCACTGTTCATTCCCTTCAAAGCATCTGCAGAATGTAATACTTCCTGACTTTTTATTGTCTAAATACTCTGCTTCATTTACATACAAAGGTTTGGGTCTTAGCTGTTTTTTTCCACTAGTATATATTTTAAGAAATTTTGGTAGAAGGAAGAGAGCAAGAGTAAGTGGGAAGGAAGAGGAAGGAGAGCAGAGGGTGTAGGCTAGGAAAGAGAAGGGAGGATACTGAAATTGTATTAGTAATTCTCTAATTGCTACAAACTTGGAGGCTTAAGAGAGAATAGATTTATCTTGCAATTCTATAGGTCAGAAGTCTGAAAGTGGCTGTCATAGCTAAAACCAAGCTGTTGGCAGGGCTGCATTCCTTCTGGAGCTGTAAGGGAGACCCTGCTCCTTGCCTTGTCCAGCTTCTAGAAGCCACCCACATCCCTTGGCTTCTTGCAATAGCCCATTCCACCCATTCCTCTTCTACTCTCCCCTTTCTTGAACTCTGACTCTCCTGCCTCGCTTTTACAAGAACACTTGTTGTAATCAAGTAACTCCAGTTTTCTAAGAGCTAGTTTTATTTTTTGCTCTCTTTTCTCTTTCCTTTTTCTCCTCTTCCTGACTTCCTACTTAGCTCTTTAGAAATGCAATTATAACCTTTTACCTTCATCTCACCAGACACTCCCTACAGGACAAGCTTATCTAACTGTGCTTACTTAAAAGCTCCACAGCAGAACTCTCTCCCACCAGGAGATTGCCTTGAAAAGACAATAGTCAATTTACAACCAAAAGTACAACTTAGTTTTGCCTGGATGGTGCCAGCTTGAGCACCCAGGAGATAAGGCACCAAAGCAAGTCACAGGGATCCTCACCTCTTCATTCCCTCTCCTATGTGCCATTCATGCCACCTCCCTTTTTAAAAGCACCTGCCTTCTGCTCCAAAAGGAAGGTGGCACCCTTACGGCAGGAAGCCTGTGCTACTTCTTTATACCAGACCTCATTCTTGTCAATTGGATTCTGCAAGCAGTGAGCCAATGAACTTGCATTTTGGTTACATTGTGACTACAATGGGCCTGCCTCAATAATTCAGGATAATCTCTACATGTCAAGATTCTTAATTAAATCACATCTGCAAAGTCCCATTTGCCAGGAAAGGTAACATATCCACAGGTCCAGAGATTACAATGTGAGTATCTTCGATGAGCCATTATTCATTCTCTACCACACTCAGGAAGAGAAAGCGAAAGGAAGGGAGAAAGAAAGAAAGGAAGAAAGAAAGAAAGAAAGGAAGAAAGAAAGAGAGAGAGAAAGAAAGAAAGAGAGAGGAAGAAAGAAAGGGAGAAAGAAAGAAAGAAAGGGAAAAAGAAAGAAAGGAAGGGAGAAAGAAATAGCAATAACTGGCAAGTATTCTATGTTTCTAAAGGTTGGTGGCGTCTACTTGTTTTAATGGAATCAACCACCTCAATTCCTTTAGACAGTCCTTCAACACAGTTACTTAATAATTGTTCAGCTGAGTCAAAACAGTCAATTCAGAAATTATTTAACAAGATGTTGCCTAAGAAACATCAAATAATTACTCCTATTGCCTTTTCCCCCTTCATACTTTTTCTCTGGCTGTTTCTACGTTACGTAGAACAAAGAATCAAAAGCAAAATTTTGGCAGATCCCATAAACATGATTAAAAATGGCCACTGTTTATTTAGAGAATAAGAGATTTTATCTATCCAGCATAATTGCTCAATAAGTCTCAGCTAGTATTATTATAGCCATCCCTATGATTCTTAACTTGAAATCTGCCAACTTATATGTAATTCACAGTGAACTTGTTAAATATTCAGACTTCTTTCAAATTATCCTGATAATTTTTTTCTGAAGCCAAGATCCTCCACCAAGCCTCACACTGGCTTTCAAATTAGGATGTATTCTACATTCAGAAAGCACAACAAAACTCTCTCCTGCTTCTTCAGACCCTAGACTCCATAGTTGATGGAGTATTTCATTATGTTGCCTGCAGTTCTTGACAAGATGTGGGAGAAAAAGAAGGAGGAAGACACTAGGAAATAATTGAAATGAGAAATGTCACCTTGAGTTTAGTGTCAGTGAGATTATACTCAGCCTTCCCTGGAAACAGACAGTGGAAGTAAAATGTCATTTACAAAAAATTACCAATCCTGTGCCTGAACAAATCCATCTTTCATTAATATTTGATTTTTTTTGTTCTTGTATTGATTGCCATGACATGGCTGTCACCCAGCTGAGTCCCATAACTTCTATTGCAGGCAATTTCCTTACAGAATTACTTTCCTGAAAGGGTTGGACGTTATAACAGCCTTGTCAAACTGCACACATCTACAGCATTAGGTAGTGACTGTTCAATAATTAACTTACTAGGCTGGACTGTTGGTACCATTTGAAAAGTTCCTGTTTACTGTCCATGCTTCTTGAGGCCAACGGCCAAGAGTAGAGGCATCATGATTGAACCATGTGTAGCAAAATACCAGGTTATGTGAGCTGTTATAATTGATTCTAAATGTCTTAAAGAAAGTGAGTTCAAAGATGAGAATAGAGCTGAGAAGAACCATTATCCATTAGTCATTGGATCAAATGATCCATTAACAACTTTTGTCAATACAGAATTTGTTGCATCCTCATTTGTAATTAGAAAATTTTCTTAGTTATGCTGTTAGCATGATACAATTTATATACTATTCTTCACTGCATGATAAGGAATCAACAGAATAGGAACTAGGGCTAGAAGGACTAAAACTTTCTGAAGACAGCTCCGTTTCAAGTTTGCTTTGCCTCATGGCAAATCTGCATGAAACAGAACAACCGTGCTCATTTTAAGTAGTCATTCCAGGGTAGTATTTCTGGTTGTATACCATTTCTCCAGTCACAGCAGTTGCAAAACATGATTGCAAATTTGACTCCTCCCACTAAGAGTTCAACTCTCTTCCCCTTGAATCTGGGCAGACTTAAATTGCTTCAACTATATAGCACAGTGGAAGTGACGCCGTGTGCCTAAGTCATGCAGCTTCTACCCTGGTCACTGGAACACTCGGAGTCCTGAGCTACTGTGTCAGAAGTCTAACCACACATATACTATCATGCTGTGGAAAAGCCCAAGAAATTGAGGAGGTCACATGTGGGCACTGTGTTTAATAGTGTTCCAGCTGAGGTGAGCTGTTGAGTCATCCCAGATTTCATAGGTAAATGAGAAAACTTCCAGATGGTTCCATAACCAAGCCGTTAAGCCTTCTCAGTTGAGGCTCCAGATGAGGTATGTAGAACATGGACTAGCCTTCCCTATTGTACTCTGTTCAAATTCTTGATCTGCACACATTTTGAGCATAATTAAGTAGTTATTTTATACAACTATTAGAGTGATTTGCTTTACAGAAATAAATTGGAATATTTATCCCATCTCAATTTAAAAGTGCAAATTAAGGAGATTGTTTTTTCCAACTCTAGTCTATAGTATCCTTCCCTTCCCTGGTGGTTTGCTGCTCATGTCGACCATCTCAGGCAAGGAATATACAGGGTGGAGACTCAGAAGAGAAATTAAAGGGAGCAGGAAGACAGTTTGCACTCACTCCAAAACAGAATTAGTTATGGGTATTCAGAAGAATCATTGAAAGAGCTAAAAATACCTTGTGGTGGGACTGGAGGTAAGAGTACATGGCATTTCACAATTGAGAACAAAATTGTACAAAATGTAAAAAATTGAGAAGCTATCTCAAAGGACTAGAACTACTCACAAACAACTTCAAAAAATCTACCTGGGTTTTTTATTTTGAACTGAAACTTGTTTCTTACATCAACTTTTCAATCAGCAATGCAAAAGTCCCTTTCAGTTTGGTATTTGCATGGGTTATGGGTACATGAATTGCTACACAATGTTAAATGGCCCCATAAAATATTACTTGTCTGTTGCAAAGCCATGATGGAAATTCATGAAGACTTGCTGCTTACCTGCCATGTTTCCTATGCAAAGCACCTGGATCAATGATTGGAAAATCTCTGGAGGGGTGAAAAAATCATGTTCTAATTTGGATTATGTCACTGCCCTGCTGAAAATCTTCAGAGACCTCTCACTGCCTAATTACTACAGTTTAATTCTTGTGTCTTACTGTTATTGGCATTTTATCATCTTCTAACTTACTTAGTCATAGTTATTTGTTCTATTTAATATTTTTAAAATGACTATGTGTCAGGTACCATTATTAGGACAACATTGGTGACTAGTGACAGTAGATCCCTTCCCTGATCAAGCTAACATTCTTAGTGGGGGGTGTCAGAATCTTCAGTAAATAAAAAATTTTATAATCTTGATTAGTGCCATAAAGAAAATAAGGTGATGTGACAGGGTAATGGATAGGGTAATCAGAAAAGTTCTGAGGTTATAAGTGTAATTTTCAACTTTTTATTAAGAAAATTTTCAAAGATTCAGGAAAATAGAATATTTTGCTATGTACGTTCCTATTTTTATTAAATATTTTAAAGCAATTTACAGATATTTTACTCCTTAAATTCTGTAATCTTAGACAAGGGTATTTCCCCACATAATTACGGTTCTATTAACACGTGGGACTCAATTGATAATTTCTCAGTGTCAAATTCTCACACCATATTCAATCTAGTAGTTCCCTCCAAATATTTTATAACCACTCTGTTCAAGGATCCAAATAAGATCCAATCTTTACAACAGGTTATACCTTTTGTTCTTCAAGAATCCTGCTACTGTCTTTTCTCCCCATGATACTGACTAGTTAAAATACTGGGCTAGCTTTGAATTTGCCCAGTGGTTTCCCATGGTACCATTTAACCTGTTCTTTCTTCTGTATTTTATATACACTGGAAGTTAGGTATGGCAGCTTGATTTGACTCAAGTTAAAAATTTTTGGAAAGACTATTTGATAGGTAATTCTGTGCACTTCATGTTATATCACCTCATAAAGCATATCACATTCAAATGCTCCTCCATCAACCTTAAACCTTCCAGGTTAAGGTGTCACAGACTGATCCTGCCTTTAACAAGTAACATTTCCTGACTTGAAAGCAGAAAGTATTACATATGGAGAGATAGTATGACACCACACAACTATCCAATTCTTTATCAGTCTTTCATTGAAATGGTTTAATTTTTTGTTTGTTTGTTTTTGGTTTTGTTTGTTTTTGTTTTTGGAGATGGAGTCCTGCTCTCTTATCAGGCTGGAGTGCAGGGGCATGATCTTGGTTCACTGCAACTTCCGCCTCCTGGATTCAAGGGATTCCCATGCCTCAGCCTCCCGAGCAACTGGGGCTATAGGCACCCACCACCACTCCCAGCTAATTTTTTGTATTTTAGTAGAGACAGGGTTTCACCATATTGGTCAGGATGGTCTCAATCTCTTGACCTCATAATTCTCCCACCTCAGTTCCCCAAAGTGCTGGGATTACAGGCGTGAGCCATTGCACCCGGCCAGTTGATGATCTTTGACTGACTCAGTTATTCCATTAAAGAATTCAAAGGAGCAATTTTTCTAATGCCTTTATTTCTTCTATGTTTATTAGCCAACAGTCTGCTGTTAAAAACAAAAATCAAAAAAGAGCCTTCTCTCATCAAATGGGGTTATTTGATCACCCTGTCATGCAGTTTGCAGAGAAAAGGCAGATACTTACCTCTGCCTTTAAATCCCTGATGGATTTTTAAACTGTCATTATTTGCCTGTTGTCTTGTTTGTTTTGTATTTTTGTTTTTTTTTTTTTAATGGAGCCTTGCTCTGTTGCCCAGGCTGGAACGCCGTCGCACAATCTCAGCTCACTGCAAGCTTCACCTACTGGGTTCATGCCATTCTCCTGCCTCAGCCTCCCAAGTAGCTGGGAGTACAGGTGCCCGCCATCACGCCCAGCTAATTTTTTGTACTTTTATTAGAGATGAAGTTTCACTGTGTTAGCCAGGATGGTCTTGACCTCCTGAAATTGTCATTATTTGCTTTTAATGTGGATTGCTTTTATGAGAATAACTATGAGCTCATGGATTTTATATAGTAGTTGTCACGCATGTCCGTGTGAAGAGAGTCCACCAACAGGCTTTGTGTGAGCAACAAGGTTGTTTATTTCACCTGGGTGCAGGCAGGCTGAGTCCAAAAAAGGAGTCAGCAAAGGGTGGTGGGATTATCATTAGTTCTTATAGGTTTTGGGATAGGCGGTGGAGTTAGGAGCAATGTTTTGTGGGCAGGGGGTGGATCTCACAGAGTACATTCTCAAGGGTGGGGAGAATTACAAAGAACCTTCTTAAGGGTGCGGGAGATTACAAAGAACCTTCTTAAGGGTCGGGGAGATTACGAAGAACATTGATCAGTTAGGGTGGGGCAGAAACAAATCACAATGGTGGAACGTCATCAGTTAAAGCTATTTTCACTTCTTTTGTGGACTTTCAGTTGCTTCAGGCCACCTGGATGTATATGTGCAGGTCACAGGGGATATGATGGTTTAGCTTGGGCTCAGAGGCCTTACAGTAATTATGCTTTAATCAATTATAGTCATTCTTACTGTGATTTGGATTATAACAACTGTGGATATTATGAGCACCTTCAAACTGACTGTGCCTTTTTAAGTGACCATATTAGTCTTTAAGTATTCTTTGCTCTCTAGAACAACAGAATATCCCAACACCCAGGGCATTTTCTTCATCACACCTGAAAATCAGCCATTTCTTTGAATCCAAATTCTTTTCATGATAAATGATATGTAGAGAACAAAATCTAAATGTCAGGAGTGATCACTGGTCCTGGGAAGCTATTTCTTGGTTTTCTCAATGTGAATCTAAGATATTTATCTTATAAAAATGGTAAAGTTTTTTTTTCCATTCCAAGATGGCCAAATAAGAACAGCTCTGGACTGCAGCTCCCAGCATGATCGACTCAGAAGACGGGTGATTTCTGCATTTCCAACTGAGGCACCTGGTTCATTTAATTGGGACTGGTTGGACAGTAGGTGCAGCCTATGGAGGACAAGCTGAAGCAGGGCGGGGTGTCGCCTCACCCAGGAAGCACAGGGGTCAGGAGATTTCCCTTTCCTGGCCAAGGAAAGCCATGACAGACTGTACCTGGAAAAATAGGACACTCTTACCCAAATACTGCACTTTTCCCAAGATCTTAGCAACTGGCAGACCAGGAAATTCTCTCCCGTGCCTGGCTCAGCAGATGCCACACCCATGGAGCCTTGCTCACTGCTAGCACAGCAGTCTGAGATCAACCTGCAAGGCTGCAGTCTGGCTGGGGGAGGGGCATCTGCCATTGCTGAGGCTTGAGTAGGTAAACAAAGCCACAGGGAAGCTCGAACTGGGCAGAGCCCACCACAGTACAGCAAGGCCTACTGCCTCTATAGACTCCACCTCTGTGGGCAGAGCATAGCTGAACAAAAGGCAGCAGAAACTTCTGCAGACTTAAACATCCCTGTCTGACAGCTCTGAAGAGAGCAGTGGTTCTCTCAGCACAGCAATGGAAATCTGAGAACAGACAGGCTGCCTCCTCAAGTGGGTCCCTGGCCCCCATGTAGCCTAACTGGGAGGCACCTCCCAATAGGGGCTGACAGACAAGTCATACAAGTAGGTGTCCCTCTGGGACAAAGCTTCCAGAGGAAGGATCAGGCAGCTATATTTGCTGTTCTGCGATATTTGCTGTTCTGCAGCCTCCGCTGGTGATACCCAGGCAAACAGGGTCTGGAGTGGACCTCCAGCAAACTCCAACAGACCAGAGCGGAGGGACCTGACTGTTAGAAGGAAAACTAACAACAGAAAGAAATAGCATCGACATCAACTAAAAGGACATCCACACCAAAACCCCATCTGTAGGTCACCAACATCAAAGACCAAAGGTAGATAAAACCACAAAGATGGAGAGAAACCAGAGCAGAAAAGCTGAAAGCTCTAAAAAACAGAGTGCCTCTTCTCCTCCAAAGGATCGCAGCTCCTCACCAGCAATGGAACAAAGCTGGATGGAGAATGACTGACAAGTTGACAGAAGTAGGGTTCAGAAAGCCAGTAATAACAAACTTCTCCGAGCTAAAGGAGCGTGTTCTAACCATTGCAAGGAAGCTAAAAACCTTGAAAAAAGGTTAGAAGAATGGCTAACTAGAATAAACAGTGTAGAGAAGACCTTAAATTACCTGATGGACCTGAAAACCATGGCACGAGAACGTCGTGATGCATGCACAAGCTTCAATAGCTGACTCGATCAAGTGGAAGAAAGGATATCCATGATTGAAGATCAAATGAATGAAATAAAGTGAGAAGACAAGTTTAGAGAAAACAAGAGTAAAAAGAAATGAACAAAGCCTCCAAGAAATATGGGACTATGTGAAAAAACCAAATCTATGTTTGATGGGTATACCTGAAAGTGATGGGGAGAATGGAGCCAAGTTGGAAAACACTCTTCAGGGTATTATCCAGGAGAACTTCCCCAACCTAGCTTCCTATTCAACATTCAAATTCAGGAAATCCAGGCCAACATTCAAATTCAGGAAATACGAGAACACTACCAAGATACTCCTTGAGAACAGCAACCCCAAGACACATAATTGTCAGATTCACCAAAGTTGAAATGAAGGAAAAACTGTTAGGGGCAGCCAGAGAGAAAGGTTGGGTTACCCACAAAGGGAAGCCCATCAGACTAACAGCAGATCTCTCCACAGACAGCCTACAAGCCAGAAGAGAGTGGGGGCCAATATTCAACATGCTTAAAGTAAAGAATTTTCAACCCAGAATTTCATATCCAGCCAAAATAAGCCCCATAAGTGAAGGAGAAATAAAATCCTTTACAGACAAACAAATGCTGAGAGATTTTTGTCACCAGTAAGCCCGCCTTACAAGAGCTCCTAAAGGAAGCATTAAACATGGAAAGGAACAACCAATACCAGCCACTGCAAAAATATGCCAAATTGTGAAGATCATTGATGCTATGAAGAAACTGCATAAATTAACGGGCAAAATAACCAGCTAACATCATAATGACAGGATCAAATACACACATAACAATATTAACCTTCAATGTACATGGGCTAAATGCCCAATTAAAAGACACAGACTGGCAAAGATGGGTCTTGATAAAGAGTCAACACCCATCCATGTGCTGTATTCAGGAGACCTATCTCATGTGCAAAGACACACACATAGGCTCAAAATAAAGGGATGGAGAAAGATCTAGCAAGTAAATGGAAAGCAAAAAAAGCAGGGGTTGCAATCCTGGTCTCTGATAAAACAGACTTTAAACCAACAAAGATCAAAAGAGACAAAGAAGGCCATTATATAATGGTAAAGGGTTCAATTCACCAAGAAGAGCTAAGTATCCTAAATATATGTGCATCCAACACAGGAGCACCCAGATTCATAAAGCAAGTCCTCAGAGACCTACAAAGAGATGTAGACTCCCACACAATAATAATGGGAGACTTTAATACCCACTGTCAATATTAGACAGAACAACGAGGCAGAAGGTTAACAAGGATATCCAGGACTGGAACTCAGCTCTGCACCAAGTGGACCTAAGAAAGTTCTACAGAACTCTCCACCCCAAATCAACAGAATATGTATTCTTCTCAATACCACATCACACTTATTCTAAAATTGACCACATAATTGGAAGTAAAGCACTCCTCAGCAAATGTAAAATAACAGAAATCACAACGAACTGTCTCTCAGACCACAGTGCAATCATATTAGAAATCAGGATTAAGAAACTCACTCAAAACCACACAACTACATGGAAACTGAACAACCTGCTCCTGAATGACTACTGGGTACATGATGAAATGAAGGCAGACATAAAGATGTTCTTTGAAACCAATGAGAACAAAGACACAACGTACCAGAATCTCTGGGACACATTTAAAGCAATGTGTAGAGGGAAATTTACAGCACTAAATGCCCACAAGAGAAAGCAGGAAGGATCTAAAATTGACACCCTAACATCACAATTAAAAGAAGTAGAGAAGCAAGAGCAAACAAATTCAAAAGCTAGCAGAAGACAAGAAATAACTAAGATCAGAGCAGAACCGAAGGAGATAGTGACAAACCCTTCAAAAAAATTGGCGAATCCAGGAGCTCATTTTTCGAAAAGATCAACAAAATTGATAGATCGCTAGCAAGACTAATAAAGAGGAGAGAAAAGTTAAATAGATGCAATAAAAAATGACGAAGGGGATATCACCACCGATCCCACAGAAATACAAACTACCATCAGAGAATACTATAAACACCTCTATGCAAATAACCTAGAAAATCTAGAAGAAATGGATAAATTCCTGGACATACTCACCCTCACAAGACTAAACCAGGAAGAAGTTGAATCTCTGAATAGACCAATAACAGGCTCTGAAATTGAGGCAATCATTAATATCCTACCAACCAAAAAAAGTCCAGAACCAGAGGGATTCACAGCTGAATTCTACCAGAGGTACAAAGAGGAGTTGGTACCATTCCTTCTAAAACTATTCCAATCAATAGAAAAAGAGGGAATCCTCCCTACCTCATTTTATGAGGCCAGAATCATCCTGATACCAAAGCCTGGCAGAGACACACACACACACACACACACACACACACACACACACACACACACACAAAAAAAAAAAGAAGAAGAAGAGAATTTCAGACCAATATCCCTGATGAACATCGACGCAAAAATCCTCAAAATACTGGCAAACTAAATGCAGCAGCACATCAAAAAGCATATCCACCAAGATCCAGTCAGCTTCATCCCTGGAATGCAAGACTGGTTCAACATATGCAAATCAATAAACATAATCTATCACATAAACAGAACCAACGACAAAAACCACATGATTATCTCAGTAGATGCAGAAAAGGCCTTTGACAAAATTCAGCAGCCTTTCATGCTAAAAACTCTCAATAACTATGTATTGATGGAATGTATCTCAAAATAATAAGAGCTATTTATGACAAACCCACAGCCAATATCATACTGAATGGTCAAAAACTGGAAGCATTCCCTTTGAAAACTGGCACAAGACAGGGATGTCCTCTCTCACCAGTCCTATTCAACACAGTGTTGGAAGTTCTGGACAGGGCAATCAGGCAAGAGAAAGAAATAAAGGGTATTCAATTATGAAAAGAGGAAGTCAAATTGTCCCTGTTTGCAGATGGCATGATTGTATATTTAGAAAACTCCATCAACTCAGCCCAAGATCTCTTTAAGCTGATAAGCAACTTCAGCAAAGTCTCAGGATACAAAATCAATGTGCAAAAATCACAAGCATTCCTATAGACCAATAATAGACAGAGACCCAAATCATTAGTGAACCCCCATTCACAACTGCTTCAAAGAGAATAAAATACCAAGGGATGTGAAGGACCTCTTCAAGAAGAACTACAAACCACTGCTTAACGAAATGAGAGAGGACAAAAACAAATGGAAGAACATTCCATGCTCATGGATAGGAAGAATCAATATCATGAAAATGGCCATACTGCCCAAGGTAATTTATAGATTCAATGCCATCCCCATCAAGCTACCAATGACTTTCTTCACAAAATTGGAAAAAAACTACTTTAGAGTTCATATGGAACCAAAAAAGAGCCCACATTGCCAAGAAAATCCTAAGCCAAAATAACAAAGATAGAGGCATCATGCTACCTGACTTCAAACTATACTACAAGGATACAGTAACCAAAACAGCATGGCACTGGTACCAAAACAGAGATATAGACCAACGGAACAGAACAGAGTCCTCAGAAATAACGCCACACATCTGCAACCATCTGATCTTTGACAAACCTGACAAAAACAAGAAATGGGGAAAGGATTCCCTATTTAATAAATGGTGCTGGGAAAACTGGCTAGCCATACGTAGAAAGCTGAAACTGGATCCCTTCCTTACAGAAAAATTAATTCAAGATGGATTAAAGACCTAAATGGAAGACTTAAAACCATAAAAGCCTAGAAGAAAACCTAGGCAATACCATTCAGGCCATAGGCATGGGCAAGGACTTCATGACTAAAACACCAAAAGCAAGAGCAGCAAAAGCCAGAATGGACAAATGGGATCTAATTAAACTAAATAGCTTCTGTACAGCAAAAGAAACTACCATCAGAGTGAACAGGCAACCTACAGAATGGGAGAAAATTTTTGCAATCTACCCATCTGACAAAGGGCTAATATCTAGAATCTACAAAGAAAAACAAATTTACAAGACAAAAAACCAAACAACCCCATCAAAACGTGGGCAAAAGATATGAACAGACCCTTCTCAAAAGAAGACATTTATGCAGCCAACAGACACATGAAAGAATGCTCATCATCACTGGTCATCAGAGAAATGCAAATCAAAACCACAATGTGATACCATCTCATGCCAGTTAGCATGACGATCATTAAAAAGTCAGGAAACAACGGGTGCTGGAGAGGATATGGAGAAATATGAGCACTTTTACACTGTTGGTGTGAGTGTAAATTAGTTCCACCATTGTGGAAGACAGTGTGGCGATTCCTCAAGGATGTAGAACTAGAAATACCATTTGATGCCGCGATCCCATTACTGGATATATACCCAAAGGATTATAAATCATGCTACTATAAAGACACATGTATGTTTACTGCGGCACTATTCACAATAGCAAAGACTTGGAACCAACCCAAATGTCCATCAATGATAGACTGGATTAAGAAAATATGGTACATATACACCATGGAATACCATCCAGCCATAAAAAAGGATGAGTTCATGTCCTTTGTAGGGATGTGGATGAAGCTGGAAACCATCATTCTGAGCAAACCAGACACCGCATGTTCTCACTCATAGGTAGGAGTTGAACAATGGGAACACTTGGACATGGAGCGGAGAATATCGCACACCAGTGCCTGTCAGGGGCTGGAGGGCTGGGGGAGGGATAGCACTGGGAGAAATGCCTAATGTAAATGACGAGATGATGGGTGCAGTGAACCAGCATGGCACATGTATACCTATGCGACAAGACAGCACGTTATGCACATGTACCCTAGAACTTAAAGTATAATAAAAAATTAAAGAAAAAAATAAAAATTATAAAGTTTATACTGAGACAAGTAAATTTTTAGTGCATAATTTGACTTAACATTTTATACTTGTATTGCATTTCTCTTGCATTGGAAATCATGGTTTTTAATTATAATAACATAATTGTTTATTTACTTTGTAGCTTAAATATAGCAGCTTCTAGATAGCAAAACCAACATTATTCCTAAAATTAAATTTACCTCGTGTTGTTTAAATAATTGTGCAGTTATTTTTCTCTTTAGAATATTTCTCACCAAGGATGCAATCAGTAATACATCAAAATCATTTGAACTAGCTCTTTATGGATATATTGTATATACTTGGATTCATTTGCTCATATATTCTAGTTTGTTTTTAAGTTTAGAGACCTTAAAAATATACTATTAATTTGTGATATAGTTGATTTAAAGTTATTCAATATAAGTTTTTTCTGTTTATTATACAGTTAGCTCTAATTGCTTATATTTTCTAAATCAACATTGGATATAATTTGAAAATAAAACCCAATGAAATTCACTCATTTGATATGTTTTAACAAATAAATAAAAACACTCCTGAAACCACTACCATAATCAAAACACAGACTAATTTCATTACCCAAGGTCACCCATGCTCCTTTGCAGGCACACTCCATCCTTCCCCACTTTGATCTTTTGTTAGGCTCTATAGTTTCTAGATATTTTTATATAGAAAGCTGTACAATATGTACGACTGTATATAACTTATGGCAGGCACCCTTCAGTATCATCCATATTGTTCCTATATTAGCAGTTAATGTATCTTAACTAGTAGTATTTTATTGTATAGCTATTTGACAGTGTATTTACCAGGTGGTGAACATCTGAGATTTCTTAGTTTTGGGTTGTTTTTGGTGCGTGTTTGTGTGTGTGTGTGCGTGTGTGTGTGTGTGTGTACTTTGCTTTGTTTTTATGGATAAGTTTATAAATGTTTACATATAAGTGTCTCTGTTTGAATATATGTTTTTATTCAGTTGGACTAATACCTATATGTGGGAGTGTGGGGTTTTATGGTAGGCTTATGTGCAGCTTCATAAGAAGTGTTCCCTTTTTCAGACATGAACAGACACTTCTCAGAAGACATTTATGTGGCCAAAAAACATGAAAAAAAGTTCAACATCCCTGATCATTAGAGAAATGCAAATCAAACCACAATGAGATATCATCTCATGCCAGTCAGAATGGTGATTATTAAAAAGTCAAGAAACAATGATGTTGGTGAGGCTGTGGAGAAATAGGAACACTTTTATACTTTTGGTGGGCAAGTGAAATAGTTCAACCTGTAGGGAAAAGAAAGAGATCAGACTGTTACTGTGTCTATGTAGAAAGGGAAGACATAAGAGACTCCATTTTGAAAAAGACTTGTACTTTAAACAATTGCTTTGCTGAGATGTTGTTAATTTGTAGCTTTGCCCCAGCCACTTTGACCCAACTATTTTCATCCAATCTGGAGCTCACAAAAACATGTGTTGTATGAAATCAAGGTTTAAGGGATCTAGGGCTATGCAGGACGTGCCTTGTTAACAAAATGTTTACAAGCAGTATGCTTGGTAAAAGTCATCACCATTCTCTAGTCTCAATAAACCATGGACACAATGCACTGCAGAAAGCCACAGGGACCTCTGCCCTTGAAAGCGGGGTATTGTCCAAGGTTTCTACCCATGTGATAGTCTGAAATATGGCCTCGTGGGATGAGAAAGACCTGACCGCCCCCCAGCCTGACACCCGTAAAGGGTC
Organism: Homo sapiens; assembly: GCF_000001405.40. Lineage (NCBI taxonomy): Eukaryota > Metazoa > Chordata > Mammalia > Primates > Hominidae > Homo > Homo sapiens. The sequence goes on from NC_000003.12 coordinate 7,942,132, forward strand.
TGTGCTGAGGTGGATTAGTAAAAGAGGAAAGCCTCTTGCAGTTGAGATAGAGGAAGGCCACTGTCTCCTGCCTGCCCCTGGGAACCGAATGTCTCGGTATAAAACCTGATTGTACATTTGTTCATTTCTGAGATGAGAGAAATACCGCCCTATGGTGGGAGGTGAGATATGTTTGCAGTAATGCTGCCTTGTTATTATTTACTCCACTGAGATGTTTGGGTGGAGAGAAACATAAATCTGGCCTACGTGCACATCCAGGCATAGTATCTTCCCTTGAACTTAATTATGACATAGATTCTTTTGCTCACATGTTTTTTGCTGACCTTTTCCTTATTATCACCCTGCTGTCCTACTACATTCCTTTTTGCTGAAATAATGAAAATAATAATCAATAAAAACTGAGGGAACTCAGAGGCCGGTGCAGATCCTTGGTGTGCTGAGTGTCGGTCCCCTGGGCCCACTGTTGTTTCTCTATCCTTTGTCTTTGTGTCTTATTTCTTTTCTCAGTCTCTCATCCCACCCGACTAGAAATACCCACAGATGTGGAGGGGCAGGCCACCCCTTCATCAACCATTGTGGAAGAAAATGTGGTGATTCCTCAAAGATCTAGAACCAGAAATAGCATTTGACCCAGCAATCCCATTACTGGGTATATACCCAAAGAAATAGAAATCATTCTATTATAAAGATACATGCATATGTCTGTTCATTGCAGCACTACTGACAATAGCAAAGACATGGAATCAACCCAAATGCCCATCAATGATAGACTGGATACAGAAAATATGGTACATATATACCACGGAATTCTATGCAGCCATAAGAAGGAATGAGATCATCTCCTTTGCAGGGGGCATGGATAGAGCTGGAAGCCATTATCCTCAGCAAAGTAACGCAGGAACAGAAAACCAAACACCACATATTCTCACTTGTAAGTGGGAGTTGAACAATGAGAACACGTGGACACAAGGAGGGGATCAACACACACTGGGGGCTGTGAGGTTGGAAGAGGGAGAACATCAGGATAAGTAGCTAATGCATGCTGGGCTTCATACCTGGGTGATGAGTTGATAGGTACAGCAAACCACCATGGCACACATTTACCTATGTAACAAATCTGCATATTTTTCCTGGAACTTAAAAAAAAAAAAGAAAAAGAAATGTTCCCTTTTTCCCCAAAGTAGCTATTAACGCACTCCCTGCAGAAGTAAGAGATCCAGTTGCTCCATATTTTTATCAATACTTGATATTTTCAGTATTTTTCAAAATCAAATTTAACGATATACCGTTTACATAAAGTTTACCTTTTTTTGGATTCCATTTACATTTGGCAAAGGTATAATCATAGGATTATCAAAATCCATAGACTAGTTCCATCACAATAAACCCCTCTTGGCTCCCTTATGGTTAAGCCCTGCCCTGCCCCCAGCTCCTGGTAACCACTGATCCCACTTGTGTTCCCATAAGGTATTTTTTGTTTCATTTTTTCTTTTTCTGAATTCATAGACAAAATTGTACAATAGGTAGCCTTTTGAAATGGCTTATTTCATTGAGATGATCAGTTTGAGATTCATCCATGCTGTTGCATGTATCATATTATGTTCCTTGTAATTGCTGAGTACTATGCCATTGTATAGGTATGCCAGAGTTTACTTATTCATTTACAAGTTGATGTATATTTGCATTGTTACCAGGTTTTTTGGCTATTACAATGGAGTCACTGAACATTTGAGTACAGATTTTCATGTCAACATAAATTTTCACTTATCTTGTAGATGAGTAGGATTGATGTCATATGATAAGTATATATTTAACTTATTTACATTTTTCTGGTTTTTTTTTGAATATATGAATCATACTTTCTAATAGGTATTTTCACACTCTTGCCTGCTAATTTTGTTATCTGTTATACCTGGGTCTGTTTCTGCTGAGTGTTTCTTATGGCTGGGAGTTATATTTTCCTGTTACTTTGGATGTCTGATATTTCTTTAAAATTGAGATAGGGTCTCACTATGTTTCCCAGGCTGGTCTCAAATTTCTGGGTTCAAAAGATCCCCCAGTGACCAGGAGGGGTGGCTCATGCCTGTAATTGCAACACTTTGCGAGACTGAGATGGGAGGATCACTTGAGGCCAGGAATTTAAGACCACCATGGGCAACAAAGCAATACTTGTCTCCACAATAAATTTTAAAAATTAGGCATGATAGCAATGTGCCTATTATCCTGGCTACTTGTGAGACGAAGGTGGGAGGATCACCTGAGCCTGGGAGGTTGAGTCTGCAGTGAGCCATGATTGCACCACTGCACTCTAACCTGGGCAACAGCATGAGACCCTACCTTAAAAAATAATAATAAAAAGACCCCCAGCTTCAGCCTCCCAAGTTCCCAAGACTACAAGTGTGTGCCACTGCACCTGACCTGGTAATTTTTTATTATTCCTTTAAACATTATGAGAATTTTTCTAGTACTCAGTTAAGTTACTCTGAAACAGTTTAATCTATTAAGGCTTGCATTTAAGCTTTGTTGGGACAGATCTTAAGGCAGCCTCTGCTCTAAGGCTAACTTATCCCAAATACTGAAGTTGTAACTATGCGAGGACTTGAACCAATGCCCATGTATAAGGAGGCCTTTCCAAACTCAATAGAACAGAAAATATTCCCAGCTTGCAAGGAGCTCCTAGCATTATTAAACTGCTTCCCAAAAATTATATCGCTGCCCTTACCGAGTTCCCTTTCATACACTCTAAAACCAGTACTCTGCCAAAAACAAGAGGGGATGCTTCTGCAAATTACCAGAATGCCCTCTATGAATTCCATCTTCTCTGGTGTTCTGCCTCAACAAATACCTGCCTTACTGGCCTCTTGAATTCTGTCTCCTGTGTTATTACTTGGAAACTCTCTGCAGGCTGATAGACTCTCTTCGGCTTCTTCTCTTTGCTCTGGGATCACATTCCTGTACTACGTTTTCCAATGATTGTATGCAAACCATTGTTTTATATGTTTTATCTATTTTCTTATTATTTAAAGCAAGAAGGAATCTGGTCTTTCTTACTCCATCATGTCTGTAAGTAGAAGTCCCTGAAATTGCTTTTTAATTTCCATTTCCCATTGTGTATTGCTAGTGACTTCTGCTTGTTTTTAATTTTGGATTACATTTATCATTGACATAATTGTATTTTTACATTTATATTTTCAAAGTAAGAATATTAAAAATAAACTCAGTAATTGCATTCATGCTCTCATACCCTTACACAACTCCTTTGGCTAAGCTTTACCATTTTAGTTGATTCTTCTGAGTTTTCTGGTAATGGTCTCATAATATGAAAAGACAGCTCTGCAAAGATCCATGGGGTGGGGACTTGAGCCAGAGACAAAATACAAATGCCTTGATGCTTTCAAGAGTGTTGCCTATTTTAAAAATAATAAAAGAGAAATAAAGGAATAAAATGAAAGCCCGGAAGGTGTCCAGAGCATTATAGTGAAGAAAGGAAAGACACCATTCATTTTAGGTTATAGAAGTCACAGAAATCTTATCAGGTAGGGCCTGATGTGCTAGCATAAAAAAAACTTAGCCATTATTCTCAATGTAATAAGAGACAACTGAAGAGTTTTAAGCAGGGGAATGATCGGAGAAGGTTTTCAATCTTAAAACTATCCCTCTAGTAAGAAACATGGAGGGTGAATTTTGTTAAGGGGACAGCAATAGCTATATGAAGACAAATTAATAGAGGCATGGTAAAAGTTTAGGGGACAGATGATAATTTTGCCCATATAGGTGACCAGAGTAGAAACAGAAAGGTAAAAATGGCTTCAGATTACATTTGTTTTCATTAGAAATTGCTGGTGAGTTTCATGTGATGGTAAAGGGAAGAAATAAATAAGAATGATTCTCTGGCTTTTGAGAAACTGGGTTCTCTGAATTACAAGCAAGAAACAGAGTTGATGGGAGGAGATTGGGGGACCAAGAATTCTGTTTTGGCCTGTTCAACTCGAGGGACCTATTAGACATTCATCTGCATATATCAAGTATGAGGTTGGTTATGTTGGCTTGGAGCTCAGAGACTGGGGAGGGCAGAAAACAATCTGAGAGGTAATGAACAACGCAGTAGATCAAACCGTCCTGGGAAAACATGTGTTTGGAGAATAACAGGGGTGAGACCCAAGCCCTTAGTACATATAAACATGCAGGTCTGGCAGAGGAAAAGAAAGCAGCAAGACAATACTGAGAAAATGAAGTCAGGTAGGAAAAAAATGGAAAAGTGCTATGTCATAGAAAAGAAATGTGCAACTCAAGAAGGAAATAAAGTTGTGTCCAACTCGGATCTGTAAATAAAAGAATAGAGCAATCTCAAAGAGAAATAGAGATGGAAGCACAGATAGCCCAGAAAAAGACAGGGGAAAAAAAGGAGTGGGCGCTACCTGCTTCTTTTCAGTCCCCGTCATGTTGGGTAATATTTCCTATAACTGAGATCCATGCAGTTCCCAATATGTCCTCCAAATTCCCTTCACATATTCCGGGCAGATTTCTCTCTCATAGTTATGAATCCTATGACACTGCTTCAAGAGAAGGAACTAGATAGCCTGAAGCAGTAATTCATATGTTAAAAAAAAACTTTTTGAGAATCATAATTGATGACTACAGCCATGTGTGACTTTTTAAAGGGGTAACAACAAAAAAAAGAATGAACATTTGAAAGTGACCTATATACCAGACATAAGATGTGCTTCACCATACATTAAGTCATTTAACCACATAGCAAATATGCAGGATTAGATTCTGTTATTCCTATTTGGATATAAAGAAATGAAAGCTTGGTCAAGTTAGTCAAGTCTCTATTCCTTGGATGTAAAGCTAATTCATGGCAGCCAAGTTTCAAATCAAAGTTTACTTCAAAGCTCACCATGAACACTCTCCCAAATAAGGCATTATTTTGAAGGACATGATTTTTTTCCCCCACCCTTAGCAGATTCCATTTCATGCAGACAATGTTGCCATCAGTAAACTATCTGTGGCACTGACTCCTGCCCCACCACTGCAGTAGCATAGTCTACATGTACATTGCTGACATGATTAGGAAAGGCCAATGACACAAAGAAAATGAAGTATGTTTTCTGAAAAGCATGCACATTGATCTGTATGAGGTATCCCTCCCCAAATTCCCAAAGTTAGTTGAGCAATGGTATAAAAATAATGAAAACAATGTGTTGAGTTTAGGAGAGACTACGTGCTAACGTATACAGGAGATTCTGGGATGTTTATAATTTCAGATTGGGGCAAAATTTGCAGTTTTATATGTTGCACAAAAATAGTTATACAAAAAAAGTGCTGCTCTTTAAACATTTAGCAATAAAATACAGCTGAAGAACGAAATCTCAGACAGGAAATGTCAAACATTTTATTTAACAGGTGTGGCTACTGAGACAAAGAATTAAGTTACTAACCCAAGTGAAGTTACTTGCCCAAGATCAAATGGCTACTGAATAGTCAAAGACAAAAGTAGAAAGGAGATGTCTCTCCACTAAGATTGAGCTCTAAGACTATATGGTGTATCAGTTGAATCTCACGTGTATGTATAGCTGATATTCACCTGGAGGTGAATACTGTAGCTCAGATACAGTAAATGCAAATTTAAGTAAATTAGAAAGTGAACTTTCTTAATTTCTGAACAATTCATAATTTCAACTTCAAAAAGGCAGGCAACAGTTTTTATATCCATGATGACAACCTTTAACAAAAAAATAGCAAACACCTCATTCAGGAAAGATTTTTAAAGTGTTTTTTTTTCTTTCATTTTAAATAGATGCAGAAAGAAATGGAGGATTTGAGAGAAATTTCTGCAGCCCTTTCAGTATGGAAGGGCTGAAAAATCAATAGGATCTGCATTTTCAAAGGAGAAACATCAAAAGAGGTCAAGGGCCAAGTGTGCATCTGGGTAGACTTTTCTCCTTCCTTTAAAGGAACACTTGGCCTTTGAACTGCATGGTTTTATACTACAAAGGTTTTGGAGTTATCCAAAATCTTTGAAGCTGAAAGAGGAGTTGCTTAATACTAAGGACTGAATATCCTGAACAAGTCACTAAAGCAGGCAAAACCAAAGGCTTTCCATGAATCCAGAACAATGGCTTTCATCCTACTGACCATGATGTTGAAACACAACTTTGAAAATCAGAAGTGGAGAAACTAGGAAACCCTCCAATATCAATGAAGACAATGAGACAAGGTCTGTGTAGCAACAAGATTACCACAGAGTTGAGCATCATGTACCTAAATCTATTCTCATACCTGCGATTACTAGCTGTGTGATCTTGACCAAGTCACTTTCTCTCTCCTAGTCTCAAATTCCTAATCACCAAATAAAAAGATTATCATCTGGCTGGTAAACTGGTTACACCTTTTGGATCAATTTCAAATGACAGATAGGTTGTCCCAAGCAAGATCAAATCTCAACTACATCCTGTTGGAAAGAAATGTACTTTAAATATAACACAATCAGGTTAAAAGTAAATGGATGAAAAAAAATAGCATGTAAACACTAATAATGAGAACATTGATTTATATAAGACATAGACCTATTAGACTTTGGGTTACAATAATTTGCAGATAAAAAGTATTTACTTATAATATAAAGGGTCAGTTTATAAAAAGGACATAAAAGTCTTTAGTGTATATGCACCTAACAATTTCAAAACACTGACAAAACTAAGAGGAAAAATAGATCTATCTACAATTATAGTTGGAGATTAATACTCTTCTCAAAAATTGAGAGAAAAAATAGAAACATTAGTAATCATTGAATAACTGGACAACATTATCAAACAACTTGATCTAGCTGACATGTATAGAACATTACAACACATGTCAGACTGCATATTTTATTTCAACTGCACACGGATCATTCACCAAAATAATGGCTAAGAAAAAAAAAACAACAACATGAAATTTCCAATCCTGGAAGCACAAGGAGTTCTGAGAAAGTAAATCACAAATCAATAGCTAGAAATATGTAGTGAAACTATAGAACACTAAAGAAAATGATCTTAAAAGCAGCTAAAACATATTCATTTATGAAAGGAGTAATAATTAGAAGATTTCTTTAAAGTAACAATGGAAATCAGAAAACGTTCATAATAATGAGACAGCCAGGTGGGAAGGGGGTCCCCAGAGAAACTCCAGCCGGCCTGCACACTTGGAGGAATACGCACCGAGCCACAGAAATTCCGGCCCTTTGCAACAGGAAGGAGCCTGACCCCTCCTCTTCCTGGGTGGAACTTGGGATTCAATCTTCAAGGAGTGAAGCATGTACTGGTACTAGCAGGGCTTTCACTCTGCTGAGAGTCCGTTTCCCCTTTTCTTCCTTTTCAACCCAATAAAAGCCTGCCTTACCCTTCAAGTTGTCTGCAAGCCTAATTTTTCATGGCTGTGTGATAAGGACCCTCATCTCTAGCCGAACTAAGGAAAAAGGCCCACAACAATAACAAATAAAATGTTCAAATAATATGCTCCAAGGTGAAAATAGCTGTCAATTAGAATAGAAATGTCTCTGGCAAACATCTCTTAAGGCCAAGTGATATTTCCAGTTAAACAAAAATAGAGTTCAGCACAAAAAATCTTCTTTAAACAATCTTCTAAAATATGTAATTGAAGGAATTTAGACATTCAGAATTTAAACATTCTAAGGTTTCAATATTGCTCAGGAGGAGAGTCAAGTTTTGATGGACTTCGGGCTTCAAAAAAATTAAGAATACATAGGGAAATGTCAAGTTTGAGACTAAATGGATTATGTAATTTTCAAAATAGTAGAGAAAGAAATGGAATTTTCAAAAATAAAAGATGAAGCAAGGAAGGAGCCAGAAAAGCTTCTAAAAACTAATACAAAAAGCAAAAACATTAAATGAGACAACAGAAATAAAGTTTAAAACAACAGTAATCACAACTAAGACTGATCAGTCATTTGAACGGCAGATAGATTTAAATTCTGCTTTATGCCATGAAGGAACACGCTAAAACTTAGGAAAATCAAAAGGCTGATAGGAAAAAGATGGAAAGCACGTACTAAAAACTAGCTAAAAAAACAATTGGGGAGTTTGTATTTATATCAGCCAAAATAGCATTTAGGTAAAAAATAATAGGGACAAGGAAGATCACATAATCACAGAGTTTCATTTAGCAAGATGATACATTAATTCTAAACTTGATTATAATTAAGAAGAAATCGACAATTTACCAACATACCCTTAGGCTTTCACGTAGCTCTCAGTAATTGAGAGATAAAGCTGACAAAAAGAATTAAAGATAAACAACTTATTTGCATTATGCAAATTTTGTGTAACTATTAATGAATTCATACTAATCTGAAGCCCACCAATAAAACATTTACTAAGATTAACTACGATAACGAGTTTTAACAAATAATCAAAATATAAATTGTATTCTTGAATCTCAGTATAATTAAATTCAAAATCTGTAAGAAAGCATCTAGAACTATCCTTATATGGGAAAGTCTAGAACAAGTAGGTAATGAGTAGTGGCCATTTACTTCATTTTAAAAATTATTTTCTCTCCCATTTTAAAATTGATGTAAAATTTAAATTTTGCAGGGGTAAGAAAGGAGACCGAAACTATGGGAAGATAATTGAGTCCCAGAATCTGACGGATGGGGTCAAAGGCAGGAGAGAAGGAAGGGACAGAGGAATTAGGAGATTTGATTGGTATGAAGATTCAAATCATTTTTGGGGGTGAGTTAAGTAGACACCTGAAGCGGGATGACCATAACCAGGTGGGTCTGTGGAGGTTAGGGGTGAGCGGGCAGGATGAACTGGAAGAGTCAGCAGGCACTGAATGAGGGTCATGGATATTAGCTGACAGGTTGGGCATTCTGCTGAGTGCTGTGGTTTCAGATGACAGGTGGAGACTCTAATGTTATTTGGTTTTGGAGGAGCAACACCTTGAGTTCTACAGAGAATGGGTGACTAATACCAGCCAAGAAGCATGACCTCATTCATCCCTTTTCCCTCTGGAAGGGCGTCTATGGTAGGATTGTGTTTGTTCTGCTCTAGTTCTTAAACTCCATAACCATCATTTCAACAGAGCCAGGCCCAAACCATGAAAATCAAGTTTTATTTAGAATATTAATAACAAAGGAGGAATTTCTGGTTCCTCCTCACCAAGTCCCCAGGCATAGTGATACACATTCACCCAGACTCTAGCGCATATTCACCCAGAGTACAATTAGAAAACAACTGTGAAACAATTCTTACTAGATATAATACACAAAAGACTTGGCTACCAAGATCTTTTAAAAACACTGATTAGGTATCAGCTTAGAATACTTCCCTACACAGTTCCCTAGATGCTCAATAATAGATTGGGGCTAGCAATAAAAGATAAAATATTTTTGCTCTCTCTGGTCTAATTATTATGCGAGTATTTTAAACCATTCTCCCTTACTCTGTCCACAGAAATCTGTCCTCCACTAACTTCTATATATCGCTACTAGTTTAGACCCTTAAGATACCTTTAATAAGCCTCACCCCTCTCTGAAATAACAGTCTTGCCAACATTAGAAAATTTGTGTGTGTAAAAACTGGGGGACGAAAAGGATTATAATTGACTTAAGTTGATACGGAAGGGTAGAGGATTACTAGGAAAGTTATATTTTTAGAACATGATTTCCCGTTATGTTTGTGCAGGTTATTTTTACCAAAAATAAATAAATAAATAAATAAATAAATAAATAAATAAATAAATAAACAAACAAGGCAGGTGTTACCAGTATGGTACAGACTAGAAGTTCCTTCACTGAAGTTCTCCATGCAGTTATGAGTCCATGTGGCTGTCTTGTCTCAAGCTTAGCCTGCACCAGTCTGAACACAAGTCCTGCTTCTTGCCTTCCTGAAGCCCAGGCACACTGTGGAGGAGCCACTGCCCAACTCTGCTGGGTGAGCTGGTCCTCCAAAGCTAGCCCAGTGGCACTGAGTACTCTAGGTCCACTCATGCAAATGTCTCTCGATGAAGTCTCTAATTCCCTGTTTGTGTCTCATTTACTATTTCTTCTCCTCTGACACTTCTCCATTAGTCTACACATATACCTGAGACTACTATTCACTACTTTTGATTTTGGACAAGTTCCATAACCTCACTAAGCTATTATCAGGAATTGCATAGATCAAAATGAGATAAGCCAGATCTTTAAAACTGAGTCTGTAAGGGGGAAAGCCTGGGAAATCAGTGCCTTTTAACTAGCAGGTGGTTCTAATGATGGAGCAAGTTTGGAAAACACTTTCATTAATGTCACAATGCTTTGTTAATATGTAGCTGAATCACCTGAATGCATTTTAAACAGGCAGCTTCCCCTGGTCTCTCCAGACCCACCTGAGACCCACTAACCAACTAAAGCAGACTCTCTTCATGTTTGCATATTCTGATGCAAGACACCTGCAGAAAGCACTTTGTGGAAGCCTGACTGAAAACTGATAGTGTGCTCCTTGTCCATCAGCATCAACATCACCTGGAAGTGTTTCAGAACTACAGAAAATCCTAGGCCCTACCTCTTCTGAATCAATGTGCATGTTAGCAAGACTCCATCCCCCTGCCCCAGGCAATTCTTATGCATGTTACCTTCAAGAATGGGTTTTAGTTAGGGTTCTCCCCAGAGACAGAACCTACAGATGTCTAGAGAGACATATGAAAAAGGATTTATTAGAGGCAATTTTCTTACTTACTCATGGAGGCTGAGAAATCCCACAACAGACCTTCTGTATGCTGGACAATCCGGAAAGCCTGTAGCGTGGCTCAGTCTGAGTTTGAAGGCCTCAGAACCAGGGCATTCTATGGTGTAATTCTCAGTCCAAAGCTGAAGGTCAGAGAGCCCGGTGGCGCATTGGTGTGAGTCCTGGAGCCCAAAGGCTGGAGAACCTGGAGTTCTGATGTCTGTCTACAGGCAGGTCTCTTCTCCAGGGAGACTGCCCTTTATCTGCCTTTTTGTTCTATCTGGGGCCCCCAGCCAATTGGAATAGTGCCTGCCCATATGGAGGGCAGATCTTCTTCATTTAGTCCCAGTTTCCCTCAGAGGCACCCTCACGGACACACCTGGGGCAGCCCAATTATTCTAATCAAACGCCAAGCCACCTGGGTTTCCCTTTCAGCAGAAAAGGGAAGGGCTCAGTATCTACTGAAGCATGGAGAGTAAATAATGCTTTCCCAGGTAAGTATCCCTTAATACAGTCAAGTTCACACCCAAAACTAACCATCACAGAAGCAGTGACTTAAGCCCAACAGTGAATCTCAGAATTAAGATTCTAAAAATGATTCTGTTCTCAAATGCTCTTGGGCTAATTTAAAATGTAACTTAACCTATTTATTATCTATCTCTAGATTTTAAAAAATAGTGCACAGGGAACTTTAACAGGTAAGTAGTCATCTGTCTTTAGAGCTGAGGTCTGTGTGGCCAGGTGATCTGTGTCTGTTCCACGTTTCCATTTGGAATGCCAAGAGCTCTGCCTACCAGCTGGTTTGGGATGTCTATGGCATGAATCATCAGCCATTTGGACCTTGACAATAAAAGGTTTTTAAAGGGAAATTGCTCCCCATCTTAGGCCTCAGTTTCTCTATTTGTAAAGGAAGATTACCATGCCCACTTCATAGGTTTGCAGAGAAGATCCAAATGATGTATGTAAAATGCAAGCTCAGCATGAAGCATGAGGCCATGTTTTATTTGTGAAAGGGAATGTGTAACCATGGAGGCAGGAAGTAGTGGTGAATGTCTCTGGAGCTATATTTTAAGCCCTCACTGGAAGGCTCACTCTACCTTGCTATTGTCAGAGAAGGAATAAACAACAATTGTATCACATTGGTATCACATCTGGAGAAATGCATGGGAGGACAAAAGGCAGGTAGGTATAAATGTGAAAATCATTTTCCCAGAGAAGCCAATTTTTATTTGCAGCTTCTTTGGCCTCTCAATTTATTGTTCTACTTCCAAACCCAGAAGGGTCCTCACATTTACCAACAACCTGGAATAATAAGGTTCTGACCCAAATTTTAACAATTGAGGATTTTTGAATCATAAATGAATATACCAGCAGGACTGTTTAGGATCCTTTTCTCTGTTTCCTTGCAATGTTATTCACTCCTATGTTAATTTATACCTGCATTCCTCAAGTATTTGCTATGTCTCAGGTACTATGCTAAGCTTTGGATATGCATGACTTTATTTAACCCTTATTATAACTCTATGAATGAGGAACTCATGCCTTTTCTGTAGAGAAGGAAACTGAACCACAATTAAGTTATAAATATGACGAGTCCACTCAGCTAGTAAGCGACAAAGACAGCCATTAAACCCAAGCAGCTTGATTCAGACTCGATGTCCTTTGCTTTTGGAGCAGCTACTGTGTGCCTGGCACTGGGGCTACAAAAATGAGATACATACAGTTTTTGCTCTCAAAGACTAATGGCCTAATAGAAGACTGCAAATTCTAATGCAAGGAGGGTAACCCCATCACAAGACTTGCCCATCGTAAACATTGCTAACGGATCCTCACAGTCTTTCCCACTGAATCTGGACTTGTCACGTAGGGTTCCAGGAAATCACTGCAATTGCTTGAAGTTGGCATTTCAGATGACGCTTTTTTCCCGTTCTTGCTACAGTGGAAATCTAAAATTATTAATCTTTATTGCCTCTTGCCTTGGCCTGTGATAGAAGCAAAGGAGAGTATTGATATGTTTTGCAATTAACAATATTAGGTATTAAGGATCTGTCGCAAACAAGCACAAGCCTAGGAAATGACAGTATCACGATAGTCAAATAGCCAAGAATATTGCTCTAATTTGTACAATTTGTCAAGAAAGATAAGCCTTTTACCTTACCCAAATCATGCCATGTCTCCTAAATCTCATAGCTCATATAAGTAATTTGCTTGAATTTTATCTTTTCAGGAATTAAAAAAAGGTTAAAAATGGAGTTTAAAAAAGATATAACTGCATTTACTATCAGATAGGGTGGGCTGACAATGCAGAAATCTACCTTAGCAAACCTAATATTATTCACGTTTCTCCAGTTAATTGAAAATGCACAGGTGGGCTAGGCTAAAATTAGCATAAGAGAAAAACATTATTTCTGTTTATATAATTTGCATTCCTTTGTATCAGTGAAATGACATATCAGACAAGAGGCTTACCTGCTGCAGTGCAATCTTTAATCCCCATCATGTATTAATCATTCCTCTGCAATATAATAAAGCTGCTTCTGTCATGATGGCATTGAATGTAAACAGTCCCAATTACTGGTAATTCTCAACTGTTTTGCAGAAAGAACAATGTGGTATGATCCATGGGCTTTGTAAGGAAACAAAATAATAAAGTTAACTGAGTTTTTCATCTTAGTTGAAACTTTTCTGCAGACTTCCCAGGTCCTGTGCTTACTTTCTTGAATTATTTCTAAAAACTGAAGCAACGTACAAGCAGACCCTTGGGAACAAAACATCTTTCCATTTATAAGTTTCAGGAAAATTTTAATAGGCTGAAAGCGAGGAAGCAAGTTGTGCTGCTAATTTCCCGCAGGCATTTCCCAAGTTTTTACCCATCACACCATAAGACCTTTGAGTAAAATGGTTCTGTTTGAACCAGAATATTGTTGTTACTCTTGTTCCACATAAGAGAGAAATAAAAATTTCCAGCAGTGAAAGCAAATTACAAGACAAGGAATGAATGTCACATCTGTCTAGCATTATGATGCACTTTCTTTAAGCTTTACCAGCATTTAAACCTTCTGACACTCTCAGAAAGTAAGTGATCACTAGTATTTCTAATGGTTTTGAGAGAAAGCTCTTCAAAGGAAGATGATTCCTCGGATGTTAGAGAAAGGCTATCATCCAGTTTGGAGGGCTGAGATGATGGTGACAAAACCAGTCACTCTTCACTACTTTCTCACCAGAGGCAGACATTACTAAATAATTTCAATGCTTTTTCACACTGAGCCCCATTTAACCTTCTCACCTTAATCCTTTGAGAAGCCACTAACAACGAATTGAAATTGAAGCACATAATGAAAGACGTTGTCATTTCTTCTTTCAGATTCAAACACCTAACTAGAGACTGTTTGAACCACTTCTTCATCAGGAAGGTACTCAGGAGATAAAAAGGAGCAGGAAATATTTGATGGGATTCCCTAAGCCTTCTCTTTCCTCTTCTACCTGTCCACCCACCCATCTTCTCTTTAAGAAATAATAAAAGTAGTTGTAGAAATTCAAGGTAGGGAGTCTCACATAGATGACTCCCTCATCCCTGGGGAACTAGAATGTCGTTTTATGCAGAATGGTTGCTCATATGCATAGAGAGCTTTGTAGGCCTTGGTAAAAAATAAAATGAGAAACCATTAAAGGATATCATCCAGAGAGAAGCTTAATCATCTCTAAGCTAAAAAAAAAAAAAATCACTGTGGCTCCTATGTGAATAAAAGTTGGAGAAGAGCAGAATAAATACTGGGGTAACCAGTTGGGGGTTGCTGTAGTCTGTGGAAAAGACGACTGTCCTTAATCAGGTTGGCCTGCCATAACAAAACACTATAGAATGGGTGTCTTTAAAAGCAGACATTTATTTCTCAGAGTTCTGGAGGCTGGAAGCCCAAGGGTGCCAGGCTGGTCAGGTTCTGGTGAGGGTTCCCTTCCTGACTTGCATTCGGCCACCTTCTTGCTGTGTCCTCACATAGAGGATGGAGAGCTCTGGTATATCTTTTTCTGTTTATTAGGACGTTAATCCAGTCATGGTGACTCCACCCTTGTGACCTCAAATAAATCTAATTATCTCCCAAAGGTCCCATTTCCCCCTGAAAAAACCCCATCTCTCCCTGTCAGATTGGAAGTTAGGGCTTCAACATAGAAATTTGGACTGGGAAGAAGGAACACGAAAATTTAGTACATAACAATGATGGTAGTGTGGAATAGGTGAGAACAGTGGGGTGGAAAATTATTCATAAAGCAGAATTCACAGGACCTGGTGAATTGATTGAATTAGGGAGGTAAGGAAAAAGGGGCATCAAGGATAATGCCAAAATTTCTAGCTTGAGTAAATGGGTAGGTGATGATGTCATTAACAGAAAAGAAGAAACAAATTTAGTGATTATGCAACTTATTCCAAAGAAAATTAATCTGATCTTATATATGAAATACTTTAAAAGATCTAGAGTGATGCTACTCAATGTAATAGTCTATCCTGAAGATAAATATTAATGCTAATAATAATAATCATAGTTAATTTTATTGTTTTGTGTCTACCAAGTATAATGCTAGGCTTTGTATATTTATTAGTTCATTTTCCATTTCATAAATAGCTCTATGACATGGATATTATCATCCTCATTTTACAGATGAGTTAACAGAAACACAGAACAATTAATTTTCTCTGTTTGGTAATACTAATGTTTGCCAACATTCATTTCTCTTCTAATCAGGGACAAAGAGGACTACAATCCCCTGCCCACTTGAAGTGGAGTGTAGCCTCATGATGTGCTTCGGCCAGTGGAATGTGAGTGGACGAGAACTATCGCTTTCAAGTGTAAGTATTTAAGAGCCTTTGTTTGATTTTCTGTGCCCCCTCTTCCTCTGCTGAGCTGTCCAAAGAAGCCAGGAGTTCAGGTAGTATAGCTGTATGTTAATAGAGCTCCTATAGGATCTGTCAGTGATGACAATTACATCGGGCATGGAACATGAGCAAGAAACAAAACATGGTTGCGTTAAGATGCTAGGATTTGGGAGGGATTCCCTATTACAGCATAACAGCTTCTTCTGTCTTACACGAATTCACTGTTAGTAAAAGACTGAGTCAGTCTTGGAAAACAGACCCTTTAACCACAACAGAGTGTTTATAAAAGACGGAAATTATCTCAAAAAGGTGGCAGCTTAATATCAGATCAGAGACTTGGCAAGTGGGGTGAAGGGAAGGCAGTGTTGAAAGTCTGTGGCCTGTACAGACCTTTCCCTATGGGAGGTGTCCTCTTTTGCACTTTTTTTTTCCACTTGCATTGGACCTCTTGCCCTATCGACAAAACAAATCTGCTTATTGGTATAAATTCAAGTGTTTCAAATAAGCCTGTGAAGAACATCAGTGGTTCCAGTCACCTCTCTAGGTCTTGCCCAAGGGAAGAAGCTTAGTCATTGAATGATCAATTGGCCGAATATACCAAATTTCCTCATTGTAATGTTGTAAAAATTTAAAAAGACTTAACCATCTTAACAGAAATGTTCATCTTTGGGTATCAAATATAATATTCAGAAAAATATACATTTTATTGCTTGGCACTAAATTCTCAGTATTAATATGGACATTTTTCTTTAATCTTGATTTATTTTATGTTATATTTTGGGTAATTCTGATTTCTTTTATTTACTTTTGAGTTTAAATTAAAGCTTACAATTGGCTTTTGACAAATTGGCTATCAGTGAACTAGCCTTAGGAAACGAACATTTGGAAAATTAATTTTCAGGAAGTTGTCCACTTCCACTGTCCCAAAGAAAGTTCCAGGTCTCAGAAATAAAGGCAATTTTATGAATTTAGCTGAAGCTGCAGTGACAAAGAGACATGTTGAAATGGGAAAGGTTCCCTTGTCCCCCTCTCAGGGCAACGCGACGGGAAGTGGCTCGCTTCTTACATGCCCCACTGCTCAAACCTCCAGGGAAGCATTCAGACAGGAAGGTTGTGGGGCTCCAACCCCACGGCAATGACTAGGGATGAATGTTTACAGCTGAAGCCCCAGTGGGCTGTGTTACAGGGTACTCTTTTAGTTTACCCTTCCATAGGCAGATTGCGCTAGTCAGCTCAATTAGACCTTCTGCCTTATCGCAAGGACAGAGGGCTGTCTGTATCCCGGGGTTTCTTGCCTTGGTGTACCAGAAGAATCGGATCACACGTGGGCTTGGAGAATGAGTGCAAGGTTTTATTGACTGTAAGTAGCTCTCAACAGATGTGGGAGCCAGAAGGGAAATGGAGTGGGAAGGTGGTTTTCCCCTGGAGTCAGACCACTCAGTGGCCCAGGCTCTCGTCTGACTGCCCCGGCCAAAGTCCACATCGTTCCGCCAGTCGATGGCCTGCTGGCATGCCGTCTTCTGTCCTGTGCTCTTCTGCCAGCGCGTTCCCCTTGACGTCCTCTCAATATTCAGCCACTTGTGTCTTCTTCCACCGATGTGTTCCTCTCGACGTCCAGCGACTTGTGGGTCTGCCTGCTAGGGACTCGGAGTTTTTATCGGCACAATAGGCTCAGGATGGGAGCATGGCAGGCCAGGGTAGTCTTGGGAAATGCAACATTTGGGCATGAAGGCAGGAGTGCCCATCCTCACCTGGGTCTGTGGGCACAGGCAGGGTGTGGAGCCCTCGCCAGGGATCACGCCCTTCCCTTCCCAGCACTTCCCTTCCCTGCTTTGGTATCAATGTCACATGGACAAAATAGATGTTTTGTTTTATTTGCTTTTGTCTCCTGAAATTCTCCATTTTCTGATAATGGAGTCTTCAGTGGTTTGGAAAGGAATAACTTTTCCCACCATGAGCCACAGGGGTTGACTTGAGACATCAAGTCAATCAACTATTACATTTCTCATTTCAAATCCTGTATTCACTATTTATTTGTAAATGACAAAATCTCCATTTAAAAGAGCTATAGCAGAAAGGATATTTGCTGACTTATAAACCTGGGAAGTCCAGAGGAGCTTCTGGGTTTAGATATGGCTGGATCAGAGAGCTCAGATGATCCTTTCTCTGCCTGTCCTCCTTCTGAAACATGAACCATGAATCTGGAAGTATCAATAACAAGCATAGTACCTGGGAACTCTCAGGTGCCACCATTCCTTCTACGTGGTTCTAGCCTGCCTGAGAGAGATGCTAACAAGGCTCACAAAAAAAAAAAAAAAAAAAAAAAAGATCAGAGAATTTAGAGAAGAAATACCACAAAAATGAGTATTCTAAGCCTCACACCCTCACTTGTAAACCTGGAGGAAAACACAACAAAACAACAACAAATCCTTAAATACGAGAGGACAGAGCTCTTTGCAAAACAAGTGACAAGCAAAATAAAAGCCTTGCTTATAAAAAAGAAAGGCAGTTTTTATAGGCGTGACTGGGATAAAATGCTTATCCTCCAGTAAATCTTCTAATGATGGGGACATCTCTGCCTCATTTGACCACTGGTCAAATTTCTCTCCACTTCTGATACCCTATGTTCCTTTCTTCATTTCTAGTTTATCTGTTTATTCAAACTCTTCAAGAAACAATAGAGCTTCCCCTGTATAGTTAGTGTGCTGTAAATAAGTAAGTTGGGATTATTTCAACAAACTTCAAGCAACTAGAAATAAACTAAAAATCAAGATATTTATGGAACACCTAGTGAGTACCAGGCAATATGCTAGGTGTGGAGGAAAAAATAGTGAACAAGATGGAGAAGATGGAAAAGTTCCATATTCTGAGGAATGTACAGCAATATTGAGAAAGAACTCCAAACGCAATGAGAGGGTATTGAAGAGCATAAGGTAGGAGCATCAAATGTTATTGGGGGGAATCAGAGAAGGCTTCCCAGAGGAAGTAACAGCTGGAAAGATGGCAGGGAGTTAGCCAGGGAAAACGAATTTCAGGAAGTTGGAGCAGAGTGATGCAGACAGAGGGTGCAGCATGCACCAGATTCAACGGCAAGAGAGCTTGGTGCTGTTGAAAAATTGAGCAATCGGAGCTTCAAAAGTGAGGAGGAGGAATGGTAAGAAATGTAGCTGGAGAGAAGTCTGATGCTAAACTCTGAGGGATTTTGAAAGTAACAAGAAAACTTTAGACTTTATTCCTGCCCTGCTGGAATGGTATTGAAGGATTTTAAGCAAGGGAGCAACATATTCAGAGGGTGCCTTTCAAAGATCACCATGTTACTGGGCGGGAAGTGGGTCAGACAAGGGCAAGGGCTGAGGGAGATCCAGTTATCACAAACATGGGTTTGCAGTGGCATGTTGAAAGCATGCAGCTCTTTCAAATATTGTTGTAAAATGTAATGCAAAGTTTGCATTTTGACATACTATGTATACTACCGTGTTGTAGTGCTTTAAAAATATTCCCAATTATTCACTGGTGCTAACCCCATTAATTGAGTAGCAAATAGACATTTTATTCTTGTTGAAAGAACCCTAATTTTGTTAAAGATGACAATGTGATATGAGCCCCAAATACAGGGTCATCAGTGTCCTAAGCCCATTGAGGCAATTTTGATTTCTTTCTTTTTTTTTTTTTTTTTTTTTTTGAAAATTCTGACTTCTGATGTGTAATGGTCCCTACAACTAAGAATGAAATATGATCTAATTCTGGAAACTGAAAGTAAAATGGAATTTTTATGGAGAGTATTCTGGAAAGTTTTGCTTTCCTTAAAAAGGGGATGGAGACAGCAAGCACTATTCAACAACCTGTTCTCTTCTTTCCACTTTGTACACAGACTTGGGCCCTGAAAGTATAAAAGTCATAGAATAAAAGGACAAAAAACAGGGCAAAAGCTGATATGCTAAGGATGTTAAAGGTTGGCTGCTGAGAATGAAAAGATGGAATCTAGGTCCCTAAAACCACCAATTACCTAATTCTGGAGATATCGTGTGGTCAAATTAAGCCCCTATTTGTTTAAACCATTGTTTTATTTACTTGCAGCCAAATGCATTTCTACTTGACATGCTAACCTTCGGGTGGAACAGATATTCCCCTGAAACAGATTTTATTTATCCTGAGATTTCACATATCACCAGGCACACCAGGCCAGACCCCCCCAGGGAGCATATGCACCTGAGTTGGAGAAATATCCACCATTTTCAAATAATTTCATTCTTGATTTACAATCCAAGATTCTTTTTCTTTGCTTAGTTTCAACCTAGGAGCAGTTTAAACTCTAAAGACCAAGAAGGACAAGTGAAAGTCCTTTCATCCTGTGTGTCTGGGTTTACCTTGGCCCTCTGGTAGGGAATGACAGTGACATTTTCTTAAACACAAAGCCCTTTTAAATTGCAGATGAAAGTAGTACATCAGTACAAAGAATATTTACTGTTCTTGGAGAGCTTTTCCATTTGTTTCCTTCTGGACTAATGTACTTTTTTTCAAGAGCCCCTGAGTGGTCTGATCCTTTCAGTTTTCAATGTAAGTTAGGCAGGGAAAGATGAAAAGAGGGATGGCTTTGCGATGTAGCTTCTCTCAAAAAGTTGACAGTGGAACAGTACACTTTCAATTGCTGGATGGGCCCCAAGCTCTAAGGAAGGCTGGGTCTTTTTCTGCACTTCTCTTGTTTGAACATCCTCCCACAGTCTAACAGTCCCATAGGCAAGTGCCAGTTGGACTGCACAAGCATTATTCTTTCCTAGCTGTTTATGAGCAAATGCAGGCTTTCCCCAGACTCTAGGCAGTGAATGTATTTCTCTGTATTTAAAGACAGAAGCACGGCCATCAGGAGAAAGGGACTATTTTTGTGATAAATGCAGAAATGCCGTGGCTTTGCATGATTTATTGTAGATGAGTGTGAGAGGGAATATAAAAACTATTCCATTAATTTCATTTCCATTTTAGTGGTTATGTGGGCTTAGCTGCTTTGAAAATTATCTTCTTCTTCTCTCTGGAGGGAGATTTGCAAAACTACAGAATGGCTGGCTGTGATTTGGCATAAGCAATGGAATCATCTTAGGAAGCTAGTTCTCCTGGCTCTCCCAGCCCCAACCTCCATTAATGATTTTTGGGCAATGAAAGAAAGTTGTCTGGAGCCTTCTTTAATTCTACATATCCCCAGTCTAATAACAGTGTCATTGTGTCTTCCCACTAATTATACCTAGGCTATCACTTCATTCATTCATATGTAAGTCCATCTGTTCCTTGAAAGGGCTCAGTAATGTCTATCCTTGGAAATACTAATATTCTGGTTATGCTTTTTTATCAAGAATGTTCTTTTTACTGCCTTCATTGCATTTTCAAAACCTAGATTTCTAAACTGGATATTTAGAAGGAATCATTTTAAATTCATATGGATTCTGCCAATTCCCAAAGATATCTTCAAGCTGGAAATTTCTTATCACAAGTTCTAGCTTCGTTTTAGCTTAACTGGCAGAAAAGCATTTTGTACTAAGCAAATAGGTGATGATATTAGCTTAAATGTATTGAGTTCTCAATACAAGCCCAGGACAGTTCCAGCTGAAATATCATCTCATTTCAGCATCTGCACAACCCACTGTGGTAGAGTATATAAGTAATTAGTAACTAAGAATTTAATTGTCTAAAATCGTACATCAGGTACATGGTAGTGCCTGGATGTGCACCCAAGCGTTCAGATCCAGAGTCCAGACTCTTAACTGCGCTACTTAGCTGCTACAAATTAATGTCTTCAAGGAAAGCTATGCATTGAGATTTATCAATTGTCAGTCCTATATTTTCTGTGGCTATTTTGAAGAACAGATGAATTTCATAGTAGTGTGAATATTTTTGGCGGTCAACCCAGCATCATGTTTCTTCCCTCCTTCCTTCCAAAACAATTATTTTTGTTCAAGTATTCATTCTGTTCTCATAATTAACTCCATCTTCACCTCCAGAAGTGGTCCTTCATTAGTCTAAGCCAGATGTGGTACCCCGATCTTTCTGGATGGTGATTGGATATCAAGCTTGAGCCGATCTACTCTAGAAATTCTCCTGGTCATTATCATTGGTTCCAGGATAAGCTCAATATGAGTCAGTTCAGTAGGACTGAAGGGAAAAATATTTATCCTAGAGTGAGGGAAATGGATTATCTCCCTCCCACTATAACCACGCAGTCACTTGCCCCACATGCTGCTGGCAGCCATCGTGCGACTACCAGGAGAGCCAAGCAGATACAAAGTTGATAGAGGAAAGAGTTAAGTGGACAGGAGAGAAACCTCCAAATCCCTGATCGCCAGAGCTTGATCACATACCTCTTTATGGGAAATACATTTTCTTTGTATTTGAGTTAATTTAAGCCACAGTTTATTTATCGCCAAATGCATCCTTAAGGAATGTGGGCATCCACTCACTTGGTATGAGTTCAGGGGCTCTGAGTGGAAGACTGCATCTGGGTATCTCACCTGGCTACAGAACCTCACATTCCCTATAACTACAGTCATTCCTTAAGGATCTTCTGATGCACTGACTGTTAACTAGGCCAACATAATACCTTATTGAGGGGAATATTTAAGAACATCAGATTCACAGACTAGTTCATATTAACCTGGCCCTGTTTGGTGTCCCACCTTCTGAAGTCTCCATTGTACATTTTCTTCCCCTAACTACTGCCACCCTTTTTTTCCTTCAGGTCTTCTAATTTACCATGTTCTCCTCTGCCTCAAGCTCTCAGCTGCTATCATCCCTCCCTGCCATAAACACACACACACACACACACACACACACACAGAGAGAGAGAGAGAGAGAGAGAGAGGAGAGAGCAAGAGACCTTTGGCTGGTCTCAGCTTTCTGAGCTCAGCTCTGTTAACATTTCTTCAGGGAAACCATCTCCAGTCTTTCTAAGCAAATCACATCCCCCCATGAAGCATTTCATGGACACCATCATGGCAGAGACTGAGAGATGTCTCTTTATTTCTATTCTTTCTTTCTTCTTTAGAAGCAGAACCCTAGATTTTTAGCCGGGCACAAAATTGGGCCAGAGTAAAGAAAGATTACATCTCTCACCTCCTTTTCAGCTAGGAGTGTCCACATTTCAAATATCATAACTCACGCTACTGGTGCCTGGTTCATTTCCCCTCAGCCATCACCATTCCAAGAAATTCCAATCCCATCCTACTGCAAGCACTGGATACTCCCTGCATCGAGGCTGCTCTCTGGGCTGGGACTGGCTGGAAATGCTGGAAAGTTAGGGAAGCCTTCACTCAATTATAGATTTGGTGCAGGAAAATAAATAGCACAGCTTTCTTACCTTTAGGGTGGAATTACTCTGAAGCATATGTTCTACACTGCCTCCTACAGTCCCCAGTGGGATTGAACCTCAGGTGTCCCTGCAGTAAGTTGTTCTAGAAATGTTCACGATTGCCTGCCTTCCCTTCTCACATCTCCATTTCTGCTGTAATATTCTAGGATCATCTACCAAATAAACTACATACACTTTATCTTTCATCTCAGGTTTTGCTTGTAACAAAACTCAACCTGAGACATAGTACTCTTTCCCATGGAAAGGTTTCCCTAATCTTCCCAAATTAAACATGATCATCTTTCTTTTCTGAAGCCATTTATACTTATTTTGCATCTTTCTTGTGGTATTTTTATTGTTTCCCTATCTTCTTGGCTTATATCCTCAATTAGAATCCTAATTCTTTGTGTGTCAAGTTGAAAGCTCAGGTTCTGGTGTCAGACAAATGTAAAATCCCAGCCACACCTGTATGTGACTAGCTGTGTAATTTCAAACTGTTGCCCTTCAGACATGTTTTCTCATCAATATAATAAAAATAATAAGAGCATCTACCTTTTAGCCTTTTTTGTGAGAATTAAATTAGGCAATCCATGAAAAGCATTTAGAAAAATGCCTGACCCAAGTTATTGCTTAATACATTTTGTTTCCTACCATATTATTATTATTAATAGTAGTAGTAGTAATTTTTACAACTTCCACAGTGTAGAGTACAATATCCTTTCAGTGTATAATTAGACATGAAATTGATATTTATTAATAATGAAGTGATGAGATAGATCAGCACATTTTGTCTTCATACTCAGCATTGAGACTTGATTTAACCAATGGACTTTTACAGCACACAAAACAGAAGTACTGGTAAACCAGTCAATCTTTAGGATTTCTCAGAGATGTGAATATAAACTGCCAAGTGCTCTTCCATCTGCTCTGGGAGCAATACACACTTGGCCATTTTCTGAGAAGTTCAAAGGCACAAAAACATGGGTTAGATATCTTTCTTCTCCTTTGATCTACTCAAGACATGCTTAAAGAGATGTACTTTAACTTTATACATTAAAGTATAAAGAGATAATACTTTAAGATGCACTTAGCAGTTCCATATGGAGAGTGGATATGGGAGCAAAGCAGAAGCATGATGTATCTTTCTCCCAGCCATCCTCTCTATCATACCAGAGTGAGCTTGATAAAACAAAACTGACCAGATTACCCCTCTGCTAAAATGTCCTTGAAAGCTTCCCATATCCTGCTGTAAAATATGGTTTATAAGGTCACTTACAGTTCGTGCCAACCCCTCCAGCCATGTCATCCCAGCAGGGTAAACTCAACCCAAGCCAAACTTCCTGTGATCCATCTGAAAACTGCCTACCACTTACATGCCATTGCAGATGCTGACTGCTCTGACAGGGATACCCTTCTCCATCCCTCTTTTGTGCGTAGTATCTCCTCACCTTCCGAGATTCAGCTTATCCTCCACCAAGAAGCCCTTTCTATATCCCAACCCCGTATCAGGTAAAACTGACCACTTCCTCTTATATCTGTCTTCCAAAAGCTCTAGCTTTGAACCTATGATGCTAAATAATACATGGAACTCATGTACCACAATATCCAGGTGATTCATACCAGAAAAATAATTATTTGTTCCAGCCAAGCTCAAACATACTTGACACCCAAGCCAAAACATTTCTCCACTCTTCTCGTGGGGTTCTTTTTTAGGCCACAGAGTGTCTACTTTAGATGAGCACCCTAAGTCCCCTCTCCCTTGATTTGCCTTCTTGAATCTACCCCTCTGCCACCTCCCAGTACCTGGCTCCATCAAACCAACCCCTCACTCTCTGTGAGGTTAAGGGCAGCAAGACCTCTGGCTTCAGGTGTCCAAGGCTGGCAATGGTCAAACTTCACATTTTATAAGACAAACTCTCTTGCATTATGGAGCAATTAACTTAATATTTCTGTGCCATAAGTTCCTGAACGGTAAAAAAAAAAAATAAAAGTACCTATTTCATAGAATAGTTAAAAGTATAAATGAGGTAATATACAAAAAGCATTTAGAACAATGCCTGGCATATACATGTTCAAAAATGAGAGTTATTATTTGTTACATTATTAATTATATCAGAAGTAGTAGAAATATTGATCACCTCTCACATTATAACTTTTAAGGATGATTATGCCAAAGACACTCCACCTCCACCAGGAGTAAGGATAGAGAGAAATGG
The DNA here is from genome assembly GCF_000001405.40 of Homo sapiens. NCBI lineage: Eukaryota > Metazoa > Chordata > Mammalia > Primates > Hominidae > Homo > Homo sapiens. The sequence goes on from NC_000003.12 coordinate 7,967,260, forward strand.
AAGGGGCAGAAAGGGTTGAGACTCTATTGACCACACATGTATTTGTTCATGTATGTATCTTATTCCTCCTTCCCCCATGCAGCTAAGCTAATGGACTGTGAGTACGTTAAAAGAAGAGCCTATGTCTTGATCCTAGTTGTATCTCCAGTATTTGGCATGATATTAGGTCCCCAGTAGAGACTCAATGAATGTTTGTTCTGTATTAGAGGGACACTTGGATGATAGCCTGTTTCTGCCTAGCATTGGTACTTGTAGACAAATTCCAGAATACATAAAGGCAAAGGCCCTGGCCATGTATTGTTTATCTGTATGTGGGAGGCTCCTTCATGTCTCGCTTATCTTTTATTTCTACTCCCCATTTTCAGAGAAGCACGGAGAGTATGCAAACAATGTGTTAAGAACTTGGTTAATTAATAGAAAACAGATTTGGGATTTAATTATGTGTGTATAAAACTTCACCTCAACTCCTCCGTGGCCATTTTTTACTTTTGATTTTGGTACCTATAGAAGACTAGCTGGCACATAGTAGGTGCTCAAAATAGATATTTGCTGAATGAATCCATGGCAGATAGCGTCAACTCTGCAAGAGTTGCAAATTAGGGAATCAAGAAAGCAGGAGAGCTGGTACGTTCAAGGAACACATTGCTTTCAAGGTGATTATGCACACTTCCAACTGAGAGCAAAGGAGTGGGAACAAGCTGGGGGCCCTAAGTCTTTTTTCTTTCTTTCTTTCTCTCTTTCTTTCTTTCTTTTGTTCTTGTATTTCTTTTTTTTTGGAGACAGGGTCTCACTCTGTCACCCAGGCTGGAGTGCAGTAGCGCAATCATAGCTAACTGCAGCCTTTTCCTCCTGGATGGTCAAGTGATCCTCCCTTTTCAGGCTCCAGAGTAGCTGGGATTACAGGTACAAACCACCATGCCTGCCTAATTTTTTTTCTTTAATTTTTTTAGAGACAGGGTCTTGCTATGTTGCCCAGGCTGGTCTCAAACTCCTGGACTCAAGCAGTCGTCCCACCTTTGCCTTTCAAAGTGCTAGGATCACAGGCATGAGCCACTATACCTGGTCTTCCTAATTCCAAAGCAAACAGATTTTGTATTCCCCACCACAAGCTAGATGCCAGGGCAATCTCTGATGCTAATTCTTTTTTTACAATATATTAATGTATCTCTGTATATTTATCTTGCTTTAAAAAATCTTTAAATATACACATAGGACTATGTGAGAACAAACAAAGACATCAAAGTTTATCTTCTCTACAGTTGGAAGAATAATGAAATAACTGCAAAGCACCCCCTCCATAAAATATCTTTATGAGCAAATGTAAACTAACATTTATTATAGAACCAGAGATTTTAAGAGGAGAAGCAGAAAAGCTTTTAAATCAAATCTGACACTCTTGCCTGATTCATCCCATAATGGAGCAACATGATATATTATGGATAAGGAGGCAAAGCAGTGAGGAGGCTCATTCAGAAGCTACTGAGAAGCTCTGAAATTATTTTAGGGAGTAGTATGTTAACAAAGAAATATACTAGAAGCAACAGGAAGCAGGTAAAGACAGGTGGATTTCTTCTCATTTGGCTGCAGGAATTTAGCTTCATTGCCTGAGCCAGCCACATGCTTCCATACCAGACTTTGCCTCTTTATTCCATTCTCCTTTTTCAACTTTCTGTTCTCTTTGGCAAGGTAATAAGAGCTTCTCAATCAAACAGATGATTTGTATTCAGACTCTAGCTCTGCAGTGTGATATTTATGTGTCTGTGGGCAAGTTCCTCCTCATCTATAAACTGTGGATATTTCTTAGCAGATAATAGTTGATATAAAGATAAAATAATGTATGTGTATAGAATATAGTTCTTGCATAATTCTTATTAGTAATACATTTTCCCAGTGTTCGTGTTGCTATGTTATACTGTGAACAAATATCTAAGATCCTAGCTCTACTCCTTCAAAGAGGTTAGTGCATCTAGAGAAATGGCTATATACATGGATGGGGGAATGACAAAAGCGGGAAGAGAAGAGAAATAGTACCTGTTGCATATATACCTTATGGCAAATGCTGTACTATGTTTCTAGAAATGACAACATTTCAGGATAAATATCATTAGTATGCCCATTTTTTTTTCAAAAGCAGACATCAAGGCTCAGAGACAAAGTCATTTACTTAACTAGATAATAAAGGCAGAACTAGCTTTAAACTCCAGTCTGTTCTATGCGACTTCAAATTCCATGGCCTTTCTATTGCTTAAAAAGGAAAATATACAAATACAACAAATTTTTAAGAACCCAGTTTATTAGATACTTGCAAATGTATTGCCTTATTTAATCTTCCCAGCAGTCTTTTGAGGAAAGAATTCTTATCTCCACCTTCATTTTACAGAGGAGGACTGTGATAGTTTGCCTGAGACCATTATGTCCAATGGGAATCTCTGTTTTGTAAAAGACAAGCATCCTAACCTAGACCATTAGTTGGTTCATAGAACTGAAAGTGTCAGAGCTACCTGCTTTAGGCAGGATATGTGATCCAGCAGGCCAACCCATGACACCAACACTGTTTCTCTCTCTCTCTTTCTGCCTTTTGCAGTGTTGACCTCATCCTCAGGCTCCACAGAGTCTCCTACGCTGCTCCAGTCCTTCCCCCAATGGCTGAAGCATGGGAGACTCTCTGTGGAGCTTGAGGGTGAAGCCATCTTCCCTTTCCCAGAAGCCCCAGCAGTGCCTCTGTGCATTTATTTGGCTCTGATTGCTTCCAGAGCACATCCCTGACTGATCCATATGGCCAGGCAGCGGGGTGGGATATGATAATTGGCTCATGCCAAATGGGAACTATGCCTGGAGGCTGAGGATCAATGGACAGACATCCTTTCTACCCAGAGGCATAAAGACAAAATGTAGTGGAGAAGAAGCTGGAGGGAGATCAGGGCTCTGTCACCCAGGAGATGCAATGGATTCTGGGGAGATTGAAGGTATTAAACAACCTTGATAATCAATGCTGTCTGATTACCAGTGGAATTTTCTTTCCATTTCACAACGACTGCTTTATAAAAACAATTAAGTAGCAACATAAAGTGCTTTTCTAGGCCAAATGAATGGTTCACGTATTAAGAACCGTAGATCATCTACAGTGACTGTAGGAAAGGGTGGGAGTGGGAGTCTGCTAAGTAATTCCACAGTCCTAAGCTCTGGAATTGAAGGACTCAGAGAGTCAGAGGATGAGAGAAATTCTAGGTCAGAGTTGGGAGGATGCATTGCAGAAAGTTTCCAGGATGAAGCTACATGTAGGATGATCAGGGAACAGTAAGGTAAAGACCTCACTTAGTCAAAGACCTTACTATTAAAGAAGGATCATGGGAAATAGTTCCATTTAACAACTTCAGAAACTCTTAGAAGGTAATATGGCTTTTGAATATAAGTAATTCATACATACTCCAAATACTGAACTATGTGAGAAGTATAAAGAAATCTAAGAAAGTCTTAATTTTTTCCATAGTGACTTTGTTTGATGCTTTTAAAAATATAGCAGGCATAAAACTATTTCAAAAATGATTTCACTCATACTATTTGGCATCCTTGATTTCCTGCACATTTTCCTGAGTTATTCAGCAAGGGGGCTAGGAGTGGGGGACAGAAGGGAGTAAGGTTTGAGAGGCAGGAAGGTTCTGGCACACTCAGGTGGTCGAAGTGGACTTGATTCTGAAAATAATGGTGAACCTCTGCAAATCTGTTAGCAGAAAGGATAAACAAAGGCAAAGCTGTGCTTTAGGAATATTCGTGGAGCAGCAGTGTGCACAAAAGATCAAAAGAAAAAGATATTTTAAGAGATGGATTTGATAGACATCAAGAAAGAGAAACTGGCAAGACTTGGTGACTCTTTGATTTTGGTTGGAGAAGGAAGAGTTAATGGGTTTGTGCACTTGAATGAATGACAGCAATGACAGAGGTATAGATGTTATTTATAAAAATCATATCTCAGGGCTTATTGCAGGTCACCTTTGTTATTTAAGAAGTTATTGGCTCAGTATGAAGTCAACCTGAAAGGTAGAGAATTAAACACACTTTCTTCAAGGGGAAAGTAGAGGGCTAGAAAATGAGACGGTAATTTAACTTAGATATTGAGAGAAGAGAAGAACATTTTTTAATTAAAATAATCAAAGAATTAGAAATAGTTTTCATTGTTCAATATGATTTTAAAAACATTTAATTCATTGAAGCAAAAACCACTCGACACTATCAAATAGTTTTGTTTACTTCCAAGGAACTGTTTTAGTGTCAGATAGAAAAGTTTTTGCCTTTGTGAATATTGCCTTGAGGACTGTGTTAAATTCCTATAAATTAAAATTTGTGTGTAACTCACGTATTCATAGACAGCTTAAGGCCCTTAGAACATTACTTTTAAATTAGGAGAAGATTACAGGTCCATTCATCTTTTACAATTCTATTTCATTATCATTGATGTTGTTTCTTATCTCAACTTTTGGAATGTTGCTTCTTATTTCAACTTTTGGAATATCACAATAATTTGGTAGACATCTTTTGAGGTATCTTCCCAGCCACAACTATGTTTCCTGAGAACTACTCTCTCCTCCACTAAATAAGTAAGCACAGCCATAGGTATACCATATGGCACTGCCTCTTGGCCATAGCTGATTGGACCAGAAGTAGTCAGATGACCCATGTTGAGCCAATCAGATGTTTTATCCTGCTATTTGAGCACTTGTATTAGGAAAGATGGAGATATTTGCCTATGGAAAGAGACTTCTAATAAGACGTGAATTTGTTGGCCAAAAATGCTATTTTGAGGGGAGCTGTAGCAGTTCATATCCACCTGAAGAAGAAGGCTTTCCTCTTCTGAAAGTAAATGTGGAGAGTAGAAAGAGACAGATAACTTGTAGCTCTAGAGAAAGGTGGCAAGTAAAAATGCTTTGGCTCCTGGTAACACTCCTGTACTGCAGGAGACCGAGGTGCATACCGCTGAATTCTGTGAGAAATTTCTAAACCATAACCAACACCTGAATGTTAGACCTAGGAGATGGAACTTAGCAAATAAAGTTTTTGCAACCATATAAGGTAATTATGCTGGATTTTTAGGGTTGTGTTTGGGGCTATTCAAGTCTTGATAAGCAACCTTTCTCACTTTAGCGACTCTCCCCATCAGATTTTCTGTTGCCCTGCTCCTCTGAACACCTAGTATTCATATTCTGCACTACAACATCTGACATGTATTCTATAGAATTTATTCCTATTTACTGTTGATAAGACCCTGCTATGCATTAATTTGCTTGGTTCTTCCTAATAATTAGAGTAATCTAATGAACAAAGTACAGCCTGAAGTGATGCTTTCCCAGGGCAGGCCACAAACGTTCTGGTATAAGATCACTACAAACCTAGTCAAAGTAGCAAGTTGACAATGCTACTTATGTTTATTCCTTCTATATATTCACATTAATTGCTAACATATCACCCTAACAATATCATTAAATCACCCATTAAAGAGATAGTATCCTCTATTTTCATCTATTTATACATAAACTACCTCCTTCTGGCAATACCCTTAGCAATTTATGGGCCTTTGTTGAATCACAAAATTGGCTAATGATTCTGGGAGGCTCTGGCCAAAAGACATGTAATACTTCCACTTTCTTAAACCAAAATGACAAAGTCAATCCTTAGAACAGTGGGAGGTTATAAGTGTATGTTGTGTGTCCATGATTGTGTGTTTTTATTCTCCACAATTGAAAATTCTCCAAACAATATTCTTATTGTCCTTGACATTAAAACTGAGGGAAAGTCCTTGAAAGAGATGCTGCCATTATTTCTGGTCTCCTGGTTTTGATAGCCTGGTGGTTAAATAATCTCTCTAATATTCTGAAATGCATAATGCATTAAGCTCTTTGACTGCCAAAGAGGCATCACAGACAGATGGGATGTGTAATGAGTGTAAGGCAATGGTAGCAGATCCTGCTCAATGCTGGCTGGTGGGGATGGTGAATTTACATCAGCATGATCTGAGCTCTGCAAAGAACACCAGGCATTGAGAATTGGGGAATCTGACAAACAATCCTTAAGCCTAGAAGAACTGCTCATCTGAAACGCTGGAGCCTTGGAGGGTCAGGGGCCAATAGAACTGAGCCTATGCTAAAGGAGGCTGGCCAGAGCTCTGTGAGAGGAAGGCCGGAGCCCTGCTGAGTTACCTCCCCTCCCCTCACATTCTCCATGTCTTCGCCTGAATTATCAAACATAAGCATTTAGATCATCTGGTTGCATCTTATTTGCCAAATTAAATATAAAAAATCCTGTCCCTTTTGTTGAACCTCTGGGTCAAACTGGAGCCTGAGGAGACGCTGTGAATATAGAAGTTATCCTGGATACCCGGGAATAGACGTGCTGGGAAAACCAAAGCAGGGGAGAGGGGAGGAGAGAGGAGGATGTGAAGCAAGGAAGAGAAAGGATGAGCAGAAGAAAGGGGAGTGAAGAGGGAGGGAGCAGAAGGGGGAACTTAACATACAAAATGGGAGGAGAAAAGGGAAAGAGGTAGAGGTGGAAAATAAGGAAGGAAGAAGAGAGGAGAAAAAAGAAAGAGACGGCAAGAATAAAGGAGAGAGGTAATTTACAAAATAAATTAATTTATTTAAGGGAGGAGGAAGGAAACAAGCAAAGAGAAGGGAGAAGAAGAAAAGGAAAGACTAAAAGAAGGAAGGGAGGGAAAAAGGAAAATGATCAGCCTATTAAAAGCACCACATCTACTGTTCTAGATGCCCTCAATACTAACCAGAGGAATAGCAGACAGGGGACTTACCCCAAGTCTCTTTGACCTCCAGCTGCAGACTGATCAAAGAGAGATACCTGTGAATCCTAGGTGACTTTAAAAAAGAAAAATAAAGGACTACTTAGTGATAGGATAATGGACAAAGAAAAAAAAATGGCACCCAATCCTTGCACCCATGTTGCCAGGCAGGATATTTCCACCATCTAGGTTCTCCTTCAGGTGGCTGTGGCTGATGGCAGATGCCAGCCTTAGTTACCCCCCTAGGATCAGAGCTTTAAAGGCTCTGGCACCTACCTAGGTAATGTCTGAGAAACGTAGGAGGAGTTCCCCTGTTATGGAAGACTTCCATCCAGCAAGGAAGGGGTAGGCTCACCACAATGACCCAGGATTCATCTACTTACTACAAATGTCTCCCCTCATTCTGTCATCTGATGTGTGAGCCTGTTTCTCCCTAGTCAACTTCCCCCAAAGGTGTAATAGCCATTAACATATTTTAAGCTGAGACCAGCATCAACAAGTATGGGCCCATCATTGGATTAATTCTTAACTTACTTATAAAGGAAAAGGTTAGTAATAAACAGGAATCAAAATGTTCTTGTAACCAAGACTTGTTTGTCAGTACCATGTCATTATTTGTGCTATTTTATTATAGCACTTGGTTCATAAACCAGCCTGTCATTTGTTCTTCTTTCCTAGGTTAGAATAGCAGATGATATTGGTGTTGCACTCAGATTTTTTTTACTGGGCTATTGCACTCATCCCCCAGCTTCTGTTTCTTTTGGACTTTAGCTGTCCCCTTCTTCTGAGAATTGTCCTGGGTCAAAGTGGGGCCATCTCCCGGGTGCAGTGGCTCATGCCTGTAATCTCAGCACTTTTGGAGGCCAAGGCAGGCAGATCACTTGATGTCAGGAGTTTGAGACCAGCCTGGCAACATGGCAAAATCCTGTCTCTGTTAAAAAAAAAAAAATACCAACATTAGTTGGGCATGGTGGTGGGTGTCTGTAATCCCAGCTACTCAGGAGTCTGAAGCAGGAGAATAGCTTGAACTCTGGAGGCAGAGGTTGTAGTGAGCCGAGATTGCACCATCGCACTCCAGCCTGGGAGACAGAGCAAAACTTCACCTCGAAAAAAAAAAAAAAAAAAGTAGGGCCATCTCATCTTGGAGATTGTCCACCTCTCTCCACAGCCTGCAGTCACTCATGAATTCCACTAGTTTGACGATACAAAGGCTAAATCCCTGGACTCAAGGTGGGCCAGCTCTGTAGGGTAATTCACATTCACAGCTCTCTGGGGGACTCAGCTAAGACTAGACTTATTTTGAAGTCATATTTTTGCCTAATTTTTTCATTCATTCCCTTTCTCTTAAGCACATCATCAAAAATCCACTTGCACAAAATTCTCTATTTCAGAATCTGCCTCTGGGAATCTGAACTAAGACAGCACGATCACCCCTCCCTACCCCATCCAATCAAATTCCACACAGAGGCAGGAGATTGTAGAAATACCCAACATCACCATGCTAACAATATCTCCCTGCCAAACCATTCTCATGTCTATAAAATGATGTTTTAGGAATTGTTGCTGCCTCAATATTATTTGAATGAAAATATTTGAACTAGGGGCACCATACAGACCCAGGCAACACTTCACATATTTAAAAGTGCATTTGCATACTGTTAGAGAAAAGGCATTCTCAAATAATACTTTCATGAGGCTTGTTTTACTTAATTCCTTATTTGCTCAGGTTGGAAATACTGCACTCACATTGTAATAATATGAATGCATAACCTCTGGGTTGAGCAGGAAAGCAAAGTACCCTAAATTACTTCATATAACTCTTGTGGTGATAACTAAACACTTTCTTCGGCACTGTACTATTTACTGACTGCATTTTATTTCTGCTTCAATAAAAAACTGTCAAGTGCTCTGAGAATTTCACAAATTCACTTTACCCTACTGACTATAGTGTGCCATAAATTAATTACTGCAAGTGCATAATATTTATTTATGCCCAAAGCAGTCTGTACTGGTAGGCCTTATTAGCATTCATTGAAGAATATAAAAATAAAGAGTATAGTTAACATGAAAAAATCATTTATGCCTTCACATCTCCAATGACTAAGCTTAAAAATAATTTTCTACCTTATTTTTTGTTGTTAAGTTTGTGTCATACACAGCCTCTTCACATTTTTAAGTTGGTTTTACAAGACAAATGCAACTTGTAGGTAATTCAAGCTATGTCACCTATCGACCACATACAAAGTGAAACATCACAGATGTTTGATAAATTTGAAACCAGTTCTCCAGCCATTTCTATAAGCAAACACTCTAGGTTGTGATACAGGATGGGGACAGGGAAGTGCTGGGTAGAGAATGGCAGGGTCCCTGGCAAGGGCTCCACCCTCAGGTCTGTGCCCATGGACCTAAATGAGGACAGGCATTTCTTTTTTTGTGCCCAAAATGTTGCCTTTTGGCCCATCAAGTCCCCCCATCCTGCACCCATAATAACCTAGGACCATAGTGGGCACAGACGCAAGTAGCTGGATGTTAAGAGGAGCAGAAGATCACACTGACAGACACAAGCAGACACTGGCGGGCCATTGATGGTGGAATGACACCGGTGCCTAAGGGAATTTGACCAGAGGCAGCTGGAGGAGAGTCTGGCCACTGGGCAGCCTGACACCAGGGAAAGACCACCTTCCCACTCCATCCCCCTTCTGGCTCCACATCCATCTCACTGAAAGCTACTTCCACCACTCAATAAAACCTTGCACTCAGTCTCCAAGCCCACAGGTGATCTGATTTTTCTGAAACACTAAGGCAAGAACCCTAGGATACAGAAAGCCTTCTGTCTTTGTAATAAGGCAGAAGGTCTAAATGAACTGATGAACACGAGCTGCCTGCAGACGGCAAAGCTGAAAGAGCGCACTATAACACACACCCACTGGGGCTTCGGGAGCTGTAAACACTCAGCCCTAGACACCGCCGTGGGGTTGGAGCCCAGAAATGCTCCCCATGACCTGCCCATCTGCCTGCTCCCCATGGGGATTTGAGCAGTGGGGCACTGAAGAAAGGAGCCACACCCCTGTCACATGCCCTGTGAGGGGGATAAGGGAACCTCTCCTGTTTCAGTTGTAATATCATGGAGGGCAAGAGCCATGTCTATTTTTTTAATATAATTTACTTTCGTATCCCCAACAAAACCGTCTATAGTGGCTTGCAATGAACAAAGTATCACTAAATGGTTGTTGAAGTGACAAATGAACTTGAATTCAAAGCATGATAGAGAAAATTAATCATTGAGTATCTAGACTACAGACTTATTTGGCACTATGCATGCTTAAATAATGTTAAGAATTTTTCTGATCTTAGTTTACCTTCTGAGAAGAACTGAAGGCTCTAAAACCTCGCTTGCAAATGTAAAGTGCTCTGACTAAATATCTGACCTCACTGATAAAATATTTGGGGAAAACCCATGGTGAAACAGAGTGTCCCTCAAAGAAAGTGGTTCTAGTTCAAACTTTTCAGTAAACCATGTTTGCCTGAAAACTAACTTGAACAAGCCAAATAAAGCTGGGTCTTCCCGTGCAAAATAATTGAAGGTATGTTGCTGTACTTTGCTCCTCAAAATGTGATTCACAGGCAGCATCAAAGGCATCACCTGGGAGCTTGTTAGACATGCAGAATCTTAGGCACAGCTCCAGACCTGCTGACATGTGTATTCCCAGGTGAGTGCATGCTTGTTAAAGGTTTGGAGGCACTGTAGCAGCAGGGCCGTCGGTGAGGGGCTTATAGGTCCAGGATTCTTTTTCCATATTTGTGTGCTCTCACCTTCAACAGCTAGCATCTGTCTCTTTGTCATAGGCCTTCCCCCCCACTGCTGGAACTTGCTTTATCATTGCACACAGAAACAGGAAGTGTTTGAGAATATGTGTTCCCATGGGACAGTCCTATGACTGACAGGGGAGAGTACAAACCAGATCCCTAGTCCCTGATTGGATAACTGTGTTTTCAGAGTTTCTCCGTGGCATTGAGCCAAAGTAAAACTCCATGGAACTTTGCTTGATATTGAAATGGAGAGTTCCCTTATTTCCCTTGCAGGGTGTGTGACAAGGGTATGGCTCCCTCCTTCCTTGCCCCACTGCTCAAACCCCTAGGGGGAGCGGGTGCAGAGGCCAAGGGGAGTGCTTTTGTGCTCCAGCCCCAGGGCAGCGTCTAGGACTCCGGAAGCCCAAGTGGGTGTGTGTCACAGTGCGCTCTTTCAGCTAAGCTGTCTGCAGATGGCTTGCGTTAATCAGCTCAATAGACCCTCTGTCTTATCACAAGGACAGGGAGCCAGTGTGACAGCCTCAGTTCTTGCCCAGTGTACTGGAAGAACCAAATTACACGTGGGCTGGAAGGATGAATATAAGGTTTTATTGAGTGGTGAAGATGGCTCTCAGCAAGATGGACAGGGAGCCAGAAGCGGGGGACGGAGTGGGAAGGTGGTCTTCCCTTGGAGTTGGGCCGCCCAGTAGCCAGACTCTTCTCTGACCCGACTGAATTCCCCTTGGTGCCCAGGTGTCCTTCTTCTTCCCTCCTTCTCTGTGGTGCCGCCCCAACACTGTCTGTCACTCTGTTCCTCTGCTCCTCTCTATGTCCAGCCGCTTGTGTCTGTGCCCGCTAAGGTCTCGGGTTTTTATGGGCACAGGATGAGGGTTGTGGCAGGCCAAAAGCAACTTTTTGGGTGCCTAAACAGATATGCCTGTCCTCACTTAGGGCTGCGGGTCTTCAGGCTTGAGGGTGGAGCCCTTGCCAAGGACCTCACCCTTCTCTACCCATCGCTTCCCTGCCCCACTCCCATATCAATACCGCACTCCTGCTTGATCTTTCCTTACTGATCCCACTTCCTCACTTTCTCTATTGGCCCCTCACCCCTGGATTACTTTCTAGTAAATAACTTTCTCATGAAATCTCACGTAAGGGACTCTTTCTGAAAATCACAAACTAAGAAACTTATTTGTCAATGACATGTTGGGAAATGTTTAACAACTCGCTGTCTGGGCTAGGGGGTTGGCGAACAGTGTCCAGGGGAGGTCGGGGGTGGAATGTCTGTTTTTTACCTTTGACAATTCCATGGTGTAAATATTCCCACCATTACAGATCTCAAAATATAAATATGCGGTTTCAGAATTAGAACAAGATACTTATAATCTGCTTCTGCAAGTGACTATGAGATGGTTCTATCATACCACTGCCTATATTTATATCCCATCTCATTTAAAACCAATAAGTTTTTACAAAAATTTCTTGAAGATTAATTATGGCATAATTATATTACACAACACAAAGTGAAAGTTTCTAAAAATCAATCTATCTGTCTAAAGAATCATGTGGCAGAATAGATGTTTCAATTCATTAATTAAATGAACATTTATTGTGCAATTTCTATATGCTCATTACTGTTGCAGAGGCAGGGGAACAAAAAAAAATAGTGAATAAGACATATGAGATCCCAGTCTACGAGGAGTTTACAATGTAGTGAAGGAAACAAAATATCAATAATTTCAAATTTTGATAAATACTGTGCATAAAGCAAGGAGTCAAGATGGAGTACTGGATGCATTTGGGGAACCTGCTTTTGATAGAATTGCCTATAAGAGCAAAAGGAGTTGCTGACCATGTAAGAGTGTTAACAAAAACATCCCAGGCAGAGTTAATAGCGTGGGCAAATGTCTGGAGACAAGAAAGAGGCTGAGATGCTTGAGGAAATTTTTAAAAAGTTGAAGAAGGCTGGGTGCGGTGGCTCAGGCCTGTAATCCCAGCACTTTGGGAGGCCAAGGTGGGCGGATCACCTGAGGTCAGGATTTCTAGACCAGCCTGGCCAACATGGTGAAAACCCTGTTTCTACCAAAAATATAAAAATTAGCCAGGCATGGTGGCACACACCTGTAATCCCAGCTACTTGGGAGGCTGAGTCTGGAGAATAGCTTCAATCTGGGAAGCAGAGGTTGCAGTGAGCTAGAATCACACCATCGCACTGCAGCCTGGGCAATGAGAGTGAAACTCTGTCTCAAAACAAACAAACAAACAAAAAAAAAAAACAGTTAAAGAAAATGTTGGAGCAGATTGTGCAAGGGAAGAGGTGAGACAGTGAAAGATGAGATTGAGTGACTAATGTCCACTATAGGCCATGCCTCACAGGCCATCATTAGGAAGTATGGATTTTATTCTAAATGCAAAGCACAGCATTGGAGAGTTGTGAGTAAGGGAGTGACTGATTTTAATTATGTTTTAAGATGATTCAGAATCTGTGGAAAGTAGATTGGCAAGAGCAGAAGGTGAAGGATCTGTTAGGAGGCAAGATGTGGCTCAGGAGAGAGATGATACTGCCTTTGATAGCAGTGGCATTAAATACTTGGAGAAGTGAAGGAGTTGAGCATATATTTTGGAGTTGGAATTAAGAGAATGTGCTAATGAATTGAATGTGACCATGGGAAAAAAGAAAACTGAGTCAAAAGTGACTCTGGGTTTATGACTTAAACAACTTGCTGCATCTTATTTTGTCTCTCTCTTTTTTTTTTTTTTTTTTTTTTTTGGTTGTTGTTGTTGTTGTTTTGGTCTTTTCCTAAAAAAACGGGTTCATTTCACTGTCTTGGTCATACCTCCTCTTCTTGCCCCCACTTATATCTTCCAGAATTTTTCTTTTAAATCAAAGGTGACAGCATGCCCTTTTAAAATGTTATATTACTTTAGATTTTCATAGTTTCACTTAATTTTCTCCACTCATGACACTTACTAACTCAACAAAGTACGACAAAGTTGAGCATTTTCAACAAAGAACCCTCAGTCAATACCTGGGGAAGGGAATAACTACAGCAGTCCCCTCTCAATCAAAGCTTATCTTTCTGAGAGTTGGGCTTTCTACAGTGTCAGTAACCCACAGTCAACCGTGGTTGGAAACTAGATGATTACTCTATAATAAGATACTTTGAGAGAGAAAGAGAAGGGGAATACCACATTTACATAACTTTTATTACAATAGGTTGTTATAATTGCTGTATTTTATTATTAGTTATTGTTGTTAATCTCTTACTGTGCCTAACTTGGAAGTTATTTGATTTTATTATTTTATTTATTTTAAGTTCTGAGATACTTGTGCAAGACGTGCAGGTTTCTTATGTAGGTAATCATGTGCCAGGATTGTTTGCTGCACCTATCAACCCATAACCTAGGTATTAAGCCTCACATGCATTAGTTATTTATCCTGATGCTCTCCCTCTCCCGCCCCCTGACAGACGCTGGTGTGTGTTGTTTCTCACCCTGTGTCCATGTGTTCTCACTGTTCAGCTGCCACCTATAAGTGAGAACACATGATGTTCGCTTTTCTTTTCCTGTGTTAGTTTGCTGAGGATAATGGCTTCCAGCTCTATCCATGTCCCCGCAAAAGACATGATCTCATTCCTTTTTATGGCTGAATAGTATCCCATGGTATATATGCACCACATTTTCTTTATCCAGTCTATCGTTGATGGGCATTTGGGTTGATTCCATGTCTTTGCTATTGTGAATAGTGCTTCAGTGAACATATGCATGTATATATCTTTATAATAGAATGATTTATATTCCTCTGGGTATATACCCAGTAATGGGATTGCTGGGTCAAATGGTATTTCTGGTTCTACGTCTTTGAGGAATCGCCACACGGTCATCCACAATGGTTGAACTAATTTACATTCCCAATAACAGTGTAAAAGTGTTCCTATTTCTCCACAGCCTCAACAGCATCTGTTGTTTCTTGACTTTTTAATAATCACCATTTTAACTGGCATGAGATGGTATCTCATTGTGGTTTTGATTTGCATTTCTCTAATGATCAGTGATGTTGAACTTTTTTTCATATGCTTGTGGGCCACATAAATGTCTTCTTTCGAGAAGTGTCTGTTCATGTCTTTGCCCAATTTTTAACGGGGTTGATTGTTTTCTATCTTGTAAATTTATTTAAATTAAATTCTTTGTAGATTCTGAGACATACTCTCAAGTATCTTGAGGAGTGCCCAAAATATACAAGAATGGAGATAGCATCATGAATGTGTGCAGTTTTTTTAAATAAAATGTTTTAACTCCCACTGTCATTTCTTTCCCCAGCCCCTAGGTAATAAATTCCTCAATTGTAAACCTCATTGCCTGCCTGCCACTGTATAAAATGCAGCCCTTCAGAGAAGCACAGCTCTCTGGGCACAGGGGTAACTTCTCATTATGAGAGATGAAACAGATGAGTTAATCAGGAAGTCCCTTCATCTCCTCAGAGGCTCATCATTCCTATTTCAGGAGTTCAGACAAGCAGTTAATCTGCTGGAAAGATGGAAAATGAAGTGGCTGTAGCAATCTATTCATGCCAGAGGGGGCCTTATATTAAAAAGAGGATGCTCATGTATTATCATTAAGGACATCTAGGTTGTTCATTCAAGGATTTATATTTTAATACTCTGTTTATTGAGCCTGCTGGCTCTTTTTCTTCTAGGTAGGGCAAAGCCACTACGAAATCATCATATGACTGTATACTACTTTTTATTTTGTGAGGGCTTTAATGGATAATGTCTTTTCTTAAACCTCAGAGTAATCTGGTTAAACAGGAAGTGTTCTCCCATTTTGCAGATAAAGAAAGCGAAGTTCACAGAGATGACAGGCTTTCAGGAGTTCACACAGTAAGGTGGTGACTTCTCTGGAACCTAAATTCAGGACTTTCAACTATTCATTCCATGACCTGACTCCACGAGAAGTTGGAGACTTCAGGCTTCCATGACTCCATGGGTTGATGGAGTTGACTTCCAACTCATGATTCCATGAGTTGATAGAAAAAAAGCCTCAATCCAGAGTGTTAATATCCATACACAGCCATTAAACTAAACTCATCCTATGAAGCACTTCATTAAAGTCTGTGCTGTACTGCAAGGGTTCATGGGTCTGAGTTTCTGCTCACCAGACTTCCAGGTACATTTGTTCTGACCAACTAAGTCCATTGAGACTTTCAGTCCATTTTTTTAAGTATGGGGTGTAAGTCTTTTTTAATAAAAAGTCGCATCCTGTATAAAGGCCACAATGAAGCATATGCACTTACCCATTTTTGAACATTTTTAACCTCCCATTTCATATAATTCAGCCTAACAAAATTTTATAAATTTTATCAGTCTTTTCCATGAAGGAGACAGCCAGATGTTCTGAAAAGAAAAATGGCCTTGAGTTCAGAAGCTCTGGGTTCAAGTCAGACTCTGAATGTAGCACTTAATATCTGTGAGCCTTAATTTCCACATTGGTAAGAGGGAAATGGTTATAATAATGCCTGGATAATAGCATATTTGAGAGGATGGTTTGAGAGCATCTCATTTAGCTAAGATTTATAAAATATCTATCTTGTTCCAGGCACTCTACAAAGTGCTGAAGAGACAATGAGGAATAGACAGAGTCCTTGCCTCCAGGAAGCACGATTCAGCAAAAGAGGCAGAGGAATAAATCAGCTATTGCCAAACAGCCTGGAAAGTCATACCAATAGTACAATGAAAACAGAGAGAGGCTGGGCGTGGTGGCTCACTCCTGTAATCCTAGCACTTTGGGAGGCCGAGGCAGGTGGATTGCCTGAGCTCAGGAGTTCGAGACCAGCCTGGGCAACACGGTGAAACCTCATCTCTACTAAAACAAAAAATTAGCTGGGCATGGCGGTGTGTGCCTGTAGTCCTAGCTACTCGGGAGGCTGAGGCAGGAGAATTGCTTGAACCCGGGAGGTGGAGGTTGCAGTGAGTCGAGATCACACTACTGTACTCCAGCCTGGGCGACAGAGGAAGACTCCGTCTCCAAAAAAAAAAAAAAAATGAAGGTGGCAGCTACCTCTGTGATTAGGGTGGGGCTGAGAAGGATTCAGAAGTGTCAAGCAGGAAAACTGTCTGAATCAATGGTTTCCAGAATCATGAAGAGCTCTGGAAAGTCCCTACACCCTGGCTGTCCGGTGAAAAAGATGCTGGAGTAGGTGGAGAGAGATGAGGTAGCTCAGGTTTACTTCTGAGTAGATCAATTTGTGAATTGGAAGGGCTGCAGTATCCTGGGACATCATCATTTCAAGTGAATAAAGAGCAAGGGGACAGGAAATTGTGGCTTTGTTTCCACTGAAAGTATTTATGAATGAAAGCATTAACTAAATGACTTAATGACGAAAAAGAAGATAAACTTTTAAAATGAGCGTATTTGTCTATCCATGATAAATAATTACATTTTCTCAACCAAAGCTATTACATTAATAACCTGGGGTTGGTTTGTTTGGCAGAAGAGAGAGAGTGGATAGTGCCAACCATATCTCCTTGCTAGGTATTAGTCATGGTATGATCTATTGCTATAAGGCATTATTATTAGAAAATTAGAAATTATAGCATAGATATTGGTACAGTTTTATTGAAGAAACTCTTGGGGCGAGCTCACATTGCACAGTGCTCTGAGCTTGAAATGTCTGTACAAGGATTCAGAATTGAGAGACTATGTAGGCACTCAGAAGCCACCAAATGTTCCTTCCTCACTGGGCCAGTCATTGGATCAGAACAGAAACTACCAGGCAGAAATCTGGAAGGACCAGGCCAATGGATTATCTCCCTCTCTTAATTCTCTGCCATCATATAGAACCCACTGGCTAGGGTAGTGGATACATCTTAACTACCAACTAACATTTATTCACCCTTAATCTGGAGGGAAACAAATTAATCCTGGGAAACTAGCTCTACCCCTCATAATCATCTCATATAATTTTGGTTGGGCTCACTTCAGTTCCAGCCACAGGAAAGCACTCCTTATCTGGGTCAAGCCAGTTATCAAATTTCACCTCCTGGCCAGAATATTCGAGAATGTGAAACAATACATAATGGTCCCTTTACACTCAATGCTGGGACTTTGGCTGGACTTATTCCACTCAGTTGGGATAGCTGGGCACCTACTAAGCTTGAGACTCCTGAGTGTCTGAGACAAAAGCAAGGTTGAGAGATGAAGGTGGAAAAATTAGTTTTGATGACATAACTTGCCTCCTGAGATCCATCTGTGCATAATGCTAGTTAGCCTTTAACCTTCCAATTACTAGCTGAAATTCTACTATTTCACTCTAGATTGTTTGATTTGGATTTCAATTATGTTACTGAGAGAGTTCTGACTAGAACATGATGATGGGGTTTGGCTCTGTATCCCTACCCAAATCTCATCTGCAACTGTAATCTGCACGTGTTGATGAAGGGACCTGGTGGGAGGTGATTGGATCATGGCGGCAGTTTCCCCCATGCTGTTCTCATGATAATGAGTGTGTTCTCATGAAATCTGATGGTTTAAAAGTGGCACTTCCTGCTTTGCACTCTCTCTCTCTCTCTCCTTGCTGCCTTGTGAAGAAGGTGCTTGCTTCTCCTTTGCCTTCTGCCATAATTGTAAGTTTCCTGGGGCCTCCATAGCCTTGAGGAACTGTGAGTTAATTAAACCTCTTTTCTTTATAAATTACCCAGTCTTGGGTAGTATCTTTATAAGAGTGTGAAAATGGACAAATATACATAAAATACTGTATATTGAAGAATGCAGTGAGTCCACTTAGCAAATCCAAGAATCAGGACATTTGCCCAGGCCTGGAACCAGATAGGGCAATAATATGCACACTTTTTCTGTAAAGGGCTAGATGGTAAATAGTTTTGGCTTCGCTGGACATACTTCCCTATGGCACCAACTCAGCTCTGCCTTTGGAGGGTTTGGCCTATGGACCCTGAGATCTGCTGCATCTGGTATCCCTTTCCTATTTCTGTGCTGAAGTTGTCTTTCAAAATTTCAGAGCTTTCTTTGCCCTCTACTAGCTGTGTGTACAGTCAACTAAAGACAAGAGGCTGTGCCCAGAGCCAAGCCCAGGTATCGTTACACAAGGAGCCTCCATAGCCTGAGTGGCCAGAGAGATGGTATGATGCAACCAATAGCAGAAGAGACAGGGATCCATAGCCTGACAGTGGGCAGGAAAACCAGTGGGATGAATTTGTAGGATATGTAAGCATTCGCTGGGGATGACCAGAGAGACCTAAGGAATAAAATCTCAAGACAGGGTTCTTTGCAGCCAAATGTGTTGGGGACTCGTGTCTTAATTTTGATACTTAAAAAAATAGATTTTAACCTTATTCTCCAGCAGAGGCTGATGGGGTCTGGGGCACTTGGGATATACTTATATTTGTCTTTATCAAATGTTGATAAGACAAGCAAACAAATACACATGTTTAGACAAGTGAGATCCCACGATCTTCCTCCTTTCTCTCTTTTGACTCTGACAACACGTTTCCAAACAGCACAATAGCTAACAGGAGAAACAGCCTCAAGAGTCCACAGTGTAGAAAACTAGCCCAGTGCATTGGGAAAAATCCAGGGGGACAGGAAGGTAACAAAAGTCCAGGGTTAAGTGTTTTCTTCCCAACTGTTCAAGAAACTTGGGATGAGAAAATTCAATGGCACTTAATGACATTTTCTAAATACCTTAATTACTTAGACTTTGGTTATTAGTTAATGAGCTGGAAAGATGAAATAAGACAATATTAACTCATGAGCAATCAGAATAATTCAATTAACATGAGTATGCATGATGTTGTCTGGAACCCTGTTGTGATAAATAAAAATGAAAACTCTTTGGTAAAAATTCAAAGGAAAAATAAGTGTCTTCATGTTCCTCCAAATCACAGGGAGGTAATTCAAAATGTTTACTTTTTAATCCTGGTCTTTCTTTACTTGACTATAATCTACGAAATAAGAAAATTCAATGATAAACATATGAAATAGGCATCTCTATCTTTGATTAACCCAAAATCTCCTCACTCCCACAGACATGCACAGGGCCCAGTCAAAAGTGTACAAAAACAGAATATATAGTGTTTCTTCTTCTCAATTATTCAGTTAAATTCAATGTCTGAGATGATAAAGACCTGGCTTAAATGCCTGTTAAAAGATGAAAGTGGTCAAATAAATCATATACTGTAGAAGAAAATTCTAAACTCTCAAAAAACTCACTGTCTTCTAGGGCATATGATTTATTGACAACAAATATAGCAAAGTGTGCAATAATAGAAGTACATTATAAATCTATAAAAAGCATGGGATGGGCAGACAAAGGTTGCAGAGATGAGCATGCTCAAGCTAGGTCTGGAGTCTGCACAGGAATTACTAAATGGACAAAGGGAGTTTAAAAGGCTCTAGGTAAAGAGGACTCATGGAGAAAGGTAAAGACAGTCAAATAATGAGGGAGAAAGCACATTTCAGTTGATTTTACTGCTGGAATGGAGAGTCCAAGATGGAGGGCCTAGAATGGTCAGTGAGCAGGCAACAGTAAAAATTTTTAAGCAGAGAAATATTTTGAATACATTTTTTTCTACAACAGGAGACTGTTGTCTGTAGCTTTGTAACCAAAACACCAGGGGTTCAGTCTAGGTCCTGCTGTTTGCTGCACAGAAAGCCAATGACTGAGACGACGTGTCCTGCCAAGGAAGAAGGCTTTAATCGTGCTCTGCAATTGGGTAGATAGGAGCTCAGTCTCAAACCTGTCTCCCTGATTGACTAAAACTAGGGGTTTATATAGTAGGGAAGAAATGTAACAATGTGTAAGAAAACAGGAACCAGGGATGGGGCAAGGAAGCAATCATGATGAATGAGTGGTCCCACATCTCATTGTCTAGATGTGGTGATCTGGTGAGTTTCAGTTCTTTGATACCTTTTTTAAGAGGCCTGAAAGTCATTTCCTGAGGAAGGAACTCAAATAAAACAAATGAAATTTCAAGTTTTAAGACCAGAAGAGTCAATTTCTATGTTTATCCAAAAACAACTGTCTATGAGACTATTGGGTTGGTTTCAGCTTGTTACTCAGTGGGTTAGCAGGCAGTGTTTACGGGGAAGGCATCATAGCATCCAGTCTATTCAGGTTCATAGCAACCTCAAGGCTGTGACTACTGACAGTATTCTCAACTTCCCCCAGCCATTCCCATAAGAGGCAGGTGTTTTATTGTCAGAAAGCATATTAGGAGCAGCAGCTGGGTGTCTGAAAGTGCTTGTAAATGCAGTGACCATTGAGATGGCCCAGGGAACTTACAGACAACTTTTTATTAGCAGGAGCCAAATTTGTAATGCGGAAGTTGGATATGTACAGGCAAGAGATGCCAGGTATTATTAGCATCAGTGCTTTCTGGCCTGCACCCGGCCTCTTCTTTGACATTTTTCCTAATTTCATTCAAGCATAATAGAAAGGGGGGAAGAGAGCGTTGGACCCAAGAATGCCAGTACCTGTGTGTCAGAACTCTCTGTTGCTAAACTAGGGAAACCTCACTAATTAATTGTGAGGCACTTTCTATTGGTCCTCAGTATCCTTTTGATTTGTCCAGGCTGCCACAAAGAAGCTATTAACATTGGCACAGGAAATGAAGCCTAGCTGCCATTTCTGTTTTAGGACAGTCCTGTAGAATGGTTTGTTAACAGCGGCTTCCAATGAACATAATTCCAGTGGAAAGTCGTTTAAGGTGGTGGCCTCAGTGCTTGATGGTGGGCTACCAGAAGGCTAAAAGCCCGCCTGTGCAGACTCAAGGCAAAAGTCAGAAGTAAGGGTAAGAAGAATAGGGGAATAAGTGTCCAGAAGTCAAAACTCAAGAGTCAGAGACATACACTAACCCTTCTGCTAGGAATATTCTTCCACCCGCTATTCCTTTGATAAATTCATATTTATTCTTCAGGTCTTAGCTTAGAAATTGCTTTTCTTACTCAACTCCCACTTGTCAATTTTGTCATACCTTTTATTGCACTAACAGAATCCCAGACTTTTCTATCATGGCACCCTTTACCATCTATGCAACTCTTATAGGCACTGAATATTTCCTTAAAAAATGCAAAATATTAGTCTGGCTCTATTTATGACTAGCACAGCAGATTCCCCATTTATTTATTTTCGATTTTTTTCCTAAACTTGTTTTGATAAGCAAGCCTCATTTACATTTTTCAAATTGAATTGACATCAGAATACAGAAAATAATATGATTTGGCCACCCAACCAGGTTAGTTAAGTCAAAGGGTATGTATATTATCAGGACCCAAAGAGGCTTTGTGCCTTGAGCAGAAAAACTTTTTTTTTTTTTTGCTATAGCAGGGTCTGCTTCTTTTTCCAGGACATAGCCAGCCCAAAGTCTTGGCTTGAAGCCCTAATTCCCCATCTCTGGAAGTTCTCCATAGTTGCTGAGTGAATTCAACCAGTGAAGTAAAATGCGATTAGAACCAAGTTTGTTATTACATAAACCTGTATATATTATGTAGCCAATTGAAACCTGAGTTTGAAAGAGACAGTGTACTTTGGAAAGAAAAAGGGCAGTTGTTCAAGTCAGAAAGGCCTGGGCTTTCTTTTTGTTGTTTATTGAGGGAGGGGAGTGTATTTCAGTTCTGCATAAGCTTAGTCAAGTTACTTAGCCTCTCCAAGTTTCTGATTTATTAATTGTAGATACTTTGAAAGCTTGCTGTGTTGCCAGCTTTCAAATATCATTTGTTGAGGCTGGCACAATGTTTGACCATAATTAAAAGAAATAAAATTACAAGTACACATTTTGAAAATTATTAATCAGGTTACAACTTGTATATATATGCTCTTTCAGTCCTTACCACTGCCCTAAGTAGGCTCTCTTACTATCTTCATTTGACCTGATAAAATTAAGCCTCAGAGAAGTTAACCTGACTTGCTCAAGGACATCCAGATAGTAAAGGTCAGAGGGAACCAGGATTCAAACACAGATTGTTCTGATTTCTTAGCTCACGTGGTGCAGTTTGCCCACAACTATGGTCAGCTTACGGAGTGGTGTGGATATACCTCCACATTGTGAATGGCTTTTTGACAAACTCTAGATAAAACCTATATTTCCTGTCTTCCCTGGGGATAGTAGGCAAAAGTTGCAGAAGTGTGGGGCTTCTTAAAAAGCACTTTAAAGGGGGCTCACTCAGTGTGAAACCACACTGTTTGCCCCTTACTCCTTTCAATTGAACATGATGGCTGAAGCTACAATAGGCATCTCATGACCATAAGGTGACCTCTAGGATGAGGGTCATACTAAGGGTAGAGGAGCAGAAACAGAGAATACTCCTGGGTCCTTGATAATTGTGGTGCTACCATACCATCCCTAGAATGCCCACAACTAGACATCTTGTATATGAGAGAAAATACAATTTTTTGTCTTATTTAACCCATTGCTATTTGATGTTTTTAAAAAATATATATGGCTGAACTGAATCCTAGCTAATATAGGCTTCCACTAGATTTTTCATGTTTATGTTTCTTGGACTGAGGAATATGACAGTATGGAGACTTCAATCACATTTTAAAATTTATAAGGCATAACTGAATCAGGCAAGATACACAAAATAATAGCCAGAGAATGCCAAAATGACCATATAATTTGTTACTTCTTCTGGCTCAGGACAATCACAAAAAAAGAAAGGAAAAGCAAATATTTGTTATTCTGCTTTGTAGTATTCCAAATATCCATCATTTAGCTCCCAAGGGAAAGACTCCCAAAGACTGAAGCTTCTGGAGTAAAACCTCATATCTGTCCCCTAAGAAATCATCCTACTAGTTGGTCTAATCTTTTTGAATACTGCTATAAGAATAGTCTACTGATCTCCATGTTCTTAAAAGAACATGATACAAGAAGGTCCACAAACAACGGGGACTACATATTGAGTACTTGCTCCATCCGAGGCAGCACTCTAACTCCTTTACATCAATTTACCTCCTTGAATTTCAAAGTAACCTCATGATCATTAATTTCTTTTACAAATCATCAGGCTCACATACAGAGAGATTCTAAACTAGGTATGCACAGGAAAGAATGATTTCAAAGAAATAATGATACAGCAAATGATTTGAAACCCATCTAATACTTTCAATTACAAAAAAAAGTTATAGATGCCCTCCTTAAGGGAAAAATATTAAATCAGAAATACCTCTCTTTTTAATATAGGAATTGACTTTAATTAAAGCAAGTTATGAAGTAAATCTCTAGAGCCTTAAAGTTTTTTGCTTATTCTGGTTTTAAATTTCTTAGCTGTACTGATAGAGAACCTTGATTTGATGGCAAACTAGCTAAGGCAGAAAGCTCAACAACACACTCAAGTCATACATTATCCTTGAGGTAACAGCAAGCTAAAGGGTGTTTGTGTTTATTTGTTTTTGTAGAGGGTTATAGTCTTTAAGAGGGCAAATTAGTAAAGATCAAATGCCAGTTAGGAACAAGATAACAAAAAATTTTCAGAAGCAATTAAAAATGCATAAGGAAATATCAACATACTTTCCCCAAAATTATTTTGGAGTGAAGTCATTGGAGGCATGCCTCCCATGCACAGGCACCATTATCTTTGCATTTATTCTGGGGGCTGTACAGTGTATCTTCCACTTCCCCTTCCAGATCCTATTTCCACTGCTTTTCACCCTTCTCAGTTCCCCAAGAGGCTGGCCAGTGGGGCCACTTCCAGTGGGGTTGGCCATTGGAGCACATTAGCAGGAGACCAGAGGGGTGGAGGAAAGCATGTTTAGGCCATGCATTCCCTAGAGTCTCCACAGGTTTTAACAAAGCACATGCTTCTTCCACCCTGGCATCCCTCTTCACAGCTCTCATTCTTTCTCTCCATTTATTTTTCTTTAGGTTTTAGTAACTATTCCTTTTCCTTCCCCATTCAGACCCAGCCTATTTCTAGCCCCAAGGTAGTACCCAAACTCTTTTGGGGTTCCCATATTCTGACCATAACATGGTAAAGGATCTCTTTCTAAAGTGCTCTTGAAACTACACAGCTTGTGTGTCATCTGCTTCCTGCCAGAACCCTTATTAAGGCAAAATGCCTTAGAAATCTTGGCTATGAAGACTTGGATATGAGAAATCAGCTCCCTTTACAGCTCTCTACCTTAGAAAACAGCCCCATGTATAATGTCCTTTTTGAGGATTATGCAGGGGAGTTCTAAGGTTATTACAGTCATAAATAAAGATGTTAACAGCTACAGGGATCCAAGAGTACCAGCAAGAAAACTTCCTTGTGCCAACCTGAGATGAAGAATAGTTCATATCAAAATGAAAGGGGAGAGGCAGCAGTTGAGTTATAATAAACAGAGCAATAAGCCACAGGCAAAGCCCAATAAGCAGGGAGAAGCAGGCAGGCATGCCTACCTTGGGATGTGAGATCAGGGCCAATTGGATGAAAATGGGAAGTCACTTCACGAACCAGACACAATTGCTCAGGCAGCCTGTAGGGCAGAGAACAGAAAATAGGGAAAAGGCAACTTAATTCAAATAAACTTTTCCGAACATGACTTGAGACAGGCTTATCATAAAATCCCTCACAGCGGTACGTATTGGAGTTATTCCATTACATTTACACATATTAGAGTCCTCAATACAGCCATGATTATAGATCATATTCTTATTGAAGCCTGATTGATTTTCTAATTCATTCATTAGTTCATTTACTTCTTCATCATCCATCCACCCATCCACTCAACAAACAATGTCAGGGCATCTACAGAGTACAAAGCATGATATTATGCATGTGAGATACAAACAAAAGCAAAGGACAGTCCCTAACTATAATCTGGTTGGGCACATTAACAGAGAGATGAACAAGCTAATGATTTCATGATAAGTGATGGACACCATGATAAGTGCCAACAAGAAGTGGACAAATTCCTAGACACATACAGCCTACCAAGGTTGAGCTATGAATAAATCTAAAACCTGACCAGACCAATAACAGGTAATGAGATTGAAGCCATAATAAAAAGGTCTCTCAGTAAAGAAAAGCCCGGGACCCAATGGCTTCACTGCTGAATTCTACCAAACATTTAAAGAAGTGCAAAGGTAGTGAAATGCAGAGGGCAAGGGAGCACAGAGGAAGCAGACATGGTTCGGAGTCTGAGGGTCCTTGGGGATAGCCAGGGAAAGCTTCATGGAAGAGGAGGCAACTGAGCTGAATTTTAATGTTGAATCTGACTTAAAAAGAGGAAGAGTATCCTAGCATGTGGTATGGATCATAGGCATCTTTAAATAGACAATTTCAAAAGAGCACAAAATTTTCTTCACATCTTTCAAGGAAATTCAATGCCTGAAGTGATACCCAGTGTCTGAACTACCCCCATCCTTTTCCTAACACATACCTTTGTTGCTAGGCAACAACCCCTGGGCTAGATCCAGCCTTATTCTCAATTAATTTGGGGGAGATATTTTGTTGTTTAAATTAATACCCTTGGAGCTTCATTTTACAAAGAACAGGGAATTGCTTTGGGCCTTTCTATTTGGTTTAACTGTGAATTTTCTAACTTCTCTTCAATCATACTTCCACCTCAATTTAGATCCAAAAAAGTCACACCTATCACAATGAAGAAGAACTGGTGTAATTGTTTCGAAACAACCTTTCTCAGATCCACTT
The DNA here is from genome assembly GCF_000001405.40 of Homo sapiens. Classification (NCBI taxonomy): domain Eukaryota; kingdom Metazoa; phylum Chordata; class Mammalia; order Primates; family Hominidae; genus Homo; species Homo sapiens. Next base: position 7,993,481 of record NC_000003.12, read on the forward strand.
GCTTAGAAGCTATTAAACTTTTTGAACTCTCTTGGGAAATAGAAAAATGATTAAGATGAGTTTTGAGTATCTTTTTATAACAAGGAAATCTTGCAATATAGAAAAAGGTGTATTGTAATTAAGTACATTAAACTTTGACTGCCTCCAGCTATGTAACCAATGCAATGCCAGGGGTTAGGTGACGGAAAGCAATGTGCTTCGGGGTTTTCATTCCTGAAAATTTTTAAGGCTGATAGAAAAGTGTCCTGGTGCTGCACTATGAAGAAATATTCGTTTTTGATTTATATGAAATGCTATTGAATCATTTTATGGAAAGAGGCAGACTTAATTAGAATTATCTCCAAGAAAAATGAAGGCCCTAGAATAATTCATAAAATATGAGCTTACTGTGCAGAAGAGATGTGTTCATTGCTTTACAGGTGTATAGAAGGAGACAAAAGGATACGATCAAAAACCGTTTGCAGTAATACCTGTAGTTGGGTTGAGAAACAGTAATGGAGTTTCAAATGCTGTAATGAATCATGTAAAGGAGTATGTAATTGAGCGTGTACAGGCATACCTCATTTTATTGCATGTCACTTTACTGATCTTCTCAGATACTGCACTTTTTACAAATGGAAGGTTTGTGGTAACCTTGTATTGAGCAAGTCTATTGGCACTATTTTTCAAACAACATGTGCTTACTTCATGTCTCTGTGTAATTGTCGTTTTGGTAATTGTCACATTATTTCAACCTTTTTCTTATTATTATATCTATTATGGTTATCTGTGATCAGTGTTCTTTGATGTTACTGTTATAATTGTTTTTGGAAACGATGAACCATGTCCATATAAGATGGCAAATTTAATCAATAAATATTATGTCTGTTCTGACTCTGCCAACAACTATCCATTCTCCTTTCTCTCTCCATCTCCTTGGGTTTCCCTATTCTCTGAGACACAATGAACAATAGTGAAATTAAGCCAGTTAATAACCCTATGATGGCTTCTAAGTGTTCAAGTGAAAGGCAGAGTCTCAAATCTCTCATTTTAAATCAAAAGCTAGAAATGATTAAACTTATCAAGGAAGACATGTCAAAAGCTGAGGCAGGCATAAAGTTAAACCTTCTGCACCAAACAGCCAAATGGTGAATAAAAGGAAAAGTTCTTCTAGGAAATTAAAACTGCTACTCCAGTGAGCACACAAATTATAAAAAAGCAAAGCACACATTGCTGATACAGAGAAAGTTTGAGTGGTCTGGATAGAAGATCAAACCAGCCACAACATTCCCTTAAGCCAAAATCTCATCCAGAGCAAGGCCCTAACTCTCTTCAATTTCAATTCTATGAAGGCTGAGAGAGGTGAGGAAGCTGTAGAAGAAAAGTTGGAAGCTAGCAGAGGTTGGTTCACAAGATTTAAGGAAAGAATCTGTCTCCACAACATAAAAGTGCAAGGTGAAGCAGCAAGTGCTAACTTGGAAGCCATAGAAAGTTTTTCAGAGAAGATCTAGTGAAGATAATTGATGAAAGTGGCTACCTGAAATAACAGATTTTCAGTGTAGATAAAACAGCCTTATATTAGAAGATGCCATCTAGGACTGTCATAGCAAGAGAGGAAAAGTCAACACCTGGCTTTGATGATTCTCGTGTTAGGGGTTAATGCAGCTGCTTATTTTTAGTTGAAGTCATTATTCATTTACCACCCTAAGAATCCAAAATCTACTCTGCCTGTGCTCTAGAAATGGGACAACAAAACCTGGATGAAAGCACATCTGTTTACAACATAGCTTGCTAAATACTTTATACCCACTGTTGAGACTTACTTCTCAGAAAAAGAGATTTCTTGCAAAATGGTACTGCTCATTGACCATATATCTGGTCACCCAAGAACTCAGATGGAGATGTACAAGGATATTAATGTTTTTATGCCTGCTAACACAAAATTACTCTTTGATCCATTTTGCAGCCCATGGACCAAAGAGTAATTTTGACTCTGAAGTTATTATCTAGGAAATACATCTCATAAGGCTACATAGATAGTAATTCCTGTGATAAATCCAGAAAAAAGTAAATTGAAAACCTCCTGGAATGTATTCAACATTGTAGTTGCCATTAAGAGCATTCATGATTCACGGGAGGGGATCAAACTATCCACATAAACAGGAGTTTAAAATATGTTGATTCCAACTTTTATGGGTGACTTTGAGGAGTTCAAGACTTCAGTGGAGGGGATAGGTGTTCCAAATAATGACAGAACTAGAATTAGAAAGGGAGCATGAAGATGTGACTGAATTGCTGCAATATCATGATTAAACTCAAATGAATAAAAAGTTGCTTCTTGTGGATAAGCAAAGAAAGTGGTTTCTTGAGATAGAATTTACTCCTCGTGAAGATGCTATGAACATTGTTGAAATGACAACAAAGGATTTAGAATGGTACATAAACCTAGTTGATAAAGCAGTGGCAGGTTTTGCGAGCATTGACTCCAGTTTTGAAAGTAGTTCTACTGTGGGTAAAACGTTATCAAATAGCACTGCATGAGAAATCTTTTGTGAAAGAAAGAGTCAGTCAATGTGGCAGACTTCATTGTCTTATTTTAAGAAAGCGCCACAGTCACCGCACCTTTTAGCAACCACTGCCCTGATCAGTCAGCAGCCATCAACATCGAGGCAAGATCTTCCACTAGCAAAATCATTATTACTCACTGAATACTCAGGTGATCATTAGCATTTTTTTTAGCCATAAAGTATTTTTTTAATTTTATGCCATAAAGTATTTTTTAAAGGATTTTAGACATAATGCCATTGCTCACTTATTAGACCACAGTATAGTGTAAGTATAAGTTTTATATCTACTAGGAAGCCAAAAAAATTGTGTCACATGCAAGTATTGAATATTTGCTTTACTGCATTAGTTGGAACCAAACTCGCAGTATTTCCAAGGTGTGCCTGGATTTAGAATACAGAGCATTAAGTATAGAAAACAAACATAATGCTTTTTTTTTTTTTTTTTTTTGAGACAGAGTCTTGCTCTGTCACCCAGGCTGGAGTGCAGTGACACGATCTTGACTCACTGCAACCTCTGCCTCCCGGGTTCAAGTGATTCTCCTGCCTCAGCCTCCCAAGTAGCTGGGACTACAGGCATGCACCACCATGCCAGGCTAATGTTTGCATTTTTAGTAGAGGCAAGGTTTCATCATGTTGTCCAATCTGGTCTCGACCTCCTGACCTCAAATGATCCACCCACCTCGGCCTCCCAAAGTACTGTGATTACAGGTGTGAGCCACCACGCCCAGCCAGAATGTCTTAATGGAATCTTGCTGTCTATTAATGTGATGCCTGTTCCCCCTGTTACCCTGTGTTCCATAGAGGAACAAAACTCTTTGCCAAAGACTTTGGAAATCCTCCTACTTAAGGGTTTTCTCTAAAATGCAGAGACTCTAAATGACTTACTCAAACCTGCCTGTCTTCACTTTGGGTTTCAATATATGTGATATGCATAAATATATATATATAAATATATATGAAACATACAACAAATATAGAAAATGACACAAGACTCCCAAGTATGCAAAGGCCAAATATAGCCGATATTAGCATTCCATTGTATTTTTTTCAAAACTCTTTTTTATTTTTTGTTACAAATTGGAGCTATGTCTTTCTTCCCACTCTTTCTTGCCCTGCTCCCTCCCATGTATAGGTACCAGAGCTCTAAAGTTGGTGATTATCATTATTGTCCATATTTTTGTACTTTTTCTAAGTTTACATGTATCTATAAATAAGATACAGTATTGATTACTGCTTCTCTATAATGTACATAAATGATGTCACAGCATATATATTCTTTGTACCTAAACTGGACTTTTGGCACCTTTTCACACCATGTGTTGATTTAAAGTGCACAATTAAATCAACATTACCCAGAAACATCTTGATAGAATCAAGTAAAGAGATCTCATGGTATATTAACAAAAATGTGAGGATTGCTATCAGAATCACTCTTAGAATTCATACCTCTGTATGGCAGTGGTCAGTAAACTATTTCTATAAAAAGAGCCAGATAGTAAAAATGTTCTGCTCTGAAGGATATATGGTTTCCATGGAAACTACTTGATCTATTTCAAATAAAAAAAGCAGGCATAGATAATATGTAAGTGAATGGGCATGGCTGTGTTCCAATAAAACTTTATTTATAAGAACAGACTATGGGCTGTTTTTGAAGTTTGCCAACCTCTGGTACGTGGCAGTGAGAGAGGAAGGAGGGACCTGGCTGTGCCATCTTGCTGTCTATAGAACTCTGGGGTTGGTAGGGCTGATCTAAGGGGTCAACTTCCTCCTTGATGCTCCAAATGCATCCCTTATGAAGTGCTTCTCAGAGAAAGATAAACCCTCATTAGTGAGGAACACTGTTTGGTCCAATTTATAAGGGGAATGTAAAATTAAATAATTTAAACCTGAAGGTGTTGGAACTTTAAACTATTGTGAGCCCTGAGAGGAATGTGGCTATGTGGCCTGAGTCACATAGCAGTTAGCTGCAACTTTTGCTTTTTCTTGTAAATAATTAGGAAAGACCAAATAGTGCCAAGGATAAGATCCCTGGAGATCATGAACCCCCTCTTATAGAATGTCACAGCAATCTTCCTTAAGCTACAGCAAGCTGTAACCAATTAAATCACTATAATATATGTACTGACCTTGCATGGAGAATGTTTTAACCCTTATAAACTCTGCTTCTGCCTATATAAATGAAACCTTAACTTATCTGCTTTGGAGCACTGACTCTATTCCTTTGGAGTCTGTGTTTCCTGAGTGGCTATTCTCAGCTTTTTGCTCAAATAAACCCTATATGTAATCATAGTTTCTAAATTTAAGGTTGACAGAAACTCTGTACGTGGCTAGCACCTAGTACCAAGAGGCAGGTGGAGCAATGATGTGTTACCATGGAAAGAACACTTAGCTGGCAGTCAGGGGACCTGGGTTTGGTTCTCAGTTTACCACTGTCATCTTTGTCATCTATCTGGTCTCAGGCAAGACACTGTCTCTCTGGGCCTCAGTTTCCCTCCTGAAAAATTACTGTGTTGGGCTACATTATTTCTGAGTTTCCTTACGGTGTCCAGATCTGATGATATTTGGCATGGTATAAATAAATAGAATATAGTGAAAATCCTCAAGGAGGACAGATGATTTATTTAAATTTCATTAGCTTCCTTTCCCTACCTACTAGTCAGTATGAATATGGCTATAAAAGCAGACATCAGGAAGTGACTAGAAAGATGGAGCAGGAATTAAAGGAATCAAGGAGAGAAGAGGTGCTTAGTGTTAAGAGTACCACTATGGATGAAAAGTCCGACTTTAGATATAAAAGCAGCTTATATAAAATTATAAGCTACAGCAAAATTGTTCCATATTGGCCAAGAAAGGAGAAACGAATGCTGTAAGAAGGACTTAGTTTCAGCTCAAGCAAAAGAGATTCTTTCAAGAAATTCTAGATTTCTAAAAATGCAGCAGCTGTTACAGGAGCATCTTATTCATAGATGTGTGCACAAAAAAAAAAAAAGACTGACCACTTGAAGTAATATAAAAGGGTTGAATGAGAAGTTGGACAAGAATCCTGAGACTGAATCTCCTTCTAGACCCAATATTTTATAACTATATCAACATAAACTGGACTTGACATACTTAGAGCTTCCTTCTGAAAATGCCCATTGAATTTTTAGAAATATGTTAGATATTAGATATTAGATATAAAATATATTAGATAAATTTTACAAATTATCTCAGACAAGGAAGATTTTTAAAATATTTATGTTTTTCTTCAGTACCTAGTACAATGCCACATTGTACTAACGGCACATAGTAGGTGCTTATTAAATATTTGTCAAGTAAATGAAAATTTATATAATACTGCAAAGGGAAGCGTTAAATGGTTTACGTGTTCCTGGTCAAACTTGAGCTAGCTTCCCTGCTTTTCTCTTCTAAACATCTCCACAGGGTCATCCAATTAGTGTTTGAATTGAGTGGCCATGTGAGCCTAAGAGCAAACGCTTGCATTCCAAGACATGGGGAGGGCTAGGAAAAGGCAGACCATCCAGTAAGGTTTGGTTGGCCACAGCCGCATGTGGTCCATTGTTAACTTGGCAGCATTCCCATGTGCTGCAGGCTGAGGTGAACCCTGGCAATTAACGCAATCACCTTCTCTGTAGCAGCAGCAGGATTCTCTGGAAGTTATAGCAGTTAAGAGGAGAGCACAGCTTGAGGCTCAGATCTGGGATGCCAGGGTAGAGGTGTAGGGGAGTCTGTTCTGCCTCCAGCTTCAATAAACTCTGGCTTTGGAAACAAGATTCATAGCAGAGAACGACCAAAGGGGAAAGAAACCCATTCTTTTCCCACTCAGAGTAGAATGGGGATGTGTCTATGTGTTGCGGGGCAGCGGGGCGGAGGGGGGTCAAAAATATAAAACAGTCAGTGATGCTGCTGCTTCTTCCAAGTGCATTCAGCTACATGATTCATTTGATCCTGCTGTAAGGTGAACCAACAGAATGACCTGGAGCTTCAGACTCCTAATTTCAGACCCCTAACCCATGCCAATAATAAATCTGAGATTCATTTCATTTTCTCATGTTTCATGTCATTTTGTCTCATGTTTCCACAGCCAGATAAAATAAATCCCCTCTCAGAAGCACCTGGACCTGAGAGGCCATCACCCAGGTGTGCAGCTTTGGAAACTAGAAAAGAGTATGATGATTATCATTCTGTTTTCTATAGAGGAAAAAGATGAGCAAATGAGGATCAGAATCCTGCCAAGTCTAAAGCCAGTGCCTCCATGGAAACCTAATTTCTACTTAATAGCACTAAATGATTAAATGAGACCCTTTGACACTGCTTCTTAACAAGGCATGATAGCTGGGTGCTTTGTTTTATGATTCTAGTTGTTGAATATGATTAAGAGAAGATTCTCTGAGCTCTCTTTCAACCTTAGAGAACCCTAAAATGTTTTTTTAATTACACCAGCAAAGCTGGAAGATAACATACACTACATTTATTGATCAATTTCTCCAAGTGCTGGGGTTATACTTGGCACTTGCTAGATGATTACATTATATTTGCTGTTAATAATTGCACCCCGGGAACTAATTTAACTCCTCATTCCCCCCCAGAGTAGTATTTTACCTTACCCTTTAGTTCAAGGGAAAGTTGGTGAATCTTAGTCGCCATAAATGAGATAAAAGGTAATTTGTCAGATTAAATCCCTGAGCTGAAAATTAAACAGTGAGAACACTGTACGAGGTTTTTATGATTCTCAATCCTTGAGGTGATCACGGAGACATAAATTTAGGTTTCAAAATTGGAGTCATTCCCCAAGGAAGGGACTGGGTTTGGCCTGAGAGGGAGGATCTTGAGGTGTGGGAAGTGATGACATCAGGCTCAGTTTTTCAAAGGAAACTTTAGAAATGAGGAGGATTTTTAGAAAGTGAGAGAAAGTGCACGTGGCCTGCATGGGGTCCTGAGAAGATACAGGTTAGGTCACATTCATCTGGGAGGAGGGGGAGCTGTAGAGGTGGAAGCACTGGGCTGCTCACATCCCTTCAAGGAGAAACCCTAGAAAACATTACAATAATGACTCAGCCCTACCTGATCTGGACACCCTACCCTCACCCCCTCCCTATCACTCTGCCCTTTGCCTGCCCCACCCACCCATGCTGCCCAGGGTCTTCCTTGACTTTCCCTGCATGTTCCTGCCCCAGGACAGTTGTATTTGCTGTTCCTTCTGCCTGGAATGCTGCCCCCTCACTCCCCAGGCGATCACCTGGCTCACCCCTCACTCCTTCAGGCCTTTCCTCAAAGGTCTCCACTTGATGAGAATTTCCCAGACCACCCTGTTTAAAATAGGAATCCCCTGCCTCCTGACCTGCCCACTCTCCTTGAAGGCTCTTTTTTCCCACAGCACTGATCACTTTTAACATATCATATACTTTACCCTTTTATTCTCTGTCTCCCTGTCACTCCTGAATACAAGCTCCCTGTGAGTGGTGATTGTTGCCTGTTTTGGTCACTGCTGTCTTCCCAGTGCCAAGAACAGTCCCAGGGTACATAGTTGAATGAATGAAAGAGAGAAAACAAAAGTCCAACTCAGGGAAAGAAAAATAAGAGAAACCCCAAGCAGGATGGAAGAGATGAGTTGCAAGGATAAAAAGAGAACTCCAAAAGCTGAGATTTTGGGAGACGTACATAAAGAATAGAGCAAGATAAATTGCCCCTGCCATCCCTGCTGTGTGGCTTGGCATGGGGGCTCATCACCTGACGTCCGCCCTTTAAAATGATCTGCTCACACCTCATAGGTTCTGTTCTGCCTGAAATAGTTACAGCGACTCAGCACAGAGGGGTGGGAGTAAATTATTCTCTAGGCTGTATCAGCTGTGGCCAGAGCTGTGTTATCTGGCGGGGTCTTGGCAGTGGCTGACTGAGGCTGGAGCAGGCCCGGGCGGGCAATCTTGGCATGCTGTACTCTCCACAGTGCTGCCACATGTCTGGTAGGAATAGAAGGAAACATGTCACCAGAGCTCATCCCTCCTTATACCAAACCACAGAATGATCTAAAATTTCCATTCAATTAAACAGTAGAGAAAGAAGAATAACCACATGCATAAAACTCTACTATCCCCTGAGATTCCTCTAAAATGAGAAAAAAATATAGACTTTCTGAAAAAGAGAAGAATCTGAAAGGGCAACAAAGATGAAATAAGAGATAATAGTAAATAAGGGATGTTAATTTATTTTGGCAAGAGTGGGAGACAATGGAGGAATTGGCGTATTTCATCAGTTCTAAAACATGCATCTTTTTAACATTTTAATGTTTCTGAAATCAGAATGGCTCTTACAATTGGTGGTATCTTACAGTTGTAATTGGCAGCATTTTTCCTTCTAAATTATTTATTAGATAATGAATAATGTATTCTATAATCGATTGCATCTTAGATGAAATAAAACATGATAACAGCACAGAGAAATCTGAATGCTGAAAGTTCACAGAGGGCCATGCCAATGAGAGGAAGCCAAGCTCCCTTGCAGAATTCCAGAAGGGGCAGAAGATTTGCCTGCACCGTGTGCTATGAGGGTTGGGGTGAAAAGCTGGGCCAACGAGGGATTGGTTGAAAGTTGGTAGAAGGAACCACAGACTCCTCCAGATCCCTGACACTTTCCGCACCGATGCAGCCAGCTAACTACCCTTCTCTTCCCCTCATTCCCTGGATCCAGATAAAATACAGGAGGTTCAATTAAATTTGAATTTCATATTATAAATAATTGCATGGGACATATTTATGCTAAAAATATTCTTTGGCCATCTGACATTCAGATTTCAATGGGCAGCCTCTATTTTGTTTCTGTTTGGATGTGGAGGAATTGAATCAGACATGTTCTAAACTGTGACATGCAAGCTCCGTGGAAACCTAGGAAGAGGCACAGTACTGAGCACAAACAGTTTAAGTAAAGACCTATTGAATGATGACAGACTCAGCCACATTTTATTTGTTGTTGTTGTTTGTTTGCTTTTTTGAGACGGAGTCTCACTCTGTCACCCAGGCTGGAGTGCAGGGGCGTGATGTAGGCTCACTGCAACCTCTGCCTCCAGGGCTCAAGCAATTCTCCTGCCTCAGCACCCTGAGTAGCTAGGATTACAGGCGTCCACCACTGCGCATGGTTAATTTTTATATTTTTAGTAGAGATGGGGTTTCGCCATGTTGGCCAGTCTGGTCTTGAACTCCTGACTTTAGGTGATCTGCCAGCCTTGGCCTCCCAAAGTGATGGGATTACAGGCATGAGCCACCACACTCGACCACTCAGCCACACTTTGTAGTTCAGCTTTGAGAGCACTGAGGGTCAGATTCACTCCCTCACTCCCATCACCACCATCCAAGACAAGAAGGTTGGGAGCTCTTGTGTGGGGACCCTGACTTTGGAAGATCCCCTAATGAAGCAGCTAGTCCCCTGCCTACCTAATCATCCGACAGAGAAGCCCACCATTCAATGAGTTCTCTCTCCCTGCTCCCCGTGAATATATGGGACTCTCATGCAGATTTCTGCCCCACTCTGAAAATGGGCAGACAACAAAACACCGCTAGACATTCAAAGGAAGCCTGCAATTTGGGAAACAGTAACAGACAATAAAACAGAAAAAGAACTGGCCGGGCGCAGTGGCTCAAGCCTGTAATCCCAGCACTTTGGGAGGCCGAGGTGGGCAGATCACGAGGTCAGGAGATCGAGACCATCCTGGCTAACACGGTGAAAACCCGTCTCTACTAAAAAAATACAAAAAATTAGCCAGGCGTGATGGCAGGCGCCCGTAGTCCCAGCTACTGGGGAGGCTGAGGCAGGAGACAGGCGTGAACCCAGGAGGCAGAGCTTGCAGTGAGCCGAGATAGCGCCACTACACTCCAGCCTGGGTGACAGAGCGAGACTTCGTCTCAAAAAAAAAAAAAAAAAAGAGAACTTACAAGACAGAAAGGTAATATGAGAACGGGGTGGTAGGGAAGCCTAAAAGATAACTAGCATGTTAGAGGGAAGAAATGGTATTGGATTTATGAAAGAGTATCATCCTGTCTTTAAGAGGGAACAACAAAATAAGAAATTCTTTAAAAATATAATCATCAGAATTAAAAAAAAAACAATTAGGCCCAGCGCGGTGGCTCACGCCTGTAATCCCAGCACTTCGGGAGGCCCAGGCGGGTGAATCACCTGAGGTCAGGAGTTCGAGACCAGACTGACGGATATGGTGAAACCCCGTCTCTACGAAAAATACAAAAATTAGCTGGGCATGGTGGGCGGCACCTGTAGTCCCAGCTGCTTGGGAGGCTGAGACAGGAGAATTGCTTGAACCCAGGAGGCAGAGGTTGTAGTGAGCCGAGATTGCGCCACTGTACTCCACCCTGGGCAACAAAGCGAGACTCTGTCTCAAAAAAAAAAAAAAAATGGAAGGGTAAAGGTAAAGATTGTGAAATCTCTCAGAAAATAAAATAAATAGGCATACAGATGAAAATTTGGAATAAAAAATATATAATATTGAGAGGATCCATCCAAGAAGTGTTCAACTAACAGGAGGCCTAGAAAGAGAAGAAAAATCAGGAAGAAACAAAATTATCAAAGAATGTAAGAATATTATCTGGAACCAATAAATATGTGTTCCTGGACTGATAGGGCCCACAAAATGCGCAAGACCAAGAATGGAAATAGTGCAAAGTCAGACCCATTGGCATAACCACCAGAACCCTAGTGATGAAGATTCTTAAAGAATTGGGGGTTGAGGCTACATGCACATCCAAGTTATGGTTTGGGAGCAGGTGAGCACCACATTTCAGGAATGACATCACCTTCTGAGATGGGAATCTCAGTAAAAGTCCAAGATCCCAAGGGGGTGGGAAAGGATGTTTGAGGGGTGCATGGAATAAGTTAGGCTGGAATCACTTCTGAGCAGCTATCCACACAGCCTTCACTCAAGTGAACAATGCACTTCACTTGGCTCTCATGATGTGCAGTTAGCCTCTTCTAAAAGAACTCACTGCCACCATGCACGCTGGAAATTCTGGACTCAACATCTGATTATACTAAATGACAGAGAAAATGAGCAAGATTTCATGACTCAGAAGCATTCAAAGTACTCAAGATATTTACAAATAAGCACACTGTAATTAACCATAATTAATTGAAAGCAATAATTGAAATTGGGAAATCTCATGCAAAAATCTAGATTTCTGGCTGATTTCAAAGCACATGTAGATTTGAAAACATAAGGCTCATCTTCTTGAGACAATTGGCTGGAGCTTAATAGTTGCCTGCTTCAGATTAGGCTTGCTGTTCCAATTAGCCAGAGTCTCTATCACTCCCTATTTTCCCTGAGTCTTGATGTCAGTTGTCCATTGCTATTTGTCATTGAATGGACGTTCTCTTTTTTTATTGTAATAGAGTTAAGTGGAAAATGAACCTTTACCTTAACATGGTCAGCATCACTCAGACTCATCCCCAGCCTAATTCTTGTGGGCATTTGAATTGCTATCCTGCTTCAGCAAGCCACAGCATGACATCCCACTAGCATTGTGTCTAGCTACCACTTAAAAACTGCACCATGAAGACAATTTTGTTTTCTTTTTTCTTTTTTTTTTTTTTTTAGATGGAGTCTTGCTCTTGTCCTCCAGGCTGGAGTGCAATGGCGCGATTTCAGCTCACTGCAACCTCTGCCTCCTGGGTTCAAGTGATTCTCCTGCCTCAGCCTCCCAAGTAGCTGGGATTACAGGCACCTGCCACCACATCCAGCTAATTTTTGTAATTTTAGTAGAGATGGGGTTTTACCCTGTTGGCCAGGCTGGTCTTGAACTCCTGACCTCAGGTGATCCACCCGCCTCAGCATCCCAAAGTGCTGGGATTACAGGAGTGAGCCACCATGCCCGGCCAAAAATTTCATTTAAAGAGAAGCCCTTGGTAGGAACCAGGGATGGAAATGCTTTTGATAACTAACCACTTAATTATTCTGGATCTCAGTTTCCTTCTGCAAGAGAAATCTTAAATCTTGTGATGCTTAGTTGCCAAGGTGCTGCTAATGTAGTAAGAAAAAATATGGCCAATGGAGAAAGTAATATTTCCATTATCAAAACTAAAGTCCCATTTAATGACTTTTCTCTTATTTACCCCAGCTCAAACATGAAAGCCCCCATTGTGTACACTGTATTTCACAATATTTCCCTGGTTTATCCTTTCTATATATTTTCAATTTAGAAACATTAAAAAAGAGAGAAAAAATAAGTTATGATTTGGCATTTTAGAGAGATTAAAGATTGTAGACAATTCTAACACTTTAATACAGAGACTTTTCACAAGCTTAATTGAGGATGGCTCTAAAAATTAAGGAGAAAAAGATAAAAGTAACGTGTTGTTATCAGTAAAAGCTGCCAAGAATTTATCAAGAGTTTGATGTGGCTGTGTTTCAGTTGGCCTTGACTAGAAGTGGAGATGCTCTGAAACTCTCCTATTAGTTTAGTGCAAAAGTAATTGTGGTTTTTGCCATTGAAAGCAATGGCACACCCCACAATTACTTTTGCACCAACCTAATATAATTGGTATGTCCTTAATTGTGGGGTGAAATAAAGGCCAAAATCATTTTATATATTGCCTCAGCTTACCTCATGTGGGCTATTTCAGGCAGGGGAATCCAAAGCCCCAGGGGAATGAAACGGTATGGCTGCCTGACAAACTTTGCTTTGTTCAAGGTGTTAGAGCAGGTATGAACCTTGAGGAGGGAGGTGGCACAGATGAAGGGTTGTGGCATAAATTTTGCTGAACTATTCATGTAGATGGTATAGCATATTATACTAGATGTGTTCACACTCCAGAAATATGCGGTTGTTTAGAAGAAATGCTTCCGGTCTTCTTTGTTACATGCCTCTTTATTAATGTCAGTAATGATAAGCACCTTTTATTTGAGTGCTACAAGTGCATTTCACTGCATTAGGTATTTTTATGCATCATCTCTGATCTTCAGAACTACGTTGCTAAGTGGATAATTACCCACTATTAACCCAATCATCCATCCAACCTACACATGTGTTTTGAGCTCTGCCTTCATGCCAGGGCCTTTGTACCCAGCACAGGAAATGCAGTTGTGAATAAAACAGTCAAGGTCCCTACATTCATAAAACATATATTCTGGTAAAGAGTAACCTACAATTAACTGCAATATAAAATGTAACAAATTAATAAGCACCATGAAAAAAATGAAGACAAGGAGAAAGGAAGATATGATAAAGAATGTGGGTGACTACTATATATGTATATTTGTTTACAAACTGTAATGAGTGCCACCACCATATAATACAAGGAACCTATTGATGAATACGCAATGAGAGTAAACTTAATTTTGGCTTGGGTGAGGTGTCAAAAAAGACCTGTGTAGGTAAGTGGCATTTAAGCTGAGACTTCAGTTAGGTGGGGTGTTAGGTGAGGTGGGGGTGGTGGGAGGCGGGTTGTAAGTAAGAGGAATAACATGGACAAATGTCTTGATGTAGAAAAGAACTTGACTTATTGGAGGTGCTAAACTAAAGCCACAGCAAGGAGAGTAACTCACGGAGTGGGACAAGGTGAGGTAGAGAGGAGAATGGCACAGGTCAAACGCTCATGAAGATCAGTGTCATATCTAAGGAAATAGGTTGTTACAGGTTAATAGAGCCCTAAGAACCCAAAGATAAGTGATCAATATTTGATTAGAATCCAGATATATCAAACTATGTGTCCCATCTATTCAAGTAGCTCTTTCTAGTACGCATGCTGTCTCTGTACCAAGAGGCAGTTGGGAACACACACACACACACACACACACACACACACACACACACACTCCTAAACTGGGAATACCAGTTCAGAAGCAGATCCCTGCAGTTTGGCTGCATATATTTTTGGATAAAGATGACCTGGCAGTGCCTGGCCCATGTTCCTTCAGTACTAAAGCTCAGACCAACAGCTGTGCATCTCAGTAAGGAGCTGGACCATGCAAGTCAAAACTAGGCTGGAAGCACTTAACACCTGAACTCCTGGGCTGCTGGCAAGCCAGATGATAAAGGAATAAACAGTCATCGTACCTCATTCTTGGCCTTTAAATCATCCGAGAGCCTTCATCATTTTTGTCGAGTTATTTTAATTGCTCTCATTTGCAGAAGCAAATTAGGTGCAGCATTGTTCTCAGGATGCTGTTCAGATTGATGCCAGGAAGGAACAAAATGAGCAAAAAAAAAAAAGAAAAAAAGAAAAGAAAGAAAACCTCTTTCCACACAAAAGCCCAACCAATCTCTGTGAGGGAAATTGATTTGTAAACCTTGTCAAAGTAGTTTCAAAAGCAAATCTATTTGGGGCATCGTGGGGTTTGTAATCAAGGTCAGAAGAAATAGTTCAATTAGTACATGTGTCTAACACCAATAAAAGATTTTCCTGCATTAGAACTGTCAAAGAGAATGACCTTACCACTGTATAGTCTCCATGAACTCAGAATCAAAGACAGGATTGTTTCTTATAAAAATGCTATTGAAAGTTTGTTAGATTAAGCCTTATCTAACACATGCTAAATAAAATGGTGATTGGGGAAGTAATTTTGAGAATGCAGGCAACCCACACACTTCTCTCAGGTTATCTGAATAATTTATTTATGTTTTCTCCTCACGAATTTGGGTTGTTCTGATTAATTTACTGCTTAATGACCTGACCACAGGAAGGAGAACAGGGAAAGGAAGATTTGGTCGAATTCAACACATTTTTAATGAATGCATATTCAGACCAACTACAGAACAAAGCACTGGAGATATATTCTATAGCAGGGGTAAGGAAGAGACAGACACTTTCTGAGATCCCAGAATGTACCGTTGAGCTACAAACTTGCTCAGACCCTCAATGCCATTCTCAAGGACTCACACAGGCATATGAGGCATCCCTTGGGAGCATATATGATGGATTCCCAAAGAAGTTTCAATTGGTAAGATTTTGTGCTGTCATCTAGGGACCATTAACATAATTCCAAAATTTCAACACTTGAAAATACAATCTAGGTTCTTATTGATCTGGAAGCTCAGTAAAATCACAGTCCTTTGTGTCTAGGTTTTAAACTATTTTCTACATTTTGGGTATATTTTACAAACTATTTTCTTAAGCTACTTGTAAGCCATTATTTATGTGGGTCCTGCCTCTGAGGATTCCTCTGCATGTCAGCAATGATGTTTTTTCAGAATTTGGTACCAGGACCTCCTACATCACAGCCATTTGGCAAGCTTGTTAGAATGTATATTCTAAGACTTCCCAAAAACCCACTGAATCATAGTACTTGAGGAAGAGACCTAGGCACCTGCATTTTACTCATCTGAACATGGTGATGTGCCTACAAGTTTGAGGACAAATTGTCTAGAGTTAAAACATTACACAAATGCTGAACTTGAATAATATGGCTTATTATCTTCATGAAACTTAAAAAAAAAAGACTTTAAGCAAAACTTCTTAGGAAGTTACAATGCAATTATGAAAGGTGAGTAAAAAGCTGAAGCTAAATACATCAGGGAAGAAAGAAAGCTTATCTTGCCAAAACTCCTGGCAAAGTCCAACAGTTTTCTAAGGTCTTAGAAATAATATTGGCTTCTGAAGATAAATGAGTTTATGAAATAAGAAATTTTGTCATTCCATTATTATGTGCAAGTAGATCGGGTTTGGGTTGAGGAGCAGCTCCTTTCCCTATGCATGTCATTTTTACTCTATTTTTTCCCAAGGCCTTGGGTTGGCTGGCTGTCTTTACAAGGTTAGATAATAAAAGTAAGAAAAATCTACTGGATTCCCTAGACCAATATATCCAATAGAAATTTGTGCAAAGATGGAAATACCATCCATCCTCATTATTTATGGATTCCAAATTTGCAAATTTGCCCAATCGCTAAAATTTATTTCTCCAAAGTCAATACTCACAGGGCTTTTGTGATCATTCATGGATGAATTTGAGTGAAAAATGTGAGTTACCAGATATGTACATTCCAAGCTGAGATCGAACAAGACCTCATCCTGTCTTCTTGTTTTCAGCTCTCATACTCTATCTGATTTTAGGTCTCTTTAGTGCCATGTTGTTCATATTTTTGCACTCTTTTTTGGTGATTTCACTATTTAAATAGTGCCCAAGTGTAGTGATAAAGTACTGTCTAATGTTCCTAAGCACAAGAAAGCTGTGTTGTGCCTTATGGAGAAAATAAGTGGATTAGATCAGATTCATCCAGGCATGAGTTATAGGGCTGTTGGCCATGAGTTCAATGTCAATGAATCAATTATATATATATATATGTATATATATATATGTATATATATATATGTATATATATACATATATATATGTATATATATACATATATATATGTATATATATACACATATATATATAAAATAAGGTGTTTTAAACAGAAATACATAACACAAGGTTATATAATGAATGCTTGATGAAAACGTTATGACCATAGGCTCACAGGAACCTAACTCAGTATTTCTGCTAGGAGGGAATGTTCAGTATTCACTAATGCAGTGCTCATGGAGACTATAGAATATAACTATCATGAATAATGAGAATTGACTGTATTCCATTCTGAGGATGCTAGCCACTCATGACTATTGAGCACTTAAAATGTAGCTAGCACAAGGAAGACGGTAAATTTTTATTTACATGTTAGTAAAATTTAAGTAAATTGAAATAAAATACAATTTTGCAATTACAGTAGCCACATGTGGCCAGTGGTTATTTTATGTGCAATGCAGCTGTAGACTCTGGAAGCCCTGGTTCTCATGAGGCGCATGTATTAGTTTAGTGTTGTTGAATAACTAACTACCATGTGTCAACGAAGAGTGAAACTGTAAAATATTTGAAAAAATTTATTCTGAGCCAAATATCAGTGACCATGGTCCATGACTCAGCCCTCGGGAGGTCCAGAGAACATGTGCCCAAGGTGTTGGTGTGCAGCTTGGTTTTACATATCTTAGGGAGACATGAGACATAAATCAATCAATTTGAGAAATACATTGGTTTGGTCCAGAAAGCCGGGACAACCCAAAGTGGGGTGGTGGGCGGGGTGGGGGTTTCCAGGCTAAAGGTAAATTTAAGCATTTTCTGGTTGACGGCTGAATTTCTCTAAAGATCTGGTATCAAACAGAAAGGAATGTCTAGGTTAAGATAAGAGGCTGTGGAGACCAAAGTTTAATCATGCAAACAAAGCTTTTAGCTAGCAGGCTTCAGGGAGAATAGGTTGCAAAATGTTTCTTATCAGACTTAAAGTCTGTGTTGATGTTAATGCTGAAGAGGTATAATGAGGCATGTTCAGCCCCCACTTTCCATCATGGCCTGAAACAGACTCTCAGGTTAAATTTTAAGAGGACTGGCTGAGGAGGAAGTCCATTCAGAGGGCTGGGGGGCCTTAGAATTTTATTTTTGGTTTCTACATGTGCTTAATGGCTTAAAATAACACAGATTTATTTTCTCAGTCTCTCTGGATCAGGAGTCTGGGCATGGATTAGCTGAGTTCTCCGCTTTAAGGTCTCAGACTGCAAGCCATGTATTAGCCAGGGCTATAGCCTCATCTCAAGACTCAACTGGGAAAGGATCCACTTCCAGCCTCATGTGGAGGTTTGCTGAATTCAGTTCCTTGTGGTTATAGTGAAACCGCCTTTGCAAACATGATAACTAAGAAATTATAACAGTGAAAGATATCAGACCTAACCAACTTCACCTTGCTTCTAACCTCTAAACTGTCCTTGTCCATTCCTGGATGTAGGCCGAACTAGGCTTGGGAAGGAATTTAGTTTATAGTTTAAATAATAGCCCTTCCCAAAAGCTAAACTGTTAATTGTAAAATTAATGAAAGGCCTCCAGCCACCAAGTTAGAATGAGAGGAGCTGGAATTCTAAATATTACCAGCCGTTATTCCGGAGGTCATAACATTTGCAACTTTGCCAATTATTCTTAAAGGTAACATCACTGTTGTGGACCTAAAGTGGGCCTTTTGAGATGTCTTTTCAAATTTTTGCATTTCTAACAACTGGATGGCCTCACCTGGACCTGCCAACCAGTTGTGTGGCCCCCACCCAGGAACTGACTCAGCATAAAAGAACAGCTTCAACTCCCTATGATTTCATCCCAGAGCCAACCAATCAGCACTCCCAATTCACTGGCCCCGCTACCCACCAAATTATCCTTGAAAACTCTGATCCCTGAGTTTTCAGGGAGACTGATTTGAGTAATAATAAAACTCCTGTCTCCTGCACAGCCAGCTCTTCATAAATTATTCTTTCTCTATTGCAATTTCCCTGTCTTGATAAATCAGCTCTGTCTAGGCAGTGGGCAAGGTGAACCCATTGGGTATTTACAGTAGGACTGAGGGGCTTTTTCTTTCTTTCTTTCTTTTTTTTTTTTTTTTTTTTTTTTTTGGCTAACTGTTGGCTGGAGACTGCCTCCCTAAGTTCCTTTCCTAAGTTTTTTGCCATGTGAACCTACCCAACATTGCCACTTGCTACATCATAGCCATCAAGGAAAAGAATCAGCTCCCAAGAAGAGTATGTTATCCAAAAGATCACCAGGATGGCTGAATAGTAGAAGTGTTACCAGGGGTCCTTGCTCCCAGAGCTCCCAAGATAGTGGCAGGCCGCTTCTAAGATGGTGGCAAGCCTCCTTTTCTCTAACCTGGGGTTCTTGGCCTCATGGATTCCAAGGAATGGAATCTTGGGCCATGCAGTGAGTGTTATAGCTCTATTAGAAGCCTTGGGTCACAGAAGAGAACCGTGGAACCCAGTGACTAGTGTTCATCTCGATTAGGATGAACCCGGGTACTTAGCCATGCAGGAACAATGGCAAGCCTTTAGCCCTATTGGGAGCAGCAGTGGGTGCCTTGCTGGCTCAGAAGCACAGCGGACACCCTTCAGGTGTCACTTCCATCCAGAGGGATGGAAGTCAGCCGCGGGTCTACGACGGCAGCAAACAGCAGTGGTGGATGGCGAGCGAAAGCTCAACTCAAGCCATAACAAACACAGACCAGAAAAGAGTGCAGTTGCAAGATTTAATAGAGTGAAATAGAGTGAAAACAGAGCTGCCATACAAAGGGAGGGGACCAAAGAGGGTAACCATTGCTGGCTCCAATGCCTGGGTTTATATCCCGATCATTGTCCCTCCCGCTGTGCTCTCAGGGGATAGATGATTGGCTATTTTTTTACCTCCTGTTTTTGCCTAATTAGCATTTTAGTGAGCTCTCTTTACTACCTGATTAGTCGGGTGTGAGCTAAGTTGCAAGCCCCGTGTTTAAAGGTGGATGCAGCTACCTTCTCAGCTAGGCTTAGGGATTCTTAGTTGGCCTAGGAAATCCAGCTAATCCTGTCTCTCAGAAGGGAGAGCTTCATCTGTGATATCAGTTTACAAACCTGAAAGAGACAGTCTCTGGAGTTTACCAGAGACTGACGTTATTATGCCTTACAGGGTCTGTATTACATAATAGAGTCATATGTATTTAGCAGGTTTGAGGAAAAGTTATACGTATTTATGAGAGGGATCGAACACATGCATGATGGTAAACATACATGTAACGTACATTCCCATGTTCACACTGGGGCAGGGTTTTAGCATTAAGATGAGACAGAATTTGGCTCTTTACATCAAAAGGTAAAGTCTACGATACAAAGACAGTTTCTGCAGTCTCTGCTGAAACTGGCTTGAGGTCTACAGTTGCGTATCAGGAAAGAGTGTTTGTAAGGCCAGTCCTCCTTCTAATCAGAGTTTTAGTGATCTGGGTTGTAAACCAGAGTTAGAAGAGTCTGATAGCTCCATTGTTAGGAAGTTTAGCAAGTGTGATTCTTTTGCAGCTCTAGGAATTTAGGAAGTTGCCATTCATGCCAACCAAGCCCTAAACCCTCTATCTGTAGGTAATTTTTGATTCTGTAACCTTAGGGTCTATCCTAGTTGATAAAGGGGTGTGTATTTTGGTCTCTCAGATCATAAGCATTATAATCTTACATAAAATCATCATGGAATTTACATTTCATCACCTTCTCAGCATTCTGTT
The DNA here is from genome assembly GCF_000001405.40 of Homo sapiens. Lineage (NCBI taxonomy): Eukaryota > Metazoa > Chordata > Mammalia > Primates > Hominidae > Homo > Homo sapiens. The sequence continues at coordinate 8,014,053 of NC_000003.12, forward strand.
GCTTAGAAGCAAGTCACAGGTCTGTACACACTTCTGGAGAGGAGATTACATGGGGTGTGAATACCAGGAGGTAGGTAACATGGGGCTTCCTGACAGACTGTCCTCCCCAGACATCCCCATGATCTTCTCTTGGGCAAGTCTTTCTACCTCATTGTGCCCGAGTTTCTGAATGTGTAAAACAAGGATAATACATATTTTATAGGATTATCATGAAACCACCTCCAAAGGGTTGACAAGAATTGCATACTGGGTTTTGAACAGAAATATCGTTATAATTAAGCATTAATAAGGCTGCACTTTGGCCTCATCCCTTCCTTGTTGCTAAAGGTCACTTAGCACTAGATTCTGAACATGTGCATACGCATCATTCCTACAGATAGGATTTTTGACATTGGGGTCAAAAACTATTTAAGAGTTGATTTGCATCTCCATTGTTTCTATACACAGGATCTCTCACACTAGAAAGGCTTTTGCTTAAGGATCCCTTAAGATGTTTTGCAGATCTTTTATTCCAGCAACCAATTTGAAGACCTTCCACAGAGGAACAGGATCAGCATGAGAATATGGCTTTTTCATCTCCAGGTTCCATGACCCTGTACTCTTTGACCAATCAATAATGTCCATGTTTTGGCCCATTCTAAACCTTAAAAACCCGAAGTCCAAATTCCTTAGAGAGATAGATTTAAAGTTTGTTCTCATCTCCTTGTTAGGTGACCCTACAATTAAATCTTTCTCTGCTGCAACCTGGTGTCTTGGCATATTGAATTGCTGTGTGCACTGTGCAATTAAACAATTATGGTTACAACCATATGAATTAATCACGGATTAAATGGCGTTGTCTAGTCTATGACAGAATATGAATAATTGCTATACTACTGGTATTATTATTTAACGTAACAGTGATCTTCATTCCAACCTAGTGGTTGCAAATGGAACAATCTTCATTTTACCACAGAGAAACTGAAGCCCCCACTAGTCTTATATTTTTCTGACCCTGTGGTTTCAGGGCATGCAAGGCAACTCTCAGTTTTCTTGGTTCAGTTGGGCCCACAAAGATTAGGATTTCACAGCAAACAAGGCAGGCACAACATAACATATTTATTTTAACACTATAGTCTCCAATGAAATAGGACTCTGAGGTCATCCCAAACTTGTTTTACTTTATTATATAGATGTACGTGTGTGTGTGTGTGTGTGCATGTGTTTGTATATATATATACACACACACGTATATATACACACACATACACATATACATATATATGATTTATCATATATAATAGTTATATAGAGAAAACACACACATATATCATCAAATATGTATCTATATTTAGTGAGATATAATTTACATACTATAAAATGCATCTACAGTGTACAATTCAATGACTTTTAGTATATTCATTCAATTGTTGTAGGACTTTCTCCTTAGTTCAGCTAAAAATGGGGTCCTTGTCACACAACCATGAAATATTAGGCTCGCAGATACTTTGAAGGGTGAAAAAAATGGAATTTGTTGGGCAAAAAGGAAAAAAAATGGGAAACAGGGACTCTCAGCAGAGCAAGAGTTTTACTAGTATAGGCTTCCTGCTTTACAGATTGAATCCCAGATACCAACCAGGAAGAGGAGGAGCCAGGCTCCTCCCCTCTGCAAATGGGGTGGACTTCTGTGGCTCCACCACAGTGTGCATTCCTCCCACTGTGCATGTTGGTTGAAGTTTCTCTGGGGACCCCATCCACCTGGCTGTCTCATTCCCTCCTATAAAGAAGTACATCTAACTGCCATTAGAATAAGTATAAGAATAAGGATGAAGACTGATCCTTAACTGTTTCCTGCTGATAGTGGGGGCTGTTTTGGGGAAATGGCAGTCAGAGCTCCCTCGGAGGCCTATCTCAGGGTCCCTGGCAAAAGGGACCATCGCCGGAGGCTCCAGTTGCATGACCGTTTGGAGTTTGATGGCTTGAAGGCAAGAAAAGACACACTGGGTTATTAGAAAACGTATCAAAATGAAACACTGGGAGGGGTGAGGAAAATTTAAAAATACTGAGACCTTTTACTGTTTTTCACAGAGAGAGGGAGGCCAAAAATCCGACTGGTAAAAAACTTCACCCTTTTGTCAGCATGTTGAGTTTCTGGGTTCTCTTCCCCTGAGCCCAATCCTAAGCCAACCAGTTTAAGCTTTGGGAAATTAACTCTTTCCAGTTTAGAGGATGCATCTGAGGGAAGTGTCCCATAGTATGAAGACATAATTACCTATCTGTGAAGAGAAGACAGAGAAGGAGAGAAGGAAAAAAGAAGGAATTTTTTTCAAAGGAGTCCCAGGGCTTCAGGATGCATTTGAAAGGGGTACAGACTGAAGATGAATGGCTACCCTTCTAGAAAGAGGAGAGCAGGCATCTCTGATTCCCTTCCTCTTCTAGCAGATACCCAGGGTACCTGAGGGAGAGAAGGAAGAGCATCTGTTTCCCTCTTCTGTCCTTACATCCCCAAGTCCTGGCAACCTTGGCAAGTGCCACCATGGGTGTTAAAATGGCTTTCACCCATGTTAACAGGGCAGGGAGGGAGGTGGGAATTATTCACTCTTACCCACATACACCCTGTCTACCCTGCTGTCAGTAGCCTTGAATTACCTATACCTCATTTATGCCCATGGATACTAGCATGGCCTTTATCCGTGAAATGGGAAGCTTGGCTTAATTGGCAGGAATAGCCATACTCACCTGGGCTGTGCCTTTTAACGTTCATCATTGTCTGCCTCTGGATCCTTCAGATCCAGTTTTCTTTCCTAGGGCTTTGACTGGAAGCTTGGAATTGAGTTTGGGACAAAAATATGTCTCAAGGGGTGGGGTTGTATGAACTCCTTATCATAGCCAAATGCTAAGGTGAAACTGTGGAACTGAGTCCTCCTCCAACAAGGGAGAGAAAAGGATGTCTTGTGACACATAAAGATAACTGGTAGCTATAGTTATGCTTGCTAGGATTTAGGTGCATTGTGTTTGGCTTTTGTTAGCTCCCTTGGTCTTACTTTTCCAAAAGGATTCCTCCAAGTGATGGGCATCTTATTTATTCCCATCGCCTGGCAGGATTTGCAGGATAATTGCTCAGAACTAGAATATTGATCCAGATTTTCACATTACCCATTCTTCTTTTTCTTTCTGAGCTGTAGTGAGAGATTGCTGGTTGGGTCACAGGAACAAACAGGGTTAGTATAAAAATGTAGGCAAAAATGTAAAAAACTAATGAGTTTAGAATTTAATGACAAACTTATGTTGAGATTTGAAACATAATTTCAATCTCTCCAGTCCTCATTTTTATAAAAAAAAAAGTCATGATAAGACTGAGTTGTTTGAAAAATAGATTTTATTCTTATACTTGGCCTGATTATTTGCGGAAAATGCAGCCAGAATAACTATTTCTACATAAGCCTTTTGGATTGGCTTTGATGGAACTTTGTGCTGTAAGGAATCACAGATAAAACCTCTTTTTTTTTTTTTTTTTTTTGAGACCGAGTCTCGCTCTGTCACCCAGGCTGGAGTACAGTGGCGCAATCTTGGCTCACTGCAAGCTCCACCTCCTGGGTTCATGCCATTCTCCTGCCTCAGCCTCCCAAGTAGCTGGGACTACAGGTGCCCACCACCATGCCTGGCTAATTTTTTGTATTTTTTAGTAGAGACAGGGTTTCACTGTGTTAGCCAAGATGGTCTTGATCTCCTGACCTCGCGATCCACCACCTTGGACTCCCAAAGTGCTGGGATTACAGGTGTGAGCCACTGCGCCCAGCCTGATGAAACCTTTTAAAGCTGAGCCCAGTGATGTGTTTTTATCCTCAAATACCTGTGAGTTGGGTGAGCCTCTCCTCTTAATGTCCCAAGATGAACTTGGAGCACCTAGGTCTGTTAGAAAGTGATATTCTGTATTTACCACAGGTCAGGAACCCTGTACAAGGACTGCATAGGCAAGAGTATGAGGCCAATTTGTTTTTCCCCAAGGGCCTTTTATTGGCTCTGCAATTTGAGCTTGACTCCTTAAAGGGAAGCATACCCTTCCAGTCAAAGCCTTGGTAAAATAACCAGTTTCTCCAATTGTGTCCTGTTGCAAAACAAAAATGGATTCTTATTGCACTGATGCAAAGAACTATATGGTCATAAGTTAAGAATACTCACAGATAGTTTCCAAATTCTAGAGGAACCAGGCAGAGAGAAATAAACATGCTCCAAATTTTGTTCATAGGAGTATAACTTACTTAGTTATTAAAGGCTGTAAATAGTTCAAAATATGTTTCCATGACTCTGAGAACAAAACAAGGATCAGCAATATTCCAAGAAAAAGTTAGAAAGATTATTTCAGTTTTCTGAGTTCAATACATTTAGTTTTTGTTTTGCTTGATATTCATGAACATATCAGCTCTTCTTGAGTCCTGTACATTTTTCCTTTATTCTAATGTTACAATCTCCAAAGTTATCAGAAACTTGTATTTGAGAACACCTGTCAAAGTTCTGTAGCTTATCATAAACCATCCTTTAAAAAGGATTAAAACAAGGAATAAAATGTCTGTGAATAGCAAAATGTCCAGGGTAGACACAGTTAGAAACACAATTGATAAAGAAGTTTGGTTATCTCCGTGGTTTTCAATAACTTAACAACCTAAACTATGATTGATAGCACATTATTAGACATTAGAATTTTTTAAATGCTATACAATTTTGAAACACATATTAGTATTATTCACCAAAATATAACCTAAAGAGGATTGAACACCATTTTGGCAATCCCATGTACCTAAACATGTCAACTAATACTGTTTACCTCTCTTTTCTGGACAATCCAGGGGCTCTTCTGGAGCCTCTGAAAATCCAGGTGTCAAGAAAGAAAATTTTGAAACTGAAGATTGATTTGGGGAAGCCTGTTACATATGTTAGAGGATTAAAACACTTGATGTTATGAAATAGAATTCCACAGTGCCATAAATTATTTATTTTGCCAAATGATGATTCAGAATTTCAAAGAAGCAAAAATCTTTACTCATTAAGAGAGAAGACTTAGCTTTCCAAACAATTCATCTCCTATCTTCTCTTCCTTTGCCTTGGCAGTCTATTCTTAAGGCAAATGAAAATCTTTCACTATCCTTTACTATTACATGAAAATCTTGTATAAAGGAGAGAAATCCAAAATTTCACCCTTACTACTATTGTCAAACCCAATTGTTAAATGAAACCTTATAGACAATTCTATGTAACCTTAACCAATTTGACCATGAGGCAAGATTCTTATAAACCTTTTATAACCCTTTACAAATTTTGCTAAAGAGCAGATTAGTGCCGTAAGAAAACCTTGTCGTGTTTTTATTTCAATACTCAATTTACAAAAAAACTATGTAATAACCTTTTGATTTCCACTCAATGTTCACACACAGAATTTCTTTTGCAAGCTTAATTTTTAGAAACCTTTCACCACTTGTTTGAACCTTCAGCTTTATCTTATCTAATTTAAAACAATTTAAAACCCTAGGCAAATATTTACATTTCCATGCCTTCTTATAACCTTTTACTAAAAAATACATTTTACTGTTCTCACAGACCTCGCATGTAAATCTATTTCCAGTAGTTTCAATTACATGTTATAACGGTAAATTTTAGCAATTTTTAACTTTAATGTAAAACCTGGTAAGTTGTTTTAATTGAGTGTTAAATGCAGCAAGGTTTGACTCCTTCCAGCATAATTAAGGGTGTAATTAGTTCCATATGGTCCCCAGGCCTTATCAATTGTGGGACAGGCAAGTTAAATAGTTCTCAAAACTTAAAAGGCAGAATATAACTTTAACACACTTGCCAAACCTTGCATCTGACCTGCATAATTTAGTCCACTTATTTACATTTTGATGGTATCTGCATTTTACCAATAATTTTTAAGGCTGTTTTTATATCTCAAAGATTAAAGTCATGTGAACTGAAAGGTACCACAACTTTTGTCTTCCTTTTAAAATATATTTGATCCAAGTGCTTATCTCCCATTAGGCCAAATTAATTAGAGCTCTTTTTACAGACATCATACACATAACACATATATACATACACAGACGGGAAAACCCAGTCCCTAGGTGGAGGCCGTTAAGAGACAGGGCTAGGAAAACATGCAGATATTAAATGAGAAAGGACTCATTCCCTAAGGCAGAATTGCTAAACAAAGCCTTGCCACGGGGTCACAGGCCACACCACTGAGAGGTAAAACAAGACGGAGGCCTGCAATGAAGTCTGCTACAAACCATACAGATATGCAAAGCACATAAGATTGGCTACAGCTTAAGACCAGCCCTGTAAATGCTTTTTCACAATTAAAAATTTACAGAGAATATAAACAGTAATCCTTATCATTCCTAGCCTAGTATAACTTCTTCCAAAAGGAACAAAAACGTTTAAAAGTTAACTGCTGATGGGGTGGAGATGAAAAAAGGATGCCTGGGGTAAAAACCTCTTATGCAACTAGTTCCTCCACCAGAGAGAAAAGCTTAATTGCTGTGGGACAGAGCAGGCCTCCCTGGCTGGGGGATGGGGAAACTCCACGGGTATGTGGCAGGGAATGCCAGCCAGCTGTATGGGGTGCCTTGAGGCCAGGCAGCTGCTGTGGCTCATTCCTGCCCTGTGTGGCCATTGTACACTGTGCACACATGTGACAGACACGGCCATGCACCCCAGCCAGTAGGGAAGAAGGAGGAGGGAACAGGGAGCTGCCCCACCCAACCATCCCTTGCACATGCCTGTGGCTGTTGGGGTGGGTGTGAACCTCCTCCAGTATTGTAAAAGAAAAAATAAGTGTCATTACTGTCCCGAAAAAAGAAAAGAAGAATGCCTTAAGACCAAAATGCTTAGAGGCAACAGTGAGAGGTTTTGAGTCCTCATTTCATTCACCCCTTCTCAATCCCCACATTGGGCACCAAAGTTGTTGTTGGACATTCTCCTTAGTTCAGCTAAAAACAGGGTCCTTGTCACATGACGATGAAATATTAGGCTCGCAGACACTTTGAAGGTAAGAAAAATGGAATTTATTGGGCAAAAAGGAAAAAAAGCAAAACAGGGACTTTCAGGAGAGCGAGAGTCCTGCTATTATAGGCCCCCCACCTCACAGACTGAATCCCAGGTACCATCCAGGAAGAGGAGGGGCCAGGTTCCTCACCCCTGCAAATGACATGAACTTCCTGAGGCCCTACCCCAGCGTGCACTCCTCCCAGTGTGCAGGCTGGTCGAAGGTTCTCTGGTGACCCCTTTATACTTTGCTGTCTTACAATTATGCAATTATTACCACTTTCTAATTTCAGAATGTTTTCTTCACCCATAGAAAACACTCCATAACCAATAGCAGTCACTCTCAGACCCTGGCAAACACTAATCTATTTATGGTCTCTATGAAATTGCATATTTTGTATATTTTATATGAATGGAGTTATATAATATGTAGCCTCTTGTGTTTTACTTATTTTACTTAAAATAGTTTTTTCACAGTCCATCCATGTTATAGCCTGTGTCAGTACCTCAATATATTTTGTGACTGAATCATTTTATTGTATGGCTATACCACCACATTTTTAAAATCAGTTCCTCAATTGATGGACATTTGGATTGTTTCCATGTTTTACTACTATAAATAATGCTGCTGTGAACATTTATGTATACATTTTTTTGTGTGCATATGTTTTCAATTCTCTTGGATACATACCTAAGAATGGAATTGATGAATTGTTTGGTAACTCTATGTTTTAACTTTTGGAAGAACTGTCAAACTGTCTTCGAAGTGGGTGTACCACTTATATTTCCACCAGCAATCTGTGAGGGCCCCAATTTCTCCACATCCTCACCAACACTTCCTCTTATCTATGTTTTTAATATAGCCATCTCAAAGGGTGTGAAGAGATACTTTATTGTGGTCTTGATTTGCATTTACCAAATAATTAATGATGTTGAGCGTGTTTTCATGTGCATATCAGCAATTTATATATATATATATAAATAATATAAATAAAGAATATATATATATATATATATATAAAGAATATATATATATATATTCTTTGGAGAAATGTTTATTCAAGTCCTTTGCTCATTTCTAAATTGGCTTATTAAGTTTCCCAAATTGTTGAATTACAAGGGCACTTCATGTATTCCTGATATTAGTCCCTTATCAGATGGATGACCTGCAAATATTTTCTCCCATTCTGTGGATTGTATTTTCACTCTCTTGATAGCATACTTTGCAGCACAAAGGTTTTTAATTTGGATAAAGCATAATTTATCATTGTTTTCTTTTTTTGATTATGCTTTTGGTTTCATATCTATAAAGCCATTCCCTAATACAGCTTTATACAGCTTCACATCTAGGTTTTATTATAGAAGATAATTTTCTTATAGAAGATAATTTTAGCTTTTGCATTTAGTTCTTTGATTTATTTTCAGTTAATACATGTGAATGGTATGAGGCAGAGGGTCCAACTTCATTATTTTTCATGTGGATATTCAGTTGTTTTAGCACTATTTTTCGAAAGACTATTCTTTCCTCTATTGAATTATCTTTCTACTCTTGTAAAAAAAAAGTAATTGGACAAAAAATTATGAATTGATTTCTGGACTCTCAATTTTATCCCATTGATCTATATATCTATCCTTATGTCAATGCCTCACAGTCTTGGTTGTTTAATTTTATAGTAAGTTTTAAAATTGCAAGGTGTGAGCCATCCAACTTGGTTTGTATTTTTAAAGATTGTGTTGGCTATTCTGGATCCCTTGCATTTCCATGTGAATTTTAGAACAGTTGGTTGATATTAGCAAAAAAGCAAATGTGATTTTCATAGAAATATTTATTTTTATAAGGAATTCTAATTATATATTTCTTCTTCTATTCCTGGTTTTTGTGACTTCACTCTCCTCCCTCTTTTATTTGTTCAGTCTCAGGGGTATCCAATCTTTTGGTTTCCCTGGACCACATTGGAAGAATTGTCTTGGGCCATACATAAAATACATTAACACTAACAAGAGCTGATGAGCTTAAAAAAAAATGACACACACAAAAAAATCTCATAGTGTTTTAAGAAAGTTTACCAATTGGTGTTGGGTCACATCAAAGCCATCATAGGCCACATGTGGCCTGTGGGCCATGTGTTGGACAAGCTTGGTCTAAATAAATGTTTATCAAATTTGTTGATTTACAAAAGAACTGGGTTTTATTAATTTACTATTTCTCTATTCTCTCTTTTTAAAAACTTTCTACTTGTTTTGGGTATAGTTTGTTCTTTTCTAATTTTTAATGTGGAAGATCAGGTTACTGATTGGAGATCACGTTTTCATGAGATAGGCTCATACGTCTATAAATTTCTAAGCATTTCTTTTGCCACATTCCATATGTTTGATATGTTTCATTTTCATTTTTATTCAGTTCAAAGTATTTTCTAATTTATCTTGTGATTTCACCCATTAGCTACATAGGAAAGTGTTTAATGTCCACACATTTTTGAATTATCAAGATATTTTCCTGTTAATGATTTCAGATTTTATTTCATTGTGGTCAGCAAACATACTTTGTGTGATTACAAAGTATGTTTCATTGTATTAAGATTTGTATTATGGCCTAATATATACTTTATTCTGAAAATGATTTCATGTGCACTCGAGAAAAATGTGTATTATTCTGTTGTCAGAATGTTTTATATGTATTTGTTAGGTTTCATTGATCTACAGTGTTGTCCAAGTATTCTATTTCCTTGATAATTTTCCTTCTTATTTGTTTTGCCATTATCTAAAGTAAGGTATTGAGTCTTCAACTGTTATTGTTCACTTTCTCTTTTTTCCTTTAATTCTGTCAGCTTTCCTTCCTGTATTTGGGGACTCTAATTTTAAGTGCACATATGTTTATAGTTGTGATGTCTTCATAATGGATTATCCTGTTTATTATTATAAAAAGTCCTTCTTTGTCTCTAAGTTAATTTCAACTTAGATCTATTTTGTTTGATGCTACTATAGGCACTCCATTTCTCTTTCAGTTACCATTTATACGGCACATCTCTTTTCATTCTTGAACTTTTAACTTATATGTGTCTTTGAACCTAAAGTGGGTCTCTTGCAGATAAAATATAGTTGTATTATGTTACTAAAAAATTCATTCTATTAATCTCTGCTTTTTTATTGAAATGCCTAATCCATTCATAGATAATGCAATTACTGATAAGGTAAGATTTACATCTCACATTGTGCTATTTGTTTTCTATACGTCTTTTGTCTTTTCTTCCCTCTTTTCCTACACTATTGCCTTCCTTTGTGTTAAGTAGATATTTTCTAACATGCCATTTTAATGCCCTTGTCATTTCTTTTAGACATTTATTTAGTTATTTTTTCTTAGTGATTGCCATGGGTATTACAATTAACATCTCAGTTTATAACAATCTAGTTTGTATTAATAACCAACTTAAATTCAAAACTGCAAAAAACTTTGCTTCTATATAGCTCAGTTCCTTCCTTATTCCCTTGCACTCTTATTCTCATATAAATTAAACCATACATTGCATAACCATTAACACAGTTTTATAATCAATGTTTTATGAAATTGCCTTTAAATCAGATAGAAGGGAGAAAAGAAGTTACTTGCAAAAATATATTTATACATTTATATTTACCTAAGTGGTTACCTTTACTAGAGCTCTTCTTTATGTGGATTTGAGCTACTTTCTAGTGTTTTTTCATTTTATCCTGAAAACTTCCTTTAGTATGCTTGTAGAGTGAATATGCTAGCAACAAATTTTCTCTTATTTTTCTGAGAATATCTTAATTGCTTCCTTATTTTTGAAGGAATGTTTTGCTAGATATAGAATTATCAGGCCGGGCATGGTGGCTGACGCCTGTAATCCTAGCACTTTGGGAGGCTGAGGCTTGCAGATCACGAGGTCAGGAGATCGACACCATCCTGGCTAACACAGTGAAACCCTGTCTCTACCAAAAATACCAAAAAAAACAAAAAAAAAAATCACCAGGTGTGGTGGCAGGTGGCTGTAGTCCCAGCTACTCGGGAGGCTGAGGAAGGAGAATGGCATGAACCTGGAAGGCGGAGCTTGCAGTGAGGCCGAGATCTGCACCACTGCACTCCAGCCTGGGTGACGGAGCGAGACTCCGTGTCAAAAAGAACAAAAAAAAGGATTATCAATTGACACTGACCCCCTGGCCCCTTGCCCAGCACTTTGAGTATGTTATCCTACTGCGTTTTGTTCTCCATGGTTTCTGATGTGAAATAAGTTGCTAATCTTAATGCAGATAATTGTATATGATGTCACCTCTCTCTTTGTCTTTGTTTGATTTTCATGTATGCAGATATGGATTTCCTTGAGTTTATCCTACTTGGATTTGTTGACTTCCTGGAAGGGTAGGTAAATTTTTTTTTTTTTTTGTCAAATTTGGCAAGTTTTTTACCACTATTCTAAAAAGTATTTTCCCCCTTTCTGTCTTTCTTCTCTTTCTTGAGCTCACATTATCCATATGTTGGTACGTTTGAAAGTGTCCCATAGGTCTCTGAGGCTCTTGTCATTTTTCTTCTTTTTGATTTTCCTATTCCTCATCCTGGATAACCTCAGTTGACCTTTTTTCTTTGTCCTGCTTAAAAAAATCCACTGTTGAAATGCTCTGGTGAATTTTTCATTTCCATTATCATACTTTTAGGTATAGACTTTCTATTTTATTCTCTTTAAATGTAATTTCTATCTCTTATTAATATTCTGTATTTGGTGAGCCATTATTCTCATAACTTTCTTTAGTTTTTTAGATATAGCTTATTTTAGTTCTTTTAACATTTTGAAACAGTTGACTTGAAGTCTTTTCTAGTAAGTATAACATTTGGTCTTCCCCCAGGACCATGCTGCATTTTAGATGTTTCTTATTTCTTTGCATATCTAGTAATTTTTTTTGAAGGTTGAACATTTGAAGTAATGTAATGTGGGAGCTCTGGAAATCAGATTCTTCCCCTTTCCGAGATATTATTGTTGTTGCTGGCTGTTTGTTTAGTGACTTTTTAAAACGAATTCTATAAAGTCTGTGTTCTCTGTTGTGTGTGGCCACAAAGTCTCTGCTCAGTTAGCTTGGTGGTCTGCTAATGTTTGGACAAACATTTCCTTAAATGCCTGAAACCAGTATATCTCTTGCTGTTTGCTGTGGAGCTTTACATCTCTGTGTGTGTGTGTGTGTGTGTGTGTGTGTGTGTGTGTGTGTGTGCCTTCAACACTCAGTCAGGCAGTTTACAACTCTGCCTAAGCCTTTAGTTTCTATTTGCACAGAGTCTCATGTCTTTCCAAGCTAAAATCTCAGGGCCTTCTCAGGTCCTTTCTGAGGTTGTACACAACTCCGGGCATGTGCATAGTAGCCCTACACATATATGTAACAATCTAGATTCTCAGGATTATATTGACATTTTTAAAAACCCCTATGAACATCTCATTCCCCAGCTTTTCCTTTTAAATTATTTTAAGTAGCCTATTATTTTCCCTATATGTTGTCTACTGCCTCAGGCAGCTGCAATGTTAAACATTTGCTGCTAATTGTTTTTGAAAAACCTACCCAAGGAAAAAAGTGTTTGTATTTGATGTTTTCCACATCAGGCAAAGACAATCCTTGCAAGTGAGTTCTTCTAGGGAACCACCAGACAGTTCAAATAATGACAATTCTTTGGGGAGGATGCTTTGAAGCAGTTCAGTTCCAATTATGCCTTCTCTAGTGGCTGCCAGGGTGCTGATTTTAACATAACTGGGGGCTGTTGTTTTGCAAGGTTATCATGAATCTTGGGAAAAGCTAAGAGCAGAACAAGTTGAAATGTGACAAAGGTTGCTTTTGTCAAGATATTCAGCCATTTTCCTCAATAAAGGCCCTTTAAATTGCTTTAAGACTTTAGTTAATTCATGTGGTTACAAAAAAAGTTAATTTTGCCAGAATTTTCATTACTTTTATAAAGGAGATTACTTTTGGACGTTTTTACCCTGCCTTTCATCTCATATGTCCCCTTTTACTTTTAGTCAATAAAAGCACTGCTTTATTTAGATTTAATGTAAATTCTACACTTCTCCAAAAATCCACAGAAAAACATTCTTTGCTTAGCAAGGATTTGCAGCTCTTGATTTCTCTCTTGTTTGAAAAAGAAATAAATTAAGCTTTTGTGTTTCAAATTTGAGTGGATTGTAATGTCCATTAGCTGGTATTACTATAACTGTCACACCACTACCACCACTAATTGTGTCATGATTATTGATTTCCTGCAGATTAAATGAATTTATCGATGGAGTATAGAGCCTGGATCCAACTTTCTCAAGCAATGAGATAGAATTTATTTTCTGGTAAAATGTATCATTAGAGGTAAGAGGTCAGATTATATTAATCTAATGATGATAATAATTATAATAATAATAAATAAGTTCCACTTGTCTGTGAGAGGCCCACCATGGAGAGTCGATACCTACAGAGACATTCTGACAAGTAGAATACATTCTTGTATCAAGAGCAAAACTAGATTAAGTTAGGGGTTGGTGAACATTAGGAAGGGTTCTGAAGCAGAAATCAAAGTATAATCTAAATCCCTGGACAGCTCTTAGAATTGAGCTTTAACACAGTGCTGCCAAACTATTTAAATAGAACTGCATCCTGTTACCATTTTTGTAAAATAAAAATGGTCAAATATTGGCAATTGTATATGGTTTACATTCACATATTTAGACCAACCCTAAATCTAGAAAACACTCCTCAACAAATAAAAATAAACAGGGGTGGTGTGGGTGAAGATTTTGATCAAATATTTTTGGCAAGTACTTGTAAATTTAGCTTCCATATTAGCATATTAAAGTCCCTGAGAAGTTATGAAATAAATAAAGTAACCCATATATCCCAATGTCTTTGATTTTGGAACTATTTTTCCCCCACAGAAAACCTTAAGGACACTTTGGGAAATACTGCTTTATGGAATTCACATATGTCAACAAGAACAGTTGTAGGTGACATAATGTCATTTAGGAATAACAGAGTGTTTTTATATTGAAAAATATAGCCTTGGGGTCTCCGGTTGTTTCAACACAGCATCTGCAGATATATTTCCCAAGATAATCAGAGGAGCTATGCTTGGATTATAAATGAGTTGTCCTCATGAGCAAGATATCTTGAGAAACATAAAATCCACTCTCATAAATGTAATATGACAGCCTGAGAGCAATAAATCCTTCCATTTTTCAGCTGAAATATCCTTTAATTCTCATCCACACATATTCTCAAGTGACTAGAGCACATGAGTAGGTGTGACAGTTTTCTTTCCTCATATTTACTGTATTTACTTTCTGAGTTACTGCCTGAGTAACTGATATTATTTGCATATGATCTGGTGCGTAAAATGTTAATCAAAAAGCACTCAACAATATGGAAACCTTGAAAAACTGGAAAGTTTGTGCATAAAGCCCTTGGATAAAGGGGAAGAAACTGAAATGTGATTTTATTAGAAGAACAGCCACCACTTTGCAGAGAACGGACTAAGGTTGCCTCACTACACCCCTGGGAGAAACAAGATTTTGTTTTAAACAGGGTTCTTTCACAATATTTGAACACATTAGTGAGCTATTGCTAGACTTGATTTTCCTCATCTGTAAGATAAGGGGGAACATATTAAACTCCTCCAGGTGCTCCCACTGAACTTCTTCCTGGCCTCATACATTTTACTGTCTCTATTATCAGATCTATTGATGTGCTTATCCCTCTCTCTAGGGCTTAAGTTTTAAAAAAGTGATTAACTAACTTTGATTTATCTTTGTTTTCCACTTAGCAATTCATGGTGGTTAAGGGTACAGTTCTGGAATTAGACTGCCTGAGATAGTTTTGATTCTATCCTACACTGGGTGTATGACCTTGGGTTTATTGATTAACTTCTTACTTCAATTCCCTCATACATCATATTGGGATTATAATCATACCTACAATGTGATTGTTCAATCCATGCATGTACTTAAGACAGTGAGTGACCCATGTTCAACTATCAATAAATGCTAACTCTTTCATACTTTTAGTACTCAGGCACTATTTATTAATTCCATAAATGAGTGGGTGATAATAACAGGCTGATGCTCCTTCTTCATCATTTCTTTTTTTTTTTTTTTTTAGTTAACTCTTTTAATTTCTCCCCCGCTCCTTCTGAATATCAGAAATAATATTGTTTCATCCTAGCAGTCTCAAAAAGACATCTTGGAACATCAGCATATCTTCTTATACTCAAATTTTCTTTTACATTTTTTATTTTATTTTCCACCCCCTGAGAATGGGACTTTTTTCACATTTTGCTATACATAAGATCTTTGATGAAGAGTACAACTATGTACTTAAAACCTTGAATTATATTTCTGCTAAATTTGGGGAAGGAATTTCTCTGAATAAATGAAATTTATGTTTCCACTAATTATCTGTCTAGCATACTAGCTGGGAGACTCTCAACTTTCAGACCAAGAGCATTTAGGAGAGAAAGTGAGCTCTCTCAAGGTGTTTCCTCTCACTGACTTCATCCTAGTCCAGCCTTCTGTAGATTTCCTGTGACATTTTAGCTTCTATAATTCTCAATTTTTATGGAAGGCTAACCATGGATTGGCGATATAACCCAAGGTTTGCTCTAGAACTGTGTTGTCAATATGGCAGCCACCAGCCACATGTTGTTACTGAGCAGTTGAAGCATGGCACATGCAAAATGACATGAGCACCAAGTGCTGAGATATGCACCAGTTTTTGAAGACTTTGTATACCCCCAAAAAGTAAAATTGTCATTAATAATTTTTTGAATTGACCACATGTTGAAATAATATTTTGAATATGTTGGGTAAAATAAAATATATTATTAAAATTAATTTCAACAGTAGTTTGCTTTTTTATATGTGGCCACTAGAAAATTTAAACCACATAGGTGGTTCACATTTGTGGTTTGTTTCAAATTTTTATTACAGAGCAATGAAAATATGCTATAGTTCATAATTTAAATCTAGAATAGTCTCTGGAACAAGTCCTGTCTTAAATTCTTTACATGTGTTTTTTCATTGAATAAAGAAGTTCGGTGAGGAATTATTATTGTTATTTGAGATTTAATAAAATTGTGAAATTCTGGAGGTGAAAAAACTTTATCAAGTGCAAGTAGAACATTAATTTTTTTTCTTTTTTTTATTATACTTTAAGTTCTATGGTACATGTGCACAACGTGCAGGTTTGTTACATATGTATACATGTGCCATGTTGGTGTGCTGCACCCATTAACTCGTCATTTACATTAGGTAAATTTTAGTTTTTTTCTGACTCTGAATTCAAGTTCTCTTTGTGGCACTAGACTACATTCTAGTGGCAAACTGACCCAATATTAAACATCAAAACCAGCCTGGCCAACATGATGAAACCCCACCTCTCCTAAAAATACATAAATTAGCTGGGCATGGTGGTGGGTGCCTGTAGTCCCAGCTACTCGGGAGGCTGAGGCAGGAGAATCACTTGAACCCAGGAGGTGGAGGTTGCAGTGAGCCAAGATGGCACCACTGCACTCCAGCCTTGGTGACAGAGGGAGACTCCACTCCATCTCAAAAAAAAATAAATAAATAAATGAAAATCTTTATCCCAGGCTGGATTCTACAGAAGCAGATGCTGAGGTGGAGTTTGGGGTAGAGATATTTATTAGAGATCTACATCTGTGGAAGAAAGAGAAAGAAATTGGGATTGAGCAGAGGAAGAAGTCAAACCATGATGTTGGCCTAACGAAGGCTCAACCAGCCCTGCAGGAAGCTCCAGCGCAAGTTTTGCCTGTCAGAGTAATCTCTCATTGGGCCAAACCAGCCAGGCCTTATACCCTTGACTCACTCAGTCACTGGATGTGTACTGCTCTGGGAAGGACTTGAACTAGGATAGGGTGGCTCTCCACAGCTGAGATGGCACTGAAGGAGACCGCAGCTGGAAGCCATCTACTGACTGCACACCCTGCAGCTCTACATCCCATAAATCCTTGAAGGAGGATCTGGGTTGTGCATCCCTAAGTGGAAAGGTATTTTAAAAAATTTTCTTGTCGTTTTTCTTCATTCCCTTTTTATTCTTCTGAATACTTCAAGGAGAAATGTCTTTTTTTTTTTCTCCCCACAGGGAAATAGTAGGCTTCAGACCCTGGGACTTGGCAGGCAGTGGAATCTAGCTATAATTTAATAATATTATTTATGTAATAGCATTTATTTTTCTACTTATATTCTATTTATAAAAATATGTATTTGTTTTCTATGTATGATTATATAAAGTTTCCTTTAAAAACATATTTATTAAAAGAAGCAATTACAGCCATACCTCGGAGATATTGCAGGCCCAGTTCCAGCAAAAGCCAAGGCAGCAAATATTGCAATAAAGACTCACAAAGTTTTTTGGTTTCTCAGTGCATACAAAAGTTATGTTTACACTATATTGTAGTTTATTAAATATGCAGTAGCATTGTCTAAAAAAACTGCATACATATTCAATGATCTTGAAGCAAAAAATTAAAGATCAACAACATACACATCGATTTAAAATACTTATTGTTAAAAAAAAGCTAATGAACATCTGAACCTTCAATGAGCCATAATCTTTTTGCTGGTGAAGGGTCTTGACTTTATGTTCAAGGTTGCTGACTGATCAAGGTAGTGGTTGCTGATCAAGATGGCTGTAGAAATTCTTAAAATAAGACAACGACTTGCCTCATTGATTGACACTTCATTTAACAAAAGATTTCTGAGTAGTATGCAATGCCATTTGATAATATTTTGCCCACAGTAGAACTTCTTTTCAAACTGGAGTGAATCCTCCCAAACCTTGCCACTGCCTTATTAGCTAGGTTGATGCAATATTGTAAATCTTTTGTTGTCCTTTCAACAATATTTATAACATCTTCACCAGGAGTAAATTCCATCTCAAAAACCACTTTCTTCGTTGATCCATAAGAAGCAACTCCTCATTTTTTCCAAGTTTTAACATGAGATTAAAACAATTCAGTTACATCTTCAGGCTCTGCTTTTAATTCTAGCTCTCTCGCTATTTTCACATCTGCAGTTACTCCCTCCACTGAAGCCATGAACTCCTCAAAGTCATCCATGAGGGTTGAAATTAACTTTTTCCAAACTCCTGTTCATGTCAATATTTTGACTTCCTCTCATGAATCACAAATGTTCTTAATAACATTAAGAATGATAAATCCTTTCCAGAAGGTTTTCAATTTACTTTGTCCAAATCTATCAGAGGAATTACTATCCATGTAGCTTTATGAAATGTATTTCTTAAAAGATAAGACTTAGGGCCGGGCGCTGTGGCTCACGCCTATAATCCCAGCGCTTTGGGAGGCCGAGGCGGGCGGATCACGAGGTTAGGAGATGGAGACCATCCTGGCTAACACGGTGAAACCCCGTCTCTACTAAAAATACAAAAAAATTAGCCGGGCATGGTGGCGGGCGCCTGTAGTCCCAGCTACTCGGGAGGCTGAGGCAGGAGAATGGCGTAAACCCGGGAGGCGCAGCTTGCAGTGAGCAGAGATCGCGCCACTGCACTCCAGCCTGGGCGACAGAGCGAGACTCCGCCTCAAAAAAAAAAAAAAAAAAAGAGTTGAGGTTCAAAATTTCTCTTTATTCTATGGGCTGTCAAATAGTTACTGTGTTAGCAGACATGAAAACAATATTTATCCCGTTGTACATCTCCATCCAAGTTCTTGGGTGACTAGGTTTATCAATAGGTTATCATTGCATTATCAATGAACAGCAATATTTTGAAAGAAATCTCTTTTCCTAAGCAGTAGATTTCAACCATAGGCTTGAAATATTTAGTACACCGTGTTATAAATAGAGGTGCTATCATCTAGGCTTTGTTGTTTCATTTCTAGAGCACAGGCAGAGTAGATTTAGCATAATTCTTGAGAGGCCTAGGATTTTCAGAATGTTAGATAAGCGCTGGTTTCAACTTAAAGTCACCAGCTGCATCGGCCCCTAACAAGAGAGTCAGCCTGTCCTTTGAAGCTTTGAAACCAGACATCGACTTCATATCTCTCGGGTTTTTTGTTTGTTTGTTTTTTGTTTTGCGATGGAGTTTTGCTCTTGTTGCCCAGGCTGAAGTACAGTGGTGTGAGCTCGGCTCACTGCGACCTCCATCTCCCGGTTTCAAGCGATTCTCCTGCCTCAGCCTCCCGAGTAGCTGGGATTACAGGTGCCTGATACCACGCCCAGCTAATTTTTTGTTTTTAGTAGAGATAGGGTTTTACCATGTTGACCAGGCTGGTCTGGAACTCCTGACCTCAGGTGATCCGCCCACCTTGGCCTCCCAAAGCGCTGGGATTACAAGTGTGAGCCACTTCACCCGGCTGGCTTCATATCTCTTTAGCTGTGAAAGTCCCAAATGATATCTTCTAATATGAGGCTTCATTGACATTGCAAATCCATTGTCAAGTATAGCCACCTTTGTCAATGATCTTAGCTAGATCTTCTGGATAACGTACTGCAGCTTCTCCATCAGCACTTCTTGCTTCACCTTGGACTTTTATGTTCTAGAGATGGCTTCTTTCCGTAAACCTCCTGAGCCAAACTCTGCTAGCTTGCAACTTTTCTTCTGCAGCTTCCTCACCTCTCTCAGCCTTCATAGAATTAAAGAGTTAGGACATTGCTCTGAATTAGGCTTTGGCTTAAGGAAATGTTATGATTGGCTGGTCTTTTATCCGGACCAATAAAACTTTCTCCGTATCGGCAATAAGGCTATTTCACATTCTTATCATTCATATGTTCAGTGTAATTGCACTTTTAATCTCCTTCAAGAACTTTTGCTTTGCAGTTGCAACTTGTCTAACTGTTTAGCATAAGAGGCCTAGCTTATGGCCTATCTTAGCTTTCATTATGTCTCCCCCAGTAAGCTTGATCACGTCTAGCTTTTGTTTTAAACTGAGAGATGCATTATTCTTTTCCTTTGAACACTTAGAAACCATTGTAACATTATTAATTGCTCTAATTTCAATATTGTTGAGGGACTCAGGGAATAGGGAGGCCTGAGGAGAGAGAGAGAGAGAGAGATGAGAAATGGCTGGTTGTTGGGGGAGTTAGAATACATGCAACATTTATTCATTAAATTTTCTGCTTTATATGGGCATGGTTTGTGGCACCTAAAAACAATTATAATAGTAACATCAAAGATCACTGATCACAGATCACCATAATATATCTTTGATAATTTAAAAGTTATTGTGAAATATTGTGAGAATTGTCAAAATGTGACACAGGAACATGAAGTGAGCTCATGCTATTTGAAAAATGGTGCTGATAATTGCTTGATTCAGGGTTGCCAAAAACATTCAATTTATAAAAAACAATGTCTGCAAAACACAATAAAGTGAAGTGCAATAAAACAAGTATACCTGTTACTGAAATATGCAAAGTTAGCCTGTTTAATTCATTGCAAATTAGAAGCCTTAGAGGCCTGTGATTAAAAAAAAAAGTAAAGGACAAAATCTAGAAGAACAGAGCTCAGTCTTTTTAAAGGAAATCAAGAATATGGGTAGTCATACAGATAGTCATTCAAACTCAGGAGATGACCATCAGTGGAGGTTTTGGGAGAACTGGAAGTACAAAGCAAATCTTTGCTCTTATTGTTTTTATTGTACTGATGTCACAGTGCCTTCTAGAGTTGGACCAAGACAGAGTCAATTTTGCCACATACAAGGCTACACATTCTTGTCAATTCTTTCTCTTAAACATCTTGGGTTTGTTGGCAAAGTCTATTACTTCAAATTGCATAGGTGTTATGTGGGGCCCTTATTAGTATACGCTTTGCTCTTCTAGCCTGATGACCTACAGGGATACCCAGAGAACTTCTTGAGCCATTGAGGTAAAAACATAGTGAAATTATGTCCTTGATAAGACATTTCAATATTGTAAAAATGGGGATTAGGTCTCTACCTCTTATATATGTGAAAAAATACAAAAGAAACTGTTAAAAGTAGTTCCTGGCCAGGCACAGTGGCTC
Organism: Homo sapiens; assembly: GCF_000001405.40. Lineage (NCBI taxonomy): Eukaryota > Metazoa > Chordata > Mammalia > Primates > Hominidae > Homo > Homo sapiens. The sequence goes on from NC_000003.12 coordinate 8,035,074, forward strand.
AGGCCTGTAATCTCAACACTTTGGGAGGCTGAGGCAGAAGGATTGCTTGAGGCTGGGGGTTCAAGACCACCTGGGCAACATAGCAAGAACCAGTGTCTACAAAAAATTAAAAATAAAAAAATTAGCAAGGCATGGCGGCTTGTGCCTGTAGTCTCAGCTACTTGGGAGCCAGAGGTAAGAGGATCTTCTGAACCCAGGAATTTAAGATTGCAGTGGGCCTTCATTGTGCCACTGCACTCCAGCCTGAGTGATGGAAGAAGACCCTGTGTCTAAAAGAAAAAAAATGTAGTTTCTTCTAGGGAATAGGTTGAATGTGGGGAAAGCGTGATGGAAAGAAACTTGTTTTTTAAATATTCTTCTGTATTATTTCAATGTTTCCCCATTGTTAAATATTATAGTTACAATTTTTAAAACTAGTTTAAAACATAAGTAAATACTAAAAGCCAAAAAGCTCTTAATCCAAAGATCTGCAGCTAGAGGATGCCATTATAAGCCCAGCGCAAGCTGTCCTTTGTGGGATGTTTAAAGATGAAGAACTGTCCAGCAGCTGAGTGGCAGCAGAGTTGCTCTAGAGATGAAAGAAACTGAGAAGACACAGCAGAACTTCTGTAAGATTCTAGGGTCTACCAGCTGCTGAACATGAGAGTCAACATGGAAGAGTAACAGGGGAGACAGCATGGATGAGAGAAGCTTCTGCTGAGAGCAATTGCTCAGCTGTGTGACTTCAATCACAGGGAATTCCCACTGGAACTCCCATTAGCTGACATCTCCACTGATAGAGCAGATAGGGTGTGGGGCCCAGGAGGCTTTTGTTCTTAAATGCAAGGATTTCACCTCTATCCCTTATTCTGCCCTACTCCTTCAAAGCAGCTATCACCATCTGACATTTTATTTATTGATTGATCGTTTCTCTCCTCTGACATTATACAAATATAACCCTATGAGAGTAGAGATAGTGACTATTTTTTACTGCTTTAGTCTCAGAGTCTACAGCAGCTTTTAGAACTTCAATAAACACTTGCTAAATAAATTAATTTAGTGAGAAATGAAACAGTACTTAACCAGCATTCCTATCCAACTATGAAATGTGTATAAATATAACTTAACAAACATGTCTGGCTCAGTGCCCATAGGTCAACTATAAAACTGAGATGAGTGTTCTTTCTAGTTTTAACCCAAACTTAATTACAATCTACAATGTAGGAATTATTATCTAAAAGTTTTCTCTTATTAAAAAAACACCACCTTAATAAGTATGATAATGAGATCTTCATGTGAGAAGTGAATAAAGCTCTCAGAAAATGATGATGTTTTTCTGTCTGAACCTTTCAACCAATTTCTGCATTCTTCTGAAATAATTACTAGCCTCAATACAATTAGATTTCATTATTTGCCATTAGCGTAAAGTAGATGTTCAATGAAAATTCAATAGAGGCTATAAATATAAGTTTGCAAAACCTAATATCTAATAAAACATATTCATTATAAGAACCAACTTAGATTATTCTTTATTGGGGCTTTTGCTTTTGTAGTTGTGGAAGAAAATAATTTCCTCTGGGCTTCCCTCAGAATTGCCTTCTGACCTTCTGAACACGTCATCTAGTTTGCTTTACTGGCTTCTCCTCTGCTCATCCAAGTGGATGTGGACAGGCACCATGTTTATCCTTGGAACTTCTCTCACCTACCTGTGATTCCTCAAACCCATAATTTTATCAACTATCAGGATACATATTACATAGTTATTCCAAACCCCTATCTTCCTCCCTGACATCTCTGCTAACCTGTAACCCTATACTTCTTCTTCTTTCTTCCATCCTTGCCATAAATTCCTATAGCACTCTCATAGTCAACATGTTCTTTTTCCAGACTCCTTATTCACCTTCTTACCCCATTCTTCCTCCATGTTCTCCATCTCAGTGAATAACGCTAACATTTGCCATGCCTCTCTAGCCTTCAACATCTCTAAGCTGAACTCTCACAAACATCCTAGCTCCAAAGACTGAAATAGTCCTACCCTACCATCTATTCACCGTAGACCTCCAGAGAGTGCTTCATATAAAACATGGAAATATATAGACCACTTCTTCCTTTCTTAAAAACCTGTAAGAGCCATTGAGCACCAGAACAAAAAAGAACATTTCTCTTGCTTATCCCAGTTTCAATTCCCACTGTATCAGCTCACACACTATGTTTCTTCAAGCAAATGAATCTACTTGCTTTTACCCAGACAGTCTTTACAGTTGCTGTTCTCTCTTCCTAACATGCCTTGTCTACCTGCTCCACATGGTGAATGATGTAAGTTTCATTCTTAAGACCAATATGTAAAATCTCTTATATATGACACTTTCTTCCATCCCTTTATCACTCACCTAACATATTCTCAGATTCATGTTCTGATAATTCCAGGAACTTCTATCACAGAACCGACCACAGTGTATTTTAATAACTTATGCTGATGTCCATTCTTCCCTTTCATAGACCATAGCTGCTCAAGAGGCAAGATCCATGCCTTAGCTTTTTAAGTTTTTTGCATTCCTATTGTAGCAAATGTCTGTATATATAGGAGCTCTGGGAATTGTTTTGGATGAACAAATAAATAAATAAACATTTAAAATGCATAAATGAAGTAAATAACTGTGGGTCCTAAAGAAAATAGTAGTCACCACTTGGGAACTTGTCTATAGTATGAATAGACACCATTCCTCAATCTAATAATGCTGCTTTTCCTCTTTTCTTTCCCTCCGAACCCCATCCCATTCCTCCACCCAGGAATAGTAACCCTCCAGACAAAACTTCTATCCAATGTCAGTACTACAGGAGTCAGAGAGAATGACTGTATCTCCTAAGAAGGGGATTTTGCACATTAGTAGTTGTTTGCAGCACCTGCTCAAGAAATTTGGGCTGAGCTTTTTCACCCCCTTACAAAGCTTTCCTGAAAGTCAAGTTTCTGATACTTTTACAGCTCAAGTATTAATGTTTAATACTCCTCCCCTGGGCTAGGTAATGACTGCAGCATAGCAGTCTCTCTTTGTTACCTCTTGATATTCCTGAGTTACCCAACAACAAATAACTGGCATCTATTCTGTGGCTGACATTTGAATCTGTATTCTTTATAATGATTACCATTTATCAATGATCATCCTATTGATTACTGCCATCTGGGTCCACAACATGAATGAAGGTGAGGTAGATACATCTGCAATTCACCTAGACCTGGTGCACAGAATCCCAGCCTGAGCTGGGTAAATAAGGTGGCCAGAAACAAAATGAATAGCACCAATCCAAATTATATTAACGTTTAATGAGCCAAGATTAAAACAGCTCCAGGGACTCGGAGATCTTGAGCAGGAATAAAAATCCAGGCTGATGAAATACCACTTCAACTGGCTGTTGCAGAGGTTTGGATTCTGTATTCTCAGAAATCTGCACATTTCCCACGCAGCTGAAATACCTATTAAAACCCATATTTCACCATGATTGTTTGCATCTCAGTACCTCTTTAATGGGGGGCACAGAGAGATGGGATTTGAATCAGAGGGGAAAAGATGCCTCAGGAAACTTCCTTAATAATTAAACTCAGTACTGAGACCAGCTCAATGCCACCAAAATGAGGTGCAGATTTGGGGAAATTGGAGAACTAATTGTAGGATTTTAAAAACTTGGCAGATTATCGTGTTTGAATAGAATTCTGAACCATTTGAATTTGGACCACCCCCCATCCCCCGCACCCAGCCATCTGCCATTCTTAAAAGTTGGCAATTTTGTTAGTTCATTTGCATTGCTATAAAGAAATACCTGAGGGTGGGTAATTTATAAAGAAAAGAGGTTTATTTGGCTGTACAAGCAGCATGGTACCAGCACCTGCCTCTGGTGAGGCCTCAGGAAGATGACGATCATGGCAGAAGGTGAAGGGGAGATGGTGTGTCACATGGAGAGAGTGAGCAAAAGAGAGAGGGAGGAGGCACCAGGCTCTTTTCACCTGAGATCAGATCTCAGGTGAACTCATAGAGTAAGAACTCACACATTGCCACAAGGACAGCACCAAGCTGTTCATGAGAGATCTGACCCCATGACCCAAACACCTCCCACTAGGTCCCCCTCCAACATTGGTGGTCACATTTCAACATGAAATTCAGAGGGGACAAAACATCCAAACCATATCAGCAATAAATATAAAGCATCATAGCCGACAGCACAAATGTATAACAGTCAGAGCTCAAATTCAAGTTTAATCATTTAAAAAATCAAGGGGCAAATTACTTAACCTCCCTACAACTGTCTACTAATCTCAATAACAGGAAGAATAATAATCTCCACTGAGGAATTGTTGGTGGAGTTGCTTGACATCCGTATATGGATTATGCTTAACAAGTTACCTGGCATCTAGAAATAGTGCAATAAAAACGGTATTGTTGTTATTGTTATTCTTTTTATTACTTCATTTATTCAACAAATATTTATTTAATGCTCACAATGTGCTAAGCTCCATGTTGAGGTGCACAACGGTGAGGGGAAAAAATAAGCAAGCTTCCTACCATTATGTCAACAGACAAATAACTAAAGTAATTCCAGTTTTAAGTAAGTGCCATGTAGACATTAAACAGGGTTTTCAGTGAAATAAAAACAGGTGTACCTATTTTAGGTAGGTGGTTCAGGGAAGGCATTTCTGAAGAGGTAGCTTCTGAGATAAAAATTAAAGAGGAGAGAGAAAAACCACTACGGGAGTGGAGAAAAAACAGTCTAAGAAGGAGGAAGAATATGTTCAAAAGTCCTGAGTAGGAAAACATGCAGGTTACAGGAGGGACTGAAGAAGAATCACTATGGTTAGACGGCTTTGAGCAAGGGAGATTGCACAGATACGAAGAGGCAAAACTGTGCATACACTTTTTGGCCATGGTAAGAAGTTTAGATTTTATACTAAGATTAATGGGAAGCCATTTATGAAATTTTCTGGCAGAAGAGTGTGTTCAAACATGTGTGATAATTCAATATTCTCCCCCCCAAACCCTTGATTATCCTTAAAGGTCTAAGGCAGCACACAGAAAGAAGTTTGGACTCCTGTCTCAGTCTCCAACACAGACTCCCCAGTGGGAGTTCATTCGTATTCCCTAGATGTTTCCACTCACAAGACGAATGAGAAGGCCAAAATACTACCTTAGAGCAAAACATAACCAATATATATAGTAGCAGACCAATTAATAGTTTGCTTGGGGGAGGCAGGGTTAGATTGTAGCTCCAGACGGCAGCAAGTGAAGGCTTGCTTTGTGAATTTTAGCTCCAGATTGACTGCAAGAATAAACCAGCAGAGGACCCAGAGGCCGTCTGAAGGAACCAGACTGCTCCTGCAGGACCCAGCTGACGCCCCAAATAATGTCAGTGCACCGAATGTGGAAGTGGGAAAGGGAGACCCTCCTCTCCCGAACACACACCCCTGCTGGAGAAGCTGAAGGTCTGTTTGCGGGAGAAGTTTCTGACTTTACCTGCAGCTGAGTCAATTTAGAGAGCTGAGCAAAATACAGGGGTAGAGGAAGCAGTAGAAAGGCCCTGGGAGCTTGCTGAGTCCCCGAGCAGCCCATTCCTGCCTGGCACCACAGGGATCCACCGAGAGGGTGGCCAGAGGAGCAGCGGGTAAAACTCCACAAAGAAAAGGAAATCTCTAGCTAAACTTTGTAACGATTCAAATGGGGTGAGAGGCCTCCTTGCCAGAACTCAGGGGAGGGCCCAAATCCAGTGAGCAGACTCCACAGGCAGGGGAACAACCAAGTCCTTTTCTTTCACAGCTGAGAGGTGGGTAGCCTGGGGCAGGTTTTCAAGCCAGTCTTGCCTTCCACCTGGAAACAAACCCAGAGCTGTTGGTGTGGGGGCATGGTGGGTGTGGGGGCACGGTGGAATTGAGACCAGCCCTTTGGTTTGCATGGGAGCTGGGTGAGGCCTGTGACTTCTGGCTTTCCCCCACTTCCCTGACAACCTGCATGACTCAGCAGAGGCAGCCATAACCCTCCTAGGTACACAATTCTAGTGACCTGGCACTCTCACCCCCACCCCCACAGCAGCCACAGCCAGTCTTCTCCAAGGAGAGTCTAAGCTCAGACATGCCTAGCCCCGCCCCCCACCTGATGGCCCTTCTCTACCCAACCTGGTAGCGGAAGACAAAGGGCATACAATCTTGGGAGTTCTACAGCCCTGCCCACCGCCAGTCCCTCTCCATACTACCACAGCTGATGCTCTTTAGAAAGCACCACCTCCTGGTAGGAGGCCAACCAGCACAAAAATAGAATATTAAACCACCAAAACTAAGAACCCTCACAGAGTCCACTGCAACCCCACCGCCACCTCCACCAGAACAGGCACTGGTATCCAAGGCTGAGAGACCCATAGATGGTTCACATCACAGGACTCTGTGCAGACAACCTCCAGTACCAGCCCAGAGCTGGGTAGACTCACCGGGTGACTAGACCCTGAAGAGAGACAACAATCACTGCAGTTCAGTTCACAGAGAGCCACATCCATTGGAAAAGGGGGAGACTACTACATCAAGGGAACATCCTGTGGGACAACATAATGTAAACAACAGCCTTCAGCCCTAGACCTTCCCTCTGACAGAGCCAAATGAGAAGGAACCAGAAAATCAACCCTGGTAATATGATGAAACAAGGTTCTTCAGCATCCCCCAGAAATCACACTAGTTCACCAGCAATGGATCCAAACTGAGAGGAAATCCCTGATTTACCTGAAAAAGAATTCAGGAGGTTAGTTATTAAGCTAATCAGGGAAAGACCAGAGAAATGTGAAGCCCAATGCAAGGACATCCAAAATGATACAAGAAGTGAAGGGAGAAATATTCAAGGAAATATATAGCTTAAAGGAAAAACAATAAAAAATTCAGAAAACTTTGGACACACTTTTAGAAATGCAAAATGCTCTGGACAGTCTCAGCAACAGAATTGAACAAGTAGAAGAAAGAATTTCAGAGTTTAAAGACAAGGTCTTCAAATTAATCCTATTCAATAAAGACAAAGACAAAAGAATGAGAAAATATGAACAAAGCTTCCAAGAAGTCTGGGATTATGTCAAGCAACCAAACCTAAGAATAATTGGTGTTGCCAAGGAAGAAGAGAAATCTAAAAGCTTGGAAAACATATTTGGGGGAATAATCGAGGAAAACTTCCCCGGCCTTTCTAGAGACCTAGACATCCAAATACAAGAAGCACAAAGAACACCCGGGAAATTCATTGCAAAAAGATCTTCACCTAGGCACATTGTCATCAGGTTTTCCAAAGTTAAGACGACGGAAAGAATCTTAAGAGCTGTGAGACAGAAGCACCAGGTAACCTACAAAGGAAAACTTAACAGATTAACAGTCGATTTCTCAGAAGAAACCCTACAAGCTAGAAGGGGTCAGGGACCTATCTTCAGCCTCTTCAAACAAAACAATTATCAGCCAAGAATTTTGTATGCAGTGAAACTAAGCATCATATATGGAGAAAAGACACAGTCTTTTTCAAATAAATAAATGCTAAGAGAATTGACCATTACCACCACCACTACAAGAACTGCTAAAAGGAGCTCTAAACCTTGAAACAAATCCTGGAAACACATCGAAACAGAACTTCTTTAAAGCATAAATCACACAGGACCTATAAAACAAAAATACAAGTTAAAAAGCAAAAGCAAAAAACAAAAAAAAAAACAAAGTACACCGGCAACAAAGAACATGGTGAATGCAATGGTGCCTCACATTTCAATACTAACATTGAGTGTAAATGGCCTAAGTGCTCCACTTAAAAGATACAGAACCACAGAATGAATAAGAACTCACCAACCATCTGCTGCCTTCAGGAGACTCATCTAACACATAAAGACTAATGTAAACTCAAAGTAAAGGGGTAGAAAAAGTCATTTCAGACAAATGGATACCAAAAGCAGGCAGGGGTAGCTATTCTTATATCAGACAAAACGAACTTAAAGCAATAGCAGTTAAAGAGACAAAAAGGGACATTGTATAATGGTAAAAGACCTGTCCAAGAGGAAAATGTCACAATTTTAAACACATATGCACCTAAAACTGGAGCTCCCAAATTTATAAAACAATTACTAATAGACATAAGAAAACAGATAGACAGCAACATAGCAATAGTGAGGGACTTCAATACTGACAGCAACAGACAGGCCATGAAGACAGAAAGTCAACACAGAAACAATGAATTTAAACTATACCTTGGAACAAATGGACTTAACAGATATATACAGACTATTTCATCCAACAACTTCAGAATACACATTCTATTCAACAGCACATGGAACTTTCCCCAAGATAGATGATATGATAGGCCCTAAAACAAGCCTCAATTCATGGAAATTTAAAAACCTGTTCCTGAATGAGCCTTAGGTCAAAAACAAAATCAAAATGGAAATTAAAAAATTCTTCAATAACAATAATAATATAACCTATCAAAACTTCTGTGATACAGCAAAGGCAGTGCTAAGAGGAAAGTTCGTAGCCCTAAATGCCTACATCAAAAATACTGAAAGAGCGCAAACTGACATTCTAAGGTCACACCTCAAGAAACTAGAGAAACAAGAACAAAGCAAACCCAAACCCAGCAGAAGAAAGGAAATAACCAAGATCAGGGTAGAACTAAATAAAATTGAAACAAAAAAATACAAAAGATAAATAAAACAAAAAGTTCTTTGAAAAGCTAAATAAAATTGATAGGCCATTAGCAAGATTAACCAAGAAAAGAAGAGAGAAAATCCAAATAACTTCACTAAGAAATGAAACAGGAGATGTTACAACTGACACCACTGAAATACAAAAGATCATTCAAGGCTGCTATGAACACATTTACGCACATAGACTAGAAACCCTAGAAAAGATGGATAAACTCCTGGAAAAATACAACCCTCCTAGCTTAAATCAGGAAGAATTAGATACCCTGAACAGACCAATAACAAGCAGCGAGATTGAAATCGTAATTTAAAAATTACCAACAACAACAAAAAAGTCCAGGACCAGACGGATTCACAGCAGAATTCTACCAGACATTCAAAGAAGAATTGGTACCAATCCTTTTGGCATTATTCCACAAGATAGAGAAAGAAGGAACCCCCTGCCCCCGCACCTCAATTCTTTCTATAAATCTAGCATCACCTTAATATGAAAACCAGGAAAGGACATAACTAAAAAAGAAAACTACAGATTAATATCCTTGATGAACATAGATGCTAAAACCCCTAACAAAATACTAGCTAACCGAATCCAACAGCATATCAAAAAGATAATCCACCATAATCAAGTGGGTTTCATACCAGGGATGCAGGGATGGTTAAACATACAAGTCAATAAATATGATACACCACATAAACAGAAATAAAAACAAAAATCATACGATCATCTCAATAGATGCAGGAAAAGCATTTGACAAAATTCAGCATTCCTTTATGATTAAAACTCTCAGCAAAATTGGCATATAAGGGACACACCTTAATGTAATAAAAGCCACCTATGACAAACCCACACCCAACATAATACTGAGGGGAAAAGCTGAAAGCATTCCCCCTGAGAACTGGAACAACACAAGGATGCCCATTCTCACCACTCCTCTTCAACACAGTACTGGAAGTCCTAGCCAGAGCAATCAGAAAAGAGAAAGAAATAAAGGGCATCAAAATCAGTAAAGAGAAAGTCATACTGTTACTGTTTGCTGATGATATGATTGTTTACCTTGAAAACCCTAAGGACTCCTCCAGAAAGCTCCTAGAACTGACAAAAGAACTCAGCAGAATTTCTGGATACAAGATTAATGTACACAAATCAGTAGTTCTTCTATACACCAACAGCAACCAAGTGGAGAATCAAATCAAGAACTCAACCCCTTTTACAATAGCTGCAAAAAAAAAAAATACTTAGGATTATACCTAAGGAGTTGAAAGACCTCTACAAGGAAAACTACAAAACACTGCTGAAAGAAATCATAGATGACACGAACAAATGGAAACACATCCCATGTTCATGGATAGGTAGAATCAATATTGTGAAAATGACCATACTGGCAAAATCCCTCTACAAATCTAAGGCAATTCCCATCAAAATACCACCATCATTCTTCACATAATTAAAAAAAGTTCTAAAATTCATATGGAACCAAAAAAGAGCCCCCATAGCCAAAGCAAGACTAAACAAAAAGAACAAATCTGGAGGCATCACACTACTTGATTTCAAACTATATATAAGGCCATAGTCACTGAAACAGAATGGCACTGGTATAAAAATAGATACATAGACCAATGGGACAGAATAGAGAACCTAGAAATAAAGCCAAATACTTACAGCCAACTGATCTTTGACAAAATAAACAAAAACATAAAGTGGGGAAAGGACACCCTTTTCAACAAATGGTGCTGGGATAATTGGCTAGCTACATGTAGGAGAATGAAACTGGATCCTCATCTCTCACCTTATACAAAAATCAACTCAAGATGGATTAAGGACTTAAACCTAAGACCTTAAACTATAAAAATTCTAGAAGATAACATTGGAAAAAAAACCCTTCTAGATATTGGCTTAGGCAAGGATTTCATGACCAAGAACCCAAAAGGAAATCCAATAAAAACAAAGGTAAACAGCTGGGACCTAATTAAACTAAAGAGCTGTTGGCAAAAGGAACAGAGTAAACAGACAACCCACAGAGTGGAGAAAATCTTCACAATCTACACATCTGACAAAGCACCAATATCCAGAATCTACAATGAACCCAAGCAAATCAGTAAGAAAAAAACAAACAATCCTATCAAAAAGTGGGCTAAGGACATGAACAGACAATTGTCAAAAGAAGATATATAAATGGCCAACAAATATATGAGAAAATGCTCAACATCATTAATATCAGGGAAATTCAAACCAAAACCACAATGTGATACCACCTTACTCCTGCAAGAATGGCCATGATGAAAAAATTAAAAAAATAGATGTTGGCGTGGATGTGGTGATCAGGGAACACTTCTACACTGCTGGTGGGAATGTAAACTAGTACAGCCACTATGGAAAACATTGTGGAGATTCCTTAAAGAACAAAAAGTAGAACTACAATTTGATCCAGCAACGCCACCAGTGGGTATCTACCCAGAGGAAAAGAAGTCATTATTCGAAAAAGATACTTGCATATGCATGTTTGTAGCACAATTCACAATTGCAAATCTTGGAACCCAAATTCCCATCAATCAATGAGTGGATAAAGAAGCTGTGATATATATATCTATCTCTCTCTCTATATATATATCTACATATATATCTATCTATATATATATCTATCTATATATATATCTATCTATATATATATCTATCTATATATCTATCTATATATATATCTACATATCTATCTATCTATATATATCTACATATCTATCTATATATATATCTACATGTATATCTATATATACATCTACATATATATATCACAGTTTATATATATATACATATATATATATATAGAGAGAGAGAGGCATACTATAAGCCATAAAAAGGAATTATTTAACAGCATTTGCAGTGACCTGGATGAGATTAGAGACTATTATTCTAAGTGAAGTAACTCAGAAATGGAAAACCAAACATCGTATGTTCTCACTGATATGTGGGAGCTAAGCTATGAGGACATAAAGGCATAAGAATGATACAATGGACTTTGAGGACTTCAGGGGAAGAGTGGGAAGGTTTGAGGGGTGAAAGACTGCAAATACGGTGCAGCGTATACTGCTCTGATGATGGGTGCACCAAAATCTCACAAATCACCACTAAAGAATTTCCTCATGTAACCAAATACCACCTGTACCCCAATAACTTATGAAAAAATTAAATAGTTTATTGGGCTCATTCTCAGAGTGATGAGTTAATCACTGCAAGGCTTTGAGTTTATACCCTAAGAAAGCAAATTTGACTTTCTAAAACAATCATAGTTCATAGTTTTATGTAAACAAATGTGTCCTCCAATAACATTTATGTTTTAAAAAGTTTTGTGAAGAGGAGCCTTGTGGTAAAAGGTTATATTCCTTGGAGATTGCACAAAACCATTATAATTAAATAGTAAATATTAATGAGAAATTCAGAGTATGTATACAGTCAAAGATTAGTAAAACTTTTACCCTTCCTGGATAGTCTGTTGATACTACTTCTTGTTCTCTTGCCAAAAGGGGCAAGCTCAACAGCACTGAGTATTTTACTAGTAACATCATTCTCTTCTCAAGTCTTCCTACCAAATATTATGTTTCTTTAGTGAGTCGGCCAAAAAATTAATTCTAGATTAATGGATTTTAGAACCCTTGGTTTCCATAAATTACCTGACTCATTCACATTAAGACATGATAGTCTAACTCCACCCAGGCATGTCTGACTTTGAAGAACAAGATATGCATAGGTAAATTTGCCTCCCTGACACCTTCCAAGTTACATAGGTAAATCCCTCCTTTGGCCATGCTTAAGATGTCAAGCTGGAATATTTTGCCTGCAAGAATTTGTAGATATTATTCCAATGTTAAGAAGAAATGAAGAGGAAAAATAAAGATATGATCCCTCCAGAGCTATCAAAAATTAAATTATAAGATTATTGACAATAGAGATTATTCTCTTCTCATAAAGACTCTATGCCATCTTAAAGGGCTCTAGCCCTGAGGCAGGCAGATAACCTGAAGTCAGGAGTTCGAGACCAGCCTGACCAACATGGAGAAACCCCATCTCTACTAAAAATACAAAATTAGCCAGGCGTGGTGGTGCATGCTTGTATTCCCAGCTACTTGGGAGGCTGAGGCAGGAGATTCACTTGAACCCGGGAGGCAGAGGTTGCAGTGAGTCAAGATCAGGCCATTGCACTCCAGCCTGGGCAACAAGAGTGAAACTCCATCTAAAAAAAAAAAAAAGGCTCTAGTCATTCCAATGGTCACTATAGACACTATCCAATGAATAAATCCTGTCACCTCCACTGGTCCAGAATGCTCTGCGGTATTACTTTTCAGGATTGGTTGTTTTTGATCACCTCGCATTCACTGCCAATTTCCTGTTGCCCTGGTATGTAATCCCCTCTACATGTCCTAGCTCTTCTTTTTCCCCTGCCTGTCTGGTCCCCACTAATAGCCATTTCAGTGATAATTTTTTGGAGATCCCCCATTCCTTTATCCTATGGCCCTTTTGCCATATGCTTCCTGCCAACCTGAAATTAGCAATCCTGAATCCATCCTACATATACATTTTCTTGGCAACTGCTCCCAGGCTTCCCACAAGGGCTGGAGAAAATCATTATTGTGCCCTCTTTGCTACATTATGTTTTCTGCTTTGAGTAGAGCTCTTACTGATGCTTTCAGGTCTTCTCCTCACCTGTTTTTTTCACCTTCTTCCTCATTGTCCATGGGTGCTGCCGAAATTTACTAATGTATAAATGCTCCATCTCCACCTCCTTACACTGAAAAGACAACTTTACCTATTCTACAGAGAAAATATAGGCTAGTGTGCCACCCCCCTCCAATTTTAACTATTTTTCTACGCTTTTTTTTTTTTCTTTGAGACAGAGTTGTCCAGGCTGGAGTGAGGTGGCACCATCTCGGCTCACTGCAACCTCAGCCTCCCAGGTTCAAGCAATTCTTCCACCTCAGCCCTCCGAGTAGCTGGGATTACAGGTGCCCATCATCACAGCCAGGCTAATTTTTTTTGTATTTTTAGTAGAAACGGCTTCGTCATGTTGGCCAGGGTGGTATCCAACTCCTGGCCTCAGATGATCCACCCACCTCGGCCTCCCAAAGTGCAGGGGTTACAGGCGTGAGCCACTGCACCTGGCCTATGCAATCTTATTGTATTCCCTCCTGCCCCAGGGGAAGACAGTCCCCACTCCCAATGGAGACAAATTCCTCCAATTGTAGTTTGATCTTCTCTTCTTTGGGCTCTGCAGTCATCTCTTCTCTCTGTTTTTAAAACTTCCTGTTTCTTAACCAAACCTTCCACTTTAAAAATGTTAGAATATTCCAATTTTTTGCTTTATGTTATTTAACCTCCAATTTCTTCTTCCCCAGCCTTAGGTTATTAACTTTTTCTCTTTGTTCTTTGCCTTCCAATTCCTTGAAGGGTTGGTTACACTCACTGCTTTCCTTACCCTCTCTTTTTTAGCTGCAACGAAAACCCCACTCAAACTGATCTAATTAGACCATCAGTGAACCACTAATTGCTTCAACTCTTGACTTTTTTTCAAGTCTCAGCCTTCTTGGCATCTCAGTGGTATTTGACATTGCTAGCCCACTCCATCCTCCCAGAGCCATCATTTTTTCCTTGTCTTTATGAAGCCAGCCTGTCTCTCTCTCCCTAGTCTCTTCTTTGCTCCCCAGCTGTCTCCTGCATTCGCATCAGCGCTTATTTCTCTGTTCATCCCTAAGATGTAGGATTCCCTAAGCCTTTTCCTTTGAATCTCTTCCTCCTACATTTGTTGTGGGGATCTTTCTCCACTCACATGGTGTCAACTACTGCCCAGCACCAATGGCTTCCTAATATATGTCACTGCACAAAAGTCCTCTAACAGGTCTCTCTGCCTCAAAACTCTTCCCCCATCCAATTCATTGTGCCACTTTGAACAAACTCGCTAATACACAATTCTGTCCTCTGCCTTAAAAATGCCTGTGGATGTCCTTTGCCTTCAGGTTGAGGTCATTCTTTTTATCAGGTCTATCAGTCCTTTCCAAGCTTGCTCCAGTCATCTTTCTCCCACTCATTCAATACAAATTAGATCAGTTTTGTCTATTAAATGTTACCCAAGCATGCCTGCTCTTTCATACCTTCATGTCTTTGTCACTCTGTCCCCAATGCCTTTCTTATCCCCACTTCTACCCATAACACCCCCATTTATCTTACTCCAAATGCTACTCCCAGGAAAACAACCAATAAGAGCTGATATTTATTGAGTGCTTACTATATGTCAGGACTGTATTAAATGCTTTCCATGGATTAACTCATTAATCATCAAAACAACCTGATATTTAGGTATGCTAGTTATGATCCCATTTTACATATAGGAACACTGAAACTCAAAGGAATTAAGTACCTTATTTAAGGCTATATGGCTAGCAAAAAAACTTGATCTGACTCCAGAGCCTACTTTTCTAACCACATGTCCAAAAGCCCTGTGTTTCTCCTACATACTTCTGTTTTCATCCATATTATATTTGCTCCCCGATTATTCATTTATACCTGACTTTTGGTGCCATACTGAGAGCTCCTGGAGAAAAGGAAATAGGTTTCCTTTACCCATTTCCCCTCCCTAATCTATCAACATGCCTGGCAAATACTGATGGTTCAACAAATGCTTTCTGCATGTAAATTTGAACTGAATGCATTATGCATATTGACTAAGGGTGGAGAGAAACTTCAAGGCAAAAGATATAATTAGTCTGGCTATGTGGGTGACTGCCAGCACTCTAAAATAATCCATTTTCCATTGAGTCCCATAAGAGAGCAAACATTTGTGCTTCGTGCGGTCTCTAAATCTCTAAATCTCTTGAAATAAGCTTTCTATGTAGAACTATCCAAATTGTAGTGACTACTTGAAAGAACTTTATGTTTGTAGAAACCTATGTTTTTCAATTTTCCATTGGACAAACACTCAGACTAGTGACTTAGCAGCCCTGTAATACTGAGACATTAAGGCCGTTGAAAATATCACAAAGGTAGAAATACAGTTCTCACAGCTTACAATCACAATAGCAGTTTTCTATTCTCCTTGGGATATTCTGCAACATCCTAAGTTTAGCTTGAGATGGAAAGCCTGTGTGTGTACTGTAAATGGTGAAGGAGGGTGGGGATGGTCAAGTGAGCAGAAGAGCATAAAATAGAGATGTCACCATACTCTCATTGCATCCATTTGTCTTTTTCAAATACAGAAGTTGTGAGTCTCTCTACACCTAACCAACACATTGTAACTGGGTGCTTTATCTTCAGCTGTTTTTTAACGCTAAGTACTAGCTTTCCAAAATCCACTGGTGCTTGACTTTTGAAACTGGTGAGATGTGGTTGTATTTTACTTAGGGAGAAAACAGGTGGATTCCTTCAGTTGGATATCAGTAGTGGCGTATTTTGAATGTACTGGGACATATTTCTGAGAAAGGAAAACAGAGAGCTGATGTGCTCTAACTACCTATTGGTCTGAGCACTTTACTAGATCTACTTGGGATTTAGTCCTCCATCTCATACTTAACCCATCACCCCAGTACCCGAATCCAGTGGGAGGACAAAATAATGAAAGACATCATATATAGGCTCATAGAGTATCAGAGCTAATAGAGCTAATAGAGAGCTCTAAACCAGAAGATGAGGAGATTTAAAATCAGAGAGGAGATTGATTTTCTCTAGACAAAAAAAAAAAAAAACCTGAGAAAGTGGCACTAGAGCTGGCAAAAGCCAACACTGGGCATGTCTTTCCAACTCTGCATTCTGTGATATCACACTGGGAGCTTAAAATTGGTTGTAGTGGGAGCATTCACACAATGGAAACTGGCAAATGCTACAAATCAGGGTGCTTTATTTCCCCCAAATAACTGGTTTATCAGCACATCACTGTTATATATTTGCAAATATAAAAACTAATCATCTTTCCATATCCCCAAGAGCTCTGTCTTCTTTCTTTCACTTTCTTTTTCTTGCCTATTTGTTTCCCTTTATTAATTCATTAAACAAGTATTTGTTGACCACTTTTTATACACCAGGCATCATGCAAAGGGTTGTGGATAAAGTAGTGAAGAAAACAACAAAGCCCTGCCTTCATTAAGCTTAGTACAATGGGAGATGCATGCATTAAGCATATGACAGTTATGGTTACATTAAAAAATGCCTAATGTGGGCTATAAGAGCAGCCACAAGAGGAGCATAATTAGGCTGGGGAAGTGACATTTAAGTAAGATTTTCCTACCAAGTTATCGCAGAATAATCTGTGTGGTTCCAAAGCTTTCCAGCCAGACAGATCTGAGTTTGAATTCCAGCTGTAAATAAACTTTTTGAGTGAACTCAGGGAACCAACCTGTTAAATCCTCAGTTTTCTCTTCTGTAAAAAGGGCATAATCTTATTATTATTATTATTTTTTTTCACAAGGTCTCACTCCATCACCAAGACTGGAGTGCAGTGGTGCAATCTCAGCTCACTCCAAACTCTGCCTCTCAGGCTCAAGGGATCCTCCCAACTCAGCCTTCTGAGTACCCAGGACTGCAGGCGCATGCCACTACACCCAGCTAATTTTTGTATTTTTTGTAGAAATGGAATTTTTTCCTGTTGCCCAGGTTATTCTTGAGCTCAAGCGATCCTCCTGCCTTGGCCTTCTAAAGTGCTGGAATTACAGGCATGAGCCACTGTACCTAGCCATGGGCATAATCTTATCACCTACTCCACAGGGTTAATGTTAGGGTTGAGTTGATAATCTGTAAAATGTCTAGCACCGAGCCTGGCATGTAATTCCTGTTCCATAGATGGCACCGGTGTTTATGATTAATATCACTGGTATTATCTTTTCTTCCCCTTGCATGTCTAGAATGTTCATTCTATCTGTGCTTTTACAGGACATAAGCTTAGCCTCTATGTGTAATTTCTCTGAGAACACGGAGAACTTGCAGAGGCCATCTGGTAATGGTGGACACTGGCCAAATCATTGCTAATTGCCTAAGCATGCTGGCTCTCTTTGGTAGTGGGCTTGGCAGTTCTAATTAGTGCAGACCACATGATGTCTTTGAGTTGCTGCTCTTGGGAGCTTGAGTCCAAGCCAGCAGTTCCAGATTCCTTCTGAGGTTAGAGAGGCACCTTCAGAGAGTTGCGTTTAACAAAGATCTGGCAGGAGTAGGTCCCGCCTGCCCCCATGCCTTCCATGTGGGAGCTTGCTGGGATTAACAGGAGTACAGGGGTTTGTGATTAGAGCGACAGATGGAGAGTGAGAACATTCACTTAGCAGCTTTCGGCGACCTCCGAGGGTCAATCTTTAAGCAGCTTCAAGCCCTTGGCCTGGGTTTTGATTTGCAAAGCTAAGGCCAAGGCCCCCCAGCCTAGGGTAAGAAGCATATGCTAATTCCAGGATTTACCTACCATTTAGCCTCCCAGCTGCCTCTCTTTGCATTGCCATATGTGGTCATGCCTCAGTCTCGATAACAAACACCAAGATATATGTTTACCCAGCAGAATGCCTGGCACAGAGGAGGGACTGCATAAATGGTAGCTGAACAAATGAGTGCAGAGAAGTTCTGCATTGCTCTTCTTCACCATGGTCTGCTTCCTGATTGTTTCTCCTTCCATGCACCTTCCCCTTTGCTTGCACTGATAGGTGAAGCAGGAGCCAACTCTTTATAGGGAATCCAAGGGAGGTAATGCTCTCCCCATTCGTCAACTTCAATACAACCGCATCAGACGTTTGTGTTGTCAGTTCATTGATCTTGTTTGGAGGACGGCCTGGTGGGGGTTTTAGTTTGGACTTCTGGTGGGGAATTAGTTCAGCAGACCTTAGTTTTAATGCTCTGCCTTTCAGTCACAAACTGCATCCTTAAGGAAGTCAGCTAATTTATTCAAGACTCACTTTCCATATCTGCAAAATGGGACTAATGAAATGCTTGCCTTAAAACTAAGGAGACAAACAAAAAATCAGTGGTTCCCAGGGTCTGGAGGGAGGGAGGGATAGATAGGTGAAGCACAGAAAACTTTTAGGGCAGTGAAACTACCTGTGTGACACTATAAGATATACATGTCATTATACATTTGTCAAAACTCATGGAATGTACAGGACAGAAGACAGAAATTGAAGACTAAGAGAGGAAGAGGAGGGAAGAAGAAGAGAAAATTTCATTTTCTGAGAATTAAAGTAAAATTCTGGAGAATTACCCTCTAGATTCTCTGGTGCTTGGTTGCTCAATAGTAAGATATGTTTTCTGTACTGTATTCTTTGCTCTCTTAGTCATCCAGGGCAGAGCTAAGGATTTGTATTATATACGGTGACAAATTTGCAAGGGATCTGTCCTCAAGTACCCTTAGTAGTGTCTCTTTATTCTTATTAGCTTGCTTCTTCTTCACAATTCTCACTATTGCTCTTCATACCAGAGGTGACTGGAGCAAATGGCCTCCTTTCAGCTGGGGATGGGAGGGAAGTACCTCTGAACTACCTTTACCATTGTTGGTATCTTGCCTTAGCATTTTCTCACTTAGTTTCCTATTTTTGCCATGAAAAGGAGAAACCCATCAGGTACAGGCCAGCTTTTCCTAACATCATGACTGCCAGAACAATTTTTAAGCCCCATGTTTTCAGTAGTGCAAGAGTTGCAACAGTTGGCATAAAATAGGTGCTTAATATAATGCTCTGCAAGTAGTAGGTACTTGATAGATGTTCCAATTATAATACCATTTGCCTTGCTTAAAACACAAACCAACAAGCAATGCAGATGTTTCTAGGTGAAGGTGATTCTTTATGGATCAGCCTTTTTACTCCTGGGTAGATAAGCATTAAGATCCTGGTGGTATAAAATTATAAAGAACCCTCGCCCTTGCTTCTGGTAGAACATGAGGGCTAGGTGCCTTTAAGGGCAAGATGGGTAACAAGATTATTAGAAGAAACTGGGACATAGGGCAAGACAGTGGGTCTGTGAAGAACTAGAGGGGGTACGCTCCATTTTTACACCATGGCTGGCCACAAGACTACCATGGTGGTTCTGAAGTTTAGGACTCCTGGACTAGCCTTTCCCTCTGATTCTAACCACTGAGTGCCTCATATTTCATATTTTCTAACTGTACAATGATATGAAAATATTTTTCCAAGAAGTATCCCCTCAGGTCCTCAAGAAAGCCTCACGAGGCAGCTAGGAAATTTATTAGTCCCATTTTTCAGACCCTGACATAAGAGTTTGAGTGTAACCAGTTGCTTTGGGAAGAAAGGAAGCCCCCGCAGAAAAAAATATATAAAAGACAGTTAGGTAAAGAAAGATACATAGGACAGAGCATATTAATGAGCAGGCTGCTAATGTGGACAACAGGATCTTAGTCCTGCTGGAGTGCACAGATCACCCCTCAGAGCTGCCCCACAGAAGTTGAGGAAGCTGGATGTTTAGCCACCAGCTCTTTTCCTTGTGGTTTAAGGGTAGCTCCTGAGAATATACTTCCCAAGCACTTCCAGTCCGCTCTACCTGTAGACTAATCAGGCCCTACAGTCAGAGATGTCCTAGACAGAAAATTGCAAATGCTTATAATAAATAAGAAACTAATGACATACACCAATGCTGAATACTAAGAAGATATGGGCAAGGTCCCTCCAGCATCTGCTACTGGAGAATCAGAGAACTCTACTTTCCTGTGGAAAGCAATTGCTAGAGCTGCCAGAATTCTACCTGAGGTCCCTGGTATCTGGTCCAATATTTCATCCACTGATGAACATGCATTGGATTCCTCCTTGTCTTAAAACAATCCTTAGGCTAGATTGAATTTTTGGACATCCCTAGAAAGAATTAGAGCTGGAATACAAAACAAGAAGGCAAGAATAATTTTCAAGAGTTACTTTATTAAGGCATCTGTGCTCTTCCTCTTGAGTTTCAAGTATGTCTAAGTGACATTGGCAGCACTTGGAGGACACCTAACCTCTCGGTTCTACAGTAAGTCATCTTTATAGAACTGAGTGTCTTTCTCAGAAATGCAAGAAATTTTGATCAAATTTCTCTCCTTGGGGTGTCACAAGACAGCAAGATCTTGGCAGGCTATAGCAGCAGTGCTGAAAAGGACATATTTGGAAATTAATGAACAGTAGTGTTTGGTGGAACGCAGCCTGTGTTCTCTTAGCCTCTTGCTTTTTGCCAGAAATGAAGCCACAGAGGAAAGTTTTCTTTGTCACAAAAAGAGACAAGACGAGAACTCCAGGTAAAATACAAATATTGAACTGTGAAATTCTATTTCATGTACGTTTCTTAGACTACAAGAGGGAAAGCAAAAGGTGGGGATCAAAATATATGAGTGACTAAAAAATATTGACTTGCATGCTTGTCCTCCTGCCAGCTCCCATACTACCCAGCTGGGGTGGACCACAGCCTAGAAATGGACAGAAGCTGTCTAGAAGGCTCACCTGCCCCCAGATATCCCCCCACTTGCTGGGCTCTCATGTCACCACTCTTAGGCATTCCTTTGCAGCTAAAATCAGCATTTCCCAAATGCCTGTCATTTTTGCACATCGTTTGTGAATCTTGCCACACCTTCTGCACTATTATGTATTTTATATATGTATATATTTGAGACGAAGTCTCACTCTGTCGCCTAGGCTGGAGTGCAGTGGCATAATCTTGGCTTACTGCAACCTCTGCCTCCTGGGTTCAAGTAATTCTCCTGCCTCAGCCTCCTGAGTAGCTGGGCTTATAGGCACACACCACCATTCCCAGCTAATTTTTAAAATATTTTTAGTAGAGACGGGGTTTCACCATGTTGGTCAGGCTGGTCTCAAACTACTGACCTCGTGATCCACCCACCTTGGCCTCCCAAAGTGCTGGGATTACAGGCGTGATTCACTGCGCCTGGCCACGTATTCAATATATTTTTTAGTTCCTTCATGTTATTTCAAAAGGAAGTCTTAAATTACTAGTTAGTGGAGAACTGGAATCTATTGCCAAACACAGAGGTTGTAAAAGTAAACAAAATTAAAATAAAGTTGATTTGTTAAAATTCCAGCTAAATATTCTTACTAAACAAAGGCTGTCAGTCTGAGATCTGGTCTTTTTTGTAAAGTAAAAAAAGACAGGGGGTAGGGGGGCATCAGCAAAAGTTAAAGAGGTGTTAACCCAAGCTGTGTGTGGCTTGCTCCTCAATAACACCTGCAAATTATCTATCAAGTCTATATTATACCAGGCACTGTTTTAGACACCTACCTAGAGTACAGAATGAGCAAAACAAATAAAGACTTTTACTCCCATGGAGCTTATTTTCCAGGCAGGTGGGTAATAGATAAGAAATAATACAGATAAGGAAAAAGTAAACTTTACTTTAGAAGCTGTTAAATGCCATGGGCGGGGGAGAAAGAAGAGTTGAGTGAGAGGCAACAAGAATGCAGGAAGGAAAATTCTCAAGGAAAAGGCAAGATTTGAGCAAGGGCTTCATGGATGGGGAGGAGTTTGCCCAGCAGATAACTGGAGGAAGAGCATTTCAAGAAGAGCTATAGGGTGGAGAAGGGGTTCTCAAACTCTAACATACATCACAACCATCCAGTGGGCTTCGTTTAAAATACGTATTGCTGGATCTGACATCAAGAATATTCTCTTCAGCAGGTCAGGGACAGTGCCTAAGAATTCACATTACTCAGCATTCCCAAGTGATGCTGATGTTTCTAGTCCATGGACCATATTCTGAGAACTACTGGGTTCAAGCAAAATGCATTGTTGGTAGCCTTCCTTCATAGAATATGGAAGGAGACTGGCAGAGAATTAATAGAGAGTTAATATTGTCTCACTCTGACTACTTTGTGCAAAATAGACTATAGAGTTTGTGGTGGGAGACAAGGGTGGAAGCAGGAAATCCAGTGAAGGTGCTATTGTAGTAATCCAGCCAAGAAAGCATAGTGGCTCAGACCAGGGTGGCTTAGTGGAGATGTGGCATGTGGTCAGAATCTAAATATGTTTTGAAGGTAGAGCCAGGCTCCTAATAAGAGTAAGGGTGGAGTATAAGAAAGGAAAGAGTTAAGGATAACTCCAGGTTTTGTTTGTTTGTTCTTAATTACAAATTATAACAATGTGGCTTCCATATAGTTAATGTTATTGAATATTCTGTCCATTTTGCAAGAAAAAATTACACTGGACCCTTGTTAAAATGGCAAGGAAGACTTTATTCAAGACCATTGCAATAGGGGTCTAGACTGTTGCAATAGTTGAACTGGACTTCACTGAAACAAAAGGATTTTTAAACACTAGAGTGAGCTAATGGAAAAGTAATGAAGGATGTTAGGGAGGAGGTTGTTCAATGTGATTAGGACATTATTGGTGGTTGTTAATTGTCACTTATGGGAATTAGATTTCCACTCTCCCACAGAGACTAGGAGATAGGGTCCCTATCTTTCTTGATGATGACCTTTCAAAGTGATGGCTCCCAAGTTCTTGAGAAAGACATTCCTGAACAAAACTGACAAAAGGCTGGGAGAAAATTTATATCTTTAAAAGACAAAGAAAGAATTTACATTTGCAAGTTTCTAAAGAAAATGCTTTAAGAAATGGAAGATTAGGGGCCTAGATTCAGGAAGAAGTCTATTTAAAGTTTCTCCAAGCTGATGGGAACATTAGGCCTTCTTGGTCACCATGCAAATATTACAAGAAAAATAGAATTCTGTGTGCCTTCAAACAAAGTACAATTCCAGTGATAAATGAGCAATTTATGTTGGTTTCTTTATCCTCAAGGGAGTCAGTCTGACAGAGGATGAGAAAAAAATTTTTTTGAATTTCTTCTTTAAGATTTATTGCATTAATTTAATTCTATTCCTGGAAATAATGGGAAATGACTTAGGGCAATTTTTTTCTTTCCAGAAAATTCTGACAGATTATGCTTTTGATTGGTAAAAGGAAAGTGGGAATAACATAAAAATCACCATGAAAGATTTATAAATTATAAAAGCTATAAAGTAGACTTTTTCTGAAGAGATAGAAATTTAAGATCTTTGAAAAAAGCTATGTTCTCCAGGAAGTTCTACGAGATTAATAGAGAAAACGTTTAAATTTTTTTGACAAAAAACTTAAGGTCCACATGAAAAATGGAAATTTGCTGAGGAAGGTACCAGATGATAAATAAGACTACGACAAAAAATTGTATCACCTTGAAAGAATTTAATGTGCGCATATCTTGCAGTTCCTTATGGAATTGCGAGGTAAGGGCAGGTTTCTGAAGCAAATGGTGTTAATGTGAGTGTGTGGTAGAAAGATACAGGATTGTGCCTGTCTTTAAAATACACAGAGCTCCTTTAAAAAAATACACATAGCTCCTATATTTTCAAAGGAACTCTTATGCGATATGATGAACTAAGGGAGTTAGCTAATTTTTTGGAAAAGCCTTGTGCAGTACAGAGCAATCTATAAGCAAAATATTTTAACCTGACTGTATTTCAGTAAGATTCCATTTTTTGGTCCTGAATATATTACATTCAGAATTTCTTCTTCATATAGGCATGTCACATGTCCTACAATCAAGTTAAAACAAAAAAGATGAATGAAATATTTTCTACAGACAAAAGAAAAACAGACGTTGTGCATTTCCTACTACCAATACAAATACACAGCCAACAGACACATGAAAAAATGCTCATCATCACTGGCCATCAGAGAAATGCAAATCAAAACCACAGCGAGATACCATCTCACACAAGTTAGAATGGAGATAAAAAGTCAGGAAAGAACAGGTGCTGGAGAGGATGTAGAGAAATAGGAACGCTTTTGAGGAGTGTCTGTTCATATCCTTTGCCCACTTTTGATAGGGTTGTTTGATTTTTTTCCTGTAAGTTTGTTTAAGTTCTTTGTATATTCTGGATATTAGCCCTTTGTCAGATGGGTAGAGTGTAATAATTTTCTCCCATTCTGTAGGTTGCCTGTTCACTCTGATGGTAGTTTCTTCTGCTGTGCAGAAGCTCTTTAGTTTAAATTGATCCCATTTGTCAATTTTAGCTTTTGTTGCCATTGTTTTTGGTGTTTTAGTCATGAAGTCCTTGCCCATGCCTATGGCCTGAATGGTATTGCCTAGGTTTCTTCTAGGGTTTTTATGGTTTTTGGTCTAACATTTAAGTCTTTAATCCATCTTGAATTGATTTTTGTATAAGGTGTAAGGAAGGAATCCAGTTTCAGCTTTCTACATATGGCTAGCCAGTTTTCCCAGCACCCTTTATTAAATAGGGAAGCCTTTCCCCATTTCTTGTTTCTGTCAGGTTTGTCAAAGATCAGATGGTTGTAGTTGTGTGGTATTATTTCCAAGGGCTCTATTCTGTTCCATTGGTCTATATCTCTGTTTTGGTACCAGTACCATGCTGTTTTGGTTACTGTAGCCTTGTAGTATAGTTTGAAGTCAGGTAGCGTGATGCCTCCAACTTTGTTCTTTTGGCTTAGGATTGTCTTGGCAATGTGGGCTCTTTTTTGGTTCCATATGAACTTTAAAGTAGTTTTTTCCAATTCTGTGAAAAAAGTCATTGGCTTGATGGGGATGGCATTGAATCTATAAATTACCTCGGGCAGTATGGCCATTTTCACACTATTGATTCTTCCTACCCATGAACATGAAATTTTCTTCCATTTGTGCCCTCTTCTATTTCACTGAGCAGTGGTTTGTAGTTCTTCTTGAAGAGGTCCTTCTCACCCTTGTAAGTTGGATTCCTAGGCATTTTATTCACTTTGGAGCAATTGTGAATGGGAGTTCACTCATGATTTGGCTCTCTGTCTGTTATTGGTATATAGGAATGCTTGTGATTTTTGCACATTGATTTTGAATCCTGAGAGTTTGCTGTAGTTGCTTATCAGCTTAAGGAGATTTTGTGCTGATATGATGGGGTTTTCTAAATATGCAATCATGTCATCTGCAAACAGGGACAATTTGACTTCCTCTTTTCCTAATTGCATACCCTTTATTTCTTTCTCTTACCTGTTTGCCCTGGCCAGAACTTCCAATACTATGTTGAATACGAGTGGTGAGAGAGGGTATCCCTCTCTTGTGCCAGTTTTCAAAGGGAATGCTTCCAGTTTTTGCCCATTCAGTATGATATTGGCTGTGGATCTGTCATAAATATCTCTTATTCCTGGTTTAGTCTTGGGAGAGTGTATGTGTCGAGGAATTTATCCATTTCTTCTAGATTTTCTAGTTTATTTGCGTAGAGGTGTTTTTAGTATTCTCTGATGGCAGTTTGTATTTCTGTGGGATCGGTGGTGATATCTCCTTTATCATTTTTTATTGGGTCAATTTGATTCTTCTCTCTTTTTTTCTTTATTAATCTTGCTAGCAGTCTATCAATTTTGTTGATTCTTTCAAAAAAACCAACTCCTGGATTCATTAATTTTTTGAAGGGTTTTTTTTGTCTCTATTTCCTTCAGTTCTGCTCTGATTTTAGTTATTTCTTGCCTTCTGCTAGCTTTTGAATGTGTTTGCTCTTGCTTTTCTAGTTCTTTTAATTGTGATGTTAGGGTGTCCATTTTGGATCTTTCCTGCTTTCTCTTGTGGGCATTTAGTGCTATAAATTTCCCTCTACACACTGCTTTGAATGCGTCCCAGAGATTCTGGTATGTTGCGTCTTTGTTCTCATTGGTGTCAAAGAACATCTTTATTTCTGCCTTCATTTTGTTATGTACCCAGTAGTCATTCAGGAGCAGGTTGTTCAGTTTCCATGTAGTTGAGTGGTTTTGAGTGAGTTTCTTAATCCTGAGTTCTAGTTTGATTGCACTGTGGTCTGAGAGACCATTTGTTAAAATTTCTGATCTTTTACATTTGCTGAGGAGAGCTTTACTTCCAACTATGTGGACGATTTTGGAATAAGTGAGGTGTGGTGCTGAAAAAAATGTATATTCTGTTGATTTGGGGTGGAGAGTTCTGTAGATGTCTATTAGGTCCGCTTGGTGCAGACCTGAGTTCAATTCCTGGGTATCCTTGTTATCTTTCTGTCTCGTTGATCTGTCTAATGTTGACAGTGGGGTGTTAAAGTCTTCCATTATTATTGTGTGGGAGTCTAAGTCTCTTTGTAAGTATCTAAGGACTTGCTTTATGAATCTGGGTGCTCCTGTATTGGGTGCATATATATTTAGGATAGTTAGCTCTTCTTGTTGAATTGATCCCTTTACCATTATGTAATGGCCTTCTTTGTCTCTTTTGATCTTTGTTGATTTGAAGTCTGTTTTATCAGAGACTAGGATTGCAACCCCTGCCTTTTTGTGTTTTCCATTTGCTTGGTAGATCTTCCTCCATCCTTTTATTTTGAGCCTATGTGTGTCTTTGCAAGGAATCTCTGAATAGACCAATAACAGGCTCTGAAATTGTGGCAATAATCAATAGCTTACCAACCAAAAAGAGTCCACAACCAGATGGATTCACAGCCGAATTCTACCAGAGGTACAAGGAGGAACTGGTACCATTCCTTCTAAAACTATTCCAATCAATATAAAAAGAGGGAATCCTCCCTAACTCATTTTATGAGGCCAGCATCATCCTGATACCAAAGCCAGACAGAGACACAACCATAAAAGATAATTTTAGACCAATATCCTTGATGAACATTGATGCAAAAATCCTCAATAAAATACTGGCAAAACGAATCCAGCAGCACATCAAAAAGCTTATCCACCATGATCAAGTGGGCTTCATCCTTGGGATGCAAGGCTGGTTCAATATACGCAAATCTATTAATGTAATCCAGCATATAAACAGAACCAAAGACAAAAACCACATGATTATCTCAATAGATACAGAAAAGGCCTTTGACAAAATTCAACAACACTTCATGCTAAAAACTCTCAATAAATTAGGTATTGATGGGACGTATCTCAAAATAATAAGAGCTATCTATGACAAACCCACAGCCAATATCATACTGAATGGGCAAAAACTGGAAGCATTCCCTTTGAAAACTGGCACAAGACAGGGAAGCCCTCTCTCACCACTCCTATTCAACATAGTGTTGGAAGTTCTGGCCAGGGCAATCAGGCAGGAGAAGGAAATAAATGGTATTCTATTAGGAAAAGAGGAAGTCAAATTGTCCCTGTTTGCAGATGACATGATTGTATATCTAGAAAACCCCATTGTCTCAGCCCAAAATCTCCTTAAGCTGATAAGCAACTTCAGCAAAGTCTCAGGATACAAAATCAATGTACAAAAATCACAAGCATTCTTATACACCAATAACAGACAAACAGAGAGCCAAATCATGAGTGAACTCCCATTCACAATTGCTTCAAAGAGAATAAAATACTTAGGAATCCAACTTACAAGGGACGTGAAGGATCTCTTCAAGAAGAACTACGAACTACTGTTCAATGAAATAAAAGAGGATACAAACAAATGGAAGAACATTCCATGCTCATGGGTAGGAAGAATCAATATCGTGAAAATGGCCATACTGCCCAAGGTAAGTTATAGATTCAATGCCATCCCCATCAAGCTGCCAATGACTTTCTTCACAGAATTGGAAAAAACTACTGTAAAGTTCATATGGAACCAAAAAAGAGCCCGCATCGCCAAGTCAATCCTAAGCCAAAAGAACAAAGTTGGAGGCATCACGTTACCTGACTTCAAACTATACTACAAGGCTACAGTAACCAAAACAGCATGGTACTGGTACCAAAACAAAGATATAGATCAATGGAACAGAACAGAGCCCTCAGAAATAATGCTGCATATCTACAACTATCTGATCTTTGACAAACCTGAGAAAAACAAGCAATGGGGAAAGGATTCCCTATTTAATAAATGGTGCTGGGAAAACTGGCTAGTCATATGTAGAAAGCTGAAACTGGATCCCTTCCTTACACCTTATACAAAAATTAATTCAAGATGGATTAAAGACTTAAACTTTAGACCTAAAACCATAAAAACCCTAGAAGAAAACCTAGGCATTACCATTCAGGACATAGGCATGGGCAAGGACTTCATGTCTAAAACACCAAAAGCAATGGCAACAAAAGCCAAAATTGACAAATGGGATCTAATTAAACTAAAGATCTTCTGCACAGCAGAAGAAACTACCATCAGCATGAATAGGCAACCTACAAAATGGGAGAAAATTTTCTCAACCTACTCATCTGACAAAGGGCTAATACCCAGAATCTACAATGAACTCAAACAAATTTACAAGAAAAAAACAAACAACCCCATCAAAAAGTGGGCAAAGGACATGAACAGACACTTCTCAAAAGAAGACATTTATGCAGCCAAAAAACACATGAAAAAATGCTCATCATCACTGGCCTTCAGAGAAATGCAAATCAAAACCACAATGAGATACCAACTCACACCAGTTAGAACGGCGATCATTAAAAAGTCAGGAAACAACAGGTGCTGGAGAGGATGTGGAGAAATAGGAACACTTTTACACTGTTGGTGGGACTGTAAACTAGTTCAACCATTGTGGAAGTCAGTGTGGCAATTCCTGAGGGATCTAGAACTAGAAATACCATTTGACCCGCCATCCCATTACTGGGTATATACCCAAAGGATTATAAATCATGCTGCTATAAAGACACATGCACATGTATGTTTATTGAGGCACTATTCACAATAGTAAAGACTTGGAACCAACCCAAATGTCCAACAATGATAGACTGGATTAAGAAAATGTGGCACATATACACCATGGAATACTATGCAGCCATAAAAAATGATGAGTTCATGTCCTTTGTAGGGACATGGATGAAGCTGGAAACCATCATTCTCAGCAAACTATCGCAAGGACAACAAACCAAACACCGCATGTTCTCACTCATAGATGGGAATTGAACAATGAGAACACATGGACACAGGAGGGGGAACATCACACACCGGGGCCTGTTGTGGGGTGGGGGGAGGGGGGAGGGATAGCATTAGGAGATATACCTAATGTTAAATGACGAGTTAATGGGTGCAGCACACCAACATGGCACATGTATACATATGTAACTAACCTGTACATTGTGCACATGTACCCTAAAACTTAAAGTATAATAATAATAATAAAAAGAAAAAAATAAATAAATAACTCATTATTTTGAGATACATTCCATCAGTACCGAGTTTATCGAGAGTTTTTAGCATGAAGGGTTGTCGAATTTTGTCAAAGACCTTTTCTGCATCTATTGAGATAATCATGTGGTTTTTGTCTTTGGTTCTGTTTATATGATGGATTATGTTTATTGATTTGCGCATGTTGAACAAGCCTTGCATCCCAGGTATGAAGCCCACTTGATCGTGGTGGATAAGCTTTTTGATATGCTGCTGGATTCTGTTTGCCAGTATTTTATTGATGATTTTTGCATCAATGTTCATCAGGGATATTTGTCTAAAATTCTCTTTTTTTGTTGTGTCTCTGCCAGGCTTTGGTATCAGGATGATGTTGGCCTCATAAAATGAATTAGGGAGGATTCCCTCTTTTTCTATTGATTGGAATAGTTTCAGAAGGAATGGTACCAGCTCCTCTTTGTACCTCTGGTAGAATTCGACTGTGAGTCCATCTGTTCCTGGACTTTTTTTGGTTAGTAGGCTATTAATTATTGCCTGAATTTCAGAATCTGTTATTGGTCTATTCAGGGGTTCAAATTCTTCCTGGTTTAGTCTCAGGAGGGTGAGTGTGTCCAGGAATTTATCTATTTCTTCTAGATTTTCTGGTTTACTGGCGTAGAGGTGTTTATTGTATTCTCTGATGGTAGTTTGTATTTCTGTGGGATCGGTGGTGATATCCCCTTTATCATTTTTTATTGTGTCTATTTGATTCTTCTTTCTTTTCTTCTTTATTAGTCTTGCTAGCAGTCTATCAGTTTCGTTGATCTTTTCAAAAAACCAGCTCCTGGATTCACTGATTTTTTTGATGAGATTTATGTGTCTCTATCTCCTTCAGTTCTGCTCTGATCTTAGTTATTTCTTGCTTTCTGCTAGCTTTTGAATGTGTTTGCTCTTGCTTCTCTAGGTCTTTTAATTGTGATGTTAGGGTGTCAATTTTGGATCTTTCCTGCTTTCTCTTGTGGGCATTTAGTGCTATAAATTTCCCTCTACACACTGCTTTAAATGTGTCCCAGATATTCTGGTATGTTGTGTCTTCGTTCTCATTGGTTTCAAAGAACATCTTTATTTCTGCCTTCATTTCATTATGTACCCAGTAGTCATTCAGGAGCAGGTTGTTCAGTTTCCATGTAGTTGAGTGGTTTTGAGTGAGTTTTTTAATTCTGAGGTCTAGTTTGATTGCACTGTGGTCTGAGAGATAGTTTGTTATAATTTCTGTTCTTTTACATTTGCTGAGGAGTGCTTTACTTCCAACTATGTGGTCAATTTTGGAATAAGTGTGATGTGGTGCTGAGAAGAATGTATATTCTGTTGATTTGGGGTGGAGAGTTCTGTAGATGTCTACTAGGTCTGCTTGGTGCAGAGCTGAGTTCCATTCCTGGATATCCTTTTTAACTTTCTGTCTTGTTGATCTGTCTAATGTTGACAGTGGGGTGTTAAAGTCTCCCATTATTATTGTGTGGGAGTCTAAGTCTCTTTGTAAGTATCTAAGGACTTGCTTTATGAATCTGGGTGCTCCTGTATTGGGTGCACATATATTTAGGATAGTTACCTCTTCTTATTGAATTGATCACTTTACCATTATGTAATGGCCTTCTTTGTCTCTTTTGATCTTTGTTGGTTTAAAGTCTGTTTTATCAGAGACTAGGATTGCAACCCCTTCTCTTTTTTTTTGTTTTCCATTTGCTTGGTAGATCTTCCTCCATCCCTTTATTTTGAACCTATATGTGTCTGTGCACGTGAGATGGGTCTCCTGAATACAGTACACTGATGGGTCTTGATTCTTTATGCAATTTGCCAGTCTGTGTCTTTTAATTGGGGCGTTTAGGCCATTTACATTTAAGGTTAATATTGTTATGTGTGAATTTGATCCCGTCATTATGATGTTAGCTGGTTATTTTGCTCGTTATTTGATGCAGTTTCTTCCTAGCATCAATGGTCTTTACAATTTGGCATGTTTTTGCCGTGGCTGGAACCAGTTGTTCCTTTCCATGTTTAGTGCTTCCTTCAGGACCTCTTGTAAGGCAGGCCTGGTGGTGACAAGATCTCTCAGCATTTGTTTGTCTGTAAAGGATTTTATTTCTCCTTTACTTATGAAGCTTAGTTTGGCTGGATATGAAAATCTGGGTTGAAAATTCTTTTCTTTAAGTATGTTGAATATTGGCCCCCACCCTCTTCTGGCTTGTAGAGTTTCTGCTGAGAGATCTGCTGTTAGTCTGATGGGCTTCCCTTTGTGGGTAACCCAGCCTTTCTCTCTGACTGCCCTTAACATTTTTTCCTTCATTTCAACTTTGGTGAATCTGACAATTATGTGTCTTGGCGTTGCTCTTCTCAAGGTGTATCTTTGTCACATTCTCTGTATTTCCTGAATTTGAATGTTGGCCTGCCTTGCTAGGTTGGGGAAGTTCTCCTGGATAATATTCTGAAGAGTGTTTTCCAAACTGGTTCCCTTCTCCCCATCACTTTCAGGTGCACGAATCAGACATAGATTTGGTCTTTTCACATAGTCCCATATTTCGTGGAGGCTTTGTTAGTTTCTTTTTACTCTTTTTTCTCTCAACTTCTGTTCTCATTTCATTTCATTCCTTTGATCTTCAATCACTGATACCCTTTCTTCCACTTGATCAAGTCAGCTACTGAAGCTTGTGCATGCATCACGTAATACTCATGCCATGGTTTTCAGCTCCATCAGGTCATTTAAGGACTTCTCTACACTGTTTATTCTAGTTAGCCATTCGTCTAATCATTTTTCAAGGTCTTTAGCTTCTTTGCGATGGGTTTGAACATCCTCCTTTCGCTCAGAGAAGTTTGTTATTACTGATCATCTGAAGCCTTCTCTCCACTCCTCAAAGTCATTTTCCATCCAGCTTTGTTCTGTTGCTGGCGATGAGCTGTGTTCTTTTGGAGGAGAAGAGGCACTCTGATTTTTAGAATTTTCAGCTTTTCTGCTCTTGTTTCTCCCTATCTTTGTGGTTTTATCTACCTTTGGTCTTTGACGATGGTGACGTACAGATGGGGTTTTGGTGTGGATGTCCTTTCTGTTTGTTAGTTTTCCTTGTAATAGTCAGGACCCTCAGCTGTAGGTCTGTTGGAGTTTGCTGGAGGTCCACTCCAGACCCTGTTTTCCTGGGTATCACCAGCGGAGGCTGCAGAACAGCAAATATTGAAGAACGGCAGATGTTGCTGCCTGATCCTTCCTCTGGAAGCTTCGTCTCAGAGGGGCACCCAGTTGTATGAGGTGTCAGTCGGCCCCTTTTGGGAGGCATCTCCCAGTTAGGCTACTCGGGGGTCAGGGAC
This sequence comes from Homo sapiens, assembly GCF_000001405.40. Lineage (NCBI taxonomy): Eukaryota > Metazoa > Chordata > Mammalia > Primates > Hominidae > Homo > Homo sapiens. The sequence goes on from NC_000003.12 coordinate 8,068,079, forward strand.
CCACTTGAGGGGGCAGTCTGTTCGTTCTCAGATCTCAAACTCTGTGCTGGGAGAACCACTACTGTCTTCAAAGCTGTCAGACAGGGACGTTTAAGTCTGCAGAAGTTTCTGCTGCATTTTGTTCAGCTATGCCCTGCCCCAGAGGTGGCGTCTACAGAGGCAGGCAGGCCTCCTTGAGCTGCGGTGGGCTCCACCCAGTTCGAGCTTCCCTGGCACTTTGTTCACCTACTCGAGCCTCAGTAATGGCAGACGCCCCTCCCCTAGCCTCGCTGCCGCCTTGCAGTTCAATCTCAGACTGCTGTGCTAGCAGTGAGTGAGGCTCCGTGGGCATGGGACCCTCTGAGCCAGGTGTGGAATATAATCTCCTGGTGTGCCATTGGCTAAGGCTGTTGGAAAAGTGCAGTATTAGGGTGGGAGTGTCCTGAATTTCCAGGTACCATCTGTCACAGCTTCCCTTAGCTAGGAAAGAGAATTCCCTGAGCCCTTGTGCTTCCCAGGTGAGGCGATGCCCTGCCCTCCTCCATGGGCTGCACTCACTGTCTGACAAGCCCCAATGAGATGAAGCTGGTACCTCAGCTGGAAATGCAGAAATAACCTGTCCTGCATCATTCAGGCTGGGAGCTGCAGACTGGAGCTGTTCCTATTTGGCCATCTTGGAACCTCCAAAATTTTTGAAGATTTTCTTGAACTAGATGTGAACTCAAGAGGGCTGACCACAAGGAAAATAAAATAAAAACAGAAGCCTTCACTCAGAGAATAGATCAGGCCTCTCAAACTCTAAAGCAGATGGTCAACTCTTGCTGCTACTTGCCCTTCTTAATCCAAGGCTTGTGAAAGATGTTCAGTCAACAAGAACAATGATTTATATTGCAGTCACCATCAGGCTCATAATGCCTGTTCCTCTCATTTTACTCTTTCATTCATTCATCCACTCATTCATTCCTTTATTCTCACAATATCATATTTACTGGTCACCTAACCTGTGCTGAGGAAAACACAGTGAATGAGACTCAGTCTATGATAATGTCCAGAGGGAGGTTATCCTAGGCAAAAGAGGAAAGGTGACAAGGATTTGAAGAGAGGAAAGTGCCAGCAAGTTTCCCAGAGCCTCTGGGGTGGACAGGGTGCGACCTTGAACCGTCAGATTCTGACCAAAGCCTTGTGATGACTGGGCAGCCTGGCAGAGTGGTTGATAGGGTGGGTTTTAGAGTCTGGGGTCAAACTCTAGTGCTGCTACTTATAGCTGTGCGATGATGGGCATATGGCTAAAGCCTTTGATGCCTCTATTTCCTCATGTGGGAAATGGGGCAAATGACAGAACTTACCTCCTGGAGCTGCTATGAGATTTACATGAGGAACTTATAGAAAGTGCTTAGCATAGAATCTGGGATATGGCAAACAACCACATGATTTTATAATCATGGGATCTTTCCCAGAGACAAGCAAGGAAACACTGTTTCTCTCCTTTCCTCCAGGTTTAGCCTTGGATAATGTTAGCACATACCTGGATGACATCAGCCTAGCTCACTGCATTGTGGCCTTGGCTGAGTTCAAAAGGAAATTCACACCCTCAGCCTTTCTTTACTGAGGCTCAGAGAGAAAGATGTTAGCATCTGCTGAATCTCAAGTAACACAGTGCTTAATTGTTTGCAAAGTAATTCCCAATGCATTCTTCTTACTCTGCCTGCCCCAGCCCCATTGAGGGAGGTAAGGAGTCCCTACTCCTTCTAACATGCCAGAGTCTCGGCAACCTGCCCAAGGTCAGAAAGCCTGTATAAGAAATGTGATCATTAAATTCTGCAAACTCTTCCTGCCATGACCCAGCAAGGTGGCACTTTTCTTCTTCCAGACAAATTCTAAAGTCAGTAATCTTTACTTACACCAAGCAGCAGTGAGAGGCACTCACAAATGTTGCTTGATTTCTTATTGTCAAAGTAACCTGGCTGAAGGTAACCACAGGAGGCTTTCCCACTAGGGCATGAAAAGGATTTTTAGGCTTAAAAATATTTTCAGAGAAGAAGATAAATCACAAGTAAGGGAACATATGTTTATACAATCAGCCTCAAATGTACACCACAGAAATGAATCATCAGGCTTAAATGTTTCCCCTGGCCTAACCTATAAGTCCCCAGAGATCAGTGATTAAGTGTCCAATGGTTCTCTAAGAACCCCCCCCTTCAATCCCAGCTCTACTGCATGCAAACTAGGAACAATAATTTGTAAAGCTGGTGACAGTAGGGACCAAGCTGCTTTCAAATTTTGCTTTCACTAAGAATTACTAAGTTGTTGGAGTGATTTTGTGTAAGGCAATACCTCCCCCTTTCCAAATAGCCCCATACCCGCTTTTACAATACATTCTGGCTTTGAAGGAAAACAGGAGAAATGTTACCGCTGGTTCAGCAAAGGTCAAGTGAGGGGGTAGGGTGGGGGTGCCTGTGGGGTTCTAAGATCACCCAACACTAATGACATTAAACACACTGTCAATCATTTCTTGCCTCAGCTGAGCCACTGATATCATAACGTGTTTTCTACTGGGGATTTTTGTTCTTTGTGTTAAATAAATCCAGCTATTGTAGCTATTCTCTTTGGCACTTAAATTCCACCCTAAGCAATGGCTCAAGGTTAGTGTCACAAATACAAAGCAATATAGCAAGTAAAATGTAAGTACTTGGAGTGATGGCTAAAGAGTCCGATTGTGTAGGTTAGATATCTGAATCTCCTATTGAATTGACTGTGTGATCTTGGGCAACAGAATTCAACCCCATCTGAGCCTCAGTTTTCCCATCTATAAAATAGATTCATTTAGATAATTTATATAACATGAGTAAAGTATACCAATGCCAATTCTCTCAGCCTCACCTTTTGTTTTAGCTACTGCTGCATTAAACAGGTCCATACAGGCTCTGGCCAGCTTTGTGAAGATGTGACCTGATGTGCACACCATGTTCCTCTAGCTTCCTGCTCCCAGGCTTTCCTGCCTTGGTGGTGGGGGCCATCTGCAGGTTAGTGGCTCATACTCAGGCATGCCCAACCTGGAGTTGCGGGGCATCCTTGACCAAGGGAGGATGACAATTATGAGCATTTCCTTACAGCTCTGTGTGGGAAAATGTATGCTTTCATGTAAAACTATGCATTGTGTAGACCCTGCAGATATCCCCCCACGTTGTCTGCTCTATGGAAGCTATCTTACAATTCTCTAAATTATAAATGACTGATAGCAAGGCAAAATGATTTTTGGCTGTAGACAACCCAATTCTGTCCTCCACAAAGACTTCCTTTCCCACTGGAGTAAAAAGTGGTTTTGCCTCCATTTATGTCTTCATTTTAATATCCCCAATCTATACATGTATCTGTTCTTTGGATTCTCTTCTGAAGTGCGTAAAATATCTGTGTAGTTCCCTCGTTGATTATGAGTTAAATATGTAACATGTGCCCAGATTCATATCTTTATGAAAATTATGACTATATTCTGCTTGTGAAATTACCTTTTAACAGCTCCTTGTAATGTTCCAAGGGATTAATGCCAGCAGACTTTCTGCATAACACATACTTGCATTTGTTTCCTCCTTCTCTGTTAGACTCTTCCTTGTCCCTCACTATTGGCTCCTTATGTCACATTATCAAATAAATTACTTATATGCAAGATTTTGTCTTGATCTCCGCTTGCAGGAAAAGGGTAGGCCTAAGTTATTGAAGCATGAAAATTATTCTATCAATGTTAGTTATTATTTGGGTATGTTGTCAATATAAATTAAAATCTTGAAACTAATAATGGAAGCCATATATTGAGGATGGCAGAGAAACAAGGAGTCTGGGTTTCCAACAATCACAGAAACATTATATCAACCCTGGACTGTATATGTTTACATGAAAGAGAAACAAACATCTCATTTTATATGCCACCATCATTTTGAGTTTTCTGTCACTCTTGACTGACCTTCATCCCAACTGATGCATCCCTTCTTTTCCTAAGTTCATTCTTGATATGAAAAGGCATCTGCATCTACATGAAAAAGGCAGAGCTGAGAAGAAGGAAACATCCATGGATGATCAAGTACAGGGTATCCCAGCTCTGGTTGACTACCAATGATGTGGAACTTCACAGTTGGCTAGAATTCTGCAAGAAGTTTTCCTGGTTAAGATGTGACTTGAGTAGATTCAAAAGGAGTAGTTGGAATTCAAAGTATCAAAATGGACAAGGCAGGAAATTCAAGGAAGAGAGCTTGAGAAGTAATATGAAGGGGGCAAGGAGTATGGAGTGGGCTGTGGTGGGCAAGAGTGAGACGACCTCCCTGAATAGAGCAGTAGAGTTCCAGAGAAGATATAAACAGTCCTCAGAGCACCCCTTCTCCTCTGCCCACCTTGAAGTACAGCTGTAGGGGAGCCCTGAGTATCCCTCATTTCATAGGACCACGTGGCATTTCCATTCACATCTCTGAATACTCTTTACTCCTTGCTTCCATAAACCTCAAATGGAATTGTTTTGTAGATTCAATGAGATGAAATAGCAAAAGGACCTAATGGGATGCTCGTTAATTCTCCCTTTTTTCCTTCCTTTCTCTGATGACACCCACCTTGACACAAAGTTCAGCCCTTGCCAATTCATATTGCAGTTTCAAAAACCAGTTTCTAACAGTGGATAATTAAGCCATTTAGCTAGTCTACAAAAACCAACTGGCATATTAAGTCTTTTCTTCCTATATCTTTTTAAAAAATAGTGATCTTTTCATACCAAATGCTCATTACAATAGCAGTTCCCAAGCCTGGTGTTAATTGTGTCTCTTGTTATACAATTGTAGATCACACTGGCTCTGGACTGCACCATATAATTATTTTTATTCATTAATAGCCAGCACTTAGAAATAAATAGATCCCACCTAGTTATCATTGAAGGGGGCCCTTTTACACCCTCAACAAGCACATTATCAGTATGAGTTATGATAGACTGGCTGGAGTTTAAAAATTATGGAAGTTTATATCCACTAACCTAAAAATGTTTGCATATGCTTTTGAGGGAGTTTATTACAAGGAGTTCAGAACAGGAGTAGTATAACTCTATAGCCTAAATTTTTAAAAGAGACCTCCCCATGGACGAAATCTAGAAAGTTCCAGCTAGGTGATTAAGAAAAAGGAGAAACCAAACACCATATGTTTTCACATATGACATAACAAATAAATCACCTGGGTATGCGTTAAAGGGTAAGGGAAAGAGTGCAGAATATAATATGCATATTCCAAGGTTCAAGTCACAGAGATTCTGAGTGAATAAAGCTGTGGCAGCACCAAGGAATATGCAGGAATACACATTTTAATAACTTCACTTCCCTAACACTGGGATTTGGATGTAGTGGCCTCTGGACCACATTTTGAAAAACAATATTTAAAGATGTTCATGTGATCACACAGGGCTTCTCAATGAGCTCAGAACCCATGCATGGATGGGACCTAACACTGGACAGAGGGATAAAAAATCAGGATGTGTCTTGGTTTATTTTGTGCTACTATAACAGCATATCACAGACGAGGTCATTTATAAAGAACTCACCGTCTCTTTCTAATATGTATATCACATATATTATAAATCTATGTATATATGAATATATGTATACATATAAATATATGTATTTATATGTATACATATATAAATATATGTATTTATATGTATAAATATATGTGTTTACATATGCATAAATCTTTATATATGTGTAAATATATTTATTTATAAATATAAATGTATATATAAATATGTATATATGTATATGTATATATAACTATACATAAATGTATATATAAATATGTGTATATGTTTATGTATATATACATATATACATATATTTGTATATGTATATACATTTTGAATACACTTATGTATATTATATAGTATATACATTATATGTATATACATTATAACAAATGTATATTATAAATATATGTATATTAAAAATATAGTTATATATACATACTATATGTACATATGTATATATACATATACATATGTACATGTACACATGTATATATGTATATATACATATTATATGTACACATGTATATATGTATATATACATATTATATGTACACATGTATATATGTATATATACATATTATATGTACACATGTATATATACATATATACATATTATATGTACACATGTATATATACATATATACATATTATATGTACATATGTATATATACATATATACATATTATATGTATACATATAATATACTATATACATATTATATGTATATATGTATATGTATATTATAAATATATACATGTCTACATTTATTATACTATAGTATATATTATAATATATAATATATACTACGTTATATATATTATATATAATATATAAATATAAACTATATACTATATATTATAATATATAATATATTATAAATATATACATATGTATATTATAAATATCTACATATATCTATATATATTTATATACATAATATATTTATGTTTATAATATATTTACATATTGAGTACATGTTTAGAAATACATATATTTATAATACACATATATTTATATACGTATATGTAAATCACATATATTATAAATACTATATATGAATATATATAAGTTATATATACAATTACAAATATATATAGAAATTACAAATATGAATATATAATATATAAATATATTATGTATATAAGTATATAAATATATAAATATATAATATATTTGTAGATTTAAATAAAATAATATAAATTAATTATATATTAAATATATTTCAATAGCATATTTAAATATATAATAAATTTATATTCAATATTTAAATAAATAATATATTAACTATGATATATTATTTATTTAGATATATTTATATATATTTTTTTTTTTGAGATGGAGTTTCACTCTTGTTGCCCAGGCTGGAGTGCAGTGGTGCGATCTCAGCTCACCACAACCTCCACCTCCTGGGTTCAAGAGATTCTCCTGCCTCAGTTTCCCAAGTAGCTGGGATTACAGGCATGCACCACCACGCCAGGCTAATTTTTTGTATTTTTAGTAGAGATGGGGTTTCTCCATGTTGGTCAGGCTGGTCTCGAACTCCTGACCTCAGGTGATCCACCCGCCTTGGCCTCCCTAATTGCTGGGATAACAGGCGTGAGCCACCATGCCTGGCCAATTCAGATATATTTTTTAATTTATATATATAAATGTATTTGTGGTGGGGGGCAGTATGTAGAGAGAGAGAGAGAGAGAATTATGAGAATTGGCTCACACACTTATGGAGGCCAAGAAGTACACTCTGCTGTCTGTAACCTGGAAAACCAGGAAAGCTAGTAGAGTAATTCAGTCCAAGTGCAAAAGCCAGAGAACTACAGAAGCTAATGTTATAATCCCAGTCCAAGGTTGAAGGCCAGAAAATAAGGTCAGGGTGGGAGACAGCTGGCGTAAGTTCTGGAGTCCAAAGGCCTGAGAACCAGGAACTCTGATGTCCAAGAGCAGAAGAAGATGAACGCCTTGAACTTGAAGATAAATTTATTCTTCCTCTGCCATTTTGTTCTATTTGGGGCCTCAACAAATTGAATGATGTCTCCCCACCACACACACTGGTGAGAACAACCTTCTTTACTCAATCTACTAATTCTAATGCTAATTTCTTTCAGAAACAGCCTCATAGACACACCCAGAAATAATGTTTTACCAACTATCTGATATCTGCTATCAACTTAGCCCACTCACATTGACACATAAATTAACCATCACAGGGAGTTATGAGACGAAACAGGTAGAACATGCCTAAAGATTCTACTTTTCCCCAGTTTTACTTTGGTTTCTCTTTTGGAGAGTTATAGGCCTTGAGATTTGTTTTTCATTTATTTTTTTTTTGAGCTTTCTCTTTTGTAGGAGACAGATTAATACATATTTTTCATTACCAAGGAAATAATACAACACACATATAGAAAAACTGTAGACACCAACTACATTTTATGTTTTTTATTCTTTACCTCCTAAGTTAACTAACACTAGTGAGCATCCTTCCTGTGGCCTTCTCTATGTACTAAACAAACATACACACACACGAAGATTTTTAACATTTGATTTTTTTGATACATCATACTATTTGCACTTTGCTGCAACTTGTTTTTAAAGGGAATAATATATTTTGGATACTCTTCAAAATTATTAGAGGATGAGTTTCTAAATATAGCATCTACATAATGGTCTGTAATATGGCTATGAAAATTCAGTGGCTATTCCTGCCCTCACCACTTGATAAGGTTTTCTTCTGTGGATCTTACCTTCCTCCTTTTGGCTCTTGATATACAGGTAGAAACCAAGGCATGTGTGATTATTTGAGTTCAAGGATGCTGCTTAAAGTCACACAAGCTCTCCTGAGTTTTGAACATCAATTGCTGAAACAACCATCACATTTGAATACACTGGTGAAGAGAACAAATAGGGTTCTTGCTCTTGAGAACATTTTATTGTGCATTATGCAACAATGGTTACACACAAGAAAAGGAAAGGCTCAAGATAAAAGAGAATTTGGGGTGTAATCAAAAATATAAATTATATCAGTAAGGCAGGTTTGGGGCATTCAGTACAGATCCCCCCTAGACCTGGCATCCCTGTTGAATTTCAATGCCCTTTTAAATCTTCTTACAGACGATAAAGAAGATGACTGAAAATTGATGGGTAATAGAAAAAAGGAGCATCACTCGATTTCTGTTTTGCTTCCACTTTTTCTGTCAGAAGATAGATACTGGTATATATTGAACTGTCAATTTTTAGATCTCTATTATTTATCTATATCAATAGATATTGATATGAAAGAAGTGAAACTCAAGCAGGGTGAGGCCTCTAAAATAGTTTTGTGTTTAGGTCTTTGATAAGCAGAATTTGAGGACACTAAGAGGACTCACAAGTGAGATATGTTAATATGAAGTAGATGAGTATTTGTGAGGGATGCCAGAGAAAAAAATAGCTCTTTCATTGATTCATTCGGTCAATACATTTATTAAGTATGTTCTGTTTGCCAGACATGTATAGGATAAAATGGAAAACAGAAAGACAAGAACAATGATATCAATGAAATGACATTCTACTGAAAGCCTGAGACAATAAACAAGAAAAATAAGTTAATTTGAGATTATAGGTTGTATGAAAGAAAATACTGTGAAGTGAAGGAAATGAAGTCATATGTGCTCCTAAGCTACAGTTGAAGTATATCACTCATATCTGGCTGCTGTCCCCTTATTTGAAGCCTGACAAACTGGAATCTGTCTAAGGAGACAGATCCTGATGATAAATAATCTGGGAATCTTGACATTCAAGAAACCATAAAAAGAAATAATGACATGTGGGATAGAAGATTCAAAGGTAATGCGACCCTTGTCTTTAAATCCTTCAACAGCTGTCATGTGGAAAAGAAATTATTAGACATATATTTGTGTGAATTCAAAATAGATGGGCAGGCCTTTCAATGAGGAAAATATCCAGTCAATATATAAGAGAAGGTTCCGACAATTAGAACTATCTGAAAATGGACTTCTTTGCTTTGGGAGATAGTGAGCACTTTATCATTAAAGGAAATGAAACTGAAGGAACTGGACCACTGACTGGGAAAGTTATAGAAGAGATGTGCACGTAAACAACAAAAACAGAAGCCCATCTACCCTTTACTTTCCCTCATAAATAGACTATGAGAAAAATAACCGGTATTAGTCTGTTTTCACACTGCTATGAAGAATGCCTGAGCCTGGGTAATTTATTGATATGATTTGGCTGTGTCCCCACCCAAATCTCATCTTGAATTATAGCTCTGATAACCCCCACATGTTGTGGGAGGGAACTGGTGGGAGGTAATTGAATCATGGGGGTGGATTTTTCCCCTGCTGTTCTCATGATAGTAAATAAGTCTCATGAGATCTGATGATTTTATAAAGGGCAGTTTCCCTGCACATGCTCTCTTTCCTGCCACCATGTAAGATGTGCCTTTACGCTTCCTTTGCCTTCTGCAATGATTGAGAGGCATCCCCAGCCATGTGGAACTGTGAGTCCATTAAACCTCTTTTCTTTATAAATTTCCCAGTCTCAGGTATTTCTTCATAGCAGTACGAGAACAGACTAATACATTTATGAAGGAAAGAGGTTTAATTGAGTTACAATTCTGCTTGCCTGAGGAGGCCTCAGGAAACTTACAATCATTGGGGAAGAGGAAGCAAGCACATCTTATATGGCAGCAGGCAATAGAGAGAGAGAGAGTGAAGGAGGAAGAGCCCCTTATAAAACCATCAGATCTTGTGAGAACTCACTCACTATCATGAGAACAGCATGGGGGAAACCACCCTCATAATCCAGTCACCTCCCACCCTCCCTCAATACCTGAGAATTACAATTCAAGATGAAATTTGGGTGGGAACTCAAAGCCTAACCGTATCAGAACTCCAGTTCAATAACTCACACAGGCCCCTGAAGTGGCAATGTTCCTTGCACTGAATTTGGAAGAACTGCAGATGACTAAGTTCCTCTGCCTAAGAACAGAAAAAGAATTTGGTTTTGTTTCTGATTGGGAAGCAACCTAGAAGAGAGGGAAAGGGAGAAAGTGAAGTTGAAGAAGAGACAAAAGATGGAAAGAGAAGGTCTGTTCTGGAACCTAAGTTGAAGAAGTGGTCTATGGACTGCTTGAAGAGCTGTCTAACATCTGATTTCAATTTGTGAGGAGAGCTTACTTCCGAAAATCTTATGTGTGTGTCTGTATGTGTGTGTGTGTTTGTGTGTGTGCAGGCACAAACAAGCACTTACGTATGGAGGTTCATGTATATCTGTGTTTAAGTTAGGAAACAGGACTGACTGAATTGCATATCACAGTTGACGCGGTCAAACAGAAAAAACAAACTTTCATTTATTTATACATTTGGCAAATACAAATGAGGCATCTATTATGTTCCACGAGACTCAGGTCTGCAGGTTTTTAGAGCTTATATTTACTAAATATTAATTCACAATGCCATATTTTATCAAATCAAAGATTATGTTGTTTGTAAGATGCATCATTATTTTATGTAACATTAAAAAAGTTATGGGTGCAGCACACCAACACGGCCCATGTATACATATGTAACTAACCTGCATGTTGTGCACATGTACCCTAAAACTTAAAGTATAATAAAAAAATTACCAATTAAACTGTAACTTCATTTTATAAGGTGGATCCCACTTTCAGAGACGTCACAATGTGAAAAATGTCCATCTTAGAATCTAGGAAATAGGGTGTTCTATTTCTTCGCTTCTATGCTTGAAATAACACACATTAGGTACAGCTGTCACTGTGTAAGTGGGATGTTGACAAAGGAAGTTTTTCAGAGAATGATGATGGTTGAATGGAATTAAAAGCTAAGAAAGTAAAACAAAACCAAACAAAGCTATAGCAAGAATTTTGAACTGGAGATGATGATGAGAATATAAGCTTCCAGGTATTCTCAGAAATCTTATTTTATGGGCCTAGAACTTTCTTATAATTTTTTACTGATACCTAAAAGATGTACATGTTTTCAGAGTACTTGTGATATTTTTATACATTTATGTAATATGTAAAGATCAAATTAGACTAGAAACATTTGAATTATTCTCTTCAAGCTATTTTGAAATGTACAATGGCTTGTTGTTAGTAATAGTCACCGTACTGCTCTATTGAGTACTTGGTCTTATTTTCTCTATCTAACTGCATATTTGTACCCATTAATCAACCTCTTTTTATCCCCTCTCCTCCTTTATTCTTCCTCCTCTCTGGTAACCACCACTCTACTCTCTGTCTTCATAAGATCCACTTCTGTAGCTCCCACATGAGAGAGCACATGCTATATTTGTCTTTCTGAACTTGGCTTATTTCACTTAAAATAATAACCCCCAGTTTCATCCATGCTGCTGCAAATGACAGGATTCCATTATTTTTATAGCAAAATAATATTTCATTGTGTATAATATACCACATATTCTTTATCCATTAATCCATTGATGGATTAATGGACAGGTTGATTTCATGTCAACTTAGTTTGATATGGTTGATTCCATATATTGGCCATTACATATGGTTGAGATATATATATATATACACACACACACGTATATATATACACATATATATATATGTATATATATATATCTTAGGTTGATTCCATATATTGGCTGTCTTAAGTTGATTCAATATATTTGTTGATTGGTTGATTCCATAAATTGCCTGTTATGAATAGTGTTGCAATAAACATGGGAGTGCAGATATCTCTTTGATATATTGATTTCCTTTCTTTTGCATATATGTTCAGCAGTGTAAATGCTAGATCATATGGTAGTTATATTTTTAGTTTTTTGAGGAACTTCCATACTCTTTTCCATAGTGTCTGTTCTAATTCACATTCCTACCAACAGTTTATGAGGATTACCCTTTCTCTACATCTTCATCAGAATCCATTATTCTCTGTCATTTTGATAAAAGTCATTTTGACTTGGGTAAGATGATATCTCATTGTGGTTTTGATTTGTGTTTCTCTGATTATTAGTGATGCTGAACATTTTTTAAATATGCCTGTTGGCCATTTGTGTATCTTCTTTTGAAAAATGTCTATTCAGCTATTTCCAATTTTAAGTTGGATTATTATTATTATTATTATTGCTGTTGAGTTATTTGAGCCCCTTATATGTTCTTATTGTTATTTCTTTGTCAGATGGATAATTTGCATTTGCATGGATTATTTCATCCTATTTTGTGGGTTGTCTCTTTGCTTTGCTGATTGTTTCCTTTTCTGTGTAGAAGCTTTTTAGCTTGATGTAATCCTATTTGTCTATTTTTGCTTTCGTTGCCTCTGCTTTTGAGGCTTTATACAAGAAATCTTTGCCCAGACCAATGTCATGGAGCGTTTCCCCAATATTTTCTTCTAGTAGTTTTATAGTTTCAGGTCTCAGATTTAAGTTTTTAATTCATTTTGATTTTATATTTGTATATGGTGAGAGACAGGAATCCAGTTTCATTCTTCTGCAAATGGTTATCCAGTTTTCTCAGCACTGTTTACTGATACTGAAAGTATCCTTTCCCCCAATTGAATGTTCTCATTACTTTGCCAAAAATAAGTTAGCTGTAAATGCATGGATTTTTTGAGCTTGCTATTCTGTTCCATCTGTCCACATGTCTGTTTTTAATGCCAATATCATTTTGATTCTGATTTAGTTACTATAGCTTTGCAGTATATTTTGAAGTTAGTGTGATTCCTCCAGATTTATTCTTTTTGCTCAGGATTTTTTTGGCTATTCTGGCTCTTGTGGTTCTATATAAATTTTAGAAGTTTTTTTCTATTTCTGTAAAGAATGTCATTGCTATTTTGATAAGGATTGCACTGAATCCATAAATTGTTCTGGGTAGTATTGATATGTTAACAATATTAATTCTTCCAATCTATAAGCATGAAATATCTTCATATTTTGTATCCTCTTCATTTTCTTTCATCAGTATTTTTATAGTTTTTCTCATACAGATCTTTTACTTCTTTCGTTAAATTGATTTCTAGGTATTTTATATTCCTTGTAGCTATTGAAATAATATTGATTTCTTGACTTTTTTTCACATTGTTTGCTGTTCACATATAGATATGCTACTGATTTTTGTATGCTGATCTTGTATCCTGCAACTATACTGCATTTGTTTATCAGTTTGAACCGTTTTTTAGAGCAGTGTGTATTTAGGATTTTCTAAATATAAGACCATGCTGTTTACAAACAAGACTAATTTGGCTTCTTCCTTTCCAATCTGGATGCCCTTTATTTATTTCTCTTGCCTATTTGCTCTGGGTCAGTACTTCCAGTACTGCATATAATAAAAGTGGTGAAAGTGAGCATCTTTGCTTCTCTCATTCTAGACCTTAAAAGAAAGGTTTTCAATTTTTCCTTATCACTATGATGTTAGCTGTGGGTTTATCATATATGGCCTTTATTAGTTAAGGTATGTTCCTTCTATACCCAGTTTGTTGAAGATTTTTATCATAAAGGGATACTGAATTTTATCAGATGCTTGTTCAGCATCTATTGAAATGATCATATGGTTTTTGTTCTCAATTCTGTAAATGTGATGTATCATGTTTATTGATTTGCATATGTGGAATCTTCCTTGCAGCTCTGAAATAAAACTAGTAGTTCAATTTATTATGAGAAATGGTCCTTTTTAATATGATGATGAATTCAGTTTGCTAGTATTTTATTGAGAATTTTGCATCTATGTTCATCAGTGATATTGGCCTGTTGTTTTTTCTACTGGTTGTGTCCCTGTCTGGTTTTGGTATAAGGTTAATGCTAATCTTGCAGATAAGCTTGAAAATATTCTCTCCTCTTCAATTATTTGAAATCGTTTGAGAGAATTAGTATAGTTCTTTATATGTTTGGAAGAATTTAGCAATGAAACAATCAGGTTCTGGGCTTTTTATTGAAATTTTAAAATATTCTTATATTTGTATTTTCCAAAGTTCCTTTTGTTATTGATTTCTAGTTTTATTCCTGCATGGTCAGAAAAGATACTTGATTATAATTTCTACTTTTTAAAGTTTTTTGAGACTTGTTTTGTGGCCTAAGATATGGTTTACTTTGAAGAATGTTTCATGTGCTGATGAAAATAATGTATACTCTGCAGTAGTTGGGTGAAATGTTCTATGACTGTCAATTAGGCCTATTTGATCTATTGTGTAGTTTAACTCCAATGTTTATTTGTTGATTTTCTGGCTGGTAATCTGTCTATTACTGACAGTGGGATGTTGAAATCCCCTACTATTATTGTATTGCAGGCTACCTCTCCCCTTAGACCTATTAATGTTTGCTTTATATACTTGGCTCTGGTGTTGGGTGCATAGATAATTAAAATTGTTATATTCTCTTGCTGAATTGAGCCTTTTATCATTATATAGTAACCTTCTTTGTCTATTTTTGCAGTCTTTGTCATATACTCTATTTTGGAGGATATAAGCACAACTACTCTTGTACTTTTTTGGTTTCCAAGTGCATGAAATATTTTTTTCCATTCCTTCACTTTCAGTCTGTGTGAGTCTGTCCAGGTGAAATGGGTTTCTTGGAGGCAGTATATAGTTGGGTCTTCTTCCTTTATCCAGTCAGTCAATTTTTCAAATTGGAGAATTGAGTCTATTTACACCCAATGTTACTGTTTATTAGTAAGGACTTACTACTGCCATTCCTTTTGCTTGTTTTCAGCCTGTCTTGTAATTCCTCTCTTTCTTAGTGTCTTCCTTTGTGGTTATCTTCTCTGATAGTATTTTTTTAATCCGTTGCTTTCTGTTTTTAGTGTACCTATTATAGTTTTTTGCACCATGGTTACCACAGGGCTTAAAGAAAATGTCTTATAGATATCACAAGCTATTTTAAAGTGATGACAACTTATCTTTGATCAAAAGCAAATAATAGAAACAAATAAACAAATATGAAAAGAAAAAAACCTCTACACTTTAACTCCACCACCTCCCCATTTTTACTTTTTATTGTCTCAATTTACATATTTTTCTATTTCCTGTCTCTTAACAGGGTTCTGAAGTTATCACTGTTTTTGACAGACTTGTCGTTTAGACTTTATACCAGAGTTATGAGTGAATTGCACATCACAGTTACCACGTTAGAGTTTTCTGCGTTTGTCCGTGCACTTACCTCATCAGTGGCATTATACCTTGATGTGTTTCCTTTTTGCATGTTAGTGTTTTGTTTTTTTTTTTCTTTCAGATTGAAGAACTCCCTAGAGCCTTTCTTTTAAGACAAATCTTGTGGTGGTGAATACTTTCAGTGTTTGTCTGGAAAAGACTTTATCTCTCTTTCATATTTGAAGTACAGCTTTGTCTTACGCAGTATTTTTGGATGGAAGTTTTTTTTTTTTTTTTTCAGCATTTGAAAATGTCATCCCAACATTTCTTGGCCTATATGGTTTCCATGGAGAAGTTTGTTGCCAGATGAATTGTAGCTCTTTTATATGTTATGGCTTCTTTTCTCTTGCTGCTTTTTAGGGTCCTCTCTTTATCCTAGACCTTTGAGAGTTTTGATCATTATATGCCTCAGGGTAGTCTTATTTGCGTTAAATCTGTTTGGTGTTCTGTGACATTCCTGAGCTATTTATATCTTTTTCAAGTTTTGGATAGTTTTCTGGTATTATTTGAAAAAGCTTTCTACCCCTCGTTCTTGCTTAATTTCCTCTTGAACATCAATATTTCTTAGATGTGGTCTTTTGAGATAGTTTTCTATATCTTGTAGGCAATCTTTGGGGATTTCTTAAATTCTTTTTTCTTTTCTGACTGTATTTTCAAATAGCTTGTCTTCGAGCTAACTGATTCTCTTTGAAGTATTCTGCTCTTGAAAGCCTCATGAATTTTTCAGTTCAGCAAATCTATCATTGTCTTTTTAGGGTCAGTCACCGGTTCCTTGCTTTGTGTGTTTGGGGAGATCATGGTTCCATGTTTGCTATTGTTTTTTGTGGATGTATTAATGCATGTATCTTTGCATTGAATTATTAGTAATTTATTCCAGTCTTTTCTGTCTGTATTGTTTTATTTTTATTGAATATGTTTGCTTAGGGATTCATTGTAGTTTACCTTTTGGGTTTCTTTTTTCTCCCACTACGATACTGTTTCCTCTTCAGCACTAGAAGACAGCTTAAGCCAGGGTTTGCCTTCACTGTAGTAAATGACTAGACTGCTACATATCCTGGATGAAGGACATCCAAAAAGGAATATCCCAGCCGTGTGGGAAGGCTGGTCAGGGATTTGTGCCCAGAGGACCTATGGCACATACCTGCTACAGCCTGGTGCTACTGAACAACCACTCTAATTTGGTGCCTCCTTTGGATGAGTTACAGAGCACAGTTTCCAGGCTGGAGAGAGTAGTCCCACCTCCCATCTTTGTCTCTGACTGTCTTCAGGGATATTTCTTCCTTTAGTATTTGAGATTTTCTATAATCTTTAGAATAGAAGTTTTGGCCAAGACTCAAAATTACTCTAGGAAATATTGAGAAAATGTGTCCCAAAACAGTAATATATGGAATCTTGCTCTAGAGAATATTTAAAGAGATAAACACTTATAAATAAACTAAATATTAACATATTTTGGAAATTTTATTCTGGGAAACACCAAACTGGCAAACATGGACCTAAGGGTTAACTAACTAGCTTTGTGTAAATAATGTCTTATCCAGACACCCAGTGTGTAAATCAGTTTAAAGTAGAACTTCTCTGATTTATGAAGTGTTGGAGAAATAAGGGATAGTAGCTTGAGATTTGCTCTTTAGGTCTTCTCATTGCTCCCAAGGAAGCCCTTGAAGCCTCTCTATGGTATGGTTAAATGCTACAAATCAAAGTTTGGAATAAGGCAGCTTCTAAGATGTCTTACAATGGTGTGCTCAGGTTGTCTCCTGTTGATTATCAAGAGCCTGTTCTGTTCATATCTTCCCAACCTCATGTTCAATGACATCAAGTTAGTAGCATAAAAATCAGTTACCATGGGAATACTTACACCACAGAAATTGGCAAATACTACAAATCAGGGCTTTTTTTTTTTTTCCTCTCCAGTGAGTCAGTTTTCCAGCACACCACTGCTCGAAACCATGAGTCTAACTTAGCCTAAGTCTTGAGATGAGAAAGGAAAGCATAGATGGGGGAAGCTGCCACTGGTTTGCAAGTATTCTTCTGACTTTCACTTTCTATTGCATCTGGAGTAGAGGGTCCCAGACAACGGGCTATAAACTCTTTAGAGTTTTTGGAGTTATACCAAGAGATACCTAATTCACACACACATAAGTATTTTCTCAATAAAAAATGAAAAATATAAATAAGATAATGTATACACAGGGAAAGTGTATGAGTATATGAGATGACATATAAAGACATACACATACATATAAATGTGTGTGTGTATTTTATATATATATATATATAGAGAGAGAGAGAGAGAGAGACAGAGAGAGAGACAGAGAGAGAGAGAAGGAGGGAGGGATATCCTTAAATGTAAAACAGCTATGAATCATTGATTTAGGGCTTTACCATAGCTATTCAATCTTGTATGGTTTATATGCCATTCAGATTTTCTCTTATACTGCAACCTCTTTGTGGAGAAGAAGCATACCTTAGCTATTTTTTATTTCTACAAACCCACCTACAATATGTTCTGAGTGGATTAATACTTGATGATTAAGCAAAGAAGGACCCTTTCCTCATTTCTTTCTCTCTTTGCCTAATGCTGTTTTCTAGGATTTAGATAGATGTTGAGGGTAAGAGGCATGAAGAAAAGAAGCCTAGAAAATAAAGTTATTTGGCCTAAAAAAAACAGTGTCTAGCACAAAGTAGGAGCTCAATAAATATTGTTAGCTGATAGACTGAAGGTTCCAGATTGACAGTGAGTAGTGTTGACAGGAGTTCCTTGGAGCAGTAGTTATGTTTTATTTATTTCTGTTTCCATGGTAATCAACATGTTTATCAGACCAATGTCTCAACATGCTTTAATTAATTAGTTATTGTGACAATGAAGAAGTTCCTTATACCCTCTTTGGCACAGTGAAATTATCTGTAAAATGGGGATAATAATGCCCTAAAAGGAGAAGATTTTATTAACGGATCACTTGTAGCCCAGTTTAGCTGGGAGCTTTCTAACTCTCATCATTAACAGAAGAGAAGGTGATGCAATTTAAGGAGGAAGCTCAAAGAAAGACAAGTTTCCTTCTTTTTCCTGCGTATCTCCAAGCCTTCCTGTTCCAGGTCTTTATACCTTGTTTCTGTTCATTGCACTCTCAGAAGGTATTAATGTGGTTATAAACCTACAATAGAATGGTACAACTTAAGATTAAGATGATTTTATGTGAAGCTGAAAATAAAGTATATGTCTTCCTTGGCTCCTTGCAGCTTGGATGATAAGGTTCTCAGCTATGATCTTGCACAGTCTCTATGGCTGTGCATCAGTCCATCTGGATGAAAAAAAAAAACTAAGTTCCTTTGAATCACTGCAGCCTTTTGTTATGGCTCAGTTAGGCTGTAGAGACCTAAAACCATGCTTGCTGCTTACACAGTATTGTGACACTCAGCAAACCAACCTGACCCAATTTGTAATCTCCATACCCTCTCATCTGCAATGGTAGGAAATACTTTTTTTCTCTATTTCTACCTTTTCTCCCTTGAGCAAAACCTTTGGATTCCATTTGACTTAAAACTTACAGATTGCTTCATGGGGTCCTTCAAGAAATAATAAAATATAACACAGACTAGCAAAGCTTGTTTAGAAGAGGGGCCTATTTTCTTCTCATTCCACACTTTGAGGGTCTTGGCCAATTGAGAATCAAGAAAGCCTGTCAAATTTACTTAATTAAAATGAAAAGAAAGAAAATCCACTTTAACATTTCTAATCAACAGGAGTCTAATGAGTCATGTTGGTTCCTGGAGTTGAGACACGGTAGGGCATTTTTGGAGCTAATTTGCTTCATTAATATTCAAAGGATGTAGATCATCCAGCATTTTCTAGGATACTTAAGAGCCAGAAACATCAGAGGGAAAGTTTTATTTTGCAAGTCATATTAAACAGATGTCCCACATCGAAACAACTGTAGCATTTAATCTAAAGTGTTGTCAGTTTGAATAATTATCTTATTTCCTGCCTCAGTCTCACTGTCAAAGTGGACCTGCAACTCTCACCCCTAAGATTACTCCTCTTCTCCAATTTTTAGACTTGACACTGATGCTACTAAGGCCACCACGGCCAGTTCTGGGCTGATGGAAATAATTTGAGTTTTGGAGCCCATCAATCCATGTTCAAATTCAGGTCTGTTATCTCCTAGGGGACATTTTAAGATGTCAATTTAGTCAATTTGTCTTTTACTTAGTATTTAACCAATATTTATTGAGCCTCTCTTTCCCAAGTCTTATGCTGGGAACTAGAGAAATGGGAGAATCGAGGCACTCTGAACCTCAGTTTTCTTAAATGTAAACGGGATATCATAAATTCTACTTAGCAGTGCTAATAAAATGAGATAGGCTACAGAAGACACATGGGGCATAGTGGACATTCAATAAATTGTAGTTTTATCTCCCCCAGTGCAGGATTATCTGTATAGCTACAACTACACTCAGGCATTTGATTGCAAAGTTGTGATTTTTGGCATGTAATCGCAAGGTTGAAATGTGGGTTTAAAAGGCCAATCTGTGAAGCACAGTTAAGCCAAAACTCTCAGTAAGAACATAATTCAGATCTCATTGTCATTTATAATGTCATCTAACAAGCAACTTGTAAGTCAATAACTTTGAATGCACGTTAACTCTTTAAGCAACAAGTCATTAACAGAGACTTACATATACTATGCATTTAGCAAATGTTTCCTGCATTATAGGAATGAATCAGCTAGAGAGAGAGTGAACTATGTCTTTATCTAACCATATTAATAATATTCTAGACAATTTACAAAGTTATTTCAAGTTTATTCATTTCACTCCTGTATGTATACATATATATGTGTGTACATACACATATACAGAATCTACTATGTTTAGACAAGATTCTAGACACTGTAAATAATTAGTAAAGTGTGAACACTTTACTAAGTATTAAGTACTAAGTTAACACTTTTTTTTTACTAAATACTAAGTAAACACTTTACTAAGTAAATACCTTAGTAAATTACTCATATTTACTAGTAATACTAGTATTACTAGTATTTACTAAAGTATTACTAATACTAGTATTAATAAATACTAAGTTCCTGACCTCGAGGGGATTATATTCTAGTGGGAAAGACAGACAATAAGCAAAAAAGAAATAGAATGGTACATAGTAATTGAAAAGGAAAAACAAACAAGCTAGTTTTTAGTTATCTCACACATTCTCATTCACAGAGTATGTTTTTAAGAAACTGAAATAAAATGAAGAAAAATAAAGAAAATAAAAATAATATGATAGAAGAGAGACAGATGTGCATGACACTTTCCGATGAGATGGTAATGGAAAAATCTCTCTGAGAAGGTGTTGTTTGAGTACCGACCTGAATTAAGTTAGAGAACCAGCCTAAAATCTAGGGTAAAAACATTTCAGGAAAAGAAAACAGCAAGTCCTGGGACCCAAAGTGAGAGTAAGAATTGCCTATTTGAGGAAGGACAAGATGGTTGGTGTGCTTAGAGAGGAGGAAAAGGACGGATGAGGGTGGAGTTGGTGGGAGATGAGGACCCACCTGATACAGTTTGGCTGTGTCCCCACCCAAATCTCATCTTGAATTGTAGCTCATGTAATTCCCACGTGCTGTAGGAGGGACCTGGTGGAAGGTAAGTGAATCCTGGGAGCAGTTCCTCCCAAACTGTTCTCATGGTAGTGAATACGTCTCATGAGATCTGATGGTTTTATAAGGGAAAACCCTCTTTACTTGGGTCTCATTTTCTCTTTGCCAGCCACCATGTAAGAGGTGCTTTTCACCTTCTGCCATGATTGTGAGGCCTCCCTAGCCACATGGAACTGTGAGTCCATTAAACTTCTTTTACTTTACAAATTACCCAGTCTCGGGTATGTCTTTATCGGTAGCGTAAAAACAGACTAATATACATCATAGCAGACTTTGGTAAGGATTTCAGATGTTATTCTCTATGTAATGAAGTGACAATTAATGCCCATGAGTGGCCCCAACAATTCCCTCTCTCATTGTTCACGTATATAAGTCCTTGCATTAAAAAGTGCATCTAGTTTCTATCCTCTTGTATCCGGGCTGCCTGAGTGAGAGAGTTGACAATAGTCTATGGTAAAGTGGTGTTCTGGGACTCAAGTTCCAGGCCTCGGGAAGACTGATAGCATTTGCTTCCTTTCTCTTTGAGCACTAAGAACACCCTCTCTCAGAAGCCAGCTGCCATGTCCCAAGGAGAAGTCACATGAAGAATGGAGGTGGTCTGTTCAACAGACCCCCAGAGCTTCAAGCTGACAGCAGCATCAACTCTAGGAATGCAAGGGGACTATCCAGAACATTCCAAACCATTCGAGCCCCCAGATGATCTCAGTCAACATAACATAGAGTAGGAAAACCAACCAGTCAATCCCAGTCAACAACAGAATCATGAAAGATAATAAAGTGGTAGGTTTTTAAAAAATTTATGGAGTTGTGAAGGCTGTTTTTTTAAACTTGTATTTTAAGTTCATGGGTACAAATGCAAGTTTGTTAACATAGGTAAACTTGTGTCATGGGGGTTTGTTGTACAGATTAATTCATCACCCAGGTATTAAGCCTAGTATCCATTAGTTAGTTTTCCTGAACATCTCCCTTCTCCCAACCTCCACCCTCCGAAAGGCCCCAGTGTGTTTTGTTTCCCTCTATGTGTCCATGTGTTCTCATAATTTAGCTCCCACTTACACGTGATAATATGCGGTATTTAGGTTTCTACAAACAGTGGATAATCAAGAAACATGAGAAACCATTGAATATTACCTTCATTACAATACTGAATTTTTATACTGTCCCTAAAGGTAGGTTTCATTACAATCTACTTTTCACAGTTAAAAAGACCGAAGTTAAATATAACTTTCCAAAAATCACACAGCACATAAAATACAGAGCCTGACTTTAGGTGTGGGTGTTCTTCCAAAATTTTTCCCCTCACGTAGAGCTAAGCATTGATTCAACCAAACAGACTAACCTGAATTGTATAGACATGAGTAATTCCAGACACTCCATTAATCACATTGCTATATACCTGGGCCATGTCTATTAAAACACTTAAGTTGCTTTTAAAGCCAGAATTGTTTTTACCATCTGCATCAGGCTATTTAATATCCAGATTGAAAGTACTCTGGGCATGTGTGTGTGAGATACTAAAGACTTAATGTCTACTGAATGCTTTGAGCTTGAGAAAAAAAGTGAACAAATGCATGAATTAGCTTCTGCTTATTTTGAAATTCAAAAGACTCAATATCAGTCTTCTATATTTGGAACTTCCATCTTGATCAGAGATAGTCTTATCTAAAAATGTGAGTAAAGTTATTCCTGAGAAGAGATGCAATACTTGTGACAGTCAAATATTGTGAAAAGTAACTGCATTTAGGTTATGTTAAAAAATCAACATTCAGTTTTTTTCCTGAGTCGATAAGCTGAAAATAAATTCATGAGTGCATTTTTCTTCTTTTTGTTGCAGGAGAAAACATAGAAATGTAAATGCACTTTCTACATGTGAACTGTGCTAAGGACCTTTGAAGCTGTGCTCCTTCTTCCCAATATGACATCTGGGTTAAGGAGAAGCTTACTTTATATGGCAAATTGACTAGTACATAGTAGACCTCAATGAATAATAATTTGTTGAAAGTTTTCCTCTTCCAAGGCTCAGTTTCTTCATCTGTGAATTAAGGATGTTGCTCAAGAAGGTGAGCTTGTGCCTTCATTACCTTCATGGGTGGTGAACATTTCCCACGACGGTCCGTTCCCACACTCCACCTTGCACCCTTCTCAAAACAGTGTCCTCAAAGCTTCTACCAGTCATGCACAATTGGCTCTTGAAAAGAAACAATTTATCCTCTATTATGTAAGTATATTTTGCCCTCCAAGCTCTGAAGTTCATGACTCCATGATTCCCAAACTATTGAAATATTTAGAATAATCCCGATTCCTCTTAAAGTATTGTCATTGCAACAAACGGAAAATGCTTGCAACATCAACAACTGCACTAAACTACCCACTACAGACCTAGGTGATTAATTACTTAATTATTAATGATCACTTCACTTTTTGCTGCAGCATTTATAGTATCTTTTTATATTTAGGATGTAAAAAACACTTTAGCTCTTTTGAATGACAAGGTGAGCAGAGGTATCTCTCCATTAAAATTTTCTCTATAATTTGTGAGTCATAACAAACTATATTTTTATCTATACTTTTGAATCATCAAACAAGAAACTTAAGATGAAAGAACTGGTGCCAACAGAGATCGAGGCAGGGAGAGGAGAATGCTAGTAAATAAAAGCAGAGCCTCGGAGACTTAAAAACAGTATCGACTGTGTCCAAAGCATTGTATCAGGCCTTTAGGGATCTCAAAGCAGATAATGACAAAGTGTATTCTCAAGGACCTCATTGTCTAGATAGAGATGTAGTGGAATCCTAGCAAGATAAATACAAATACTGAGACTCATGCTAAATCTTAGATATGTGGGAGGATATATTTTAAAAATTCAGAGAAAGGTCATGTGGACTGGGACTCAGACAAGATCTTAAAGATAGCCCCTTGGAGGATACAGGACCCCTTTCTGTAGCCTGTAGCACCTAGTCAAGTGTCTGATATACAGCTGACACTAAATAAATGTTTGGAGAACTCTGCTGACATAAGGTGCACTTAGTCAAGTAAAGAAGAGAACATCAAAATTGGGGTGGATAGCAGAAGTAAGGCAGGGGTCTGCTCCTGCTGGGCTCTGGAACATAGAATGCTGGCCTGGAGCAAAGGGTTCAAAAGGGGAGAAGAGGGTGATTCTTTCTGCACTCTGTCCCTGAGCAATCTCACTCCCATCTGTGGCTCAACTATGCTTTCTGCTCCAAAGACTCCCATGTGTCACTTAAATGCTAGTCTAACAAACTTTCACACACTTCCCCCACACAACCACTGGACATTCCTCTTGGAATATCTCACAGAGATGTCAAAATCAAGTGGTCTAAAGCTCCTTTCCTAAACCTCCTCTTGAATTTCCTTTTTCTGATATTGGGAGCATCTTCACGCAGACTGGAAATTGTGCTGGCATCTTTAACCCCCTCCTCCTCTTAGGCATCTCTGTTGATTCCCCATCAGAAAATGATTCTACATGCATAGTTGCCCACATGCCATCTTCACTGGCAGCACATGATGGCACCTGTGGTTCAGACCTCCTTGCATCTCCTTTGAGTAATTTTCTTTCCTTACCTCTGCCCAGAACCCACTGCAATCACTTCTGTCATATTAACCTCTTGGGAGAAGAGCTCAGACCTTGCCTTCTTTCATGCAAGCATCCATTACACTGAGTTAGTTCTTACTGTGTGCTCAGCACTGAGTTCTGTGATCGTCACCCCCACACACAACCAGAGACAATATTTCCTTCTCCTTCTTTGGATCATATTTATTCAATTCAGCTTTTGTCTCCCCTTATAAATTTGTGAGCTACTTGAAACCATGTTCATGTTTGTCACTGTATCCATATCACACAGTCTTGCATACCACTGGCACTTAACCAATGTATGTAGAAAAAAAGAAATTAATGAGGGAGGCTGGGACTAGAGGGCTAGAGAATCCTCAATGCCAGGCTAAGGAATTTGGCCATCATCATTTAGGTATTCTGGAGCTTCTGAAGTTCTTGGCTCTGTCGAGCAACATCTGCAAGGCTATGAATTAGGAAGATTGCTCTGGTGCCAACAGGTAGAATGATCTGGAGGGGAGGAATCAGCTGCATAGAAAGAGCCTCGATTTTCTGGGGAAATGTGATGCAAATGAAAAACTGGTTAGGAGAAAATAAGCATAGGCATTAAAATAGAAATTTAGAGAAAAAAAAGATAATCAGTCTATCATTTAGAATATCTGTATTTCTAAAGGATCACATGAAGTGTCATTATAGTATCCAACAGTTGTCTGTGGTAATGAGGTGGGGAGGACAGTGTTAACATAAAGTCACATTAAACATTTTCTGGGATAAAAAATCGTAAAAATAAATACACATATACTAACAAAAATAAACTTTTGTTATGCCATTATATATATATATAGATATATAGATATCTATATATATATCTATATATATAGATATATATATAGATATCTATATATATATATCTTTCTCTCTCTCTCTCTCTCTCTCGCACACACACCCCCACACACTTAAACAAACACACATCTAAGGCCAGAAAAGGGAAATTTAAAAGATGGCTTAGCTTACCTTATTTGCACTGCCCTGACTATCTGCTGATATAGGTATGTGTGAGTAAGGAAAGGGTTACAGAAAACTCCAATGGAAGGGAGGTGATTGAAGAGGTGCCACAAAGGGTATTACCAGACGCTGGGGAAGTTGGAAAATTGCACCATCCTTATATTCACATTACGTGTACGCTGCACCAAAAGCTTCTCTCACTGATGTATCAGTTTGGTCAGAAAACTTGGTCCTATTCCCAATGGGACTGGGCAGGTATAAGGGTGAATAAAGATGCCCACAAAGGTGCTGATGAGTAATGAGAGAAAATAAGTCCTGGCCTCCTGGGTTTGGAAATGCACTTTCTTTATCTCAAAACAAAATTTGTAGATAGCTGTCAAGCTTTAAAGATGCACACTTCCCAGGACCAGACCACCAGAATTTATTAATTCAGTGACACTTCTTATTTGTTCTATATCAGCTTCTAGGATTTAAGGAGATCCAATGGCAAACCAGACAGGCTTGATCCTTGTGCTCATGAGTGTACGGTCTAGCCATGAGAATAAACATTCAGCCATTAACCACCATTAACTACAATGAGTATAGTGACTGGGGAGGTACAGGCCTCACGGGGCAGTCAGCAGGGTCAGAGGAGAGTAGCCAAAACTGGCAAAGCATATTGAGAAAGACCAAGAGAAAGTGGCATTAAGACTGAGACCAGAGAGTAAAAGGAGGTAGCAAGTGAAGTGGTGAGGAAACATCTTGCAGAGGAAAGGCTGTGTGCAAAGGCCAGGTGATTTGAGGAACTGGAAGCAGCTCAGTGTGGCTGGAATATTGAGGAGAGGCTGAAGAGTGATGAGAATTAAAAGTAGAGAGTATTAAAATGAATGTTTGCTGGGGCGAGGCATACAACCTTTATTCTAGGTGCATCAAAAAATCACAGAAGTCTTTAATGCAGAAAATTGAGAATATGAGCTTTATCACTGATAAAAGTTATCTGGCTGACAGGAGGAGAATGAACCAAAGGAGAAATCACTGAAAGCTGGTGGTTGAAGATGCCACCATCTCCTTCTGTCATCTTGAGTGACTTCTTTCATTGTTACATACACAGTTGCCTGGTTTGAGAAAAAAAAAAAAAAAACCCAACAACAACAAAAAATCCTAACCTGACATCTCATCAATTGTGAGATTTTTCTGAGCTGGTCATTTTGGATAATGTTATGGAAAAGCCAGCAGAATCTGAGTAATTATTTCATTCAGTCATTCACTCATCTACATAGGTGGAGTAATCAAGGTAAAGTCTTCTTCCCCATTGTGTTCTCTGTCCTGCCAGGGAAAGAGACAAAGGAATCGATAATTCCAATACAGTGGAATGACGGCTAAAACAGACAAGGGTGCTCAAGTCATAGGACGAGTATAAATAGGGAAAGTTAATTCTGTTGTGGGATGTCAGGAAGTGCTTTCAGGAAAACTGACACTTAAGCAGAATAATCAATAAAACTGTTAATATTATTGATTAATAAAAGAATAATAATGTTAATATGATTAATAAAACAATTCATTATAAAATATGTACTGATAAGCCTTGAGTGTTTTTTCTTACATTGTCTTATTAAACACCATAAAAACCCTGCAAAGTAGGTATTTGTAAGCTATTGTGCAAATGACGAAACCAGAGACACAAAACATTAGACAACAAGCTCTATAGTTCAGCTTGTGTAGCCCAATTCAAAGTCTATTCCCTTTCCACTGAAACACGCTGCTAGGATTTAACCACATGTACAGAGAAAGGAAAGGTATTTTAGGTAGATGAAACAGCCTGAGCAAAAGCAGTGAGCAAGAAGAGGCATGGGACATATGGGATGTGAATGTGATTACTCTGCATGCAGAGAAGGTCCATGCGGGAATCTGTTGAGAGGGGAAACAGGAGAAACAAGCTAAGTGCAGGCCCTGACCAGCAATGGGCTGGACTTCACTGTGACAACAGAGCCTCAGAAGACAACTGAGCCAGCAGGTGGCGAGAGTAGATCCACGTTTTATAAGGGGTACTCCGTCAGCCTCATTGGTGGGGATATGGAGCTACAGGCAGGGAGGAGGGCTGCAGGAATCTGGGGAAGAGAGGCTGGGGTCTGCACGAGGGCATAGCAATGCTAATAAAGAAGGCAGCTAAAAGAAGTGAAAGTGGATAGAGAAATGACTAAGCAAAGCATGGGGCAATTCTTATTTTCCATTGTTGAAAACAAAATTAAAGCTCTGAATATTACTCTTAGAAAGGAAAGCTTTCATGCTACAGATCATGGTAAAATCAAGTTAATGCATATTTTGAGATGAATCCATTGTATAACTATGCATATATTCGAAAAAGAATCATTCACTTAAAGTGTATGTGTGTGTGTGTGTTTGTATGCTTGCTCTTTGTGTATGTTGTATCAGTAAAATACATCCAGATAATATATCCAA
This sequence comes from Homo sapiens, assembly GCF_000001405.40. Classification (NCBI taxonomy): domain Eukaryota; kingdom Metazoa; phylum Chordata; class Mammalia; order Primates; family Hominidae; genus Homo; species Homo sapiens. The sequence goes on from NC_000003.12 coordinate 8,096,391, forward strand.
TTATCATGTAATAGGAAGCATTTTGGCAAAATATATCAGTAAGTCCAAAATAGACTTTCTCTGTCCACATAAAATTCTGTCAATGGCCTAATTATGTAGCATATCTCAAAGCCAGATTATTTTATTTGATAATTTACTACAAATGAAATTCATTTTCATATAATATCTCCAAGTTACATCTACAATGTTGTCTCCATAGACAAGTGTCAAAAGCAATGATTCTGAAAAATTTTGACTCTGGGAAATCAATCTTTCTAGCATGCAAGGAAGCTTTTGCACTGTTGCCATTTAAAAAGAAATGGAGTAAAATTTAGGGTGAGAGGGTTATACAATGTCCTTGAGGCTCTGAGCCTCTTTCTTTTCTAGTCTTGATTATCTATTTTCATCTTATCATGTTCTCGTTGGAAAACACCTTAAACCTCTAGAAAGAGGCAGAAGTTAAAATAAATAAACACAAATATTCTAAGTTTTGATAATGGCTATGCAGAGAGTGAGAAATGATACTTGGGGAGAAGGCAAAGTGCATGATAGGACAGCTGCAATGCACTGGCAACTGCTCGTAGCTACCTCTCAAAAAAGTATTCATGATATGTTTTTCTCCATGACATCTGAAAACTCCTGAGAACAGGGACTGGACTTAATTATGACCTTCTTTATCCCCAGGGCCTACCAGATATTCTTGATCTAGACATTATGACCAGATCTGTGCTGTTTCTCACTTTAATACAGGGACAGGAGTGAAGTGTCCAGGCTCATCAACAGTCTGTGTGCAAAGTTACAGAAAATTTCTTCTCACAGCCTTTGAGAGAGAAAATTCTATGGTGAGACTTTGAGGCATAATTTGACTGTGTACTGCAAAGACAACATTTTAAATTTTGTTATATCGCATGTCTTATTTATATCTAGATTACTGGAAATTTATAAGTGACTATAATCTGTGCTATCGTTTCTAGTTTGGAAATGCATAGAATCTTGTGTGGCTGACTAGCTGTCTTAGACTAGTTTATAATTAGGTAAACTTCTGCAAGTAGCTAACCTTTATTGTGGTAAAATATATGTAACATAAAATCTACCGTCTTAACCATTTTTAGGTGTACAGTTCATTGGTATTGGGTACATTCACATTGTTGTGCAGTGACACCACCATCCAACGCCGGAACTTTTTCATCTTCCCAGGCTGCAACTCTGTACTCATTAAATACCAACTCTCCCTTCCTCACTTTCCCTGACCCCTGGTAATGTCTATTCTACTTTCTGTCTCTATGACTATTCTGCTTATCTCACATGAGTAGAATCACACAATATATGTCATTTTGTGATTGTTTTATTCAACTTAGCATAATGTTTTCAAGGTTCATTCATATTGTAACATGTACCAGAATTTCATTCCTTTTTAAGATGGAGCAATATTTCGTTTTGTGTATGCGTGCATATGTGTGTTTACACCACATATTATATACTTATCCATTCATCCATTAATGGGCATTTTGGCTGTCTCCACCTATTGGCTATTGTGATTAATGCTGCTAAGAACATTGATATACAAATATCTGTTTCAATCCTTTCTATTATTTTGGGAATGTATCTAGAAGTGGAAATTCTGGATCATGTGGTAATTCTAGGTTTAATATGTTTGAAGAAATTCCATAATATTTTTCCCAGGGGTAGCACCAGCTTACATTTCCACCAACGGTGCGCAAGGGTTCCAATGTATCCACATCCTCATCAACACGTGTTACTTTGTTTTCTTTTTTGTGTGCATTTATTACTCTTTCTTATTGATACATAATAGATGTACATATCTTCAGGGCACATGTGATAATTTCATACATTCATATAATGTGTAAAGTTCGAATCATGGTAATTGGGATATCTATCACTTTCAATATTTATCTTGTGTTTATGCTAGAAACATAGAATTATCCTCTTCTAGCTATTCTGAAATTTACAGTAGATTATAGTTAACCATATTTGTTTTGCTTTGTTTTTCATAACAGCCATCCTAATGCATGTGAAGCAGTGTCTTCTTGTGGTTTTGGTTGGCATTTCCTTAATGATTAGTAATGTTGAACATCTTTTCCTGTCCTTATTGGCCATTTGTATTTCTGCTTTAGAGAATTGTCTATTCAAGTCTTTTGCCCATTTTTTTATTGTGTTGTTTGGTTTTTCTTATTATATTGCAAGCAGCTTTCTACAAAAAGAAAAAAAATTCTTCTAGATCCAACTTCTAAAGTTAGAGTTGGCAAACTATCACAGTGGGGTCTCTGTTGTTATAAGTAAAGTCTTATTAGAACATAGCCGCGCTCATTTATCGATGCAATGTCTACTGCTGTTTTCATGCTACAAAGGCACAGTTAAGTAATTAGAGACCATATGGACCACAGGCCTAAAATATGTACTGTCTTTATCTTTACATAAAAAGTTTGTCAACCACTGTTCTAAAGATGTCATCTGGTTGAGCTATTGCTAAAGAAGTACCTGGAAATAAGAATTATATCTTTTTTTCTGTTTTTAAGATTTTTAGCCTGTACAATGTAGTCCATGGTCATCCCTATAGTTTATGGTTGCCAGATAAAATACAGCAAGGGACATACTTGCACTAAAACACATTTGTTATCTGAAATTCACATTTACGTAGGTATCCTGTAATTTATTTGCCTAACCTGCAACCCTACTGTGGTTTCATGAAACCAGGATCAGTAATGAGCCCTACCCGTTTTAAGAAGCAGGAATAGTTTTTAACAAGTTTTACATCTTTTCCTCAACATCTGCAATTATTTATTCCTACTACTTCCTCTTCCTAGAAGGTTTTTTGCCATGTCATCTGGCTTCTACTCCTATTCTACTTTGATACTCAGAACCATGTGAAACCTTTATGGATCATACCCCAGCAGAGGTTGGATGCCCCTTCTCTATGATCTCATTGAACACTCTTAAAAATAATAAACAAGAGCTAAGACACAGTTGCAGGTTTCTATGTGTTAGGTACTTGAGAACATATCATAGGGCCTCAACAAATAGTGGATGAATGGACTTAAGACAAGTGGGATAGGGCATAAGTTAAATCACTGATGGACACCTCTTTTGCCCCCTCTTTAATTATCCTGAACAGCCAGACTTGTTCTCAGCTGTTTAAGAAGTTGCATGAAACTGGCTTCTGCTCTGTCTCTCTACCATCACCCTTCTGGGCCTTCCCCTCAGCCCTATGCACATGGTGTTCCTCTTGCTGCATCTAGGACCACAGCATCCCAGCAACACATAGTTCCCAATACACTTACCTATTGTTATCCACCAAAATTTATCCTTCTTGTGTCCCAATCCTTCAAGATGCCAGCTTTTGCTCCTTAGGGATAATGGATGCTAAAATATTTGCTGCAAATATATGTTAACTTACATGCTCTTGCTTGTAATGGAAAGATCTTTAGGATGAGTCTTAGGAGAGGTGCTAATCTTATGAAGAATTTTACAGTTGGGTTTTTTAAAATCTGACTCAGAGGCAGCAGCTAGGGCCACATACAAGGGAAAAATCTCCCTCATTTGGCTGTTCTGCCAGTCTTTGCCTATTTGCCCCTTAATGTATTCCTTGTGCTTCTCTTCTGCTCTCTGCTGTAAGGGACTGACTCTACAATCTACAGTCCCCAAGGTTCCTTGCCAAGTGACATCCAGTAAGGGTCAGCCAGCAAGAGGCTCCATGGAGAACCCACAGTATTTGTCTCCCTCTCCGTTTGTTATGGGCTGTATCTCTTGCAGTGGCTGTGTCTTCACTGTGGTTTCAGTTCATGCAGGGCAGCCCTGGCTCCTGAGCTCTGGCACCACCATCTCCTCCTTTTGTTCCTCAAGCCTCAGAGTGATAATGGCTTCTGGCAGTTGCTAACCATGAAGATGCCTCCCATCTCATTTGGCTTTTGAACCATTCTGTCATCCTTCTAACTAGTTGCTTCCATTCTACTCTTGCTACTGAATTCCTGGCATACTTTGTTTTGTTGACTGGACCCTGACGGATAAAACTCTCCTTCAGGAAGGGGGTTGGAGAAAGCCTGCCATTAGCCCCTAGGACAGTTCCATGGCTAGGAGAAAAGGGACTGCCCCATATTCCTCAGAATCCTAATCCTACATGTATTCATTCTAGATTTGAATAAAGCAAGGTAAGAAGAGGAGGATTAGGGAGGAAAGGCAGGGAGAAATGTCACCAATATTCACTTATTACTTACATGCCTAGGATTTTTAATTGCTCCTTAGAATGATCCTTCACGGTAAGTATTATTATCCTCAAGGATTGAAGAACAACCATTTAAGGGAAGCAATGAAGAGCTTTTGCTTTGAAAGGTTGAGCTGCATTTCCAAGGTTACAAAGCTAGTGAACCTTGTGCTGTAACTTCAACCTAGACGGGTCTTTTTCTACTTTGCCTTACTGAAAAGAAAGAATTTTTTTGAAAAGGCAAAAACTGGAATTGACAAAATCAAATTATGCAAAAATAATTGCTCAACTTTTACACAATTCTGAAATAATTCCTTAAGCCTAGATTTCTTTACATTCACGTATGATGAAGAAATTGATGTATTTTCTGCAAAACTAATTGGAATTAACCAGATAGACAACTTTAGATGATACATGTTCTAAAAGTTAATGTCATGTCCAGAAACCTTATTATCTCATAGTATTTTATGATGCTATCAGGTGGCCCTGTGAGCCTATCAGTCTATATTCATGAATCCCTAGAAGATCTAACTCCAGCTGACCATGAAATTAAGCACATTTTTAGATGACCACTGGGGACAGGTCAATGACAGATATTAAGAGTCACTCCAACTCCACAGGTACATCTGAACACAGAGGGCTAGCTTGTCTACCTTTGGTATTGAGTAATGTTCCATTGGCTTCATTAAGCTCATGTTGACTCAATAATTTTTCTAGTGAACTCAGAGCCAAAAATAGGTACTTTATATTATCTGTTAGAGTTCAAGATAATTGCATAATTATTGTGGTATCTGAAAGCCATTGAATAATTGTAGCCATGTTATTTTAACATGAAAAAATAGGAAAGTCTTAAAACAAATGTGCAAATGAATAATACTTTTTTTTGTTTTGTTTGTCTGTTTTTGAGACGGAGTCTTGCTCTGTCACCAGGCTGAGTGCAGTGGTGTGATCTCAGTTCACTGCAACCTCTGCCTCCTGGGTTTAAGCGATTCTCCTGCCTCAGCCTCCCGAGTACCTGGGACTGCAGGTGCATGTCACCACGCACAGCTAATTTTTGTATTTTTAGTAGAGACAGGGTTTCACCATGTCGGCCAGGATGATCTTGGTGTCTTGACCTTGTGATACGCCCACCTCGGCCTCCCTAAGTGCTGGGATTACAGGCATGAGCCACTGTGCCCGGCCATTACTACGTTTTAACAATCTAATATGTGTCCTACCATATAGATGCATAAATGCAGTATAAACACTAAAAATAAATTTAGAGCTGAATGGAGTATTGGAAATAGCTTAGTATATTCCCTTACTTTTATAAATAAAGACAAGACACTTTGGCCAAGGGAAGTAAAGGTACATACACAGGACATATATATATGCATGTATATATATTCAGGTGTGTGCGATGGGTATGAATACACACCATTATATACATGCACTCACATGCTCTCTCTCTATGTGTGTGTGTGTGTATATATATATATATGCTCATTAAGCATCACATATATAAGCATCATATATGTAAGCATCTATATAAGCATCATATGTAATATATCATATACAAGCATCATATATACAAGCTCATTAAGCATCATATAGCATGTATATAATGGTGTATATTCATATACATCATACACACCTGAATAGATATTTATGCACATATATACATGCAAACACACAGAGGGAGGGAGGAGAGAGAGAGAGAGAGGATGAATGTACAGCTATTGAAGTATATGTTGGCAGTGTGCTAGAAATGATGATGAAAACAGCAGGTATCAGGATTTTTGGTTAGAAGGAAAGCTGACTTTGGACTGCTGAGCCTTCTGAGAAGGTGAGGTCTTGATGAATTGGGTTAGAGAGAACCAAATAGCTCTGCACAGGAAATAAACAGGATATGGAGGTGAAATAATAAGAGAAGGGAGAAAGAAAACTGAAGAAAGAAGAGAGTGAAGTTGATGATATGCCAACTGGTCAAAAGAATTTAACAGCAGATATTCTGGATATTTAACTAACTTATGTATTTAACGTATTTGTGGTTGCTCTGGTATAGGGGCCCTCCAGAGCCTCTAACTTTCAGTCAAGTCTGCTATGCACACAGTGCCAAACGGCTCTATGTAGATTTGGGGTAAAATCAAGGAAAAGAAGCTGAGACCTGTAAGTAGAGTGGCATGGGGTAGGGAGAACAGGCCACCGGACATGAGATTTCAGTGAGATCAAGTCAGTGAGAATGAGATCTGACTATAAACAGGGAACATGAGCCGGCAAACCCTGGCAAAGATTTAGAGAACTGGGAAGAACAAATGAGGGGTCAGGGGCCTAAACTGTTTCATGGTCTGTGAACACGCATGCATGCAAATCCAATCTGTATGCAGCAGAGATTTCAGTGGATTTTTTGGTGTTTGGGATTGATGGCAGCAGAGTCTGAGAAGGTGGTAATGTGATCTGAGATTTGGGGCTCTCTTGGGCAGTCAGTTGAGAGCCATAATTCCAGTTTCCCCAGAGAGGTAACAGATAAGACAGAAGACATGATGGCCAGGGAGGGAATGCCTGCTGGGGACAGGAAAGATTTATCCTGAAACCATAAGGGTTAGCTGAGGAAAGAGGAGCTATGGAATGATTGCTCAATCATCTTAATGTCCTAAAGCTCCAAACCCTTGTTCATCTTTCTGCTACAGATATTTACCTAATACCATCTCAGAAAACTAGCAGGATTTGTGTCCTGCCAAGCCAAGTTAAAGGCTAAAAGCCATGTGCCACTATCAGCAGGGAAAGGAAGGTAGGAGGTGGAAGACATGTTTAAATGGAGCCAGCATGTTCACTCCAGGGGACTGACTGGGAATGGCTGTCGGGTGCAGTGAGGGGCCACATTTGAAATCTAGGGTTCCTTCAGAATCTCTGGAAAATGTGTTTGTTTATCTGGTTGTCTTCTCAACTTATGCATGCTCCCATTGGCTCTGTTCCTTCCTCTCACTTCACCAGGTGGTTTTGGTGGGAATTAAAAGGATCACCAAAAAGAATTTTAAAAACGCATGGGACAAAAACAACTCAAACTAGCTTATGTGAAAAGGGAATGTCTTGGTTCCCACAACTGGAAAGCGCAGGTGGGGATACCTTTACACTAGGCTGAGTAGGGCTTAGTCTCTTTGTCCAGCCCTGCCTCCACCTTCCTCCATGAATTTGCAGACTGTCTTTCCAGGAGAGGAAGATAGATCTCAACACTCCCAACTTTACCTCCCACTAGCTTAGCAACTCCTTTGGGAATTAAGATCCTTTTCTTTGCAAACCTACTTTACAAATCTGCAAATGATCTTTTGATTGATATTTGAGACACATCTACCAAGTACTTATGGAGCTCTTATTTCAAACGGCTATTCTAGGACCAAGAAGGCAAAGCCCTTTCTCTTGTGAAGTTATCTGTTTATGTACTGTTTGCAAGAGGAAAAGGAACAATGTGGATTAGATGCTTACCTACATAGGATCATGGTGTGGAGGGGACACTGCAACTGGCAGTGCCAATCAGACATCATGGACTGAGGTAGGGACAGTTTTCCAAATGACACCGTGTGTTGAACACGCAGAACAGTTGATGCATCATATACCATCTCACTTCCTGTTTCACTCTTAATACATTCCAGAACGGTAACCTCAAGCCCACCAGCTGCATTTTAGCATTCAGACAGGAAAGAATGCCAATGGAGGCTTCTTTCTGGAACAGCTCTTCCAATTACTGATAAATCACACAAAGTGTAGGGTAAATATGAGGAATATTGCCCACAATCTCCAAGTCGGCAAACTAGGTAAACGAGTTGGCATCTTGGCAGCTGGTCTCGTTTGCATTTATAAATTAAGTTTTTAATACTCACATTTGTAGAGGTGATTTTTTTTCTGGCATTTGACTTTTGTCTCAGAAACAAAATGTCATGGTATTTTTTAAAGTGCATAGATTTGAAGCAAATGCAAAGCAACTGCCTTCTGGCTTGGAAAATAACCAGACTACACTCATCTTGAGACGGGATGGAATGAGAGACTGGGAAAGTGCTTATAGTTGCTTTTAATGGGCATACCTTGGGTTACCTGTTATTTTGAAATTCCAAATACTTTTAACACGGCCTATGTCTTGAGGAACATTGGAAATACAATTTGCAATGCCTGAGAGATTCAGGAAACTGGAAATTATATTCACAAGAGAATAAGCAGGTCTTATAGGTGCCACAGACACTAGGTTAGGGGTTCCTAAATAAATAGCTTATTTATTTCACTGAATGTCAAATAAAGTCATGTGGCCATGAATCTGAGCTAGAAGGATGACAGGAATATTCAGTGCATGACAGCAGCGTTGACTCCATTAACAACCCTGGGCAGTGCCCTTCATGAACACTTATCTTTCTATCTAAATCTGCTTGATCACTTCTCTTCTTCCTTTACTAGATTTTAAGTTCTGCGAGGACAGAGGCCAAATGTTTCTTACTTGTCTTTGAAATCCCAAGGCCCAGCAAGATATTTTGCACATAATAATGATGACAATGAAGAAAACTAGCATTTATTGAATGGTTATCATATTCTAAGCATTATATTGATCACTTTAATGAATTAATTCTTTTAGTCCTCATAATATACATGATACTATTATACCAGTATTTTCTACTCTTGTTACGAAGAAGGAAACCAAGGAACACAGGAGTGAAGTGATTCGTCCAAAGTCATATGCTATGAAATAAAAGATTTCAGACTGAAGTGCAGGCAATTTGGCTCAAGAGCCAGAGCTCAAATGTTTCTGTTGTTTGAATGAAGAGAGCTCTCTCACAAACCAAGCAATCTCTCGCGATGACTTTTTGTCTCATGAGAGGGAGGAAAAGAAAGAGCCATCTGGGTCCGGGCGCAGTGGCTCACACCTGTAATCCCAGCACTTTGGGAGGCCGAGAGGGGTGGATCGCCTGAGGTCAGGAGTTTGAGACCAGCCTGGCCAACATGGCGAAACCCCATCTCTACTAAAAATACAAAAATTAGCTAGGCATGGTGGTGGTGGACTCTTGTAATCAAAGCTACTTCAGAGGCTGAGGCAGGAGAATCGCTTGAACCCGGGGGGCGGAGGTTGCAGTGAGCAGAGATCGTGCCATTTCACTCCAGCCTGGGAGTAAGAGAGAAACTCCATCTCGGGAAAAAAAAAAAAAGCCATCAGGATCCTGGCTATGAGTAGAGATTTGGGAAGTGAACTACTCTTGGGACTTGTTTCACTAAAATCAAACAGGTAGATCAACTAGTGGCTTGACTAGGTGAAGATTTTTCTTAATTATTTTAATTTAAAAGTTTTAAAATCAAAGTAATACATTGCTTGGAAACAATGTTCTAGTCTACCCCTCCTAACCCCAGACTTGTTTGGGAAAGAATCCATTTCAAACTCTCCTGCTAGTTATCTTCATACAGCTCGAACTTGATAATCAAGATCGAATTTAGTCATTATTTATTGATTCCCATGATAAAAGGGAAGGAGTTGGTCTACTTGTATCATTCCTACTTCCCCTCCCCATTTAGATAGTTCAGCATTTTTACATTTTCTGTGAGGTACTTTTAAATTTTTAAGTAATACCCTAGGTAGTCTCTAACATCTACTCCGTGCCTTATAAGATGAAGTTAGCTGCACCTCTTCTTTTTTTTCTTCAGCTTCTGCCTCTTTTTTCCACTGCAACTTTTGCTTTCACTTTAATATAATTAAGCTGGATAACTTTTACACCTTGTCTTTCCTGCTGTATCTAGAGACTGATCTTAAAATTGTATATCAAGAATGTTGATAAGATGGTTAATTTTACGTGTTTACTTGACTGGGCCACGGGGAGCCAGATATTTGGTTAAACATTATTCTGGCCCTTTGGAAGGCTGAGGCGGGTGAATCACCTGAGGTCAGGAGTTTGAGACCAGCCTGGCCAACATGGCAAAACCCCATCTCTACTAAAAATGCAGAAATTAGCTGAGCATGGTGGCAGGCACCTGTAATCCCGGCACTTTGGGAGGCCAAGGTGGGCAGATTACTTGAGGTCAGGAGTTCAAGACCATCCTGGCCAACATGGTGAAACCCCATCTCTACTAAAAATACAAAAATTAGCTAGGCATGGTGGCAGGCACCTGTAATCCCAGCTACTTGGGAGCCTGAGGCAGGAGAATCACTTGAACCTGGGAGACGGAGGTTGCAGTGAGCCAAGATCGCACCACTACACTCCAGCTTGGGTGACAGAGTGAGATGCCATCTCAAAAAAAAAAAAAAAGAAAAGAAAAAAAAAGAAAAAGACAATTATTTTGGGAGTGTTTGTCAAGGTGTTTCTAGATGAGATTAACATTTGAATAAGTAGACAGAATAAAGCAGATTGCCCTTCCTAATGTGGTTGGGCCTCATCCCATCCACTGAAGGCTCCAATAGAACAAAAGGCTAAGCAAGACAGAATTCACTCCCGGACATCAGGGAGTTTGAGCTGGGACATCAGTCTTGTCCTAACCACACACTGGAACTTGCACCATCTGCTCTCTTGGTTCTCAGGCCTTCAGACTTGGATTAGAACTACACCACCGGCTCTCCAGGATCTGCAGCTTGTAGATGGCAGATTGTGGACATTCTCAGCCTTCATAATCATGTAAGCCAATTATTTAGAAGAAAATTCTCTCTGTACTATATGTGTGTATGTGTGTGTGTGTGTGTAACTGGTCCTGTTTCTTTGGAGTACCCTGAATAATACACTATATTTATATTTTTATTATCTGGAGAAATTATTCACTATGGAGATAATATATATACTATTATTTTATTTTTAATTTTTTTTCCTGGAGTTCCTCATTTTTATCCATTTCCTACTTGCTTTTATCATATGTCTGTTACTCTCTTGGGCTCTCTATTACATCAAATTTTTCTATTGACTTCCTGGGACTTCCAGCTCCTGCTCTGAATTATTTACTGTGCAACTACCATTTTGGGACTTCCCTTTAAGCTGTTCCTGTTCTGGACTCACTGTTTTTCAAATCTTATGCTCTCCTTTTTTTGGTACTGGTTCTGTGTTGGTCAGAATAGACTCCTTTATGCTGAAGTAACAACAACCTACAACCTCAATGGCTCAAAACCCCAAGTTTCATTGCCTACTCAGAGTGCACGTCCACTTCAGATTGGCGTGGCTCTGCCTGACTCTCCCATTCTCAGAACCAGGCTGACAGAGCAGCATGCTGCCTGGCAAAGGAAAAGAAAACTTGGCCCATTTTGCATTGGCTGTAAGACATTCCACTTGAAACTGATACATGTCACTTTTATGTACATCTCACTGGCCAAAGCAAGTCACATAGTTAAGTCTAACTTCAAAGAGGGGCAGATAAATGCAATCCTACTATGTGTCAAAGAAAAGACCTATTAGTAAACTGCCCTAATGACTACTATACTCGTTCATTTGCTTCATATCCTCAAGCAACTTTATAAAGAAATTACATATAGCATATAGGAGATAACATTCAAGCTCTTGCATGTCTGAAAATTGTCTGAGAATTTTCACTCTCATAAAGAAGTAATGAGGGCACTTGCTACTTCAGGTTATATTACAATCCACGAGGATCATAGGGAAGTAGGCCTTCTGAAAAAAAAAATAGGACCCAACAGAAGACAGGAAGTAGAGTAAGCATTGGAAAATTCAGATCATTTATTATCCCAAATAACTTGAAAAGATGGAAGTAGATTCAAACTTCTTTTGTTTGATTGTGGAAAAAGAAATTTAATCTTTTTTTTTAGAGCAAAGATTGGTGGATAGGAAAGTTCTAGAGTAGCCCTCTCCAATATAACTTTCCATGATGAGAGGAATATTCTATAATGTGTGCTACCCAATATTGTAACCACTAGCTGCATGTGGCTATTGAGTGCTTGGAATGTGGCTACTCTAAATTGTGGAATTGTGCCACATGGCTAGTATATTGGACAGAGCATTTCAAGAGATTTCAAAAGAAATGTAGATTTCAAAAGAATTTCAAAAGAAATTCAATAGGACAGTCTCAAAAATGACAATCTTACATTGCAGTCATAAAAAATTCTGAGGAGGAAAAAGGAGGAAAAAAGACTAAGACACTGGCACAGGCCCTGATGAGCTCACATATTAAAAGGGGCACACACAAAATATGGGAGGAGAGGTTATCACATATAAGAATAGCGACAGAATGAATGAACACAGTCATATAGTATAGACCAAATTTCTTGGTAAAACTTCTAAGAAAAACAAAAGATTTTTATTCTGTCTTTTGATAATGCAGAAGAAGAAAACGAACAAGGGTATAATGAGGTACGCTGCATGGGGTGACAGTGTGGTTACTCAGAAAAGAGAGGCATGTCCCAATGCTTTGCTTATCTTCGTCTTTCTTCCCAAGCAGACTATCAGTTGGTTTACAGATAAGGGGAAGAAATTTGTAGGAAAGCTCCTAGGTCTTCCAATGGAATTAAATTTTCTGGCCCAAACCTAAGGTCATGATTCTCAAAGTTGAAAGTACAAAATCATCACTTGGAGTCTTTGTTAATCATTCAAAGTACCCAGAAAAACATAGAGGGTCTAACTCCCAGAGAGTGTGGGATACTCTCAGGGATCACCATAAAGGTGCGCAGGATAAGTGCTAGAAAATCACTAACAGTATGACCGTCGAAGGGTCTCTAAAGTGGGCTGCGTGCACCCCTAACAGAAATGGAGGATGAAAATGTTAGACCTAATTAGCCGTGGTGTTTCTCTTTTCTTCTTGAGAGAATCTATGTATATACAAACATATCTTAATCTCTTTTCTCTCTTGACACAAATGGTAGCTTATTAAATATATTGGCCAGTATTGTGCTTTTTTTGGTTTTTTGTTTGTTTGTTTGAGACGGAGTCTTCCTTTGTCGCCCAGACTAGAGTGCAGTGGCGCAATCTCAGCTCACTGCAAACTCCGCCTCCCGGGTTCAAGCAATTCTCCTGCCTCAGCCACCTGAGTAGCTGGGATTACAGGCACGTGCCACCACACCCGGCTGACCCCGGTGAAACCCGGGGTTTCACCATCTTGGCCAGGCTGGTCTCAAACTCCTGATCTCATGATCTACCGGCCTTGGCCTCCCAAAGTGCTGGGATTACAGGCGTGAGCCATTGTGCTTGGCCTCAATATTGTGTTTTTTTCCCACTTAAAAATATAAGTTGTTGGCCGCTTCCTATAACACATATTTATCTGCCTCATTACTTTTAGATATAGAGAGGCAAGATGATGTAGGGGTTTTGAGCATCGACTCTGGGTTGAAATCCCCAGCTCTGTCACTTACTGGCTGTGTGACCTTGGCACTCTGGACCTTAGTTAGCTCATCTGTAAAGTGAAGGTAATAATAATAGTACCTATCTCATAGAGTTGAGTGAAGATAAAATGAGTTAATTTAAGAAAAGTAATTAGAACAGTGTCTCATATATGGTATTCTAGAAAAGGATCAGGTGATTCTGATGGTAGTGGGCCAGGTAACATACTTGGAGAATGTCTGTCCTAAAATAATGTAGTTTCATTCATTTATTCATATGTTAGGTATTTACCACATCAAATAATGAATATATAGAAGTGAATTCTTGCCTTCACAAAGCTGAGACTCCATCATAGCACAATCATGCAATATTGTCATCCCCACATCCACCCAATTAGTCTGGAAACCTGTGTTTCTTTTCTTCTCTATTTTCTTAATGGGATAATAAGGTATGCTCAGTAAATGCTTAACAATAGAAGTAATGGTAAATTTGTGATCATATAGACATGACCTCAAATACTGGTTATGCAACGGGGATTCAGGGACTCTAAAAATAAATGAAGATTTATAAAACCTGGCCACTCCTGGCAAACTTGTGAGGCTGAACCATCTTCTGGCTCAGACGTTCCCCTTTTCTCTGATCCTCTCTCCAGCCACAATTTACTTTGGAGACGAGGGTCTGATGCACTATCTCAGCAGAGAACCCCCCTGCCCCATGCTAAAATATCTCCTACCTTTCCCCAAATCTGGATAACTTAGCTCTTGCTCTCAGCCAAAGGTATCAGTCCCCAAAATTAACACAGCAAAATGTTGATGATTTGTAACTGTTTACTGTGCGTATGTGCCATTCCAAGAGAAGATGCTCATTAAAGCAGAAGCAATGAATTGCTTTATTGATTGAAATCTAAGCAAATTAATATCTAATAGTAAAGTTTTAGAAAGTATACTCTACTTCAAGGAACTCATTTTTGAATCCCGGACCTTTCCCGGGACTTTTACAGCATGTAGATGAATGTGGTCACTCTCGATAATAGCAACACCCCCCTCCCTCCATGCAGTTGCTAGTGCATTAAATCATACAAAACCTTAAACCTTCCACTTACTAAAACTCTCTGTGGGCTCGGTTCGCTATTCCTGTTTTATAAATAAGGAAACTGGGGTATGTCCGGTTTAAACAATGTGATTACACTCAAAATGCCAGAAAGGGACAGAGTCAGAATCCAAACTCTTATCTTTAGCCTTGAGTTCCAGTCCCCTTCCCACCTCATTATAGCCAATGGGGATAGAGACTACTCGGGGAAAGACTATTATCAACATAATCTGCCCTTTGTCTCGGAAAATCACACTCTCAGTCTGGTGGTTATCGTCATGAATCTAATCATCAGTTCCAGCATGCTGAACATGGCCATGATTGGTAAAATTCACACTGAAGCACAAAAAGGACGTCTGTCATCTCAACCGGAAATACAGTCCGGGTACAGCAAGCTTCCTAATTCAATAGCATTGGACCAGAAAGGCACCCTCTCTTTTCTGTAGCTTCAATGCCCTCCAGTGGGAAGATCTGACATTACACCCCAAAAGGACGGGCTGAATGGGGGCAGTGTTACTCACAGTCCTTTCTTAGAGTGTATGACATAACCCCAACTCATAAGCTACGATGTGCCTGAGAATAACTCAGCCTTATGCATTATTGCCACGATGGGTCACAGTCTCAGATTAAGATGTAGGAGCTTCCTTGCAGCCTCAGGATGCCGAATTATATCATAGATCATTTTGCCCCTTTATTTTGAATTGTGCATGATTCCTACATTTCAGGGGATTGCCTCCTTACACGCACAAACATCACACACACATCATAGAAAGCAACAGCTGGACCTGAAAGTTATCCAGCACAGAGATTGCAAACAGGAAAGACTGGGACTGTGGAAGTGTTTTGCATGCCCTGCACAACGTTTTACTTGTTTATATGCTATTTTTCTAAAATAAATTTAAATGCTTCTAGGTAGATTTGCACTCTCCAGTTGCTCACAGTTTTTACCACTTCATATTGGCTTAGTTTGGTTTCCCCAAAGCCGATTCAAAACAAGGTCTTGTATACAGGAACTTAATTTGGGAGAGTACCTAAGGAGGTAGTGAGGGGGAAGGGAGAGTGACACAGGAGGACAGAAATGCCAATAAAGGGCATGCCAATAATGGGCTGAATCATGTGTGCCCCAAATCTATTTGTTTAAGTCCTAACCCCCAGTACCTCAGCATGTAACTGCATTCGGAAGTAAGACCTTTAAAGAGGTAATTAAGATGAAATGAGGGCATATGAATGGACCCCGAAGCAATATGATGGGTGTCTTTACAAAAAGAGATTAGGATAAAGATGAGTACAGAGAGAACACGGTATGAAGACACAGGGGGAAGGAAGCCATCTACAAGCCAAGGAGAGGCCTCAGAATAAACCAACCCTGCCAACACCTTTATCTCCACTTCCCTCCTCTGGGACTGTGAGACCATCTACTTCCATTGTTTAAGCCTGTAGTACTGTGTTATAACAGCCCTGGCAAGCTCAGACAGGGTATGTGAATGAGGGGCCACTACTGTGGGCAGCTGGGGTTTAGTCCTGCCAAGGGCCCTGAGAAATTTCAGGGACGATACCTCAGAATTATGTCAGCAGAGCAGTGGGAGGCTGGGGCATTTGTCCTGAGACTGGTCCCCCTTGGCGGAGGGCTGGTCCCATCCCTGTAGCATTAACTCCCCTGCATTTCCAGGTTGCCCTGTGAATTAGGGAGTGGGAACACCCACAGGCAGAAAAGCAGGCAGTTGGAGTGAGAAGCATATGGAATGTTAGAGGGAATTGTCCACCTACCCTGCTGGAATCTCAGAGATGGGCCAGGGGACACAGCTGAGTATCCACCGCACCTGCCACACTATTATCTCACAGCTAAATGCTTTGCACATTTCCCAATCACGTGGCTTCTAAGTGACTCACAATAGCAGCCTCTCCATCATAAACACCCATCCCCTGGACTCAAGCGCAACTTTCTTCTTGCTTTTCAGGGCTCGTCCCAAGTGGATCTTTCAGAAAGCCCTTCTCTGACCACAATATAGTGCTAGTGCCACCGCTGCCCACCCCGTGGTGTGCTAGACTCGTCCAACTTAGAATCACCACTACTCCCTGCAAGTGTGTCCATGGTGCTAAACATCCCCAAGTATTTGTATATAGTGCTTTGTACAGGGTGATTTATGTGCATTCATGTGATGGTTCAGAATCTCAACGAGAGGACGATGTTTGCCACTGCTGTACAGAAAAAGGTATGTGACAGCTACCAGCTTATCTTTTACATTGATCAATTTGTCATATCCCCCTTTCAATGGTATGGATTGTTCCTTTAGTATTTGGGCAAAGCCAATGCTAATGACCTTGCATTGAGTGCTGCTTTCAGAGCTACAAGGTGCTTTCATATGCATCGTTTCAGGAGGCCCTCAAACAAGCTGATGAAATAACAGTAGCAAGGCAACACTACCGCACATTATACAAACTTGGAAAACAGAGGCCAGGGCAGTGTGTGATGTGTCCCAAGGTCACCTGACAAGGTTCTGACAGACCCACAGTGAGATCACAGGTCTCCAGTTTCTTGGCTTAGAGGCCTTCAATTTGCAGATTCTGGTAGGAAACATAAAGTCTCCTTTCACAAGCAACATAGGATGATGGAAAAAAAAAAAAAAACAGCATCAAATCTGGCTTCCAGGAACTTCCCCTTGAGAACTTGACTCTTCCATTGGCTAGATCTTCCTCTTTTCATTGAAATTGTTTCGTTATTTGGTGAACAATGGGTTTTCAGCTGCTACCGTGCAATTAAGCTCCTTGCTGATTGAAAAAGAAATTATATGATAGCATACTGGAGTGGCTTATTGCTCCTCCCATGAAGAATCTATGGGCTTGTTTTCCTAAGGTTTGTTTTCTATCTAAATGACGTCACAAATTAGTAGTCAACGATTGCACTTGTAATCATGCCAAAGGCATCCCAGCTTCTCTCTGTCAGGCCTCTGAGCCCAAGCTAAGCCATCACATCCCCTGTAACCTGCACGTACACATCCAGATGATCGGTTCCTGCCTTAACTGATGACATTCCACCACAAAAGAAGTGAAAATGGCCTGTTCCTGACTTAACTGATGACATTGTCTTGTGAAATTCCTTCTCCTGGCTCATCCTGGCTCAAAAGCTCCCCCACTGAGCACCTTGTGATCCCCACTCTGCCCGCCAGAGAACAAACCCCACCCTTGACTGTAATTTTCCTTTACCTACCCAAATCCTATAAAATGGCCCCACCCCTATCTCCCTTCGCTGACTCTCTTTTCGGACTCAGCCCACCTGCACTCAGGTGAAATAAACAGCCATGTTGCTCACACAAAGCCTGTTTGGTGGTCTCTTCACACGGACGCACATGAAACTCTCTTTGCGCTTTCCCTACTCCACACAGTAACCAGAGTGATCCTTTGAAACCATATGGCAGCCCCTGTCACTGCTTTGCACAGAATCTTCCAGTAGCTTCCCATTACAATAAGAGGAAAAGTCAAAATCATTACTAGACCCTGGACAATCTTCTCTCAGCTCCCCACGTCTCTCAGATCTCATCTGCTCATCTGCTCCTCCCTCTCCTAATCATTCTGCTCTAGCCTCACCAGCCTCCTAACTACATTTACAACATTTTTTAACACACCAAATGTATGTGTGTGCAGGACTTTTGCACTTACTGTTTTCTTTGCTGGAACTCTCTCCCAGGTTTATACATGCCTGCCCCTTTATCTCCTTCAGGTCTGCTTAAATGTCATCTTTCCAATGTGCTCTTCTAGCAAGGAAAGGATTTGCTTGTTTGGTTTGCTGCTGAATGCTCAGCTGCTAGAATACTCAATACATATTCATTGAACCATTAGAATGAATTTTATACACACACACAGACACATACACACACACACACACACACACACACATATATGTATATATAGTGTTTGCTGTATACCTTATTTAAAATAATTTATGTGAGGAGTCTAAACTTATGCAATGGATATATTATGACCCTCTCCACTATAAAAGTCTTAGATACTGACATTGTCTATTACAGAGAAGTATGTGTAGTTTCTGACGCTGGCAGAGAGAGACAAACAGCCAGTGAAACTTCATGTTCAAACATTAGTAGGAACTACTCACTGTCAGTAGTACAAATAAGACAGTGAGAAATCAGGTCTTGATTTATATACAACCCTTTAAATCTAACTTTTCATAGTCTGAGGTTGCATAATATTCTGTATGTAACTTAAATCTCTCATATTGACTGTTCATCAAGGATCTACTCTTTGGTTAAACCAAAAAAGGTAAAATGAATGCTCTTAAAAAGGCCACTGTTTTGTTTTGTGTTTCTTCAGAGCAGACTCTGAGAAAAGAACTGGAGGGCACATAATTTATTTGGGAGGGGATCCCCGGAAACAAGACAAGATAAAGGTGGGATGAGACAGGGAAAGGAAAAATGCCGATAAAAGGACTTTTAATAAGCAAATGATGACTGAGGACATGCGGAACTGAGTCTCCTTGGGAACTCTGGGAGGCTGGGTAGGAAATGCCTCCAGGAAAGGAGGATGCTTAGTGGTCTCAGTAGTAGAGGCGCATGCAGTGGGCTATATAGCCTGGAGGAGGGAGAAACCATTTCTGTAGAGAGAGCTTCTGGAGACATCCAAAGGAGGTGATTCTCAAGAGATATGCCAGAGATGACGGAGCAGGGCAGTCAGGCCCTGGAGGAAGCACAAACGGCCATTAGAGATGTCAACTCACATACCTGGCTATTCTAGACATGGGACTATTTCTCCAATAGTTGAATTTAATTTTTCCTTGAACTTGTATTCACTATCATTTCTTGGCCTTTTGGCTAAGATCAAGTGAACCTGCACCCACTGGAAGGCAGACAATCAGTTTATTTTATTGCTCCCCTCTGTCTCACTCCAGGGATTTGCAGAAGCCCCAAAGAGAATAAGGGAAGTGGAAAAATCTGATTCTCTGTTTTGGGGTTCTAGTGGTTTAATTTTATAGGTCAACTTGGCTGGGCCACTGCATACAGATATTTGGTCAAACATTAGTTTGGATGCCACTGAGAAGGCATTTTTAAAATGAGATTAACATTTAAATTAGTAGCCTGAATAAAGCAGATTATGCTCCATCATGGGAGCAAATCTCATCCAATCAGTTGAAGCCCTAAACAGAAAACCAACTGACCTCCCCATAGGAAGAGAGAATTCTGCCTGGAGATGGCTTCTAGACTAGAGCTGCAACATCATTCTCTGAGTCTCCAGCCTACAGCACTGCCATGCAGAATTTGGACTTGCTGGCCTCCACAGTCATGTGAACCACTTCCTTAATCTCCTCTCTCTCTCTCTCTCTTTCTCACTCTCTTTCTCTGTCACTTTCTCTCTCTCTTTAAAATATATATAATCTATGAGATTTGCTACCTCACCAGCCTCAGCCAAAGATGCTCTGGCTTGGAGTCCCCAAACTTACATTTTCATTTTCCAGCCCCTTGCCAGAACACACTGGGGAATGGGTTTGCAAAGTGTGTGGAAGGGAGAAGAGAGGGGGCTTTCACAGGGGCTATGCTAGCAAATCACTGATTCCCCTCAGGCATCCCATCCCTCTCCACAATCTTCAGCTGTCACTTGCTTATCCTGTTTTCTTTTTCTTGTTTTTTGTTTGTTTGTTTCCTTGTAGAATTTTTTAAATTTTATTTTAATTGTAAATTGGCAAATTATAATTGAATATATTTATGGGATACAAAGTGATGTTATGATTTATAAATACAACGTGGAATAATAAATCAAGCTAATTAATGTATTTATCACCTCAAATACTTATTCCTTTTTGTGGTGAGAACATTTAAAATTTACTCTCTTAGTTATTTTGAAATGTATGAAACACTGTTACTATATTCACACTGCTGTGCAATCTATCTCAAAGAAAATAAAACCATATTGCTTTTGTCTAATTGAGGCATTGTACTCTTTTTTTTTGAGATGGATTCTTGCTCTGTCACCCAGGCTGGAGAGCAGTGGTGTGATCTAGGCTCACTGCAACCTCTGCCACCCAGGTTCAAATGATTCTCATGCCTCCCAAGTAGCTGGGACTACAGGCACCCACCACCACACCTGGCTAATTTTTGTATTTTTAGTAGTGACGGGGTTTCACCATGTTGGCCAGGCTGGTCTCAACTCCTGACCTCAGGTAATCTGCCCGCCTCGACTTCCCAAAGTGCTGGGATTAGAGGCATGAGCCACCCTGCCCAGCCTGAGGCATTGTACTTTTTAGCTATCGTCTCCCCATTTATACCTCCTCCCTTAGCTTCTGTGATTAACATTCCATTTTCTGCTTCTCTGAGTTCAAATATAAGTGATTTTATTCCACATATAAGTGAGATCATGCCTTATTTGTCATTCTGTGCCTGGCTGGTTTAACTTAACATAATGTCTTCCAGGTTCATCCATGTTGTTGCAAATTACATTTTTTAAAAAATTAGTAAAGGCTGCATAGTATTCATTGTATATATATACATAACACACTTTCTTCATCCATTCATTGTTGATGAACACTAAGGTTGATTCCACAGCTTGACTTTTGCAAATGATGTGCAATGTATATGAGAGAGCAGACATCTCTTTAACAAAGTGACTTCAAATCTTTTGGGTATATACCCAGAAATGGGATTTCTGGATCATACGGTAGGTCTATTTTTAGTTTTTTGAGGAATCTCCATATAGTTTTTCAAATTGGCTGTACTAATTTTTATCCCCACCAACAGTATGCAAGCGTTCCATTTTTTCTACATCTTTACTGTCATTTGTTATCTTTTGTCTTTTTTGTAATAGCCATACAGACAGGTGTGAGATATCTCATTGTAGTTTTAACTTGCATTTCCTCAAGGGTTAATGATGTTGAGCATTTTTCATGTACCTGTTGGCCATTTGTTTGTCTTCTTTTGAGAAATGTCCGTTCAGGTCATTTGCCTATTTTAAAAAATTGAATTATTTGTTTTCTCTCTATAGAGTTGTTTCAGTTACTTATATATTTTGGATATTAATCCCTTATCAGATGTATGGCTTGCACATATTTTCTTCTAATCTATAGGTTGTTTCTTCACTCTGTTGTTTTTTTGTTGTACAGAAACTTTTCATTTTGATCTAACCCTATTTGCCAGTTTTTGCTTTTATTGCCTGTGCTTTTACTTTTGTGCTAGTTTCCTTCTAAATTACTTACCTTTGAAGGAAATAAGTTTTTTTCTGAAACACTTACAAAGAAGAGATCAGGGATATATTTCAGGCGAGCAGGAATTTTTCTTTAACCTGAGTTTTTGTATGTGAGTTTGTTTAGCTTTTACATCTTTCTAAGCAATGTAAAAAATGGCTATGAGACTGTTTATAATTGTAAATTCCATCTTTTCTTCCACTACCTCAATGACAAACTGCTGCCTGCAAATATGGCTGCACTGTGTGATTCTTTATGGTCTCTGTGTGACCCACTTTTTGAATTCCCCAGATTGAGATAGAATCCAGGACAACTTCATCTGTCAGCCTGGATTCCTGTTTCCAAATTCTGCCCCCAAGAAACTTATGGTTTTCACATCAAAGTGTGCTCCTTTAGCTTTAGGAATTATTTTTTCCAGAGTTTTTCTGAGATCTGCATTCTTAAAGTAACCTATTTCCTCCCACATACACCCCTGCTCAGCCTCTATCTCTGTGGTCTGCCCTTCTGCCTATTTCATAGTTTAAGATTTCAGTAGTTTCCCCATTTCACTGAAGGCAAGTTTGTATTTCTGTTTTTTTCTAGTGACTTTGTGCCATCGTGTTCAAACCAGAGGTCTCTTATATCTCTTATGAACTCATTATTTAGCCTGACAGGGCAAAGAAAACCCTGGCTCTATCCAGTCAGATGTTTCTCTGTCCCTAATTGTTTATATTTGAAGATTAAAAAAAATTAAAGAAAATGTATACCCTGAGTTCTCTGGACTTAGAAGTCCAAAAGGTCATATTCTTTCAACTAAAAAGCCTTTTCTCTCAAAACTCCTCTATCTGAAATGTTTTTCAAATGTCTGCTTTAAAACCTCAAAGCCAAGATTTAACTTTTGGGTTACCTGGGATGCACCAAACAGCCATATTAGAAATCAGTGGGTACTTCAAATGTAAGGCAATAGATTCATATACATAAATATAAATATATTTATATTTAATATTAATATATTTATTTATATATAGATTTTTATATATCTGTATATTTACTGAGAAAAAAAGCTATGCCAGCTAACATGTCAAATTATTCCTCTGCTACACAGTGTGTGGTAACATTTCAGAAGCAATACACTGGGGCTAATGGCCTTTTATTATGGTACAGTGACTTATTACAGAAAAAAAAATTTTTTAAACCCTACTGTAAATAAGCAACAAGTAAGTGCAAGAACAGCAGTTTGGCAAACAAATTTTTAATTGTCCGTCTAAACCAATCAATTATTCAATATCTTTCATGTTCTCTCTCATGTTCTCTCTCTCTCTAAGATAGCGTAATTATTTTTAAAAATTTTCTAAATTTTTTAACTCAATTTTTTAGTGATTTAACCACCATGTCAGATTTGTTTACACAAAAGACATGGTAAAATTTTCTATGACTTTATTGGAGGCAATATTAGCTAGAAATCATTAATAATATAAACAAAAACAATTTTAGCTATCCACTCTTAAGATACACATTACATTCCTCCTCTATCCCAATAAAATAGTATTTCCAATGCCTACAAACTATATTACCGTGTTTATTTAGAGCCAAATGAATAATTTCTTGATGGCAATATTAACTAGCATTTATTCATATTTTTAAGTGTTACTTACTCCTTCTCTGACACAGATTCTGACAGAGACATGGAGGTAACCTAATCATGCTTCTTTCAGCACCATTTTCTCTGAAAAATAAATTATCAGAAGTTGTTTACTTGCATAAATAGTATTCTGAATAAAACTTTCTTTTATTCAGTTTTGTATAAAATATCATAACCTTTCCTGCGGAACACATTGTAACTGTTTATCTTTGGTCTACAAGTTCTGCAATGGCCTGTACCCAAAGCAACAAAATTCTGACATTTAGAAAGAGTCAAATATCTCAAATAGGTTGTTTCATTTTGTTTTTTTGTCTAAAAAAATCCAAGGTGATCCAGCAGCTGCAGATGATTAGAAGTGAATGGCAAAGCAATGTCAAGAGATTCTACATCCACAAAACAAGAGTTTCAACCACAGAAGGGCACAAGGAGACAAACTCAGACTCCAAGGTTGTCAAGTACAAATAATACAAAGCAGCCGGGCACAGTAGAGCACACTTCCCACAGTGGAGCACTTTGGGAGGGCAAGGCAGGTAGATCATTCGAGCCCAGGAATTCAAGACTAGCTTGGGTAACATGGTGAAAACCCATCTCCAAAAAAATTTTAAAAATTAGCTGGGCATGGTGGCACACACCTATAGTCCCAGCTACCCAGGAGGCTGAGGCAGGAGGATTGCTTGAGCCTAGGAGGTTGAGGCTGCAGTGAGCCTTGATCACACCACTGCACTCCAGCCTGGGTGACAAAAAGAGACCCTGTCCCCAAACAAACAGTACAAAGCACTGAGCCAGAAGACCTGGGATTGTGAACCACCCAAGTTTTTTAAACAATCTGGGCCTTGTTTTCCTCATAGCAAACCTGGGAAAAATATTATAATTCCCAATAGAATTATCTTGAAGTGAAGTTCACATGTAAAAAACACTACGCAAACTGTGTGATATATACAATGGCACCCATCATTATTAACAAACCATTGAATTTTATTTACTAAATAAAACCATCCACAAAGCATTGCATCTCTTTGCTGTGTCTTCAGTTTATCCCTTGCTTAGTTGGGATCTCCAGAAGAACAGTTTGAAACTGAGATGCTTGGTGCGAGGATGGTCTCAGGAAAAACCCATAGGAAGTGGGGAAACAGAATAGGGCAGAGAGTGAGAAGCCCAGACAACATGTGGTTTCCACTAAAGTCTAGCCTCAGCCTGATCCCATGGGGAGCTCTGGGATGTAAATGGCATCATAGAGTAACCTTGAGACAAGGGAGGCTTTTGTTTTCCTACAATGACATCTGTCACTGGCTATGAGGGAGGTGGGAGCAATACAATATCCAAGGGATTTCCAGGTGAGATAGCTCCATCTATCAGGAAAAATTCTCCAATGAAGGATATAGATATAGCTGGCTGCAGCCAGCCCTCTCAGCACAGGGTGCATACACCAGTCAGCTACCTTTCCTATCTGGACGGGGCACCAGTAACATTTGCCTGCCATCATTTCCTTGTTGACACAGAAAAAATACTACGGTGCCCATATCTTTCTCACATGTATTCCCTATGTAGAATCAGATTCTTTGCTAGTTCACTCAAAGCCTTCATCAACAAAACCAGCAACAGGTGAAGTTAGATTAACTGGAACTAAGTTTTAAAATCACCAGATACGCACTGTTTAATAATGTAATTCACAGACTAAAGCTAGACATGAAAATGATGTTTGTCCATGTTCATAAATCCACCTGACATTTATTGAACTCCTACTATGTACCAGGCACTCTGCTAGCTACTTACACGTGGTATTTCTTGCTATCCTTAAAATAGTTCTATAAAATCGGTAGATGTTGTCTTCCTTCTGCCCACCTTTTATTTTTATGGTTCAGGTAAACTGAGGCTCACTTGAAAAGTATTCATTTGGGAGACAGAATGCCCAATGCCCCAAATTACCAAGATTTGAGACCCTCTTTGAGATCTCTAGTTCATACTTAGGCAACGTTGAAAGTTATATTTGGCAGTTCAATTCCATAAACAATTTGAAGCTTCCATGTGCAACACATTTTGCACATGGGTGCAATAAAGAAAAGAGCAGTAAATCTTCGTCCTGCCCTCCAAGAGTTTACAGGAGGGTAGATGTATTTGATGGTGCAAATGGTTCTGCAGTAGTAGTGTATCTCCAAAGAGAGAAAAGGGATTAATCCAACATGCCTTCACTAAACACCTATTATGTGCCAGGCCTTGAATCAGGATTAGGGGTAGGAATATAAAGGAAAAAGTCGCAGTCCCTGCTCCAGAAGAATGTATGGTTTAATGATATGATTTGTTTTGAAAAACTCAATTTTTTGGCTCTTAAGTCTAAATCTTAAAATGTAATCTTATTTCTACCTCAGTGTTATGTTTAATTGGTTCCAGAATGGGCAGGAATGCAGCCATTCCGCAGGCTACATCATTTAACTAATTCATTCATGTGCAATGCATCAAGTTCTTGCTAGAGAATAAAAATTGACATTGGTCCTGCTGGGACCAAATAAGACAAAATAAGAGCTAAATTAGATATTTTCACTTTGGTAACACAGGAAAAGCACACTCTTAGAGGGCAAGGTTAGACATTAGCCATAATCTGGAATAATCTGAATTGCAATAGTTGCCACATTAAATAGACATATTTAACTTACTGGAATAAAAATTTCAATCACGCTTTGCATTTTTAGTTCTCTAAAACAGAAGCACTAATTTAATTATCCTCCCTCCTCCATCAGATTTCATCTTCATTTCAACCCAGATATCAGGGATCATTTCTGTTTCTGAGCTTACTGGGTATTTTTCTATTTGTGACTAACGACATTGATCAATTCTGTCTCAAATGAGAGATCTTCTTTATATGTCTCATGTCTTACTTCTTTTACTGTTTTAGTTTGTTTTCTGTTTCTATAACAGAATACCACAGACTTGGTAATATATAAAGGAAAAAAACGTTATTTATCTTATGATTCTGGAAGTCCAAGACCATGGCATGGCATCTGGTGAAGGCCTTCTTGCCGCATCACAACATGACTGACAGAGGGAATCACACGGTGAGATGGCAAGAGCAAGAGAGCCAGAGACGGCTCACTTTTATAACAAAGCCTAACCCACTCCAGTGATTGTAACACTATCCATTCATGAAGGCAGAGGGGTTAAGTCTCTAACACATGAACTTTTGGAAGACGCATTTAACTATATGATTTCATTCCTGGCCCCTCAACTTTATGTCCATCTCGCATTCAAAATACATCAATTCCATCTCAAGAGCCCCAAAGTCTTAACTCATTTCATCACCGATTCAAAAGTCCAATGTCCAGAGTCTTATTTAAATCAGATATGGGTGAGATTCAAGGTGTGATTTATACCATAGCAAATTCCCCTCAGCTGTGAGCCTGTGAAATCCAAACATGTTATTTACTTCCAAAATACAAAATGGGATAGGAATGAGGCAGACATTCTCATTCCAAAAGGGGGAAAGAGGCAAGAAAAGAGGAGTAACTGGTCCCAGGTAAGTCCTAAATCCACAGGAAAAATAATTTTAAACCTTGAAGCTTCAGAATAATCTTTCACTCCACGGGCCACCTCCTAGTTACACTGAGGGATTTAGGCCCTGTACCAAAGCCTTCAGCAGCACTGCCCCTATGGTTTTGCTGAGCTCAGACTATGCAGTGGTTCTCACAGGTTGGAGTTATGTGCCTGCAGTTTTTCCAGCCTGGCACTGCACACAGGTAACTCTACAGTTCTTGAGTATTGAGGGTGGCCCTGCCCCTGTGGCTCCACTTGGCATTGCCCTAGCGGGGGGGTCTCTGTGGTGGCTTCAGCTCTGACCCCACATTTCCATTCAGCGTTGCCCTTCTAGGGGCTCTCTATGGTGACTCTGCCACTACGACGAGTCTCTGCCTGAGCCCCTCTACTATTGGAGACATCCTTTGAAATCCAAGTGGAGGAAATCCTGCCCCCACAACTATTGCATTTGTATACCTGCAGAATTAGAACCTCATGGACACTGCCAAGGCTTACAACTTGTAGCTTCCAAAGAGACTGGTTGAGTACCTTGTGGTGTCACTTGAGCCACAGCGGGGGCTGGCCAAGATGTGCTTCACCAGAAGGCAGAGAGCAGAGACCTTAGGTGGCCCTGGGCAGTGGCCCATCTCCTGAAACTATTCTGCCCTCCTAGAGCTCTGGGCCTGTGATGGGAGAAGCAGCCTGAAAGATCTCATTAATGGCTTCTGGATTTTTCTCCCATCATTCATATGAATAGCCTCTGGCTTAGTTCTATCCATATTAATTTCCTTATCAATCATGTGGCTTGGT
Organism: Homo sapiens; assembly: GCF_000001405.40. Lineage (NCBI taxonomy): Eukaryota > Metazoa > Chordata > Mammalia > Primates > Hominidae > Homo > Homo sapiens. Next base: position 8,124,050 of record NC_000003.12, read on the forward strand.
CACACACTTGCTTTCCTCTGCTGAAAAAGTTATTTCATTCTCTGCATGGCCAGGTTGCAAATTTTCCATATCTTTCCACTGTTCTTCCCTTTTAATTATAAATTGTGTCTTTAAATCATCTATTTCCTCTTGTTAACGTAAGTCACACAATCTATACATTTGGAAAAGGACTTTTTGTTATAAAGAGTTACAGCCGGCAAAGTGGCTGTCCCTCAGGCTGGGAAATGTAGCCTTAAGCAAAGACAAGAGCCAGGCACTTCCAGGGAGGTAGGAATAAGACAAGAATTTATGCTGAATGGGTTGGCTAAATATAGTCAACAGGGTATAGGAGAATCTGTGAATATTCATGAAAGGGGGTCTTGCACATTTATTATAAGCAAACATGCATGTTACATGTGATCCATGTTCACTTTGGGGTGGAAACAACATTTAAATGCATTAAAATTAGGGTCTATACATCAAAAGGTGAAGCAGGGACACAAAAGCACTCAAATGTGCAGCCTCTGTAGACTGGCCAGAAAGAGTTCATGGTTGGTGGTCTTCATATTAGGAGAAAGTTCCTCATATCAGTCTCTTGTCCAATCAAGGCTGCAGTTATAGCATGTGGAACCAAGGTCAGTTAGCACCTGATAATAGATGTGCTGCAATTATTTTAACATTCCTTATCTTGAGGTCAGTGCTTGTTTAGCTGCTAGAGAGAAAGAAAACCCTTGCGGCAGTAAGAACATGAGTTAATGGGTGCAGCACACCAACATGGCACATGTATACATATGTAACAAACCTGCACGTTGTGCACATGTACCCTGGAACTTAAAGTATAATAATAAAAAAAAAAGATTCTGATACAAAACAAAACATAAAAAAGGACATAGTTTCTTCTTTAAGTGTAGAGGCGAGTGACTTAACCCTTACCTGGCATGACCTTAGGTCCTGTTTATAATTTGGTATTTTATTGCCGCAATGAGTCCATTTTGTCAGCCTTATGATCTCTATTTTAACATTAATGCTGGTCGGTTGTTGTGTCTAAAATGCAAAAGAAAGGGGGTATAACGAGTCGTGTCTAATCTCTGGTCCCATCATGGCCAAGAACTCCATTTTTAAGGTTTCTCTGTGGTCCCCTTGGCCAAGAGGGGGTCTGTTCAGTTGGTCTAGGGACTTAAAATTGTATTTTTAGTTTACACTCTCATTTTAATGTAAGCAGTTAAAAATAGCCATGTAGCGCCCAAATGCTTTGTTGCTTAGGTATGTATTCCACCAGCTATTCTGGTTCATCACTCTTAAATTCTGCCTTTGATAAAGCCTTCAAGCATTTACCCCAGTTCAGCCAAGGTCATTGCCACTTTATAACAAGGATGGCATTTGCTCTAATGTCCAATACTTGTTTTTGGTTCTATTTGAGACCTCACTGGAATGGCTTTTACTGTCCATATTCCTACCAACATTCTTTTTTTTTTTTTTTTGAGACAGAGTCTCGCTCTATCACTCAGGCTGGAGTGCAATGTTACAATCTCGGCTCACTGCAACCTCTCCCTCCTGGGATCAAGCAATTCTCATGTCTCAGCCTCCTGAGTGGCTGGAATTACAGGTGAGCGCCACCATGCTTGGCTAATTTTTGTATTTTTAGTAGAGGTGGGGTTTCATCACTTTAGCCAGACTGGTCTCGAACTCCTGACCTCAGGTGATCTGCCCACCTTGGCCTACCAAAATGCTAGAATTACAGTCATGAGCCACTGTGCCCTGCCCCTACCCAACATTCTGATGGTAAACACTTAGGTAATCACTAAGAAGTTCTGGACTTTCTCTAGTCCTTTATTCCAAATCCTCACCAGAATCACCCTTAATGCTCTGACCATGGCAATGCAGGCCTTTATCTAGGTTGCTCCTTCAAATTCTTCCAGGCTCTACCCATTACCCCTACCCAGGTCCAAAGATGCTTTCACATTTTCAGGTATTTGCTATAGCAATAGCCCCCTTTTGGCACCAGTTTTTGGTCTTAGTCTATTTTCTGTTACTGTAACAGAATACCATAGACTGGATAATTTATAAAGAAAAAGGTTATTCATCTCCTGATTAGGGAGGCTGGGTAGTCCAAGAGCATGGCACCTGCATCTGGTAAAAGCCTTTTTGCTGTGTCTTAATACTGCAGAGGGTATCACATGGCAAGAGGGCAAGAGCAAGAGAGCCAGGGAGAGCTCACTTTTATAACAAAGCCACTCCTGAGATGACAAACTCACACCCATGGTAGTGACATTAATTTATGGATGGGAGCAGAGCCCTCGTTAACCTATTAATCTATTCTTGAGGGCAGAGCCAACATTAATTTATTCATGAAGGAAGAGGGATCAAATTTTCAACACATGAACTTTTGGGGGACACATTCAAACCACAGCAATCTAATTCTAAATTTTCAGCCCCTTGAAGGCAAAATATTTTTTTCTGATTGGTCTTGGTCTCTTTTGCAGCACAAGGAAGGCATTCAATAAATGATAATTGAATAGACAGCTGGAATGACAAAAGGACTAATAAATACATACATGAAAAACATTGTACTCTCTGCTAATATTCTCTTGGGGCAGATAAATACTACAGGCATGATTTGACCCACCCAGAGCAGAGAATAAAGGGTAGAAACCTAGGGTTAGAACAGTTGCCAGTGGGAGAAACCAATGGCAGAGGACATAGGCCTTGCACATAGTATATGTTCAGAAAATTATGTTTGAATTTTATCTGAATTGCAGAGTTTCAGACTAGGTTTGGGATTTTCTGCACACATATACAAGGACAACAGATTGGCCAAAAAAAAGCCAAGAAATTAATGTATGAGACAGGGCCCTCCATTCCATGGCTATACAGTAGCCCTATCTCACTTTTGCCTCCTGATGTCTAAAACCTTTTCAAAAGATGATGGTGAAAGATAAATATTGAAATACAATTCCCCTAGGTGATCGTACTAGATATTTATGTTTTGGCTTCACAACATCTATTGCCCCTTCTGTAGGAGACAACTTCAACTTTCATTTGGGGATCCACTTCTCCCCAATTTTAGCCCACAGAATCTGGACCCAAATTGCAATATATGATGCAGGCCTAAGACAATTGGTGCATCACAGTCCCTGGGCCATAGTGACTTGTTCAAAGATTGGCATGTGACCTAGGCTAGTCCAATCAGAATGAAGTTTAGAACTTTGGCTGGACATTCTAAACAAGAGTGTTCATTCTTCTATTGGATTTGAACGTAGGAGGATATAGAGCCACGTGTTGCTAGCAGCCACTTTTGGGGTATGAGTAAAGAGCCTTTCTCAAAATAGTGCTACCTGACAGTGGAAATGGGAATGACTTGCCACAGCCCCTGCGTAGCTCAGCCCCTAAAGCCAAAATTTTTTCTGGACTTTTCTTCTACCTGATCCAGTAAATTCCTTTTTGTGGTTAAGACCCAGTTTGGGTTTGATTTTCTGTCACTTACAATCAACAGATTTGAGAGAGGATTCCAAATGTCTTGAAAAAGAGGTGATCCAATGGCTTGAATTCACAATAAAAATAAATGGATATATCACACACTATTGGTGCACCCTTCCAACATTCTCTCTCTGCTCTCCTGGCAGGCGTGAGAACTGCAGCTTGAGGGGACAGTAATCATACCTGCTGATGTCTTTCTATCTCAACTGCCCACATATCTGGGAACATTCTCTGGCCATAGGAGCATATTCATCCCATACACATCCCAGAATGGATAGTTAATGTCCCCAGAAACAAACTTTAGCCACTGAGGGGTAAAAGTTGGCTTTCCTTCAGTGGGGCCATTCTGAGGTGGGTTTCACAGAGCATACCTGATGGAATGGAGTCCTGATTGTCAGCATTAACTCACTCATTGTCCTTCCTCTCTCTTCTGTCTTTTTCTTTCTGTATGATACCTGAAATCATCTCCCAGATAAAAATCTTGCACCCTAAACTTTATCTCAATGTCTGTTTTGAGGGGAGCCCAAACTAATAAAATGATTGATAGCTATTGTTTCTAGAAAACAGTGGAAGGAGGAAAAGAATACTGCAAGGGGAAGGAAATGCCATGAGAAAATTCGAGCACAGGAAAGATACTGGAGCCATCTTCTGTAAGGAGTAACCCACTGCCCAATCGTTAGAGGATGGAATTAGTATTTGTCACTTAAAGCATTCCCTTCTCTATTATTATGAAAAACAGCACAAGATTTGGAGCACTGAGATCTGAAACTGACTTTCAGCTCTACCCCTTCCTGTTACTGTCAACCATCAGCAGGTGACCTAACACCTTTAAACCTTATTTTTCTTATCCAAGGATAATATCTATTGTAAAGAGTGGCTTTAGGACAGAGAATAAAATATGGGAAATAATTTGCAAAATATAAAGCACTAGGCAAAAGCAATTGATTTGACTTTTGAATACAGAAAAGGCAACATTTCCTGACTAAATCCACATCTGAATGTAAAGGAGAAAGTCACACTGAAAATGCATAGTGAAAACATTTTACCCCAGGAGAGTACCCAGACATGAAAAAGGCTAAGTTCATGATACAAATGCGATCACCAGTTTATGCTGATTTCTCAAATAAGGAGAGCATTCATACCAATCTATCCTCTACAGTTACTATAAGAATCAAATTGCTTTCAAAAGAAAAAAGTGGATATTGTTCTTTGAACACATGAGAAAGGTCCCAGCTGGATATTTTGGAAAGAGAAAGGCAGAAGTGAAAGTGTTTTATGGCCTTAGAAACTTAACTAATTTGGACTCAGAAGTTTACTGCTTCACCAATATTTATGGGATAACAAATTTATCTAAGAATTTGTTTTTGTCCCACACAACCAAAGTTATTAATGGCCCAGCTGGTGGTTATTAATCTTCATTTCCTAAAACAAAACTAGCCCTATGTTTCTTGCAGGCTGTACATCATACGTACAAACCACACCCTGGAAACCAAATTGAGCTCAAGTCAATAGCTCATAAGAGTGACTCCTAAAATGAGGCTTTAAAACTACTTTTAGCCGCCACTTTCTCAGGCAAAAGAATATTTAATTTAACTTTCCCCTGGGAAGCTCTTGGGAAGAAGAAAGAAAGCATGGCTCTTATTCTTTCAAGAGAAGCGTACAAGAAATGAATAAATAAATAAAACAGTTAATTTTCCAACTGTATTCCCTTGCTACATCTATTTGTACAAAGCTTCATGACTTCTTTCCTCATGGAGAGGATGCAGCTACAATGCTTATTTTATATATTTTACTCTGTGGGTAAGATGTGTCAATGAACAGCAAGTGAACAGATCTGCCACACACAGTAGCAGAGGTTGCACAATCCATAACCCTGAGGTACCATTCATGGTAACTTATGATGGACATGACTCCCTTTGGCTTGTGAGTGCACTCGTTTATGCACTTCTGAGGTTAGTCAAGTAATATGAAGTGTCTGCAAAAAAGCTTTTGACATTATTTTCACCAAGTAGATATTCATGGAAATTCATAAAATCCTTGTTGTAAATGAACATGTCAATGACTATAAGCAACTCTCTTGAAAGAAAATATGTAAGGTCATTGTTGCCCTTCTGACCAAACAAACAATGCAAACTCAAGTAATCTCAAAGTATCATTTTATACTATCAAGTTAGCAAATATTACTACTAATAATTATGAATTAATGTTCCATTCCACATCAAATGGACTGGCAATCTAGTTCTTAGATATTTTTTTTCTGAGATACCAGGTTGCTAGGTTGAAGCTGCTTCAGATTTCTTGAGATAGAGTAAATTACTCTATCTCTATCAACTACTGATAATATTTTACCTCCAAACAACATTTTTGGAATATAATACATACTGAAAACATAATATGCATATTCATTTTGATGTAGTAATTCCACTATTGGAATAAATACTTCAAGAGAAGAAAAACAAATACGCAAACAAACAAAAAGCAGTCATGTGAACAATGAATATATTACTTATCATCCCAAACAGGAAGCCATTGAAATATTTAATAACGGAGAAACAGGTAAGTAAATTGTGATCCATCCAGACAATTTGTAACGCTAAACATAAAAATAATAAGCTGAATTGATTAATGAAAACTATAAAATCAGAATAACAAATGATATGACTGCAAATATGTAATAATACAAAGATATGTGAAGAAAGTTTGGAAAGTAATTTGCAAAATGAAATTGTTATGTTTGAAAGATGGGATCATGGTTTAATCTTCTTTTGAAAATGTTTTAAATATCTATGTTTACTTCCTAATTTAATTTAATTTTTTACAAAAGTAATGCTTAAAAAATGTTTAAAAATTAAAGTAGCACAAAATTTAAAGAAATTTTCTTTACCCGACCCTTCCTACCTCTGATATCCATTCCCTAGAGAAAACCACTTGGAAGTTCTAGAAGTTACTTCCACATTTTAATATAAAAACTTATCTGCTATTTATTGATTTTACAGTTTTCTTCTATTATTTTTTATTATGAAAAATGAGTCCAGGCATGGTGCCTCATGGCTGTAATCCCAGCATTGTGGGAGGCTGAGGCAGGTGGATCAACTGAGGTTGGGAGTTCGAGACCAGTTTGGTCAATATGGTGAAAACTGTCTGTACTAAAAATACAAAAATTTGCTGGGTGTGGTGCTGCACACCTCTGGTCCCAGCTACTTGAGAGACTGAGGTGCGAGAATCACTTGAACCTGGGAGGTGGAGGTTGCAGTGAGCCCAGATTGTGCCACTGCAGCCCAGCCTGGGCAACAGAGTAAGACTCTGTTTCAAAAAAAAAAAAAAAGAAAGAAAGAAAGGATAATGAAGATTTGAAGATTTGACTTTTTTACATGGTTCCCACAAAATACACGCATGCACACTGTCACTGTCTGTATCATTCTGGAATAGTAACATCGCATTTCTTGGTTAAATCAATATTCAGTGGTATGGCTATGTAAGTACTGTTCAGAGTTAGTCCATGTAGTACTCTGTGGATTCATTGCCTTCCTTTTATAATTATTTTATTTCCATGGATTTAATCATTGCCTCTTTTTGTTGTTGTTTTTGTTTGCCTATGTTCTACATAGGTCACACAAAACACAACTATTACTGCTACTAACTACATACTATGCAATAAGCAATATGTAGAAAAACATATTGTCCTTCCCTGTGAGTTAGAAATTATCTCCATTTTACAAATAGAAATTAAATAACTTGACCAAGTTCTTACAATTAGTGTTTTGCAGAGTTGGAATTTAAGCCCCAGTCTGTAGTCTATGTAATAAAACACCATGATATATTGCCTATCACTGTGGGGTTTAATGTTGCTTTACATCTAGAAAAACATCATAGATTCAAAATGCTTTTAGATTGTTATCCTCGGTATTTGTGGCAGGCAGCCTGTCAGATAGCTGTCAATGAGCCCTGGATCCTGGTAGTCACGTCCTTGGGTAATTCCCTCCCTGTGTGCGTGGATGGATCTAGTGACTTGATTCAAACAAACAGAGTGTGGCAAAAGTACTGGGATGCCCTTTCCAAGATTAAGTATCAAAAGACTGTCTTTCATCTTGCTTACATTCCCTATCTTGTCATCTTGATTGCCCTCTCTGACGATGCCAGCTACATGTTGCAGATGATCCTATGGGGAGGCCCATGTGGCAGAGAACTAAAGGAGGCCTCTGGCCAGCAGCCAGTGAAGAGCTCAGGCACTCTGTTAAAAGCCCATGAAGAATGGAATCCCGACAAAAATCTCTTGAGTAAACTTAGAATAAGATCCATCCCCAGTCAAGCCTGAAGATGAGACTGCAGCCCAGCCAGCACCTTGATTAGGCCTTGTTAGGGACCAGAGAACTCAGCTAAGCCATGCCTAGATTCTTGATGCACAGAAACTGTGAGATAATGACTATGGGTTAGTTTAAGTCACTAATTTGGAGAGAGTAATTTATTAAACAGTAATAAATAACTAGTACAGCAATGTTCCTACACATATACATCTATAGAACTTAGGAAATCCACAATAAAATAACCAACTCAACAATGGAAGTTACAGTTTTGAAGAATGACCATCCATCAAGATGGGGCAAGCAACCAGAAGAAAATTTTTACAATTATCCATTTTTGAAACTTGAAATTTATGTACTTCCTTGTTTGATGATGCATTAGCATGAAGTGCTTACCATAATAAAAGGTTTTCCATCATGATGTAGAATATTTTTTAAAATCATTGGAGGCAGCAGAGGAAGTAGACTTTCACATTCAGTGATGACTTAGGACTGTCCTTTGTATTCAATCATAAAGCTTTTTACCCATAATAAACTCATTAGCATAGAACAGCGATATTCTCTACTAAGTTGTGTTTCCAGAATGTGTGTGATTTATTTCTCATTTATACTATGCATCTTTGTCTCTTTCTAATTTCTTTTCATTGGGTATTTGGAAAGACATCACTTCATAACCAAGGAATTAAAGGGAGACCAGTGACAGGCAAATGGCTTTACTAAATGCTCTCAAGCTTCTCCAAAGATTTTATCCTGTGTGGAAGATGAGCCATTATTAGTTTCTAAACAATAGCTTACTTACTTCTGGATTTTATTTCAACTTAATGAATAGAGATGCACTAAGTAATAACCACTTATCATCTTCACAAATCCTAATGCCTACACCTGCATATTTTATTATTTTGTTTTCCTATACCTGCTTCCATCTCCTGAAAGGGGTCTCTAACATACATTCAAGGTCTTTCTAGAAAAACGAGTGGTGGGAAACTTACGTTAAATGATGTGAGGGCCACATTGTGAGTAAAGGCAGTTAATAGCAGAAAGTCAGAGACCTGGATTTGTTGGATAAGCATATACAGTGCTTATATCAGAACAGAGAAGGCAAGGGGGCTGGAACTTAACATTCACTTGTAAAACTCAAGGTAGTAACTGAGACCCAGTATTCCAGGGGTGTGGGTCTGCATTCTCGGTTCTAGAAAAAGACTGGGACTAGGTGTTGAGACGTCTCAGCTTCCCTGTGGCCAGGTTGCTAAATAAATAGGCCCATGCTTATTATTTGACTTGTTGCCTTGTTACTAAATATGAAGGGGTTCTCTTCCCTTCTGTGGGTTTTCAGAAAGCAAATATTGTAATCATATTAGGACGTTTCTGCAGAAACTTGACATGCATCACCAGACATGGGGCTGGCCCTATGTGATGTCAGCCTTCTGTGATGGTACTGATTGATCAGCATCTCTCCCCGACTCCCCACTAGGGAGGCCATGAGAGGAAATTCTGAGGTGTTTTCATGAGTTAACACACAGAACTATAGCTCTAAGTCCTGTGATCCAACTGCTTCTTTGTTTACAGTTTTTGCACACTCTATGGATATTACTCAAAATGCTGCATGGCCATTTATTCATTGGTCAGCCCAAGTATGGGGGCTTGGCTGGGACAAGGGTGTGGTATCAGGGAGGGCAAGAGTTCCTGGTGCAGAAATGATGTAGGAACTTGAGGACAAGTCAAACTGAACGTGTATCTGACTTCCAGAGTGCCAATACTGTTTCATGCATTTACTGTTGTTCTAGAACATTTTGATATATTATCTTATTTAATCCTCACGGTGCCACTGTATGACAATAGCTATTTGTTATTTCTCACCACAGTATCAATTTGCAGTGAAGGAAGCTGAGTCCCAGAGAAACAAAGTGACTTGGTTCAAGGCCACAGAATTCATAAGTGAAAGAGGCTGGATTTGAACCTGGATCTCCCAATGTCTCAAGCCACACTGGGTTGCCTCTTGAAATTGCTTGTTCAGAGGACTAAGGAGAGACACTAAAGCATCAGGACACCATCCAAGAAAGGAGAGGAAGGGAGGGAAGCAAAAGTCAGTAAGGGTCCCTGAACAAGAATGTGGTGGCAGCATCTTTATCAGGAGTATCTGGGTCTGTGGGCCTAGATCCCCATCTAGGGGACCTCAAACTCTACTCAGCAAACAACAGTTCTGGGGAGAAACATTGTGTCCCAGGGAGGAACGGAAAAGGGAATTCGCTCATTCCTTCTGTCATTTATTCATTCAGCAAATATTATTAAATGCTGATTCTGTGCCACGCACTGCATCAGGCACTTGAATATAACAATGGATAAGAAGAGAGGTGAAGTTCCCCACTCTAACAAGTCTACATTCTAACACAAGAAACAGGTAGAAATGGAGACAGGCAGATTTTTTTAGAAGAATGATTTCAAACACAGTTGACCCTTAAACAAAATGGGTTTGAACTGCACAAGTCCACTTATAAGCAGATTTTCTTTCACCTCTGCCACCCAAGAGACAGACACCCAAGACCAACACCTGCTCTTCCTCCTCTTCCTCAGCCTTCCCAATGTAAAGACGATGAGGTTAAAGGCTTTTATGATGATCCACACCCACTTAAGGAATAGTAAATATATTTTCTCTTCCTGATGATTTTCTTAATAACATTTTCTCTTCTTCAGATTACTTAATATAAAAATACAGTATATAATACATATACAAAATGTGTGTTAATCAACTATTTATGTTATTAGTAAAGCTTCCAGTCAATAGTAGGCTATTAGTAGTCAAGTTTAGAGAATCAAAAGTCACTCAGATTTTGTATTGTTCGAGAGGTCAGTACCCCTAATCCCCACATTGTTCCAGGGTCAACTGTGGTGGTAAGAATTATAAAGAGAAAAAACAGCTAATAGCATAGATTAACATTAATATCTCTGGGTACCATGTTATACGGTGGGTCAGCAAGGTTTCATTGAACTGAAAGATAACTTAAGAGGAAGAGCCTGTGGGACATGAGGTGAGGGATATGCATTCCAGGCCAAAAGGAGCAGGGAGTTCAAAGGCCCTGAGATGGGGCAGGTTTGGCAGATTTGAGAAACAAAAGAAGGTCATTTTGGTTGAAGCACAGTGAACAAGAGAGAAGCAGAAAGATATATGATTATGTGGGTGCTTGTCATTTTATGGTAAGTGGGATAGGAAGCCTTTAAAGGGTTTGGAGTAGGAGAGTAACAGGACCCTAAACAACCAGGAGGCTGCAAGGAATTGAGATCTGCAGCCAGGGCTCCAGGCTTATGCCCCATGTGGAACACTAGCTGGAGAGGGTAAGGTCAGGGCCATGCAGCCAGACAAGGGGGTGAGAGGGGGCTGGGTGCCTACGCAAGAGTAACATGGGGGTCCAGAGGCAGGCCTTGGAATCTGCCACCTAATGCCCAGCCATAATGTTCATTCAACATTTTTATTGACACCTACTCAGTACCTGGGTAAGGGATTCAGTGCACTTAGAGAGCTGGGTTTTTGATGGGAGAGAGAAATTAAACAGCTCAATTAGATAATTCTTCCTTCTAATAAGTGCTCCTGAAATAGAGGGCTGGGACTGAGCTTGCTTAGATCGGAGATGGTCTCGTGGAAGAGGTGACTCCTGGGGGTGAGAAGGAACCAGTTCCTAGAGGTGAGGATGAGGGCACTGGAGGAAACAGCACGGACAAAGGCCCAGAAGCTGAAAAACTCTGCCATATTGGAGGAAGAGGAAAGCAGCTCTGCACCTGGCACTTAGAGGGATACTAGAGGAAGCTAAGAGGATCCTAGGGACAGCTCATGTTGCTAGGGTCAGAGGTTGAAATTTATCTAAAAGCATAAGGGTTTTCCTACAACGAAATGCACAATTCACTGTTTTAATTTTTTAAAGGTTATGATAATTAAATGTTAACTCAGTACTTGCTCTTGAATGAACACTATGTCTGTGTTGTCACTATACACTGAGTAGCCCTTATCTGAAATACGTGGGACCAGAAGCGTTTTGGGTTTCAGATTTTTTCAGAGCTTGAAATATTTGCATTGTACTTAGAGTTAAGCATCCCTAATCTGGTATTCTAAAACCGTTTGATCATGACTTTTGAGTGATATGTCACTGCTCAAAAAGTTTCCAATTTTGGAGCATTTCAGATTTTATATTTTCAGATTAAGGATGCTCAACCTGTGCTATGTGTCAGTATCTGCTGTAAGCACTTCGCTTACATTAAAGCTTTTACTCTTCAAAACCACAATTTGAGTTAGGCACTCTTTTCCTTATTTTGCAAATGAGAAAATTGAGGAACACAGATTCAGCACCCAAGATCACACAGCTCATGAATGGCATAGCTGGAATCTGAACCCAGGCATTTTGACTCCAGAATCCCCTCTCTGACACAGCATGCTAGGCTGATGCTCTTTGATGTTCAAAGAGCACCCAAGGGCAGGACATCACAGGGAGACATAAAGACCAAGAAAGTGAGTGGAGTCAGCATTTGGGGTTCACCCTGAACTCAAGAACAAGCAAAGTTATTCTTCACTTTTTTTCTGTCCTATGTATTTATTCAAGAAGTATTTATTGAGCATTCGTTAAGTACCAGACTCCAGGTCAGATGTTAAAGATCCCTGAAGAGGTAAAACAGACAGATACAGATTCTTCCTCCTGGACTTTCTGTCTGTTGGAGGGCACAGAAATAAGAGAAAATTAAAAGACTAAAAAGTGTCATAGGGGAGAGGTAGGCCCTGCTTCAAGATTATATGACAGACAAAGCAGCTTTGGAAAAGTAAAACTTAGGAAAGGGCTGTTAGGCTTGGGAAGCCTTCTGTTTAGGAGGAACTTCAGGCCCTGGATTGCCGAGTGGTGCTGAGAGGGAGAAAAGTGGGTCAGGGTGATGGTAGGGGTGAGAACACGCCAGGCTCACTGAGTTAACTCTGGCCTCTAGGTTTACAGGTGAGAAGTCAATTATGACTAATCACCCTGCTTGATTTTTCAGGCCAGCTCAATCCAGCGGACAGGAAGGGCAGATTCAGCCCAAATGCTTGGACTAGTAATAATTTGGCATGTGGCTGGAGTGTCCTGCACACCCTAACTCTGATTCTTCCCCTGGGATGGATTAGGAATCCCCATGAGAGAAGAAGGGATGCTGCCCCAGACCTGTCCTCATACCACCCTCCAGCTATACCCACCAGTCCCTGCCCCACCAAATGGTGGCATTTAACAGTGGGACCAGAAACATTAAGACAAAGTATGAACGTTAAGGAAGCAGGGTAGTTGGTGAAAAAAGCAAACAGAGCTCTGGAATCTGACCAAACTAGAGCCTGGCTTAATGTGGGTTCTCCCAGACGCAGACCTCAAAGCCAGTATTCCAATGCAAGTAATGTGTTTTGAATGCAATTGCTGGAAATACAGGTAAGGGAGCAGGAACGGAGAAAGGGACAGCTGTTAGTAAAAGGTGTGTTTTTCAAATCAGTTACCCTTGAAGGGAACTTAATTCTGTGAGATTAATCCTGCTGGAAAACCCCGTGTGCGACATGCACTTCAGGGTTATCTCATTTGATGAGTGAACAAGATGAAAGGTCTACCCACTAACTCCCATTGGCTCCCAGCGCTTGTTAATTCCCCAGCCTCTCTAGCAAAGCAAGCTATTAATAGGAACAGCAAGTCCTGGTGGGCATAGAGAGCTGAAGGGAGAGTCCCAGACACAGGCACGTGGAAGTTAGGCTGGGATGCCTGGGGGTGGTAAATTCCAAGGGGATATGGGTGTGATATCAACAGCCTCCTCTGCATGACTTAACTTATCAGGGGCTCAGTTTCCACATCCATAAATGGGGGCAGTAACACCTAAATCTCTCAGGACTACGGAGCCCATTTGAAAGCCCATCTTATAAGAAAGATGACTATTTTACCAACACTTACAGCACATAAATCATTCCCCATAAATATCTACTGAATGAGTGAATACTTGGAGTTGTGTCCTGGAGCCAGCTCCGTACTGGCTTACAAATGCACATTGTGAAATATTCAGGATTTTCACAAGCCAGTTGTTAAATAAATGGTTGGTAGCTCAAGAGTAGCCACAGTGGGTGTGTTTATACACCACATAAATCAGAAAACTCTACAAATCAGGGCTTTTTTTCCCCCTCTGAAAGCCAGTTTACCAGCACACTACTGAATGTATGTGAAAATATTTGACATAGTATCAAACATACATAGGATGTACTCTAAAATGCGTATTTTGATTTTTCCATTGAAATTCAACAGTCAGTGTTAAAAGAGCTACACTTTTCACTATTTTGCTTCTGATATCTGGTTAGGGTTACCAGAAAGTGCTCTTTGAAGTGGGCCATGACTCTATCCGTACCATTTTATTTATTTAAAGAAATAAACGGAGGGTGACATTAAGCAAATATGATAAAACATTAAATCTGGGTGACGGATACCTGGGAGTTTATTACTCCCTGTAATTTTGTGACCATTTAAAATATTTCATAAAGAAACAAAAGGAGGCTGGGCTCCGTGTCTCATGCCTGTAATCCCAGCGATTTGGGAGGCCAAGACAGGCAGATCACTTGAGCTCAGAAGTTTGAGACCAGCCTGGAGAACACAGCAAAACTGTGTCTCTACAAAAAATACAAAAATTAGCTGGGAGTGGTGGTGCACGCCTGTAGTCCCAGCTACTCGGGAAGCTGAGATAGGAGGACCACTTGAGCCCAGGAGGTGGAGGTTGCACTGAGCTGAGATTGTGCCACTGCACTCTAGCCTGGGTGACAGAGCCAGACCCTGTCTTAAAAAAAAAAAAAAAAAAGGAAAAGAAAAAGGAAAGAAGGAGAGAAAAAACGAAGGAAGGAAGGGAGGGGAAGGGGAGGGGACAGGAGGGAAGGGCAGGGGAGGGGAGAGGAGGGAAGGGGAGGGGAGGGAAGAGAAAAAAGAAAGAAAAGAAAAGAAAAAGAAAAAAAAAGAAAAGAAACCAAAGAAAGAGGCTCCTTAACTTCAGTTTTGATGTCCTGGCCCTCTGGGAGTAGGGGGAATTGTTACTGTGGCTCAGGACCTTGGCTGAACTGATGATTTATACAGACTTTGCTTTCAATTCAAAGTGTGTCCAAAAAAGGAAAGGAAAGTCCCCACTGGAACCTACCTGAGCCCAGCGTGTACATGAGCACAAAAGAAGAGACTATTTCCTGGAAACCCGCTGGTTATACAAAGGACAGAGGTGTTTCTATGTTGGGTTTTGTTTTTTTATCAGTGTAGCTAGGGGCATGTCTCAGGCACAAACAACAAAGGCAGTTTTATGTTGCGCCTTGTTTCTTTATTTGAGTGGGCAAGAGATTTGGGCAAGTTTCCTTATCTGTGCCTGCAGCCTGATTTTTCAGGCTATTTCTCTGTTTAAAAGAGTTTTATCAAAAATCCACCCTAACTGTTCAACTTTTTTCTCTTAGAATGAGGTTCCCAATATCAACTTTTTACTGAACTGAACAGAGGCCTTCTCGCCTGGCACAGTGAAGCCAAATATCCACACTGAAAGGAGGGTATTTATTTACAGGGCACCAAGCAAAGGGAATTGACTGGGCGACTAGCACTTAACACCTGACCTCCTTGATGGCTTACAAGCAAGGACTTTTAAAGGTGGGGGCAAATTTCAGGAAAGCACAAATTACAGGCAAAACAGTAAATCAGTACATGAAGATTATACATTGGTTTGGCCTAAAAAGGTGGGATATCTTGAGGCAGGTGTGCTTACAGGTTATAAGTAGATTTAAAGACCCTCTTATTTGTGATTGGTTAAGGAAACTGAGCTTTGTCTAAAAATTTAGGGTCACCAGAAAAGAATGCTAAAGTTTGGCCGATGAGTATAACTTCCTCCAGGACCCTCAGGAAGAAATTTAGTACAAACAGGGTTCGGTTCTCAGTTCCCTTTTATCTGAGGTCTTTGTGCCAGCAGATCCATTTGGTGGGGATCTAGGTTTCTGAAAAACAACTCTGGGATATATGTTAAGATGTTAACTTTAGTTTCTACAGGAAACCAAACATGGCGTGACTCTAGCTTCCTTGGCTATCATTTTTAGCCATCATTACCTTCTTGCTAATTAGATTGATCCTTTACTTCTTAGGGCTAACTAGGTGCATGGAATTTCCCTTTAAGGAGCCCAAGATTTTCCTTCATTTCCCTGCTTGCAGGGGCCTGCAGGCCACTAACAGGAGTCCCTGCTCTGTCTCATACTTACACTGAGAGGCATCTAACAAACACAAGAGCCATCCACCTAAAGTGGTACCAAGACAGGGCTAAAATCAAGCCTTCATCTGCCTGCAAAGTTGAACACAGCAAATCACAACATCTCCCTGAATTCAGATAGGACCTTTATATAATCTATAATCAGGGATAATGGCAATTAACACATATCACATCTACCTTGTAAATGGCTCTGAAAAACAAGTCTTCAAGATTCAAAATTATTAGTTGCATCCCTCATAGGTTACCTTTCCCATTCCATGGTAATTAATCATGAGGAATTGGTAAAACTGATGAGATCTTGACATCCTGTGCTTAATTCTTCTTGTTTCCAGAATTATCGGTAAATATGATAATGTATATAGGGAATTTTGGAAGATTTTTTTTCTTCTCATGGACCATAACCCATACAATTTTTGAAATCTTAAATTCCTAATCAATAAAGTTTTGTTACTAGGCTTTTTATGATTCACAGTCCTATTTCTCTATCAAAAGGGTCATGAAGATCTTAGGCTTCATCAAATTTAACCCTGGTCAGATGCATCCTTCCCTTTTATTGAGTCTCTGACAGCAGGACACATCCAATCTCTGCTTAACATTCCGGTGACTGGAAATGGGCTACTTCAAAAAGTAAATAATAAAAACAGCTACCATACATTGAACTACTAATCCTATGCCTGGCATAGAACTTGGGCTTTATAAACATTGGCTCATAGAGTCTTCATGGAGATGTACTAAGATAGGTGCTATAATAATCTTTATTTTAGAGAAAAGAGATTTGGGACTCAGAGAGATTATGTGGTTTGTCCCAGGTTGTACAGCCAGCCAGTGGAAAAGCTGGGATTTATTATGGGTTGATCTCACCGAAAAGTCCATGTTCCTAAAAGATGGGTTAAAGCTCCTTTCTTCCGACTTTGAGGCACTAGTCTTTGACCAGCTTCCTGGATAGATCAGACACTCCTCCCATCCAAGCTTTAATGTCTGTCCTTATCCTGGTCTTTTCAAAAATTTACCAAGTAAGACATTTTCTTGGCACTTCACTGTTCTGACCTTTCTCCCGAGATGTTCTCCAGTCTACCATGCCCTTCGTAGAACCCAGAGTCTGTTGTGAATAAAGCTGACAGAGCATGTCTTCTTAGGGTACATACAAGAGGATTAGGACTTCTATTGTTTCCATGCTGTCAATCAGCCTTTACTAATTGATGTGGTTTGTATCTGTGTCTCCACTCAAATCTCATGTTGAATTGTAATCCCCAATGTTGGAGGTGGGGCCTGGTGGGAGGTGACTGGATTATGGAGGTGGATGTCTCCTGAATGGTTCAACACCATCCCCTTGGTGCTGTTCTCATGATCGTTCTCACGAGATCTGGTTGTTTAAAAGGGTGTAGCACCTCCCCCTGCCCCACTCCCTTACTCCTGTTCCTGCCCTGTGAGACACCTCATTCTGCCTTTGTCTTCCACCATGATTGTAACTTTCCTGAAGCCTCCCCAGAAGCTGAGCAGATGCCAGCATCATGCTTCCTGTACAGCCTGTGGAATGATGAGCCAATTAAACCTTTTGTATTTATTAATCACTCAGTCTCAAGTGTTTCTTGACAGTAATGTGAGAATGGAATAATAAACTAATCTTGTGTGGACAACTTACATTTCCAAATATGCTTAAAAATTGACTGCAAAGAAAGCAATATTTTAACGTTTCTTTGCTTGGTAATTTGATGTTGTTTGTTTGAGCTTAAAAGGAGGATTTTCTCCTCAGTGACGTATTGGACCTCTTTGGTTTCTGCCTTCCCAGCATCCGTCTGCTTTCTTCTGAGGAGAAGCCAACTGTGTTTTGGGAAACCTTCTCACCCCCATTGGATATAATCTTGATGGGACTATTATTCAAAGTGGTCACCTTGGGGTAGGCATCAGGGGCTCTCTCCTGGGAATATGGGTCCTTGAGCACAGATATATGTTCTGTGGAAGTGAAGGACCTTGGAGGAGGCATTTCATATATGCCTTCAATCTAGGTTCTCAGAGCTACCCTCTCCAATTCTAGTTCTTAGTGCTAGCCTTCCCTCCGATAATCTCAGTTGACTCACTGGATTATTCATTCATTTACTTACTCACCCAAGTACCATTCAGAAAGTTTCTACCATGTGCCAGAAACTAGAGGCCCATTCTAAGCCAGAAATATTTCTTAGGAAGAGTTGTTCAAATAGTTTCATATATATCGAACAAAAGTAGTATGTAATATGTACTTGTCATTTTATTCAGAAAAAAATATCAACCGAAACTTTTTTAAAAGTATTGCTCAAAATCAGATCCCCTTGGAAAGCAAAGAACTTCCCCTCAGGAAAGAAAGGAAATAATAAGGGGGGGAAAAACTTTTGCTATAATAGATAGATAGATAGATAGATAGACAGATAGATAGATAGATAGATAGATAGACAGACAGACAGATATAGACATACAGACAGATAAATAGATGGAGATAGGTATACATGTATATGTATTTATAAACATAGTTTATGTATAAAATAAAAACCTAAACCAAATTCATGCTCTATTTAATAAATGGTTTTTGAAATAAATATTATAACAGGCGTAGGTAGCCTGACAATTTCTAGTTAGGAATTTATAATTGAAAGACACCTTCATATTGGGTATTTATCAGAGAGCAATATGTTTTTACCATACGTCACTTAGCATTATGACTAACATTTATCCAGCCAGCCTAGGCTTATTATGTACTTCAGGAGCATCTTCTTATACAATTATACCACATTTTACATATACCTACATTTCTACCACCTGGGATTAAATTCCCTCTAGCTTCATATTTTTCTGATGGGTGTAAATTGATTTCTTTTTTACTATAGCTCCTTTAACACAGTCTCTGTGTTCCATACATAATGATTTAGTTTAACTGAAAATATCTCCCCAAAGCTTACAAAGATGAGGATGGAGAAGGAGATGAGAAGCCCAGTACTAACAGTGAGTGCACTTTGTTCTTGAACCTGCCTATGTCTCTATTTCCTATGTCACCTCAGATAAGTAACTTAATCTCTTCTGGATCAACTTTCTTCGCTTACAATGTGCCCTAGATCCCAGACTAGCCCATGTGTTTTAAAAGTTCATGTTTCTGTGTTTTACCTCTGTTCTATTGAACCAAAAATCCTGCGGTTGGAGAATCAAAAACAATTTTACAAAACCTCTCTTAGTGATCCCAAACCAATTGATCCCTGGATGAGAATTTAGGAATAATAAAAACATAACAATAGTGACTCATGTGTAGAGAGCAGTTGCCAAGTGAGCTCAGCACTGCTGTTATCTTGCTTTTATAGCTAAGGAAATTTAAGCCTAGAGATGTTAAGAAACTTGCCTGAGGGTATACATCCAGTAAGTGGGGAGCTTAAGTCCCTGTCGAGCCAGTCCACCTCCAGAGCCTGCCTCTCCTCACTGCACTAGACTGTTCCTGGGAACCACTGGTTTAGATTATGTCTATGATCTTTTACAAATGTATTAGTAGCTTTGATTTTGCCCAATAACTTTGTACAAATTATAATTCATTTCTGATGTCCTATTTTGTTCGTGATGTCTTAAACCTGTACTTAAACAATTTCTAGGCATATAGGGAGAATTCTTTTATCATTAAGAATGTGGCTCTTTAAAATGTTTCTCTACCTGGAATACCTGCTTCCCCAATCTTAGCATCTTTTTCACTTGCCCTCCAAGATTTTACCTAGGTGCCTTCCTGTCTGAGAAGTCTTCATGACACTCTGTTACTAAGTCTGCATGAAACACTTAATGTGGGGTAGATTACGTTATCAATTGATGGCAACACTTAACACCTCCGGCCTTTCAGTGGTTGGGCTAAAACCATGGACATTTACCAGCCTCTCCTTGGACTTTTTGCCTGGGAAGTGCTGCCAAAGTTGCTGAGCAACGGACGAAGCCACTGGAGAACTCAGTCCTATCCTCACAGCTGTGTGCTTTGCCCCTCATCTTCACCGTCTGGTCCTCAACTTCCAGCAGCTAGCTCCTGCTAGACAGTGTCCTCACCATCTATGTTTTGGGTCTGTGCTCATCTGTCTTCTGCCTAAAGCATGTACATCCTGGGATTATTGTCTGCAACTAAGACACACACACACACACACACATGCACATGCTCTCTCTCTCTCTCAAGCAAGCATCATCTAACTGGGCACAACCTCTTTACTAATTCTTTTTCCTTAAGGACAATTATGCGATATATTGAAAATCCAAATTAAAACTTCGAACTCAAAACTCATGACTACCATATTTCCAAAAGGAGTCTAGCAGTCTGATCCTGCAATTCAATCCAAATATCATAGCCCACACCTAGGCATCCTACTTAGCTGCCCCCTCACATTCAATCTAATCCTGTCCCAATCTAGACCACCATCATCTCTTGCCTTTTAATAGTCTTGTTGCCTCCAATCCTGCTCCCCTCCATCTATTCTAAACAGAGTGATCTAGGACACAAGTTTTATTAAAGCATCCTAAAACCTGTCAGGAGCCTCCCATTGCTCCAAGAATAAAGTCAAAATTGTTTAGTTAATGAAACAACCTGCTTGCCTCAAGGCAGCTCACTCTTCAATCTTGCTGAACAACTATATTTTTCTATATATTCTCTAGCATGTGATTCTTTCCACATGCTCTTCCTTTTACCTGGTAAACTTTTGCTACGGTCCACTCTTGTTCAGCATCTTCTATTTGCCCTTAGGTGTCATTTCATTCAATGAGCCTTTTTCAACATTCTCAACTCTCACCAAGGGGGTATCATGGCCCTTTTCTGTGGTCCTTGTGTTACCATCACCACTCATAATACTTTGTTCTCACTATTGGCTGATTTTATTCCCCACTATAAGCTCTTTAAGGAAAGGAACCATGTCTTCTTTAATTCTGATTGCGTGATTTAAGAACTGGCAAATGTTCAGCATTTCGTAAATCTTTATTGAATAAAGTAAGATCAGTATGTTTCTGATCAGCCAAGGGTTTTTGGTGTATTTAATGTCCATAATGGCAGCCTAGTTAGAACATGACTTGAAAAATAAATGTTATAGAAAAGACAGGCACAATTTAGTTCTCATGCTTTCTGGAAAGGTGTGAAGCTCTGAAACCACTATACCCATCTATTTAGATAAATATGATAAGATAGAAGGAGTGCTCTATTTTAGAAATAGAGACGCTTTTTCTTTCTCTTGGATAAGACACAGTGGAATCCATTTCTAATTATGAAAATAAGAAAAAGACAAATTTCTTTCCAAGTTAATACTCAAGAACTTTCTGTGGAGGTAGTTTTAGCAGCCATAATTTGACCTGAGTATTTCTGAATCCTTGTGATAATATGTAACATTATAACAGATTGGTACTTTCAGAGTAATATGGAACTCAGAGAAATTTATGATATTGCAATAAAATAATACAGATTTTAAAGACTACTTTCTGGATATGGATTTCAAAGCCTGCAAGCAAAATATGTTGGCTTTTTTTTCTCTATTTCTCTTTACCTACCCAAATAATTTGTAAAGGATTTATCTAAGATATAATCATCTCTGCTATCTCAGGGACTATTAAGAGATGGTGGACCTTGACACAATGAAGAATGGAAGGCCCAGATTTAAGGACATTGCAAATTACATGGGACTAATTCCAATTCCTTCAGAGGACAAATTTCTTTGGGGTCTGAGTCATATAGTTTGGCTGCACAGCTCTTTTCCCAATCACCTGAATGACCAGCGTTTGGATCTGGGTTCATTTAGCTGCAAGGGGACCTCATTAAATGCTGTGTACACAAAAGGTCAACAATTCCTCACACTGAAAAAAGGGAAAAGAGGAGCGCTTCCAGCAAAACAACTGAATAGACACTGTAAATGTTACTAAACAGGAAAGTACAGAGAAGTGCCTGCTGGAAGGAGATCCATGGCAGAACAAAAATAGCACAAAGAGAGATTCTCTGTCATCCATCAAGATCCAAAAGCAGTTCTCCAGGCTAACCAATGATTTGATTAATTAGAGATTTATCACGTGTTCAGATTTCCAATTTTTTTTTTTTTTTTTTTTTTTTTTGAGACGGAGTCTCGCTCTACCACCCAGGCTGGAGTGCAGTGGCGCAATCTCAGCTCACTGCAAGCTCCGCCTCCCGGGTTCAAGCCATTCTCCTGCCTCAGCCTCCCAAATAGCTGGGACTACAGGTGCCCGCTACCACGCCCGGCTAATTTTTTGTATTTTTAGTAGAGACGGGGTTTCACCGAGTTAGCCAGGATGGTCTCGATCTCCTGACTTCGTGATCCGCCCTCCTCGGCCTCCCAAAGTGCTGGGATTACAGGCGTGAGCCACCGCGCCCGGCCTCAGATTTCCAATTTTTAAAGAAATCGAACAAAAATTAAGTACACTCAAGGTCATGTACTTTTTTCTGGCAATTCAGAGAGTTTTAGGACACGGCAGGAACTCAGAGAAACCTAAGTCAAATGATTCCTTCATTCTTCGATTTTATTCCCTACCAAGATCAAGTTTCTCCAAAAGCTCTGCCACCAAGAGCATCAAAAAGTCAACCACACTGGGGCCTCCTGCTACTATTGAAAAAATAAGTGTGACAGAGGTTCTAGTTCTCCAAGTTTTAACTGAATAATAATAAATACATTCTCTTTGCTATGAAGTTATACTGATATAGAGGAAAATCCAGTTGTTGGCTTCTACAACCACAGTTATGTTTTTCTATGTAGACAAATGCTATGGTCTTTTACCATTGCTGAATTCCTTAATGGAGTTGTTGTTAGAAAATCAGATTGGAAAGACAACTTGTTCTGTTGTTGGATTCATTCATTTGGAGGTAGTCATTTGGTGCGTTTAAGTGCTTTGAGTTTTGTAGATACTTTCTCAGCTATAATTCCTTTTTCGCATTTGGTGGTTGTCTTCACAGTAAACATCCTGATACTAAGGAATCTAGAGTAGACAGGATAAGTAAAAGATAATCCACAAAAGTCTAAAAGTAAAGCTTCTAAGGAGTACACAAATGCTAGGTTATGTTTTTTTTCTCAAGAGAAGGACAGCACATTTATTATTAGCTGCTGAAACCCAACCGTTTTCTAAAACTTTCCATATTAATGACAGCTCTTAAGAATTATTCCCATTAAGAGGTTAGGAGTCATTACACTTTATTATCTTCCATGTCAACAAATATTATTACGAACAAGTGAATTAAATATTCAAGGCATTTAACGCATTTATTTACAAATCCCAAGAATGAATTTGTTCACGTAGTTTCTGCCTCATCAAGCATTAAAAAGCCTTATACCATATGCCTTTCACAGCTTGACAAGTCTGTCAACCTAACTTCACCCATGTGCATGAATAGGTAAATCCACAAAGACACAAGGTAAGCTAAAAAAATTTTTGGTTGTTTTCAAATGACTGCACTAATCATTTCAACTGTACTTTTACTGAAATGCCTCCTTAAAGAACTCCAAACTCTCATGTCCACCGTGGCCAGGATAGTAACAAACTCTCCTCCACACTAGGTCAAGCCCAAATTGCCCATAAATTTGCCATTCATTTTGTCCTTTCTTTTCAAATCTTTGGGTGATTTTGTTAAAACCAGCCACTTAAAAGAAATGAGAAAAATAAAGCTGGAAATCTTCCAAAACAGGTAAGTAGCTAAATCACACAATAATCTTTGCCTTGTGGGAAGATTGACATGGTAATGCCACTTCAGATGATATTCCTAAAGTTGTTTTTGTTGAGTGAGTTGGAATCCTGCAACGTAAGAATTCTCCTTGGAACTGGGATATTTTTGAAACAACATATTAGGACCAGATTGCATCAGATATAAAAGAAGAACACTGACCAATCACTATTTCTAACTAAATTGCTGAGTAATCCTCCAAATAATTTAAGCCACATGATTGCCTTAGTAAGCAGAGAATAGTAACATGACAATTTTAAAACAACTAATATTTTGTTACTGGTGGACATTGCAGAGTCCTACAAGGAAAATCTGCACTCTCATGTTAAATAAAGAAAAGAAAAGGAAAGACCTCAGGAGGAAGGAAAAATTAAAATAAAGCCGATGTAACTGCCAATGAAGATGAGAAGTTTTGGGAAATATTTAAGAGATTCATTAAGATTTATTAGATAAAAGCTGACCATACAGACTACAAAAAAATTCTTGAAAATATTTAGGCAAAGAAAAAAGGAACGTATAGAGAACTACTAGAAGAATTTGGGAAAACTGATCTTTTTAGTATTTTTCTCCTAAATATACCATCAGGAATGCTAGTGGTTATTTTTTGAAACTAAGCTTAGGAATGGCCCACTTTGATGTCCTAATGTCTTATTCCCTTAGGATACCTACTAGATGAATATCTGAAAAGCTCCCTTACAGATCAACCATATAGAGAACATATGACACCAAAAGACAGACCTGGAGGGAAATTAGACCTGTAGCTATAGCAACCAGAGTAATCAAGCAGCACACTTTCTGAGTTGGGAATAAAAATGATTCAAAACATTAGTAAAGGGGGCAGGACTCTTCCTTAACTCACTAAGGGGTAAGTGGTGATGGAAAAGAGGTTTTGATGGATTTGCGTTGAGTGAAAGAGTCAAGAGTATTGTACCAAAGCTAACGTAGGATTTTAGCACATGATACAGCCCACACACACCCATCAACATAAGTTGCAGAGTAACAGTTGATGCGTTTCTTCGAACAAGAGGAAAATGTTCAAATTGTAAAGACTTGAAGATTGAGGGAAAGGTAAATCTCAGCAAAGGGGATACTCTGCTAAAACCAAAGGGAAGGTGAGTTATAGTATTCATGTATCTATGCCCTAACCCCACATCTATATCTGAAGCACCTGCAGCACTGGGCCATCCAATCAAAATGAGCTTTGTGTAAATGGGAGAATGACCAGAAAGTAACCAGTAGACTGGCTGAAGAGATATTTTTAGAGGGAATAGAAGTTCTCTGTGTAACTATCTAGAAGCACAAACCCTCCCCTGGCATCCTCTTCTAGTCTGTAGGAGCATGCTGTCCCCTTCCTCACCATCAATTTCTTCTGCAACATGGGACCGTACCTGCATGGGACTCTATTAAAGCCTGTAGTGGTGGTTTTCAAACATTAGCATGCATAAGAATTATATGGGGAGTCTGTTGTATATTTAGATTGTTGAGTCACAATCCTAGTGTTTCTAGTTCATTAAGTTTTCAGTAGACTCCAAGGATCTGTATTTTTAACTGGACTCATATTTGATTTTAGGCAGGAAGTGCTTGGACCTCAATTTGAGAAACACCGGCCTTAGGAAACCATTCTTCCTTCGTGAAAATATGCACCCTTGGAAAATATGCACCATATCAGGTGGAGTCCACTTCCTCCAGACTTGGAGTAGAGACAGCAAAAAAAAAAAAAAAAAAAAAACAGTAAACATTTGCTTTCATTAATAAAAGATAATATATGTAACAAGGGTTAAATTTTAAGTCCTGATATTTGAATCACTTCAAACTGATCTTGGAAAAAATGGACATCTCATACAATTAGTTATAGTGATTGTCTGTGAGAGGTCCCAGTCTGATAAAATGGTGGTGGAAATGAATGAGATTTTGAGAATCACATCTGGTCTTAAGAAAGTCCTCATTGGTACCACAACCATTCCTACCTAAAAGTGTACACATGCACAATGGCCAAGTGGATTATTTTCATTTTCAAAGAAAGACATTATCTTCAGAGATGAGACTGGACTCTGTACTAGGGCATTCTCTTATGTTCATAGCATGACCAACTAAAACAAAGAAAATACCATAATGCTAGAGAGATGGGAGACCCAATAATAAGTGTTTTCAGTCTATTGTCAATCAAAGGGAACTGTCCTGGTTTAAATCTCATGTTGCAATTATTTGACTTCTACTTTAATTGTATTAAGGAAACCTGTGGCTATCTGACAAATTTCAAGTGGAAAAAAAAAATAAATGGATGTGTTCATGGGATTGTCACACCATTCAGATACTGGCGGTTAGGTATACAACTGTAAAATTATAGAAAGTCAATAAAATTTTAATGTATATGTTCATATTTCTAAATGCTCAAGGATAACTGGTAATTTGGCTGAATCTAATAGAAAAACATAAATATCCATCCCTCAATGAACTGCTTTTGTCAAATTTGACTTTTCATATAACAGAGCTCACCTCTTATTTCTGAAGCATTGATAGAGGAAACAGAGAAACCTGTAAGCATACTGTTAAAATTGAGATCTTTCTTTCTTTCTTTCCTTCTTTTTTTTTGGTTGGGGGGATAGGGTTTCACTCTGTCACCCAAGCTGGAGTGTGGTGGCATAATCTCAGCTCACTGCAACCTCTGTCTCCTGGGCTCAAGTCATCCTCCCATCTCAGCCTCCTGAGTAGCTGGGACCACAGGTGTGCACAACATACCCAGCTAATTTTTGTAATTTTTTGTAGAGACGAGGTTTCACAAAGTTGCCCAGGCTGGTCTCAAACCCCAGAGCTTGAGTGATTCACCTCCCTCAGCTGCCCAAAGTGCTGGGATTACAGGCATGAGCCACCTTGCCTGGCTTAAACTGAGAGCTTTTTAAATAAAAAGGTTTAACCCTCTCTCTCTTTGGTAGGTTCATTATTTTTGCCCTGTGCTCCAGGCAGTATTATTCTGAAAACCTTCGATTCTGAACTCTAAGAAAATTGAAATTCTATTCTAGCCCAGTATTTTATCTTAAAAGGCTCACAATACATACACTCTAATTATCAAAATATCCTAGACTGATTTCCATCCTACAGCTCTGATCTAGATAAGTTCATTCCCATACCAGAAGATTTGAAGAGAAATAAATAAACAGCAGCCATTAACTTTAGCCATCAGCTGAATAGCTCACTTAGCTGTCTCTGCTGCTTCCTAAGTCTTACTTTAAAGACAGGCTGATCTTGCTGATTCATCTGCGCGACAAGCTCACTAGCTACAGAGGAGACTAGATGACATTTTCCAAAGTGCATTTATGCCTCTTTTCTCGTTTACCCTAAAGCACTGGTCTAAGTTAGCTAAAACAGAAAGTATTATTCACAATGAAAATAGCAGAAACTTAGGCTAAAGGAAGTGATATGCTTCATATAAGATGTTGCTAGTATCACTTGGGCCTAAAACTCAGATATCTTGACTCCCATTTGCAGCCCTGTGATTCCCGGCCAAGTCCATTATTTTCCCACTTGATTGTGTTCTGCTCTGAAAGTTCCTCATCCTGAAGATTCATCATCAAACAAACACTTACGGAGCATCTATTATGTACCAGACACATAGTTCAGCTCTACAGGTCAAGACTTCTTCTTTTCAACTTCCTCTAAGAGGGCCATAGTATCCTTATCTGTGCAAAGAGAAAGATAGACTAGATTTTTCTCTAAGTTTTTTTGTTTTTTAGCTGGGACCAACTATGTGGTTGGTTTTCAGTATATAACAAGAAGGAGGAAGGTACCAGTTATCCAGGTCATAATCAAAAAGTTTGCCAAATCAATTTCCATTTTATTTTCAGAGAAGGTAAAAGACCTGAGCACCCTCACTTGTTTCTGGGAAATTAATAACTTCCACATTATATGAAATGCTGGGTTGCTTAATGATAGATCATAATAAAAGGTTGTAATAACCAGAGGGTGGATGCTTGTTCTGACTATTTGTCATGCTGTTGACTTGAAATCATTTATTTCTCTTAGTCAGTATGTTACATCCCAGGTTTGCATTTGTCTTGCTACATAAATCAGTGGTTTAAATGGGAAAGAGATCAGAGTCCTATTAATTGCAATTAGTCTACGAGACAACTTCTCAACAAATGTGTATGTATGTGTGTGTATATATATGTATGTGTGTTTCTGCGTGTGTGTGTGTGTGTATCTCAAATAAACAACTACAACAGGTGTAATTTAGTCGATCTGGTTCTTATCTCCTAAATCATTTCTGAAAAAAATTGCTCTGACATAGTACAATTCTGATTATTACATCCATTTATATAAAACAAGGAATTCAAAAAATATTTTCCATAAATTGCCTAAGAATGAAAGCCTTATTCTAATATATTTGCTGCAGTGTAGGATTTGGCTTCAGAGGGTCCAGCTTTGTACTCTTAAGAAGATAGAGGCAAGCATTTTTTACTTTTCAAAGTGCTTTCATTGTTTGCCTTTCCATAGATACTACCACAACCCAAGGAGGAAAACTGGATGAAGTTGCCAATGAGAAAGCAGCTATATTTACATAGGACAATAGTGAACAGTCTGAGATCTTATATCAGGTTGATGACGAAGACCAAGACTAGACCTAGCATCCCTGGCCCTTGATCCAGGGAACTTTGCCTTCCATAGTGCTATGGTTTTACCTGAAATAGGGTGAGTGTTAGACAGAGAACCACCGCAGTGTTAGCATCTGGTCTCTGACTCAGTGCTCTCCACTAATGGATTTCTCCTGCCTTTCTCCTTCCCTGGTCTTCTTGCCTCACCCAGCTGGTTCATACATGAAGCTGGGCCATTGATAAGGTCCTGATAAGACATTTAGAGGCTCAAGTAATGCAAGGTGATGGTGCACACATCAACCCAATCAATGCTAATTTAAATAATAAATCAGAAAAGATGTTTGAGAGCAGCCAAGGTAGTTCTTGGTTCTCCTAGAATGATTACCTGGATGTTTTTTTTCACATACCAAAACTTTCCAAAGAACATTTTGGATGGGTTCTCCTGCCTTGTAGGTACCTTAAGTACGTACCCACTGGGATATCAAAGTTGGCTTCTCAAAAAGAAGTAAGTGGTAAAAAATACATCCCCCACTGACACACACATTCCTCCTCATCCCATCCATAACCAATGCCCATAGAAGGGGTCTCAGCCAAGCCAGTGCCAGCTGAGACCCAGTTCCCTGGGGGTCTGCTGTCAGATCTCTGAGGAAATGCTTCTGTGACAAAAGTCATGATAAACAACGAGCTTCCCTGAGGAGCCACGCTGTCAATTCTGTTTCCTTCCACCAGGGCTAGAAGCTCAAGTGCTTTTCTAACTGAGTCAGAATAATTTAACTCATAAATAATCCTGCCACAACTAGTGACACGCTCCACTAGAATCATTCAAAGTTAATACAAGTATAAGTTTAAGAACTTGATGGAATCCAAACGCAGCTTCCTTGATGGGGATGAAAGCTGTGGAAAACGAGAGGAGTCCTGGGCCCAGTAACTTGATAATAAATCTGAACCTCCAATTGCCAGTGGGTGGGGGAAATTCCCAGGTGTCCATTAACTCAGAAATTGCTCCTTCCATTTGCAAGTGAGTCTTAAAAGGAACAATTTGCATTTCCAACCACGATGTCTGGAGCCAGAGACAAGATTTAAGTTTCATATCAAACTTCACTTTGGCAACTGTATATTATCCTGTCCTAACTCTTCGATTAGACATTCTGTTATGAATCGATTTCCCTGGCAGTTGTTAATTCCACGCAATGGAGGGGAGGCAGAGTAATGTACTGATGTGAGGCCGCCCTCGCTTGCAGCTCCAATTTGCTCATGTAGACATGCAAATCATATGCCTGTTTATGGCGGCAGCCGGTCATAATGGCCCAGTTATGTTTAAATTCAAAGTACAAACCTTAACAAAATTATTCATAATTTACTATGGAAGAAAGCTGGGGTGACAGCTAGCCACTTTCTTTGTAAATAAGCAAGATAATAACCGGGCAGCAAATGTAAATGATAGCCACTATGTATTTTAAGCAGCTATGGTGTCTCTGCTAAAACAATATTCTAAATTATGTTTCATCTAAGACCAATAATATTAGGGGTGAGTCATTAGCCTCTGCACCCCTTTACAAAAATCTGATTGTGTGATATTAATTCCAAAGGATTATGTGTAGAGCTGAGAGCTATACAAATGCTCTCAGTATGCTGGCTTTGCCAAAAAGAGCTTTCCCCACAGGACTTATGTTCCCTGGCTCCATGAAGTTGAGCACTGCCAACTGGATGATCTGCTGAAACAGGTTTAAATTTGGGGAACAGGAATGAGCTCATTATAGCCTCATTGTCCTACTGGCAGAGAGCAGGTCTTGTGGGCTTGAGAAAGAAATGAGATAGGTTTTGACCCTCCTGGCTCCTACAATTTACTCCTGTTACTACACTTGGACCAACCTCACTCCTTCCACCTCCTTCTGACTTCAACTCCCTCACCCACACATATGCTTCTGCAGGCCCAACCTCATCCTGGGTCCCAAGATTAATCCTGACCTGAGGTTGAAAGGAAGAAAGCGTCAGCCCCAACCTCACCCTCCGAAAGGTAGCATTTTCCTCCATTATCTTTTTCTCTTGGAGAAAATGGTATGGACCTGATAGGGTCAAAAGATGGATAGACCCTGGACCCCTAAAAAACCAAATGGAGAAGAACTTCCACTTACTTGCAGTTAAACCAAACCAAAAACCAAGCCTGATCTGGGCTAATTCACTGAGATGGGATTTATTAATTGCTAACAAACTATAAAATAATGTGTGTCTCTTTTCCTGGACCCCCATTAAGCACCGTCATTTAGCCAGCATGACATATGTGCTGTCATTTCAAAAGCCAATCCTACCATTTAGAATCCTCCTCAATTATTAGTCTTCCTTTTAAATCTGGCAGCTCTCCATAGCCCAATGAAACGTTGGCCATCCCTCCACTCTGTGATAGCGTCAGTAAGAAATGAAATGAATCAAAGCTCCAGCTGTGGCCCGGCAAGTCTGCTGCAAGTACAGCCAGTCTTAATTGATGAAGCCATTTACTGGGTCTGTAAATTAAAATATTGGATTTGAGCCACATGACTTCCTAGGATCAGCCTGACCTCTCTCTGGAGCTCAGAGGTGGTGACATCAGAATACAGCAGGAAGTGGATGAGTGCATTGCTTCTGTAATTAAAGTCCTTCAGCCTCCAGGAAATGGTGACAAAGCTGTGACTTAAGACATAGGGCAGATAAAATGTTAATTGCAAACTTGTAGGAGGGGGCATAAGGTATGCTGCACTGCTCACCTCGCTGAGACTTTAACAAGATGGCATCTGAGGGTTGATGGCTTTATTAGCATTCTGACTGTGCCTTCCAAGCCTGTAATGTTGTGAAACTCTCTCCCTAAACATACAGTTAAGAAGAAGAGAAAAAGGTGCCCAGTAGGTAGTAGCAATGGGACTCACAAATGGTGATAACTTATAGCATTGCGGTATATTATCCATGCAGAACCACTATTATTAAGGTTTTAACATTAAGCCTGGCTGGGCTGAATGCTTATCACCTAATTATATCAAGCATAGAGCACCAGAAGGCATGTGTTTTTTTAAAATATGTTTCCTTCAAAAATGTCCAGATGAAGATACTTGCTAAGCTAATTTGCAA
Source organism: Homo sapiens (assembly GCF_000001405.40). Taxonomy (NCBI): domain Eukaryota; kingdom Metazoa; phylum Chordata; class Mammalia; order Primates; family Hominidae; genus Homo; species Homo sapiens. Next base: position 8,155,429 of record NC_000003.12, read on the forward strand.
GCATGTAGTCCTTTAGTATATCAATAGGTGATTGAAGAATTGGCAAATGCAACTCTGAAAAGCAAAGGAGAAATGTTGGGTATAGCTCTAGAATCAGGTCTTCTAATAGCAACCCAACTGGCTGTTCCCTATACCCCTGTCTAGTATCACTGTGGTCACACCCTTCCTATCAATACATAAGTTTGTCAAATATATGGCATTTGGATAGATACCATCTATCTCCACCTATACCACATGTAGCTAATCATTCTCAGCACTGTTTCTGAGCCAAATTCTCCAGACGGCCACTACTAGTTGACCAAGGTTAACAAAAGGGATGAAACAGTTGTTCACCCAGGTACTAGATATTGCATTTATTTTTCTGCTAATAAATGCTTAAGACGAGTGCACTAGCCCCAGCCTCTCCCCACAGTCTGCTCAGGAAGTCAGGTTGAACGGGGCTCAATCCAACTTCATTACTCACTAGCTATGGGTCCTTGAAGAACTCACCTGACCTATCTGGTACTCAGTTGTTTTATGTATGGGAAATAATGAAACTTTCCTTGCAGTGTGATTGGGAGGATTAAATAAGATAACATGGATGAAAATGCTCAGGACAATGCCCTGCACATAGTACATGCTCACTAAACATGGGTTCATTTCATTTTCCGGTATGGAAAACAAAGACACACCCCTGGGGCAAAAAAAACTAAGAAATGAAGATTTTTTTTCTCAGAACAGAAAACTAGAATTTAGAGCCCACAGAACTCTCCTGGAGCACCGTAGAGACTGGTTAAAGTCAATAGGTTATCAATGTCCAGCTTTGAAATGGAACAGAAGCTGCAAGCCCACAGGCCCGGCTCTGGTGGGGGTGGGGAGCAAGATTGAGAGCCTTGAGCAACAGATGATGTCAGCAACCTTTGACCAGTGAAAAATCCCTAGCGCCGTAGAGGAGACCAACGAGATTGGAGTGAGCCAGGGGAGTTAGGATACAAGATTACCTACTGCCAACTGATGGGCATGTTAGAGAACGAGGTCTGGGGCTAATTCATTTAGTCTTGGTTCCCCAAAGGCTTCAAGATAAAGACTTGAAGATATATTTCAAGGTAAAGTCCACACTTCTAAGCCTGATCTACAGGCCCTCCGTGGCCTGGCCCCTCCATTCCCTCTAGTCTCATCTCTTACTCCTCTGCCTCACTCAGCATCTCCACATGGCTTATAACACCATGCATCCCATGGTGCTCCTCTTCTGTGGGTCTCTGTTCTTGCTGTACCCTCCATCTGGAAGGTCCTTGCTTCCTCATTCCCTTCCACAAACCTCCTGTAATTCTCCTACATGACTCCTTGTCTTTAAAACTCAGTAACCCCTGGAAGTCTTCTACAAGCTGTGTTGCATATGCTTCACATGTGTTACATATGTGTTATATGAACACCATAACATTCTGACCATTGGCTCCTTCATTGCACTTACCATCTACCGGAAGACAGGTTCAGAGATGGACGGTTACAAAACAGGATTATGAAATGCAACAAAAGGACAAGGATCATGCCTCTACCTTCCAGTGTTGTATCTCCAGTGCTTAGCATTGTGCTTGGTGCAGAGGGTGTGGAGTAGTGTAGAAATGTTAATGGATGAATAAATAAGTAAATGAATAAAGTGGGGAAAGGAGAGAAACTATCCCTTGTGATCACCTAATATCCATGCTGAAATAATGGGAGCCCTGGCCAGCCACACCCATGGATATGAAAGTGCCCAGGTGACTATGTATTGTAAACCCTTAAGAGTGGGGTTTCTAGGCTTGGCTTGGTGGCTCAAGCTTGTAATCCCAGCACTTTAAGAGGCCGAGGCGGGTAGAACACTTGAGGTCAGGATTTCAAGACCAGCCTGGCCAACATGGTGAAACCTCATCTCCACTAAAAATGCAAAAAAAAAAAAAAATTAAACGGGCATGTTAGCATGCACCTGTAATCCCAGCTACTTGAGAGGCTGAGGCAGGAGAATCACTTGAACCCGGGAGGCAGAGGTTGCAGTCAGCCAAGAGCCCACCACTACACTCCAGCCTGGGCAACAGAGTGAGACTCCATCTCAAAAAAAAAAAAAAAAAAAAAAAAGTGGAGCTTCTAGAATTATCACACCAGACTTCTCACCCCACATGGCAGCAGCTGACCCACCTGGCCTGAGTGTGATCCAGTGTCTTTCCCCAAGATCAACTTGAGGTTTACATTAAAAGAAAAAAAAATCTCCTTCAATAAGGAATCCCCAGTGCTCAGCCAACACTAATTACATTAGACTGTTTGTCACTTCAGTCAACACAATCCGTGAAGCTATGCCCACCATAACCAGGGCTTCCCATCGAACATGACAACACTGAGCTGATAAGAAATGACAGTAGACATTGCTGGCATATGCATGCCACCCACTCTTGGTGCCGGGTGAGATTTAGCTAAAAGGCATTTTAAGAGTGTGAAGAAAGGAAGGTTTTTTTCCCAGAATGTGTGGTTGGAATGCAAAGGATAGATAGGTGCCAACTGCTCTCCAGACACTATCGTGATTCAAACAATATTAAGGGGTGTAGTGCTTTCCTTGAGTGATTGAACCCATTACTGGTTCCTCCCAGTCATAACAACAAATATGTTACAAATGTTCAACTCACATTACAACCTTGCTTTCCAAGGGACCAGTTGATCGGTTACTTACACCACATAGGGTTTAATATAGGAGAGAAGAAATGGAAGAATGTCTATGTTATGGCTCTTCACGAGCTTACTAATTCAGCCTATTTGCTACAATATCTACTTTGTTCCATTCTGCACTTAATGAATATTTGCTGGGTGCTCACTCTATGAAAAACTTGGTGCTAGGCTTGAGGCACAGTGGGGTCAACAGGTAGAGGGGAAGATACAACTAGGAGGGTAAACTGATATCTAAAATTGAAGTTAATGGGATTCTAAGAGCAATCATCACTTGGGAACTTTTCAGTGGCTGATGCTCCCTTTAAGTCTGCGGCTCTAACCGGGCTTGCATCATTTGTAAAGATATGTGCCAAGTTTATCTTCTATGTATCTTAAGAGATGAATCAGTAGCTCTTGAATACAAAGGGAGCCCTTCACTCAAGATGCAGCAAGGGTTGGTTTATTTATTACTAAAAGATGCAACATCCCCAGTAACCTGCTCCAGAACAACCTGATACAAAAAGTAGGAAAGTGAAAAGATGGCAAATGACTTTCAGGGGCTTCAAAATAATCAAAAGAATGAAAGGTATTAGAAAGTTAAATAGTTAAATGAATAACCAATGCATAATAAAATTAATAGTAATTAATAGCAATGCTACATGTCCTTTTAACACCTGGCACCAGATGTCATCTTAAGAAGATAATTAAAATTGCTGGAGAAATGACTTGTAATTAGCTGAGTAAGTGGTGTAAGCTTAAGAATTTGAGACTAGAATGTCTGAGGAAGGTAAAAGAAAAGGGATGGAGAATATTTTTCTCACAAGGGCAGGGGAGGTGAGTGAGAAGAGGAAATGGAGAACACAGTTTGAAGGCTGGACACCAAGAGGCATGCTGAGAGAGCCGCCTGGCAGGACCGTGGCTCCAAAGGATCTTAGGGAAGAGAAATTCTAATATCCAAGATTGAAGTTGTTTTCTGTGCAAATGTGGAATGTAGACCTCTCTACTCTCCCTCTAACACCTTCTATTAAGCCTATAGTTCTCAAAATACTTGAGGCTGGTAGAGTTTTCATGAAACTCAAGTAGTTTTAGATTCAATTATACAGAGAAGCACAGAAAACTATGTGTGGGAATGTGGTTTAAGGAAACACTCTCAAACTGTGTTTCCTCAGCTCTCACACAACCACAGCAATCATCAACAAAGAAGAAAACATTTGTGACCAAAGGTGTGGAGGATTCCCCATACACTGAAGACCAGACACCAGCTGGGTGCTCTCCAATTCAATTCAAATCTTATCTACATGAAGGGAGTTTCAGATGTCACAGGATGGGGGCTCAGTCCCCAAGGCTGCCCTCTCTTCAGACACCAGTCTCAAGTCCAGGCCTCCAGAACTTCTGACCGACCAGGTTCAAGTTGGGGTTCCCACAACTTCTCTTTGGGTTCAATTAATTTGCTGCAGAGGCTCAAAGAACTCAGGGAAACATTTACTTATGTTTACTGGTTTATTATAAACGATAGAGATACAGAGGAAAGAGATAAAGAGACATGTCGGGTGAGTTACGGGGGAAAGGGCATGGAACTTCCATACCCTCTCCAGGTGCTCCACCCTCTAGGAACCTCCCCTGTTCAGCTCTCCAGAAGCTTTCAACCTGCTCCTCTAAGATTTCTGTGGAGGCTTCATTACATAGGCATGATTGACAACCATGTGGAAATGTGATTGGACAAAAAGCACACGATCTAAACCCAGCAAGGCTTGTCTGTTCAGACTTTTCTTGGTCTCTCTGTGCAGCCTTCTTTCCTCTAGGTTATGGGGCAGGACCCCTCTATCCCCAGAATGAGGGTCTTTGAACCCACAATCAGATTAGAGTCCTGCCTTGGCCAGGTAAAAGGAGAGGAGAAAGAGAGATTATGTTTCCTAAGGCCTGCCCCTGAGACCTAACGTGCCCCAACATTATAACAAAAGACCATAACAAGGACTATAAGAGTTATGAACCAGAAACTGTGGACAAAACACACACATATATATATTTGCACATATATATGAAGTATATATTTATTATATATGTATTAAAAATGTATGATATATATTTATTCCATATATAGTATATATTATATATTATTTCTATTTATTATACATATAATATATATTTATTATAGATATAAAATCATGATTTTATATATGTAAGGCTATTAACATAAAATTACAATATGACAGAATAGAATCACTAGAGGCAAACAAGGGGAAGGGAATACAATCCCTGCAAATAAGTCACTGAAATCTTAAAAACTCCCACTGACTAACTGGCAGAGGTTCAAGCCAGTTTTACCTAGATCTTAAGGAGTTGACTCCTAGGTTCTTTTCAGCTTTATTTCATATGAGAATCTTTGCCTTTCGTGATAACTAAAAGAAAAATTGAGACTATTTTGCAGATATTTATGGCCATTGGAATTTGGCACCAGGGCACAAATTGTCGTGCATCTATCTAGGTTATTGTGATCTTGTCAACATCTGTGTCAGCTTGCCCTCAAACAGTCAAGATCTGCAATGGAATCTTTCTTTCTCTGAAAAAATGCATGTTTTGTGTCAAAAATAAAATTTTGTAATTATAAGTACAGGTGAGTCTTCATTAGTCAGAGTGGTCAAGTAGTGCTACATTTTCCCCCCTCATCTGTCACCAAGCACAAATAGGCAATAGAGACAAACAATTCATAACATAAATCCACATAATTTGACCACAACTTTCAAGGGGCAATTGAAATTAGCAGTTGAAGTAAACCTCACTTTTCTCATCTGCAAAATGAAGTAATTACCAGTGAGACTTGAGTAAGGTGAGTAAGGTCTGTAGTCTAGCTAATCGTATTGTACCAAAGTCAGTTTCCTAGTTTTGATAATGTACTACAGTGATGTAAGATGTCATCTTTAGCTGAAGGAAGGGTATATGGGGCCTCTCTGTACTATTTTTGCAAATTTATGTGAGCCTATAATTATTTCATAACAAAAAGTTGAAAAGAAATGATGTTAATAATATCTTCTTCACAGGGTAGTGATGATTACATGGGATTAAACAATAATAATAATAGATTGTTAAACTGCCAAAAGTATACAATTATTGGTTGATTAATGACCAATCCTATTTTCAAGCTCTCAAAATCAATGTTCTAGTTCCTTTTTTCCCCTGGGTAATAATAGATAACATACATATATATATATATATACACACACACATACACACACACACACACACATGTGCATGTATACATCTATATACATACACGTATATATACGTATATATATATGTTAGCTCTTATATGTGCTATATATAAGAGCTATATATATATATATATATATATATATATATATAGCTCTTTTATGTGCCAGCCACCATTCTTAGTTCTTTACTTTTATTATATCATATAAGCCTCTCAACAATTGTAAGAGAAACCAATAATGATTTTCCTTTGTGGAGGTGAGGAAACTGAGGTTTCACATTTGGTGGAACTCACATAGCTTGTAATTGGGTAGAACTGAACTGCAAAGCTGAGTTTAGGATTCTGGAACTAGACCTCTTGATTGCCACTAACATGTCTCTCCTCCTGTGATTTAGCCTGCCACAAGTGTCAAGAGAAAACAGGTGAGGTTTTCTATTCATTTTCTGTTGCTCCATAATAAACCACCAGAAACCCAGTGGCTTAAAACAATACTCATGTATTATTTGACAGTATGTAGATCAGAAGGTAGGGTACAGTATGCCCGGATTCTCTGCTCGGATACACATGGACTGAAATCAAGGCACTGGCTAACACATTCTTAAGTGAAGCTCAAGATCCTCCTCCAAGCTACAGGGATTGTCACAGAATTCAGTTCCTTGTGGTTATTGGACTAAAATCTCTGTTTCCTTGCTGCCAGCCAAGGGGCACTCACAGCTCCTGAGTGGACCTTGCCCATGTGGTCCCCTCCATCTCCAAAGCCAAAAATAGAGACTTCACATGGAATCTGTCTTGCATTTCAAATCTCTCTCTCCAGAAAGAGCCCAAGTCATCTAAATAGGTCAAGTCTAGCCAAGATAATCTCCTTTTCTTAATTTCAACTGTGCCACATAAACAACCTAATGACAATGTAAAATCCATTATAGCCACAGTCTTGGGAATTACACAGGAATCTTGGGTGCCATCTTAAAATTCTGCCTACTTTCCAAAATGATCAAGTGTATTCTTTATCCTTAAAAGACTGGAATTTGATGGCTGGGTGCAGTGGCTCACGCTTGTAATCCCAGCACTTTGGGAGGCCAAGGCAGGTGGATCACTTGAGGTCAGGAGTTCAAGACCAGCTTGGTCAACATGGTGAAACCCTGTCTCTACTAAAAATGCAAAAATTAGCCAGGTGTGGTCGTGGGTGCCTGTAGTCCCAGCTACTCCAGAGGCTGAGACAGGAGAATCGCTTGAACCCAGGAGGTGGAGGTTGCAGTGAACTGAGATCCTGCCACTGCACTCCAGCCTGGGTGACAGAGACTCTGTCTCCAAAAAAAAAAAAAAAAAAAAGGAATTTGAAAAAATAAAATATCATTTTATGTTAACCTCCAAATGCAATTAATTGATGCACCTGATCCTTCCATAGACATGACACAATTGATAAAGGGATTTTGCTTATTTCCATTCCTGAGGTTGCCCAATTAATGGAGGTTTTAATATACATTGAGAGTTGAATTCAATCTTTTGTTGTTGTTTGTTGTAACATTTTTACTATAAGATGAATAATTACAATATAAAAAGAATACATGAAGGAGCATGCAGAATGACAGTTTACCAAGATAACCAAAAGAATCCATACCAAGACAACAAGGAGAATCTTACTGTTAATATCTTCCATTCCTGAAGGAAAACAGAATATAGTGAACTGCTCTGGCAAAAAACTTGTTTCAGCTTTCAGGGCTATATATTCATATGCCCCTGGTTGGGTGACATTGGAATCAGAAAATTATCCTGCTAGCTTCTTCCAAATGTCTGCCTGAAACTCGGGTTATGTGACTCATCTACTCTTCAGGAGACTCAGATCAGGCAAAATTCTCTAAAAATATAGTGTTTTGAAGACTTTTCTGTCAGATCAATTGCTGATCAATGAAAGTCAGACAGAGGTTAAAAAATATTAAAATGTCAAGATTCTTAGGTCTCCCCCTCCACCAGAAAGAATAAAAATAACAATGCTATATGCACCACTCACCTCTCCTCATCCCTCTCTACACCTGGGAGTGCTCCCACTCTTCACAAGAGCCATTATACCCAACTGGTTATCAAATTTGTCAATGCACAGTTAGAGGGTGGGCAGAAAGACAAAATTAAGAAGGAGATAGAGGCAGGAAAGTCTAAGACTAAGATAAATTGAGTCAATCTACATAAGAAAACATTTGAAGAGAAAGGGGTGATGGAAGAAAAAAATTGTGTGTAGGCTGAAAGAAAAAAACAGAGGGGTTCAGAAGAAGAAGAAGAACTAGGAAGAAGCATATAAAATCTATGAGAAATATTGAGCATGCATAAAACTATAAGCAAAATTGTGTGTGAACATATTTTTCTTAAAAAGTATATTTATACTTTGAGAAGGTTCTGAAAAGGTTATTTGACTCCAAATATTTGTGGAAAAGATACCATGAGTGTGGTATCTTAAATCATAATCATGATCAAATCATAAAAGTTCTGGATTCTTCTGGGGAAGATAGATAGAGAGTTGCTACTGTTACAGTAAAGGACTCCAGCATCACTGGCATAAAGGGCCCTGGAGATATAAGTCAATGGCTTCATGGTTATGCATGGGATAGAACATACCTAGCAGATACAACATAAAAATGTAATCAATCTCTGTTGATTGAAAAATCTGGCCTTAGTAGGTATTCTATTGTCCCCTGATAATAGTCAGTAGCTGCAAGATCCCAAAACAGTCACAAATGATCCTTGATTCCTGGTTTTCACACCATTTTGAGCTTTCTTTCCACCTTGAATCAGGGATGACTGGTCTGACAAATAGAACACAGTACCAGTAATGATGTGTGGCTGCCGGGGTCAGGTCATGAAAGGCATTGTGGCCTCTGCCTTGGCCTCTAGGATGGCTCATCAGAGAAGCTAACCACCATGTCAAGAGGTTAAGAGCCATGACATGTGGAAAGACCCATGTGAAGAGGAACTGAGGTCTACCATCAACTTGTCAGTCATGTGAATCAGCCATATTGGAACTGGATTTCCATCCCCAGTCAAAACTTCTGATGACTGCAATCCTAGCTGACCAATGACTGCAATCTCATGAGATACCCTGAGTCAGAATGACACAGCTATGCTGCTGCTGAACACCTGACACACACACACACACGCACACACACACACACAGAAAGAGATAATGAATTATTGTTCTAAATTTTAGATTAATAATGTTATCCAGTATTTATCTAATTAATACAAGACCAGTGTGCAGAATTGGTGCTCAGTTATCAATTACTAACACTGATATTTAATCCAATATAAACAAAAGGTAATATTCAATCCAGTCAAAACAAAAAGGTGTCTGCTAATGTTGGATAATAACAATACTATTACTCATAAATACAATAACAGTACTATTACTCATAAATACAATAACATGTTTTCAACACTGACTAATAGTGATGTTTATTCTGAGGCACACAGTAGGTACTCCATAATTGTTGACTGATAATGGAGGCATTTGTTTATTTCTGGTTACTTTGGGAAATTACAATGCTGACATTTGATTTTGATATTTTTATATCACAAATGTACTATACAGCTCCCTTACTCTAGAGTAAAACCACCACCTCCCTACAAAAAATTAAAATCCACATCCTATTCATATTGTTTGTCTTTACAATAATAAAAAGAAAGGCTTACGCTAATCCTCAACTGAATTTAGAAATGGAAGAAACTGAAATTTGGTAATACTTTTAGTGACATAATAATGAAAATAATCAAATCAGTATTAATACTCTTGATGGAATTTGTGTAAGTAATGAATTTAAATGTATTCACTGCACACCTTGCATAATTTAATATTCTCTACAATCAAAAATTAATAAGCATGAAAATCTACAATGTGCTTATTCCTGAAAATAATAAATATTATGGCCTCATAAGAACAACTGAATGATCTCAATATTTTCCCCCTCAAATTTAACACAATTAAAGATAAATCAACCAAGGAAAAAATACAAATAATTACAAAATTGAAACCAGTGAAGAGAAACTTGCAAACAAATAACAGATGGTGTAAACTAGATTATTAAAGACTGGTAACTTCCAAAGTCTTGCTGAGCAGATAAATTATTACTTACAAGATGAGAAATTACAATTTTTCACTTTTGTAATACTCTGCTAATGACATACATGGTGACACTTGAAATATTTTAGGGGGCAAACTATACATTTCTAGAAGTTAACTACATCTGGGTTTCAAAGAGAAGTCCAAAAAAGAAACCTAGGCGATCCCCGAGCTAAACCATTTTTTGTTTGTTTTTTTTGTTTTTGTTTTTGAAATAGAATCTCGCTCTATCGCCCAAGCTGGAGTGCAGTGGCACAATCTTGGCTCACTGTGACCACTACCTCCTAGGCTCCAGTGACTCTCCTTCCCTCAGCCACCTCAGCAGCTGGAACTACAGGCATGCATCACCATGCCTGGCTATTTTTTGTATTTTTTGTAGAGACTGGGTTTTGCCATCTTCCCCAGGCTGGTCGCAAACTCCTGGCCTCAAGTGATCCATTTGCCTCAGCTTCCCAAAGTGCTGGGATTACAGGCATGAGCCACCACACTCAGCCCCTGACCTAAACTTTTAAAAAGTCTAGTAGCAAGGATAATAATGTCTATAGCAAGTAATAGAAAATAAACAAATTTAGACAATAATAATAATATCAGCAACATACAGTGAGATTTATTGAACACTTAGCAGATTGAAAAAGGTGGCCATAATAATTCACAGTTGGACGGCAGCTCCTCCCATGTGGAGGTAGAGTCTACTTTATGGCTTGCTTTAGTCACTAGAATACACAGAAAAGACAGTGTACTAGTTACAAGCCTAGGCCTCAAGGGGCCTTCTACTCGTCCTCTTAGAACTATATCTAGCCACTAAGGGAAAAGGGTGTGGGCAAGCCTGCTGAAGGATGTGTGACCACAGGGAGGTGAACTGAGCCATCTCAGAAACTGACCAAGATGCATGAGTGAGCAGAGCTGAGATGGGAATAACCACCAAACAGAACCCAACCCAAACAGCCAGACAACATGCAGAATTGTGATCTCAGTGAATGATTGTTTTAACACAAATTTGAAGGTGTAATAGTTTGTTATGCAGCAACAGCTACCTGATACGTTTCTCTGCTTTGTTTTGTACATATTATTTAACGTAGTCCTTGCTACATGCTACAAGGTAGGTAGTATTATTATCCACCTTTCACAGGTTAGATCGGAAGCATACAGCAACAAAAGGAATTTGTTGCTTAATATAACTGATACAACTGGAAAATCTAAAGGTGATAATCTTACTGGATTCAGGTATGGCTGGTTCAGAACTTCAGTGTCACCAGGGCTTTGCTTTGATTTTTCATTTTTGGTTCCATTTGCCTCTGCCTGGATTTTTTCTCATACAGACTCTTTCCATGTGGACACATGTTAACTGTTTATAGCCCCAAGTTTGCTTTGTTCTCATAGCTCATAATCCAGAGAAAGTTTGCTCAGATGACAGTCTAGGGAGATTCTGATTGGGCAGAACTGGTCATGTGCCCAATCCAAGAACCAGGGGACAGGTACAGCCTTGTGATCGACAGTTCCACCAGAATCACCTGATGAGGATGGGATGAAGCAGGAACAGTTTTCGAATGAAGAAAGAAGTATTGGGAGGCAGTAATATTATGTCCTCCACAGTAGCTCACAGGCTCACAAAGTGGGTTCTAAGACTCCTTAGTGATGACATAATTAGAAACCTTTAAATTAATACATCCAGTTCATCTAGAAGTCAGTGGTCATTACACAGAATCAACAACCCCACTCCTCTGGTTCTCAAGCAGCCTGCTCTCCCCACATCTCTTCAGACAACCTCGCCACAGCTCCTCTCCCTGAATAAGAAGAATATCCTTAGTCTAGTTTAGTTTTATAGATTTACCTGATGTTTGAAGAACAGCATTTTCTCCCAAGCTAAATTGGAGAGTGGATTATTTGCTTTACAAAAGGATTCTTGACTTTACAAAGGATTTCCAGAATAGGACTTTAAATAGCAACCTCCCCTGGTGCATTTAAACTATGATTCTGTCTGCAAGATGTTGCTTCTGAATAACTCAAATTCTGTTTACCTGGGGGCTAGGTTAGGCAGTTTCTAAGAGCCCTTCCAGTGTAAAAATTCCATGAGTCTGTAACCTATAGAACACAGTTGCAAAGAGGCAAGGGCTCAGAACTGAACAGCCTGGCCTCTAACTCTGGCCCTCTTAGTGATTTACTAGCTGTGTGATGACTTTGGGCAAGTTGCTGAACCACTCTGAGCCTCAGTACCCTCATTTATTAATGAAACCCAATGCAAAAGTGTGTTATAAAGATTAAATGGGTGAATACATGACATATTTAGTACATTCCTAGGCACACATGGAGTATTAGTATACTGACTGCAGCTACTTTTTGGCTAGTTTCCAATCTATTTGGTCCTCTGCAGACAGAGAGATCCCTTCAAAATGTAATTCGGCTTTTGTCAAACTGCTCTGCTTAAAATCTCAATGGTTTCCCACTTCTCTAAGAAAAACCCAGTATCTCAGAATGTCTTACTAGGGCCTCCATTGCTGGCCTCCCCCTGGCCACCCAGGGTCATTATTCACCACACTCATTACCACCTGCACACAAACCTGCTGCTGCTTTTCCCAAGTTCAAAACAAAACTAAAAAACACTTCCTCCTGACCTCACTTCTCGTTAGCCTCTGCTTTACTTCTCTGCTCCCGTTGGCCATGAAACTTCCCGAAAGATGTGTCCATGTCCTCTTTCTTCAATTTCTCTCCCCACAACTGCCTCCTTAGCATCTCCACTTGCATATATCATAGAAACCTTTTTTTTTTTTTTTTTTTTTTTTTTTTGAGACGGAGTCTCGCTCTGTCGCCCAGGCTGGAGTACAGTGGCGCGATCTCTGCTCACTGCAAGCTCCGCCTCCCGGGTTCACGCCATTCTCCTGCCTCAGCCTCCCGAGTAGCTGGGACTATGGTGAAATCTTGTCACAGCATCTCCGGAAGTGAACCCTGATCCAACTCCTTCCCCAGCTTGCTCTCTGGACGCATCCTTGAATCAGTCAGTGGCAACTCCAACTTTCTGGATGCTCCAGCTGGAAACCTTGAAGAAACATCTCTTCCTACCCACTGTCCACCCGCTAATCGTGCTACCTCCCCTTCAGAGCGTAGCTGAAAGATACCCATTCTCCCCAGCTATGCCGCTGCCCCTCCCTGGCCCAGCCATGTCCCTCTGAATCACTGCCATAATCTCCTTGTGGGCTTGGCTTCCACCTTCATTCCATACCCCTCTGTTTCCAGGAACGTTAATAGAAAAAAAACAAACTCTGTAAAATATTTTTAAGAGATTTATTCTGAGCCAGTATGAGAGACCATGGCCCGGGGGACACAGTCTCAAGAGGCCCTGGAAAAGTGCGTCTCAGGCGGTTGGGTTACAATTTGGATTTATACATTTCAGAGAGACAGGGGTTGCAGGCAAAGACGGAAATCCACACCTTGAAAGGATACATTCATTCTTCCAGGAAAGATGTGACACTTTGAAGCGTGGTGTACAGGTTATAGGTGTATCCAGAGATTCTTTAATTTGCAACGGGTTAAAGGAGTAAAGCTTTATTTAAAAATTTGGAGTGAACAGAAAGTAAGGTTTTAAGTTAAGAAGTCTGTTAATCAAAATGCTGGGTCAGGGTGACCAGTAGGGGTGTGTGACTTCATCTGCCTGGCGTGGCTTTAAGTCCCCTATCTTATTGTCACCAAGAGTCTGTTTTGTTAGTTGTTGTTGTTTTTGTTATTGTTGTTTTTGAGACAGAATCTCACTCTTTCGCTCAGGCTGGAGTTCAGTGGCACGATCTTGGCCCACTCTAACCTCTGCCTCCCGGGTGCAAGTGATTCTTCTGCCTGGGCCAGCTGAGTAGGTGGGATTACAGGCGTCCATCAGCACGCCAGGCTAATTTTTGTATTTTTAGTAGAGACAGGGTTTTGCCATGTTGCTCAGGCTGGTCTCGAACTCCTGACCTCAAGTGATCCACCCGTCTTGGCCTCCCAAAGTGCTGGGATTACAGGTGTGAGGTACTGTGCCCAGCCCATTTTATTAGTCTTATTGCCTCTGCTTTAACATTAATGTCAATCAGTTGTGATACCTAAATTTCACAAAAGAGGGGGTATAATAATGTGTGTTCGACCTCTCATCCTGTCGTGGCCAGGAATTAAGATTTTAGTTTTCTCTGGGGTCCTCTTGAGCAAGAGGGGGTCCACTTAGTCAGTGAGGGGCTTTCAACTTGAATTTTAGTCTACAGCACTCGGAGAAGTCCTTTGAAAACAGAAGTCAGATCAGATCTCGGCTGCTGAAGGCCTTGTAGGGCTACCCCACTCTGTCAGAGTAGAAGCAAAGCCCAGCGTGGCCCTAAGGCCCGCATGATCTGATCCTCAGCCTTGCCCCTCTGGCTTTATCTCTGACTTCTCTCCCTCTCATCTGCTCTGCTCCAGCCACGCTGGCCGCCTTCCATTCCCGAACATGCCAGCTGTACCCTCACTTTGGAACTGCCTGTTTCCTCTGCCTGAAACACCTCCCTCCAGGAATCTGTAGAGCTAACTCCATCACTCTTCAACTGTCACCCATGTCATGAGGCCTGCCTTGATCCTTGTATTCAAAGTAACTCACCCCAACCTGAGACACTCATGATCCTCCTTGCCCACTTCTCCCTTTCCCATATCACTTATTATACTACGGAACTTAATTAATTATTATGTTTATTTTTGATTGACCCCTTGCTTTCCAAATATAAGCTTTTCAAGGACAGGTGCCTTTGACCATCTTGCTCATGTATCCCTATCAACCAGCAAAGTGCCTGTCACATAATAGATGCTCAAGAAATAGCAGTTGACTAAGCATATGCTCTGGCCATTCCGGTCTGTTTTCTCATGACCTGAAGTTGCATTTCATACATCACTTCCTCAGGGAAACCTTCCCTGACCTCCCTGATCAGTTCCTACAATTATAGGTCCAGTTTCCCTCTCCTCCATAGCACTTTTGAGAGATTCAATTTTGTATTGGTTTTGTGACTACACAAGCTTCATCAAGTCAGGTTCAACCCTGTAGGTTTTTCCGTACCATCTTATCATGAATACCTAAGAGTATCTGGTACATAGTAGGTGCTCAATAAATACTTGTGAAATACATGAATATTAGATGGTTATTCATATTATTTTAAGTAGTTAATATTTCTTTACTTATTCATGGCCTTCAAGTTCATATACAACATGATTAAAATCAATCAATCAATTTGCTACTAGGTAATTGCCCCTAAAAGGATCAGTGGTTATCTGCAGGGCTTTTAAATAAACTCCATTTGCTACTTTATGCGGCTAAAGGAGTGTACCAAGAGAACTTTTTGCCTTTCATTAGAATTTCATCTCAGTATTATTTATTTGCATCTGAAGCAGATCCTTTCCTGTCTGTCTTCCAGGCATGCAAACACTTTTGTTTTATCCAAGTGAAGCATGAAAATTTGCAGGTTGCACCCAAAACCAAAATCCACTTTTTAACCCCGCCAATTTAAAGTATTTTTTTTTTCCAAACCTACTTTATATATGAGCAATCCAAGATTCACATCAGGGTTGTTAGAAAAATGATCATACTAGTCTAGTACAAAGAAAATGGCATAATTCTGATCTTTTGATGACTATGTAACACCCATGATTCCACGGGCATGGAATCATGACTAATAGAATGAAAACTAATTCCATATCCCCTAGTTTAGTTGGTGGTATCAGTAATTTAACAAATTATTTATACAATACTGCGCTTACTAAATCTAAATAGTGTTTCCTTCTTGATACATAGCAGCTGTTTGTCTAGCCCTTTAGAAGGGTTCAGAAGGAAGAGACTTGGGTAAACTACTTATGTATTCCTAGTTTTCTCCTCTGAACATTTACATAGCATGTCCCTGTTGGGATGTTCAAGACTGACTGCTGAGAACTAAATAGACTGGGCTCAGACGCAGGAATAGATTAGTACACAGAGGCCTGATGGAATTTTCCTCTGATGAAAAGCTCCACCCCTCCTTCGCAGCCTACTTCTGAACACATGCTATAACTCTTGTGTGTGTTTGAGGCCTTGGTAAATAAAGCAGCTGGTACAGAGAAAGGGTTCGACACCTTACCTTTGTCAGGGACTCTTGAGAGAAAAAGGAGACACTCTAACAATTTTATTGCCAAATATTTCAAGCTTATAAAATGCATCCAAAATAATAAAATGAACACCCTTGCACCTACTGCCTAAGAGAATAGCTATTAGGCTATATTAGAAACGGCTATGTTAGAAATAATCGCAGCTTTTTTTTTTTTATTTAACTTTGTCAAGTCAATGTTTTGCCTAATTGTGTCAGACCCTTTGGAAACAAAAAGAAAGGAAACGTCAGAGGCATGGGCAAAGTTTCACTGAAGACTTCTTCTATACCTTCCATTTGCCCATCTTCTTCCACAGAGATATTTACTGTCTTGAGAGTGAGGTTTACCTTGACATATGTGCTTTTATTCTTGTTCCTTATAAACTTTAATTTTTATGTGCTTTAAAACTTTATATAAAGGCTATCATACTCTATATCTCTTTCTGCAAGCTGTTCACACACATAGACACACACTTCTTGGCTCACTATTCTATTTTTGAGATATATTCATGTTAAAACATAAATATACGCTCATTCTGATGGTGCTGTGTGTTTATGTGGTTTTCTTTTTTCTGGTGGCTAGGGGCTCATAGCAGGGGTCAGCAGAGGATACAGAACTGCTTTTCCTTTCTATTGATTTAAGTCTGTGCCCAGCACGAGAGCCTGCGTGATTAAAAGATGTCTGCTACTGTTAATTTAATGTGTCAGTTTGGCTGGAACACACTGCCCAGGTATGTGGTCAAACGCTATTCTAGATGTGGAGTGTTTGGGATCCGATTCCCATTTACATCAGTAGACTTTAAGTAAAGCAGATTACCCTTTATAATAAGGCAGTGATAGAACAAGACTGACCTCCCACAAGCAAGAAGGAATTCTGCCAGCAGACTGCTTTTGGACTCAAACTGCATGTCTTCCCTGGGTCTCCAGCCTGCTGGCCAATCCCAGCAGATTGGGACTTGCCAGCCGCCACAACACTTGAACTGATTCCTTTAAATCAATCTCAATCTCTCTCTCTCAGATTATTCTATTATGCTACATGTCATATTGATTGGAGGGCATGAGATTAATCTCTCTACCCCTGCTAGGCACACAACTAATGTTTAATGACTAATTAGTTGGATAAGTGCATAGTAATTTTAAAAAGTTCACACATAGGGTGGTGGATCAAGCCTGTAATCCCAGCACTTTGGGAGGCCAGAGTGGGTGGATCACTCGAGGTCAGGAGCTTGAGACCAGCCTGGCCAACATGGTGAAACCCCGTTTCTACTAAAATAATACAAAAATTAGCCATGTGTGGTGGGGCGCACCTGTAATCCCAGCTTCTCAGGAGGCTGAGGCAGGAGAATTGCTTGAACCCGGGAGGCAGAGGTTGGAGTGAGCCGAGATGGTGCCACTGTACTCCAGCCTGGGTGACAGAGCGAGACTCTTTCTCAAAACAAAAATAAAATAAAATAAAATAAAAATAAGACACCTCAATCACAGGGATTATACTAATAATGGAATCAGTTAACCAACAAATCCGTCAATACAAATATACTTTTGGGGCATGGTCACATATTTAGCACTATGCAGGGAGCTGTTGGATAATGGGGGGAATTCACAGAGACTTAATAAAAAGTAATTGCAATTGGTGGTGTTTAAGGTCAAAAAATAAAAATCATCCAAAAAATTCTGGAGTAAATGATAAAAGTAATTTGGTCCAAGAGGAGCAAATGATAAAAGTAATTGTTTAAAAAATTGTAAGAAAATAATGATAAAAAGTAAATATGATGAAGGTGAGTTTGAAGGGAATGACAGCTAGCACAATAGAATAAAAAGAATGCTGGATTTTTAAAGTGCAGGTCCATATTCAAATCATAACACTACCACTGCCCCTTCCATACAATCTTTGGGCCAGACAATTAGCTCTTTATCCTTGGTGCCACTTCTACATAATGATGTTGAATCATTATCTCTTTGTGGCCATCCTCTACCTCACCCATGTATTGTCTGGTGAGTAGGTCAGTTATTATACTAACATTGGATACTAATTTACTGATTTTTTTTTCCATTCACTATCCCTCAGACACAAAAGCTCACCAGCTATCCAGAGGTATCAGCATTCAATACTCAAGGATGCCATCATCAAAAGAAACTATTGATCTCTGTTAACATCCAGTGACATGAACTCATGTAGGATGCACCACCCCATTTTCTCTTGGGTGATTTCACATTCCACATCCTATTCTGAAAACTTCAAACTCTTGTAACGTTTATGAGATAATGGAATATGGGTCAAATAAGTGCCTCCAAGTTGCTCACGTCAGCAATCCCATAACTAAATGGGCAGTCAGATGAAATTATCAGAAGCACAGATGGCACTCGACTGTGTTTAGTGCAGGAGAATTCCCTCTCAAAACACGCATGGCTTGAGTTCTCCCTTATGCTACTCCCTTTGTGGAAATGTGTTATGTGTAATCAACCTCTCTTTTCCCACATGCCTGAGAAATGCAATTCCTTTCTTGATAGGGAAGATTGGCCCCTGACTGATTTTCGTTATATTTATATGTTCTCAACCTTGCTGGGCATGCATCAGCTGGGTCTCTGCACTGCCAAAATGATGGATGGGGCTCTGGAATAGAAAGGAGATGCATTCCCATGGGATGGAGTTTCTCTCCATCTCTCTGTTCTGAAGATGTATCATCTCACAGCTGGCAGCCACAGAAACAACACAGAGATCCCGAGACACAACAAAATGCTCTGAGAAAGAGAATTTGGGGATTTAAAATACAGTGAAAAGGGTCAGAGTATTCCATTCTAGTTTTGGCTCTGACACTAACTAAATATGTGACCTAGCATAAATCATATCAATTCATTGGTAAATGAGATTCTTTCTTCTGCCTTACCTATTTCAGGGGCCAATTTGAAGGTGAAAATGACATTAGAAATACAAAGCGTTTTAATAAATATTATCACACATCATCTGTCTGAGATAAAGACTCAAGCTGTTTCCTGCAGAGCACTCATTTGACCCACAGCAGAACAGCTTTGGGCTTACTTGTAAGGTGGGGTGTTGGAGGGTCCGCAGGGTTTTAATCCCACCTCCAACTCTGGCTACATGTGACACCCTTGGCAAATCACTCAAATTTAGCTATAAACCTTCTTTTCCTTATCTACAAAATAGTTAATTCATAGTTATTGTCAGGTTCCTTCCATGGATGACAACATTTAACACTAGTGGGTTGATTCTAGCTCTGGATGTTCTGAAAGTTTGATTCCCTACTGGTTCCATTTGGTGCAGTGTTTGTTTAAAAAATTGAAGTCAACTCATGGAATGTTAACAAGACAAGTCATGGAGGAGGCAAAGTTGCTTTCTGGGTGCCTGTACCAGCACTCACCTTGAGGCCCTTCTTCCTCCTCTCACCCCAAGCATCCCTTCAGTGAGCTCAAGTTTTTTGTGGGATATTAAGGCAGCTCTTTTTTTACACTGCCCAGTGGAAGAATAACTTAAATACAAGACACTGTTTTCCAGAATGTGCATCTTATGCAGCCAGGCAGAGGACACAAGAGAGTCTGGAGGATAATTCTGAAGTGTGCACAAAGATGCTCAAGAGATAGGAAGTTAGAGAAGAGAATGCAGCAGCGGAAATATCTTACTGGAATATTCTCTCTGTAACCATGGCTATAGTAGAAATAATCACAGCAGTTTTTTGAGCATCTATTGTGCAAATGTTTTCCAATATACTGTAATGTATGTAATTTCATTCAGTCCTCATAAAGGTGCTACAGGATAAATATTATCATTCCCATTTTATAGAGGGGGAAAAGACGCAAAGTTATATACCTCCTGGCCGAAGTCAGACAGAAGTAAGTGAGAGGAAGAGGATTGGTCTAAGGCATCATGATGCCTTGCAGCTGTGTCTTACACCCCACACTCTTGGGTTTTTAAAAGTTCATTTGGCCAACCACATAACTCACCCCAAATGGCCAGGGTAGAGTCTACTGGACCTTGGGCAGATGTTTTCCTCCCTTTACGAACCCGCCAAAAGCCTCAGTTCCTAAATCTCTAAATAAGAAGTAGTTCTCTGGACTTAAAAGAGAGAAGGAAATAATAAATAGAAAAGATCCCAATTACACATGGAAAAAAATGATGGTGAAAAAAGCCCACTAAAAATGGAAGCCAAGATTTCCTAGAAAAAGGGAGAGAAAAGTTTTAGACTTTATCTTAAAAAGCTAAAATGTATGAAAATAAGATGATTCGGAATTTAATAGAAACACAGGTTATATTGCAATTATTTGCTAAGTATTAAAATTAACATATAATTAAGTATTTTGAGGCCAGTTTTCAAAGAAATTATGACATATTAGCATGATATGACACCCTTCAATGCACCACCATAAAGACCTTTTGAGAAAAAAAATTGAGGTTTCATCAGTTTTCCCAAAGGCCACACTGCATCCTTTGATATTTAAATGATCAATTTATTGTCTTTTAAAGCCTATCATGTCATCATCCTTGTCAATTTTCTCTTCTTCAGTTATTAACGGTCTAATTCTGTCAGATCCTCCTTTGTCAATTACTTTGCATGTGATTAGAGAAATTCTCCATCATCCTTTTCATCTTGGCAAAACTCTGCCTATTTTCCAAGATACACAGTTTCCTTTTGCAATCAAATTACGATGTATTTGAGCTGTGTTATCAGATGTTTGACAGCAACCTGCAAAGATACTGATGCTGTGGATATAGAGAGAAGAGCATGGAATGAAGAGGGACCCTTGCATGGGGACTAATTTTAATAAGTGATGAGTTTATTGGTACAGGCTGTCATCAGTGATGTCTTTTGTCCCACTCTCCATATCTTTGTAACTTCGGGGATGGTGATAAATAATACTTGGTAAGAGTATTCTCTATAGTAGAAAAATAATAATTCTTAAGTCGTGCAGAGCTCTTCACAATCTAATCTTGTATCCAACTCTTTGTGTCCCCTAACAGCATCCCTTAGAGAGAGGTGACACATGCATTTCCCAGATGAGGGAGCTGAAACTTAGCAGGCTGTACACTTTTTGGAATTTGCAAACTAACCCACTCTCTGCCTTCTAGCAGCAATTTTCATGTATTGTCTTCTTGCTTGGTATTGGGAACTGTATTAAGTACTCAACATGTATCACCTCCTTTATTCCTGATAATTGTACTACTAGGTGATGAGCATGGTTAATTTTATTTTTAAAAGAACAAAACTGAGGATAACTAAAGCTAAGGAACTTTCTGTGTTAAGTCACTTATTGTTGCAATAATACCACATAACAAATGACTTAAAAAATCTCAACAGCTTCCAGCAACCAACATTTATTTCTCACTAAAAGGATCAGCTGGAGGGTTGAGCTCACTCTGATTTAGGCTACTGGTTGGGTTCAGTTATCTTCCACGTGTCATTCATTTCTAACCTAAGCTGAAGGTGCAGTAGCTTGGGGCAAAATCTTCTACTGACTAATGGCAGTAGCATTCATCATGGGTGGCATGAGGCCAGCTAACCCATCAAGCATATTTAAAGCCTATGCCATTTGTCAGGCCTCTGAGCCCAAGCTAAGCCATCATATCCCCTGTGACCTGCACGTACACATCCAGATGGCCGGTTCCTGCCTTAACTGATGACATTCCACCACAAAAGAAGTGAAAATGGCCTGTTCCTGCCTTAACTGATGACATTGTCTTGTGAAATTCCTTCTCCTGGCTCATCCTGGCTCAAAAGCTCCCCCACTGAGTACCTTGTGACCCCCACTCTGCGTGCCAGAGAACAACCCCCCTTTGACTGTAATTTTCCTTTACCTACCCAAATCCTATAAAACGGATCCACCCCTATCTCCCTGCGCTGACTCTCTTTTCAGACTCAGCCCGCCTGCACCCAGGTGAAATAAACAGCCATGTTGCTCAAACAAAGCCTGTTTGGTGGTCTCTTCACACGGACATGCATGAAATTTGGTGCCGTGACTCAGATCGGGGGACCTCCCTTGGGAGATCAACCCCCTGTCCTCCTGTTCTTTGCTCCATGAAAAAGATTCACCTACCACCTCAGGTCCTCAGACCCACCAGCCCAAGGAACATCTCACCAATTTTAAATTGGGTAAGCGGCCTCTTCTTACTCTCTTCTCCAACCTCTCTTACTATCCCTCAACCACTTTCTCCTTTCCACTCTTCAATCTCTCCCTTCTCTTGATTTCAATTCCTTTCATTTTCTGGTAGAGACAAAGGAGACATGTTTTATCCATGGACCCAAAACTCCGGCGCCAGTCACGGACTGGGAAGGCAGCCTTCCCTTGGTGTTTAATCATTGCAGGGACACCTCTTTGATTATTCATCCAGGTGTCAGACCACGGAGGGACGCCTGCCTTGCTCCTTCACCCTTAGCGGCAAGTCCTGCTTTTCTGGGGGAGGGGCAAGTACCCCAACCCCTTCTGTGTCTCTACCCCTTCTCTGCCTTTCTGGGGGGCAAGAAACCCCCAACCCCTTCTCCTTCACCCTTAGTGGCAAGTCCCACTTTTCTGGGGAAGGGGCAAGTACCCCAACCTCGTATCTCTGCACCCCTATCCCTTATTTCCATGCCCTGACCTCTTATCTCTGCACCCCAATCCCTTATTTCCACGCCCCAACCTCTTATATCTCTGTGCCCTGATCCCTTATTTCCACACCCTGACCTCGTATCTCTGTGCCCCAACCCCTTTCCCACTTTTCTGGAGGGTAAGAACCCCCGAACCCCTTCCCTCCATGTCTCTACTCTCTCTTTTCTCTAGGCTTGCTTCCTTCACTATAGGCAACATTCCATCCTCCATTCCTCCTTCTTCTCCCTTAGCCTGTGTTCTTAAGAACTTAAAACCTCTTCAACTCTCACCTGACCTAAAATCTAAGCATCTTATTTTCTTCTGCAATGCCGCTTGACCCCAATACAAACTCGACAGTAGTTCCAAATAGCCAGAAAACGGCACTTTCAATTTTTCCATCCTGCAAGATCTAAATAATTCTTGTCAAAAAATAGGCAAATTGTCTGAGGTGCCTGACGTCCAGGCATTCTTTTACACATCGGTCCCTTCCTAGTCTCTGTGCCCAATGCAACTTGTCCCAAATCTTCCTCCTTTCCCTCCCGCCTGTCCCCTCAGTCCCAACCCCAAGCATCACTGAGTTTCTAATCTTCCTTTTCTACAGACCCATCTGACCTCTCCCCTCCTCCCCAGGCTGCTCCTCGCCAGGCTGAGATAGGTCCCAATTCTTCCTCAGCCTCCGCTCCTCCATCCTATAATCCTTTTATCACCTCCCCTCCTCACACCTGCTCCGGCTTACAGTTTCATTCCGTGACTAGCCCTCCCCCACCTGCCCAGCAATTTGCTCTTAAAAAGGTGCCTGGAGCTAAAGGCATAGTCAAGGTTAATGCTCCTTTTTCTTTATCCCAAATCAGATAGCGTTTAGGCTCTTTTTCATCAAATACAAAAATCCAGCCCAGTTCATGGCTTGTTCAGCAGCAACCCTGAGACACTTTACAGCCCTAGACCCTAAAAGGTCAAAAGGCCATCTTATTCTCAATATACATTTTATTACCCAATCTGCTCCCTACATTAAATAAAACTCCAAAAATTAAATTCTAGCCCTCAAACCCCACAACAGGATTTAATTAACCTTGCCTTCAAGGTTTACAATAATAGAAAAAAGTTGCAATTCCTTGCCTCCACTGTGAAACAAACCCCAGCCACATCTCCAGCACACAAGAACTTCCAAATGCCTGAACCGCAGCGGCCAGGCCTTCCTCCAGAACCTCCTCCCCCAGGAGCTTGCTACAAGTGCCAGAAATCTGGCCACCAGGCCAAGGAATGCCCACAGCCCAGGATTCCTCCTGAGCCGCGTCCCATCTCTGTGGGACCCCACTGGAAATTGGACTGTTCAACTCACCTGGCAGCCACTCCCAGAGCGCCTGGAACTCTGGCCCAAGGCTCTCTGACTGACTCCTTCTTGGCTTAGCAGCTAAAGACTAATGCTGCCCGATTGCCTCGGAAGCCCCGTAGACCATCACGGACGCGGAGCTTTAGGTAACTCTCACAGGGAGGGTACGTCCGTCCCCTTCTTAATCAATACGGAGGCTACCCACTCCACATTACCTTCTTTTCAAGGGCCTGTTTCCCTTGCCTCCATAACTGTTGTAGGTATTGACGGCCAGGCTTCTAAACCTCTTAAAACTCCCCCACTCTGGTGCCAACTTAGACAATACTCTTTTAAGCACTCCTTTTTAGTTATCCCCACCTGCCCAGTTCCCTTATTAGGCCGAGACACTTTAACTAAATTATCTGCTTCCCTGACTATTCCTGGACTACAGCTACATCTCATTGCTGCCCCTGTTCCCAATCCAAAGCCTCCTTTGCGTCCTCCTCTTGTATTCCCCCACCTTAACCCACAAGTATAAGATACCTCTACTCCCTCCTTGGTGACCAATCATGCACCCCTTACCATCTCATTAAAACCTAATCACCCTTACCCCGCTCAATGCCAATATCCCATCCCACAGCATGCTTTGAAAGGACTAAAGCCTGTTATCACTCGCCTGCTACAGCATGGCCTTTTAAAACCTATAAACTC
The DNA here is from genome assembly GCF_000001405.40 of Homo sapiens. Classification (NCBI taxonomy): domain Eukaryota; kingdom Metazoa; phylum Chordata; class Mammalia; order Primates; family Hominidae; genus Homo; species Homo sapiens. Next base: position 8,180,085 of record NC_000003.12, read on the forward strand.
TCCTTACAATTCCCCCATTTTACCTGTCCTAAAACCAGACAAGCCTTACAAGTTAGTTGAGGATCTATGCCTTATCAACCAAATTGTTTTACCTATCCACCCCATGGTGCCAAACCCATATACTCTCCTATCCTCAATACCTCCCTCCACAATCCATTATTCTGTTCTGGATCTCAAACATGCTTTCTTTACTATTCCTTTGCACCTGTCATCCCAGCCTCTCTTCTCTTTCACTTGGACTGACCCTGACACCCATCAGACTCAGAAAATTACCTGGGCTGTACTGCCGCAAGGCTTCACAGACAGACCCCATATCTTCAGTCAAGCCCAAATTTCATCCTCATCTGTTACCTATCTCAGCATAATTCTCATAAAAACACATGTGCTCTCTCTGCTGATCGTGTCTGATTAATCTCCCAAACCTCAATCCCTTACAAAACAACAACTCCTTTCCTTCCTAGGCATGGTTAGTGCGGTCAGAATTCTTACACAAGAGCCAGGACCATACCCTGTAGCCTTTCTGTGCAAACAACTTGACCTTACTGTTTTAGCCTAGCCATCATGTCTCCGTGCAGCGGCTCCTGCTGCCCTAATACTTTTAGAGGCCCTCAAAATCACAAACTATGTTCAACTTACTCTCTACATTTCTCATAACTTCCAAAATCTATTTTCTTCCTCATACCTGAAGCATATACTTTCTGCTCCCCAGCTCCTTCAGCTGTACTCACTCTTTGTTAAGTCCCACAATTACCATTGTTCCTGGCCCGGACTTCAATCCAGCCTCCCACATTATTCCTGATACCACACCTGACCCTCATGACTGTATCTCTCTGATCCACCTGACATTCACCCCATTTCCCCATATTTCCTTCTTTCCTGTTCCTCATCCTGATCATGCTTGATTTATTGATGGCAGTTCCACCAGGCCTAATCGCCACACACCAGCAAAGTCAGGCTATGCTATAGTACAAGCCACTAGCCCGCCCCTTAGAACCTCTCATTTTCTTTCCATCGTGGAGATCTATCCTCAAGGAAATAACTTCTCAGTGTTCCATCTGCTATTCTACTACTCCTCAGGGATTATTCAGGCCCCCTCCCTTCCCTACACATCAAGCTCGAGGATTTGCCCCCACCCAGGACTGGCAAATTAGCTTTACTCAACATGCCCCGAGTCAGATAACTAAAATACCTCTTAGTCTAGGTAGACACTTTCACTGGATAGGTACAGGTCTTTCCTACAGGGTCTGAGAAGGCCACCGCAGTCATTTCTTCCCTTCTGTCAGACATAATTCCTCAGTTTAGCCTTCCCACCTCTATACAGTCTGATAACAGACCAGCCTTTATTAGTCAAATCAGCCAAGCAGTTTTTCAGGCTTTTAGTATTCAGTGAAACCTTTATATCCCTTACAGTCCTCCGTCTTCAGGAAAAGTAGAACAGACTAAAGGTCTTTTAAAAACACACCTCACCAAGCTCAGCCACCAACTTAAAAAGGACTGGACAATACTTTTACCACTTTCCCTTTTCAGAAGTCAGACCTGTCCTCAGAATGCTACAAAATACGCCCATTTGAGCTCCTGTATAGATGCTCCTTTTTATTAGGCCCCAGTCTCATTCCAGACACCAGACCAACTTAGACTGTACCCCAAAAAAACTTGTCATCCCTACTATCTTCTGTCTAGTCATACTCCTATTCATCGTTCTCAACTACTCATACATGCCCTGCTCTTGTTTACACTGCCGGTTTACACTGTTTCTCCAAGCCATCACAGCTGATATCTCCTGGTGCTATCCCCAAGCTGCCACTCTTAACTCTTGAAGTAAATAAATAATCTTTGCTGACAGGACTATGCTGAATTTCCTTAGGCACTCTAATTAGATGTCCTAGGTCCTCCCAATTCTTAGACTTTTAATACCTGTTTTTCTCCTTCTCTTATTCCGTTTAGTTTTTCAATTCATACAAAACTGTATCCAGGCCATCAACAATAATTCTAAATGACAAATGTTCCTTCTAACAACCCCACAATATCACTCCTTACCACAAAATCTTCCTTCAGCTTAATCTCTCCCACTCTAGGTTCCCACGCCACCCCTAATCCCGCTGGAAGCAGCCCTGAGAAACATCGCCCATTATCTCTCCATACCATCCCCCAAAATTTTTGCTGTCCCGACACTTTACCACTATTTCGTTTTATTTTTCTTATTAATATAAGAAGACAGGAATGTCAGGCCTCTGAGCCCAAGCTAAGCCATCATATCCCCTGTGACCTGCACGTACACATCCAGATGGCCGGTTCCTGCCTTAACTGATGACATTCCACCACAAAAGAAGTGAAAATGGCCTGTTCCTGCCTTAACTGATGACATTGTCTTGTGAAATTCCTTCTCCTGGCTCATCCTGGCTCAAAAGCTCCCCCACTGAGTACCTTGTGACCCCCACTCTGCCTGCCAGAGAACAACCCCCCTTTGACTGTAATTTTCCTTTACCTACCCAAATCCTATAAAACGGCCCCACCCCTATCTCCCTGCGCTGACTCCCTTTTCAGACTCAGCCCGCCTGCACCCAGGTGAAATAAACAGCCATGTTGCTCACACAAAGCCTGTTTGGTGGTCTCTTCACATGGACGCGCATGAAACCACTGTCATGTCTACTAACCTGTCATTGTCCAAAACAAATCACTGGACATACACAAAGTCAGTGAGATAAAGACATAGAATCTGTCTATCTACTGGTAAGTATTCAAAGTTACATGCCTAAGGTTATAGATGAATACTCTGCAGGTGTGTATTGGGATGGGGAGAAGGGTCATAGTTAAGAATCTTCAGCAGTAGATTTCTCTGTACCATCGACCTAAGTTCCTACAGAAAGTTCTGGCTCCAGAACTCAGGCTGCTAAGCACCCAACTGTACTTCCTTGGAACTGCCCCCAACCTTCAAAGGTGAGTTCTCATGGTCATGTTGATATTATATCACCTCTTACCCATGAACAAAGTTGTTTGGCATGTGATGGCTGTGCTTTTTTGATCCTGTTCTCTGTTTGGGCTTACTCAGCTCTGGCACCAACCCAAACCTGCAGGTAATATTATCAGTATCTTCAGGCCAACAACTAAGCAACAAGAAAAGATTTTTCCTGGCCTGCTCTAATCTTAAATACATATAAATAGCAATTCCCAGTTCACAAAGCATTGTCATAGTTCTTATCCCCACAAAACTTTCTTCCCCAAATTGCATGTAGTAGGTGTTATTATAGCCATTTTACATATTTATAAGTTGAGACTTAAGGTGAAATGACTTGCTAAATGTACAGCTCAAGAGCTCTGTAGCCCTGATGGGACCTGTGGCCTTTTATTTAATATATTTTGTGTTACCTGAGCACTTCTTCTGGAGCCCGCAACTGGGTGAGAGTACTACAAATGTGACTTCATTTAATTCTGTCAGCTCTGCAGTCGAGGGGTGGGGGTGAATATTCTTATCCAGTTGTGTTCATGAGAAGGTAAAACAATTATCCTAGGTTGTGAGCTAGGACGTGGCAGAACCAGAGGTGCCATCCAGTCATGTCTCACTCCATCACCTGCGCCCTGAACCCTACAGGATGCCTCTATCTGCTTTATCCTTGTTCTGCCTCACTCCTTAGTACCCCTACACCAAGAGCTGGATGGTCTCTTGCCTTGAGCTCTGTGAGGCAGCTAAACTGTAGTCTGATTTTTCATCGCCAGCACGTGTTCTTGGCTCCATGCCTGAACTTCTGCTTTTGGTTTCTGTTCTCAGACCCTTGTACTTGACCCTGGCCTTTATGTCTACCTGGGAACAATTGCTCTCTGATCCTCTGGCCCCTTGGCTAGGTTATGCTGCCTGTTACCTCTCATCCTGTTACACACATCTCCCCATTGCATCTGCTGCCCCATGCCAAGGCTGCCACTTTTACATAATGTCCTACTTTCAGGCATTTCTGCATGTAGAACTCTTATTTCAATTGATATTGAAGTTTCTTCAAGGTCAAACTTGGGATTAATAAATTGTCAATATGTTTATGAGAATAAATTTATCATTGCAGCTTCCATCTATGATATTTCTCAAATATTTATTTTTACCTTTAAATTAACATATTATAAAATTGACCTTTACTTTGTTATACAGTTCTATGAGTTTCAACACGTCTAGATTTGTGTAACCACTTTCGCAATCAACACACACAGCAATTCTACCACCCCTACCCACTCCCTCCTGTCCCCATCATTATAGTTTTGTATTTTCAAGAGTGTCATAGAAACGGAACCATTTCCTATGTAACCTTTTGAGGCTGGCTTCTTTCACTCAACACAACGCCTTTGAGATGCATCCACACTGCTGTAGTTTTAATGGTTCATTTCTTCTTACCACTGAATAGTATTCCATTGTATGGGTGTACCACAGGTGTTTATTCATTCACCTGACATATGGGGAGATTCTAGTATGAAGTGGTTATGACTAAAGCTGCTATAGGCAGTCCTATATACAGATTTTTGTATGAGTGTAAGTTTTCATTTCTCCAGAATAAGTATCCAGAAATGGATCACTGGATTGTATGGTTATATGGTTTGGCTGTGTTCCCACCCAAATCTCATCTTGAATTGTCACTCCCATTATTCCCACATGTTGTGGGAGGGAACCAGTGGGAGTTAATTGAATCATGGAGGCGGTTTCCTCCATACTGTTCTTGTGGTAGTGAATAAGTCTCACGAGATCTGATGGTTTTATAAGGGAAAACTCTTTTCACTTGGCTCTCATTTTCTCTCTTCCCTGCAACCATGTAAGATGTGCCTTTCACCCTTCCACCATGATTGTGAGGCCTTCCCAGCCACGTGGAACTGTGAGTCTGTTAAACCTCCTTTTCTTTATAAGTCCAGTCTTGGGTATGTCTTTATCAGCAGCATGAAAACAGACTCATACATATGGTAAGAGTATGCTTAAGTTTATAAGAAAATTCCAACCTAACTTCCAGGGTTACAACAGTTAATTTTCATACTTACCTGCATACAATTTTATAGTATAGGCAGATTCTACTACTGTGCCTCCTGCTTTCCATTTTTTCCTCCAAATTGACCCTTGGGCTCTCACCATGTCTTGGGAGACTCATGTCTCTGGGCTACATCAACAGGGTCCGTTGTCCTCTGGCATTCAATTTGGTTTGGCTGAAGAAAAGCACTGTCAGGAGACCAGAGGGCAGGAGGAAAAGGCTGTTCAAGGACTTACTTGCCTGTTCCCTCCTTGCTAGTGGCTACAGACAGTTGCACATCTCTCTAGAGTATCTGCTGCTTGTGGCAGGCACCCCTAGACCTGCCTTTCACTACCCTTTCCCCCTCAGGCCTCCTCCTGCTCACCACAGATCATTGCACTGTCCCTGATTACTTATATATTCAGTATCTTATTTAACCCTTCCAAAATCACTATGAAATAAGAAGGCAGATAAAGAAACTGAAGCATAACGTGCCTGAGGTCACATTGCTGTTAAGCAACAAAGCCAAGCAAGGCTGAAATCCATGTCTTTTGACTCTTAAGCCCATGCTTTTTCCAACAGACTCTGAGTTCACCCCATTTGTGTCAATGCTTTTGAAACAGGAAAAGTTCCCTTGTCGCCCTTGCAGGGCGTGTGATGGGGGTGTGGCTCGCTTCTTCAGTGCCCTGCTGCTCAGACCTCTAGGGGAGTATACAGATGGGCAGGCTGTGGGGCTCTGACCCCACTGCAGTGTCTAGGGGTGAAGGTTTAGAGCTCCTGAAGCCCCAGTGGGTGTTTGTCACTGTGTGCTCTTTTAGTTTAGCCATCCATAGGCAGCTTGTGTTAGTCAGCTCAATTAGACCCCTGCCTTATCGCAATGACAGAGGGCTTTCTATATCCTGGGTTCTCGCCTTGGTGTACCAGAAGAATCCGATCACACCCGGGCTTGGAGAATGAGTGCAAGGTTTTACTGAGTGGAGGTAGCTCTCAGCACATGGAGGGAGTCAGAAGGGGATGTAGTGGGAAGGTTTTCCCCTGAAGTCAGCCCGGACTTTCCTCTGACTGCCCTGACCAAACTCCACCTTGTTCTGCAGGTGGATGGCCTGCCGGCCTGCAGTGTGCCCTTCCACAGGCATGCTCTCCTTGATGTCCTCTCATTGTCCAGCTTCTTGTCTTCTTCTGCTGATTTGTTCTTCTCGCCATCCAGCAGCTTCTGTCTCTGCCTTGCTAGGGTCTCGTGTTTTTAAAGGCACAGGATGGGGGTATGGCAGGCCAAGGTGGACTTGGGAAATGCAGCATTTGGGCAGGAAATGCCTGTCCTCACCTAGGTCCTTGGGGGCAGGGCCCTAGCCAGGGACCACACCTCCCCTATCTAGCATTTCCCTTCCCCACTTCTGTAGCATTTAAAGGGACCACGCTCTTCCCTTCCCAGCACTCCCATATCACTTTTATTACACAGTTTTACAAATAATTCATTTCACCTGCTATAAACATTTAAAATAGATTCACTCAAGTTCTAGAATTCATGATCCAGTTCTCCTGAGCAGGTTATATGCATTGACATAGTTTCTCTTCTTCCTATTTGATTTTTTCCCTTAATTCCCAATACTCATGGTATCTTTCATATCAATTCTAAGTTTAATAAAAATGATCAAAATTCCTGAATAAAACATGGGAAGGCTAAATAAAATATTTTTATTCTTAAGTGAACATTGCATATGCTAATATGTTCTACATTCATTATTTGAATGAATTATTGATTAGATTTATTATGTATTTTAAACTTAAATATTTAAAATAAACTTCTACTGACATATAATTAGCAATAGGGAAGCTGAAAGCAACTGATTTTGCTTAACTAAACAACCAATGCCTACTGTTGAACCGGCTTTACCCTCCATAGCAAGGAACATAAATATAGGCAAAATGGGCAACTCTATATGCACAGTCGCTTATTCATTCTTTTGCAAATAATAATCAACTTTATTTAAATGCCTTACCCAAGATCTCACTGCCAGTGAATAGGAAACTAGTTGTCTTGATTTTCAGAGCAGGACTCTGTTTCCTACATAAACTTATGTGTGTAACTTTAACTGGGGTCTGCAGATCACTAGGGGTCTATATATGACCTCCTGAGTGTCTGCTAGGTGGCTCTAATTCAGGGTGACCTCTCTCCTGGTTTGCCCCAGAATTGAGGAATTTCCTGAAATGTGGGACTTGCAGTGCTAAAACTGGGAAAGTCCTGGGCAAACTGGGTCACTATAACCAGACATCGTGTGTTCAAATTCAATTATAAAAGGTCACCCAGGTCATCTAGTATATGCTTATTGTATTAGCCATTAGCCAGGGTTCTTCAGAGAAACAGAACCAATAGGATACACATACACACACACACACACACACACACACACACACACACACACACAAATACAAACACACAGATACAAACACATATATACATAATACACATGCGCGCACACACACACACACACACACACACACATATATATATATTTCTGAACTTGACACCAACTAGTTCTCTAATTAAAAGAAATTACTCAGATTTCTGACAAAGCCCCTAGAAGCACATGGACCTAAACAGCACTTAATCTAATCATTCTCAAACAGCATACCCCAAAGCCTCAGGGTCCATGGCCGTATTTCAGAAGCTGACCAGGAGAAACTCAGTAGGGACCCAAAGGGAGATGTACAATTTCCTCATCTTTTCGTTAAACCAGGCATCTCTGCTTCTCTCTGTTTTGTTTATTGAGGTTTCACTGGTAAGTCTGCATTGGTTGAACACTACTGAGGAGTCCAATCCTATCATATCACATAAAAGGAAATGATACCCAGATAGAAGAGGGAATTGGTGGCTTAAAACTCACAGCAGAATTCTACATATGGTAAAAATGAAATGATAGCCTCCTCCAAGTGGAATAGTTTCTAAGTGGCCTAAACCTCGCTTTCTATCAAAACAGCCCCCAGAGCTTTCTTCCTATAACATATTCTGTGCTTGGCTGATTTGACAGCATTACTGATAATATCACTTAGAAAGTGTAATGGTCATCGCTATTGACTTGCTGAGAATCTCAGTGTGTGGGCCTGTGTCATTCTTTTCACGTATGTGGGCTCCAGTTACTCTTCTGCCCAAGTAATCATCTTGTCATTAAGTCTCTGTAAAGCCACACTGTCAGCGGTAATTGTGGCAACATCTGTAACCGGCATAACACAGAATAGATATTTCAGGGGAAATGGACACATCCCAGGCTTTACAAAAATAAAATGACCCCTGGCACTTGCATTTGCATTTTGTGTATGTAGGTTCTATTTTCATTGACTGTTTCTTTCCCATTTATTCTTTCTGCCTTCTTAATGACATATAGGTGTAAGATACTGTTTTTTTCCTATTTTACAGTCCTGCATGTGGAGTCACTGAAAATATAAAATTAAGTTACTAAAAAAAGAAGGAAATTATTTGGGGAACTATAAAGCAGATAATATAGGAAAATCTCCTAGCCCAGTGGAAACTGTTTTATTTTTTAGAAACACTGCCCCTAATTTAACTGCTCAAAGAGATTTTCTTTACCTAAATGCTCATGATAGAGACAGAGAGAGGCATACAGAGAGAAAGACAGAGAGAGACACACACACACAAAGAAACAGACCACTGAAGGAGAAGTTCAGAAATGATGGAAAGAAGGTGTTTAGCAAAATGCCTCTTCAAGAGTTTATTCAAAGGACAAAGGTAACTCTTAACTGCTGTTCTCAACCTCTATTGGTTTTAATATATCTTTCTATACTTAAAAAAAGAAGACTCCAAAGACCATTTGCTTGTGGGAGGTAAACATCTTTCAATATGTTCTATATTTAAAATTAAAGTTGGGAAACATAAAGGATATTTATTAATTTGTTTTCAAATAACAGTAATAAACTCATTACATGTTAATGTACATATTTCTATGAAAATAAAAAAGAATAAGAAATTCTGTAAGCATTGGCAAGCCACCAAGCTCAGATCAACAGATACAAATTTTTCCAAAATTCTAAAACTGTTATTCAATTGATGCTTGAATTTTTCATTGGCAACAAATGCTGTTAGTTATGTCTCTTGAAGTAACAAGAACACTTCATTTATTTAAAAGGAAGTGTCTGCCAATGCCCAAGTCTAAATAACCATGGTTTGTCTTGTCATTTCTTTCAAGTGAAAATGGTGTTCAGTGAAAAAAGCAATTAGTTCTGCTCACAGCCTCAACTATTGCCAAAGTGCTTTCCCTCAAGACAGCCATCATACTTGGTTTGCAACAGAAATATGTCATGTGGGTTTCGTATTTCTTCACATAGTACAATATGCAAGGTTCAAAATTTAATAAGATTAATACTTTTATTCCTTCATCAAGGGCATTCCTACACTAAACTGACTTTTATTTTTAATGTTCTTGGGTACATAGTAAGTAGTAGGTGCATATATTTCTGGGGTATATGAGATCTTTTGTTATAGGCAGACAATGTGTAATAATCACATCAGGGTAGATGGAGTATCCATCACCTCAAGCATTCATCCTTACTTTGTGTTACAGACAATCCAATTATACTTGTTTAGTTACTTTTAAATGCACAATAAATTATTGTTGACAGTAGTCATCCTCTTGTGCTATTCAATAGTAGATCTTATTCATTCTACTTAACTACATTTTTGTACACATTAACCATCCCCATTTCCCCCCTACTACCCTGCTCAGCCTTTGATAACCGTCATTCTACTCTGTATCCATGAGTCCAGTTGTTTTAATTTTTAGCTCCAGAAATAAGTGAGAACATGCCAAGTTTGTCTTTCTGTGCCTGGGTTATTTCACTTAATATATTGACCTCCAGTTTCATTCATGTTGTTGCAAAAGATGGAATCTTATTCTTTTTATGTCCTGTGCCACATTTTCTTTATTCATCTGCCGATGGACATTTAAATTCCTTTGAAATCTTCGTTATTGGGGAATAGCGCTGCAATAAACGTGGAAGTGCTGGCATCTCTTTGATATACTAATTTCCTTTATTTTGGGAAGAAAATCCCACCTAGCAGTGGGATTGCTGAATAATATGGTAGCTCTATTTTTAGTTTTTTTGAGGAACCTTCAAACTGTTCTCCCTATTAATTGAACTAATTTATATTCGCACCGATAGTATATGACGGGTCCTTTTCTGCACATTCTCGTCGGCATTTATTATTGCCTGGCTTTTGGATAAAAGGAATTTCAACTGGAATAAGATTATATCTTATTGTAGTTTTGATTTGCACATCTCTGATGCTCAGTGATGTTGAGCACCTTTTCATGTACCTATTTGCCATTTGTATGTCTTCTGCTGAGAAATGTCTACTTACATCTTTTGCCTATTTTTGAAACAGATTATTAGATTTTTCTTTTCCTGTAGAGTTGTTTGAGCTCCTTGTATTAAACATATTCTGGTTATTAATCCTTTGTCAGTTAGAGAGTTTGTAAATATTATCTTTCATTCTGTGGGTTGTCTCTTCACTTTGTTGATTGTATCCTTTGCTGTGAAGAAGCTTTTTAACTTAACGTGATCCCATTTGTCCACTTTTGCCTCGGCTGCCTGTAGCTTGTGGTCTATTACTCAAGAAATCTTTCCCCTGCCCAGTGTTGTGGAGAGTTTCCCCAATGTTTTATTGTAGTAGTATCATAGTTTGAGATCTTAGATTTAAGTCTTTAATCCATTTTGATTTGATTTCTGTATATGGAAAGAGATAGGGTCCTAGTTTCATTCTTCTGCATATGGATATCCAGTTTTCCTCGCACCATTTATTAAAGAGACTGTCCTTCCCCCAGTTTATATTCTTGGCACTGCTGCCAAAAATGCATTCACTGTAGATATATGGATTTGTGTCTGGATTCTCTATTCTGTTCCATTGGTCTATATGTCTGTTTTTTATGTCAGTACCCTGCTGTTTTGATTACTATAGCTTTGTAGTATAATTTGAAGTCAGGTAATGTGATTCCTCCAGTTTCATTCTTTTGCTCAGGACAGCTTTGGCTATTCTGGGTCTTTCATGGTTCCATATACATTTTAGGATTGTTTTCTATTTCTGTGAAGAATGTCATGGGTATTTTGGGTATTTTCATGGGGATTACATTGAATCTGTAGATTACTTTAGGTAGTATGGGCATTTTAGCAATTTTGATGTTTTCATTATTCCAAACCATGAAAATTGACTATCTTTCTTTTTTTTTTTTTTTTTTTTTTTGGTGTCCTCTTTCAATTTCTTTCATCTTTCACGTTTTTGGTTAATTCCTACTTTTTTTGCTATTGTAAATGGGATTACCTCCTTCTTGTCCTCCTCGTCATCCTCTTCCTCCTTCTCCTCCTCCTTCTCCTCTTCCTCCTCCTCCTTCCTTTTCTCCTTTTTCTTCTCCTCCTTCTTCCTCTTCTTTCTAGTTCCTGTTTTTCTTCTTCTACTTGTTCTTGTTCTTTTTCTTCTTCCTCTTCCTCCTCCTTCTTCTTCTTCCTCTTCTCTCTTCTTCCTCTTCTTCTTCTACCTCTTCTTCCTCCTTCTTCTTTCTTCTTCCTCTTATTCCTTCTTCTTCCTTCTTCTTCTTCTTCTTCCTCCTCCTCCTTCTTCTACTTCTTCTTCTTCCTCTTCTTCTTCTCCTTCTTCCTCTCTTTCTTCTCCTCCTCCTTCTTCTTTTCTTCTTCTTCCTCTTCTTTCTCCTCCTCCTTCTTCTTCTTCCTCTTCTTTCTCCCCCTCCTCCTCCTCCTCCTTCTTCTTCCTCTTCTTTGAAATAGGGTCTTACCCTGTCACCCAGGCTGTAGTGCAGTGGCATGATCTCTGCTCACTGCAACCTCCACCTCCTGGGTTCAAGTGATTCTCATATCTCAGCCACCCAAGTATCTGGGATTATAGGCCCATGCCACCATGCCTGGACAACTTTTATATTTTTAATAGAGATGGGGTTTTACCATGCTGGCCAGGCTGATCTCAAACTCCTCCATCAAGTGATCCTCCTGCCTCGGCCTACCAAAGTGCTGAGATTACAGGCATGAGCCACCATACCTGGCCAGGATTACTTTCTTGACTTCTTTTTCAGATTGTCTGCTGCTGGCATATAGAATGCTACTGATTTTTGTATGTCGGTTTTGTGTCCTCAACTTTATGAGTTTGTTTATCAGTTCTAATAGGTTTTTAGTGGAATCTTTAGGTTTTTCCAAATATTAGATCATATCATCTGCAATCAATGATAATTTGATGTCCTCCTTTCTAATTTGGATGTTCCTTATTTTTTTCTCTTCTCTGATTGCCCTAGCTAGGACTTCTGGTGCTATGTTGAGAAACAGCAGTGAAAATGGGCATCCTTATCTTATTCCAGATCTTAGGGGAAAGTCTTTCAGTTATTCCTTATTCAGTATAATACTAGCTTTGGGTCTGTCATATATGTATTTTCTTGTGTTAAGGTATGTTCCTTCTGTACCCAGTTTTTTTAGGTTTTATTATGAAGAGATGTTGAATTTTATCAAATGCTTTTTGAGCATCAATTGAAATAATCATATGTTTTTTTCTTTCATTCTGTTGATATAATTTATTACAATGATTGTTTTGCAAATGTTGAATCATCCTTGCATCCCTGGGATTAAACTTATTTGGTCATGATGAATGATCTTCTTAATGTGTTGTTGAATTTGGTTTGCTAGTATTTTGTAAGGATTTTTGCATCAATGTTCATTAGGAATAATACTGGCCCATAGTTTTCTTTGTTTTCTTTTTCTTTCTTCTTCTTCTTTTTTTTTTTTTTTTTTTTTTTTGATATGTCTTTGTCTGGTTTTGGTATCAGGATAATACTGGCCTCATAGAATGAGTCTGAAAGTATTCCCTCCTCCATTATTTTATAGAATAGTTTGAGTAGGATTGGTATTATTTCTTCTTTAAATGTTTGGTAAAAATTCAGCAGGGAAGCCACTGGATCCTGTGGTTTCCTTTGCTGAGAAATTTTATATTATGGGTTTGATCTCATTACTTGTTATTGGTCTGTCCAGGTTTTAGATATCTTCATGAGTCAATCTTGGTAGGCTGTATGTGTCTAAGAATTTATCAATTTCTTCTAGGTTTTCCAATTTATTGGCATATAGTTGCTCATAGTAGCCTCTAATGATACTTTGAATTTTGGCAGTATCCGTAGTAATGTGTCTCCTTTTTTTAAAATCTCTGATTTTATTTATTTGGGTCTTGTCTCTTTTTTTCTTAATTAGTCTGACTAAAGTTTTGTGGATTTTTATTATCTTTGTAAAAAACTTTTCATTTTGTTGATTATTCGGGTTGTTTCCTTTGTTTCAATTTCATTTATATCTGCTTTGATATTTATTATTTGTTTTCCTCCATTAATTTTGGGTTTGGTTTGCTCTTGGTTTTCTATTTCTTTAAGATCCATTGTTAGGTTGTCTACTTGAAGTTTTTCTACTTTTCTGATGTAGATGTTTATAGCTATAAACATTCCTCTTAGTACTATTTTTACTATATCCCATACATTTTTGTATGTTTTGTTACCATTATTATTTGTCTCAAGAAATGTTTAAATCTCCTTCTTAATTTCTTTATTGACCCACTGGTTATTCCAGAGCATATTATTTAAAGTGTTTGTATAGTTTCCAAAATTTCTCTGGTTATTGATTTCTAGTTTTACTCCATTGTAGTAAGAAAAGATTCTAATATAATTTCATTTTTTAAATCTTTGCAACTTATTTTGTAGCCAAACATATTGTCTATTATTGAGAAGGATTTATGTGCTGAGGAAAGGAATGTATATGTTGCAGCTGTTGGATGAAATGTTCTATAAATATCTTTTAGGTCCATTTCATCCATAATGCTGATTAAGTCCAATGTTTATTTCTTGATTTTAGATCTGGATGATCTGGGGTGTTCCAGTGTTGGATGCATATATATATACTGGATGTATTATTATACTGGATGTCCAGGTATTATTATACTGAGGTCTATCTCTTTCTTTAATAATATTTGCTTTATATATCTGGGTGTTCCAGTGTTGGATGCATATATATTTACAATTGTTATGCCTCCTTGAGGAATTGACTACTTTATCATTATATAATGAGCTTTCTTATCTTTTTTAACAGTTTTTGTCTTGAAATCTATTTTGTCTGACACAAGTATAGATACTCCTGCTTCTTTTTCGTTTCTGTTTCCATGGAATATCTTTCTCTATCCCTTTATTTTTAATCTATATGTGTTTTTATAGGTGAAGTGTGTTTCTTGTAGGCCACAGATTATTGAGTCTTGTTTTGTTATACATTTAGCCACTCTATGTCTTTTGATCAGAGAGTTTAATCCACTTACATTCAATGTTATTGTTGATAAATAAAGACTTAATCCTGCCATTTTATTGTGAGTTTTCTGGTTGTTTTGTGGTCTTCTCTTCCTTCTTTCCTTCCTTCCTGTCTTTCTGTTAGTAAAGGTGATTTTCTCCAGTGGTATGTTTTAATTTCTTCCTTTTTATTTTTCATGTATCTGTTGTATGTTTTTGATTTGAGGTCACCATGAGATTTGCAAACAATATCTTATAACCATTATTTTAAACTGTTGACAACTAAACACTGATTGCATAAACAAAGAAGCAAAGGGAAAACTAATAAAACCTTTACACCTTAACTGTGTCAACCTGCTTTTTAACATTTTGTTGTTCCTATTTGTATCTTATTGTACTGTCTATGTCTTGAAAAGTTGTTGCAATTATTATTTTAATTGATTTATATTTTAGTCTTTTTACTTAACATATGAGTAGTTTACACACCACAGCATGTAAGTTACAGTGTTATAATATTCTGTGTTTTCTTTGTACTTACAATTACCAGCAAGTTTTGCACCTTCAGATGATTTATTTTTGCTCATTAACATCTTTTTCTTTTGGATTGAAGAACTCCCTTTAGCATTTTTTGTAAGACAGGTCTGATGTTGATGATATTCCTCAGCTTTTATTTGTCTGGGAAAGTATTTCTTCTTCCTATTTGAAAGACAATTTTTTAGATATATTATTTTAGGATAAAAGTTTTTTCCTTCAGAACTTTAAATGTCATGCCACTCTTACTGGCCTGGAGGATTTCCACTTAAAAGTCTGCTGCCAAATGCATTGGGCCACCATTGTATATTATTTTTACTTTCTTTTGCTGCTTTTAGGATCCTTTCTTTATCCTTGACTTTTGGGAGTCTTCTTAATAGATGACTTGAGATAGTAGTCTTATTTGGGTTACAACTGCTTTGTGTTCTATAACCTACTTTTACTAGAATATTGATATCTTTCTCTAGGTTTGGGAAGTTCTCTGTTATTATCCCTCTGAATGAACTTCCTACCCCTATCTCTCTGCCTCCTCCTCAAGGCCAATAGCTCTTAGATTTGCCCTTTTTAGTCTGTTTTCTAGGTTATGTAGACATGCTCATCTTTTCTTCTATCTCCTCTGACTGTGTATTTTCAAATATCCTATCTTTAAGCTCACTAATTCTTTCTTCTGCTTGATCAATTCTGTTAAAAGACTCATGCATTCTTCAGTATGTCAACTGCACTTTTCACCTCCAGAATTTCTGCATGATTCTCTTCAATTATCTTAATCTCTTTGTTAAATTTATCGGATAGGATTCTGAATTCCTTTCCTGTGTTATCTAGAATTTCATTACGTTTCCTCAAAACAGATATTTTGAACTCTCTGTCTGAAAGATCAGATATCTCTGTCTCTCAAGAATTAGTATCTGGTGCTTTATGTATTTCATTTGCTGAGGTCATGTTTTCCAAGATGGTCTTGATGTTTATGGATGTCCATTGGTACCTGGGCATTGAAGATCTGGGGATTTATTGTGGTCTTTACAGTCTGGGCTGGTTTGTACTCATCCTTCTTGGGAAGGCTTTCCAGGTATTTGAAGGGATTTGGGTATTGTAATCTAAATTTTTGGTCGCTGCAGCCATGTCTTCATTAGGGGATACCCAAACCCCAGTAACTCTGTGGTGGCTCGTGCAGACACACAGAGGTACTGCCTTGGTGGTCTTAGAGAAGATCTAGAATAATTCTCTGGATTACCAAGCAGAGACTCTTGTTCTCTTCCCTTACTCTTTCTCAAACAGGGTCTCTCTTGGTGTGCTGAGCTGCCTGGAGCTGGGCAGGGGGTGATACAAGCCCCTCCACTGGGACAGTACTGGGTCAGACCTGAAGCTGGCATGGCACTGAGTCTCATCCAAGGCCCACAGTAACCATTATCTGGCTACCACCTATGTTTGCTCAAGGTTCTAGGGCTCTACATAAGCAGGTGGAAAAGCCAGCCAGGCTTGTGTCCTTCCCTTTAGGGTGGTGAGATCCCCCCAACCCCAGGCAGGTCCAGAGAGGCCAACTGGGAGCCATGGCCTGGAGTTATAAACCTTAGGAATCTATTTAATGCTCTATTCTACTGCAGCTGAGCTGGCACACAAACCACAAGACAAAGTTCTTCCACTCTTCCCTTCCCTTTCCATAAGCAGAGCAGTCTCTCCCTGTGGCCACCACCACCCCAGGACCATGGTGAATATTGCCTAACTACTGCCGATGTTCACTCAAGGCCCAAGGGCTCTTCAGTCAGCTTGTGGTGAATGCTGCCAGACCTGGGACCCTCCCTTCAGGGCAGTGCCCTCCCCTCTGGCCAAAGGCAGATTCAGAAATGTCATCCAAGAGCCAAGACCTGAAATCAGGGATGCCAAGAGCCCGCTTGCTGCTCTACCCCTCTGTGGCCAAGCTGGTACCTAAGCATCAGGATGAAGTCCCCTTTACTATTCTCTCTCCTTTTTTAAGCAGAAGGAGTCTCTCACCATAGCCACCACAGCTGGGACTGTGCTGGGTCTCACCTGAAGCCAGTACATCTCTGAATCTCATTCAAGGCCCACAATGAGTACTGCCTGGCTACCACTGCTGATTATTCAGGGCCCACGTACTCTTCAGTCAGCAGGTGGTGAATCCTTCCTGAATTGGGTCCTTCCCTTCAAGGCAGCAGGTTATCTTTCTGGCCCAGGTGTATCTATAAGTGTTATCCAGGAGCTCGGGCCTAGAATGGTAGCCCCAGGATTTGGCTTGTTACCCTATCCTACTGTGGTAAGCTGGTATCCAAGTTGCAAGACAAAGTTCTCTTTATTCTTCTTACTCTTCCCTCTCCTCTCCTCAAGTGGAGAGAAGGAGTCTTTCCTGGAGTTGAGAGCTGCACTGCCTGGGACTGGGGGAGGGGTGGCATCAGCACTCCCTTGGCTGCCCCAGCTGGTGTTTCACTAGGTCATGTGCCCCCCAAGTCCACTGGCTCCAAGCCCAACACAGCACCATAACTTGCCCAGGAATTGCAGTCCTTGAGGCCCAAACTGCCTTTCAAGTTTCTTTAGGACCCCAGAGCCTCCAGAGCAAGGCTTGCTGGAACTCAGATTCCAACTGCTGAGATGGGGATTCCCCTCTGGCTAGGGCTGGTATAAATACACCCACCCTCAGCGGGTGCCAGCTGAGCTCTGCCTGGCATTGCTGTCCACTGTGACAGGACAGCACTGAGCTCCAAGGCAAAGGTCCACAGTCACTGTGCTCTCCCTCCCACTGCCACACAGATTCTTTCTCTGTGCCATGTGGCACAGAGTGGTATCAGCAATTCAATTCCTGCTCTCTTCGGTGCCTCTTTCAGTGTTATGAAGTTAAACCAGGTACTGTGACTGTTCACCTGACTTTAGGTTATTATGAAGGTGTTTAATTGTGTGGATAGCTGTTCAATTTGGTGTTGCCACAGGGAGGACGATCAGTAGAGGTTTCTGTTCAGCTATCTTGCTCCATCTCCAGGCTGACTTTTTTTTTCTATGTAAGTAAGTGCATGGTATGAAAAATACAATAACTGCTAATATAATTTGGTGTCACTACCTCGATTTGTACTAAAGCACCAGTAGTTTTAGTTCACTATTTTTGCATCATCAATAAAATTTCAATGGAAAATGTATATTACATATTAGTATTATTGTGAAAAGAGTTTTGAACTCTCAGAATCTCTGAAAGGGCCTCAGGGACCCCCAGGGGATTACTGAGCAGACTGTGATAACTACTGTCTTAAATTATGTCCTTCTTCCCTTTCTTTCTTACTTCCGCCTGTGAAAAAATTAGAGATAAGCTTGGAGTCAGATACTTGCAAGTAATCATGGATAAATACAACATGCTCTCCCTCCACACAGACCCCAATTTCTTCCTCGAAGAGCTTATTTCCTAGTGGTACACTCTCTTTTCTTCCTTCCCCCTCCTGCTAGTTGGTTGACTTTGTCACTTACAACCAAAGATTCTTAACCAAACAAAGCATTCGAAGGCCAAACCTGGAGCCCTCCAGTCTAATTCCACAACCAAAATCCATACTGCTTATGGATTTTGCACTCCATACTTAATTTATTACCTAAATCTATAACCAATTACCGTGGATTAATTAATTGATTAATATTCAAACACTCTTTCTCTTTCCTCATTTTCTTATAAATATTCTGCATCATGTTCTATCTGTATTTATTAGGGTGAGCTACATTAAGTTGATGTTCGTGGTGGGTGAAAAATCAAGTATCATCAGTTTCATGTAGATCAACCTCATAATAACCAAAGCATTACTTTCCACCATTGGAAGAGAAGTACCAAAATACATCAATTGAAAGAAAATTATTCCCAGTGTTTGGGTGGACATGTACTCCAAGAAGAAGAGAAGATTGTGAGGCAAACATCACGTGACTTTAAATGTGTCTTAGTCAAAACTACTAAGGCAATTTTGGACAATATGGGCCTCATCCAAATATTGAGCTCACCTGTTTTATGTTTCCACGACCCCATGTTGAGGACAGATTTCCCTCTGCTGTGGAACGAGAACCATCCATCACTGGAACATTTCCAGCCTCTCTCCACTTACCCTCTCACTTATCCTTCCTCAGTGAGAAATGTGAAAGAAGGAACAGGTTGGCTTGGTCCCTCCCTTTCTTTTGCTCTTAGGATTATGTGCTCTGGTCTCCTCCTCCAAGGGCACATTGATCAGTGGCAGGTCCCCAGTTAAGAGAGAGAAGGGGACAGTGTTAATGCAGTGTTATCTTAGACTGGGGAGCAAAGTTTGTAATACTCAGGGGTTGAAAGTAAAGAATCCCACCATTGCCACACGCCCAAGGCCACTGGTCATAAAGACACGATTTCAATCTTCATTTTCATGGCTTCTCACTGGCTGGCTCTCAGCGAAATAAAGAAAGATTATTTTTGATTCTTCAGACACCAACAGACATCTGCTCATAGAAGTTGATGCCAGAGGACTCACAGTATAGAAGTGGAGCCCCCAACATTTGTGTGAGAAAACCTTAGTGTTACTTTTCACTATAGGTTCTTGGGTAGGTGTTGGGGAAACAAAGAGAAATGTGGGATGGTGATACTTCAAAAGCAGAGGAAAAGCTCACTCTCATGCTACAATTTCCTCTCGTCCAAAAAATCTCAGTGAATTCACTGACTGAGTCCTGGAAAGCAGATGGCAGATTTACCTAAGAAGGTTAAGAATGGCAATATTCTTATCCCAGTTCTACTACTTACTGGCCATGCCTCCATAGGCAATATTTTACCTGTCTATATCTCAGTTTCCTCTTCTGTAAAATGTAGATAATTATAGCCTCTCCCTCATCTCATCGTTACAAGGATGAAATACATGAAAACAAGAAGTGCTTCAAAAAGTCTGGTGCATATTAAGTATTTTAATAACTATTCTCTTATAATTAAATGCATTTTATTGCTATAAGCAGCTGATCTTCATTTATTTATTCAAAAGATACTTGCATTGCATTTATACACATGGCACACTCCTAAGCCTGAGGATAGTGACAATGAAGACAAAATTCCGGCTCTTAAGAGCTCCCTTACTCTGTTGGAAATCTCTGAAACAAAGTGAAATATATTGGAGAAGGGGGACATTCTTGGAGACCTCATTTTATATATAAATGAATATGTATTCTGGATGGAACTGCTGTATATGGTTAGGGGTGGAAGGCTTGGTGTCAAGCAAATACTTTTAGGCAGCTAAAGAGAATTTGTGTAGTGTATTTAATAAGTAGGTAGGATGTGGGAATAATAATTTATATTTGCAAAGTACTTTAGCCTTCAAATTGTAATCATAGCCTTTTGATATTTAAGGCAGTATGAGATGGTGAGAAATGAACATGCCTTTGAATCAGAACAAAGAGGCTACAGTCTCATCTCTAACAGCCACTGTCTGATTCCTTAACCCCACAGTAGGGGTAGTCACAATAAAAAATAGTAACAGCCCCCCAAACTATTTCACAGGGTTGTTGTGTAGATGAGATGATACGTTATGTACAGGAGAGCGTGCATTCCTTCAGCAAATATTTAATCAAACATGTAAGGTATACTGGGCTTTGCTGCACTGCTTGAGGCCCTGTCCTCATGCAGTTACATCTTAATGATAGGACCAGACACTAAAGGAGTAGCAAATAAATGAGATAATTTTCACTTATAGTAAGTGCTTTATATATATATAATATATATTTTTATATATATTATATACATATATTATATATATTATATATAAATATATATTATATATTATATATATTTATATATATTATATATATTTTTTAATATATATATTATATATATATATATGGTGTTGTGGCAGAGAAATTCTCCCTTACAAGAGATTTCACTGAGTGTCTCTTGGGAGGAGAAATTGGAGCTGAGAAGGGGCTGGGGGCAGAGCTGGAAGGAAAGTTCTGGTTGGAGTAAAGAGGGTATGAAGGACAGGAAGCAGAATAAACTGTGGTGTGCAACAAAGGGAAAGGAAGACAAGCAACTGGAACAAGGCAAGGTGGGGAAGAAGGGCCTGAAAGGAAGCCCAGACATAGGAAAAGCTCAGATATGTGGGGGCTTGAAAGCCATGGGAAGGAGTTTGTATTTTATGTTAAGGAAGGGGGACCCCCGTTGAAGGTTTTAAGCAAGAGAGTGCATAATCAACTTCCTGTTTAAAATTATAATTAAATAACTGTGAAGGCAAGTGAGAATTTGTTTCTGCTGGAGATGCCAACATGGACAGGTGGAGGGGAAGGTGGAGAGAGGATGTCATATGGGTCTGTTTCCGCCTCATTACTTTCATGGTCTTCTGTCTGGAGGTGAAACAGGGAGATTTGCATCCTGCTTGATCTCAATAGGTGAATATTGTTACTTTTGTCACCTGCCTCACAGTGCCTGGCTCTTTGTCCTTGGTACAATCAGGCCTCTCTTGGGCCTGTGATGACAATGTCAGTATTTCCCCCAGCGGGAAAATAAAATTGACCCTGGAGTTTTATTGATGAGTTTCGGCGATCTGTTTCTCAGAGATAAAAAGCCTTCCACACATTATATGACTGGCAATCTAAACATTCTTTAATAGTCATTGTAGTCTGGTGATTGTGGGTGTCAAATGGGGACAAACTATGGATTTGTCTTTGCTTTCTGTCTCAGGACTGCTTTGTAAACAGGCTGAATGGAACATCCCAGAAATGGCAAGGGCCTTATGGACCCACTTCAGGGTTTTTAGAGTAAATTTACTACCCTTGACTAGAGAATGGACCTCTCCTCTCTGAGAAGGTCATCTTAAGTAAAAGCTACCACACCTACAGCAAGAAAGGAGGAATAGGCTGTCTACTCCGTTAACTAGATTAACAGAGTTAGTCCTGGCCATTTGTACAGTGATAGGTATAGGAGGAAGACCACCTTCACAGCCAAGTTGCAAGAAAAACCTGAAGTTGGAGTTAAATCCAATAGCGACCATGAGTACATTAAAGTGGGTTTGACATTTTCACAAGGTACAAATAGAAGATGTTATCAAGTAGAAAATGAATAGAAAGCATAATAGGTGTGGATTTTTTTTTTCCCCAGAGACCTCAATACTTTCCACTTGGATTCCTGCTGGGTTAAGGGGCTTTAGATCATCCTTGCTAGTGAACACCGCAGGAGTGAAACCACGCTACCCTTCCAGTTTTATGCATGACTAAGCGTTGACCTTTGCCGTTGCTAGATTCTCCTGAGACATGCTTGCTTACAACTTCAGTTGTGCAGCTTTTTGCATGGATAAGCCATAGAGTCCTGTTCTTAAGAAGCTAAATATTTGCAAACATTCATTTATTTAACAAATATTGATTGAATAGCTGCTGTGTGTCAAGCACTGGTGACTGGGTAAACATGTATGAACAAAAGAGACAAAGCCTGTGTCCTCATGAATACATATAGATTCAGGCGCATGCAGAATTTAGAATTTTCTATTTCTAATTAAGGTATCATGAAGAGCAATTCAGCCTACCTTATCATTATACAGATGGAGAAACTGAGGCCCCAAGAATGACTTTCTTAACATCACACAGGTAGTGGGCAGAAGGATCATGGGTGGTAATAAGCATTATTAACGTTTTTTGAGTACTAACTATGTACCAAGTACCTGGTAAAAAGTACTCGGCATGGCTTATTTTCATGAATTTTCACAAAAATCCCTCTGAGATAAGTACTATTATTATCTGTCCTTTTCTGGATAAGAATACTGAGACCCAAGTCTATAGAGCTGGGAAACTGTTGAGCTGTGAGTTAAATCTAGGCAGGATGACATTAAAGAAAGAACTTCTACTCACTGTCATACTGCATTATCCAGAGTTCTTTTAACTCCAACATTCGAAAAATATTATCCCTTTAACAGGCTTGCATTTCAATCCCACAGCCACTTGTCACCAGTTGGTCTAATACCTGACAGTATCCATAGAAAGGGAGGAATTTACCCAGCTTATAAAGTGATGGTGATGGAACCATCTGTTTGTTTGCATTTAAGCCAGTAGTGGCTATTAGAAATGAAAATAGGTTTGAGAGTCTCAAGAAATACCCAAATATTTTCTCCTGGTATTTTAAAATATTCAGTTTTCATGTAAGAATGATACATGGAGATAGAAAACAACTGTCCTTAACAATAAATGGTAAAATCAAAGCAGATTTCCTGTAAAGATAAGTACTCTTCATTTTCCCAGATGCCTCTCAAGGCCCATGGAGTGCCTGGACCATATTTAATAAATACTTTTCTCTTTCTTGTCTTAAAGAAGGTCCTTGAAATATTATAGGTTTCAGGCCCCTCCAAGCTTATGTTTGTCCCTGCTTTACCCCAATATAGAAGTTTACCTCAAGGTTTTAGAGACAGTAAAACCTCAATTTACTATCACCGGCTTTGCTGTTTACTAACTGTGAGAATTTGAGTAACTTATTTACCTATTGTAACTTCTATTTCTGTATCTGTTAAATGAAATATATACTCTTGAAAGTGTATGGTTGTTGGAGAAGAAGAGTGGCTATATTCATCTAACAACAAAGGTACAATGTTAATAAATGTTGAATCAATATATTTCCTTAAAAATTGTGTTCATCTATAGTAACAACACATGAAAAACAGTGGCTTAATTGAACACAGGTCCATTTTTCTCATTTAACAAGAAGTCTGGAAAGAGGCTCAGACATGTCCTGGGGACATACACTCATAGTATCTTTCTGTTTAGCCTTCTGCAGTGCGGACTCCATCTTCATGGTCACAAAGTGGCTGCTCTCTTCCAGACATTGTGTTTGCCTTCCAGGAAGAAAAAAAGAAGAGATATATGGAAAGACATATAATCTATATATAATTTTTCTATATGCCTATACTATATATTATAGAGTCTATATTTCATATAGATTGTGAGTTCTTTTAATTATCATCCTCTGTGTAAATGTTGTACATTTCTATGTATATTTCATTGGTAAGAAGTGAATCACATGGCATCTTAACTCTAAGGGACATGGGGAAGTGAAGATTTTTAACTAGCAACATTTCTTAAGGAAAATTGAAGTTCTGGACATATGAGAGGAAAACTAGTTTGTCTGGTGCAGGGATTCTCAGACTTTAACTAGCATCACAGTCACAGATCTCCAGGCCCCATTCCCAGAGTTTCTGATTAGTAGGTCTGGAGTGCGGCCTGAAAGTTTACATTTTTAACAACTTCCTGGGTAATGCTGATGCTGCTGGTCCAGGGATCATACCTGGAGAACCACTTACCTAGTAAAACAAAAAACAAAAAGAAGACTGTTTTGCTTTGTCTGTAACAGCTTCTACTGGAGTCAATTTTATGGTCCAAACAAAGCAGCAAGTAAATGAAGAAACCAATACTAAACCTGAATAGGGTTCACTTCTATTTTCCCAGGGAAAGTGAATATGTATATAAAGTGTGTGTGTCTGTGTGTGTGTGCATGTTGTGTGTGTGAGTTTATACATATCGGTCCATTTCTTTGGCTTTATTTGGTGCGAGGACCAGAAGGGTGCTAATGAAGAGGCTATATATTTGGCCAAGGATTTTTAAACCCATCTGAGAAGTGAAGAGTGAGCCACGTGTGCCAACTGCCATATGAAGAACACGGAGGGAAAGTGACAGATGAATCCTAGGGACAGTCAGTTCTGAAAATGTCATTTTCCACAGTAAAACTATGGCCAGAGAGACCATGTGTTCAAGAAGCCGCCAAGCTAGAGTAGCAGGGAAAAAAGGGCAGCAAAGTTGCTAAAAGCTGCTGAGAATGGATGCTCCCAGCCTTCCATCTATCTCTTTGCTTCACTAGGAAGAATGTGTTGTGGGCTGTCATGGTAAAGAGGTTGAGGCTTCCTAACAAGCCATCAGAAAAAGTCCCTAGACCAAGACAGCTTCACTTGAGAAATGCCTAAACTGTCACTGCTCTTCTGAGCGTTAAGGACCCATCTCCTGTCCCTTGTTTGACACAGGTCTACAATCCCTTATCCATAACTTCAAACTCCAAATGCTGAAAACTAAAAACTTGTAACTCCTTTTTTGTGAAACATGCCCTGACCTGAACACATTCAGCAGCAACATCTGACTGACCTAACTATTCGTATGCTTAAAAATGTTCTTATTTGATACTAGCAGTGATACATCTCACTGCAGAAAAAGCAACACACTTGCTTATGAGATGCTGCCCAGACATGCGGCAGGGAATTTACATAATTAATGGAGTAGGCATCATGTTACCTTTCAAAAATAAGAAAATTTCTGAATTCTGAAACAAATCTGAACCCAGAGGTTTAAATAAGGTATTGGGGAATGGACTCCTGGCTTGCCTGTTGATACTGGTTCCCATTTTCTGATGAACCTTTCAGCCATGGCCTTGCCACAGCTTTGCTGCAGCTCTCCAGCTACTTTATTGAGCACTCTTTTTAACACACCCAGATGTTCTTGAATTCCCCGGCAATTGGAGTTTCGATGCCACTAATCCTGGGCTGAGTCATATCTTGAACTCAGCAAAAATCCTTATTGACAGAGTTTTTTCTCATTGGACTCATAGAGAGGAGAGGAAGTTTCAACATCCTGTCTCTACTGCTTACTTGGGAAAATAATCCTTATAGTTTAAGCCTTTGGTTTCTCTCCTTAGACAGCATGCAAGGTAGTCTCTTTATATGCACTAAGAGAGGCAACCAAGGCTCAGAACAATTAAGCAAGTTCCTACGTTACTGTCCTAACATGATTCTAATACACAATGTTTTGAACCCCTTAGGCAAGAAACAGAATCCGCCATCTTCTACACAGAGAAAGCTGCCTCTTTTGCAGAGCCCTGTAAAAATAAAAATGCAGGGCCCCTTGTCCAAAATTTAATAATTTTAAGACGGCAATAGCAGAGCATTAATCCAAATGCAAGCCCCTGTACAACTGTACAAGTCACATACCCTTGAAGTCAGCACTGTTTCTCTATTTTCCACAGTACCTAACATAATATGACTCGATAAAATATTATTTTAATTGAATGCCATCAACAACAATCAACAGAAGATAATGCCAAGCAACAACATCCACAAAATGTAATAGAGATGGCTCCACAATATTCTCCTCCAGTTTAATACTATCCATTAGATAGTCTGCTTAACGTGCAAACTGCTTTTTTATGGGTTGAATCAACACTTCTGTAGCAGGCATATTGCCCAGAAGATGACAATACTGCTAAAAATCTATCTCCACTCAAAACCATTTATTATCCTCAAATCTTTTGCCTCTTTCTATGCACCAAGTTGTAACCTCTTCCAGAAAACATCACCTACCACTTCCTCAAAACAGTGTCTTTCAGCAGCACTGTGGATTTGATGGCATGTCCATTTGTCATAGTGAGTTTATAGACATCCAGGTTCTTGCCATGGAATATTTAGTTTATTCAAGTAGTGCCAACTCATGACATGAAAAGTAAGTTAACCAGCTGGTAAAGCCGGCATCTACACAATCACACCTAACGGGTAGAAAAGGTTGAACTAGTAGTTGAGCCAGTACTGTTAAATTACCTTTACAAATGAAAGGGAGCCGAAATACTTAAAATCTCAAACAATGCACAAAATCCTCTTTTGTGACTGTGGACTTTTGTGGGGTTTTTGCTTTTTTTTTTTCTCTCCAACATTCTCATCAACTATCATTCATGTATGCCATATAAAGAGCTCCATTTAGACTTAATAAAGATTCAGGGCATTGAATCAGGTAAGCCAGAGACCTGTTTAATGTCCCCATTTTGTCACCTTGTACAACTCTAAGGATAAAAGAATGCTCAAGCTTTGTAAACCTTAGAGACAAACTGTTTCAGCTTCCCCATGTCACAGACAGAGAACCGAAAGCTCAGAGCAACTCCTTCCTGCAGTCCTATGCAAGCTGGAGACTGGAATAGGACTCATCTCTCTGCTGTCTCTTGAAACTCACAGGGTGGCCAAGGGCTTGGCTTCCACTATGGTGGTCTCAATTTTGTGTCAGAAACAGGGCTTAGATGTCAAGTAAAAGGAAACCGTTGAAAGCAGATCAGGTGTCATAGCATTTTGATTCTTGAGGTGTCTGCAAAATAAGTTTCTAAGGTTGGTAGATGTTAACTGTTATATAGGTTTAAACCATTTACTGAGTCAGGAAATAGCACTTAACATTGGTTAAATACTTAGAATTCTGCCAGGCACTGAGGGAGTTAACTACAGCAACAAAGAATGAGTGAATAATACAGTCATCCATCTCATGAACGGAGCAAACATCCAATTTTGAAGATAAAAGTGAATTCCCACCAGACCCTAAGCTCCTCTGGGGCATGTACTGTCTGTGTGCCTTTTATCTCTGTGATAGCCAGAGTGATCTTTCGAAAATGAAAAATCTTCACTAGCTTCCCTTTCTCTTAGAATAAATGTAAAATCCTTTAATGTTCCTTATGAGGCATGCCACAATATAGACTTGGGATTGGGAAACTTTTGTGTAACAGGACAGATAGTAAACATTTTTGACTTTGCAGGCCAAACAATCTCTGTGGCAACTACTCTATTCTGTCACTGTAGTATGCATGCAGCCATAGACAATTAGTAAATGAACAGGCATGGCTGTGATCTAGCAATACTTTGTGTACAAATGCAGGCAGCAGAAAGATTTGACCTGCAAGAATAGTGTGCTGACCCTTGGGATGGATTGTGCATTTCACGCTGTATATCTACTAATCACCTGGGATCTTGTTAAATACAGATTTGAACACAATAAATCTGGGATGGAGGCCAGGTGCCGTGGTTCACACCTGTACTCCCGGCATTTTGGGAGGCCGAGGCAGGTGGATTACCTGAGGTCAGGAGTTCAAGACCAGCCTGGCCAACATGGTGAAACCCTGTCTCTACAAAAAGTACAAAAATTGGTCAGGCAAGGTGGTGCTCGCCTGTAATCCCAGCTACTTGGGAGGCTGAGGCAGGAGAATCGGTTCAACCCAGGAGGTGGAGGTTGCAGTGAGCCAAGATCACGCCACTATACTCCAGCCTGGGCAACAAGAGTGAAACTCTGTATCAAAAAAAAAAAAAAAATATGGGATGGAGTCAGAGATTCTGCATTGTTAGTAAGTTCACAGCTGATTCGGATGCTGCCTGTCCAGAGAATAGCGTCTCTATCATTCTAGCGTTACTTTCAACCTGGCTCTCCCTTACTTCCTGAGATGTTCCACACTCAGCTTCTCCTTCTTTTCATGTTTCCTCCTGCCCCAGGGCCTATGTGCATGCTGTTTCTCTGGACTAGACTTTTCTTCTCCTTTTACTTAATCTACTCTTTTAAATATTAGCTCAGGGTCCATGTGTTAGTCCACTTGCATTGTTATCAAGAAATACCTGAGACTGAGTAATTTATAAAGAAAAGAGGTTTATTTGGCCCACAGTTCTGCAAGCTATACACAAATCACAGGGCCAGCATCTGCTTCTAGTGAGGGCCTCAGCAAGTTTCCAATCATAGTGACAGGCAAAGGGAAGCCAGCATGTCCCATGGCAAGAGAGGGAGGAGTTGTCAGGCTCTTTTAAACAACCAGATCTCACATGGGCTCATAGAGTGAAGACATTACCAGGACATTGCTGTGAGGACAGCACTGAGCCATTCATGAAGGATCCCGCTCCCTGACCCAAACACCTCCCACCAGGCCCCACCTCCAACACTAGGGATTACATTTCAACATGAGATTTGGAGGGGACAAACATCCAATGTATACCAGCCCAATTCCTTAGGAAATGTGCTCTGGACTAGATCAAGAACACCCCTTCTATGCACTCATTGTTCCCAATTCTTCCCCATCAAAGCGATTCTCATAGTTGTAATTTTATATTTATTCATGTCATTCCTCATCAATATCTGCCCCTCTTCCATTGGAATGTAAGCTGCTTGAGAGGAGATAACATTCCAGTGTTTCTTTTTTATCATTTTATACTGTGCAGTTAGCACAGTTCCTACATGAGTTGCTGTTCAATAAATAATGAATGAATCAATAAAGCAGTTAATCAATCCTAATTTTCCAGCCTCATCTTCCAGATCCATAGTAGACATAACTAGACAGGCACTCAGTAAAGACTGTTGAATAACTTTTATAAGGTTTTGGAATTTAGAGGATTTTTAAAATTCAGAAAACTTTCAAAGGCTCCTTTACTATTCCTGATCCCCCTCTTCTCTTCTCAAGTCATCTCTCTCTAAACCACCAATGTCCAATAGAACTTGGACTATCATTCTGAGATGGTGGAATTTCTGTGTTATCCAGTATCACCTGCTATCACGTGTTGCTATCGAGCTTCTGAATGTGCTAGTCCCACCATAAACCATATTTTAAATTATATATAAGGCACAGTGCATAAAGGTCCAGGTTCCAAGGAATATGTAAGAGTGTTTTAGAACCCCTTATGAACATTTAATTCCCCAGATTTTTCTTTTAAGTGTTCTGGTTAGCCTATTGCTTGGCTTAACTATTATGTACTGCCTCTGGTAGCTGCAATCTTAATCAATCAATTTGTTGCTGATTGTTTTTGATAAATACTCCCTTCAAGGAAAGGCGGTCTGTACTAGGTGAGCTCCGAGTCAGGTCAAACAAGGACAATCCTCCACCAGACCGGTCTAATGACAATTCTGTGCGAATGGGGTTTTGAAGAATTTCCAACTCTGTTATGCCTTCTCCAGTGCCTCCCAGGACTCTGGTTTTCACCATGCCCATAGAATATGGGTTTACAAGGCTACGGCGATGCTAGGGTGATGGGGAGGGTAATAGAATAAGAGAAAACACCAGAATGCTCACCGTTCTTACTGAGATTCAGCCATTGTTTTTAAGCAAACCCTCCCCAGATGACTACATCATTTGATAAATTTCTAGAGTTCTAAAATTTGATTCTGACACTTTTTGTTGTGCTTTCATTGACTGATGGAGAAGACTTTCTGATGTCTTTACTCCACCATTCTTGCTGATGTCACATCCACATCCATTCTTAAAATCTCAGATCAAATGCCACCTCTGCTGAGAAAAAGCTTCCTCTGTTGACATGATTTGGTTCTTTCTCTATGCTTCCTTAGCAATTCGTACACACTTCTAAGAGACTGTATTATTTATACTCAATTCATTCCCTCCCTATGCAGATACTTTATTTAATAAGCTCCTGCTGTGTATCTATCTCCCCCCATTAAATTGGATTTCTTAAAGGACTGGGACTATATCTGATGTGATGTTGTAGTCCCCTTGCACAAAGCTTGGCACATTGTAGGTGCTTAAAAAACATTTGTGGTGCTACAGACCTTGTAAGGGGACTGAATGCAGGTCCTTATGGGGGACTGCTCTGGAGCTGGCTGTCATTCTGAACACCAGCCCTCTGCCCCTTTTACAGCCCCCTCATTTTTGTCCAGTGCTGCCTATGTTTCACTAATATGCCTCTGAGCAATTTTTAAAAAATCTTTGACTCTTACGTTTCTTTTATTTGCCTTTGAAAGACTGAAAATGGAAATGAAATGCACATATAATAGGTAAGGTCCAAAATATGTGTTCTAAATATAACCCAAGCCTTTGAAGCTGCAGGTGAAGCATTTCTGTGGGGTTCCATACTCTTTCCTGTGTTCTTTTTGTTGTTGTTGTTTTGTTTTTTGTTTTTGTTTTTGTTTTGAGACCTCTCACTCTGTTGCCCAGGCTGGAGTGCAATGTCACAATCTCGGCTCACTGCAACCTCCGCCTCCCAGGTTCAAGCGATTCTCCTGCCTCAGCCTCCCGAATAGCTAGCTGGGATTATGTGTGGCTGCCACCATGCCCGGCTAATTTTTTTACTTTTTGTAGAGACGGGGTTTCACCATGACAGCCAGACTGGTCTCGAACTCCCAACATCAAA
Source organism: Homo sapiens (assembly GCF_000001405.40). Lineage (NCBI taxonomy): Eukaryota > Metazoa > Chordata > Mammalia > Primates > Hominidae > Homo > Homo sapiens. The sequence continues at coordinate 8,210,769 of NC_000003.12, forward strand.
TGATCCACTCACCTCAGCCTCCCAAAATGCTGGGATTACATGCTTCCCTGTGTTATTTTCCCTCTGCCCTACTGCTTTGGTTTCTTCCCACTCTTCAGTCCTTCACATCCTTCTATGTCTTTCAAGTTAACCAAGGACCTTCCTTTCCTCCAGGAAGCAGCCTGTGATGTGTACATTGGAACGTATTAAGTGATGAGTGACACATTACAAAGAGCACTGGAACTTGGAACTTGGCTTCCAGAGATTTTTTTCTGTCCAGACTTGGTTCATACTTTATTTTGGAAAAGTTTCTTCTCTCCTTTGTGCTTCAGTTTCCACATCTACCAGATGAAAATGTTGATCTCCATGGTTTTACTTCTAATGTCCCACAATTTTGTTACTATTAAGTCACCACCCCTGGGAACTTCATTTTTAAATAACATATGAATTTAAAGGAGAACGTAAAAACACAACAATGCTGTATTGTAAGGCATGACTCACCAGTGGTGAGATTTCAAGCACCACATGTTCATTCCACAAACATTTATTGAGGATCCATGTTCAAGGGCCTCCCTATGTGTTAGTAATATAGAGATATGGCTCCACCCTATGAAAGAGGCTCCTGCCCTACGGAAGCATGTAGTCTTATAAACAACTGACTTTTGGAAAAGATGTAAGCTAACCAAGGTTGGTAAATTATTTTTATATCCCTTTCCAGTTTCAATCTATTGGTAATGCCCACCGAAGAGTTGTTTTGGCCCTTCAGGATAGAGTGTTGTGATTGATAGGTCATGGTGCTATCCTTACTCTGATACCTTGGATCATATCATTTAATAATTATCTCTTTGCATTAGTTTCCCATCTCTTTGTATTAGTTTCCTGTCTTGGTCCTTTAAGGCTGCTATATAGACTGAGTAGCTTATAAACAATAGAAGTTCATTTCTCACAGTTCTGGAGGCTAGCAAGTCCAGGACCAAGGCTCTGGCATGTTTCATGTCTGGTGAGGGTCAGCTTCCTGGCTTATAAAGGCACTTCTTATGTCTTCAAACGGAGGCAGAAGGGGCAAGGGAGTTCTCTAGAGCCTCGTGTATAAGGGCACTAATCTCATTGCATGGGCTCTACCCTCACGACTTAATCACTTCTGAAAGGCCCCACTTCCAAATACCATGACACTGGGGATTAAGTTTTAACATCTGAATTTTGGTGAAATACAAGAATTCAGTCTATAGCATTTCGTTTTTTATGCACTATCCTTCACCTCCATCAACTTTATGATAGAGATAATGGTGCTTACTTTATGGGACTGTGTGAAGATTAAGTTAGATAATGTATATGGAACAACAAACACAGAGTTTGACACACGATAGATTGTCTTACTCTATTCATGCTCCTATAATAAAATATCATTGACTGGATAGCAAATACACCACAGTTCTGGAGGCTGGAAAGTCCAAAATCAATGCACCTGGAGATCTGGTGTCTGATGAAGGCCCACTCATAGACGTTTCTCATTCTGTCTGCACATGGTAGAAGGCGGCAGGGTAGCTCTCTGGGGAATCTTTTATAGGAACACTAATCTCATTCATGAGAACTCTACTCTCATGACTTAATTACCTCCCAAAAGACCCCACATCCTAATACCATCACTTTGAGAGTTAGGATTTCAACACATGAATGCTGGGGGGACCCAAACATTCAGACAATGGCATAAATGTTCATTATCCTCTAAATCAGTGGCTCTCTATAGTGGGGAGAGAAGGTTATTTTCTCCCCAGGGAATATTTGACAATGTTTGGAGGCATTTTAGGTTGTCACTACTTGGGGAGGCACATTACCAGCCTCTACTGTGTATAACCCAAATATGCTGCTAAACAGCTTTGCAATGCACAGGACAGATTGCCACACAAAAAATTAACCAGCCCAAAATGTTGATCGTGTCAAGGTTAAGAAACCTTGCTCTAAATTAGTGCCAGAACAAATGCCAAAGCAAGTTATAAATATGAGACATTAATTCTTGCTATCTTTTCAAATTAAATATTTGTTTTCTTAAAATACAAGAGTCAAGAAAGTTGTCTGTTGCTCAGTTCCAGGTATTAGAAAAAGCAGAAAATAAAGCCTACCTTCCTTCCCTTCTGATATGGTTTGGCTCTGTGTCCCCACCAAATCTCATCTCGAACTGTAATCTCTATGTGTAGAGTGAGGGACCTGGTGGGAGGTGACTGGATCGTGGGGGCGGTTCCCCCATGCTGTTGTTGTGATAATGAGGGAGTTCTCAGGAGATCTGGTAGTTTGATAAGTGTCTGGCATTTCCCCTGTGTCCTCTCTTTCTCCTGCCGCCTTTTGAAGAAGGTGCCTGCTTCCCCTTTGCCTTCCACCATTATTTTAAGTTTCCTGAGGCCTCCCCAGACATGAGGAACTGTGAGTCTATTAAACCTCTTTTGTTTATAAATTGCTCAGTCTCAGTAGTATCTTTATAGCCGTGTGAAAACGGACTAATACACCTTCTTCCCTCCATCCTTTCCTTACTTTCTTCCTCCCCTCTGTCCCTCCTTCTATTTCCTCTCTTTCCTTTTTGTCCAAACTCTGTAAAGATGGCTGCCAGGTGCAGAAGAAGATCAAGCCAAATAATTTGCATTTCAATTTTACCATAAAAATCTATGCTTCCTGCAACAGGCAGGAAACATGGGAAGCTGAATTTCTCTATGACATATGCCCTCCATAAGGCAGAAATTGTTGTTGTCAGAATAACTAAGCTAAAATATCAGGATATTTGCCTAAACTCAGAAAGCTTGTCACATAAATTGCCACTGAACAGTGGCTGCGTATGAGATTAGAACCTGCCTTTTGGAGGGGTGATTTGTCAGCCCCATTGGCAGAACTAGCATAGTAAATAACACTAAAATGAAATGAGCTACAGTCTCAGAAATGCTGTATTTTATGTTGCAATGGACAGTCAGGGAAAAAGAGATAAGTAATGGGCTGCTGCCTGAATTCTCTCGTTCCTGCCCAACCATCGCTGCCTGGGCCATAGGCAGTACATGTCAGCGTGAGGACCAAACATGGCCTGACACTCTTCATGGGACTGCATATGTGCTTATGGCTCATAATAACATGGTAGCATATAAGCAAACCATAAGTAATACACATGAGTCTTTAAAAAACACAAAAAGCCATAATGCCATGAGGGGTTAAAAGAGGTAGGTTAATTCTAACTGAGTGGGATTTGGGAGGACTTCTTTGAGAGGGTATATTTGAGCTAAGCTTTAGAATATGAGTAGGGTCTGGATAAGGACTTCTTAACTTGAAGTCCATGGACCTTTAGGTGAAGTCTGTGAATTTGAATGGGAAAAAAATTACATCTCTATTTTCACCAATCTCTAGCTGACATTTAGTATTTCCTTCAGGTACTAAGGTAGACTACATGCACACTAGTATTAGCAGAACCAGTGATTTTTGTCACCAGTACAAATCCCAGATATTCTCATGTCATACTACTACTGTTGCAGATAATTGAAATATTATTTATGTTAATCACTCCTTTTAAACAACAGCAATTTTTAGATTAATTATTGGATCTTGCTATTTAATGTGTCTATTAAAAACACATCTATTGCCATATCACAAGTTTAGTTATTTTAGTTTTTTTAGTTTGTTAACCATTTTTAAATATAATTGGTTTTCTTTGTAAAATTATGAATTTTTAATTATGGATTTAAAATTTTATTCTGACAGGATGTGAATAGACTCTACCAGATGCCAGGTAGATTCACGGTAAAAAGAGAGCTAAGAACCCATGCTAAGACAGGTAGAAATGAGTGGGCTTCTATGTCACAAAACAGCATGGACAAAAGCATGGATATCTGACTGCATGACTGTTTTGAAAATGACAAGATCAAGACTACCATTTTTGCAGTGCTTTACCGTGTCTCAAACGCTGCTCTGTACTGGTCAATTTACTTCTTCCAAATAAACTATATGGGGTAGCTATGATTATTTTCTTCATTTCACAGATGAGGCAAAGAGAGGTTAAGTGACTTTCCAGTAGTCGCATAGCCAGGGAGAGTTAGAGTTGGCCTGCTGACTTCAGAGGCCAAGCTGATAACAACTATTATTATTATTATACTGCTGTACAACAGTGACAACAGCAATCATGGGAACAGCAACGATCACCTGCTGAGTGCTGCATAAATCTCAGCTATTGTGCTATTTCTTTATAGACATCATCTAGTTGAATCCTTACAACAACTCTAGAAGTCAGTTATTATCTTCATTTATGAAACCGAGGCTTAGAGAAACTATGAGATTTGCCCAAGTTAGACAGTAAGTAGCTGAGCTAAAATCAGAATCCAGATCTACATAATGTCAAGTCTGGGTTCCTAAAGTCTGCGCCAAACTATGTAGCAGTGAAGATCAGAATCCTGTAGTGCAAAGTATGTGCTGCATAAACTTGAAGCCAAAATATAAATGACCTTGAATGCCATGCCAAGAAGTTTGATTTCAGTATGTGGCAATGGGGAGTTATTGATGGCTTTTGAACAGAAAACCAACATTATATAATCTCTGTTTTAGGCAGATCATTGTGGCAACAATGTGGATAATGCATTTCAGAAGCAAACAGTTAGAGGCGATGGAACCAGTTAAGCAGCCATTGGAGCACCTGTCCTAGGTGAAGTTAAGATAAAGGTAGAATACTTGAGGAAACGACACTACCTGGCATATATTATACATCACAGGAGGTGGTGTGAGGAAACAGAGGTGTCAAAGATACCCCTGGATGTCCAGCGACTAAAGCAAAAAACACAGGAAGAGAAACAAACTTGCTTTTGAGGGGCAAGGAGAGTAGAAAATTGATGGGTTCTTCTTTGAACATATTGAGTTGAGGTACCAATGAAATACCTTGTTGGGTATGTTCAATTGAAAGAAGGAAATCTGGATGTGGTACTCCATACTGAGATATAGTGTGCTCTTGAAGGATGCTCCTACATTTCAGGACTAGACCAAAGACATGGAACCAATGGTAGAGCTGAGAAATGGACAGAGAGGTACAAGATGTAGAAGTCAGGAGAGGAAAGTGTTCTCATCCGTGGAGGGAGATAGAAGAGCCAACAGAAAATGAAGGTGTCATAAAACAACTGAAATAGTTCTCCAAGGAAGATTTTGTATTTCTTTTTCTGAGGCCCTTTAAAGAACATAGGATTTGGCTTCTTTTTGGATTTATTTAAGTCATGATTTGCATAGAGGCAGAGAGATGGGGAAAAATGGCATTTCTAGATCCCATCTGGCCCATTCACAGACTGGAAGTTCTATGATAAGTAACGAGAGAAACATTAGGGCTTCCAGGCACAGGGAGGAGAGGAGTGAGCAGTTGTCTAAGAAACCTGTTTTTTAATTGTGAAACAGGAATAATAAATGTGTGGGGGGTGTGGGGGGAGAGAGACCGCAGTGCATGTGCATTTTGAGGATGGGGGAAAGAATTATTAAATGAAAGATTTAAAAATTGGCCTTGAATTGTTCAAAGATTTATCTGCCAGTGCTACAACACTGTGTGAACCCTGGAAACAACCAGCAGAGAAATATAAACCATGACAATTTTTAAAACAGCCTGAATATAAATGTGGCAATATCTATAAAGAGCTGTGGATCTTTGGGAGGGAAAATATAGAATGGTGGATAACAAACTAGTCAAGCAGGTGAATCACTTTAAATACCTGGAAAATCTCATTAGCCCAGGAAGGGAACGAATCCTGAAGCTAAGAGATTGAAATTTATTACAGTAAAGAACATTAAAGAAGATTTACAATATAGTCACAAAGCCGCTTATTAAATTTGGCAGGGAAACTTGGATATGGAAAGAAGAATATAAAAAGACAATATGGTAGAAGCTGTTGAAATGAAATCTCCCCATTCACTTGAGGCTTGGATAAGATTTTAAGAATGAAAATATGTTGTGGTTAATATTGGTAATCAGTGGCCAGAATTTACTTTCACAAAAAAAGAGAAAAGATAAACTAGAAAACATGTTGAGAGAATTACTGAAATCTAAAACTGCAATTAAATAATCAGTAGAAGAAAATCAGGTTGAAATTATTGCATGTAGAGGGACCTTGGAATGCCAGTTAGTCCAAACCAAGCAAGCCGTCACTTTGATGACTATCTTTCATCAAAGATAAAAGTCAGCCCATCAAAATATGGGTCCCCACTCCCCAATGCAAAGGGCCAGCACTAGTCCTGTTGGTGCCTGGCTCAATCATACGTACCCCATAAATATGTGCACCTATTATGTAACAATAATAATTAAAAATTAAAAACTTTTTAAAAAGAGAAGTCTTCCAAATTGCCAGTGGCAGAAAATTGAATCTTCCTTGAGTGAAACAGAAATTCCTTGACTTCTGAACCAGGAAGCTCCTAGGCTAACAGTGTATCTAAACTCAGCTTCAGACAGTGGTTCAAATGATTTCTCAAGAATCTGTTCTCTTTATCCCTGAGATCAGCTCTGCACTCCCCATGTGATTTCTTTCTCACCCAGGCTCTCTCCTCCTGGTCTCAAAGTAGCTGCTGCAGCTCCAGAACTTACCTCCTCTCAGCTTCCCAACCAGTGAGATTAAAGCACTGCACACCCCACATTAGTCAAGGATAATTCTTGGTCATGATGCTCACTGGCCAGAGTTAGGCCATGTGCCCGTCCCAAGCCAATCACCATGGTCAGGGGAATGGGATATTATAATTGGCTGAAACCAATCTGGACCCACCCTGGTATGGAGGCAACCAGTGAACCTTAAATCACATGAGTTAAGAGTGGGCAAGGAATGGTTTCCCCAAGAAAAGGTAAGGAATAGTTTTTATATAAATAAGGGAGCAAGGATTGCAAAAATAATAAATGTTTATACAGTAACAACCTTCAGTTTTGAAAGTCCTATTTTTATTTCATTTAAGCTTCTTGTACTAAGGTTTTAATCCATTTCATTTTATTTTGATCAGTAGAGATGTCAGGAGGTACATATTATTAGACAAAAAATCCCTGAAAGACAGAAAAAGTCTTTTGACACTTTATATTTGAGGTCTGCTTGTTCATTACTGGAGTAATTCTAGTTATTGTAGATGAGCTGTTCTTGTTTTCTTTCAAATAACTTAAAGAATATGATGACAGAATGTATATTTAGGAAGATAAAATAATCTGCCCATACAGTCATCTGGTTATTGGATTGTGTAATGTATAAAGAGCTATTGATTTTTTTTTTTAAGTTCCACTGGTCATCATCTAAGCCTCTCTACTTTAGGGTGTCTGCTATTTACTTCCTTCAGCCTGAGGAAGGAAGGTCTAAACATATGAATTACAATCTATTAGACCTTGGTGCAATTAATGCTGTTGAGAACATATAATAACTTGGAAAATAACCAGGGAAAAATAGTTGGGAGCATTGCAGAGGTTCTGCGCAGTACACAACAAAACATTGCACATTTTTTTGAGTCCATAGAACGTGATTATTATACAGAAGAAGTCAAGCAGAGCTTGATCTGTTGCTTCTTGTGTGTGGGTATCTGAGCACATGAACACATTAAACTCTTCTGCAAAATCTGGGAAGAAAAGTTATACTCTCCCCTTACATTATATTTTCACAGTGTGTAATTACAAATGCCAATCCAGATGCAGCAAAGACTTCCTTGAATATATTAAGGTGAAACCACACATCTCTACGGGGAGAGAAAGCAAGAGAAGCAGATTGCATTGTGCCATCCATCAGGCTGGGGCAGTTATCTGCACAGAGAGTGCAGAAGAAGGAAATATATGCATATGCAAAGTTCCCTAGGCATCAAGATAAATATCACGGGTGGCATTTTGCTCTCTCTGCTCAGCCCCACCCTCTTTCATTCCACACTCCCCCTTCCTCGCCTGAGAAAACCTCGACACAGAATAGCAAAGACTGAGGAGTCATTAGAAAAATGTGCTTCTTCGTAGAAAGCAAGATCTGATTTCTTAGAAGCTTATTTAAAATACGAGATAATTTAAAGAAAAAAAAAACGCTCTTTTGGTTTTCCTCACATTTTGTTGTCAGAGTTTTCAAATCCAAAATGAATTGCATTTCTGCTTGCCACAAATGAAAATCTTCCAAGAGAATGCATTCAAGGAACTCAGCAAATCATGTAATACCAAGCAACATGCTGCCTTAGAAGTATATAAACCAGCTCTTTGTCAGTTTCTACAAGCAAGAGAGAGACATTCAGGATCACAATATCCCATCAGTATCTTCCGTAGAGATTCCAGGTAGCTCTGAAGCACATTCATTCATTTGCTGAATGAACATTGGTTGACGCTTATTGTACGCCTGACATGTTTTATTAGGTTGGTTTAAAAGTAATGGCAAAAACCGCAATTATGTTTCACCAACCTAATATTTGCCTCTGTATGTTGTTTCATTCAATCCTCACTTTATCCTTATGTAATGATCAAGAAACTGGGAGCTCAGGGAGGTTAAATAACTTCTCCCAGTTCAGAAACAAAGCAGTAGAGCCGGTTTTGGACCAATGTCTGTCTGATTTCAAAGCTCATACTGTCTCCAGTATGCCACGTTGCTCTTTGTGGGAAGCACACAAGAAAAGTTTTCCTTCTCACTGTGGTGCTAGGGCTTCATGAGGATGATGCTAGAGCATGCAGAAGAAGGAAATATACATATATGGAAAGATCCCTAAGCATCAAGATAAATATCAGGGGTCGCATTTTGTTCTCTCTGCTCAGCCCCACACTCTTTCATCCCATATTTTTCCTTTTTGGCCTGGGAAAACCTCTACATAGAATAGCAAAGACTGAGGAGTCATTAGAAAACTATGCTTCTTCGTAGAAACCAAGACAATGATACTTGGACCTCAGGGCCCTCGGATGACAGAGACTCAGCTGAGGCAAAGGGGCAATTCCAGGACCTCCAGCCCACCACCTGCATTAGCACTGTCCACATCTAGGACCATGCCAACAAGAGAGGGGTCTTCCTGCAGGAAGCAACATCATAATCCAGGAAAGGGTGAGTCTCAAGGAGGCACCACAGCTTCTCCTGGGCTGACCCTCAGAAATAAAAACCGAAGCCCAAGGTTGATGGAACATCCACCTAAGAGAGAAGGTCTGGACCACAGACTGCTCAATGGCTTCCAGAATGCTTAGAGACTTATAAAATTTACCCATTCTTTTTGCATCTTATTGATGTTAAATCTTTGTTATTCATTTCATTTCGGTGATTAGAAATAAACACCCTGAAGGCAGGGAGGTGAAGGGAGGAGACACAGGGATACGTTTGCCTCAGCAAACATGGGAGATGGGGCCATGAAAATGGCATTTGCCTCCAAAGCTTGTCCAAGGGACAGTGTGGTGGTTTAAAAATACAGTCATGCCTTGCTTAACAATGGGGCTACATTAGGAGAAATGTGTGGTCAGGTGATTTTGTTGTGTGAATATCTCAGAGTGTACTTACAAACCTAGAGGACATAGCCCATTATACATCAAGGCACTATGGGATAGCCTATTGCTCCTAGTCTACAAACCTGTACATCATGTTTCTGTACTGAATACTGTAGACAAACTGGAACATAATGGTAAGGATCTATGTAGCTAAACATAGAAAAGATACAGTAAAGATATCATATAAAAGGTAAAAAAAAAAAAATGGTACATCTGTCTAGGGCATTTACCATGAATGGAGCTTGCAGGACTGGAAGTTGCTCTGGGTGAGTCATTGAGTAAATGGTGAGTGACTGTGAAGGCCTAGGACATTACTGTGCACTGCTGTAGACTTAGTAAACTCTGTACACTTATGCCAAATCAGATGCAACAAAGACATCACTTGACTGTATTAGGGTAAAAATAAATTTCAATTTAAAATTTACACTTAAAATTCACATTAAATTTATAAAAAAAATTCTTTCTTCAATAACAAATTAACCTTAACTTATTGTAACTTTTTTATTTTATAAATTTAAAAATCTTTTAACTTCTGACTTTTTTTCTTATAACACTTAACCTAAAAGACAGATTGTACAGCCGTACAAAAATATTCTCTTTTTTATATCCTTAATCTGTAAGCTTTTTTTCTCCTTTTAAAAAGTTTTATTTATTTTTTACATCTTAAACATTTTTGCTAAAAGCTAACACATAAACACACACATTAGCCTAGGCCTACACAGGGTCAGGATCATCAATATTACTGTCTTCCACCCCCACATCTTATCTCACGGGAAGGTCTTTGGGGCAATAACATGCATGGAGCTGTCATCTCCTAAGATAACAATGCCTTCTTCTGGAAAACCTCTTAAAGACCTGCTTGACGCTGTTTCACAGTTAACTTTTCCTTAAAAATAAATAGAAGGAGTACACTCTAAAATAATGATAAAAATATAATATAGTAAACACACAAACTAGTAGCATAGTCATTTGTTATTATGTTCAAGTATTACGCACTGTACATAATTGTATGGCCTAGACATTTGTACAACTGGCAGCACAGTAGGTTTGTTTCCACCGGCATCACCACAAACACATAAGGAATGTCTTGCACCATGATGTTATGGTGGCCTCAGTGTCATTAGGCAGCAGGAACTGTTCAGTTCCATTATTATCTAATGGGACCACCGTTACATATGTGGTCCATCATTGACAAAACGTCATTAGGCAGTGCATGACTGTCCATGCAAAAATTCATACTTCTTCCTTCAAGAGATAGAGTCTAATTGCCCTTCCGGGACTGGACTTAGTGATTTACTTCTACAGAATAGGATACAATGGATGACTTCAGAGACCAGATTATAAAAGGGTGTGTGGCTCCCATTTGGTGGCTTGCTCTCTCTTTTTTATCTCAGCTCACTGCAACCTCTGCCCCCCAGGATCAAGCAATTCTCTTGCCTCAGCCTCCAGAGTAGCTGGGATCACAGGCGCCCACCATCACATCATGCCTGGCTAATTTTTGTATTTTTCCCAGAGACAGGGTTTCGCTCTGTTGGCCAGGCTGGTCTCACACTCCTGACCTCAGGTGATCCATCCACCTCCGCCTCCCAAAGTGCTGGGATTACAGGTGTGAGCCACCGCACCCAGCCTTGGTGGCTTGCTCTCTTGAATCACTTACTCTGGGGGAAGCCAGCTGCTGTGTTATAAGCTTTCTATGGAGAGGCCCATGTGGCAGGGAGCTGAGTTGTCCTGAAAACAGCCGCACCAGTGAGGTGAGCTTGGAAGTGAATCGTCAGCCCCGTCAGATTCTGCACCTCCACTGCAGCCCCATGAGAGACTGAGCCAGAACCACCGACGTGAACCACTCCTTGACTTCTGATCTCAGAAACTCTGTAAACTGATAAGTGTTTGCTGACTGAAAGTGCTAGGTTTTGAGGTAGTTTGCTGCACAGCAATGGATAAGTGATACAGAGAGATACATTAATGTTCAGAGAAAAGAAGGGCAACTTTGAAGAGGAGAAAAGAGCTGGATGATTCTTGAGGCTTTGCTGAAGAGCTGGATGATTCTTGAGGCTTTGCTGACTCTTAACGTATTGCTCCTAGGCCCAGTCTGGAAAGAAAATAACACGATCTGGATTCCACATCTGGAAAAAGACTGAAGAAGTCCCCAAAGAGGTGAAAAAAGGAAGCTTTCTTTTTTCCCTTTTGTACTTATTATATATAAACTAAACTGGGTTAAAGGTCTTCCACATATGTAATGTAGAATGACAGGACAGGTATTAAAATATGAGCTAAAGAAATATCTACGTATAGTGGCCACACATAATTGGCTGTTGGAAAATTATGTTAAACAATCACAATACATGCTGCAAATCCATATTGATGGTCTGTTTTCTGGAAGATTTTGACTGGATGGGGGAGATCAGAGGTGGCTCTTGTCATCAAGGAGCATGCCATCTTCTTGGAGAGCAGAGAGGCACAAAGATTCAGCATCTATTCTGCAGGTAATTCTCCACCAGTTCTTATGTGTCAGGTCCTGAATTTGCTCCTGAAAAGATGACATGAAATCAGGTACAGTGTCTGCCCTCAGGATCTTTAAGTTCATACAGACACAGACAAGATAAGAAGATGCCATGATGCTATGTGTGATAAAGGATAAGACCTGGACGTTCATAGAAGCACCTCTGGGAAACATGTAGTGAAGATGACTAGTGATCTCCAAGTATTCTATGAGACCCACTAAGCTTCCACACCTCCTGGCTTTGAGGTTGGGGCCTTGGAGCTAGTTGGGGCTGTGGTCTAGAAGAAGAGTAGCATCATAGGTTCTAGCTGGTGCAGCTCCAGCGTGGCAGAGCTCCTCTCAACCTGTAGGTGACTGTGCGAGTGAAGTAGAGCCTCCCCATCCTCCCTGAAATTGACTTGTTGGACATAAGCGAGAGAAATGCTGTTTTGCTGGTAAAGCCACCAAGGCTCTGGGTTCTGATTTGTGTCTGCAGCTCAGAGTAGCCCATCTTGACTGAGACAAGGGACATGATCTAGCTATGGAGAGGAAGAAAGAGGCTTTGCAATGTAACGCCTGGCATACTATGGTAACTGTCTGGATTCAAGTATGTGTTGAGGGGACAGAGGTAGAGGGAAAAGTGATTCAAGTGTAAGGAACAAAATGCACAAACATCCAAAAGTGAAGACAGTACAATGTGTTCCAGGAAATGAAAACTGCCCAGCATGGCTAGAGGAGGGCTTATGAGTAGGGAGACAGCAATAAATGAGGCTGGTGCTGTACAGTTTGTAGTAAGAAGCTTGTTCTCCATCCTGAGGGCAGAGGTGTCTCTTGGGAGATTTTGAAAAGGGGACTAATGGAGTCTGATATATGCTTTTAGAGAACTAACAATACCAGACAAAGTTTGAGTTGTGAAATAAGAGATGTGAACACTAAGTAGTTTGAAGATGGGAAACATCACCAGGAGTTGTGGTCATCGCAGCAAAAACGACAGAAGAAGAAAGATATTGGAAACTGAACAACCAGTGGAAGAGCAAAAGGTGAGGAAAATGGTCAAAAAATGTGAAGGGGACATGTTACAGAGACCACTTTACCAGCTTTAAGCATTCCCATATGTGGGGGTGTTTAAAAGATGAGAAAGAGAATTTGAGTCCTTGAATGTCAGGACAGTCATTTATTATGGCTGTAGTAATACTGTGTAACCAACAACTCCCAAATCCCAGAGGTTTACAACAAGGAATTCATTTTTTTTTTCTCACTCATGAGTGTTTGGGTCAGTGCCAGCAGCTCTGCCTGAGACTGCGGCTTGAGCTCAGGGTCACTCGCAGGTCTTCATTCTGCTGCCAGGCTAATATAATAAGGACTGCCGGGGGCATGCTTTTCTTATGGTAGAGCACAGAAAGGAAATCCTTGCCAGCAGACCTCTGTTTGCATCGTGCCCACTCCTGTCCCCTTAGGCCCTAAAAGTCACACAGTGGACAAGTATATACTCTGCTGACGTGGAGAGGTACTGCAAAGGCTGGAATATATATTCCTATTATGGGAAGCGAAGAATTGGAAACAGCAAATTCAATCCATTGCAGCTAGTCAGAGAATTTTAAATTTATGGTACAAGCAATAAAAATCCATGACATTTTGAGCATCAGAATGGCAGGCATTGGAAATATTTTAGCAGAGCAAAGATAAGAAGTTGGAAGAGTTGGGAAGCAAGTGCAACACTTTAGATATATGGTAATAGCATAATGTAACAACAATGATCAAGGAGAACAAATTGCTGGGGAAATTGCCTGATGGGCAAATTAAGAGGTCTTCAATGACTGACTGGAAATGATAATAACAGGCAGAAGGATGCCAGGATAATTCTGGTGTCTCTGGTTTTGTGGAGCAGAAGCTCTAAGTGACATTGATCACTTAAAGGACAGGAGCTATTTGAAAGATGGGAAAAGAACAGAGTGTTGTGTGTAATATGGCGTCCTTCTGGTACATTTGATGGAAAGATGGGATAGCCAAGCAGAAATGCCTGGCAGAAGTTAGAAAGGTCTAATTAACATCTAGGAGAAAGGCCAGATTTGAGTGTACAGAATTAAGGGTCGTCCACAGGAAAGAGTAGGTCAGATTTCCAAGGAAGTGAGCCTCAAAAGAAAAGTCCTAATTTTACAGAAAAAGGAGTGAAAATGAACAAAGATGGTGAGATGAGAATAGTGATGCTACTACATTAAGGAAAAAAGTCTTTGTAGATAATAAAACATAGGAAACAAACTTCTCAATGTGATTATCTTAGATACGGCTTTGTCCACATTAAAATTGCTTCGAAATTTTAAAAACAAATTGCATTTCTGTTGCTTTGTGGAACTTAATCTATATAACGAGAACATGTAAAGATGTGAATTTACGGAAGTTAAAAAGCTGGAAGAGAAATGCAGCAGCTGGGATGTTAATGAAAGCATAATCTGTTATGTGTGGAAATAAGTAACATACATTTGCTGTGATGGGGCAACACTCAAACGAAACTTCAGTGCAGCACAGTGAAAAATCTGAGCAGGGAAACTTTTCCAGCCAAAAGGGAGAGACGTGATGAATTCTTTTAATTTTCTTTAAACTCAAATGTTTCCTTGCATATGCCAGTGTCACAAGAGGGAAACAAAACTGGCTGTGTACTGGCATTGTATGCTTTTTAAAAAAATTAAGTGAAGCCGTTTAATGTATTAATCATCAAATCATTTATTAATGACCATGTTATGTATGTCAGATCTAACATATATAATAGAATCTTTCTTTTTTTCTTTTTTTTTTTTTTTTCTGAGACAGAGTCTTGCTCTGTTACCCAGGCTGGAGTGCAGTGGCGCGATCTCGGCTCACTGCAACTTCTGCCTCCCAGGTTCAAGCAGTTCTCCTGCCTCAGCCTCCCGAGCAGCTGGGATTACAGGTGCGTGCCACCATGCCTGGCTTATTTTTGTATTTTTAGTAGAGACGGGGTTTCACCATGTTGGTCAGGCTGGTCTCGAACTTGTGGGTCTTGGACTCCTGACCTCGTGACCTGCCTGCCTCGGCCTCCCAAAGTGCTGGGATTACAGGCATGAGCCACCTTGCCTGGCCTGTAATAGAATCTTAATTGAAGCATGGAAACGTGCCAATGTGACAATCTTCATTCATTAGATGAGAAATGCATACTACAGTTGACAAAGGATTTTTGTACACATGATACTCTTTGACCCTCACACAAACGATAAAATAATTGAAGGGGTATGTTCTAACTCAATTGACAGCTAAGAAAACAAAGCATAGGCCGGGCGTGGTGGCTCACGCCTGTAATCCCAGCACTTTGGGAGGCCGAGGCGGGCGGATCACGAGGTCAGGAGATGGAGACCATCCTGGCTAACACGGTGAAACCCCGTCTCTACTAAAAATACACAAAAATTTACCAGGCATGGTGGCGGGCGCCTGTAGTCCCAGCTACTCAGGGGGCTGAGGCAGGAGAATGGCGTGAACCCGGGAGGCGGAGCTTGCAGTGAACCGAGATTGCGCCACTGCACTCCAACCTGGGCGACAGAGCGAGACGCCGTCTCAAAAAAAAAAAAAAAGAAAGAAAAGAAAAAAGAAAACAAAGCATAAAACAGATTAAATGTCTTGCCAAGAACATGCAGCTAGAAGGTCAAAGTGTCTTTTAAGTCTGTGTTTGTTTCCTTTCCACAATGTCAAGGTAATTATCTACATAAAAAGAATCCCTCCACCTGCGTCCATCCTTCTCCTGTCCGAGCTTGGAGCCCTCCATTGCCTATATAATGCCCACTAGTGTCTTTTATAAAACATACAGGAGTCTTTGTCACCAGGCCTTCATTTACCATTCTGATCTCAACCTCTAACACCACTTTCTCACCTCTCTCATCACACTGTATCCCTACCCTGTTTCAAGATTCCAGCTATACAAAATGCCTGCCATACTGATATTTGCAGTCCTGCTTTAGAAATATTCTAATAACCTATGTTTTTTTTTAAAAATCAATTTCGATTAAGGTTTTTATTGAGATAATTGTAGATTCACACAAGTTGTGGGAAATAATACAGAGATCATATCGCCCACTTTGCCCAGTTTCTTCCAATAGTAACATTTTGGGAAACTCTAGTATAACACGCCAACAGGGATATTAATATTGACTCAATCCACCAATCTTATTCAGATTTCCCAAGTTTTACTTATGCTCGTTGGTGTGTGTGTGTGTGTGTGTGTGTGTGTGTGTATTCAGTTACATACAATTTTACCATGTGTGCGGGTTTGTGTACCTACCACCACAGTAAAGACACTGAATAATTTCAACCCCACAAGGATTCCTGCGTTGCTGTTACAACTACACCTACCTCCTTCCCAACCCTTCATACCTACAACTGTTACCCTTGGCCCCCACTAATCTGCCCTCTATTTCTAAATTATGTTTATTTCAAAAATGTTGTATAAATGGAATAATGCAGTATATAACCTGTTTGGATTCACTTTTTTAATTCAGCCTAATTCCCTGGAAATTCATCCAGCTTGAGCATGTATCAATAGTTTGTTCCTTTTACTACTCAGTAATAGTTCATACTATGTAATACCATACTTTGTTTAACCATTCATCCATTGAAGAATATCTAGGTTTTTTCCAGTTTGGGGCAATTATAAATAGAGTTGCATGAATATTCAGGTACAGATTTTTGTGTAAACATAAGTTCGTTTCTCTGTGATAAATACCCAAGAGTGCATTTCCTGGGTTGTACAGTAATGACATGTTTAGTTTTGTAAGAACTGCCAAACTATTTTCCAGAATGGCTGTACAATTTTACATTCCCATCAGCAAAGTATGAGTGAGCCAGTTTCTCTGCATCCCCCTCAGCATTTGGTGTTGTCACTATTTTCTATGTTAACATTTTAATAGGTGTGTACTAGTATCACATATATATATGCACTATATATACACACTATATATACACTAAATATAGGGTATATATACACTAAAATATACTAAATATCATATATATGCATATATATTTAGTGTATATATAGTATATAAATATAGTGTTTTATACACTAAAATATATTAAATATATATGCACTATATATACACACACTGTATATACACTATATATAACATATACTATATATACACTAAAATATACTAAATTCACCATATATACTATGTAGTATATATACTATACCCACACTGTATATCTTCACATATGTATACATAAATGCAAATGTTTGTATGTTAATGCATACATGTATATATAGTATATACACACTATATATACATATATATGTACATATCACAATGATCCAACAGTCTACTGCTTACAGCAAGCTATTAATATCAACATTTTAACACTATTCACCATTTTACCAAAGGAAGTAGAGAAACCTCACTTTCATTAAGTTTTTTATCCTTCCCACTTTTAAATATCATTGTCTTGAGTATCAGATGATGTTACAATTTTTATTTCAATCACCAAAGGTGATTTATATCTCTGCTTAATGAGCTAAACAGTAGAGTGGAGGCTAGAATCAGTGAGGTTGAACACAGATCCATCCAATCTGAACAAAAAGAGCAAAGAGACTGAAAAAAAATCATGAACAGAGCCTTAGGGATCTGGGGGTCAGAAACAAAAGATCTGATATTTTATCACTGAAATCTCAGAAAGAGGGGAGAAAGACAGTGATGCTGAATGATTGTTCAAAGAAATAGTTGAAAAGAATGGTCTATTGTGAGTGTCCACATATATGGTCTTTCCATCATTCCCTTTTCCTTCCTGTTGCCCCCAAATTCTTCTTTTTTATTTTGTAATTTTAGTTTAAAGAACCTCCTTAATTATAACATTTCAGGGTAGAATTGTCAGTGACAAATTTTTATTCTTTCTATTTTCCTTTATCTGAGAATGTTTCCGTTTTCCTTTTATTCCTGAAGTATAGCTTCATTCGATATAGAATTCACAACTGACAATTCCTTTCTTTCAACACTTCAAAACATGTTCTGCCACTTCCTCTGGTATCCACAGTTTCGGACAAGAAATCTACAGTGAATATGTGTTTCCATGTAGGTTATGCATTCTATCTCTCCCTGGCTGCATTCAGTGTTTTTTCTTTGTATTTAGCTTTCAAACGTGTAATTAAGCTGTATTTTGGTGTGTGGATTTCTTTGGGTTTATCCTATTTGAGGTTTACTCAGTTTCTTAGATCTTTAGATTTATGTCTTTGCCATATTAGAAAAGTTTTCAACAACTATTCCTTTGAACAATCATTCAGCATCACTCTCTTTCTCCTCTGCTTCTGAGATTCCAATGATAAAATATTAGATCTTTTGTTTTTAATGTACAGATTCCTAAAGCTCTATTCATACTTTTTTTCAGTCTGTTTTCTCTTTTTGTTCAGATTGAGTGGATCTGTGCTCAACTTAACTGATTCTATCCTCCACTCTACTGCTTAGCCCATTCAGAAGGTTTCGATTTTTTTAATTGCAGTTTTCAGTTCTGTAATTTTTTAAATTATTTCCTATAACTTCTATTTTTTTCTGAGAATTTCCATTTTTAAATTTATTTCCAGATAGTTTGTAGTAGATTGTTGAAGTATTTTATGATTTCTGCTTTAGCATTCTTGTCAATAATTCCAATGTGTAACTCTTTGTTATTGGTGTCAGTTGTCTTTTCTCATTCAGTTTGCAATTTTATTGATTGTTGCTATGATAGATAATTTTCAATATATGTTAGACATTTTGACTTTCATGTTAAGAGACTGTGGCTTCTATATATTTTATTTTAGCACAGGGTCACTCAGTTCAGATTTTGCACACAGATCTTGGCCTAATTTTTGTGAGCTTTTTTTTCAATTGAAGTTTTTCTGATTGTTTGTTCGTTTGTTTGTTTGAGACAGAGCCTCACTCTGTCATCCAGGCTGGAGTGCAGTGGCACAGTCTTGGCTAACTGCAACCTCTGCCTCCTGGGTTCAAGCAATTCTCCTGCCTCAACCTCCCAAGTAGTTGAGACTACGGGAGTGTGCCACCAGCCCAGCTAATTTCTGTATTTTTAGTAGAGACAGGGTTTCACCATGTAGGCCAGGCTGGTCTCGAACTCCTGACCTCAAGTGATACACTGCCATGGCCTCCCAAAATGCTAGGATTATAGGCATGAGCCACCATGCCAGGCCAAAGCTTAATTTTTAGAGTTTCTGTAGTTTTATTTTGATCTGCTTGGTTTATGTGGTTGATGATGGGGCCCTTTCCAGCCCCCGATGGTGCTGCCCCAGTGGGGCAAAAAGGAGGTTCCCCAGGCTGGGCCACCAGGTGTTTCTCAATGAGAGATGGTATGAGGGGATCTCCTTTACCAGCGTCCTCCCTGACTACCAGTGACTGTGAGCAAAGGAGTAGAGTCTTGGACCTTGAGGACAAAAGAGGTTTCCTGGACTAGGCCACTTGCTGTAACTGGGTTCCTTTTTCTGGTTCTTTGTGCCAGCCTGGAGTTTTGGGGTCAGGAGAAAAGTCTTGGGCCTGCAGTTACAAAGACATTTTCTAGACAGGGCAGCTTGCTGTACCTGAGTCTCTCTTGCCAGCTCTGCCCACCTTTCCTCTGTATCTCTTGGTATAAAATGGGAGTCTTCAACCAGTGAGGAAGGAGAAGCAGCTTCTTGTCTTTGGCAGAGCTCTCAATCTATCTCACTTGCAGGTGGTATCAGGCTCACCTGATGGTGTCAGAGGGACTTTTGTCCAATCCACTGGGAAAAAGTGTTCCTGAGCTGTTTTCTGTTGCTAGATCAGGTATCAGGAAATGCCAGTTGTGATGGCTTTCTTCTGTTGGGTGAGGAGCTTCAAAACATTCTGCCACTACGTTGTTCCTCCAGACCTAGGGCTCTGCACCAGCTAACCTGCTTCTGACCATGTGTCAGAGCTCTCCTTTGGTTGTCTCTTGTACCATTTCCAGGGTTTGTAGTTGTGCTTAGCAGAGAGGAGCAGAGAGAATAGGTCTATAACATCTTACTTGGACCAAAACTCAATCTATGTTATTTTTACATACCAATGCCAGGAATTTTGTTACTGTAATAGCATTATTTCAGGTATGAGTCAGTAACTTTCTCTACCTTTCTTGATCCACTCTTCGGTTCCTGTCTCCTTCTTTTTCCCAGCCTCCTCATGCCCATCTTCAATGCCCTTCCACAAACTCACCCAGCCCCTTTATATCACTGAGCTCCTGAAACTCTCCTGATTTCTTCCATCTTCCCTTAATGTCCTATCTAATAATAATAGCAACAACACCAGTCAACATCATCATCACAATTTTCATCATCAAGACTGAAAATGAAGCTGGTGAGAGAAGCCTTGTAAAGCATGCAGCTATCTCCACCAAGGCTAAGGGAAGAGAAGAACTAAGGGCCAAGACCACCCCTAAGGTCAACCAGGAGACAGAAATCAAAATGGCTGAGGACTGAAGTTGAAAGATGCCACAAAGCAGTATGGCTAATATTTTATATGATAAGTATAGTGCTTATATAACATTAGTATTTTCATAAATTTACATTTTACCTGCATTTCAAAGTGCTTATAAATTTATATTTTGAAATATATTTAATATTTAGTTTCACTCATTTACTAAATTTGGGAATTCTGAACCATTTTAAATTAAATACTACTATTGGCACTAGTATTTTAGCATTACATGGAACAAGTAGTAAAACGCAGAAAATGACAACTTTCTGCAGAACTGGAATCACTAATCACACTATTGTTCAAACCTGTCAAAACCTGGACATTTTAATTTTCATTTATTTCTGATCTTTTAACAAAATACAGTCTTCTGCTGCACATTGAGAAAGACAAGAGCAGTCTTTGATCGTTTAGGTATAATAAAAACTTGGACAATACAGAAAACACCAGCTCACATCAAAGTTTGACATGCCCCTAGGCTACTGTTCAGTGTGGCAATCAGCAAGTCATCTTCGCACATTGTAAATATATTACTGTAGAATCCCACACATTCCAAAAATTCAAAGATACAAGTTAATGAAAACCCAGGGACTTTGAGGATATTAAGTGTACACAGATACTATAATTTCAGTGGGTAAATTTTATAAATACAGCCATCTAACTTTTTTCCATGAAATACTTATGAAATCCACTGTTCTATTTTTTCTGTTTGATAATAATTATTTGAGAAAGATGAAAGGTAAATGCTGAAAGAATGTTTTAGAGTTTCCATTTACCATACCTCATATGATGATGAATTAATAATAACAACAGAAAATATTTTATTTGTATATGCATGTGTGTTTATTCATTGCTTATTCCAGCGACACATGTATCCTACACAGAAGACAAATTGACAAAAGAGGAACAGTTGCTATTATCATACCTACCCCAAGTGGGTCACTCATCTATGTTCCTCTTCTATTTTCCAGAATTTCATATAGGGCTCATTTTGTTAGAAGAAGGCCACACTTCTAGTTTGCTAAAGCCTACATCTTTGTTCATAATCGTTTCTGATGCAGAAAAGAGGCTCCATTTTCTCTCCTTCCTGCAAACCTCACCTGGTAACTAGCCACAGAGAAGAGCTCTCTTTCCCAAATCCTGGAGAATTACTGTCATAAAATCAGATAATCTTCTGATGGGACTCAATCTTAACTTTCAAAACTTGCCCTTGGATGCTTGAGTTCATCCATTTATCTATTTCACTATTATTCGACAAGCATTTATTAAGCCTTACTCCATTGTCAGGCACTGTTCTAGACATGAGGATGTAACTGTTGAAGAGACACACACATTTCATACCTGCAAGGAGCTTATTGGCTCATCTTTTCTGAAGCTGAAATCTATCTACCACTTAGGGTTACACATAAAAAGCCCTCTCCCTCTTTCACATTACAGCCCTTAAATAGCTCAAGATGGTGCTACATCCCTTCCCTCTCTTCATCTGAATTTCTCCATCTCACTGAACCACTTCTGCTGCACCACTGCCTGGTTTTTGTTTTTGTTTTGTAGAGACAGGATTCTTGCTTTGTTGCCCAGGCTGCTCTCAAACTCCCTGCTTCAAGCAATCCTCCCTCTTAGGCCTCTCAAAGTGTTGGAATTACAGGCGTGAGCCCCTGCCCTCAGCCCCTGCATTGTATTTTTCATATTTACCTATGTGTCTATTTCCCCACTTAAGCTGTGAGCTTTTAAAAGCCAAGGTTCACATTTTCTTAATCTGTATTTTTATAGCACAGAGTTTCTCAACCCTGACATGGTTGACATTTGAGGCTGGATAATTCTTTATTATGGGAGGGCATCCTGTGCATCGTAGGATGTATAACAGTGTCCCTAGCCTCTATTCACTAGATGCCAATAACAATCCCCCCTCCCATTTGTGACAGCTGAAAATGTTTCCTGACTCTGCCAAATTTCCTTGGGGATAAAATCACCTCCCACTGCTCTGGCACTATATCCTGCAAAAAACTACACATTGGCATGCAATTCACATTTGAGTAATTTACCATTTGCAAAACTTTTTAAATACATTGTTTCACGGATGCCCATGATATTTCTTGAACTAGGATTCCATGCCCATTTTGTATTTCAGATTCAAACCTGGGCACTCTGAATCTGGAGCCAGCACTGTGAACCTAGTGGTGCAATCTTGGGAGAGTTACTCAACATCTGAGAGACTCAGTTTCCTCATCAATAAGAGGAGAAATATAGCCACATCTATCTCATAGTGTTGTGGTGAGGATTTAATGAGATGAACCTGGAACATAGGGGCTCAATCAAAGTTGATTCACATTATTATTGCAATCAAGTACGACATTTTTTCTTTTGACCAGGCTGACTGTTCCACTAAGTTCTGAGGGAAAAAAAATTAGCCATAGGAAAGACTGTGATTCAGTTCAGAATCAGCCAATGTATGTTGATGGGTAACCATACATCCTGGTTTGCCCTAGATAGTCCTTGTTTTATTCTGTTTTTATGAAATTGTAATAGACAAAGGTATATGATAAACAACATGGGCACACTAATTAGCACTTGTTATATACAAAACAATTTTTAGGCCCTCTAATGTATGCCAAATAAAAGTTGAGGTCATCTCTAACCTTAAATGCATTTTTCTAGGGGGATGGGTAGTTTAAGAGTTGGTATATTGAGGCATAAACACAGTTCTTTGGGACACAATTGAAAGATGAAAGAAGGAATTTTAATGCTTGGCTGATGCCAATTTTGCCTTCCAATGTGTACATTCATGCCTGCATGCACACATACACATATAAACACACACACACACACACACACACACACACACCCCTCTGTATTCTAATACCCTTTTAATCAAAAGGGAGATGGAGTAGAAATATACAAATACCAACATAAGTCCATGAAAATTATGACCAAATAAAACAGTCAACTCAAGCTGTGAAGAAAGATTTGTCACATCATTGTCACCTCAAGTGCAGCATTAGATTTGTGGCCACAGTTCTCATTTATTGTTTGTAAGCTAGCTATTGTTTCAGTTTCGATCAGAATGGAGCTGAGTTGCAGATCAAAATCAGAGAGTTAGTTAAAAGTAGCAAAGAAAATTCATCTCCACACCATAAAACCTTTCAGCCAGAAGGTAAATTTGGGACTAGCAAGTCTTCCGAAAACATACAAATATGTTTTCTTTTCAGGCTATAATTTTTTTTCTATAAAATAATCTGGTTTTTGCTACACCTCCATGGTATTCATATTAAGTTTATGTTTCCTCCACTGACCATTGTTTTAAGTCTGAGATCTTAAAGCTTTCTAATTTTCCATTTCTCAGCTTGCAAGAAAAGAAAATCCTCTTAGTCAGTCAAATATGTCAAGACACAGATTAACAAACTAAGCTACTGCTCAAATCTATGTACTCACCATGAGAATGAACACATATGAACACTGAGAGAAAATTTACTATCAAAGTTGAATGGGTCTATTATTCTGGCCTATCTCTTCCAGGGGAGTAGAATGTGATGTTATAATAAGAGTCAACATTTCCACAGAACTTTGGAGTTGAAGAGCACTCTGTCACATTCACAAGTTAATTTAATCCTCTTGCAGGGTTAAGATATAGATGTTTTCACTTTTATTTTAGAGTGTGAGAAAACAGAAATTAGGAGAAAGTTAAGAGACTTGTCCCAAGTTACAATCTAGAGAGCAATAGAGTTGAACATCAGATCCAAGCCCAGGGACCCTACATCCCATCTTTCCATCCCACTTGCTTATGTTTTGAGCCTTAATTTTGAGTTAGCAGGTGATGTCACCACTGAGTAAATTGCAAAGATCAAGGGGAAATAGCAGGTGGGCAATACAAGCAAAGAAATGGAAACTCTAAGAAAGAAGTAACAGGAAATGCCAAACATCAGAAACCTTGTAATAGAAACAAAGAATGCCTTCGGTAGGCTTGAAAGTAGACTGATCCAGACTGAGGAAACAATAAATAAGTTTAAAAACGGTCAATAGGAATTTTTCAAATTGAAATGCAAAGAAATAAAAAACTAGAACCTCCAAGAACTGTGGGGCAATTTCAAAAAGAGTAATATAACTGAAATGGGAAAGCCAGTAGGAGAAGGAACAGAAAACAGAGTGGAAGAGATAATTGAAATAATAATGGCCAAGAACTTCCTAAAACTAATGACAATTAACCACAGAACCAGGCAGCTCTGAGGCACCAAGTAGGATAAATGCCAAAAAATACACTTAAACATATTTTCTTCAAAGTGAACATAAACGAGTAAATAAGAGAAGAGAAAATCTTGTAAGAAGCCAGAGGGAAAAAACACTTTGTTTATAGTGGAGCAAGAATATGGATTACAGTAGACTTCTCATCAGAAACCATGCAAGTGAGAAAAGAGTAGGATAAAATATTTCAAGCTCCCAATGGCCAAAGCTAGAACTGTTAAAGCAACAGAATAAGATAGTACTGGATTAATATGCAAAGTATAAAATCAACATCTCTGAGTCCATTTGATATAAGTAAATAGTTGAACATACAAATAATAAATAAGAGTGAAGAGACAATGGAAATCTTTATGCAGAATTCCAAGTAACTTACGCAGAAACTCTACCCTCACAGGGTGGGGCATAATTCCCCATTCCTCAAGTGTGTGGTGCACATAGTGACTTCCTCAAAAAGAATACAGTATGGAAAGGGGGAAAAATAGAAATAGCTTTATAGTGTCAAAATGCTACCACAATTGTGGTGACAAATGCTACCACAGGTAGGTGATCGAGGTCAGCATCAATAGCGACAAGTCACACCAATAGTATTTAAACTTGATATGATGTGGTACAAATGACACTCCCACCCCGCCTCTACTAAAAATACAAAAATTAGCTGGGCATGGTGGCTCACGCCTGTAATCCCAGCACTTTGGAAGCCCAAGGTGGGAGGATCACCTGAGGTCAAGAATTTGAGACCAGCCTGGTCAATATAGTGAAACCCTGTCTCTACTAAAAATACAAAAATTAGCCAGGTATGGTGGTGCGTGCCTGTAATCCCAGATACTTGGGAGGCTGAGACAGGAGAATCACTTGAACCCAGGGGGCGGAGGTTGCAGTGAGCCGAGGTTGTGCCACTGCACTCCAGCCTGAGAGACAGAGTGAGAATCTATCTCAAAATAAATAAATAAATTAATTAATTAATTAAAAATTGAAAAAAATATTTAAAAAAAGACACTGCCTCTGTGATCTTCTGCCTGAGATGGACAACCCCAGTCTAATTATGAGAAAAACATCAGAGAAAACTCAACTGTAGGACAGTCTACCAAACAACCAGTAATTCTTAAAACTGTCAATGTCATCAATAACAGGGAAAGACTGAGAAACTGTCACAACCAAGAGGAACCTAAAGAGACATGTTGACGAAATGTAATGTGGTATCTTCGGTGGGATTCTGGGGATTCGGGAGCAGAAAAAGGACATTAGGTAAAAGCTAAGTAAATCAGTCTGTAACCATCATAAAACAATTAATATTTACCTATTAATTTTAACAGGTATACCATACAAATGTAATGATGACAATATAACTTTTACATATTTTTATATTTCATGAGGAATTTTATATGCAACTAAGGTAATAATAACTTAATCAACATTATGCCACAATGTACCATACTAACATAACATTAAGATGTTAATGGGAAACTGGATGGGGAGCATATGGGAACTTTCTGTTTGCTATATAACTAAAATTGTCCTAAAATAAACATTTACTTAAAAATAAAGTCAAAAGAGACTGGGTGCGGTGGCTCATGCCTCTAATCCCAGCACTCTGGGAGGCCGAGGTGGGCGGATCACAAGGTCAGGAGATCAAGACCATCCTGGCTAACACGGTGAAACCCCATCTCTACTAAAAATACAAAAAAAAAAAAAAAAAATTAGCCAGGCGTGGTGGCGGGCATCTGTAGTCCCAGCTACTCGGGAGGCTGAGGCAGGAGAATGCCGTGACCCTGGGAGGTGGAGCTTGCAGTGAGCAGAGATTGCTCCACTGCACTCCAGCCTGGGCGACACAGCAAGACTCTGTCTCAAAAAAATAAAGTAAAACAAAATAAAATAAATAAATAAATAAATAAATAAAGGCTTTCTTGGGCTCATATATTAACATACAATTTATCACCAGCAATCATGTACTCTAAGAAATTTCAAAGGATGTTCTTTAGGCAGAAGCATAATCAGACAGAAACTTGCATTTACATAAAGAAATAAAGAGATCTGAAATGGCCAAAATAAAAGTAAACATAATTTTTTTTTTCTTTCTTGTAATGGCGCTAAAAGAAAATCCACTAAAGAAAACTTTGTGACATTGTTTTGCAGAGTTTGCAGCATTTGTAAAAGTAAAAATGTATGATGACAATTGCACAAAGGACAAAAGAGAGGAATTGGAAGTACCCTGTTTTAGGATTCTTGCACTATGTGTGGCCTTGTAATATCACTTGAAGGTAGACTGTAATAAGTTGCAAATAGAAATAATGGATCAAATGAGCTGCAAAAATATAGTTGCTGCCACAAAATTTAGCTTTTGATTCAAAAAGTAAGGCATGAAATAGTTCAGAAAATTACACAGGAAGAGACTATGAGAGAAAGACAATGAAAGACAGCAGTAGCCACATTATGTGTTTTTGGAGAGTGTATATGTGTGTGTTTTCTTCTAACTAGAAACATAGTAATGTTTAAAGTAACAAAAAGACAACAATATAGTGATTTTATCCCTGAAGTTTTGGAACTATGAGTTTACTTCATGCCTTTCACCTTATGCCTGCTTTGGGGCAGAATTAATTAAACATGTGAAGATGACATACATACTTTTACATAACTCTGGACTCTCATAAGAAGGTAGGGAAAGATTAGGAATGTGATTACTTAAGGAGAATAAAAGGAGAATAAAATGTACAAGCCAGGATTCAGCTCTCGACGTGGCCTCTTAAGAATGTGCCCTTAAGTAACACTTGACTTTACAGAACCGTCAATTTCACATGCATATCATGAGGCAAATACTCTACCTTAAATGGAAGTTATAAGGCACGTAACAGGTCATTCATACATTTTAGCTGCCTTCTCTAAGAGAAAGTTGTGGATGGAGAATATTTTACTCAAAATTAAGGGTGAGAGTTAAAACGTGTACTAGACAATACAGCAGAAACATTGCCCAATCCAGACAGTTAGAACCAAATCAGAATGGATGTGCCATAAACAACACTTCACTAGGACTTTGCTAGGTTAGACTGGCTGAATATCAGCTATGCTGGAAACTGTAAGTTATTTTGATTTCTAAAGTTGGCCCAGTCATCCTGTCCTAATTACCAGAGGCTAGTTCAAGCAGAAATTGTTTATTATATTTTATTTGTTTCTGTGATATGCAAAGCAAACAGCATTTGAAGAACCTATCTGTATGTAAAGGCTGAGTTTTAGATGTTTGACAATAAATGAGCTATGTGGTGGGTTCATGTAAGGCTATATCGACATATTATGCAATGCAAATATTTGTGATTTCTCTTCTAGTTGGAAGCCCAGGATAGCATGTGAGTCTGTTTCTAAATTTTAGCTCCAGTTTTCTCTGGCACAAAATTATCATTGCTTCTCCTCCTCCTCTTCCTCTTTCTCTTTCCTCTCCTTTTTTTTTTTTTTTTTTTTTTTAAGTACCTCTTCTGGAAGCTAAAGCTTTTTCTTACATGGTAGCTTTTACATTCACCAGAAATTTAGTCTAAGTTTTGTCTGTCTGATTTTCTTTCTTTCCTTGAGTTTAATTCATTTTGTTCAATTAACAGTCAGTGAAGATCAACACGATACTAAGTGCCAAACTATTAATACAAGAGTAAATCTATAAATACAACTGTGGGAGCTTGGAAGAATTTCTGGTAGCGTAGATGGATGAGGTGAGCAATGAGAATGGTTGCCATCCAGAGGTAGACATAGAAATGCATTTGCTTGTGCGAGTGAGTTGGCAACATTGGTGAACAGGAAAGCCTGAGTGAGAAGTCAAGGGATCTAGGCAGGTGATGGTCTAAATGAAAAGTCAACAAGAAGAGGAAAGGATTTTCTGAAAAGAAGTAGAGGATGCTGTACTAAGAGGTTTCCTTGAGTAGATGGCCCCATAACCTGTGGCCTGAGCCTTAACTTGGCCTAAGTCCCAGAGTTGCCTGACATGGGAAGGCTGACTCAGGTAATCAAACATATGAGATTGAGGCACACGGTCCATAAGCCAATTTGCTAGTTTCTAATGAGGCTTACACTGTTCTGATTAGTTGAATTCTTGTCCCCCATTTAAGGCCCCACTCCTTCTCAATTCAGAAGCCTAAGACATCAAAAGATTTCCATGTCACAGACTGAAAGCTGTATTTCGAATGCTAAACACCCACAAAACTTAGGAATGGCAATTCTGAATGCCTGGGGTGGCATGCTCAATATGCCACAGTGATCATTGAAATCACCCTGGTCCCACCCTTGCAAACATAAAAACATAACCAAAATAAATTAAGTTATTTTCATGAACTTATATAATTTTTGCCTTACCACAAGTCTAATTTAATGCAAGGTGAAATAATGTCAAAGATATATTTAGTACTTTCCCTTTAAATACTGCTGCTAAAACTAATAATATCCTGGATCATACATTTTTTATCTCTAGGAGTCACTTTTTTCCTGATAGTTTATAGCTCTGATACTTTGTCACTAGGAAAGAAAGATTCAATGTATAAGAATTTGATTTACAAACTTTGAGCTGTACAGCTATGTAGATGTGCTCTTGGATGTCCCCTGGTGGCTGACTAGAGTCAATACATGTCTCATAAATGCCCCACTACCAGCTCTTCTTGTTTCCCCTTTGCACAAGGACTGCAGCCTGTTCTTGGAATGTATTATCATCACATATTGTTAATACATCTGAAAGGAAAACAGATATCATCTGCCTCCACTTACTCATTTTCAACCTGGGGACTAATGCTCAGAGAGTGAATGTTTCACCCAGGGTGATAGAACCAGCCGCAGACAGAGCTGGGACTGGATTCCAAATGGTCACACAACTAGACCCCACAAAGTTTTATGAGCTCCCATTCAGCAAGCCAAGAAGCCTGTGTCTCCTTGTTTTCTTCTTCCATTGTGAATATATGCAAAGCAGTAAAATTGTAATTGCAAGAATTGTATACCCTCATTGAGCTCATTTGGTTTAAGTGCAGAGTGCTACGATTCTTGTCGTTTATCATCCAGAACTAAAACTCCTTCATGTATTTTGAAAGAAGGAAATGAAACAGCAGAATTATGATACATCAGTCCACTTAATTATTGTTTACAAGTCTTAGTGAAGCAGCATGCCAAGAGTTTTCTTTGCCACCCAAGCTGTACTCTAGATGGCGAGCCATAGCCTCATAGCTGCCAGAGAGTTTGAACAGTCCTGCCAGATTTTCAGCAAGTCCATCCATCAAACTAGAACTAAGTGAGTATGCAACAAATACTAGAATTTCTACAAATATGAGAGGAAGAATGATGCTTGAACCATTCTAATTGTCTTAATTCTGAATACCTTCTCATGAGAGATGGTTCAGATCCATGGACTGCTTAGATCTTCAGCCAGGATGATGTGCTCCCAGAATGATTCTACTGGCCATTAGAAGAGATGGCCAAGTGATCTCTAACTGACAAATAGGAACACGAATGCCATGAAATATAAAAATGATAGAGATTGAAGAAAGATGTTGGGACCACTGAGAGATCCTTCCAAGTCACATCTGAATTATTTCATGTCCTTTTAACTCTGGACTCAAAGACTAGGTTTCAGCACCCATTAGTCACTGCAGGCCAACAGGTTCCAAACAGGTTCTTTCTAGCCATTTATTCCAATTAAGCACATAACCCTCTTGAAGGTCTCAAAGAGTTTTGTGTTTTTGCTAATAATAAAATCAGACAAAAGCCACAATAACAAGCAAAGAGAGATTGACAGGGTTGGAAAAGTTGATCAGATTAAAAATAACACACATCTTGCCAAAGAAGATATACAGATGACAAGTGAATATATAAAAATATGCTCAATATCATTTGTCATTAGTTAATTATAAATTGAACAATGAGACACCAAATGCATACCTACTAGAATAGCTAAATTAAAAATAATAACAATACCAATTGTTGGCAAGGATGTGGAAAAACAGGAACTTTCAGATACTGCTGGTGGGAATGCAAAATGATATGGCCACTTTAGAAGAAAGTTTGGCAGTTTATTACAAAGCTAAATATAGTTTTATCACACAACCCATTAATCACACTCCTGGGTATTTACCCAAATGATTTGAAAACTTCTCTGGGGGGAGGGGGGAGGGATAGCATTAGGAGAGATATCTAATGTAAATGATGAGTTAACGGGTCCAGCACACCAACATGGCACATGTATACATATGTAACAAACCTGCACGTTGTGCACATGTACCTTAGAACTTAAAGGATAATAAAAATAAATAAAACTCTACACAAAAACCTACCTGTGAATCTTCACAGCGTCTATATACATAATCACTAACCACTGAAATCAAGCAAGATGTTCTTTAATAGATGTGGAATGGATTAACAAACTGTGCTATGTCCATATAACCTATTTATCTTAAAATTATATTTTATTCTGTTTATATGGATATATAGTATTACATATATTATATGGATATACATTATTCATATAACAGAATACAAATAAATTAGCTATCAAGCCATGGAAAGTTACAGATGACTCTTAAATATATACTGCTAAGTGAAGGAAGTCACTCTAAAAATACTACATACTGTATGGTTACAATTATATGGCATTCTGGAAAGGCAAAACTATAGCAATGGTAAAAAGATCAGTGTTTGCCAAAGGTTTCAAAGATGAAGAAAAGGGTTGACTAGGTGAATGAAGCATAGAGGGTATTTTTAGGGTGGTGAAGCTGTTCTGTATGGTACTATAATGGTGGGTACATGACAGTACAGATTAGTCAAAACCCTTAGAACTATATGCACAGAGTGAACTTTAATGTCTACAGATTTTTAAACTAAATTTATTGTTCATATTTGAGGTTTACAACATGACATTGTGGGATACATATAGATAGTAAAATAATTGCTATAGTGAAGCAAATTAATGTTATCTCTCAGCTCATATAATTACCTCTTTCGATAAGAGGGATTTTAACAAAATTTCCTAATCCAATACAATTTTGTTAACAATAGTCTACATGTTATACATTTAAAAATCATTCAAGAGGTTGAAGATTCCAGGATGGAATCCAGAATGTGACGTTTTAACAGTATTACAATTGTATGAAACAACCTCACTGAAAGGGGTTAGGGAGAGAGATGCTGATCTAAGTAACTTTGAAAATGAGTGGAGTCTATAAGACTAAAGGCAGAATAAATTGTACTTTAGCACTGTACTCTAGTTGATAAACTTATTTCCCATTGAGTAAAGATGAACCATTCTGATACGTCTATACATGTGTACTAAAATTAAACAATGGCAGATGGTGAGGCCATGTTTCTCATGACTGCAGTGGGGGTTTGCAGATAAATAAAGGGAGCCCCCCCTTTATATGACACCCCACACCTACAGTGTGCCCTGCTCATAGTGGTATAGTGATTTCCTTAATAGGCATACAGCATAAAAAAAGGAGGAAAAATAGTAATTTTATAGTGTTAAAACGTAACAGACATACCTCAGCAACAGATCAAAGTATCAACAGTGATAAGTCATACTGATAGTATAGTGTCTACTGGTATCCATGGGGAATTGTTTCCAGGACTCCCCTCCCACCAAGATATGAACATCTGCAAAGGCACAAGTTCCTTATATAAAATGGCATGGTATTTACATACAACCTTCACATATACTTCTTTATACTTTACATTATCTTTAGATTACTTATAATGCCTAATACAATGTAAATGCTATATAGTTATGCTGTATTTTTATCTGTCTTATTTTTTACTGTTGTATTGTTAGTTTTTCTTGTTTTTTTCCAAAATACTTTTGATCTGCAATTGGTTGAATCTGTGCATGTGGAGGCCACAGATACAGAACCTGTGGATTCAGAGGGCTGACAGTATTCACACTTGATGTGAGATTTATTTCAAATTCAGTTACGTTATTTTCAGCTATGTATACATTGTGATAGATACTAGGAAGACAAAATAATAAAGACAAGCATGAGCATTCACAGCAGCTAATTGTCCAATGGAGAAACTAATAAATCATTCATATACATATTGTTCAAGTAGTATTTATTCAGTGGCCATTTACTTGGCCTTGTAGCTGTAATGGTAAGTAAGTTAGGTATGGCTCCTGCCTTCAGGGAGCATTGTTTAGTTGGGAGGATAGACAGCTGACCCAGGTGATTGCCACTAAATGAGTCAAGTGTTACCAAAGAGTAAGTGTAGGTATAATGAGAGCACAAAAGAGGAACATTTCACCTGGACAATAAGGCTTTCAACATCATCAACTCATAAGGTCAAAGAAGGCTTTTGCTATAAAGTAAATATATGTATCCCTCCTCCCCCCAAATTCAGATGTTGAAACCTCATCCCAAAGTGATGATATCTGGAGGTGGGTCTTTGGGAGGTAATTATGTCATTGAGGGGAGAGCCCCTCAAGAACAGGATTAGTGCCCTTATAAAAGGAACCCCAGAGAGCCCCCTCACCACTTGGACTTCCCAGCCTGCAGAATCGTGAGCAACACATTTCTGTTGTTTATAAGCCACTCAGACCACAGCACTCTTTCAATGGGTAAGAGAAAAGAAAACCATGACTGGGGACATATATATGTTAATGATTGATTTTTGTTCCCAAATACATTGAAGTCGAAAAATAAGTAATCCAACTGTTACAGAAGCCTGAATTTTTGTTACAGAAGCCTGAGTAGACTAAGACAGATTTCAAAATAAATTGGTGCTCTGTGTATGCTGAGACCAGAATATTGAGTAGAATTAGTCCAGGAAAAGGGGAAGGGAGAAGGTAGGAAAGGGTACTGAGTGGAGGAAATTATATTTAGTAAGCTCCTGGCCAGTGCAGGCTGAAAGAAACAACATCTCTTTGTGGACCTTGCCTGGTCCTCCTCTGTGGCACAGTCTGCTAGTTTTCCCCCGTATAAGTTTCCTCCTTCTTTATTAATGGAAACCTGGATTTTTAGCTGAGTGCATGGCCACCTGTAATGAAGACTGCATTTTTCACCCTCTCTTGCAGCCAGAAGTGACCCTGTGACTTGTGATTCGCTCATAGAATATAGTGGATGCAGTGATTTAAACTTCTAGGAAAACCAAAGAAGAATAAAAAAAACTACCACATCCAGAGAATGTCCTTCTCCTTCCACTTTTTTCTCCCTGTTGACTGAAGCTGGAGAAACCATCTTGCGTCATGATGTAGAATCCCAAGCAACAAGAGGGGAAAAATCTGTATTCTTGATTGTAATAATAGAGCAGCCAGATTAGTCTTGGACTTCCTACTTTCACATTTGAGAGAAATCAATGTAGGCTTTTTAAAGCCTCCATTGTTTGGGTTTACTGTCATGGCCAAAGATAATGTAATCAATCCAACTTATGTTTCCATATCTACCTACAACTGTCTTCTGAATCAGCAGCAATTAAGCTTCTGACTCTCATTTATAAGCTGTTCTGATCCACTTGGTAAAAGGCCATGATGACTTTCCTAGGTGAAGCCTTGAGAAATTGAGAACAGGAATATGGCCTCCAGGATTTTTCCTCTTAGATGAAATTGTATTTTGTTTCAGATCTTTGCTCAAATCAACATACATATTCCATGCCTTTGTACCTTCATTGTCTCCCATCTCTTTCTTTCTTTCTCTAGGATAAAGAAAGAAAGAAATATGTAGTGGTGGTGGTGCTGCTGTGTGTTAGGTGAATAAACAGACCACCTAGAAATACCCAACCTAGGGATGAAGGAGGAATGGGGGGTTAAGGGACATGGTTGACATTGTTAAGTCAAATTGTAAATGACAACATTTCCAGGGAACTCCTTCACTGATCATCTTTATTTTAAATCTTTTAGTTTTAGAAGAGTTTCGCATTTACAGAAAAATGGTGGAGATAATGAAGAGAGTTGCCATATACTCCACACCCAGTTTCTTTCCTTACATACTGCCTTAGTGTGTCAAGTTTGTTACAATAGTGGACCACTGTTGATACATTATTATTCACTAAAGTCCATACTTTATTCAGATATCCTTAGTCTTTACCTACCGTTGATTTTCTGTTCCAGGATTCCATCCAGGATACCACATAGCATTTAGTCATCATGCCTCCTTAGGCTCCTCTTGGCTGTCATGGTTTCTTGTACTTTCTTGCTTTTGATGATATTGACAATTTTGAGGAGTACTGGTCAAGTATTTTGAAGAATGTCCCTCAACTGGGATTTGTCTGATATTTTTCTCATGATTACACTGAGGTTACAGGTTTTGAGAAGGAAACCCAGAGAGGTGAAGTGTTGTGTTCATTACCTCACATAGAGATCATGTGGAAGAGAACTCAGGGAGGAGAAACTTCCCAAAATAGGGGGCATTTTAGGGCTTATCTGCTCCAATTCTCTTTGCTCAGTAGCCGTGTACTCCAGTTACGCTATGCAACATGAAAATTTACATAAACATGAATTACTATAAAAAACAGGAGGGAGACTATTGAGGTGTAAGCAAGCAGATGTAAAAAATCCTTAAGGATGAATACTTGTAGCACTATTTTTGTAACCCTATCAGAGCCAGAATCTAGGTGATCCAACTTACAGCAATATTAAGGTTTACAAAAAATTTCCAACAACCAAAGCATAATTTCAAAATAACTCTAAAGTCTTCTCCCTGCATTTTTCAAATACCATAAAAAATACTTTTTAGTGCTGTTTCCTTTCCATGCCATCCCTCACACACCATGATAGTCCTGTGCTTTTCTATCCAAATGTCATGAAAATTTTCCGCTCCCAGGTGGAATAATTAACTCTTGCTCTTCTGTTTTCTCTCCACCTTGTGAAAATAATTGATGCTGTAGCCAAGTCATTATGTTCTAGGCCACAGAGTCACCCAACTCCCACTACCACAATTTATAGTCACATAAAAATGCTAACCAGTACACTCAGTTGGATTAGTTATTTTTCTACCTCACTGTGTTTGGGAACAAAAATCAATCATTAACATATAAGTGTCCCAGTCATTTTTTCTTTTCTCTTACCCACTGAAAGAGTGCTATGGTCTACACGTTTCCCTCCCCTCCAAATTCATGTGCTGAAATCTCCACTCTAAGGTTCTGGTATTAGGACTAGGGCCTGTGGAAGGTGATTAGGTTATGAGAATGGATCCCTCATGAATAGGACTAGTACCCTTATAAAAGAGACCTGAGAGATACCTCTCACTCCTACCATGGGAAGACACAGCAAGAAGGTGCCCTCTATGAATAAAAAGTGGGCCCTCACCAGACACCAAATCTACTGGCAACTTGATCTTAGGCTTCTCAGCCTCCGGAACTATGAGAAATATCCATATTTTTTGTGTATAAACTACTCAGTTTATCGTGTTTCCTTATAGCAAACCAAACCGTCTAAGGCAAGTGGATAAGGCCTTGCCGATTAGTTTAGTGTCCTCACCAGCCCCTCAAGTTCACTGTGTGTTTATAATAGCAGAGTGGCCCTGAATTATTATACCTGAATAATTCAAGGCACTGCCTTGAGTCTAACCCACCAGGCCTTACAATGATGTTGTAAATACCTGATTCCCTGAATGTCTGCCAAATAAAGACAGAATCATTTATATTTTTTAAAACTAAACCCCAACTTACTCAAACTTGATCAAAAATTTCTCATGCATACTAAATCCTGGATCATAAAGCTAGACTAAAGGAAAAAGAAAACTGTATATGTGGATGTTTGGGCCCTTAAGATAATTCTCAAATCTGTGCCAGTGAATGGGGATGGAAGAAGAATCTGAAGGTGTCCCTGGTGTTGGCAGGTTTAACTCTGTGCTGTTTACTGGGTAATTGTACATGCTAATACATTTGTCTGTTCCCATGAACATTTAACAGGATACTGTAGTCGCAGATAACTGAGCATTAGATAAATTTGAATTAATTAAGTTAGAAGCACAGATGAGTTCTTATTTGGGGTCCTTTCAGAGCACCTAGCATAATATTTTGCTGCCCAATAAAATCCTGTTGAAATAAATTATTCAACAGAAAAATCTCAGTCTCCCAAAGGAACAAATTTGAAGCTAGTTATATCCATTTAAAAATGCTTTTACTACCCTCACCTCATCCCCTGTATAAGGCTTGTAAAATTCAAACACTGGGTATTTTACTTTCTGTAAATTTTTTTATTTGTTTAAGTTTTAAGGTCTTTTAAAATCTTGTTTCATATACATTATCACATACATTAGAAAAACATAAATTTCCAATTTTAAACTGTTAGAAGAAAACGAGCATGACAAGAACCCACTAAAGACACTGCATACTAAAATATAAAAAAGGCAAAAACATTTGCACATAAAATATTAAATTTCTTCTTTCCTACTAGGGAGAAGTCTCCATGGATTTTCTGAAGTCAAAGCCACCAGGTTAATTAAAGTTTTAATGATGTAATCTAGCTCTCTTTAGAGCGACTCTCTTCTTTCTTTGAGCCTTTTGTGTTTTACATTATAAATGTAAAACTTGCTTCAGCAACTCTGGGAACAACTTGGTTATTGATCTTCCAAAACCCATTACTTGAGATTTGTCCTTTTAGCTCCATGGCAGAATATATAACGTCTACCTGGGAGTCGTTGAAAGCCTACCTGCTATTTGAAATAAAAATCAAGACATTATACAACTGTAAAGAGGAAGAAGGTCTGAAAAAGAAGTAAGGAAAGAATCAATGGCCCTTTGGCCTCCTTTTACATCCCATCTTTGCAAAATGGTAATTATCTCACATCTTTGCCCCATTTAGGACAGAGCTCATGTCTTCTTGTCTTGAAGAGCAGCATCAGAGCAGAACAGTTGTGTGTTGCTTCTCCTTCATCCTTCTCATAGTACTGGCTTCCGTTCCAATTGGAGTACAGCACTTATGTGAAGAATTGCTGTTAGTCACTTACACATTGCATATATTTCTATAGCTAGATTGTGACCTCCTCAATCAGAGGAGTCCCTCAACAGCTAATAGAGATAGAGATTAGATTGCAGGAAGGTTACTGAGGAATACTCTGAGAACACTACCTGAGGAAGAGAAGGGAAGAAGTAGAACTGGGCAAAAGGAACAGTGGGGCTGCAGTGCAGTCTCAATGAAGCCAACCCTGTGGAGATCTCTGAAGCTGGGATGGCCGTTTAGGGATAACACTTCAGACCAATCATTATATATGGGCCACTATGAGAAGGGGGTATGGCCTTAAATGAGGCAGCTCTCACTAGCTGAGTCCATTTCTAATGAGGGCTGACAGTTGAAGGCTGTCAGCCAGCAGCACCCACAACAGGTGGCTAGAGTTAAGACCTTTAGTCTTGAACAGGCACCATAGCATCCACTATGTTATTTTATGTGTTGCTCCTATTCCTAGTTTTCTAGTACTGGGCATAGAATATTGTGTGTTGAATGAATCTGTTCAATTGAATTATTCTGCACCAAAGAGAACGTAGCCAGAGATGGGATTTGCCATACTGCAGCCTTAGGCACCCTAAACCTTGCAACGTTCACTATCTCAGGAATTACAGTGCAATCGTTGTGAATGATCTGGGGTGACAGTCTCAAGAATTCTGAGAAGGAGTGGAGTGCTCTAAGAATTTTAGTTGGCATTAATAGATAACAGATCTTATGCTGGTATCATTCCCTATCAAATAAATATTTTAGAGTAAAGTATGTCTGCACTAGAGTAGAAGACTTGGGCAGTTTGTAAGGACACTTTCTCCAAGGTCTAAGTAAGGTCATAGTCAAGAAGAATATGATGCCCTTCATCCAGCAACTCCATCTGGGAGGTGGCGAGGGGCTCTTTTTGCAAATGACTTGCCTGGCTTGAGTGTGCTCGCTTTTCATGCAAATGCTAGAACGTGTTTGGCTCTGAGCTACCTCCTGTAACGCAATGGGGAGACAATGGAGAGACCAGCCATGTAATGAATCTCCCTTGAGATAAAAGAGAAGCATGATGAGAGCTCTTGTGGCTTTTGTAAGCATCTGTACGTAATAAAGCTAGTAACCGTCTACAAATGTTGTAACACATGTGTGTTTCTGTGTGTGTGTGTGTGTGTGTGTATACGCATATATATTTCTAACTGTAATATAGAAAGAATTGTGGTACAATGCTGGGTAATAATGTTCCTTTCATTGGATTCAATGATTCAAATGATCCAAATGGTATATACCAGAGTCCAAAGAGCACAGGATACTGTTCTTTAAAAATGGAGCTATGAAAATGTGCCTCCCATGCAGAAATTCAGTTCCTCTGTATTAGGACAATTAAGGTTCCAGGGGCTAGTGAAATGGAAGCTTGAATTCAATGGTCCATTTCCTAGAGAAGATCTAGGTGCAAAAGTAATAGGGAGTCTCCTATGAAAGTTTTACCTGTGGGGTGGCCTGAAAAAGAGCCAAGACCTCCAGTGGAGGAAAGGCAAAGTACTCTGGAGAAAGTGACTTCTATCGCCCAACACAGAGATAGGACTTGAAGAGACTGCACTGAACACTGCCTCGCAGACCTAGAGACATACATAATGACCTGGCGCCTGCCTGCCTTTTCACCTATGGCCAAGATGGGTTAGTTGCCACCAAAGACTCACACTCACTTTCCATAGCGTAGAGTTATTGCTGGGAAGCAGGTGCCATCCAGGACTATATTTTTTAGCACCCCTTGTTTCCAGGTAGGACCAAACGACTGATTTCTGGCAAATAAAATATGGATAGAAGTGATGCATATTACTCCAAACCCACCCCATAAAAATCTTCCACCACAATTATCCCCGTTCTTGTCTCCTTTATTGTTTAACGATAGCCAGTATAATGAGCAAGAAATACGTTTTTATCATGTTAAACCACTGAGATTTTGTTATTATTTCATATGACAGTTAATTAATCTTGACTAATACAGCAAGAGAGTAACAATTCAATGCAAAAGGATTGGTCAGTGTCCAATGCATCCGAAGTCCAGTAAGATGAGAACAGAGCATTGGATCTGGCAGTATGGAAATTGTTGGTCACTTTATCAAACAGAGTTTGAGCAGAACGGAGGAAAGGGAAACCAAATTGAAGTGAATGGAGGAAAATGTAGGAGATGAGAAGTGGAAAGAAACACTATGGGCAATTCTTTTAATAAGGGTTGCTATGAAGGGGAGCAGAAAACTAGATGGCAGGAGCTGGGGATAGAGATAGAGCTAGATAGAGATTGAGATGGAAATAGTGATAGAGATGGAGATGAAGAGAGATAGAGATAGAAATAAAAATAGAGATGGAGATGGAAATAGAATTAGAGATGGAGGTAGATAGAAATAGAGATAGAGATGGAGATAAAGATAGAAATACTGATGGAGATTGAGATGGAGGTGAGGTGGAGGTGGAGGTAGAGATAGAGATGGAGAGGGAGATGAAGATAGAAATACTGATGGAGATTGAGATGGAGGTGAGGTGGAGGTGGAGGTAGAGATAGAGATGGAGATGGAGATAAAGATAGAAATACTGATGGAGATTGAGATGGAGGTGAGGTGGAGGTGGAGGTAGAGATAGAGATGGAGATGGAGATAGAAGTGGAGATGGAGACAGAGATAGAGATGAAGATGGAGATGGTAGTGAAGACTGAGGTGGAGGTAGAAATAGAGATGATAGGGAGATTGGAGATTCAGAACATGTTAGTATCCTGCTGAAAATGAGATGGTGACTCCACTGTAACATGGTTAGGAAACTGAAATGGTTATCTTCACGCTGGCAGGGCAAACCAACCTACTCCAAGGATGCTCACTTACCACATCCACTGTTACTTCACTTACTCAAATGTGCACATCTCTGAAGTTTGCTACCCCTGCCTGTCTCTATCAGCACAGAGAAAGAACATGTCAGACAGCATCCCCTCTCTTTCCCCAAGACCATCAAGTGTGTGTCTAACTGTTAAAATGACTATTTTTAATAATCAGACACCTCTGAATGAAAACTTGTTGGGATAGAAAGGTCATCAGGTTTGGAATCAGAAAGACTGGATTTTGTCCTGGCCGTGCTGGTTCTACAAAATTTTAAATCTTGGAAAAGTCAATCAGCACATTTGATTTCATCAAAAAGATGTCAAAAGATCATTACCTACCTTACAGGACTCTGATAAGTTCATATGAAACTTAATCAAAAACAAGTATGAACATGGGGTGTTTGATTTTCTGTTTCTTCATTAGTTTGCAAAGGATAATGGTATCTAGCTCCATCCATGTTCCTGCAAAGAACATGATCTCATTCCTTTTTGTGACCGCATAGTATTCTACGGTGTAAATATACCACATTTTCTTTATCCAATCTGTAATTGATGGGCATTTAACTTGTTTCCGTGTTGTATCACTCTGTTCTCACCTTGTTATAAAGACATACCTGAGACTGGGTAATTTATAAAGAAAACAGGCTTAATTGACTCACAGTTCCTCATGGCTGGGGAGGCCTCAGGAAACGTGCAATAATGGTGAAAGGGGAAGCAGGCACATCTTACGTGGCAGCAGGCGACAGAGAGTGAGCAAGAGCAGGGAAAGCTGCCTTATAAAACCATCAGATCTTGTGAGAACTCACTCAATATCATGCGAACAGCATCAAGAAACCACCCCCATGATCCAATCATCTCCCACATTTTCCCTCCCTTGACGTGTGGGGATTACGGAGATTACAATTTGAGATGAGATTTGGGTGCGGACACAGAGCCAAACCATACCACATGTCTTTGCTATTGTGGATAGTGCTGCAATGAACATTCACATGCATGTGTTTTTATGATAGAAAGATTTATATTCCTTTAGGTATATGCCCAGTAATGGAATTGCTGGATCAAATAGCAGTTCTGCTTTTAGCTCTTTGAGGAATTGTCACACTGCTTTCCACAATGGTTGAACTAATTTACACTCTCACCAACAGTGTGTAAGTGTTCCCTTTTCTCCACAACCTTGGCAGCATCTAAATAATGAGAACTCATGGACACAAAGAAGGAACAACAGACGCTGGGGCGTATTTGAGGGTAGATGGTGGGAGGAGGAAGAGGAGTAGAAAAAATAACTATTGGATACTAGACTTAGTACCTAGGTGATGAAATATTCTGTACAACAAGCCCCTGTGACATGGGTTTACCTATATAAAGAAGCCCGCAAAGGTACCCCAAACCTAAAATAAAACTTAAAAAAAGGTATGGAAAAATAATTTGAAAACATTAAAATGCTCTAAGATTTTATTGATAATTCATTTAGAAAATAATTATTGTGTTTGTTTGTTTATTTATTTATTGTGTTTCTAGCAAGGGGCTAGGCACACAGCTAAGATACAGGGGCCTCATGGAGTTTACAGCGTAGTAGGAGAGACACACAAAAAACAAATGAATAAATAATTACAGCCAGTGATCAGTTCTATGCCATAAGCAAACAAGAAACTAAAATAGAGAAGGAGAGCTATCTAGGTAAGGTGATCAGAGAAAACTTGTTTGAAAAGGTGACCTTTAAACTAAGAGTTGGCCAGGCATGGGGGCTCACCCCAGTAATCCCAACACTTTGGGATGCCAAGGTGGGAGTATTACTTGAGGCCAGGAGTTTGAGATGAGACTGGGCCATATAGTGAGACCTGTCTCTATAAAAAATCTAAAAATTTGCCAGGTGTGGTGGTGTGTGCACCTGCAGTTCCAGCTACTTGGGAGGCTGAGGAGGTAGGATTGCTTAAGCCCAAAAGGTTGAGGTTACAGTGAGCCCCGATCATGCCATTGCACTCCAGCCTGGGCAACAGAGCAAGACTCTATCTCAAAATAAATAAACACATAAAATAAAAGTAAAGACACTAAAAAATAAATAAATAAATAAACTAAGAGCTAAAGGTTGAGAAGGAACTGAGCTATATGAAGAAGAGGATGGTGACAGTAATTCCTTGATACCATCAAATATCTGGCCAGCTTTCCAATTATTCTGCTTGTTTCACAATTCCTTGGATCAGATCAGGATCTAAACAGGTTTAATAACTGGAATCTTGTGACTCTTAAGTCTCTTAGAATCCATACATTTCCCTTCTTCTTCTTTGCTTCCAAACAATAACTGTGTTGTTTGCCTTGAAGAGTTTCCCACAGGCTGAATTTTGCTGTTGGCATCTCTGTGGTGACATTGTTTGCCTTGCTCCTCTGCTCCCTGTATTTCCTGTCAGCTGATAGGTTGATCCTGTTTGACTGATTCAGGATCAATATTCTGACAAAAATTCCTCATAGGTGGTTTTGCGTATTTCCATCAGGAAACATACTGTTTAGTTGCTTCTTTTTTTGTGATATTAGCAGTCACTGATGATCACGCCTCACTTGGTTATTTCGTTAAGATTGCAAAACAATGGTGCTATAATCCAGTAGTTCTCAAAGGGTGGTGGTCACTGACTGGTAATATCACCATCACCTGTGAACTTCTTAGAAATGCACATTTTCCAGCCCCACCCCAGACTTACTGAACCATAACTCTAGGGTGGGGTCCTGCGTCTTTTCTTAACA
Organism: Homo sapiens; assembly: GCF_000001405.40. NCBI lineage: Eukaryota > Metazoa > Chordata > Mammalia > Primates > Hominidae > Homo > Homo sapiens. The sequence continues at coordinate 8,253,804 of NC_000003.12, forward strand.
AGCCTTCTGGGTGATTCTAATGCACGCTGGTATTTGAGAACCATTCTCTAGTTCTACCATTTATTTTTTATTGATTAGCTGGACAGCTTCTGTAAAGAGAAACATCGCCTCACCAATTCTCTGGTTACCTTGACACAGTTCATGTAGCAAAAGCCAGTTAAATGCTTGGCTCTTCCTTTTATTTACCAATTTTCGGAGTAATGAGTTGTCTTCCCAAACATTCTTTTGAAGGTGCCTGCATGGAGGTAACAAAAGAGGAGAGCTACTCAGTTTGCTTCTTATTTGTGGGGTTCTGTTGGCTCCAGCAAAAGGAAGGATGCTGTGATGATGGAGAATCTGAGCATAAGATCTTGCAAAGGAAGTACCCACAAGTGCCAGCAGCCTGGGAACCCAAGGAAATCAAGCACTTGCCATTTTATAGCACTTCCGATCTGCCTTCCCTACAGGTGTATGTTACACAATACGTGCCAGGTTTTATTAATCCAATTTCCTGTCCCTATGCAAAGGCAAGAAGGGCCCTAATCATGATCAATACCCTTACTCTGATGACAAACAAAAACAGATGAGCCTGTGAGGCCTGGCTGGTATTTGTAATTACTGCCTCTGTAGGCATTCAATTACAGCTAATGACAGGCACTCCCCTCACTGACAGAGGAGCATTTATACAGGCTCCCTCACTTGGCACGCAGTTGACAACAGGTCTCTTTTCCTTCCTCCTCTGACTTCAGTTCGCTGCACCAGCACAGTTTCCTGGGATATGGAACCTCTAAATGCTATGCCACCTCCTGTAATGGAATTTTCAAGGAAGAAGTCCATTTTGCTCATCATAATGCCATCTTGTTGAGCCACCCCTGGGCCTGCATATGGCCTGTCAGCATGATTCATTGATGTGCTGTGACTCAGGTGGGTTGTGCAAAAGCAGGGAGGTGAGCTCAGGTGAGCAGCACTGCTTGTCAGCTCTCCACTAAAAGCTTTTACTTACAAGCCTGGCAGCAAGAAGGCAGCACAGGCAGGAGCTTCTGCTTTTCGATATTCCAGATGAGGATGTATAAAAGTGTGTGCATGGTATACTTTTTAAAAATTGAAACAGATGTCATTAAGGGACAATCAATTCTGTTTCCTTTGCTGTGGAGCTAAGTATAGAGGATAGCTGTTGAATGACTAACTAGCATCCATTTCCACTGATTGCATCTTTAGGGACCACCCCTTAGAGTGGACACTGGTGGTACCTTGGCAAGACCCTTTTGCTGGGCCATGCAGCTATCCCTGGCTGCTGTGTGTTGGCAGGTAACAACTCACAGCTATCACATTCTCTAAAAAAATGTACTCGGCCAAACAGAGCTGCCTTCCTCTGCCACCACTAGACCTCTGCCAATGACTGACAGGCATGGGAACACAAAAAGCAGCCCCCTTTGCCTTACTTAGTGAGATCACCTTGAAGCTAGTCTTCACCTGAAACCACATTCTTGTGTAGTATTGTCCCCCTTCTCTGGAGCACAACTCTCCCCGCAGCAACCCAATCAATCTAGTGAGAATTCCTCTTTCAGGTTCTGCCTCCAGCAGGCCTTAATAAGACACCATTCTCCAAAGATTCTCAAGATGGAAAGGGACTGATCCCACCCCAGCTGCAGCACTCAATCAAAGCATTGCCTTCCTCTTAAGCATTGATGAATGGTTCAGGGATGGGCATGGGACCAACGCCAGGCCAATGACAGTCATATCTTGGAGAGGTAGGAACTAGGAAGCTAAGGAAGGAAAGCTCTTTTGGAACTAGTGAAAGTTGTTATTCAGGGCTGGAACTAGGGTGAAGTGAGCAAGACACTGCTCGCATGCAAAATCTAAAGTGGGTTATTTAAAAACTCAGGAATCAAGTAAAAGTTTAACTTTTTAAAAAATAAAAAATAATGCATGAAAATATAATAAACAACACATCAAAGTTTAAAACAAAGATAGGATCTGGATTATGCTGATTTTTCCTTTTGCCTGAGGCTTCAGTAGGCTCAATACGGCACTGCAACTTTGCCACCACTCTGGAGAGTCTGCTGACAATCCAGCCAAGACTGAGGAAAACAGAGCCAAGAGATGTGAAAAGATAAATTCCTGTTGACATACAAACTACCACATGGGATAGTGGTGAGGATTAAATAAGTTAATGCATGCAAAGCCCTTAAACATAGCCTAGCTCAGAGTAAGCCCAAGATAAATGTTGTTATGGTTTCTACTGTTGTCTCTTCTGTTGGAATTAATCTCTGCCTCCTCTGAACAACAACGGCATTATCTCATCACCATGTCTGTTCTCAAGTTCTACTCAGTAACAAGGGAGTATATGGTGCTAGGTAAGTAGGTAGGTTGGTTGGTTGGTAGGTAGGTAGATAGATATAATAGGTAGATAACAGAAAGGTAAGTAAAGGTAGATATAGGTAACATAGATAGAGACAGAGATAGAAAAAATATGGTTATAAAGAGATACCTAAATGTGGGCATGATGGTGGGTACCTATAATCTCAGCTACTCAGAAGGCTGAGACAAGAGAATAGCTTGAACCTGGAAGGCGAAGGTTGAGTGAGCCAAGATCCCGCCATTGCACTCCAGCTTGGGCGACAAGAGAGAAACCTCTGTCTCAAATAAAAAAGAGAGAGAGATAGCTAAATGATAGATAGTCCTATTTTTATTAGTTTCCTATCTCCTTGGGATAGGAATAATTTATTAACTTTCACTTACATTCCTTTTCCAAAAGTCTTAGGACTCAGTCCAATGCTTCTCACACACAAGCTATTATTTGTGTTAGCAGAAGGAAAGAAGATTGACATGAGAAAAGAGCCTGAGAAAACATCTATAAATCATGGGTCTTGTATCTTCTAGGGAGCCTACTGCAAATTATAGTATTAGATGTTGTGATATTTCTTACTGTGCATATTCCGACAGCTAAACTTGAGATTGCATAGTCTTAGCCACAGGAAGTATATCTCTCTTGTTCCTGCACTTATTCAAATCCTGCCAGTCATTGAGAACTGACTCAAGTACTGCCTTTTCATTGGCGATATCCCATTTACACAAGAACCTAGCCTTTGCTGCACCTCCCTTTCTTGCTTCCTGATGATGTATGTCTGGATCCACCATATAGCAATATTTCTCCACTTTGTCAATCCAAATTAGCTGTGTGTCCTTGGGCGAGTGCCCTGTGGACATGTTTCCTCATGTGTTAAAAATAAATGGTTTGGACCTGGTGGTGTCTGAGGTCCTTTCTGGCTAAACTTTTGGCTCTATGTTTCTCTTTTGCTGGCTTCTCACATCTCAGTGTGGGAGGAGACATTTTACCTTCACTGAACTGCTTGGCATCTGTTTATTTTTATCACAACCTTAGTGTTACTCTTTAAAGAAGATTTCTGTTTAAAAACAGTGCTGACTTATGTAGGGGAATAATTCCTTGAACTTAAATCACCTGTTGGCTCCCCAGAGCTCAAAGTGCTTTGCAGGCAATTGTCTCATTAATCATTGTGCCCTTTTCAGGATTAAAAAAAAAAAATCAAGAATAAAAGCTTTCCTCAAAGATTACCTGCTAGTCAGGGTGAGCCCAAAAGAAGGGCAGAACAAAGTCTTTCTGATGTTGTCTGTCTCCATGACTCAAGACACTACCAACCTTGTGAAGTCTGACATGATTGAATCTTGTACCCTGGTCAACGTGTGGAAAGCGATTCTTAGGACAATATGAAACATCAAGTCATGCAAACTTTAGACTAAATTTATCTTTGAAATACAATATGTGAAGATTTTATAATGAGGTGTGTGAAGATCACAAAACAAGCTAGGAATTCAATTCTGTAATCAGAGTGCCTGGGCTGAAAATTCTAAACTGAACCACAGAACAGCTGCAGGCTGTGGAAATTACTTTTCTTCCATAAAGAAGAAAGAAAGAAGGAAGGAAGGAAGGAAGGAAGGAAGGAAGGAAGGAAGGAAGGAAGGAAAAGAAAGAGAGAAAGAGAGAAAGAAAGAAGGAAAGAAAGGAAGGAAAGAAAGAAGGAAAGAAAGAAGGAAGGAAGGAAGGAAAGAAAGAAAGAAAAGAAAGAAAGAGGGAGGGAAGAAAGAGAGAGAGAAAGAAAGAGAGAAAGAAAGAGAAAGGAAGGAAGGAAGGAAGGAAGGAAGGAAGGAAGGAAGGAAGGAAGGAAGGAAGGAAGGAAGGAAGACTTTACTTTTACCACACTGGATTGTTTGTACGATTTAAATGAGAAAGCAGATTAAATTATTTCCTCTCCTCATTTGTTAGAGATTAAAGACTAAGTCTAGATAAACAACATGTCTACTAAGGAGAAGGCATGCTGAGGAGAAGGAAAGTTTTACTTTGTTGGTATTCTTTGGTATTAGCTTTCGCCAAGTATCTAGCATCCTATTAGCTCAGTGATTTCCAACAACAACAAAAAAAACCATTTATTTCTTGCTTGTGTTGCATGCAGACTTGAATTGGCTGTGACTGCTAGGCTCAGCCCCACATGTCTTCTCATACTAGGTCCCAGGTCTAAGGAAAAACCATGGTCTGGAACACTCTGATCTCATGATGCGAGGGCAAAGACAAGAGTAGCAAAGACAAACTACTTAAAGCTTCTGTTCAGATCTATTTCTTTGGCCAGAGAAAGTCACATGGTTGAGCTAAATGTCAATGAGGCAGGATAGCATATTAAGACTACAGAAAAGTCAGTCAAAAATGGAGCAGAAATAAATATTTGTGAATAATGCAACTTGTCATGCCTGCAACAACAAATGATAGCAAGCTTTTTGTGTTAATACGAGAAAATGGAAGTGGCCATATCAAGTAAATGCAGACTTTCCCTTACAGACTCTAGGGTGCCACAGAAAAACTACCGGTAGAATACATAGCTCCTAGCGTAGAGTTGGAGGAAAAAGTCAGAAAACAGGGTTTTTGGAGAAATGTGTTTGTTGCTTTTCGCACTTCAAATTCTAGTTGTAAGAGATATACACTTAAAATAAGTTTTTTTTGCTATTACCTGACTTCATTTAAGTTTATAAGAAAGCATTCAATATCATTTCTGAACAATCACATTCTTACCTTAGTGGCTAACTATGAATTAATATAGATCAAAAGCCAAAACTTAAGTCTAAGAGATATATCCACCTATATAGTCATTATCTCAGGTCTTATTTATTTGCCAGATAATAAGATTTATAACCAGGTTTGGTTATATTTTTAACTTTAGGCATCATTATGTATGAAAGCAATAATAATTTTTCAATGTTGCATTTTCAGTTGAGATACATTTCAGCCTTTTGAACAAACAAAACAAATTAGTTGAACATATTATTGGTTTGTGGGGGACAATGCATAAAAGAATCAGATTTTTATGTTCTTTCGTCCTGAAGAAAAAGTCAACAACCCTTTGCTCATTTAGAGATTTCACCCCTGGGATAACTAATTTCAGTCTACTACAAAATTCAATAGTACATATTTTAAAGGTATTATTCTTTTTTTTTTCTTTTTTTCTTTTTTTTTATTTTATTGAGACGGAGTCTCGCTCTCTCGCCCAGGCTGGAGTGCAGTGGTGCGATCTCGGCTCACTGCAAGCTCCGCCTCCCGAGTTCCCGCCATTCTCCTGCCTCAGCCTCCCGAGTAGCTGGGACTACAGGCACCCACCACCACGCCCAGCTAATTTTTTGTATTTTTAGTAGAGACAGGGTTTCACCGTGTTAGCCAGGATGGTCTCAATCTCCTGACCTAGTGATGAGCCCACCTCGGCCTCCCAAAGTGCTGGGATTACAGGCGTGAGCCACCACACCTGGCCTAAAGGTATTATTCTTGCTTTGATAACTGCAGCTTTACTTTTTATTGTTTAGCATTTTGTCACTAGCGAGAACATAGCTATGGCTTCTGGTTAAAAAACAAACTATTGAGGGGTAATGGAAACTAAATGTTCAATTTCAAATTGACAAATAAATATTGAGCCAATGATGAATTTTAATAACCAGAAACAGGGAAAATGTCTTAGTTGTCTGAGCAAGAAGGGACTCAGAGATACTCAGAGATTCTTCAGGCTCAAACTCCACTTTTTCTTTAAAGCCAAATATCTCTGTCTTGATCACTGTTTGGGAATTGAAGGCAAGATTGATGATATAGGAGGTAATCTGAGGAAAGTACATTGGTTTTTAAAGCCTCAACCCTGAAATAATACAAGCCCAGATGGGGATACTAAAGACCCCCTGTGACATTATCCCATTCTAATCTTTAATCCCAAACAGCCTGAAGTAAAAGCTGTTAGTGCATTAAATTTACTAGGATGAAAGAGATTAGTCTCAAGACCAGAAATAAAGCCTTTTGTTTACTACAGTGGAGCATGAAAGTGTTGTCTCTATTCCTTCCCACATAGAGTTTTGCAGTATCCTGATAACATCTCTTAAACTCATACTGTCATACTGAGGAGCATTTAATTTCCCATTACTTTAACCCTCTTGATATATGATAGTTTTGTGTGTGTGTGTGTGTGTGTGTGTGTGTGTGTAGTCTTGAGGTCTAGTTTTCTGAACTATCTGGCTCTAATACTATCTTTTCATTCACTATTAGCATATTTTTTGTTAAGCCTTTGGAAATAGTTATAATAATATTTTAAAATCCTTTTCTACTATTTCCAACTTCTGGATTATCTCGGAATCAGTCTCCACTGATTGTATGGTGTTTTTTCCTTTCTTTTATCTAGTAGTACAATATACTTTTAAAATTACCATTGTAATCATTTGAAAGTATACAATTCGGTGGCATTAAGTATTTTCACAATGTTGTTCAACCATCACCACTATCTAGTTCCAGAATTTTATTACTTCCAACAGAAATCCTTCACCTATGAAGCAGTAATTCCTATTACCCTCACCCCACATCCTTGACAACTACTAATCTGCTTTCTGTCTCAATAGAAATGTCTATTTGGGATATTTAATATAAATGGAATCATACAATATGTGGCCTTTTATATCTGAATTCTTTCACTTAACGTAATGTGTTTAAGGTTTATCCATGATGTAGCATGTGTCAGTACTTCTTTTTGTATCTGAATAATGTGGCATTGTATGAGCTACTTACACAAAATATATCTTTACATTCTTTACATTTAGTCTTTTTTTGTCTTTGGATCTAAAGTGATTCTCATGTAGACAGCATACAGATAAATCATGTTTTTATTTTTAATCTATTCTGCCAGTCTCTTCCTTTTAATTGGAAAAAATAATCCACTTACATTTAAAGTAATTACTGATTTAAAAAAAGCATTTCTGCCATTTTACTATTTGTCCTCAGTATGTCATACACTTTTTGTTCCTCAATTACTCCATTACTTCCTTTTTTAAAATTTAATAGATTTTTTGGTAGTGTACCATTTTGATTCCCTTCTCATTTTTTTTTTCTGTATTGTTAAGTTCTTTTCTTAGTGGTTACCTTGAGTATTGCAATTAACACCTTAAAATTGAACAACTACTTTGAATTAATACCAATGAAGGTTCAATCGTATACAAAAACTCTGCCCCTATACATCTCTGTCCCTCCGTCTTTATACTGTTATTGTCACAAATTAAGTATTTATATATTACATACACAATCAGATAGATTTATAATTACTGTTTTATAGATTTCTCTTTTAAATCATATAGAATAAAAGAGGACTTACAAACCTGATAACCTATAGGTCACATTTGGTAGGCTTGAATCATGGCTTACATCCTGTCCCTGAATAAAGAATCTTATCATGAGTCCCTTAAATCTTATTGTGAGTTCCTCACGAATAGCCTGCTGACACTGAAAAAGACACTGATTTGTTTCTGTATCATGAAGTTGTACGGATTATCTTGCATGTAGACATTTTAGCCTATATGTTGTCATCTGTATCCAATGATTTAAACTTTTTAGTTCACCCTCCAATGAAAAGGACAACTCCAGTATGAGGACTCCTCTTCCTTTCTTCTAAATGTTCCCATAAAAGCCTTCCAACTTGTAGCAGACTTTGGAACGTCCCCAACTTTGTTGGTATGTCTTCCCAGGTAGACCCCCAAATCTGGTTTCCAATAAACCTTTATCAAATTATTTCTACATCAACAGCATTAATTTTGGTTGAAAAACCAAATTACAATAATACTGGATAGTTTATTTGCCTACGTAGTTACTTTTACCAGTGTTCTTTATTTCGTCATATGGCTTCAAATGAGTAGTGACTAGTGTCTATTCATTTAAGCCTGAAGAACTTCCTTTAGCATTGCTTGTAAGCATGCCTAATAGTAAAGAACTTCTTTATCTGGGAATGTCTTCATTTTTACTTCGTCCTTGAAAGTTAATATTTCCAGGTATAAAATTTGTGGTTGAAAGGTTTTTTTTTTTCTTTCAACAATTTAAATATGTCATCCCACTGCCTTCCAGCCTTCATGGTTCCTGCTGAGAAATTGATTATTTATTCTGTTTTCAATCCCTCATATATTATAAGTCAATTCTGTATTGCAGCTGTGTAGATTATCTTTGGCTTTTGAAAGTTTGATTATAATGTGTCTCAGGGTTCATATCTTTGAATTTATCCTATTTAGAATTTATTAAGCTTCTTAGATGTGTAGATAAATGGGCTTTTTAGAATAAAATTTGTGAAATTTTAGACTATTATTTCCTCAAACATTTTCTACACACTTTGTCTGTCTTTTTTCTGGGAATACCATTATGTGGATGTTGGTACATTTGATGTCAAATTTGTAATTAATTCCCTAATGACATATGATGTTGAGGATCTTTTCATATTCTTATTTGATATCTGTATATATTTTCAGTGTGGTGTCTGTTTATATCTTTTGCCAATTTTAACTAGGTTGTTTTATAATTGTTGAGTTTTAAAAATTCTTTGTATATTTTGGATATCAGTACTTTATCAAACATGTGTTTTGTAAGTATTTTCTCTCCGTCTGTGACTTATCTTTTCATTCTCTTAACATTGTCTTTTACAGAACAGAAGTTTCCACCTGTAATTAAGTTCAACTTCTCAATGTTTTTCTTTCATGGATTATGCTTTTGATGTTGTATCTAAAGTCATTGTCAAGCCCAATGTCACCTATATTTTCTCCTATGCTGGCTTCTATGAGTTTTATAGTTTTTATTTTACACTTATGTCTACAATCCATTTGAGTTAATTTTTGCAAAAAGTACAAGGTTTTTGTCAGATTTCCTTCTTCTTATTTTCATGTGGATGTCAATTTGTTCCAGTGTCATTTGTTGGAACATTTAAGCAAAGAGAAGACAATAAAAATCACTCAAACAGATGGCCTTTTCTCTCAAAGGATATTGTTGTGTATGGTTGTAGGTACATTATATGAAAACTGTATTTTCCCAGTGCCCCACTGATCTAAGAAAGCTTAAAATTGAGAGAGAATAATGAGTGAATAAAACAATAAATTAAGGATGTAAGGAGTCATCATGTATGGTTTGGGGTCAAATGTAAAGAGATGCCAGCAATTTGTAAGAATAAAATGGTAAGCCAGGAGACGGGGAGTACTTGTGGCCCTAGACAGCTTCATGCTTCTGCACACAGCATGAGACAACAGTTCAATCCAGCAAGGTGTCAGGTTCAAGAATCTCCTTTCTGTCTGCTAATAACCATGATCAATGGAATTCATTCATAACCCCAGTACAACTCAAACTGTATGTCTTCTAATTGCTATCTTATAACCACCAGAGGAAGACATATTTTAGAAGACTAAAAGACCCAGTCAGTAAAGCCATGGAATTTACCTAAGAGATTTTTTACAAATCCCATACAATTTCACTTTTGTAAGAATCCCCACTTTACATTCAAACTCCTATGGGAGTTGCAAGGCTACCCATAGATAAAACTCTTCAAGACTTGACCAACAGTCTACAAATCAGGCAACCTTTACCTCTATAGGCATCCTTGTTTCAGGTGCCAATTGTTCTTCAGACTGAGGACCTATTCCAAGTCCATTCACAACCAGATATAAACTGCTACAATATAATTCATAGCCAAGTTTGGCTATCTTTTCGCTATAACTGTAGAGCAACGCAGGCTGATACACCTATATCCCCCACCAATATCCCGCCAGTACCAGTTTGACTTATAGCTGTTTGCCTCTGAAATATTTTTCTAAATATTGGTTATGTAGGCAACATTTTATGATAGTACACTGTTGATAAGTACTATCATGTGTATGTATTTCCTGATGCTTTCAGCACAGCTATAAACATTCTCAGCCCGTGGAAAGCTCAGGGGCCAGACTTGTCATCCCCTCTCAACCAGTGAGCACGGTCCATGCTGTCTTCAAGTAGGTAGGTTTGCAATGCATGCTGTGTCCTCTACTGTGGCCTCACCTCCTATCTATTTTGTATCTGGTGAACAGTTTTGATCCATAATGGATGACAACAGGTGTACAAAAGGAGCATTGAACTTACCAATATCTAATATTTATCACAATGGATATAAAATGTAGGGTAGCTGAAAAAGTTTTGAGGAAATAGTTGAGAAACAAAAATTAAAGATCAGCAGGCAGCTCAGGAATAGTGGAAACCATCGCACATAAGAAGGTTAATGTAAACCTTACTCTAGCCAAAAGAATGAATCAGTTATTGCATGTACAGTGTATATCATAGGTGGATAAACCTAGAGTTCAGAGCATAGAAGAGCACAAGGACATTTGAAAAAAAATGGAAGAGGTATTGTAAAGATACAGTGTTGGGAAGCATCTCTGTAAAACCGTGCTACAAATTGTCAAATACAATGCTAATTAGTTACTGTACTCATGTCTAAGAATGCATATTCTCGTTAAATTGCACAATTATGTAATGTTAAGTCCACAGGAAGCCTGTATTAGAGTAATTAATGCTACCTGCTGCAACAAACAACCTCATAACCTTAGTAGATTAATTCAATACGGGTTTATACCTTGATTATGGAAAGTTTAATGTGGATGCTCCTGGACAAGTGGCTTTTTTGCATGGCTTTCTTTCAAGAAATGATGGTGAAGGGATCCAGTTCCTTTCATGTTTGTGCCGTTCTCCTCCTAGCTTTGGTGTCCATTACTTTCAGCGATGCAGATAGGAAAAGTACGAGAGCATATGAAGGATCACATGGAATCCTTGGGATATTTTATGGCTAGGCTCAAAAGTGGAGCACTTCACTACTATCTACACTCCACTATCTGGGATTAGTTATATGAACCTACATAGTTTCAAAGTAGCTGAGAAATTCCAAACTTCTTTCTGCCCAGCAGGAAAATGACACACTGTGGTAAACTCATGAAGCCACAATTAATCTTTCTTTCCTACTTTCAAACGTGTGTTGAGTACCCCACTAGGTGCCAGACATTGTGCCTTGTGCTAGTGCTATAGACAGGAATAGGATAAATTTCCACAACAGGTGACTCCCAGCTTTCAATCTTAATTGATGGTTATATGGTAGTGCCCAATTATGGAACAAAACATAGAAGGTATAGCTTAAAAGGGACATAACAGATTCAGTTTTAAATATGCTCACTTTGATATCCCAAAGGGACAGTCACGTGGTGTCTAAACTACAAAGAAAGCTTCAAATGGAGATCCAAATTAGGAAGACATCAGAAAAAAAGCCAATAATGAGGCCTTGTAAACACTGGGAACTTCAAAATAAGGGAGGATTTTGCTTTCTTTTGTTTTTGTTTTTAAGTGGAAAAGAAACTCCTGAGTTTTTAAAAGTGAAAGGAAGGGAAAGATCTAATTGAATGAGCGAAGTTGAAGATACAGGAGAGAGTGGGGAAACCCTGTAACTTCTTAAATAGTAATGAGAATAATACATACTCTTTTGAGCAATAAAGAAGTAAATAAAGTAGAAAATGAATCCCCCATCCCTTCCTTCAGGACCAATCACACTAAGCCTCAGCGGTTATCAATGTCCACTCTATTATTTTTTCTTACTGCTTATGTTATCTTTTATTATATTAGGTAGCTCTCCTATTTATTATGTTTATTGTTCCCATTTCTCTGCATGAAAAGTGAACTTCCACAAAAGCAGATTTTTTTTCCTGTTCACTGCCTGGCATGTAGCATACACTGAATAAATATTTGTTAAATATCCTTCTGTATTTTTCTATACATAAAATGAGGGTCTTACAATATACATTATTCTGGAACTTTCCTTTTCAACATTATACAGCTATATCATTGCATAGAGATCTACCTTATTCATTTTAACAGTTCTATAAAATGGCTATACCCAGATTTATGTAAACAGTCTTTTATTGATGAAACTTGAAGATATTTTTAGATTTATTATTGCACATAAGCCTATGATAGATAGATAGATGATTGATTGATAGATAGATAGATAGATAGATAGATAGATAGATAGATAGACAGATAGACAGATAGAATTTCTGTAAGGTAGACAACCCAAAAGCGGGGTTACTGGGTCCAAAAATAGGCACATTAAAATGTTAGGCAGGGCATGGTGGCTCACACCTGTAATACCAACACTTTGTGAGACCGGGGTGGGTGGATTGCTTGAGGCCAGGAGTTCAAGACCAGTCCAGCCAACATGGTGAAACCCTGTCTCTACTAAAAGTACAAAAATTAACCTGGCATGGTGGCACATGCCTGCAGTCCCAGCTATTTGGGAGGCTGAGGCATGATGAGAATTGCTTGAACTCGAAAGGCAGTGGTTGCAGTGAGCCAAGATCACCCCACTGCACTCCAGCCGGGGAAACAGAGTGAGACTATGTCTCCAAAAAAAAAAAACAAATAAAAATTAAAAAATAAAATGTTAACAATGCATCTTAAAACTGACCTTGTAAATACATGGAATTATTTCCATTTCCCACAAAGAATATATGAGAGTAGAGAGGAGCTGTGTACAGAGCAAAGTTCCGAAGATATTAAGGATTCAGACAGGGAGAGAACGTGGAGAAGGCCATAAGAAGTGTTGAAGAAATGCCTGGGCAAGGAGGGTGAATCATGATCTGAGCAACAGGTATCAAATATCCCTCCCAGATAAATTTTCATGAGAGCTGCCTTTCAGGAATCCTCCCCCTTCCTAGAACTGCACAGGGAGCTGGCAACACAAGTTGGAGAAACTATTTAGCATTCCTTCTGTGGGCCATCACTTTCTCTACTGTTTTGTGCCAAAAAAAAAAAAAACCACCAGGGCTCCCTGTCTCCCTTTAAAAACATAATTAACATTCTCAGTGGGGCAGGTTGTGCATATTACTTGCAGATGGATGCTTCCTGTCTTGTTAGTGCTCATGCTGGCTTTAGGAAAATATGCTAAACAGTGCTTTCAGTTCCGTTTTTCTTTAATTAAGAAAACTTTTGACTCTGCTACATTCCGATTCTTGCCTTCATCAATTCAACAAACCTGTATTGAGTACCTACTACATGTCAAACACTGTGCGCACTGAGATAGTCATAGGTCTGCTTTAAATAACTCATCATATTTGAGAAAATTAAACCCATTTATAACTATAAAGAAATGTGTTCAGCATTAGGATGCAGCATATACAGAGTGTACTTAAGGAGCTTTAGAAGTAGAGGGGGTGGGAAACAAACTGATTCTGCCTTGGATGTAGAATTGGGATGCTTTTGCAAATGGCTGACATGGAAGAATGATTTGGTGTCAGAAAAAAAGCAATTCTTAGTTCTAGCTCCCCAGCTACCAGCTGAGGACCTCTGGCCTCATTTTTCTTATTTTCAAAATGGAGACTATAGTCACCCCTCACTCCCTGAAGTGGTTGTGAGGACCAAGTGTGATAAAGCATGAGAACCCCTTACAAAGCATAAGGGAGCATACAAATTTGAACTAGAATGAGCATATGGATCATTTAGCTAGCATCTACTAAGTACCAGGTATCGTTTTGGGCACATTCTATACTTAACCAACTTCAAGTCTCTCAAAAACTTGGTAAAGTGGACGTTATCAGCCTCATTTCACAGCTGAGAGTAAGTCGTTAAAAGTTTCCAATTGGCAGGATCAGAATTTGAACACATAACTGCGAATACGTAGAGCGGTTATGTAGTCTTCAATGTACCACACTGCCTTCTACTTTCTCAGTTAAGCCCTGGAGTGGCCAAGAGGCTGCAGACTGAATGTCTTCATCAGCTCCTCCCTTTCATGCTGAGTAGCCACTTGCAGTCGCCACCACTATTTTTCTATCAATTAGAATTTGTTAAGAGTGTACGGTGCTCGAAGACTTGTGAGAGAATAATCATTAAGACATAATATTGTCCTCAAGAAAGGTTGACTATTTCTGGAAGGTAAAACTAATGCCTCTCTGGTAGTACAAAACAGTCTACCTAGTTTACCCTGACACATCCTGAGGCTGAGACCTTCAAGTGAAAAGGTCCAGCAGGCAGGTGGCAATTTGCATCTGAAGCTCTGCATTTTTGGAATCATCAGCATACAAGTAATATTTGAAATCAGTTGTACAAGCATTGATCCAGCAATCAATTCCACTTTGACTTCCAAATTCCACAGCAACTCTGGAGAAGTACAAAGGGAGCAATAAACTTAGCCTCAAATAATTGTTTATTTTCAGTTACCAGGAGAGAAATACCATATAATTTGTCTTCCTTTTTCTCATGTCTGTTTCCACAAACATCTCACCCCATCTTTCTCAAAGACAAGATCTACCCTAAGTATGTAAATGCAAGAAAACCAATTTTCCCTCTGTCTTTAAAATTATAAATAAATAAATATGAGCATAATGGATCTAAAATATGGTGTGTGGAACCTTCAAAGCCATGAAAAGCTACATTATTAAGAACCATGTGGCATATATTTAGCCCTACCCAACTAGTAGTAGCATACAAATCAACCCTCAAAGTATCCATTTGCTATCCAAATGCAGTTGGTCGAATCCTGGAAGGCATTTTCGTAATAATGGTTTTCTATATGCCTGCTCTCTACCAGAAATTATGGGTTCCATAAAAAGTAATAGCAGTATGATTTTAGTTAAGAACCAATTTACATTCTGCATTTCTGTTCAATAGTCTGGTTGATTGAGGCCCTTTGGGAACAACTCTCATCCTATGGTACTGAAGCTCATTAAATAAAACCATGAATTGTTTAAAATAGCTACACACTTAGTTTACAAGTTCCTTAAATATTATTTACTTTTCTCTTTGGCTTAAAATATCAAGCAGAAAAACTATAGATATATCATGACTGAATTTTACACATATGAGGAAGAAACCATCTTAGTTGGAAATAGCAACCTCGTCTATGCTTGGGAAAAGAAGATGGCATAATTGCTTCAGAAATTGGAAATAGAACAAGAGTAGCCACTAAATCTACTATTGATGAACCAGGAACATTTAGATAAAATTCATTGAGGCACTACCTAACTAGGCAAAAGGAAGAAACAAGGTGATTAACTGGTTTTAGAGCTGTAAGCAGCTGCAAACGCCTCGCTGTTATTCATCTCCAACATCTGTTATTCAAAAATCCTGTCGACTTTCCCATATTGTACTAGGTCATTCCTTATCAACTTACCATCGCTTCAACACTTCCTGAGCATCCTCTGAATTTCAGAAGAGAAGCTGAAAACTACACTTCCCCATAATCCCTTTCCCCATAAGTTTCCTGATTAGACTTTGTCAATGAAAGGCGCTTGTGTGAGATTTGCATGCAGATTCATAGGTAAACACAAACGTTGAAGTAGCTCTTGGATGGGTGTACTGGAGATCCCCTGTACTTATGCTATAGCCCTGTGGTTCTCTAGCTAGTGTGCATCAATATACCCCCCAAAGACTTGTTAAAATACAGATTGGCCGGCTCTATGACCAGGGTATGATTTGGGTTGTCTAAGGTGGAGTCTGAGAAAATGAATTTCTAACAAGTTAGCAGATGATACTGATGCAGCCACATATTGAGAACCACTTCTATAGGTAGAGATACCTGTAGGAGATTCCCAGAGACTCAAGGAATCCACAGAAGCTTCCAGGTGAACTCTTGAGAGCCACTTGGATCAGAGCTGCAAGCTTGAGATCACAAGGTCTCCGTCATGATTTCTGTCCCCTGTCCCCCCATTTTCAGTGGTCATGTAAGCCTCAAATTTTCTTTACATAGAAATCTTCACATACCTAAGATAGAGAAGAGCTTCAGTTTTCCTAATATGCATCTCCTCAATCCACAGCCACTGCCCCAACTTATTGTCCTTTTCCTAACCCAACCATCCTCCAAACAATAGGATATTTCAATTCTCCTCTTAAAAACATTTATGCTGCCAAACTGGAAACAGCTCAAATGTCTATCAGTGGTACATGGGTAAACGAACTGTGGTACAATGAAGTAGTACTCAACAACAAAAATTACCGGTGCATGCAACAACAGAGATTAATCTCAAGGATAATCGCTAAGTGACAAAAGCCAGACCCAAAAGACTACGTACTCTGTGGTTCCATTTGTTTGACAAAATAGAAAAGGCAAAACTATAAGGGTAGAAATAAAAATCAGTGTTGTCAGAAACCAGAATGAGAAAAGGAGACTGACCACAGTGAGGTACAAGAAATGATTTGCGAGATCTATTCTACATTATAATTGTGATTACACAACTGTATATCTTTGTAAAAATGTTTGGAACTATACACCTCAAAAGAGAAAATTTTATAATATGTATACTATACCTTAATAGACCTGACTTTAAAAAAAAAGATGGCTAATATCAATTTTGATCTTGAAGAAAGAAGAGTTAACAATAAAAATAAAAGGCCAGGCACAGTGGCTCATGCCTGTAATCCCAGCACTTTGGGAGGCCAAGGCGGGCAGATTACCTGAGGTCAGGAGTTCAAGACCAGCCTGGCCAACATGGTGAAACCCCGTCTCTACTAAAAATACAAAAATTAGCAGGGCATGGTGGTGCGCTGTAATCCCAGCTACTCAGGAAGCTGAGGCAGGAGAATTGCTTGAACCCCAGAGGCAGAGGTTGCAGTTAGCCAAGGTCGTGCCACTGCACTCCAGCCTGGGAAAGAGAGTGAGACTCCATCTCAAAAAAAAAAAAAAGGAAAAAGAAAAAGAAAATCTATAGAAACCAAAACAGTGTTGGAAAGGGACAAAGAATAATCTAATCTGGCCATCTCATTTTATGTCTTCAGAGAAAAGGTAAGTAACTTGGTTAAAGTCACAGGCTATGGCACTTTTTTCTTTTTCTGCCTCAAAGAATATGGGTGAGAGTTTGGTCCAGAAATGAAAACTCAGGCTCATGAAAGCATAGCATTCAACTCTTACTTATCTCATGAGCTGGCAGAATATTTTGGAATTATGGAAACCTGATTTCATTACAAACGTTCCAAAATTGTTCTGAAAAACATCAGCCATCAGACCTGCACATTTAATGTATTTGGTTAGGAAATGCAGTTCCTGCTCTGTGATAAAGGCTTCTAATATTCACCCATGTCCAGTCATCCTTTCCCTTGGGGTGCATGGAGGATTGTGCCCTTCATATGGGGAAGGCCATGTGTCTAATGCCAGCCAGTAGGCTATGAGGAGAAGTGGCATGTGTCACTTTCATGCTAGAGCACAGATCTGATGGTGTGGGACATTCCAGCACTCCTTTCTTGCGGCAGTGATTAGCAAGAAGGCTTCAAGATGAAATGGAAGGCATTCTGGATTGTGGAAAATGGAGAACAACTGCTCTGAACAGTCATTTGAACAGCCAGAGGACTTGCATGAATATGAAATAAATTTGTACTGTCTTAGGCACTGAATCCTTGAAGCTGTTATAGCAGGGTGACGTAGTATATCCTAACTAACATACCCGTATTGACTCCTAAGTTTAATGTTAACTGAGAGAGGTCTTTAGCCTAATTAATTTTGTCTGGGGAGAGGATTATTCAATCCACAGGCCTTGTAAATTTTTCCATAAAGAGAGAACAACACTTGCCTGATAGGAAAGGCCATTTGTTAAATGAGAATCATCCAGCCTCACCTTTGTTTCACTGCAGCCCAAATTGCCTCTCTGTTTCCATGGGGAAACTCTGCTTTGTAAAGAGACAATGCATATCAGTTCCCTAATCTCGAACATCACCAGTAATACTCGTTATTATACTAGCACTTGGCAATGGCTGTATTGAGTGCGTGTTCTCTGGGAAGCCTGAGTCAATCTTCTCTTCCTTTGCATTTTAAGGGTGTTCAACTAGAGAATAAGGTTCAGTAGCCAATCAATTTCTGTGAAAGAGGGCTTAAGAGGTGACCATCTGTTTAGAAGGGATGCTTCAATTGTGTAGAACTTTACATACATTGAGAGAATTTTTGTTGTCCCTATCTGGAATGCCCAATAGATATTCTACAAGGATTCAAATGTTCTATATTTGTGCTATCTACATGAGACTATTGAGCACAAGAAATGTGGCTAGTGTGAGTAAGGAATACTCACACTAGCCACATTTGATTTTATTTAAGCATAATAGCCATACAAGACTAGTGGCTGCCATATTGGACTCTGTAGGTCTGTAGCAATGAATGGGATTAATGAAAATTTCCATCCTTGACATGATCACTGGTGAGATAGAAACTTTTCCAAAATAGCCACAGTCTTTAATTAAGCCATAATAAAAATATAATAGTTCCCCAAATTTTCTAAATTATTGCAATGGTGAAATCTAGCACAATTACTCTTCTAACACTTTTGTATAATGTTCTTGTTACTGGGGGGAGATGAGGGGAGCAGGATAAAAACCAGTGAATCTAACCAAATAGTTCCTTGTTATATCAGTCAGGATAAGCTGGGTTATGCTGTGATAACAAACAACCCCCAAATATCAGAGGGTTTACATCAGAAGTTTTGTATTCATTCATGATACCTGTCCATTGCTGGTCTTCAGGTAGGCTGTGCTCGCTGCCTCTGCTCTAGCTATGTGGTACCACAATGGCTAAGCCAGTGGGACGAGGACACGGCAAATTACATATTGCTTCTTCAACCTTCCCTCATATGACATGTCAAGCTTCATTGGTCAAATTAAGCCACATGGCCACATCTAACTTAAAATGATATGGCAAAATATAATCCTACCCTGTATCGATAAAGAATAGACTCCAAAGTATCCAGTGAACAGCTAAATATGATTATCACAGTTGGTTTTACCCATTTCTGCTATGTCTACTTTATAATATCTTATATAGTCATCTCCCTTAATATTTACTGATGTATAGCAGTTCATTGCCTAAAAATTTCAAACAATTAAAGGAAAAGGAGTAGAATTCATTGAACACTTGCGATATTCCAGGTGCCATGCTGAGTACATTTGTATATGTTATCTTGAATCCTTCTTCTTATGAAATAGATACTTTTACAATTATTTTACAAAAGACAAAGCTGAGACTCATAAGGTTTTCTTTTCCTAAGGTTTTTCCTAAGGCTGCACAAAGAGTAACGGGCAGAGAAGAAATGGATTCGAACCCAGATCCAAAGTCTGGTCTCTTTCCACTAAGGTGTATTACCTGCCCTGCCAACAACAGTAAAGAATCAGCATTGCCATGGAACTCTTATTAAAAGAAAAACGTTTGCTCTATGTCATAGCTATGCATATTTAATTCATCAACTCGATGGATTTGTGTATTAAGTGGCTTTTATATGTCCCCAAATTTTAGCGGTCATGAAGCTCCATACACACAAAAAAAGTAAAATTATCATTTTTGAAACCCCTCTCAAGGCTGCTAGATAATAAAATACTGGCCCATATTCCCAGCTGACAGGATGCTGCACCAGGACAAAGATGACAAAGATGA
This sequence comes from Homo sapiens, assembly GCF_000001405.40. NCBI lineage: Eukaryota > Metazoa > Chordata > Mammalia > Primates > Hominidae > Homo > Homo sapiens. The sequence goes on from NC_000003.12 coordinate 8,273,531, forward strand.
CATACACACAGGAACTCTGATCCAGAGTGTGATTTTGTCGCAGGTGGTACGAGAGCAAGTGAGGAAATTCAACACTGCCAGACACAAATCTCAAATCTCATGCCTGGCAAAATATTCCCACTTCCCCTCTCAGTCTTCATCAGCCTGCTCATTCAAGGCATCAGTATTCCTGTCAGACATGCCATCAAATGATTCAGCGGCAGCATGCCTCCCATTTTCTGGTATAAAATTTTATTTAGAGAGTGACATACATTTTGACATTTGAGATTTTTTAGTGAAATTTGAAACACAAAGGCAGAGAATTGCTGCTAGCGACTGAAGTACAAGCATTTACCTCTGGTTCGATAATAAGATCTCATCGAGAAATATGGACAGCTAGTGTCCTAATGGAAAATTTTGTCTGCATTTTTAATATTTCTGCCAAAAAGTTTGATAGCTGAAGCTGATGCATTTTCCACAAATAATTTTTTATCCAGCAAAAGTTCTGCAATGCCGGGTAATTGAGGAATGATTAATTGAACCCTTACTTCTGATTCCTGTAAATCAGAGTCTCGCTGAAAGGGTGTGCAAGGCTGGGCCCTGCTCAGGGATTTCCTGCTGAGGAGGTCAGGGACATAGACCCCTGTCATCCTCCCCTCACCCCAGCATGGGTGCAGGGCTGCAGGAGGAGAAGAGGGCTACATCTTCTAACACGCGCAAAGAAGACAGGGTCCTGATGGAAGCCCTTTCATAAAACAACCTTGAAACTCTGCCTTCCAGTTCATCCAGCTCATCTTGCCCTCCCTCTCCTATTTCCTCTCCCTCTTTTATTCCTGTTCTCTCTGCTCTGAGCCAGTCTTCACTTTTCTGCTCATTCCGTCACAGTCCAGGGTTTTTCATAACAGGCTTGTATGTGACATTCCAGAAGAAAAATGCTGAGGTTTTGTTTTTGGTACCACTGGCTCCCTTAAGCTGAGCCCCAGTGGTCTCTGTGATCCATCTTGGCCCCTTGCCTTTAGAGGCCCATTGCCTTGGAGCACCTATCTCAGCTCTGGTTCCCCGAGAGATCTTGGAGAACCTAGAAAGTGATGGACACATACATTACATTCTGCTGTGGTCCACTGGCATCTCCTAAGGGACTCCGTCTTTCTCAAAAGGCTTTTTCTGGGGGGGGTGCGGTGGGGGGAGAGTAAAAAGTTAGTAGCCAAAGAAAATTAATTACCCTCTACCTGAGAGGTTTTTTTTTGTTTGTGTGGCTTTTTTGTTGTTGTTGTTGTCGTTTTCTCATCGGGAGCATAAAACACTAAGAGGATTGCAAAAGGGTAATGTGGAGGACCTCTGGGGAAGAATGTTCTGCATCTTGATTTTGGTGGTGCTTACACAATTCTTCGCATTTGTCCAAACTCATAAAACTGTGCACAGGAAACAGTGTCATTTGTAAACTTAAAAATAAAATTTTAAAAATTTTAATATGAAGTCAAACCATTTAAAGAAAACTAGACAGGAGGCTGAGGCTGGAGGATCGCTTGAGCCCAGGAGTTTTAGGCTACAGTGAGCCATGATCGCACCACTGCACTCCAGCCTGGGTGACAGAGTGAGACCCTATCTCTAGAATAATTAATTTATTAATTAAAATAAAGAAATCTTGAAAGATACCAGTGCTTGCATGACTAGCAGGAGAGTAGAGGGGAACCCTGAGATTACCGGAAGAGAAAAATCCCCATGGAGGAGCAGGGAGAAGTACAACCAGTCTCCACTTCTGGGGTAGTGAAGGAGAAAGGCAGTGATGGGGAGTTTCCAGGTGCTGAGATTCAACCCAATGCAACTTGCTACCTGGCTAAGCCATCTATGACTTCCACATCCTGAAGTCCTCAGACTTTCCTTTTACTCCTCTCCCAAACTCAGTACTCCTGGGGCATTTCCCCCAGATTGTGGGAGCCACCAGCAGAGACAAGATCTGGGGAAATACTGGTGTCAGAGCAGCCCAGGGAAGGGAGAAGCATTCCTGAAATCAAAGGTTGAAATTCTCCTTATACGTTTTCCATAAAAATGTGGATGTTTTTGGCTCAAATAAGAATAACAAGAATAATTGAAGAGTAGGCACAATTGCAATTGCTTGAGCAGTTACTGTGGGCCAGACATGGCTTTATCTTCCCTAATAACCCCATGAAGGAGGCATTTTCATTTTTATTTGACAGATGAACAAACTGAGGCATAGATAAGATCCCAAAGTTAGTAAGTGACAGCTAGAAGGAAACCCAAGTACACTGAGAATTATATAAACCTAGTGTAGTTTATATACAGTCTTACATTCTATTTTCCAGGGGGCTTATGTGTTGAATGGGCATTCATGGGCTATTCTGGGCAACTAATTCACACCTAATGGTGCTTCTGTGGGGAAAGGGATTCTGTTTTCCAGCAATCAATGAGCACAGGCAATGGAGGCCTGTCGTGGGTTGGGAATGATCCTGTAATCTGAACAAAATCATTTTATGTGCCTACACAGGTTTTTCAGTGCTCAAAGGCTTTAAGTAGAATGTTATATTTGAGATCAGCTAGATACAACTTTATTTCTTTTATAAGGATTCAGAAGGCATTTCAGAAATTTGCAAAACCTCAGAAATATAATTGTAAAGCACAACCCTCCCCCAAACAGTAAGATTCGTAACACCACTGTGCAGAGACCTGTGATTGGCAGGAGTCAGTTAGTATTCAGTTCTACAACTGAGGAAACAGAGGCTTGGCATATGGTAAAGTAACTTAGCTCTCAGTTTCACAGACATCACATGGCAGGTCCCGGATTCAAATACAATTCTGTATGACGCCAAAACTCTTGCTCTTTTTATAACTCCATACTGTTTTGCAAAAATGAAGTTATATCAACAATGATCCCTATATCTAAAAACATGAAAACTAAATTTAAAGATATATTTTAAATATATTTTAATAGCTAAAAATATGTGCTTATATATATTTTAATAGCTAAAATATATAAAAATAATTTTATAGCTAATATATCTTATGTTTTCAATAGCTATATATTTATATAAATATATATATATTTAGCTATTAAAACATATCTTTAAATTTAGTTTTCACATGCTGGTAAAGAGTGAAAAAGAAATTAAGCTCTTAAATTCATCTTCCAGGCCTTATGCCAAAATACTTAGACTACGTCTGTGTTAGTTCTCTTGGTCTCACTGTTATTGAGGAAGAATCCTCCTCCCTGGGGTTTCCATGGCCTGGAAACTTCAGAAGGAAATCAGCAGTGCTGATATAAAAATTAAAATTATTTTTCCTGCTCCTGATTGAAAAAGAAGATAAGTCGATAACCTTAGAGATCTAAGAACAGCCTCTGCAGACATTAGCTGATGGCAAACAGTGGGTGTTTGATAAACAATAATACAATTTTAATATTATAACAGCTAATATATCTCAATCTAGTTCTATACCAGGCACTTTTCTAAGTGTCATTCATTCATAACTCATTTGGTTCTCATTTGGATCCCTAGGCAGTGGATCCTTTCATTACCTCCACTTAATGGATGCGGAAACCAAGTCACAGAAAAAATGGAATAATTTGTTAAAGGTAATCTGGTTTGAAAGTAAAGGTAATTTTAGCTGATAATTGAATTAGTCTCGAGAATGGGGACTTGGAAGAAGTTAAAGGAATACTGATTAATGGCATTACTCATATTCCTCCTTTTATGTGATTCTATTATGCATATATACATCATATGCATTAATATATTATAAATTACATATATGAAATATAATATACATTATATATAATTATATATATACATCAACTTACATATATATAATCTAATATCAGTATATAATATAGTAATATATAACAGTGGTAAGAAAATTGTACCCATGGAAAATCTGACATATCTGTGGAATCTCTGCAGAAACATGGAACTCTAAGTCAGGCTGGCAAACACACAGCCCGATCTCCTATCCAATATCCATGACAGACATTGCTAACTGTGAAAGGAAAATAAATCTTGGGGCCCCAAAATCACTAAGCTAAAGGGAAAAGTCAAGCTGGGAACTGCTTAGGGCAAACCTGCCTCCCATTCTATTCAAAGTCATCCCTTCTGCTCACTGAGATAAATGCGTATCTGATTGCCTCCTTCAGAAAAGCTAAACAGAAACTCAAAAGAATGCAACCATCTGTCTCTTATCTATCTTATGACCTGGAAGCCCCCTCCTCACTTTGAGTTGTCCTGCCTTTGCTTCAAGATGTCCCACCTTTCCCGAACAACTAATGTTCATCTTACATATATTGACTGATATCTCGTGTCTCCCTAAAATGTATAAAACCAAGTTGTGCTAGGACCACCTTGGGCACGTGTCATCAGGGGCCTTCTGAGGCTGTGTTACCGGCATGCATCCTTAACTCTGGCAAAATAAACTTCCTAAATTGACTGAGACCTGCCTCAGGTATTCGGGGTTCACATAACCATCTCTGCATTCTTTTTCACTGAGGCCAAAAAGGAACTCAGAATTCTTAAAATACTTCTTCAGGCATCCACAACCAATGGAGCAGAGCCACCTTGGCAAGTTCAAGTCTAGGCAGCTGAGTCAGGACCACAGCCCAGTGTAGTGCTGCAGAGCCTGAACCCCAAGAGGTTCCTTGTCACCACTCTGCCATGTGGGTAGAGCAATGGGCCCCTCAACAGTGAGGAGACAGGAGAGCTTGATCCAGGAGAGAGGCAACCCCAGGGGGACCCACTTCTTCTTTCCCCCACCAAGATTCCCAGTGAAGAACATGGTTAAAAATTTTCTGTGAAATTTACATTCTTGAATATCAGGCACTTCCACTTGAGCGGCATGTGAAAGCGAGTCAAAGTTTCATCTCAAGTTAATTTAATTAGTTCAAGAGGTGCTCTTTAAGGAGAAGCTAATTGGGATACTCAATATACAGAAACTCAAAAGAACACTCAGAATCTTTCCTTTAGGGATTTCCTCCTTTTACACTTAAAAAGAAAAAAAATGTAGGCAGTGTCGTAGAGCCGCTTGCTGGCAACCTATTTGTGGCCAACGCTTGTGACTGAAGCTGAACATGCAGAAGCAGAAGCGAGGCTGTGGAAGTAGGAAGAGTTTCACGTCCAACTCTAGGAGTGCAAGCCTGTCCCTTGTCAGCCAGGATTATGCGCCATCTGGAGGTGCTGTTCTCTCCAACAACATGTGTTACTCCACCACCAAGAATAGCTTTCTTTATTCAGCACCTACTTTGTACAAGGCACTTTCTCATAGTTTTCACCACTCTACAAATTAATTGTGATTGTTATGCTTATTTCGCAGATAAAGAAACAGAGACTTATAGAAGTTTAATAATATACCCTAAGGATGGCTGGGCACGGTGGCTCACACCTATAATCCTAGCACTCTGAGAGGCCAAGAGTTCGAGACCAGCCTAGCCAACATGGCAAAACCTTGTCTCTACTGAAGAAAAAAAAAAAAGTGCACGCCTATAGTCCCAGCTACTCAGGAGGCTGAGGCACAAGAATTGTTTGAACCCGGGAGGCAGAGATTACAGTGAGCCAAAATCGCACCACTGCACTCCAGCCTGGGTGACAGAGTGAGACTCAGTCTCGAATATATATATACCCACAGGGCACAAAGTTGGTTGTCTTGGTTTCCCCCTGCAGACAATACTGAGTTGAGAACTCAGGGGAGAGTGATTTATTATGAAGCATTTCCAGAAAAAGCCAGTAGCTATTGGAATAGGGATGTGGGACCCAGAAAAGAGGGAGACCGTGTAAGGGTGGGATATCAAATGAATATCCCTCCAATAGAAGGAGATGTGGTTCAGTCCTACAGGGGAACTCTGGACACAGTGTGGGTCACACCTTGGAATGGGGGTGAAGGAAGCCAGGGTGTTTATATGTCATTGGTTAAGGGCTGCCCTTGGGAGATGTAAATTCTCAGGCACTTCCAGGCTTTCTGAGGAACTGGCAAAATGGGTCCAAAAACCTACGTGTCTCTTTTTGCCATAAAGAACATCAGTGGGTGCTGTTCTACACCACTGTTCTACACCCATTGTTCTACACTAATCTTTCAGATCCAGAGTTTTTATTCCCCACCTGCAGTGCTGCATAGGAATTGCCCTTGACCAGAGGATTAGCCTTGTCCAAGGTTACTCCGCCTCCTAGAGGTAGTCGCGTCTCACGGCTGGCCAGTGTGGGAGTACAAAGCCTGCCCGCTCTGCCCCTGCTCCCCGCCAACCCCAGCCTCCTTTGCACAGCTATGAAGGGCTATTCCTGCTTCTGGAAGACAGTGTGATATAAACTAGCAAAGGGATCTAAAGGATACTAGAGGGGATGCATCTCAGCATCATCCTGGTGCCTGATAGTAGCAGTATGCACTACCAGAGCTGCAAAAAGGCAAGGGGTGTCATAGTTCACTATTCTGTTAACTCAAATTTAATTAAGTTCTGCACTCATTCAGTTGGATGGACATATGTTCAAGCTTAGTCCCTTTTCAGAACCTGTGCCTTAGGATTGCACCTCATGCATGAATGCTCTGAGGACTGGGAATTGGAGGAATGTTTGTCTGTGGGGGTGGCGGGGGTGGTGGTGATGGTGTTCAGGGTAAGGATGAGGGTTATAGGAGCAATAGATGAATAGCTCTTCCTAAATGCTGGCCCTTCAAGGTCCACCAAGGCCTCAACAAGCCAGAGCTTTATAGCTGCCCCCTTGGTCCTCACTTTTAATCTGTCAGGGAAGAGCAAGCCCTCACCAGAAAATAAAGCAGTGTAACCCTCCACGCAGTTATTGAATCTTCTCCCCTTGCTTTCCAAAGGCACTTTGTAATCTGACCCCTTCCATCCCACAGCTTCCCCCAACTACAGCCTCGGCTGCAGTCAGGCCAGTCTCATCTCCATCCTGCCTGATCCCTGGCTGCCCCTGTGTGCCTCCATCCCCAGTGACTCTTCACGCTTTGATTTTGGTTAGAAACACCCTGCTGTTCCTTCTTCACTTGTTACGATCTCATCCCATCTTTCCAGTTTCAAAGCAAGCTCTCCTTCCTCCAGGAAGCCTTTGCTGGCTGCTTCAATCCACACAGTCAGTTCCTTCCCTGACTGCCAAAAACACTCTCAGCTGTGGCCTGTCACCTGTTGTCATTTTTGTGTGGATGCTTCACCTCCCCAGATGGACTGTCAGCAGAGACATTAACTGATAAAAGCCTCTCAGAATTTTCCACAGCATAGAACATGAGGACACAAAGGATGTTCTCAGAGAAAAGGTAATAAATCCACTGATGGTAGTATATGAAAGTTAAGAGTCGGCAGTGATTCCTAATTCCAGTTCTCCTTAGAAGTGTAATTACAAGCAATGGGCTGAGCAGTATCCATTTTATTTCTCCATGCTTACTCTTCAATATTGGCTGAGCTATATTTCATGGTGGGAAAGAAAGAGGGACTCCTTCTCCCACTTTCTTCCTCTGCCTCTACTTCCCAATCCTTTCCCCAGATGAGACCTTGCATCAAGTGCCCCCCAACTGCATTGCCTCTATTTACCATGAGAAGGAGGCCCACAGCTGTTAAACATCATGGTCCTCCAAGTATAAGCCACAAAATCATGTGCTGTGGGTCTGGATGTGCCAAGCCTCAGAGGACTTCATGAGAAAGGGTATAGATCCAGCCACAGGTGGGATGATGGGTTCTGCTATGCTCAGAGACAACAGATACACTGGGAAAGAATGAGAGGCTTAGAGAGAGACCCTGGGTGGATTAATGCATTTGCTCAGTAGTGGGAGATTGATATGAGAACCATATCTTGTAATCTGAAAAATGTAGCAGAAGGAGCAGAATGTAGTAGATCTTGTTTCCCAGATCTCTTTGCATGTGAATGGGTTCATGTGATTGAGTTTTAACCAACAGACTGTGGATGATAGCGATATCCACCACCTCTAGGCCTGGCCCACAGGAACCTCCACGTGAGGCTCACACAACAAGCCTCTTGATAAAGAAGATGCAGCAAATGGCTTTAGGCTCCAGGGATTCACAGACTGGAAAGTAGAAGGCACCCTGGTCTTTCAGTCATTTTGGAGAAGAGATTCATCAATCAAATTCCCATACTGTATTCATGAATATGCAAGAAATCAACTACCGTATTAAGCCACCAAGACTTCAAGGATTTCCTGTAAGAGAAGCTTAGCCAAAATAAGGATTGCATGTGACATCTAAAGCACTTAGCGCCATGCATGACACCAAGTAAGCACACAGTATATGGTTGCTATTGCTTTCGGTATCCCTAACTCTATGCAACACTTTATAACTTCTAGGAGACTACCATATTAGAGAGATGAATTTAATTTGTGTTACCAAGCACTGAGGATGATACAAAGGCAGAGATGCCATTCTTCAGGGACTCATATTCTAGTGGTACAATTAGACCCGTAATATAGGGAACTATATTGCAAGGTAAATTTTATTAAATGCTTTGAAAGAGATTCAATCTGCGATGAGAAGTGGGAGATTAATTTTAGCTGAAGAATTTAAAGTGTTCCTGGAGGAAGGACAATGTGAATAGGGCCTTGAGGTACAGGTGGACATTTGACAGGTGGACATTGGTCAGAGGGATTGGAGCAGCGAGAATTCTAGATACTGGGAAGCGCCCTAGAGAGACCCAACAGAAGTTTCCAAGCCACTTCCTCTGTTCTTCTGTATAAGGAAGACTTGGGAGAAGATAAGCTGTGTTAGGACCAGGTACAGGCAGATTGGACAGTGCTTTGGCAGTGTAGCAGGAATTAGGGCTACAAATGTCAACTGGGACTAGATTGAGAGGTCCCTGGAATGCCAAGCTAAAGAGTTCAGATTTTACTTTATTAATCATGAGGTGCATTTTAAGGCCCTGGCTAGAAATGATAGAAACCTAACTGGCACTAGCTTATGCAAACAAGGGTATTTACAGGCTCTGTACATAATCAGAATATAAGTAGGATTAGAGCTGGTCCTCAGGATCAGATGAAACCAGACAGATGAATATCATCAAGAATCACAGGTAGCAATCCCCTATCCTCACCCCCATTCACTCTCATAATAGTCTTTTAAATGACTTTTAGCAGTTTTCAGTATCTAAAACTATTTGTTTATTGACTTGTCCAACTTCCTAGGATATTAGCTTCCTGAGGATACAAGTCAGTCTGTTTGTTTACTATGACATCCCAGCTTCTAGTATGGCTTCCTGCATGCCTGGCACATAGCAAGCACTCAGTGAATGTTTGCTGAAAAAATGACATAAATGAATCAGAGATTTTAAGATGTGCTGGTTAGGCAAACATGGATATTTAATCTCCCTGACTGCTCCAGTTCTTCTATATAAATTTGTACATTTGCAGAAAGGTTTGAATGGCTCAATATCTCTGTGATTAATATTCCCCAAGAGTCACCAATCAGAGTGAACTTCTGCTTATGCAAGGCTGAAGGTCAGAAGCTGGTCTCTGGTGGAATAATTGAGATGAATCATCTTGTAGTACCCCAGGGAGGTAGACCAGCCAGCCTGTGCCAAGATGCTTTGACAATTCCAGGGGTATCTTTGAAATGTGTACAATCTCTGCCTCATATTTCTAGAAGCAAACCCTATCCTTGAAGACTCTGAACAGAGCATAGGGGCTTTAAGTCACATAAAGGGCCACAGTGATATTTTCTTGACCCTATTCTGCAAATGGAAGTCACTAGGGGGGCTTTGCTAAGAAGTCTTCACCTAGGCATAACCAAGACACTTTTAATCTCCTGTTATTCCATGGTTGGATGAATGCTAAAACTATGTCATCCTCTCTTTGTTCTGAGGTCCTACCAGGTTGTTTGGTTTTGCCAAGTCAGAGATTGTTTGAACATACTGAAGAGTTCCACATCTGTTCTCTCTGGTATCATGTGACAAAAGATGATCACAACCCTATTTTGAGCCTCTTTGTCTAAAATAGCCTTCCCTATTTTTACTTCCATTTAACTAAAAGCAGCCAAAGTTTTTTTCAGGCTCAAGACAAATAATCATCACACAGTGTTCTGGGTGGGCTGACTTCTTTTTAGCCACTCCGCCCCCACCTATCTTTGACCTATAACATTTTCACCTTGATATGCTGAATATTTTATTCTTGTGTTGCTCTGAGGATAAATGAGGTACCAAAGTGTTCTTTTATATTTTTACTTCCCATTTTTGTAGTTTGAAATATGTTTTTGTTAGCACAGTTAAACACCACCAGAAGTCACAGAGCCACACAGGCATAGTGGCATATTACACACCAGTATATCCGGCTTTTTGCCCATTTGAAGGAATCCTATCTGACGAAAACCTGGAAATAAAAAGAGTTAAGTAACAGAGACAAGAATACTCCCTAATTTTCTCAACAGACAGAATGGCTTTTTGGGGGAAGGCGAAGAGTAGTATCCGTAAACTATATCCATATTATTGCAGTCACTTATTATAATCACAGAGTCTTTCAGATGAATCCAAAAATGTCTCTCTTCCTACACTAGGGTGAAATAATGGTGAGGCATTAGTGGTACAAGCAAATTACTGTGGTTCACCTCATATTTCTGTTGTCTAAGCTTTGTCATTATTAGGGAGATGAATTTGTGCCAATCCATTCCTAAATCTCACTTGGTCTCACCTGGAACCAGTGATATTTATTTACCAGCAAGTAATCGGGACATAATTTCCATGTGTGGCTATCACGAATCTGAGACTCAAATTTACCATTCACCAAAAATTTTTATTGAACACCAACCAGGTACAAAGATTTATTCTAGAGATTTAGAGGGCACAAGAGTGATAAATGTTCTGTCCTTTAGAAACTGTTATTCTAAAAGGAGAAAGAGAAAAAGTGCCTAAGTATGCTAAAACAAAAATAAGTGCCCTTAGAGGTAAGAAGAAGGAGTGATAAAGCAAAGATCAAATCTGTGGACGTGAACTGGGTTTGACTCTCAGTCTACATGTATCAGTCAGCTAAGCTACTACTGCAACAATACTGTGTAACAGGCATCCTTGAAAGTTTCATAGTTTACAATAATAAACATTAATCTCACTCTGCAGGAGCCAAATGTGCTTTGACTGATCTAGACTGTGCTCTTTTTAGACTCCTGGACTTGGCTCTAGATTGTGGCTTGGATTCATGACTTCTCCACATATTACTCACCTTCTTGGGCCAGTAACCACCTGAGACATATTCTTCTCATTGCAAAAGAAAGGCAAATGACCTCAGACTTTGGCCACATAAGCCCCTGTATTTTAAGAATGATTCAGGAAAGAGTTTCTTCATAGAAAAGACCATTTAAGAAAGCTATAGTTTCTGAACAGCAAGAATAATACGCATGTGAAAGCAGGTAAAACCCTCTACAGCCCCTACGTCTCTTTCTTTCTCTCTTGGAATTTATTCTGGTGGTAAAATCAATGTTAAAATAACTACTACAACGATTGTGACAATGGCATAATAGTTTGAAAATGTATGTTGGTATTATAAGGTTGATGACCTTTCCAGGATGAATTTTGCTTCACGAAGTTCTTTAAAAGGTTTTGAGGGTATGAATTGCTTAGGGACATAATTTGAGATAAGGTAGGGAAAGTAAAAATATTATAGGGACAAAACGTCCTAAACTCTGGAATATTAGAGTCTGGAATTTAGTGAAAGGAAAAGAAGAGGAAGAATTGACCAAGAATATTATACAGAGTTGGTGCTTGGGTTTACAAACATGGGGTTTAGAAAAAAATTCACTATGACGAGTATTAGTTGGAGAATATTGCCTGATATTAATTTTTAAATTATTTTTACTGTACCACGCTAAGTTACTTTAGCTGTCAAATGCTGCATGTGTACATTAAGGTCTATACCATACAGTGGTCTTCTATAAGTGAACTTGGAGGGAGTGAAAAAATATAGATTCTGAACAGTATGGAGCCAAGGACAGTTGGCCCTCGGACAAAATAAATTTGAACTGCTGAGGTCCACTTAGACATGGATTTTTCTTCCAATAAAAGTTACACCAAATTTGCCTACCTCTCCTACCTCCCTTTCCACCTTCTGCATCTCTTCCACCTCTGCCACCCCTAAGAGAGCAAGAACAACCCATCTCTTCCTCCTCCTCTTCAGTCTACTCAATGTGAGGACAAGGAGGATAAACACCTTTATGATTATCCACTTCTACTTAATGAATGGTAAATGTATTTCCTTTTCCTTATGATTTTCTTAGCTGGGCGTGGTGGTGCCCACCTGTAGTCACAGCTACTCAGAAGGCTAGGGTGGGAAGATCACTTGAGCCTAGGAGGGGAAGGTTGCAATGAGCCTAGATCATGCATCTCTTCCACCTCTGCCACCCCTGAGACAGCAAGAATAACCCATTCTCTTCCTCCTTCTCTTCAGTTTACTCAATGTGAGGATAATGAGGATGAAGACTTTTATAATGATCCACTTCTAATTAATGAATAGTAAATATATTTTCTCTTCCTTATGATTTTCTTACTCACATTTTCTTTTCTCTAGCTTACTTTATTGTAAGAATACAGTATAGAATACATAAAACATATAAAATATGTATTAATCAACTCTATGTTGTCAGTAAGGCTTCTGGTCAACAGTATTAGCAGTTAAGTTTTTGGAAAGTCAAAATTTACACCTGGATTTTTGACTGCATGGGGGATCAGTGCCCCTAACTTTCCCATTGTTTAAGGGTAAACTGCAATAATAGAAAAAAAAAAAAGGAATTTCAAGATGCAAGACAGGCAAAGATGGAAAACTAAGCAGCTGGGAGTAATCACAGTGAGAGGCCAAATAATAGAAATATAAGCCTGCCAAGAATTATTGAATTCTAGGCTGTCTTCAAATTTTTCAGCTATCCTTAATTTTGCTTTGATTTCTGTTGGGAACTCCTCTCCGCCTGCTGTCGGGCCTATCAGACACACGGCCCTTCTCTTCTACTCCCGAGTGGAGGAAGAGCATGCAACACAACATGCTTAGTACAGCGCCTTTACCCTCCTGAGCACAGCAACTGGTCCAGTTGGGCACCAAGCTCAATCTGTGGAGTGGGCATAGGGGCTGTAATAGATGCTGGGAAAAAGAGGATATCTTTCCTTCAGTAGCTGTAAAATCTAAGGATCCTGTATAAGTCCAGTTATAATAATAGTCATCTTTTCTACCACGTAGAGAGAGCCTGCCTGAGAATGAAGCTAATATAGCAGAAGGCAGAAGCAAGAGGTGGGGAAAAAGAGAGGCTTGGTTACTGTCTTAGTCCATTTGTGTTGCTGTAAAGAGGCTGTGCCTGAGGCTAAGTAGTTTATAAATAAAAAACATTTTTTTGGCTCAGGGTTCTACAGGCTGTACAAGAAGCACTGCACCAGCATGTATTTCTGGTGAGGGGCTGCAGGAGATTCCACTGGGCAGGGGAGCTGGCATGTAGAGATCACATGGTGAGAGAAGAGGAGGGGCCAGGCTCTTTTCAACAACCAGTTCTCATGAGGAACTAAGAGTAAGAACTCACTCACTCCTGCTAGAAGGGCCCCAAAGCCATTCATAAGAAATCTGTCCCACAATCCAAACACCTCCCATTAGGCCCCACCTTCAACACTGGGGATCAAATTTCAATGTGAGACTTGGAGGAGCCAAACAAACCATATCTAAACCATAGCAGTGGCATCCTTTGAACTCACGGATCCAGTCATAACTGAAGTTCCATCTACACCTGGGGTCTTCAGACCCAGGCTCTGGAAAAGATCCTGTTACTTACAAGCAAAAGAAATTCTGCCTCTTACCCTCAGGTATGTGCGTGCTAATTTACCCAGTCTTCTCTCTGCAGCAGGAGGAAGAAACTTTTTATGTAAAGGGCCAGATAGCAAATATTTTAGGCTTTGCAGGCCATAAGAACACTATAAGAACTACTCAACACTGCTGCTATAGCACAGAAATAGCCATGGACAGTATGTAAATGAAGCAGCAGGGTTGTGTTCCAATCAAACTTTATTTATAGCTGGGTGCAGTGGCTCACGCTTGTAATCCCAGCACTTTGGAAGGTCGAGACAGGTGCATCGCTTGAGTCCAGGAGTTTGAGACAAGCCTAGGCAACATGGGGAAACTCTGTTTCTACAAAAATAAATTAAAATAATTAGCTTTGGGTGGTGGCCCCTCCCTGTAGTCCCAGCTACTCAGGAGGCTGAGGCCGGAGGATCACTTGAGCCCAGGAGAAGGAGGCTGCAATGAGCTTAGATCATGCCACTGCACTCTAGCCTGGGTGACAGAGTGAGATTCTGTCTCAAAAAAGCAAACAACAAGAAAAAAAAAGCCATAACATTTTATTTACAAAAACAGGTTGGATAGATTTTGCTCTCACCCTGGGATTTGCTGACCTCTCTGCTCTACAGATACCTTAAATGGTAGATTCACATTCCTTAAGGAGAAAACTTTATATAGGGGCTTAGAGATGCTTCTAAAAGTCATTGCCATAGTTAAAAAAAAAAAGTTTTTTTTAACATGGTACAACAGATTCTGCATAAATTTGCATGTTTTTCTTTTATCCACTCTATGTATGGAGTTAAACATATGAAACATAAAGTGTTCATAAAACATAGGTGCTAACACTGGACTTCCTAGGCCTCAATCCAGTGAAACTTTGAAAATTAGTTTACTGTCTAATCAGTACTGTCCAAATCAGTAAAAAAAAAAAAAAAAAAAAAAAAAAAAAAAAATGCATCTCAGTTTTATTTTTTGTATTATATTTTTCATGATGACTGTTGTCATCCAGCAATACTCACCAACCTTTACTTTATCCCTTTGCCAAAAGACTCAGTGAAAACTCCCTTCCCAGCTCATTAATTATTTTATTTTCCAATCTGTTGATTCTCTAACAGAGCTTCCCCATTTGAAGTAGGTCTTAGCACTTTGTACAACACTGATGCTAGTGGATGAAATATTTGCCTACTTAGCTTTATTCTTTTCTTATGAAACACAATCAGAATGGCCACCAGAAACATGTATATGAATCAATTAAAAATACCTTTAAGTATCAATCATGACCAAATTAAAAATCAAGTTTACATGTATCAATCAATAACAACTACAGAAAATATAGACACAAGGCCTAGTTCTTCCACCATCCAGTTATCCTATCTACTACTTCCATGAGTTCTGGAAGCTACTGTCACGTCACATTCTACTGGGTTGAATATCACTAAGTCCTAGAATTCCCTAGGATGGCAGCCATCTCTCTGGGGGCCTTGAATCCTGAGAGCTGATGTCTGGATCTGACAAAGTCCTGGTTGACCTCTTTATCTGGTGCAGTCAGTCTCTCCAATACACTTATGATGAGTCTTTTCTGAACTTATGACTCCAGGTATGCATATTCTCTATAGACCAAGATCATTTCTCCTGGCGTCTCTTGGAAGGCCAGAGGCTGGTAGAAAGAGCTTAGTCTTTGAAGTATGAAAAATGTCAACTATATTCACTGCCCCCAAGATATAGACCTCCACAACCTTAAACCTACTCCCTTCCCAGAGCCCAGGATTCAATCTGCCTCTTGATCCATCAGATTATGCATCAGCTGGATCTCCTAGCAGGATCTCTGGATTCATGGGCTCCAATTTCCTCTGCATTTGCATTATGATAATGTTAGTGTTCAGCACCATGCCTGACACTTAGTAGAGGCTCAATAAGTGTTAGCTGAATGCATAAGCAAGCTAATAAATATGTTGGAACCTCGCACATGCCCCTCAACTGGCAGATGGTTGTGATAGAATGGAATACTGTTTGCCAAATATCCATCCCCTACTGCCCTCCCACACAAGAAATATACTTACCTGCTTGATTGATATTAGACTTGGCCACTTGACTTTCTTTGTTCTCATAATAGGCAGATTATGCTTCCTCATCCTTTGAATTTAGACTTGGCCAAGTCACTTGTTTCATCTAATGGGATGTACACAGACTTGATGCAATAGTGATTTTTGCAGTGTCACTTACTCTCTTACATGGTTGTCATTGCCATGAGAAGAACTCCCACTCTTCCCCAGTCCCAACCAAATCCAGCTGGATCAGCACCATGAACACAACCACTCAGCCTCACCCAGCCTATGACAACCCATTACCAGGCCACCCACCACCAGGTTAGTAAGAATAAATAACTATTATTTGAAGCCACAGAGTTTGAAGTGCTTTGTTATGCACCATTATTGTAGCACTAGTTAACAGATACCTCTGTTACCGCAACAACAATAACAGCACTGTCATTATTGCTATCATTGCTATTAATCATGAGACATATCTGCACATGACATTGTCCATTTGCAGCAGCTGTATCTGCACTGAAAAGACAGAGGGGACCACGGCAGCTCTAGTGGCTAAGTAGGTGACAACTGAAGAAGAAAGGGAGATGCTGGGAAAGGGAAGAGACCCAAATACATAGCTTGTTAAATACACAGCAGGGCTGAAGACCCGCCTTGAAGGTAATGGCTACCACATCTAGAAAATCCTTTCTCTACTGAGGAAGAAAAACTAACGCCCCAGATTTTCTTTGCACTTGCCCATGAAGTGAAGAAATCAATTCCCTCTTTAAAATTACTCTTTCAAAAGGTCCTCACAGACTTGAGTGGGCACAACCAGTTTAACAATAGCTTCCCATGGTATTAAGACGCAGGTGCAGGCATTTATCAGGGTCCTAGGCTTTCAGTAGTGGTGACTATTAAATGCAAGCCCAAACGTGTGCCTTCCATCCAGCCTTGATTTCTGAAGCTAATATAAAACCTTGCATATACATTCATTGCCTTTTCCCTGAGAAGTTTCTAAAAAAAAAAAAAAAAAAAAGGAATAGAAACAGAAAAGAAAATGGCTTTTTGTTTGAATTTCCTTAAAGAGTCATTTGCTGAAGCAAGTATCATCAGCTCTTGTAAACACACAAAATTCATTTAACTGATCTCTGACTGTTCTGAGAAATTGGAACCTGAAGCTTTGTAGCAAATTGTCTCAGACAGATCATGGAATGTGAAATGCATATGATATAGGCAAGACTGCCTTTATGACAACTCAGCCAGTGAAGAAAACAATTGCTTGTGCTTTTAGTGCTCTGGGATAGGGCTCCAGGGTCTGCAGTCTTCATAGGGAAGTCACCCCAAAGCTTGAGGCACACATTCTGCAAGTAAGACTCAAGAAGCTGTGGACAAGGATAGCTGGAGGACACAGAGGCCTAGGAGGAAACTTAAATATTACTCAGACTTACCCAATCTGTGTGATAAAAGTTGCTCAGATGATTTCACTCTCCCTCCTCACCCATCTGCCTCTTTCTCCAGCTTCCAAAGAAGTGTCTAAGTAAGCCAAGGGGACCAAACTGTGCACTCAAGAATGCTGACTAGCGCATGCTGGCTTTCCCTGAGTGTGCCCCATAAATAAAGGTGGTGCTTCGTGGCATCTTTTCAACTCCTTCTCTCCTTTCCTTTGGTTCCCTCTCTCTGAGAGATCTCATCCCCTGCATAGTTGGTGACTATCAAAACTTTAATTCTAGCTTGATTTCTCTGTTAAGAAAAATCCATAAGTCAGGAAACTGAACTTGCATATTGCACAAGCATTCAGACTCAGCATGACCCAAGTAGAACTCATTAATTCCCCCCAGATATATTTCTTCCCCTGCCTTTCTCATATCAAGTAAAGGCATCATCCCAAGCTAAGGATCCCAGGATCATTCTTTTACTCTTTTCTTTTCTCCACCCTCAAAGCCAAAGGGATGTGAAGAGGTGCAATTTCCATACTGCTAATCTACATCTGTCATTTTTTTCCAGTAAACTGCCCATTCATTTACTCATCTAGTATTTATTGAGTCCTTATACTGTGTCAGGCATTCTAGGTGATTTGAGATATAGTAGTGAGCAAACAGACCAAGAAGCCTACATTGGAGCTACATTTGAGTGTGGAAAGACAGACAATAAACAATAAATAAAATGAATATGAAAATTACATAGCATGCTAGGAGGTGATGCATGCTATGGAAAATAATAAAAAAAAAAAAGAGAGTCAGTTAGGTGGATGAGCTATACTGGGGAAGAGGAGGAGTCTTGTTAGATACGGTGGACAGGGCAAGCTTTCCTGAGAAGATGAGGTTTGAGCAGTGAGTGATGGGATTAAAGTAGTGGTCCAGGTGGATATCTGGGGGAAGCAGGATTGGATCACCTGGAGCAGAGGCCCAAAGGAAGGCTGGAGTTTGCTGGGGTGTTTGTGGAAGTGTCAGCCCAGCAGGCAAGGAGGGGAGTGAGTGAGGGAGATGGTGAGGAGGGTAGAGCCAGTGGGGTGTTTGTGGAAGTGTCAGCCCAGCAGGCAAGGAGGGGAGTGAGTGAGGGAGATGGTGAGGAGGGTAGAGCCAGTGGGGTGTTACTATTGGCTAAATGCGGGTGTGAAAGAGAAAAATCAGGGGAAACTCCAAGATTGCATCCTGAACAACTGAAAGGGCGGAGTTGCCGTCAACTGAGATGAGGAAGGCTGTGGGGAGCAGGTTTGAGGAAGGCAAGATCAGGAGATCTGTTTTGGTCATGCTGAATTTGGGATATCTATTAGACATGTAAGTGGAGATATCAAGTAAACAGTTAGCGATAAAGGGCTGAAATTCAGGAGAGAGCTTCAGACTGGAGGTAAGACTCTCCCCAAGTTCGCATCATGACTCACCTGCGTTATTTCAATCATCTTATAACTGGGCTCCTTGCTTTCATCTCTGTATTTTCTACAATTGCCCTCTACATTCCTACCAGAGAGGTATTTCCAAAACCAGAATCAATTCCATTTTTCATCTGCTTACAGACCTCTGATTTCCCTCTAAATATCAAATCCATACTATTCCACAGCATGGCATTCAAGCCTATATTTAGAGCTGTCTTTCATTAGTGTCAAGCATATAGAGATAATACACTAGATCCTGGACTTATGGATAGTCTGGAATGTTTCCAGTGAGAGTTTCTTCATGTTCTTTCATTCTTGAATACCACCCTTCCTGTATCCCCGGCAAATCTATTCATCCTTAAAGTCCCAATAGAAATGTCACCTCCTTGCTAAACCTTGCTCTACAACTACCAGTAGAATTAATTGCTCTTCCAACCATCTTGCCATTGCGCTTTATACATTCCTCTATTTGTAATAGAGCTTTCTACCCATGATGAACCCAATGACTAGATGCCACTTGGTGCACTTCATTGGAGTCAGTGGCTAGCACAGTGCAGAACAAAAGTGCATCAAATTGCAATGAGCTAAAATAAACCCAGCTGCCTTCTTAGTGCACACATCCCAGTGACACAATCTGGGATCCTGGAGTTATGAAAGAGGGAGTGGAGAGTTGTGGTCTCCATCCAGTGGGCCAGCCAGAGCCTGGTAGTCAGGGTGGGCCCCTCTGCTGGTGGTTGACATAGTCTTTGAGCCTGAAGCAGGGCGCTCCTTTACTCCCTCCTACTGGAATCCTGGCAGAGAAGAGCAGTGGAGGTAACAGGCTTGAGTTCTAACAGTAGGGGTTTTGTTTAGGCATAAAGAATGTCACCATTAAAGCAAGAAATGAGATGGAACTTGCAGAGAAACATTAAGGGAAATAGAAAAAATGCTCTCTAATCTCATCAGGCACCAGGACACCAGCAAGCAATCCAGTTCATCACATTTTGTTTCTCTCATATATTTACAAAGGATCCACAGGCCTGGTTCTTCAGGTGATTAAGAAACATGCCTTCCACTCCCATATCCCCACACACATGCTTTCTCCAGCCTTTGGTCTGCCAACTTCTGTGATCCTCTAACATTTAGAATGGCTGGCCTCCCAGTTCCAGGCCAGCCTCTCCTTCAAAGATCTTTTGAAAACTTAGCACTTTTAAAATTAAAACAAAGCAAAACAAAACTTTCCCTAGTTGAGTGAAAGAAAAGTTTCATTGGTTCATTGCAATTGGAGGCACTTTTTCTGGACACTGTGCTACCACATCCCAATTGTAGAAGAACTTCTGCCTCCTGCTAAATAAATAATTAGCCACAAAGCTAAGGCTGGGCTCTTCTCTAGGATTTGGGGCCAATTCCTGATTATTATGAACATCAAAGCTTCAGGGAGGCTCTGAGTCCTCAATATCATAAATGAGGCTCTTTGAGAGAAAAGCAAAACAAGAGTGACTTAGGGATGAGATTTATTCTTCAGTAGGTTTTAGGTCTTAATTTCTTCCAAGGAAAATAGAGTGGTGGTTGGGAGTGGTCCAGCCTGACTCTCCTGCAAAACTTAATCAAAGCTCTGAGATTCCAAGAGTGCAAAAGAGAGGCTGCTCTGTGAGGCCAGGGAATTTTGTTTGCTTTGTTTACCATCATATCCTGAGGCCCCCAGAACAATGCCTGGCACAGAATCAGTACTCCATAAACCTTTGTTTAATAAATAATAAATCAGGACACTTGAAAATTAGAGACAAAAAGAAGGACAAGAAGCTAAACTTTAAATGTCATGGTAAGGAGCCAAGGAGTCATTGCACATTTTAATCTGGTTAAATAAACTGTCTTCAAAACATATAAATGAGCAAAATGATAAGATGTTCTTTTGGATGTCTAATGTATATGGAGATAGAAGAGCAAGGTTAATGGAAAAATTCAGTCAAATATTTACCAAAGATAGGAATCTCAGAAATATTCCAATCCTTCTTTTCCTCCTCTTCTTTCTTCCTCCGTTTCTTTTCTCCCTTTTTCCTGTTGCCTCTTCCTTCTCTCTCTTCTTCTCTTTCCCTTCCTCGTCTACCTCCTCCTCCTCCTCTTCCTCCTCCTCTTTCTCCTTACTGTCCCCTCTCTCTTCTCTCTCTCTCTCTCTCTCTCACACACATGCTTACTGTCCACAGGCAACCTGCCACCATATCTTATAGTTCCAATCTCTGCACTGAGTCCTTTTTGTCAGTATCTTCTCATCTGTCTCCTGCAATAGTCTTCCAACAGTCTCTTTCTTGCCCCAAGTCTCTCTTGGGTGCATTCTTTCTCCACTCGACTACCCAGGTGGCCCTTCTAAGCTGCCTATCTGACAAAAAACCACACAGCTCCTCCCCACGTAAAGCACAATGTTGAGGCATGTCTCAGAAGCATTCAAGCCCTCATCATCTTCACTACCAGATAACACTGAGCATGCCATGCCCTGTGTGTGAACTGTCACTGTCTTCTTCACATTGTCTGCTTGGCAAATCCCTCCCAATTCCTCCCAGCCCCAATATCTTAAAAACAGTGATAAGTAATATAAAAAGATGAAAAAAAAACCCACAAAATATCTGAATCCTTATACTATCTATACAGCATGCCTTTAGAAAGTCATGGTCAACATTTTTCCAAAAGCCTGAAAGAATTCCTGGTTTAAAAGATACAAGAACAAAAAAAATATTATATGCTTCTGGTGCCAGGCAGCTACATTTCTGCATTTCTGTAGCTACCTGTTGCATATGTGGTACTTAGTAACAAGTACCTAACTGTGGCATTCTGGATGTCATTGCTGTTTATATTTAGACATCTTATCTGCCTTTGATTTTTGTGATTTCTTAATTGTTTCATTTCCTGCAAGGATTGAGACTCCCAATTATTGCCTTCTTAATGGATTAAAATAATGTACTCTCTCTCTTCAGCATTAAGGGTTAGAATAATTTAGGATCATATAATATTATGAGCAGTTTGGAAATCATTTCACTCGATTTGTTTATTCCTGCAGAATTAAAGACAGGAGGTTTTGGGAAGATAACAAACTAAATATTTAGCAATACATCTCTTTCTTTCTCAGAGGCCACACACCAAAGATGGCAGCCTGGTTTGGTGACAGTCTGGTTATGAATTCTTCTCTCAGTGGTTAGAGAAGTGGTTTGCAGTCATCTCAATCATGGACACTATAAAAAGGCAATAAAAATAACTGTAAAAGGATATGAGAAAGTCACTATAAGGCTCAGTAAAAATAACTTTAAAATTTTAACTTTCTGAAAAAGGCTTCTATGTAAATATAGTCAATAAAATATAATGTCAGCAGGGTAAAAATCCTACCCTTGAATTTTTAATCTGTATTTCAAGTTCTCTAAGATAGTTAATTGGTAATATTTAATATATGTCATAAAATCACTTTTAAATTGCTTCTAGGCTTCAAATAATTTGAAATCTGTTAGAAGAGACATTAAATGGAGATAATATTGAAAAACATTTTTCCAACGGACAATATTGGGAAAATATTGTCATAGGGAAAGATCAGATGAGTAGTAACTTTTCTTTGCTACATTCTGCTTATAGAAGAGGGATGATGCAGAGAGTAGCTCTCTCTTGCAAATAAAATGCAAGTGTGACTGGGACCCTGAATTCTTTTCATAGATGAGCAGGTGGAAGCCCCAGATAAGGTCCTTACCCCAGAACAATTTATTAGAGGATCCTCTTGACCCTATTGAAAGCCCCGGAGAAACCCAAAGACCTCCTTTTAGGCACAAAACAAACACAGTGGTAAATCCACTCTTGCTTGATGCAAACCTTCCTAGATTAAGCAGTGATTGAGACCAGTTGAACTATAGTCAGAGCAGCTGGTGTTTATACCTAACATTTTCATCCCTTGATCATGATCAAAATGCTGAGTCAAAATATGCTGCATCTGGCATTTTAAGCCAGATAAAGTCATGGAGAGGAACAGGGACACAGATTGTACCAACAGTGGCTTCCTCAAAAATTGCCTATGTGAGATTTTGTGACTATGCTCACAGAGGACAGCACAGAATCTTGTGAAGGTTGGGTCACTTCAAATGTGGGTTGACTATATTCAAGTTACCAACTGGGTTTCCTGTAGCTTGTTCACCATCACAGGCTGCATTCTCCTGTACTCTTGACTTTATTTGATAGATGTTTACTGTGATCCTGGGTGAGGCACTAAAGATATAAAAACAAGGAAGACCCAGTCACCATCTTCCCTGACCCAGGGTCTAGCTGGCATGGTTTTGAACATAGAAGGGAGTAAATGCCAAAATTTCTAATGACGAGGAAAGGTGATGGTTTGAAAGAGCATATTCTAATGTGATCAAATATTTCACATTTGTAAGATACAAAAATTATTCTTGTTTCTGTCATGCAAACTGAAGGAAATTGTGCTTGAGGCTACAGAGAAAGCTATGCTAATCCTCTGGCTGGAGCTGTAGGGAAGCTATTTTAGAAAGAGGAGGTTTTTCTGATGTGGCATTTAAGATAAGACAGGAAAGATAAGAAAGAAACAGTGAAGTGATTGCGATGAGATATTGCTATAACATTACCATAGAATTCCACAGTACCTAAGGGTTTGTACTGGCCAACCCTTACAAAGACTTTGAATTCTGTACTTAACACCCCTCACCTTCACTTTCAGCCTCCTTTTGTCCCTTTGTACCTCCTTAGGTTGAAGTGTTCCTATAGTCAGTGGGGCAACTGTCCTAAATAAATGTTGCACCTTTGATGTATTAATTTATCAGTAGTTTTTGCATTGCTTAACACTGCCAGCAAGATACAGAAAACTGAAGATAGTATGCATACATGTGTATTTAAAAAGGGAGGGTTGGTATTCACATGTATGCTTTTATATGCATGTAATAGCTGAAAAATACACAAAGGCATTGTCAACCGTGGTTGATTCTGGAGAAGAAAACTGGAGATCTTGGGATACAGAGTGAGATGGAGACTTCCTTTCACTGTATGCCCACTTGTAATGTTATTACTGTTGTTTGTTTGCTAACCTTGTACATGTATTCCTTTTTCAATTTAAATTTAAAAATAAAAGAAAGGGCTACCACAAAGAAGAAAATCACTATAAATCCCAAAGAAATAAACTACAAAGGTTGACTGAATTCAAGACACTGTGGCATAGGAGGAAAAAATTGAGGGCTCAGAGGGCTATCAGTGACGGGTGCTTTCTCCCTCTGTTAGAGAGAACTCAGCCCAGCCCAGCACTCCCACAGTGCATTAGTTGTGCTATTTTTAAGTTCGTAATACCTAAGATGCTATCTTAGTTAGCTCGAGGTGCCATAACAAAATACTATAGGTTGAGTAGCTTAAACAACACAAATGTATTTTTTCACAGTTCTGGAGGCTAGAAATCCAAGGTCAAGGTGCCTATATGGTTGGTTTCTGGTGAGGGCCCTCTTCCTGACTTGCAGATGGCTGTCTTCTTGCTGTATCCTCACATGGCAAAGAGAGGGAGGGGGGAGGCAGAGAGCAAGCTCTCTGGTGTCCTTTCTCAATAGAATATTAATTTCATTATTAGGGCCCCACCTAATTTTCTCCCAAAGACCACATCTCCAAATACCATTGCACTGGGGATTAAGGTTTCCATATAGAAATTTGGGGTGCACACAATTCAGTCCATAGCAGATGAATATAGGTTAAGATGTGTCTTAAGAAGTCCAGATGCATATTTGATACCATCAAGCATATTTATGTCGTAGACGTAGGTCTAGTTTAGAGGGCTGGCTCTTAAACAATGCTTCCTATGATATTATGCCAAATCTTTTATAAAAAATGAATATAGATTGAGGGTTGAATATGGAACCTGGCTGGACAAAATGCTTTTGTCCTCCGTATCCAGGAAGACACAGAGTAGGAGCAAAATAGGCTCATTAAGAAAGTACAAAAAGGGTAATAAGGAAAGTCTTATTGCCTCCTGCTGTCATTTCCTTTTATAAAAAAGGGTAGAAAACTACCCTATAAAACTAAGTAAAACGCCATCTGTGCCGTTGCTTCTGGAAATTACTTAATTGATAGTACACCAGGAAACAAAGTAAAGCCTGCTTCTAATTCACTCAGCTCAGTCTCACCTCAGGAGTCTCAAAGACACAGACAGCCTGTATTGCACCTAATTTGGAAGTTTAAGCTCTTCTTCCTGCATCAGATTTGATTACCCAACATTTGAAATATCTCACTGCAGTTATAAGGCAATCTAGTGAACACGTGACCTTGGTTACAACCTGGCTTGAAAATCATCACTGCCTTGGAGTCGTTCTATACCTAGCAGAGCTTGCAGAAAGAACACTGGAGGTCTCAAGTGGATTTCCTCTGCTATTTTCTCCTAACACATTTTCCTGTCGTTCCATAAAGGTCCGTTTTGTAAGAAAGGCAACTTGTGTTTTCTCAGGATGGAAGGCAAAGTTACATGCAAAGAGAAATTAACAGAATGGCAACTCTCTAGAGAACTGAATACAAGCTTGTTTTATTGCAACTCACTCCTGAATTCCATTGAAACCAACAGCCTGAGATCAATATTTCATCAACTAAGGCCATCTCAACACCTTGAGAATCAACTGGCAATGTGCCAATCTCCTATACAATACGAAGCTATTGACCCAGGAGCGGTGCCTACTGCAGATATGACTGTGTTCCTCTCTGGTACCTGGGCTTTCCTGATAACCCATGAGTGTGGTAGCCAGAAAAAAAAATCTTATCAGTTCATTATCTCCCCAGGAGAGAATTCTATAACAGCACAATTGGTGCTTCAAAATATGCACCAGGTCATTCCAACCAAGTTTTGAGAACCTTAGAATTCTAAGGTTCTTCCATTGATTCTATTCTGCAAAGTACTTACTTCAATCTGTGGCTGCACTGTCAAGTCATTGAAGATTATGATTCTTGATTTAGAAGGTTCATCTCAAATGTTTTAAATCTTTAGCTTCAGAAAAAGGAGATGTCTTTTTCTTTCCTATATACCTATTTCTCCTTCTCTCCATGGGGAAACCCATGGTATAAGTTATCTTAAAAAGTATGAAAACAAGGAGGCAAAAAAAAAAATTACAGTGTTAACCCAAGTTTGCAGGGCTAATAAACGCTAAGAGGATAGATTTTAAGTGTTCACATCACACACACCCACACACACACACACACACACACACAAATGGTAAGTATGTGAGGTAATGCATATGAATATCAATAGCTTGATTTAGTCATTCCACAGTGTATACATATATGAAAACTTTGTGTCATATACCATAAATATATACAGTTTTTACTTAATTAAAAAATAGCCAATGCATATGTAGCATTTACGATGTACCAGGCATCCATCTAAATGCTTTGCATAAATCCACTTATTTCATCCTCACAGCAACCTAGGAGGTGGGTACATTTTTGCCGATGAGGAAACTGAGGCACAGAGAGATTAAGTATCTTGTCCAACGTAAAAAGGCTGGGCCATATATGCTAAGGAGGCCTCTGGTTAGTTTTAACTCAAACACCAGCCCCCATTTAGTTTCTTTAATTTTGGGGGGAAGAAATTTCCCCTCAACAAACAAACAAACAGTGTTTGAAGAAAACCAAGTGATCATGGTATCCCTGAAATTCTCAGTGCTCTTAGAAAGGTAGAATGAAGGCACCATCCCCACTTCTGCATGACCTGATCTCCCTACACAAAGCAGATACTCAGTGAATGCTGGCAGAAAGAAAATGAAGGCTGGGAAGATTCCCAGTGCTGTCTCTATACTCCTGCAGTTTCTTTGAAAAGTTCCTCCCAGGGCTATGGCTTCTTGTGAGAAAGAAACAAAAAAGGAGTCTTCTCCCTAGTTTCAAGATTGCCCCTGACCCCCCTCCTCCCAGCCCTAACACATTAGCACCCGGCTGACTCAGTCACTTCTGATCTGTGAGTTAAGCTCATCCAATGTCTGTTGACCCACCTTCTACTTCCCTCTGCAGGGTTTGGACCACCATTCTATCCTATCTGGCACTCAGTCAGCGTGGTGTAAGAGGGGTAGACCCCCAGGCCTTCAAGTGGGTCAAGATGACTCTACATGATCACTACATTAATGAGCATGTCATTGCCACTTTCTCTCAGAGGAAATTCTCTCTCACTGCTTCTTTCTCCCCCAATAAGAGGAATATTAAGCTAGGACACACTCAAAGAGTCAGAATGGGCAATGTGGTGGAAATGAGCACTGGAATTGAGTTAAGACACCCAGATACCTTGTTGTAAATTTGCTGTGTGACTTTGAGTAAGCCTCTGCCCTACGAAGAGAGAGACCACTGGACCACTCAGGGATAACAAATCCCTGACATGTGTATCGCCATGACCCATTCCCAGACCCACGGCAGGCATCACTAATCAATCATTTTCAACTGAGCCAAAATGAAGTGTCACAATTCTTCTCCATAGAGAAGCCCTATCAATAGAACAGGACTGGCACACTGGCTTAAGCCTCTTTACCACCCTAAATTTGATAATCCTTAAGATATTTTCCATTAGTCAATTTGGTTCATATTGCATTGAAATCTAGTACAATTGGTCTATGTACATATATAATAATCTATAAATACTTGTATATATATTTTTATCACAACATACTTCTCATCTCATCATACAGTACTCCCTTCATTTTCCACACCTCCTCAGAGGCTATCAAATAAGTTTGCCCACTCATACGTTCTCAGAACCTAAGAATGTCATTCATCAGGATCAGGAAATTTGGAATATGTTCATCCATTCATTCATTCAAACTCATTTTTTAAATTTTCTGAGCAGCAGCCACATGCCAGGCCTAGCCAGGTGCCCTCTTGTTGATTTCTCTCCTGTTTGGGTGGCGATTCTTTATTCCGGTTTGGTTTTGTTCTTTCCATTCAAGACCATTTTTCCTGATACACTGCACTGCTTAGGTTCAGATGGCTGTCTCCTACACTTTCCTTTTAAACTTCTACTCTCCCAGGGAAGTGTTCTTCATTGAATTCCCATATACCTGTAGTAAACAGACACGTTAGATGAGGTTTGGGTGTGGTCAACCTCAAAATGGTAACAGAACCACTCTGAGCTCCTAAATATAGAAATTTTGGAAGAGGGAAGAGGACTCAGAAGTGTTACAAAGGAAGCTAAAGTCCAGGTTTGCTGACTTGTAAAATTCTGCCTGTGGTAAGGCATATTAGCTGCTAGGACTTCAAGCAGCCCACCTCAGGCCTCAAAAGGAAGGTTCATAATCCAAGGTCGGGATCAAATAGTGATGGCAATGAAAGAAGCCACTCAAGGGAGCCCAAGCTAGTTTTAAAAATATCTGAAGGGAACTCAGGGGGCAGAATGCTCACATAGCTCTAAGCCCATTGTGTGCCAGTTACGATGCTGAAGCAAAAACTGGAATCAAAGGATGGACAGTATTAGGGAATAGATTCTGGCTTCATGGAAGGAACGTTTGAACAGTCAGAAGGCCAAACACAGCGGCTCACAGCTGTAATCCCAGCACTTTGGGAGGCCAAGGTGGGAGGCTCACTTGAGGCCAGGAGCTCAAGACCAGCCTGAACAACATAGTGAGACCCCATCTCTCAAAAAAAAATTTTTAAAGAACAGTCAGAGCATCTCAGAGAGAGAGTGAGCAGAACATCCCACCTCAAGGAGTAAGGAGCTTCCCGGACTGGGGAGGGAATCAAGCAAGGCTGTAAGTAGAAAAAGAGGTGGGTACATGCTCGTCGTGTTGGTCTCTATAACCTCAGTGCCAGGCGCACAGTAGGTGTTTAATAAATACTTCTAAAAGAGAGAAGGGGGCATCTTGGTGAGGAAAGGGAAGGGTCTAAAAGAGGAGAGGCAGGCTAACAGCCTTGGTTCTAGAGGGAATTCTCACTCTGAGAGAGTGGTTAGACGAGATGATTTCTGGTCCTTCCTATTTCTGAGATTTTATGATTCTAAGAAGAAAGAGAAGTTTATGAAAACCTAACCCAGAGTTTTTCAGCAAGGACGTGTGACTTTTTAATGAGGGAGCTCCCTCTACTGGACAGAAGTCTGTTCTTCAACTGAATTTTGCCATTTCTTCAGCACTTGGAACTCAGAGGTGGTAGAATGTCTTCCTGTACCAATGCTTTTTAAATCCTAAAGAAACCACTATCCCATATGTCGCACCCTGGTCTGGAGAATCAACTGTGGGAACGTGACTTTGCCATAAGTAGTGAAAACACTATTGGTCAGACTCCTCCGGTCTAGGTTTTATTGTTAGCAATTTCTTTCCCACATGGAATTTGTGCCATTACCCACAGGAAAGCCACAACCCATTCCACCGAATGCAGCCAGCTGATTAACCAGCCTGTATTGAACACCTACTGTGTGCCAAGCTGCTTGGCACTGAAGATAGAATGGTAAGCAAGTAAACAGAGATAAACTCTAAGAAGGAAAACTACAGAATCCTAGGAGAGCAGATGGTAGGGACTTACACCATGAGCATGTGGACGGGGATATAAGAAGGGTGGTACACAAAAGCTTCCAAGAACTGATTTCTGAGCTGACATCTGGGTCTGGCTGAAGGATGAATAGGAGTTCATCAGTCATAGAGTAGGTGCTTGCTATTTATAAACACTGAATGGCCGAGACACACAGCCTATTATTCCACTAAAGTTTATTTCATGCTTTTTACATACCTGCTCTTGAATAGGCTGCAGACGCTTTAACGTCAGATGCTACAGCTTGTACACCAGGTAGCCCTTGAACTGAATTATTTAAGTAGAGCAGGCCAGGTTACTTCAGGTACGCACATCGAATTAAGGAATAATTATACTAGAAATCTATGTTGGCCGTATTTTCAGCAACATCACCTTTGACCTGGAAGTAATTGGAAAGTTAATAACATTTGATTTAATCTCCAAATATGGCTCACAGGTGTATTCAAGGGAGCTTTGATAACACAGACTCCTCTTAACCCATTTTGCAAGGTTAATGCATGAAGAGTCAGGGTGGGAAGGAGCCCAGAATAATGACTGTTAATCCAGATAGAGACGATATCTGCTCTTGATGAGAAGGAATGAGAAACTGACATTTATTGAAGACCTTCCAGAATCCAGACATAGGTCTATGCTATTTCATTTGGTCCTTATAGAAGCCATAAGAAATATACAGGGCCATCTTCAATTGATTGCTGAATTGGCATTGTTTCAGCCCTAATTCACAATGGTTGCATAAGAGTAACAGTTAGACTTCTTCCAGGTTTCTTCAAATTTTAAGACCATAAAACAAGATTTTGAGCTGTTACCGTGTGTCAGGCTCCATGCCTAGCATTTTAATGTAAGTGCACCATTTCACTTAATTCTAAGAATCACAATTATCCTTTCTAGCTGGGTCACTGAGACACTAAGAGATTTTGTACTTTGCTCAGAGCCACACAGCTGCTGGATGAAGGACACTTCATCCAGACCCATCCAACTCCAGAGCCCTGGCTCCTGGCCATGTCTAACACAGCATCCCTGTCCACCCAGACAGGCAGGTCTGGAGGATTCAAGAGGCTTGAATCACACCGGAAATCATTTATAGGCTATCACAACTCCAGCCAATGGCCCATGCTATGCACTCATTACAAAACAAAATAGTCACCCTTTTGCTCAGATGAGAAGAAAAACAGTGAGTTCCATTTTCCTAGTGGCACACCTCAGGGTATAAAAATTCTAATGAGAGAATTTAAACCTTTAGCTGATGCCTGTGTGCAACAAAATGCTCCAGATCACTGTAATTTAATATATAGATGCATTGCCATCATTTAGACCCTGCAATATGTTGCACAGTAAAGCAGGGCTTGGCTAGGAAGAACCCAGTCAGAAGTTTAAGACACAAGATCAAAGAGACAAGACCAAGAGTTGGATTTCAGCTGTGGGAAGCCCTTGGCCTCCTTCCCCTTTAACCCAACACAGCCTGAAGGTCACATCACCCATGTGAATTGCGCCCAAGTCTGCTCTCTCCACTTAGCACCATTTGTTCTGCATTCTGGGGCTTGAATACATGTGCTCACCTCCTTGGGTACTTGGTGTACCCATCACAGCTGGGACCACGGCTTATACATCTCAGTCACCCCCAGTGTCCAGCCCAGTGGACACTCAAACACTAGCAGGCTGTATTTAAAATAAAGTTTTTAATGTGAATTTATATTGTTAGTCAAAACATGTACCAATGACATGGAATAATGGCTTAAACCATCACAGTTGACCTGCAGGGACCAGTACTTTAGCTTCACCTAGAACAGGGCACATGATATTAAGGCCACATGTACTTGACTCTAGCTTCACCTGTGACAGGGCACATGGTATTAAGGCCATTGACTGCTAGAAAAGGAATTCCCACTGGTGAAGCTATGAGAAAACTGAGACTCAGAGAGGTTAGGCAAGGTCACACAGGTATTAAGTCGTAGAATTAGGATTTGAGCCCAGGTCTACAGGACTCCAAAATCTCAGGGATTACCTATTATGCCACATTATCTGCCCACCAGATAAACATCACCCTGCCCTCAGGGCCTTTGCTTTTTCCAAGATAAACTTTAAAGATGATCCGAGCAAACTAGGGCAGAACAAAACAGGCTACTACATCACTAGGTACACTTGGAATGTGTGTATCAAGTAGCTGAAACCCAAACAATTCACCCAATGGGATGCTGGTTCCTGTTATGTCAAACAGCCTACCTGGGCTGAAATTTTCAGAGTAATCTCCCAGTTTTAAATGACATCAACCCAGATCTGGGTGCACCAGCTCTGTCAACATAATGGCCAATATCTGGGGCCAGGGGAAATAAACCCTCATTCAGATGTCTTGATGTTCATTAATGTCACAACATCTTATTAAGGACTATGGTCACAGCACTGCATGGGCTGGGTGTTTGGTAGGGAAATGACTCCATTTTCTTATCTTCCAGATGTGTTATATGATAGATATAGAAACATTGCCTCAATCTGCATAGAAACAAAATTAGCAAAATAAAATGGCAAGGATGATAAAACAAACATCTTTGACTAATTTACATTGAATTAGCAGGATTTATTATTAAAATTGCAATGGCAGCTTGCACTCATGGAAGACTAATGGCATGTTAATCAATATGTTGAATGCTTTATGTATATTATTGTCACATTTAATTTCTGCATCATTTCCCACTTGAGACACAAGTAAACCTGGATTGGGAGAGGCTGGTCACACAGTGAGAAAACAGGTTGGATCCAAACCTATGCCCATCTGACTCCACAGCCCTAACGTTGGTGACTCTTTTACATCTTTGCTACTCAAGGTGTGAGGCAGGGGCCAGCAACAACTGCCTTCTCACAGCTCATTAGAAATGCAGAATATCAGCCTCCTTCCCCAGACCTGCTGAATGAGAATCTGCACTTTAACAGGTGACTGTACCCAGGCCATCTCATCACCTAACCATGCTTGTTTCACACTCTGGTGCCCTTCTTGGGTACTTGGTGTGTTCATCAGGAGCAGGGACCATTATTCTAGGTGTGATGCATACACCCCTTGCCTTATATCACCTGAAGTTTCCTGGGTTCCATTCCAAGCTGGCTGAGCAAGATTCTCTGGTGGTGGGACTCAGGAATCTATATTTTAACCAGTTCTTCAGACTATCCTAAAGGCATACTACTGTCTGAAAACAAACACTGTGATACATCCCGTTGTCTTAAAGTTTACATGCAGGATTCTGTGCTTTTTTCCCAAACTGAAAAGTGTATCCAAAAATTGGAGGAGTATGCAAAGAATAAATGGGTCCATTTGAGTGATCCTAGAAAGACATTCTGTTGTTGTTGATTTTGGAGTCCTGGTAAAGCATTCGTGCTTCTTTTTAAAGCCAGCTCATCAATCCCACCCAATGCAGCAAACATTTCCCAAGCTTCCTCAGGTCAGCATCAACAGAAGGGATGAGTTTTGAAGCAGCAGAGTGATACACAGAGATGCAAGTAAGCCCAACCCAAGGCACAGAATTCTGGTGACACAACAGAGAAGAGCAACATCCATCAGCTCTCCTGAACTGAAAGCCCTGATGCCCTCCCTCAGCCAAGTGGCCCCATCTGGCACCACAGCCACCGTCCCCACCAAAGCAGTAGACTGCCCACAACTTGAGTCTGAACTTTGGGTGCTGCCTGAAGTTAGGCTGGTGGACAAATAAACCCACAGCTGGATGAGCCCCTAGCATGTGTTTGCACACCAACCATGTTAGCCTAATGTACTCAACTGGATTTTAGCTTTGGTTTCCCTATTTAGCAGTCAAATAAATTACTAAGATTAAAACCTCCTTCTCTTTCAGAGTATAAACTCTTTACTGATGTCTAACAACCTCCCTGTCTGCTATCTGAAGTGAACTAGGGTCTTGATTTTAAGCATTCATTTATCTCACAAACACATGCTCAGGATGGAGATACCATGGAGGAAAAAGACTGATATTCTATTCTGCATTTGTAAATCTTACTTAGAGTCTAGCAGTGGAGGAAGTTAACCATTTATTGCAACCAGAAATCAATGTGAGGAAGGTAACGTTCTGAGCCCTGTGAAAGTGAACCACAGGGGAGCTGAACTCATTCCAGGAGAACATGGAAGGCTTTCCTGAGGAAGTCACATTTCAGTGGAGACCTGAAGATCCGCTGGGAAGGAATTGAGTCCCTGGCCCTGACACCTGCTACAGGTCCAGAAGACTTGCACCTGCACTTCCACTGCTCTGTGATGCTAATGACTGCTTAAGATGCATTGAACATTTGCTATTGTGAAAAAATGAGGCTTTGTGTTCTGTTATAGACTGAATGTTTGTGTTTTCTACCCAATAAACATGATATGATAAGGTCCTAATCCCCCAGGTGACTGTATTTGGAGATGGGGCCTTGAAGGAAATAATTAAAATTAGATAAGATCATAAAGGTGGGGCCCTGATCTTACAGGATTTATGTCCTTACGAAAGAGATACCAGAGCACTAATACACACTCCCTCCTCTCCCCGTCCTTCTTCACACTTTCCCTGTCCACTCCCACTTTCTGTTTTTCTCTCCCTCTTTCCAGCATGTGAGTACTCAGAAGACAGCCGTCTGCAACTCAGAAAGAAGTCTCACCAAAAACTGAAGCCTACCAGGACCTTGATCTTGGACTTCCCTGCCAGCTAGAACTGTGAGAAAATAAATAAGTACATATTTGTTGTTTGCACCACCCAGCCTATAGGATTTTGTTATGGCAGCCCTAGCAGACTAATACATGCAGTGTTTTGATATAAATTTATTAAAGAAACTTCTTTATTTGCTTACCATTCCCTGACCAAAAAAGAAAAAACTAGACTCGGGGGTTAAGGATTTCTTCTGATTAGCAACAATATCTACAAAATACTTGTAGTTACGGTCTAAATTAAAATAAGGTCAGGAATCATTTTATAGCTTAGGTAAACAAAATCAACCTCCTATAACAAACATAATTTTAAGCAAACAAAGTAAAGTGTGTATGGCAGGGCTTCTCAAGCTCAGCCCTGTTGACATCTGGGGCTAGATCCTTCTTTGCTGTGGGGCTGTCATGTGCTTTGCAGGATGCTTAGCAACATCCCTGGCCTCTTTCCAACAGTTGCCAGTGGCACCCCTTCCAGTTGTGACAATAACAATGTCTTCAGACACTTCCCTGGCCTCTTTCCAACAGTTGCCAGTAGCACCCCTTCCAGTTGTGACAATAACAATGTCTTCAGACACTTTCTGAGAACAAAATTGCTACTTAGTAAGAATCACTGTTTTATAAAGTGTTACCTCATCTCTACATGGCCCTTTCTCCACCCTTTACACCTGCCTTTACCTAGAAAACACTTACACATGATTAAATGGTTAGCTGAGACATTGCCTCCTCCTGAAAGCCCTCCCTGACTTCCCAGAGCAGCTAGGTGCCCCTCCTCTGGATTTCATTAACCCTTCTTTCTTCATCTGAATTATGGTATCTGTCACTCTTTATGGCAATTGCCTGATGATCCTCCAGTAGACTGTAAGTTCCTTGGGATCAGGACTGACTTACTGCTCATGTCATACTCCCAGTGCCTGGTAGAGTGAGCTATATTTGAGAGACATTGGAGAACTGTTTGTGGATAAAGAAAGTAGGTGAGGGCCCACAGCTCTCATTATACGCATGGTAAAAAGCTGAAAGCTCTAAGATCAGAAACAAGACAAAGATGCCCACTCCCATCACTTATATTCAACACAGTGGTGGAAGTTCTAGCCTGAGCGATAAGGCAAGAAAAAGAAATAAAAGGCATCCAAATAGTAAAGAAAGAAATACAATTGTTTCTGTTTGCAGATGACATAATCTTGTATGTAGAAAACACTAAAGACTTCACCAAAAACCTGTTAAAAATAATAAATGAATTTGGTAAAGTTACAAGATACAAAATCAACATACAAAAATCAGTTGTGTTTCTGTACACTAACAAAAATATCTAAAAAAGAAGTAAAGAAAATTTTATTTACAATAGCATCAAAAAGAATAAAACACTAAATTTAGAAATAAATTTAACCAAGGATATGAAAGATCTGTATGCTGAAAAATATAAAACAGTGATGAAAGAAATTAAAGAAGCTGCAAAGAAATGAAAATATATTTCAGGTTTAGAAATTGGGAGAATTAATATTCTTAAAATGCCCATAAAACCCAAAGTAATTTACATATTCAATACAATGTCTATCAAAATTCCAATGATATTTCTTACAGAAATAGAATAAACAATTCTAAAATTCCTATGGAACCACAAAAGCCCTAACTATCCAAAGCAATCTTGAGCAAGAAGAAGAAAGCTGGAGGCATCACATTACCTGCTTTTAAACAATATTACAAAGCAATAGTGATCAAAACAGTATGGTAATGGCATAAAAACAAAGACTAATGGAACAGAATAAAGAACCCATCAATAAATCCATGAATATATGGTTGACTAATCTTTGACAAAAATGCCAAGAATACACAATGGGAGAAGAATAGTCTCTTCAAAAAAATGATGTTAGGAAAGCTAGATATTTACATGCAAAAGAATGAATTTAGACAGTTATATCATATGTAAGAATCAACTCAAAATGGATTAAAGACTTACATGATCAGAAACCATAAAAATCCTAGGAAAAAACATATGGGAAAAGCTTCTTGACATTGGCCTTGGGTATTATATTTTGGATATGACACCACAAGCACAGTCAACAAAAACAAAAATAAATAAGTGAGACTATATCAAATTAAAAGTTTCTGCACACAAAAAGAAGAAAAACAAATCAATAAATTGAAAAGGCAACCTGTGGAATAAAAGCCATTTGCAAACCATATATCTGATAAAGGATTAAAATCCAAAATATATAAGAAAACCATACAACTCAATGGCAATTAATAAACATATAAATAGAATAATCTGATTAAAAATTGGACAAAGGATCTGAACAAACATTTTTCAAAACAAGATAGACAAATGGCCAACAAGTATATAAAAGTGCTCAACATGGATAATTATCAAGAAAAGGCAAATCGAAACCATAATGAGATGTCACCTTACACTTGTTAGGATGGCTATTATCAGTCAAATAATAACAAGTACTGGCAAGGATGTGGAGAAAAGGGAACCCTGGCAATGTTAGTGGGATTGTAAATTGATACAGCCATTATTGAAAACACTATGGAGCTTCCTCAGAAAAACTAAAAATAGAATTACTATATGATCCCTCAATCCCACTGCTAGGCCTGTATCCAAAGGAACTAAAATCTATCTTGAAAAGATATCTCCACTCCCATGTTCAGCAGGATTTTTAAAAACAGCCAAGATATGAAAACAACCTAAGTGTCCACCAATGAATGAATGTGTAAAGAAAATGCGGTACATATACACAATGGAACACTATTCAGCCTTAAAATTGAAGGAGATCCTGCCATTTGTGACAAAATGGATTAATCTAGAGGACATTCTACTAAGTGAAATAAGCCAGACACAGAAAGACAAAC
Source organism: Homo sapiens (assembly GCF_000001405.40). Taxonomy (NCBI): domain Eukaryota; kingdom Metazoa; phylum Chordata; class Mammalia; order Primates; family Hominidae; genus Homo; species Homo sapiens. The sequence goes on from NC_000003.12 coordinate 8,310,141, forward strand.
ACTGCATGCATGATCTCACTTACGTGTGGAATGCAAAGAAGTTGAAGTCTTAGAAACAAGGAGTAAAAAAGTGGTTGCTAAAAGCTAGAGGGTGGGGAAAATGAGAGGATTTTGGTCAAATGTACAAACTCTCAATTATAAAATGAACCCGTTCTGGAGATCTAATGTGCAACATAGTAGCTATAATTAATAATAATGTATCGTATACTTCAAATTTGCTAAAAGACTAAATATTAAGCATTCTCATCACACAATACACACACACAATGGTAACTATAAGAGGTAATGGATATGTTAATTAGCTTGATTGTGAAAATCACTTCATAAGATATACATATATCAAACCATCATGTGGTACACCTTAATTATACACAATTTTTGTGTGTCAATTATACCTGAATAAAGCTGAGAAAAATGCCTGTTAAGACGGGGGAAATTTACATTTCAAGAAATCATAGAAAAATACTATCATGACTTAAGAATTTCTCAGTTGGAAGTGAGCGTTAACACTTCAGGCCATTAATTGGCTACTGCTGGTATAGACAGGAGTTTATTAAACATTTAGAATGGAATAAACCACTAAACTAGAAAATTTGTTGGTTTGAAAAAACAAAAAAGGAAAGAAAGAAAGTAAGCCAAGTAATAATATCAGCACCACTGTATGAAGGATAAAACTGAGGTCAAGCCAATCAACTCACTTCCTTGTCCAAGGCTAGGTAAATTCAGCTGATTTTACTTCCTAAATTTCTCTGGATTCCATATATTTCTCTCCATCTCCATGGAAATCAACCACATCCAATCATCATTTCTCTTCCAGCCCTCTTGTACCCCTTCCAGACCACCCATCGGTACCCAAATGTCAGCCTTGTAGTCTTTCAGAACCCAAGTCTGATCATAACTATCCAACCTATAACCTTCAATGGCCTCCCTGGATATATCTAACCTGATAGGAAAGCCCCCGCCTGTCTCCACCCATCTCCCACCTTCCCCCCACCACTCTCCAGAACTCTCTGACCTTCTTTCTGCTCCTAATGGGGGCAATTCCCTTCCACATCAGGGCATCAGCATATACTTCTTCTTTTTCTGGAATGTTCTGTTCTTTCTTTTCACCTAACAAACTTTTCTCTTCCTTCTGCTGTCAGTACTGATGTCACTTGTTCCTCCTTCTTCACTATCCCACAGCATGATCTAGATCAAGTCCTCCTGCTCTAGGCTCTCACGGCCCCTATACCTTTCCTTCATGGCACTTACCATAATTTCTAACTACTGTATATATTGTTGACTTTATATTTTTAATGTCTGTCTTTGCCACCCTTCCTCTAAAATATAAATTTCGTAATAGTAAGTCTATAGTTATTGCGCATAACATTACACAATACCCTGGCAGATAGCAGGCACTCAATAAATATTTATGGGAGGAAGGAGAAAAAGAATAAAGGAAGAAATGGAAGGAAGGAAGGAAGGAAGGAAGGAAGGAAGGAAGGAAAACTATGATTAATAGGCAAAATATAAAAAACAGAACTATCATTGATAGTGGTAGCCTTAAAGAAAATTCCCCTTTTCTCTCCCCTTGGACAAGAACTCCCAGACCTTCTTCCCATATTAAACCATCGACTCATCTAATCTATCATGTAAGCAATAGTTGTTTGGAATCTGCTACACACACAAAAGAAAATGAATTAGAAATCAATAGAGCTTGTGACCTTTAAAGGAAATGACATTTTGCAGAATGTATCTGTGGCATGTTGACTACACAATGGTTCTCGGGCAGCATGCGCACCTCCAGAGACATATTTAAGGTTTTCTTTCTCAATGTCTGCCTCCACTCAGACTGTGGTTGGGTTTTCCTCGCACGGAAACATTGAGTTTAGGACCCATTCTTCCTGCAGACAGAGAAGGTCTTTGGAAATGGTGCTGCCTCTTGGCAGGGAGGCAGCGGTAGAGGGAAGAGTAAGGAACAGTGCTAAAAGGGATTGGGAGACAGTAAAGACTGGCTCCCTCTGGAAATATTTGGAGAAGAGCAGTGGCAGCAAAGGGGATTACTTTCTCTCTCTTTTTATTGATGTTTTCTCTGGTCAAAAATGGGGAGAACACAGAACCCTGGCATCTCCCAGAGCTGCACAGGTAAGTATGAGTCTCAACAAAATGGGTGCTTTAGATTGGCTTGGCATTCTGGGCTAAATCTCATTTGCCCGGCTCCTCTGCCCCCCGGACTTGCCCCTCCCTGTGTTCCCATGTAGGACATTCTGACCTCTATCTCTCAAATGCTGCAGACTTGTAAATTCCCACTTGTAATTGTAAATTTTAATTTTAAACATCAGTCTAGCTGTTGCTATAAAGCAATTTTTTTGTGAGATTTCCATTTAAATTGGTAGACTTTCAGCAAAGTAGATTACCCTCAATAATGTAGGTAGGCCTCATCCAATTTAAGGTGGTGTGAAAGGCAGAATTCCACATTCCTTGGGGAATCTCAGTCTTTTCTCTAAAGACCTTTAAGTCTGTCTTTAGACGAGGGCTACAACATCAGTTCTCCCTGGATCTCCAGCCTGCAGCCTGCCTTGCAGATTTCAGACTTTCCAGCTTCCACAATCATGTGAGCCAATTCTTTAATATAATTTCCTCTCTTTTTCTCTCTATGTCTACATATACTATTGGTTCTATTTCTGTGGAGATCCCTGACTAATATACCACTCCTCCTTCTCCTGATCACAAATGCACAGCTTTGGGTCTGGCCTCCTGAGCCTGCTAGGACCATTTGATTAATTACATCTGGCTACATTATTGGATATGAACTGAGTGGGAGATTACTCTTCCCAGAAGAGACACACTGTAACTAACATCTACAAGTATATTCATAGACTGATACCAAACTATCATACTCCCAGACAACCAAGAACAAGCATCAGCATGTCCATTTTTAAAATAAGGAAAGTAAGACCAAGGGAGGTAAATGGTATGCCCAAACTTACATGTCTAATAAGTGTCAGTGAGGACACAACCCCCCGTGTGTTTTTTCTCAGTTCTGGCTCATTTCTGGATGCTGTATTGCTCTTCCTGGAGCCAGGATCTTGACATTCAAGAGTCGAATTGCTGGGACCCTGAGACCTAGTGTCGGACAGAGGGAGAAGCTGCAAAATGTGGCAGAAAGAACTTGAATTTCAATTGAGTCAGATTGGGTGAAGCATCCCACCTGTGCTGCTAACTCCCTGTTGGGGCTTGGGCAGTCATTTCATCCCTCTGAGCCTCAGTTTACCCATATTTAAAAGGAGGAGATTGGACTAGACTAGATGACTGATTTCTAGGAGGAATCTCTTTCTATAGCCTTTAAAGTCCTATGATTGGAGAGAAATGGTCAAAAACCAAAAGTAAATGAACCCAAGAGAGGAACAAAGGTTTCTGGTGTGTGTGTGTGTGTGTGTGTGTGTGTGTGTGTGTGTGTGTGTGTGTGTGCTTTGTTTTCATCACTTCTCCTGGCTGCCAGAGTCTGTTTTGAGTTTTTCCACCCTTGACACCCGAGTCTGACACATCTCTCCAGCTCATAATGAGCTTTAATTCAAGTCACTGATCAATAGCAGGAAACAGCAGCCCTGTTTCCCCTGCTTGTTTTCTCTATCTTCAATCTGCCAAGACAGATTAGGCTGTTTCCAAGGTCACTCAATATTCAGGGAGAGAATGGAAAGATATCTGGTAGGCTGTTCGTAGAACAAGGCTGCAAACAGACAAGATGAGAACCCAACTGTGTGTTCCGTGACAGATTCGATTTACATCAAGGTCAAAAAGGGTATGTTTTCTTACTGAGTCTTTCTCTACCTCACAGTCACCGGCTTGTCCATCAGCTGCTGAGTTGGAGGTCTCCCCTAATGGAATACTGACTTATGAGCACAAGACCAGCCTTGCCAGTCTAGGAGTGCTGTGTAATCTCATGATCCAAGGTGTCCCTTGCTATGCAAACTGCTTTATCAGTGTGTTAAAACATTCATCACTGGACTAAAGAGCAAGGCAGGGCACAGGGCTCCATTCCCTGCCAATAGAAGGCAGATTTTTTTTGTTGCTATGGCTGAAGTCTAATCTCTTGATAGATACCAGCATCCAATCAGTTCCACAGGGTGCTTGTAGAGAAAAAAAAAAATCTGTTCAGTCTTCACCTCTGAAGACATCCATAGAAGTTTTCTTGTTCAGAAAAACAACATAAGAAGCACCACATCACCATTTTCCCTCAATTATTTGGGAGGAAACTAGAAAAATAAGACTTGGAAGATGGCAAGTTCAAAAGGTTTTCAATTTCAGACTTGTAAGCATTGGTTTAAAAATTGTAAAGATGAAACCCAGGCTGCAACATACAAAACTTGGGGGAAGATTTACCTTGGGCTTAATTATGTCTCCACCAAAATTTATATGTTGAAGTCTGGAATACCAGTACTTCAGGATTTGACTATATTTGGAGATAAAGTCTATGAAGAGGTAATTAAACTAAAATAATGCCATTAAGATGGATCTCAACCTAATATGGCTATTGTCCTTACAAGAAGAGGGAATTTGGACACAGACATACAAAGAGATAACCACGTGAAGACACTGGGAGAAGATGGTTATCTGTAAGCCAAGGAGAGAGGCCTCAGAGGAAGCCAAGCCTCCTGATACCTTGATCTCAGCTTCTAGCCTCCAGGACTGAGAGAAAGTGGCTTTCTGTTGTTTAAGCCAGTCAGTCCATGCAACTCTGCTATTACAGCCCCAGGAAACTCATACAATTCTCTCTAAAGGCACTGTAACATTTGCCAAACAACTAAAGAAGTACATTTAGATGTAGCATTCCCTCTCTGAACAGGTTTTCAATGACTACAAAAATGGTCAGTGTCTGGAAGCAGATACATTCTAGGAAAAAATATAAATATAGTATGCATATATAGAGAGAAAAGAGAATAGAGAGATAGAGAAAGAAAGAGCGAGGCAGACTTTCTTCTAACCTCTTATTTTCTGTGATACTTTAAGAGTGTCAAACTCCACTCAGTGAACCACATAATTTTTAGAAGTAGCCCTTGGGTGTTGTTAAGAGATTTATTTACCCATTCTCCAAATATTTATTGAATTCCCACTATGATACACTATTCTAGGCACTGTAGGTACAACTGTGAACAAAATTACTGCCCTAGTGGAGTCTCCACTCATGGAATCAGGAGACAAACAAGTGAGTACATCTATAGTGTACCAGGCAGTAATGCATGCTAAGGAGGAAAATAAAGCAGGGAAAAGGAATTAATTGTTGGGAGTTATGATTTTAGACAGAGTGTACAGGGCATGCTGGTTACTGGCCCAGTGTTTTTCTCCTTTCTTCCAGTCCTTCCATGCTCAACTCTCTGCAGCAGGGGCCTGTAAGCCTGCAAATTACATTTCCCACAGTCCCTTGCAGCTGGGAGCCAGTAGGCTCCCGCAATGGGTGTCAAGGAATGGAGAAAAGAGAAAGGCAAGAGGAAGGGGAAGCGACATTCTTTCAGCTCCTGATGGTGTTTTAAGCAACTGCAGCTACCACAGCAGAGTGTAGGGCTGCTGAGTCCCTGCTCAGATAATGATACCAACAGCAGTAGCTGCACAGCACTTAATGCCTCTGGCAGCCGTGATATCAGAAGCAAATCTCTTCTAGCTCCTGAGTGCCAGAGGGAGTGGGAGAAGATCCAGCAGCAGCCTGTCTGTGGCACAGAGAGCCTGGACTCTGGTTACACCATCTCCCCTTATGCCTTCAGCCCTCCTGCTGCAGCTAATCTCTGCATGAGCTCATCTATCCCTTCTGCTCCTCCAGTGTTTTCATTTTGTAACCAATCTCCTCTATTAAATTCTCTGAAATACCTACAGTTGTTCCTACGTTTCTGACTAGACATCAACCAAATGGTCTCACTCAGTAGGTGACATCTGAGTAGAGACCTAAAGAAAGAGGAATAGGCCAGGCGTGGTGGCTCAAGCCTGTAATCCCAGCACTTTGGGAGGCTGAGGTGGGCGGATCTTGAGGTCAGGAGATCAAGACCATCCTGGCTAACACAGTGAAACCCTGTCTCTACTAAAAATACAAAAAAAATTAGCCAGGCATGGTGGCGGACGCCTGTAGTCCCAGCTACTCGGCAGGCTGAGGTGGGAAAATGGCGTGAACCCAGGAGGTGGAGCTTGCAGTGAGCGGATATCGCGCCACTGCACTCCAGCCTGGGCGACAGAGTGAGACTCTGTCTCAAAGAAAAAAAAGAAAAAAGAAAAAGGAATAAGGTTTGTGACTATCTGCGGGGGAAAGCATTCCAAACAGAAAAAAAAAAAGAGCAAGTGCCAAGGACCTGAAGAAGAGCATGTCTGTTGTGCTAGGGAAGCAACAGGGAGGCCAGAAGAGTTGAGGCAGAGCAGGGAAAGAAGAGGGGGTAGAAGATTAGATCAGAAAGAGCCAGATCATGAAAGCCTCATGGGCCACTGAGATGGCTCTATTGCCCTCCAAAAGTCTAAGCATCCTCTACTGAATATGTGAAAATGACAAAATAAACTGGGAGTTGTCAGAACTCCAAAGGAATATTAGGGTCCAATGTAGGCCTGTTCCCACATTATGAAGATAAAGAAACAATGGGATCTATGATTTAGAGCAAGGGTTGGTAAATGATGACCCATAACCTAAATCCAGCCCACCACCTGTTTCTGTAGATAAAGTTTTTCTGACACTTAACCACAGCCATTCACTTACATATTGCATATGGTGGCTTTTGCATTACAATGATAGGGTTAAGTAGTTGCAGCACAGACCATATGGCCCACAAATGCTAAAATATTTCCTCCCTGTCTCTTTATTAAAAAAAGTCTGTTCACCATTATTTAGAGAGTTAGTTATCTCAGTAATGAAAAGGAGCTGAGTTCAGAATAGGAAAGTCATCTTACATGGCTAATGAAAAACGCTGTAGCCCTTACCTACGTATGTAGTCCTGGTATGAGAGAGTACAAAGATGAGAAGACAGAAACTTCCAAGCATCACCACGTTTTTCACTTCAAAGTAGTCTGGATATTGTCAGGTACATATCACTGAGTATCAGGTGGTGATTGGGACAATAAAGAGAGACATTTAAATTGGCCAGTGACACGAGCTCTTCAGCAAGATGACACTTGCTTAGAAGTTATCAGAACAAAACAGAAGCTGATGTCCAGGACATAGTGAAAATTTAGAAAAGCTGGACAAGAGAAGCCTTCACAGCCTTTGGAAAGACAATTCGAATCCTAAACCCTGGGGCAAGGAGAGGGAAGATTGCATGCCCAGGTCTCACTCTGTCCTCCCCACTATACCTTCACGAAATGAGAACCCTTCCCTTCTTCATCTTTCTTTCCTCTGCTTAGGTTCCACCCCACTCTGAGCACTGAGGTAGAATAGCAAAATTCACCTTTAAATATGGAAATTCAGCTCCTCATTTTGTTAAAATTATACAGAACCAGAGACTAACATTTGCATTTCACAGTCTCCAGATTCTCACAGACCTTGATGAGCCAAGAGGCAGTTAACACCAGTATTCCTGGGTAAACTGGCTTTTCTATTGGCAAATAAATCTTTTTATATTAAGGTGAAACAATAATAATCATTTTAAACAATCATGTGGAGTGTGATTACAAAATAGCTCATTTGGAAAGAACATTATCAGCTTATGAGATCCTCAGAGATTCTAAAACGGAAGGTGCTACGAATAAAACCAACTGTTATGGGGCTTTGTCATTTCCACAGCACATGAAGGCAAAATTCACACTTTAATACTGTAATGAGAAAACAATGCAAATTCTGATTAAGTAAAAAGTGAAAGTACTTGTTACAGCCAAGCCTAGCATCTCTCTTATCCTTGCTGGCATTACAGAGGAATCAAGGGGGGAATCTTCTAACCTTCTAAGGCGCCTCAGGTACCATTCAGGTCTGCATACTCAAATTCAAAGCATTCATCCTTTGGCGGCTGGGTAATAGGAGGGGTTTGCCAGCAAATGCAAACAATTATACCTTGCAATACTCCACTCACTTGCTATTTACCCAAGGTTTCCTGTAAGCAGAATCCCATCTGGCCCAGCTTAAGTCATGCTGACCTCGTTTCGATGGCATGTTTTCCATAGCAGTATAACCCCACTCACTTGGGCTTGTTGGTAAAATGTCAAGCCTGTGTTACACACAGAAGGGTCAAGAAAATTGAGTATTTTTCCTAAGATATCTCTGTATTACTTCCAAGTACTATAGTAACTCCTAGAACATGAAAAAAAAATAAAACTAGCACTCATTTATTTGACAAAGGGTAATTGAACCCCATTCTGTACCAAATGCTGTCCAGGTGCTGAAGCTGCAACTGAGATTTTTTTCTTCGTGGAACTTTGTATCCAACAGAGATGGGAAAAATGAGCAATCATCAGATTTATGGTCTTCTGTGAAGATGGCACGAAACCTGTCTCCTCCTGAGCATGGCAACCATCCCCCTTAATCTTATTTACACAAGGGCAAATATTATTTACCCTTCTTTCATAGAAAAAATTAAAGGTAGTTTTGAGCAAAGCCATTATCCAAATCATGAAATCTTGAAATCAAACGAATGCAATTTAATTCCTAATTGCAATGGTAAAGACTTTATTAACTTCCTGAGCTATCCATGCATACTTTTTCAGTTCATGTTGGTGTTTTCCTATTGCCACACACATCAAGCTTGCTTCTCCCAAAAACAGAAATTGTAGCTGCTTGGAGAATATATTCTCATTCTAATCAGACATTTACATCTTTATTTTCTCATCTTCTGCTCCCTTCTATCCCACTACAATCTGGCTCCTGCCTCCATCTTGCTGTGTGACTCTTTCTAAGTTTATTAATGACTTCCCCATTGCTAACTTCAACAGACCTGCTTCATGCCTCAGCTGACTTAGCTCTCTGGTGCATTCAATATAGCTTACCATCTGCTTTCATGGCACTGCATTCTTGCAGTTTTCCTCTTTCCTTCTTGGCCTCCTTTGCCCACTAATTCCCTCTAAAATGTTGATAGTCCTCAAAGATGTCTCTACAATCTCTTCTCCCAGTTTCATACCCTTCACTTAACTACCATCTCTATGCCAATAACCTGCAAAGTGATGTGTCCGACTCATAGCTCTCTTCTGAGCTAAAAAACAATATGCTCAACTCTCTACTTGATTTTTCCCCTTGGTTATATCACAAGTACCTCAAAATCAACATATGTAAAACTAAATTCTTGATCTTATGCCCAAACCCATTTTTCTTCAAAGTCTTCTGTCTCTATGAATGGCATAATCAGTTTTTGCAAACCAGGTCAGAGACAGTCTTCCTCCTTCCTTACTCGTGACACCCTAAACAATGTCGAGAACCATTGATTCTTCTTTCTAAATAACTCCAGGGCAAAGCTCTCCAAATCCACTACCACCACTATAATCCAAGCCAAGATTTTCTTTTTCATGGACCACTGCAAGCTCCATCTTCCATTTTTATCCCTTTTTGATGGATTCTGCACATTATAGCCAGGGTAATCTTTTAAAACACAAACTCAATAATGTTGCTCTCCTGCTTCAAGCTTTTCAATTACTCTCAATTAGTCTTAGAATAAAATCCAAACTCTTAACCTGGCCATGCCAATAAGGCATCTGCCCTTTTTCTTCACTGTTCAGCCAAACTGACCTTTCATTTCCTCAAATCGGTCATACATCTTCCAAAGGACCATCTTCCATTTTCCACATGACCTAAGGTCCCTTGCACGTACTGTTCCCATCACACAGACTGCTCTTCCCACTCCTTTCAAATTTCAATTTAAATACAATTTCTTCTCAAATAAATACTCACTGATTCCCAAACTGTAAGCACCCCCTTCTTCCAAGCATAGAAGATCTCATTGTGCTTTTCCTTTTTAACTGTTATAACAATTATAATAAAAGGATAGATGCATGTTTCACATGCAAGAATGTCAAATCCATGAGGGCACATAAAAACGTGACAAGCACATTTCAAATAATGAGTCAGTCAGTGAATTAACGACTACAAGAATGTCAAGAACTTCCTATATGTGGGGTATGGCAACCTATGACTAACAGCCCAAATACCACATGCCTAGTGGTTTGGTGAGATCTCTCTGCATTTTCTATCAAATACAGGAGAAAAAATGTTGCTTTGTCTTCACAAGCAGGTAAGCAACAGGAGAAGATGCATGTTTTCAGTTAATTCATGCTCAAATTTAATTACTTTATCAATTAAGTGTTTTCTCCCAGCCCTCTTTATCTTCTCTCCATGACATAAGCAGCCAAGAACTCAATGAGAAAAAAGCATCCTGTTACATCAGACCCAGTCCTGGTTGGCTTAAAACAGTCTCCATCTATCCCATCTCAGCTCACCTTTATATCTCATCTACTCTACAAGTGTATACCAAAAATGTTTAAAAATCCAACTGTTGATATCAACCTTGACTCCATTCTGTTTCATCTGCTTTGACCTCCCTTATTAGTTCATTTTCATACTACTATAAAGATACTATGTGAGACTGGGTAATTTATAAAGGAAAGAGGTTTAATTCAGCCACAGTTCCGCATGTCTGGGGAGGCCTCAGGAAACTTACAATCATGGCAGAAGGTAAAGGCGAAACAAGGAAATTCTTCACATGGTGGCAGGAGAGAGAAAGAGGGGGAAATGCCACACTTTTAGACCATCGGAGCTCATGAAAACTCACTCACTGTCACAAGAACAGCATGGGGTAAACCTCCCCCATAATCCAATCACCTTCCACCAGTTTCTTCCCTCAGCACTTGGGGATTAAATTCAAGATAAGATTTGAGTGGGTACACAGCGCCAAACCATATCACCTCCTATCTCTGTTCTTACATTTTTCAGATCTCCAACTCCTGATCTGCCCTCAGTAACTCACTATCCATCTTCAGTGTCCTACTGTATCAGACCCCTTGCTCCAGTGAGTCAGGTAGCTATTTCTGTGTAGCAAATGAGTTCATATTCAAGTGGCTTACAACAAAAAAACACTTAGTATGTCTGAAGTGTCTGAAGGTTGGCTGGAGTAAATTGATTTACATTTAATTCAGCCAGAGGCAGCTGTGTTCCGCACGCCTCTCACCCTCCTGCTGAGACCAGTAGGCTCACCTGAGCATGTTGTTCTCACAACAAAGGTAAAAATGCAGGAGGTTGAGGTCCCACTGCACGAGTCCAAGTTGAAACTCTGCTCATGTTATATGCTAACATCCCATAGGCTAAAGCCAGTTACAGCCAAGCCCAAAGTCAAGGAGTAGAACTGCCACTATTCCACTGCAAAGCTGCAGAGAAAAGGGTATGGATGCAGAAAGGGTTGAAAATTAGCCTAAGGCTTCAATCTACCACGTTAAAGACAATCCTCGTGTTGCACATGCAGCATAGGTCAGAGACACTCTAGTATCCCTCTCTCTCTGTACTCCCTTAGGCCCCTTAGCTGGCTCGGCTTCCTGGCTGGTCTCATCTTCAGAAAGAATAGACAATATGTCCATGATGACTATTTGATAATAAAATCCGAAGATATTGGCAAGATTTTGGATGTTCTACTTTAAATATTTTCTAAGCTGAGTTGTTATCTCTTGACAGAGTGGAATTTACTTTGAAAGAAAACTCGAATAATATGAGGGTTTTGTGCTATTTTGGTATTATTTATGCCCTTGTTATGCAAAGTGTGGTCTATGGACCAGGAGGATGGGCAATCGCTTGTGAACCTGTTAGAAATACAGATTCCCAGGACACACTCCAGACCTACTGAATCAAAACCTGCCTTTTGACAAGATCCGCAGGCGATTTATATGCATGTGAAAGATTGAGAAATACTAGACTGTACCAAGATTCTTTTAATCAGGGAAATGCCAATAGGTAACTTTGAAAATGATGATGACTGAAAGACTATATGACCAGTCTTTATAGAGGTAGAAACGGACAACAAATAGCAACGTTGCTGTTGCCATTAGGTTATTAGACTCAGAGCTTTGGCTTTCAAAATCTCCCCTGGGAAGGTGGACAGTGCATTCCTCAGTGAACAGTCTATTTCTTTTGAAATCATAAAATTTCAAACAAATTACAAGAAAGGTCAGGCTGAAAATTAAAGCTATAATTTTATTGGGTGACTCCTTTCTGGAAGACAAAGCTGTTTTCCTTCACTACATTGCTTTTATTGAATTTCTGGTTCATTTAAAAGGGAAAAAAAATAAAAGGTATACACATAATGAATGGGCATATACAGTCTGGTTGAGTAAAAGAAAAAGTATAAAAGATTCTTATTAATTGGCAAATTATAATGGATGACGAAAATAACTGTAATTGTGTAGAAAAGACAAGCATCCAAGCAATTTTCTTATTAGGAATAATGTAGGCAGGAAATGTGAAAAAGGAAGTGCACTTTCAAATTCTACTTATCAGGGGAAAATATGCTAAATGTAATCTGGACAACGGCAATATATACAGTAAAATAAATGTTAACAGTTTCCTTGTGCCCCTTGAAATTCATCCCTCCCTCCACTGCTGTACCAGGCAATCACTTACCTGCTTTCTGACATTAAAGATTAACTTACATTTTTTAGAATGTTGTATAAATGAAATCATATGTTATGTACCCCTTTTTTGGCCCAGCCTGTTTTACTCAGAATAATGATTTTGAGAGTCATTCATGTTGTGTGTGTACCCACAGTTGATTCTTTTTGATTGCTAGGTAGTTTTTCATTGTATGAGTATAACATCATTTGTTAATGGATATCTGGGTCATTTCTATCCAGGCTATTAGAAATAAAATTGGCATGAGAATGTGGATATAAGTCTTCACATGGACATATGTTCTTATTTTTCTTGTATAAATACCTAGGAATGGAATGACTGGCTCATACAACAGGTGTTTGTTTAACTCTTTTAAAAAACACTGTCAAGCTTTTGCTAAAGTGGCTGTACATTTTATATTCCCACCAGCAGTGTGTGAGAGCTCTGATTCCTGCCATCCTCATCAACACTTGGTGTCGTCAATCTTTTTAATGTTAGCTATTTTAATGGTTCTGTAGTATCATCACCCTATGCCCTATGTTTTTCATTTGCATTTCCCTAAGGAATAATTATTCTGCCCATCTTTTCATGTCCTTATTGCCCATTGGTATATTTCTTTCTGAAATGTCTGCTCAAATATTTAGCCCACTTTTACTGGGATATTTTGCTTCTTCTTATTCGGTTGTACAAGTTCTTTACATTACAGATACATGTTCTTTGTCAGATACATGGTATAAGAAAAGACTTAAGGTCCTTTCTGGTTGTCACATTTTAATATTCTGTGATTTGGGTATAATCCTGAGTATTCAGATACCTGTATTTATAGAGTTAACTAGTGGAATAAATATTTTATTTTTCAAGCAACTATTTGCACTTTATGCAGATGTAATCCAATCAAAATGAATACATAGAATGTAAAGGATTCCAGAGGCCTTTGTTTATTTATTTTGTTTCTTAGGACCACCGTGGTTTAAAATGTAGAGTGTGGCTTTAGCCAATTAACAGCAACTTTTGTCCATTGCCCAGCAGCTGTAGAAGAGATGAGACTTATTCTGAAAAAGGAGAAAAGGCAAAAATCATAAAAAAGGGAATCTTTTCTTATTTAGGGGCCCAAACAAGTACATGCCCCAAAAGGCCAGAGGAGCTACCTGAATAGCCTGATAGGCAAAGAGCATCATGAAGGGGATTTGTGAGAGATCCCAGACATAAAATAAAAGCAGGTCTCCCAGGGAGATCAAATGGATGGGCTCGGTTCCTGGTCAATGTGGCCCCGGGAGCCAGCAAGAACAGAGAGATGGCCAGAAAATGCCAGCATCTCCGGATTCATGCAGCTAAGACCAGTGTCCCTTGGGACACCAGGGCCTGTGATGCCTCTTTAAGTACTGGGACTATGTCCAGCACCATTCTGTAGCTTGAGGCCAAAGAAGGAGCCAAGATAGGAATCCTGCCTCCAAGCAGCTCACACTCTAGGGAAGGCAAATAACTACAAAAGAAGGTGTCGCCTAGGAAAAGAATCCAAGGGCAGCTCAGGGATGTGGTGCAGGTCAGCATGACCCAATCCCTGGACCAACTGGAGGCTTCAGAGCTCAGCACCACTGAGCAGAGTAGAGCAAAGTCCACTCAATCTGTGATGCACCATGGCTTTTCTGCCAACCCATAGCAGATGTCCTTCTTAAGTGGAAGACTCAAAGCAGCAGACTATGAGAAAGACTCAAGGACAGAACCACAAAACACCATGATGCCAGCAATCCTGATGGTATTAGTTAGGGCAGAAAGCCTCACATTTCAGAAAATGAACTTAAACTGCAGAGAGACATAAGCCCCAAGCTGTCTTCCAGTGATTAGGCTGTTTCTTGACATAAAGGTCCTGTCACAAATGAAAGCTTGGCAAATCAAAGGTAGAACCTAAGAAAAGAATGACCCCAAAGAGCCCAGAGTCAGAGATGGTACTTTGCCTCTAGCCACCGCCCTTGACTAAAAGAGTGTGCTTGTCCCAAGCAAGAAGGTCTTTTTTTTTTTTTAAATAATTGCTGTAATTAATTAAACATACACCTAAGTTCACTGTTTGGTAAGACTCCATAAAAAATTGTTTAGATTCTTCTTACACCATTCCTTTATGTGTTTTCCCATTAAAAAATCATATTCAAGTGTTGATAAGGTAAAAATACCTAGATATGTCTGATTGATTGCATCATTTGGAAACAGCAGAATGTATTGAAAGACATCTGGTAGCTCAGAGTCTGCAGTGGTTGAGAGGCTGTGCAGCAACCACACTTCTGAACTGCGCCAGCAGAGGTCCCACTGCTCCTGGGACTCAGACACTGCAGCTCAGTCCACAGTCAGGCCTCAAACACCAAGAATCTCCCCTACACCTGCCTCCAAAAGCCGAATGCCTCTACCACCACTATTGCCAGTAAATGGACTTCGTGCTCTGCTGCTTCCTCTGGTCACTTCACATCAAAATCTCCTCTGTGTGTGCATCTTATTGGTGGGGAGCCTAAGCCATATGACTGCATCCGCAAGAGAGGCTAGGAAAATGTACGACCGGCTCCCACCTTGGGTGGAAAAGAGTCCTATTATGGGAAATTATCCAAACAGAAAGGCTTTTCAGAAAATCCTGTATGTCCACGAAACATAATAAATGATTCTCACTAACGTTCAATTTTTTCTTTCTTTTTTTTTTTTTTTTTTGTCTCTTATCAGAGGTTCAAGTCAAGTTGCAGCCTCAATTGCTGCCAGGAAATGATGGGAAAAAATGAGTCTGAATTTTTGTTGCCAGAGAACAAACCTACACTCATTTTAAAGAGCTTTTGTCTGCTCCACACACAATAATGATTAGCTAACAATCGCTATTGTGTTTTGGAAAGTATGTTGAGACTTGTAAAAAAAAATACTTCTATACTTCTGTGGGAGCAAAACTAAATGTCTGAACAATGATAAATTCATTGGAGGCCACAGAGAGTGGAAAAGTTCCAAAGAATAGCAAAGGCTATTTTTCAGATAATAGCAGGCTGAAAAGAAGGTCATGTTGGCAAGATAAAGACACTTTCATAAAAAAGAAGATCAAAGCAACCTATTGAAAATGAATCTATACTATTCATATCACCAAGATGTCATTTAATTCTCTGGTTTGATTCATGAAATAAAGATTAATGATTTTAAACCAGGAGAGAAGGGTCAAATTGTCAGGGTGGATGGATAGCTGTAATATCAGATAAATTCTGATATTACAGTGAAGTCAGTTCAAAAATACTCAAGTACCGCCCCGCCAGCTGCCCCGTCTGGTAGGGAGGTGGGGGGCAGCCCCCGCCCGGCCAGCCTGTCCGGGAGGGAGGTGGGGGGCGCCTCTGCCCGGCCGCCCCGTCTGGGAGTGGGGGCCCCCTCTGCCCGGCCGCCACCCCGTCTGGGAGGTGTACCCAGCAGCTCATTGAGAACGGGCCATGATGACGACGGCGGTTTTGTCGAGTGGAAGGGGGGGAAGTGTGGGGAAAGGAAAGAGAAATCAGATTGTTGCTGTGTCTGTGTAGAAAGTAGACATGGGAGACCCCATTTTGTTCTGTACTAAGAAAAATTCTTCTGCCTTGGAAAAAAAAAATACTCAAGTAGGTATCTGTCTACATTTATGGAAAATATTACACATTTGAAAAGATATATATAAACATACACACACACCCAAGCAGTAAACTGCTTTGTTTGTGGACAACAGCATCAGTAAAAACATGAGGAAATTAACCCTAACAGGCAAAGGTAGTTGACATTTTTCAACTAACTTTTTCCAGGAAAAAAAAAAATCTCAGACCTTCTTTCTTCTTAACAATACCTCATTACTTAGGATGCTTCAGTGTTACTCAACTGTCTTCATAGTCCAAAAGATATGAAGAAAACCATTTAATATCCAGATTGACTTTACGATTCTACACAGATGCATTTTGTATAAATTCCAAACTATATTTACTGTGTATTATAAATATAAAATATATATTCTTTAGATGAAATATTTAGATGAAACTTTATTTTTTATTTTTAAAAATGGCAATAAGTATAAACAGATATTGGGTACTTGACACATGAAACAGCTACCAAAGTTTATGTTACAATTAAGTTCTTATGTTCTTCAGTGGGGTTATGTGCAAAGGTTCAGACTAGTAGTAGATGTCTCTTAAGTGAATTTCACATGTGAATAAAAGTACTTTGATCAAAATCAATATCTTAAGCTTTAAAAATATGCTGAGAGTTAGTTTTAGAACTGTCAGAAAGCTTAGGAAATGTAATTATTCAGTCCACATAGGTAGTTTCTTAAAGAGTCGTTTTGTTAAAAGATATTCTCCTTTTAACAAAGGTGTGGCTGTCTGACTGGACAAACCCCTGACCATGACCAGGCTTAGCAAGCAGCCCGCCTCCCAAGTTCAGCACCCTTTGTTCTGTTCCTAAGGAGCAACAGGAATCCATATAGCCAGAACCCATAGCTTTTCAAACAATTATTTGAAAGTAATGGGACTTCACATATCCCAAGCTTTCAAAAGAAGTTTTCAAATAAACTTCACCTATTACACTGCAAAAATTCACATAGCAACCTCTTTCCTACCTCTGTTGACCTGGAGGCTGGGCTGGCCCCACAAAGGGAGCTTTCATAATGGGAGAAATGTTCTCCAACCTCAAACTGCCATTCTCCTCATCATCTGCAGAGGCAAAGATGAATGGGAAGAGTGGGTCACGATTTCCTGATACAGGCGCTAATCATGCTGGTGACATTAAGCCTGGACAGAGAAGAATTACACCCACAGCCAGATGGAGAGAGTGCCCTTTATTTGCAAGTTTCTGGGTATGGAGAGCTGGTGTTGTGCAAAATGGTAAAGCTAGGAGAAAGTTCACCGCACCTTGGCACACTCTTGCCTACCTCCAAGTGCCCTGGGTTCTCCCATTATTCCCTACAAGGAGAGCACCCTTACCTGTCTTTCAGCTGCTCTGAGCCTTTGGTTCTACATCTGTAAAATGAAGATGAAAATGTAACAGGGTAGGTGTCTGTGAAAGGAACTATAATAGGTAGACATGCTAGACTAATGTACATGCTAGACTAATGTAAGATAGTTTTTATTTCCAACAATCAGCACAAATGATATCAATCTAGTACTGTTGATCATATCTTCTGGTTGCTGTGTTACGGTAAATCTAATCAGCCTAGTTACCAGGTCTCATTAAGACCACCACCTGTTCCCCCTGGCTCTGGAACCCAGCATAAATGACTCAGAACTGTGGCTTTATAACACATTTGTGATGGTACCATGTACTCAGCTCTTACTATGCACCAAGCACTGTGGTAAGGATTAAACACATGCAAACTAATTTAACCTTTGCAACAAACAGCCTGAGGAGCTAGAGGGGAGGGGAGAGAGGAAAGGAGAAGGTCTTTCTAGTGCTCTTCAAATCACTTGCAGGCAATTATCTATTCTGTCTATTTAAAGGACCAACGTGTTCTGGGAGCTTGACCAGGTAATTTTATTTGTTTTAGACTAAGTTTCCTCAACTGGAAAACAAAGGCTAGATGATATCTGTAGTTCTTAACATCTCTAACCTTGCAGACAATTACTTAAGGCAATACCACTCTTGTTGCAGAACACAGGAGTCCATTTGAGTTAGTTCATGAGAAATAAATTTACCATAGTATGGTCAAGGCTAAAACTGGAAAGTGGTGGGTCCTGAGAAAGCCCTGCGGCCAGTCCTTCTATCATGGAAACTCTGCTTCTCTCTGGGCTTCTGTTCTCTTATTCTCTTTATTCTATCCGTCTGGGCTTTCTCTCATAACCCTAATAATGTCAGTTTGCATTTCAGTTTTCCCATTTTCTTCCCCATGCACTCTATGGCCTTTTGCTCCCTGTCATTAGCTGATTCAGTCTCCGTTTTCCAGTTCTGAGAAAATAATCTGGTTGGTCCAAGCCGACCTCAGGGTCCTAGGTCTGTTCATCCTATGGACTGGCTGCTTCTGGGTCAGGACCCAGCCCTGAAGCATTCAGCTGTGATGAATGAGGGGGAGGATCCACCTAGCACAAAGCATAGTCTTTCTCCTCAGCAAGGAAGTTTCCTTGAGAAGGGGAAATATTCAGTAAGGACACTGGAATATCTATAGCATGGCTACTAAACCACATCAATATCTCAATCGATTAAAAGATGTGTTTTTACCAGTGAATGGCAACCCCACACACTGCTGAGGCTTGAAAACACACACACAAACACACACACACACACACACATATACACACATACATGAAGGAGCACCTACTGTGTATCTGTACAATTGCAAACACAAAGCATCCTGCTTTTCTACAATGCCTGAGAAAGAGAAAAGCAGCCCCTGGCATCCAGGACCTGACAGGGCATTACTGGCTAGACCTTGGTGTTCTCCTGTTGAAAATAAACAATTTCACAGAACATTAACATCAGACAAAGCCACTCCATAACCAGACACGATCAAGACAAAAACAGGACCATTATGTAATTATGTCTGAACACAAACAAAGCGTGACGATGGCCCAGACCACAAAAATAACCAGACAGCCCCTTTCCTGACTAACATGAGTGAGGGCTTCTTCTTTATCAATTACAGCTTCAGCCTCACTCTAATCTGTTCTCCCTCTAGATAAGATTACTTAAGGTATGCATTCATTGCCCACTGCTTGACAGCCTCCAATCCAGAGAGAAGCCTCCTCAAAACCTTGACACAAAGCCAAATCTTATAGAAGTCCTTCCTGACACCCCCTTACTGAGATACCCTATAGTTCCCTGTGGAACAGTTCTCCTTCCCTCCTGTGAGAACTGAACCCCAGTTGTTCAATGGCAGGTGTGTTCCTGGTGGAGGACATTCTGCTGGAGGACATTGACATGCTCTATAGCCTAGCAAGTATTTTCACTTACATGAAATTCACTTATTTAACCTAACATTTGCCCTGTGAAAGCAGCATCACTAATTAATAAGTGAAGAAACTGAGGCTTAAAAAAGGTTACTCAAGGTGCACTTTGGGTCATCATTAAAGGTCAAATTTGAGCATAGGGTTGCCTAATTCCAAACCTAGTGCTCCTTATTCCAGAGGGAGATAACCTCCCTAATGTGACTATTTTCCTGGCAATGATTATAGAAGCCAAAGACAGTTGCATTTATAGTAGTCTGTCTCTGTCACCTCTGTCTCTATCTCTGTCTTTCTCTCTCACACACACATACCCTCTCTTCCTGCTCTAAAAACCAAGATAAACAACAAAAACTATCACATTTTTACCCAAAACTTTTGATCAGTCAGAATCTGAAGCTTGGATGGAAACAAGGGCCAGTGACATAATTTAGGAGAAAATGTCAGTGGCACTTGGAGATACCTGCTCCAGATGACGTGCAGCCCCTGGGGATGTCTTCACCTCTGTGCTGCCAGCCTGGGTCATGTTGGCCACATACTTTTCTTACCCTGTCCTCTCCTCTCTGCAAACTGGCACAGATCCAGTCTCTATTACTATTCAAGTGAGTGGACAGGAACCAATTCCTCCTCTCAAACTTTTCATTTAAATGGAGGTGAAAAGTCATCCTAATGTGTACTTACTGTGAAGAGTTGCCCCTATAAATGGAGTACTGAATGACAGAGTTAATAAAACATTGAAAAAGAGGCATTTTCTCACCTGAGAACTTAATTGCTACAGCAAATTTAACAAGGAGCTCTTGACATTCTATTTCATAAAGAGTATTTTATTCTCAAATTGTACCTTTGATTTTTATACTACAGGGTGAGGGCCCGTCAATGGCCATGGGGAGCATTTCTCTTCCTAAATACCAAGGTGTAATTTATGCACGTCAAGACTAGAACTAATTTATTTGGTTTACAATATAACTCGAAGTGCCTTTAATTTATGTCCTTATAATTTTGAAAAATTAACTTTCAAAATAAATGAAACCATTACCCATCTTCACAAATACAAATATATCATGAGATTTTGTGCAGGTCAAGGGCTCAAGTTATGACGGTGAATGCCCATTGAAGAAGGTCCTATCTTCCCCCCTCTGTAATAGTTTAAACCTGAAATATGAATAATAGAATAAATATTTTAGGACTTATTTTTTAAGCAAGTCTAAATAGGGGTTTAATTTTGCCATACTAAAAGAATTTTAACACAGGATTTTATATGATAGAATGAGTATACGTTGTTTTTAACAAAAAATATTTTTGAAAATATTACTGATTTCATTAACACATAGTGGTTAGGTGTTGATCCCATCAATCAGCAGCTCAGCACAAAATAGGTGACACACTCAATATACATATTCCTTGGAGGGTTTGTTCACAAGGGCACAGTTTACAAAGGTGTAGGGTAGGGCAATCACAAGGGGTGGTGGTGGACCCCCTGGGCTAGAAGTAATAAAGCTCTTTTTATCTGTCTGCTCTTTTTAAAATGAGCAAGTATTGCATTCTAGTAAAAACAGACAATAAAAGAAATTTTATTTTGAAACACATACACCATTATCATTCTGACTTTATCTAGTTTCAGGGCTTATAAACACTATATTGGTTCTCAATTTTCTCAGACCTCCATGGCTCCATAAAATCCAGATGTATTTGTTATAATTAGGTTTTGCTGCATGTGACCCAAGTGACCTCAAACCCAAATTAAGAGGGGCTTAGAACTGAGAAAGTTTTATTCTCTCCCATAAAATTTCTAGACATGAGTGTCTAGGGCCAATATGTGGCTCTGCAGATATTAAGGGACTCTGTCACCTTCCAGCCTTCTGCTGCATTGTTTCTGGAATGTGGCCACTTCTGTGAGGTCCAAGATGACTACTGGAGTCTTGGCCATTTTATCCCTATTCTAGCCAGCAGGAAGGAAAAAAGACAAAGGAAAAAAAATGTGTTCTTCCCCCTTAAAGACATTTGCTTGAGTTGTGTATACCACTTTTACTTGTATCCTGCCTATTGGCTAGATCTTAGCAACGTGGCCACACCCAGCTGCAAAGGAGGCTGGAAAATGCCTTTATTATAAGAGTTAGATCCTTCACTAAAATTGGAAGTTCCATTACTGTAGGAGAAGGAAAAATGGATATGGGAAAATAACCAGCAATGTATGCTATTACATGCCATATAAAAGACATGATCCAGTTAAACTTTACCCAGTAATTCCTCCAAATAAAGCCACTGGTCTCATTTAAGACCTAACGTCCGAAATGGAGCTGATTTCCAAAACAGGTGAGGTCTACTCACGCTGGCCACCAAGCCCTCCTTGTTGTTCCATGCATGTGCCAGGCAGCTCAATGCCATTGAACTTACTTGCCCTCTGTTTGGAATGCTCAGATATTTACTTGGTTCATTGCCTCACTCCTTCACTTCTTCAGGTCTCCATGAAAATGTCACATTATCAGCAATACTTTACTCCCCACTCTATTTAAAATAGCAATTTAAAATAGTATTCCCCATCCAACACTCTCTACCTCCTGTTCCCAACTTGATTTTTGTCTTTTACATTGATTTATATCTCATACGGTATATGTTTTGAGTATTCACTCTCTGCCTCACCGCCTCTCAACTAGAAAGTAAAAACTCCATGAAGGCAGGAATCTTTTTCTGTTTTAGACAATTCATTTGTCCCCTGACCAAGAGCAGAGCTTGGCACATAATAAGTGTTCAACAAATATTGGATCAATGAATTAATGAACAAACAAATCTTATATCCCAGGAATCAACACAGTTGAATATGAATTTTATGCAAGAATAAATAAAACAGTTTCAGAGGTGGCTCATTAAATCCAGAACTCAATTTTGTAAGTAGTTATAGAGCTCTTTTCTCCATTAGGCTCTTTGCTAGGCAATAAGGAAACAATAGTGGGTAGAGGTGCTGCTTCATAAAACTTTCAACCTGATGAAGGAGAACCATATGAGTTAAATTGTCCTAAAAACAAATACAAAACTGAACTATGCCAGTCACTACTAAGGAGAGGGACTCCTTCCTAAGTCATCATTTGATTTTTCATATCACTTCATTTTTTTCTAATATCTTCCAATGAATCTTATTTAACTTCCTATTTGTCTACCTCTTTATTGTGTATCTTCCCCGACTGAAATAAATGGAGGTCCCAAAATAACGAAAATCTTGTCTTCCTCTTTTGCATATCCCTAGTACCCAGAATAGTTCCTAGCACTTAAAAAGGCATCTGTTAAATATTATTGAATGTGTGAATGAGTGAATAATGCTACGAATGCCTGGGAGGAATTGAGAAAGGTAAGGGGAGGATATGATTGATATGAGGAGTGAAGACAAGAAAGAGTTAACTGGGCAAATAAGGAGAGGAAGAACATTCCACTCAGAGGAAAAATGGCATGTGCACAAGCTCTGTTCAGCTCATGGTTTGTATACACAAACAACTTAACCCATCATTGGTTTTGTAAATAAAGTTTTATTGGAATACAACTACACTCATTCTGTATTGTCTATGGCTGATTTCACACTACAATGGCAGAGCTGAAAAGGCATAATTGAGTAATTGAGACAGAAACCAAATGAAATGCAAAGTTGAAAGTATTACCATCTGGTCCTCTACAGAAAAAGTTTGCTGACCATGATACAAAGGCTCAATGTTGGACTAAAATGTGGTCGGCAGTGCTGCTCAAAGTGTAGTACTCAGACCAGCAGCATCAGCATCCCCTAGGAAACCATCAGAAATGTACCTGTCAGGCCCCATCCCAGATCTACGGAATCAGAGTCTTGGGGAGCAGAAGTGCAGCAATCTGTGTTCTCACAAGCTCTCTAGATGATTCTAATACATGCTATCTGTTGTGGCAGCTAATAAGAGAAAAAGAAGAGTGTGGTGAGAGTTGAGGCTGCAAAAGTTGACAGAGGCTAGACCATGCAGGCATAAGGCCATGGTTTAGTTTTTATCTTAAGAACAATAGGAAGAATGCTTGTGATTTTTGTACATTGATTTTGTATCCTGAGACTTTGCTGAAGTTGCTTATCAGCTTAAGGAGATTTTGGGCTGAGACAATGGGGTTTTCTAGATATACAATCATGTCGTCTGCAAACAGGGACAATTTGACTTCCTCTTTTCCTAACTGAATACCCTTTATTTCCCTCTCCTGCCTAATTGCCCTGGCCAGAACTTCCAACACTATGTTGAATAGGAGTGGTGAGAGAGGGCATCCCTGTCTTGTGCCACTTTTCAAAGGGAATGCTTCCAGTTTTTGCCCATTCAGTATGATAGTGGCTGTGGGTTTGTCATAGATAGCTCTTATTATTTTGAAATACGTCCCATCAATACCTAATTTATTGAGAGTTTTTAGCATGAAGGTTGTTGAATTTTGTCAAAGGCTTTTTCTGCATCTATTGAGATAATCATGTGGTTTTTGTCTTTGGCTCTGTTTATATGCTGGATTATATTTATTGATTTGCGTATATTGAACCAGCCTTGCATCCCAGGGATGAAGCCCACTTGATCATGGTGGATAAGCTTTTTGATGTGCTGCTGGATTCGTTTTGCCAGTATTTTATTGAGGATTTTTGCATCAATGTTCATCAAGGATATTGGTCTAAAATTCTTTTTTGTTGTGTCTCTGCCTGGCTTTGGTATCAGAATGATGCTGGCCTCATCAAATGAGTTAGGGAGGATTCCCTCTTTTTCTATTGATTGGAATAGTTTCAGAAGGAATGGTACCAGTTCCTCCTTGTACCTCTGGTAGAATTCGGCTGTGAATCCATCTGGTCCTGGACTCTTTTTGGTTGGTAAGCTATTGATTATTGCCACAATTTCAGCTCCTGTTATTGGTCTATTCAGAGATTCAACTTCTTCCTGGTTTAGTCTTGGGAGAGTATATGTGTCCAGGAATTTATCCATTTCTTCTAGATTTTCTAGTTTATTTGCGTAGAGGTGTTTGTAATATTCTCTGATGGTAGTTTGTATTTCTGTGGGATTGGTGGTGATATCCCCTTTATCATTTTTTATTGCGTCTATTTGATTCTTCTCTCTTTTTTTCTTTATTAGTCTTGCTAGCGGTCTATCAATCAATGTACAAAAATCACAAGCATTCTTATACACCAACAACAGACAAACAGAGAGCCAAATCATGAGTGAACTCCCATTCACAATTGCTTCAAAGAGAATAAAATACTTAGGAATCCAACTTACAAGGGATGTGAAGGACCTCTTCAAGGAGAACTACAAACCACTGCTCAAGGAAATAAAAGAGGATACAAACAAATGGAAGAACATTCCATGCTCATGGGTAGGAAGAATCAATCAATATCGTGAAAATGGCCACACTGCCCAAGGTAATTTACAGATTCAATGCCATCCCCATCAAGCTACCAGTGACTTTCTTCACAGAATTGGAAAAAACTACTTTAAAGTTCATATGGAACCAAAAAAGAGCCTGCATCGCCAAGTCAATCCTAAGCCAAAAGAACAAAGCTGGAGGCATCACACTACCTGACTTCAAACTATACTACAAGGCTACAGTAACCAAAACAGCATGGTACTGGTACCAAAACAGAGATATAGATCAATGGAACAGAACAGAGCCCTCAGAAATAACGCCGCATATCTACAACTATCTGATCTTTGACAAACCTGAGAAAAACAAGCAATGGGGAAAGGATTCCCTATTTAATAAATGGTGCTGGGAAAACTGGCTAGCCATATATAGAAAGCTGAAACTGGATCCCTTCCTTACACCTTATACAAAAATTAATTCACGATGGATTAAAGACTTAAATGTTAGACCTAAAACCATAAAAACCCTAGAAGAAAACCTAGGCATTACCATTCAGGACATAGGCGTGGGCAAGGACTTCATGTCTAAAACACCAAAAGCAATGGCAACAAAAGACAAAATTGACAAATGGGATCTAATTAAACTAAAGAGCTTCTGCACAGCAAAAGAAACTACCATCAGAGTGAACAGGCAACCTACAACATGGGAGAAAATTTTCGCAACCTACTCATCTGACAAAGGGCTAATATCCAGAATCTACAATGAACTCAAACAAATTTACAAGAAAAAAACAAACAACCCCATCCAAAAGTGGGCAAAGAACATGAACAGACACTTCTCAAAAGAAGACATTTATGCAGCCAAAAGACACATGAAAAAATGCTCATCATCACTGGCCATCAGAGAAATGCAAATCAAAACCACAATGAGATACCATCTCACAGCAGTTAGAATGGCAATCATTAAAAAGTCAGGAAACAACAGGTGCTGGAGAGGATGTGGAGAAATAGGAACACTTTTACACTGTTGGTGGGACTGTAAACTAGTTCAACCATTGTGGAAGTCAGTGTGGCAATTGCTCAGGGATCTAGAACTGGAAATACCATTTGACCCAGCCATCCCATTACTGGGTATATACCCAAAGGACTATAAATCATGCTGCTATAAAGACACATGCACACGTATGTTTATTGCGGCATTATTCACAATAGCAAAGACTTGGAACCAACCCAAATGTCCAACAATGATAGACTGGATTAAGAAAATGTGGCACATATACACCATGGAATACTATGCAGCCATAAAAAATGATGAGTTCATGTCCTTTGTAGGGACATGGATGAAATTGGAAATCATCATTCTCAGTAAACTATCACAAGAACAAAAAACCAAACACCGCATATTCTCACTCATAGGTGGGAATTGAACAATGAGAACACATGGACACAGGAAGGGGAACATCACACTCTGGGGACTGTTGTGGGGTGGGGGGAGGGGGGAGGGGGGAGGGATACTTGGAGATATACTAATGCTAGACGACGAGTTGGTGGGTGCAGCGCACCAGCATGGCACATGTATACATATGTAACTAACCTGCACAATGTGCACATGTACCCTAAAACTTAAAGTATAATAAAACAAACAAACAAACAAACAAAAAAAGAACAACAGGAAGACATAACGTGTCAAGCAGTCAGATAGTATGAGCAAACTTGCAATTTGGATCACTCTGACTGCAGTGTGAAGAGTAAGTTGTAGGGGGCGCTAGAGTGCAGGCAGCGAGATCCGCTGGAGAGATGATCGTAGTTTGAATTCTGGAAGACATCGAACCACCATATTCTTGTTTCTCTCCTTTAACCTCGCTGAATGTCAGTTTTCTCGTCAGTAAAATGGGGATAGCAATTCATAAATGTGCAATGAGGTTTAAAAAATAAAATGTATATGACAAACCCAGCACAGTCTCTAGCACAAAATAGGGACTCAACTAATAGGAATTCTCTTCTTGAGATCTATTTTCTTTTGCTCCTGCTTCACCCTCATTCCTTCATCTTGAATGATGACTCTTGCACTCCACTTTGGCCAGTATACATTATGACAGCTTGGAAGTAGTTGAATACGATCCTATTTCCTTTTATCTCCAGCAATATTAGATTCTACCTTTATGATGAACTTTAAAATACTATGAAAAGCAATGAAAAACTCATTCATCCAAGACTTTAAACTAATTAAGGGAGCCCAGCATTAATACAGTCATTTGCAGGGAATTCTTTTTTGAAGAGAATAATTTTTCTTCATTTATAGCCCACTCTATTCCAAAAGGGATTTGAGATGGCTTCCAAAAATGTGCACGTCACAGAAAAATTAATTAAAAGGAAGAAAAATTAGACAAAAGGAAAAGAAAGTGATTTAGAGCTATAAGCTAATTCAGTAAACTCCCTATGACTGTGCCACTAATTTGGCTCTGAGTTTTCTAAAAGTCAATATGCCAAGGAAGTCACAGTAGGTTATGAGATTCAAGGTCCATACGACTAAAGCATACCAGTGTTCAAGAGGAGCTCTTAACACAGAGGCCAGAGAAAGATGCCTCCCCAGGGTCCCCAGAGTGAAGATACCAAATAATTTAACAAACAACATCCTTGGCAGCTTCCAGAACAGCCTTGAAGAATCACTTCCTAATTGCTATGTTTTGTAAAGCCAGGATTCAAGTTAGCATCCTCTATGATTTAAGTGGTCCCCTTGAGGGCAGAAGAATTAATGCTGATATTTTATGCTGCTATATTAGTTACTTACAAAGAGAACATGGAAGCTGAAAAGCCAGAGAGGTCTTTCAGCCTAGGGTTCTCAGGCTGTTTCTTGGATTCCTCAGGTTTTACAGAAATGCTTCAGAGGAACTGGGGTCCTGGAGGAGCATAAAAGAGATGCCAAAATCTTGTGCTCCACGTCCCTGGCTTTAGCCACAGCAACACTACTTTCTTTTTAAAAAGTTTGAAAGCCGCAAGGACCTCAGCACAGTGCAGCAGTTCAGTAAGTGAACTTTGGAGTCATTTGGAGGTCAGAGAGCCTGGGTTAGGATTCAAACTCAGGTACTTTAGCTGTGGGACTTTGGGCAAATTACTTCACCCCTCTGTGCCTTAGTTTTTTCCACCGACAAAGGAGGATATCAGTAGTACTTACCACATAGGGACATTGGGAACATTAAATTGTTTGATGCAGATAAAGCCCTTTAGCCGAATGCATGGTACAGAAAAAGTTCAACAGAGGTTTAACAGCAGGAGCCTGGGGAGGAGAAATATTAACCTCTTAATCTACTCCAATATCCCATGTATTAAGAAATTCCTGCTGTAAAAATATTCTGTCTGCATAAAGGCTACCCAAAATAAAAGTGTCCAGAAGTTGAAGTGACTTGCCCCAAATTACATTCCCACTAGCAGAACAGGTGCTTGAACCCAGTGCTCCTGACTTAATTTCCAATGTCCTGTCCACATAAAAAGGAGACTGCTTTCCATTTCTTATGACTGTGCTCCATTTTGCTCTAAATGCCTCACTGTACCCATTTCATGAAATCCAATATATGGAACAGCAAATGACTCTCATCTCACGGGTGAACTCCAACTGTTAATGGCTTTCTAGAGAAGGATTTTATATCATATTCAGGATTAGCACTATAGAGTTTGGCAATCAACTAGTAATGTCTGCTACTAGAAAGAAAAGGGGTAAGTTTGCATATGCATATCAATGAGTATCAGTGCTTTCAACTCTCCACAGCACATCTCCCCATTCCGAGCACACAATAGGCTGTTTGTCAATATTCAGAGAGTGACTCATAGATTTAGGGATTGTTTGCATAAGATATTTTGTAATCATAAAAATCAGTGGTGATAAATTTCATTGACCTTTTACAGAACATAAGGCAGGTGGTATTACTTGAGGCTAAGAATTATGAGTATTCAATTATGTACTTTCTCAAGATCCTCCAATATAGAGGAATGCCTTACTGGTTTTGGAAGGCCCATTGCCTGGAAAATGGAGAGAAACACTGCACTGATTTCTGTTGGGAGCATGTCCTTCTGCAAAAGTCCTAAATCAATTCAAGACTCTTACACAATGGCTGACTTCAACATTTATTGCCTCTGAAACTGGAATTGCTTATTTGCAAATAGTTTTGGCACTGCAGTTACTGGGTCCCTACTTTGCCCAGATGCTGTCCCACTAACTATAAGCCATAGGACAATGAATCGGAGTTGCTGGCTTCCAGCAAAGATACTAACGTCAGTTAAGCTCAACTAACTTAAGAACATGGATTGATCTAACATAAAGGCAGGAAAAGTGTTAATAGCATGTATGCTTGGGTCTGTTTATCCTCTCTGCTCCTTAAAATACTTTCTTGCTCAGTTGACAGGACAGGGCATCCTTGCCTGTTTCACTAACTGGGAAGTTTCAGTCTCTTTTCCTGGTTTTCCTTATCTTCCTAAGTTCAAACTGCTGACACACACTAGAGCCCAGTTCTTGGACTTCCTTCCCTGCATATTAACACTCATGTGTGGTGATCTCGTCCAGCCTCATGGCTTTACATGTAATCTATGTGCTATTGGCTCTTCAATTTACATCTCCAGTCCTGGCTTTGCTTCTGAACTCAGACGTATACATTCAACCACCTACCTAACATCTTCATTTGAATATCTAAAGCTATCTCAAATGTAGAATGTCCCAAACCAATTTCTGATGTTCCCTTGCAAACCCACTCTTACCATAGTCTTCTCATTACACTACATTACAACACATTCTATGTCAAACCCACCCTTTCAGTGGCTTAAACCTAAAGCATTGACTCCTATCTTTTGCTTATAACTCCTAACCAGTCCACCAGCAAATCCTCTCCATTATTGCTTCATCTTACCTACACTGTAACCCCTGCTCCACACCTCCACTGTACCTCTATCCTGTCTCACCTGAATTACTGCTTTATTTCCCCACTGAGCCTACACTTTTACCTTTAGCCACCTGTACGTCTCAACACAGCAGCTGAAGCAATCCTATCAAAGTGTAAGTCAAATAATTCAGATCAAGTCCAAACTCTCCAAGAGACTCCCATTTCCCTTGGAGAACAAGCCTAAGACAATGGGGAGAAACACTGCACAGTCTTTACAAGGACCTATAAGGTCCTGAATGATGTGCTGCACCTCTGTTATCTGCCTGCCATTACTCTCCCCGTTGTTCACTCTGCATCAGCCACACTGTCTCCTAGCTGTGCCTGAAACCCTCCAGACATATTCATATTTCTCCTCAGGACCCTTGCATTTGCTCTTCAAAATTATTTCCTCAAATATCCACATGACACAACCCCTGACTTCCTCCAGTTCTTCTATTCAAAAGTTATGTTCTGTAAGCCTTTTCCTGACCACCCTATCTAAAATTGTAAGCCCTACCCCAATACTTCCTATGCTTTTCCTTTGCCTTACTTTTTTTCTCCTTAGAATTTGTCACTATTTTTCTATATTTTTCATAATCAATTTGTACATTTAAAAATCTCTCCCACTGGCTGGGCGCGGTGGCTCACACCTATAATCCCAGCACCTTGGGAGGCCGAGGCAGGCAGATCACAAGGTCAAGAGATGGAGACCATCCTGGCCAACATGGTGAAACCCCATCTCTACTAAAAATACAAAAATTAGCTGGGTGTGGTGGTACACGCCCATAGTCCCAGCTACTCGGAAGGCTGAGGCAGGAGAATCGCTTGAACCCAGGAGGTGGAGGTTACAGTGAGCTGAGATCGAACCACTGTGCTCCAGGCTGGCAACAGAGCGAGACTCTGTTTCAAAAAAAAAAAAAAAAAAAAATCCCCGACTAAAATGCAAACTCCGTGAATGTAGACATTTTTGTCTCATATTCAATGCTGTGTCCTCAGCACCTGGAACACTGGACAACCCATAGTAGGCACTCAAGAAATATATATTCAACGAGTAAAGAAAAAAGAAGTTCAATTGCAGATAGGAGAAAAGCAGAGAGAATAGCAGGATGATAAGAAATAGCCTATATTTCAAGCCAGATGCAGCGGCTATTGCCTGCAGTTCCAGCAGTTTGGGAGGCCAAGGCAGGAAGATTGTTTGAGGCCAGAAGTTCAAGACCAGCCTAGGCAAAACAATGAGACCCTATCTCTACAAAAAATGAAAAAACTAGCAGGGCATGCTGGCACATGCCTGCAGTTCTAACTACTTGGGAGGCTGAGGCGGGAGTATCGCTTGAGGCCAGGAGTTCAAGAAATAGTCTATATTCCTGCAGTGAAAAACAACTAACATATTCAAAATGTATTCTCTAATCTTAGAAGACAGAATCTGGAAAAAAAATTGCAATGACAAAGCTATATAATGAACATGCTGTGCTTTTTATGCAATTTCTAATCATTTTTATTTAAATGTTTTATAAATATTTTTAAAAGCTTGATGAGTTTGCAAGTGCCTCAACATATTTAGAAGTTATTTTGGAACACTTCAAATGGTTTCAAAATCATTTTCAAAAAATTTCAACTCATCAGCAAGCTTAGAGAACAAACTAGTTTAATATCTAAAATGTTTTGAAATTGTGTCTTAAGATGTTTAGGTTTAGAATAGGGAAAGATTATTTGGAAACAGTTGTGAAAGCCAACTCTTCAAACTGATCATTTTGAAATTTAAAGTTCTTGTTATCTTGGTGAAAAAGGAGAGGGAATAAATCAAACATTTTAAAGTCACTTAGAAAGCAACATTTTCAAATTTCAGGGGAAGTAAATTGAAAGTGTGCAAGGATACTTTTTGCAGCCTTGTACTTAACAGTAAAACTTGAAAATATGTCTGTCAATAGAAAAACTGATAAATAAGTAAAATATTTAAAATATAATACAAAACATATTCAGCAAAGAATGTAAGTTGTGAAATAAGCAAATCATCATCCCGTTTGGTCTTTCCTAGGAAGTTGAATGTGTCTATAAAGCATACCCATGCATATCATATGGATGTCTGGAGGGTGCTGCTCCCTGTGAGAAAACATTTTAAATGGTCCATTCTCAAGGCATAATAAATCTAAGTACTGGCAGCCAGCCTGCGGACTTGACAAACCACATGGCTCATGCTCCTAGAAAGTCACGATAAGCGAACAGAATGTAGAGGAGGGGTCAGCTCATAAAAGGGAAGAAAGTTTCCTTATCAAAACTTAAGCGGGGAGGGGGACGGGGTATAACCTTATAAGGGGGATAATGCAACTTAGGCAATGTCTGGCAAAATTGTAACCCCATAGTACTCAACCAGTGAGGAACTGGGGGAGGGACTTGCGTGCTAGGAGATAAATTACCTGCCGTAACTGCTCCAGGTGTGCCTGCCTACCAGATATCCCGTCTTGCAAGACTGCTATAAGAATCTCACTTCTGCTGTTCATCGTGTCTCCAAGTCTATTCCTTGAGTTTGGACAGGTGAATGAGATTCCTACACTCCTCAGCTTTCAGTGGTGGTTACCCCTAGAGTAAGGCACTGCAAGAGCCTGAGGAATTGGGGAGTTTTATTTTAATTTATCCCCATTGCATCATTTTAAGATTCTTGGAAATGTAATAAGATACCTAACGGGTTTTTCTTTAAAAACTATGAAAACTGTTTCAAATGTTTTAAGCATCAAAGAGTTTGAGATATTAAGATGAATTAAACCTCTTCCCAGCTTTTGAAAGATTCAAAATATAGCAACATAGCAAAAATGTTTAAAAAGTAATTGTCCTATAATATAATAAGCTTTTTATCAATAGCATAAAGTTCAGACGATGCATAGATAAAAGAACATCTGAATCTGTTAGGAATCCTTCCCAGAAGATAATTGGGCCAATTCTGGAGGGACACATACCGTTGGGTTGAGATATTTCAGACACAGTATCAGAGCCAAGGAATAAAAACGTTCATCTGGGGGGAACAGTTTAGCTAGACTGGGGGATGGGATCCAGGCTCCTTCATGATTATTGCTGGGAAGGCTGAGCTCAAATTGTGAGCTCTGGAATAAAACAAGATGTAAATAAGTAAATATATCAAGCTACAGAACCCATTTGGTTTCAACTCCCAAAACCATGTTTCTCCTACTATATCCCAGGTCTTTCCTTTAATAAAATGTTCCTGAGTATGGCATCCTTAGACAAAGCTTTCTTTCTAAAGGTAAAATGACACTTCTACCTAACTTATCAAAAGAAATTCTTAAAGAATAACCTTCTTAGATTCAGCTTTTAACCTTTTCCTGTTATGCCCATATCTATAAGTGTGTTTGACCTTCCCAGTGATTCAGAGGAATAGATGAGTTGGGGTATTTTTCCTCTGTTTCATAGCCAAGGTCATGGAGGCCCAGAGACAAGTCATTTTGCAAATTGCTGACTTGGCTGGAAGTTGAGCACGCATGCTTCCTACCTCCAGACCTGAACACCTCCCATTGCATCACATCATGAAATGATAATGGGTCCTGAGGGGACATTGCAGGAAAAATACTAGGAGATGTTTATTTCCCCATGATATTTCTTACAGGACAGAAGTTCTTCTCTCTTCCTCATTATTGAATAAGATAACACTTAATTTATTGCCAGTTAATCCCCAAAGAGGTCAAAATCTATACAAACTTATTTTAGGTAGAAATCAGTGTTTCCAAAATAATAAAAGAGAGAAGCTGGTGTTCTGGAAGAAAAATGGGCAACACTCTGCTTTCATCAGGAGTTAACTCATAATTTTTAAATTTAAATTTTTTATTGACATACAATCATTGTACACATTTATGGGCTACATAGTGATGTTGGGATATATAGAACATATAGTGATCAGATCAGGATAATCAGCACATCTATTATCTCAAACACTTATTATTTCTTTGTGTTGGAAGAATTCAACATCCTTTAGCTATTTGAAATTCTATACTATATTATTTTTAACTATAATCATACTATGGTGTTATAGAACCCTAGAACTTATTCCTCCTATCTAGTCATAATTTTGTATCCTTTAACAAATCTTTGTCTCCCACTCCTACCACTCTTCACAGCCTGCAGTATCCGCTATTCTACTTTTTACTTCTATGAAATCTACTTTGTTTTAGCTTCCACATATGATTAAGAACATGCAGTGTTTAACTTTCTGTTCCTGGCTTATTTCACTTAACATAATGTCCTCCAGTTCCATCCATGTTGCCACAAATGACAGAGTTTCATTCTTTTTTTATGGATGAAGAGTATTTCACTGTGTATATGTACCACATTTTTTTATTCATCATCTATTGTTGGATAGCTAGGTTGATTCCACATCTTGGCTATTGTGAATAGTGCTGCAGTAAACATTAGGGTGAAGATGTCTCTTTGACATACTGATTTCCTTTTCTTTTGGTAAGGAAAGTAGTGGTGGTATTGCTAGATCATATGGTAGTTCTATTTGTAGTTTTTTGAGGAAACTCTATACTGTTCTCCATAATGGTTGTACTAGTTTCCATTCCCACCAATAGTGTATAAGATTTCTCTTTTCTCTACATTCTTGCCAGCATTTGTTATTTCTTGTGTTTTTGGTAATTGTTATCCTAACTGAGGTGAGATGATACCTCACTGTGGTTTTGATTTGCATTTTCCAGTGACTAGTGATATTGAGCATTTGTCATACATTTGTTAGCCATTTGTGTGTCTTCTTCTGAGAAATGCCTGTTCAGATAATTTGCCTATTTTTAAATTAGACTACTTGATTTTGGAGATTTTATTTTGGTATGACTTTTGATGTTCAGTTGTTTGAGTTCTTTGTATATTCTAGACATTAATCTCCTGCAGATGAATGGTTGGCAAATATTTTCTCTTATTCTGTAGGTTGTCTTCTTACTACATTGTTTCCCTTGCTGTATAAAATCTTTTTAGTTTGATATAATCTCATTTGTTTATTTTTGATTTTGTTGCCTCTGTTTTTAAGGTCTTATTCATAAAACTTTTTCCCAGATTAATGTCCTGAAGTGTTTTCCTTATGTTTTCTTCTGGTAGTTTTATAGTTTCAGGTCTAATATTATGTTCTTGATCCATTTGGGGTTGATTTTTTAATAAAGTGAGAGGTGGGGGATAGTTGAATACAAAAATATCTAGAATTTAAGAAGACAAAATTACAGTATCTGACACCTAGATAAAAACTAGCAGGTATGCAAAAAGCAAAAAAATATATTATAAAATAAAGAGATAAATTAATCACTCAAAGCCAACCCAGGACTGAAACAGATGTTAGAATTAGCAAATAAGAACATTAATAGAGTTATTATAACTTGATTCCATATTTTCATAAAAACTACAATTTCTGAGATGAAAAGTACACAGGTTGAGACTAATGGCAGGTTAGATTTTTAAAAAGTAAAATATTACTGAGCCTGAAGACATAGCAATAGAAATTATCAAAAAACAAGAAATAAAGAGCATAGACATTTTTTAAACCAAATATCAGCAAGTCATTTGAAAGCTTTTAGGAAGTTTCTGATGAAAAGGGGATGTATACAGAAACAACAGAAAAAATACTTGAAAAAATAATGACCAAATTTTTTCAAATTTAAATAAAACTATAAACTTAGTTTCAATAAAATCAGTAAACCAAAGAATCAAAAAATAACATCAAAAGAACCCAGCAAAAAGCATCATAATCAAATTGTTGAAAATCAGTGAAAATGGGGAAATCCTAAAAGCAGTGAGAGAAAAAAAGACTTGTTACACACAGAGGAACAAAGATAAGGAAGACAGCAGATTACCTGTTGGAAACAATGCAATCAAAAAGACAGTGG
The DNA here is from genome assembly GCF_000001405.40 of Homo sapiens. Classification (NCBI taxonomy): domain Eukaryota; kingdom Metazoa; phylum Chordata; class Mammalia; order Primates; family Hominidae; genus Homo; species Homo sapiens. Next base: position 8,345,664 of record NC_000003.12, read on the forward strand.
AACAACAAATTTAAAGCACAGAAACACTGTAAATTTAGAATCCTATACTCAGTGCAAATATATTTCAAAAAAGAAAATGAAATAAAAATATGTTTGGATATACAAAAAAAAATTTATCATTAGTCAACAGGGACTATAATAAGTTTTAAAGAAAGTCTTTAAGGCAGAAGAAAAATAATATCAGATATAAATATAAATAAATAATTAAATAAATAAATTTATATACACATATATATACCAAATAAAAATATGATATAAAATACAAATATATATACGAAATAAAAATATGTATCTACACAAAGAATAAGAGCATTAGAAATGGTAACTAAATGGGTAGTTATGTAAGATATTCTTTTAGCTAAGTATCCTTAAACATAATAGCTTAAACAAAAGAAATGTGTGAGGTTTATAATATATGTAAAATTAAAATATATGCTAACAATAGCACAAAGATGAGGGGAGAAGGAATGAAAGTATGTTTCTATAAGGTTATACTATACCTGAAATGGAACTGTATTATTTAAAGGTAGAATGTAGTAAGTTAAAGATGCATACCATAAACTAAGAAAAAATATCAATGGAACACAAAAAATAGTTACAGATAATAAACCAAAAAAGGTGATAAAAGGGATTCATTAAAAATATTCAATTAATCCAAAAGTAGGCAGAAAAAAAGGGTAAGGGATGGCTTAGTCTGTTTTGTGTTGCTATAAAAGGATACTTGCTATTGAGTCATTTATTTTTTAAAAATAGGCTTATATAGCTGGTGGTTCTGCAAGCTAAGAAGTTCAAGGGTATGTCCCTGGCCTCTGCTGAGAGCTTTTGTGTTGCATCATAACATGGCAAAGAAGGTCAAAGGGGAAGTGGACACCTGAAGAGAGAGAAAAAACTGAGGGACATCCTGGGTTTGTGACATCACTCTCCCAGGAACTAATCCATTCCCAAGAGAACTAACACAGTCTCAAGAGAGTGAAAACTCACTCGCAGCCATGAGAACAATACCAAGCCATTCATGAGGGATCTGTCCCCATAACTGAACACCTCCCACTAGGCTCCACCTCTTAATGCCACCACATTAAGGATCAAATTTCAACATGAGTTTTGGTGGAGACAAACTATATTGAGAAACCATAGCAAGGGGGAACAAAGACAATATGGGATAAATAGGAAACAAAAGGCAAGATAACAGTTTAAACTTAAGCATATCAATAATAACATTAAATGTAAGTGTTACTCTTACATTTAATGTTACACCCTAATTAAAAAGCTGACAATTTCAAATTGGACAAAAATGCAAGACACAACCATATGCTACCTACAATAAACACACTTGTAATATAAGACACAAATATGTTAATATTAAAAGAATGAAAAAGATATGACATGCTAGCCTTAATCAAAAGAAACATATGATGGCTTTATTAATATTAGACAGAGAAGGTAAATGTTAGAGAAAAGAAAAGTATTGTGGACAGCAAATGTCATTTCATCATAATAAAGGGGTCATTCATCAAGATCATAAAACAATCCTAAATGTTTATAAACCTTATAAGTAAGCTTCAAAAAACATGAAGCAAAAGTTTTTTACAACCGTGGGACAAACAAATCAATCCACAAATATAATCATAGACTTCAATATTTTAAAATAACGGATAAAACAAGTAGACAGAAAATTAGTAAGGATATAGACTTAAATAACATTATCAATCAATTTTACCTAAATGGTCTTCATATTTACATTTATAAAGCACCCAATAAATGAAGTATGAATCAACATCCTCCTTTTGTTGTTTTGGCATCCAAGTGTCCAATTATTCCAGTGCCACTTGTTTAAGTGACTATTCTTTATACCCTGAATTGCATTTGCATTTTGCATCATATGCAAAACTTAACTTAAACTGTATCATAAATCTAGATGTGAAACTTAAAACTATGAAACTTCTAGAATAAAACAGAAGAGAAAGCCTTTGTCACTGGGTTAAATAAGAATTGTATATATATAACATCCAAAGCACATGTTATAAAAGAACAAAAAGATAAATTAGACTTCACCTAAATAATAAAAAAGTCAGCTTTTCAAATAAAAAGAGAATGAAAAGACATACCACAGACTGAGAGAAAATATTTGAAAATTACATATATAATAAAGAACACGTCTCCAAAATACATAAAGAACTCTCAACATTCAGAAATTTAAAAAAAAAACTGATTTTAAAACTAGGCAAAGATTTCTAAACTATTTCCAAAGAAAATGTATGGATGGCAAATAAGCACACAGGATATGTAATATCACTGGTTATTAGGGAAACATAAGTTAAAATTATGAGATGCCGCTATACACCTGGCAAGACAGGTAACATTTTAAATATCGACCATACTCAGTGCTGATGAGAACATGAAATAAGTTGGAACTCTCACGGTCAGAATGTAAAATGGTACAACCACTTTGGAAATCAGTGTGGCAGTTCTTTTTAAAGTTAAACATATACCTACCATATGCTCCAGCCACTCCACTCCTAGTATTTACCCAAGATAAATGAAAGCTTATGCTCACACAAAGATTTATATGTGGATGTTTATAGTGGCCTTATGTATAAAAATTGGCAACAAGCCAAATGCCCATCAACATATATCAATAGATAAGCAAGTCATGGTACATCTACACAATAGAATACAACAGTAATAAAAAGTAATGAACTACTGTTATACACTAAATGTGAATAAACCTCACAATAATCACTTTGAAAGAAAGCAATCCAAAAAGAGGAGGGCATGATGTATAATTTCGTTTACATAAAATTCTAGGAAATAAAAAGTAGCTTATAGTGCCAGAAAGCAGACCAGTGATTGCTGGGGATAGGGTCAGGGCAGATGGGAGGAAGAATTATGAAAGGAGCAAGGAAACTTTTGTAGGTCATGTGCATGTTCATTATCTTTATTTTGGTTATCATTTCACATGTATATAACATTGTACTTTTTAAATGCATGCATTGTATTATACGCCATCCTATTTTAATTTGTTTGCTTTAAAAACAAAACAAACAAAAACAGTACAACAACAAAAACAAAAAAGACCAGAAAAAAAAAAAAAAAAAAGGCTGGGAGATGTGAAAAAGGACCCAAACTACAATGTAAGGGTGTGAACAAGGATAAAGGAGAAGTTAGGTAAATTGGGTATTTAGGAGACAGTATAGTGTCGTCTATTTTCTATAATTACAGATTTAAAATAAGTTGAAAGTTTTTGCAAGAGATTTTAAAACAATTCAAAGTATCACAAAACAGCACCAAGCAAATTTCATTTCAAATGTTGACACTCACTAGCTGTTGGATCTGGGGGACATCAAGAGTTTGTTATACTACAAATAACAGCAGCTCACCTCAATAAATGAAATGAATTGGCTCAAACAATGGAAAAGTCAGATTACTCTGGCCTCAGGCATAGCAAGATTAAGATCTCATCATTAGGGTCAAGGTCATTACCTCAGTTTCTCTCAACCGTGACTCAGCCTCCATGTTCTCCCCTGGCCATGACCAGGCAGCTGCCACCCTCCCACCCCACCTTCCTTAAAACCAGTGGAAAGATAGAACATGTTCTTCAATTGTTTCAAAGAAAAGCCTCTGATCCTTCTGATTGGACTGGCTTAGTTCCCACATTCACCCCTGAACCTATCTCTGTGGATAAGAAAATGAGATGCACTGATGAGATTAAAATCTGTGTCCCATACACACTTCCTTCATGAAGTTGAAGTGGAATTCTATCCACAGTGTGCAGGAGGAATTGGTCTGCAGTCAAATATTAAGAGCTGTTTCTAGAAGAAAAAAGTATGACTTCTGGGGAGATGCTATGGTCCAAATCTTTGTGTCCCACCAAAATTCATATGTTGAAATTCTAATGCCCAAGGTGATGGTGTTAGAAAGTGGAGCCTTTGGGAGGTGATTAGATTATGAGGGCAAAGCCTTCATGATTGAGATTAGTGTCCTTACAAAACAGACGCCAGAAAGCTAGCTAATCCCTTCCACTATGTGAGGTCACGGGGAGAAGGCACCATCTGTGAACCAAAAAGTGGCCTTCACCAGACACCCAATCTGATAGTGCCTTGATCTTGGACTTCCAGCCCCCAGGACTGTGAGAAATAAATGTCTGTGGCTTATAAGCCACCCAGCTTATGATATTCTGTTAGAGCACCCTGAATGGTCTAAGACAGGAGGTAAACACCAAATTCCACTAGGAAAATCAAGTCCAGTTTTTGGCATATGATAGTGTATCCAGAGTTTGTTCTTTCTGGTGGGTTTGTGGTCTCACTTACTTCAGGAATGAAGCCACAGACCTTCACAGTGAGTGTTACAGCTCTTAAAGGTGGTGTGGACCCAAAGAGTGAGCAGCAGCAAGATGTATTGTGGAAAACAAAAGGACAAAACTTCCAGAGCATGGAAAGGGACCCAAGTGGGTTGCCACTGCTGGCTGAGGTGGCCAGCTTTTATTCCCATATTTGTCCCCGCCCATGTCCTGCTGTTGGTCCATTTTACAGAGTGCTGATTGGTCCATTTTACAAACCTATAGCTAGTTACAGAGTGCTGATTGGTGCATTTTTACAGAGCATTGATTGGTGCATTTTACAAACCTCTTGTAAGACAGAAAAGTTCTCCAAGTCCCCACCCAACCCAGAAGTCCAACTGGCTTTACTCTCAATAAGTGTTCAGGAAACAATACCTTCAACTTTACTTTCAGATCAGAAAGAAGCTACTGATATTATATAATGTAATTGGGACATATAAACCAATAAAGCAGAAAGAGTTTATCCAGTTTTTCATCAGGAAATTAGATCAGACCAAACAAGAAATACTGTTCAAACGGTATACATCAGGTTATAATCTTTAAAGGAAATTTTAAGAAAGCCGAGGCTAGGAGATGTACTGGCCACCTGCTCTTTTGTAGGATGTCCATAACCCCTTTTCCTGGTCATAGAACCCATCTCTTCTTTTACTTTCAACTAATATGATTTTTGAATCTGACCCCATGCACCCCCCCAACTCCAGGGATGGCCATATAGTTCAAACCTGACCAATGAGAATACACATATCCCAGCCTACACAATTATTTCTGGAGAGGCACACAACCTGCCTAACCCAATTAGAGAAAACCAAAGCCTTTTGCTAGATGTACTGAAAATAAGATATGTTCCTCCTGATGGGATTACTATGGTGGTGGCATAGTCTGCTTCCTATGTAAGCACAGTGCTGCTGATGATGACTTTTGTCACCCTTTGGGAGGGTTTGACTGAGAAAATGACAACACAGAGAAAAGCAAAGCTCAAAAAGAGAGAGAGATTTTTCAGTGGTCATATTTGAGTCCCTGGATCCAGCCATACCTGAATGCAGTGGTACCCCTAGATTTTCTAGTTAAGTCACCCAATAAATTCCTGTTTTGCTTAAGTCAGTCTTAGCTTGTCAGTAGGAACCATGTCTGTTCAGTCACAGTATTCCTAGCTCCCACACAGCTAGTTCAGTCCAAGACCCTGGTAAGGCTTAAGGTCATAGGGGAGGGTGGACAACAGATTCACATTTTGAGGATCAAGCTTGAGATTTTTTCCTCCTGTATTATCTACTCCCTGCATGTTCAGTTCAAGTTGAATTGTCTTGACTGCCAGGTTATTTGGGCTTTGTCATTATTCAATTTATAGCTGCGTCAGTGGAGAATTTGGAAGGAGTAAGCATAAGTTGATTCTATTTGCTGTAATGCCAGAGCTTAGCCAGATTCAATGATCTTCCAGGAGATGAATCTACAGCTGGGTCAGGATGAGGGTGAGCACAAGTGGGGAGTGTGTGGGAACAGAAAGTAAGGGTTAATTAAGCCAAGTGCAAGAGAGTAAGGAGAGGCACCTGGATGTTGTGGAAAGATCACTGGACTGGGGACACCCAGACCCAGGTCTGGGTTCTGGTTCTAATGTGTCCTACCTTGAGCAAGCTTCTTCCCTTCCTGATTTTTTCATTTCTCCTTCTATAAAATGAACATGAGAATATCTACGTTCAAGAGTGGAAAGATCACTGGACTGGGGACACTGAGGCCCAGATTTGGGTTCTGGTCCTAATCCTGCTCTACCTTGGGCAAGCTTCTTCCCTTCCTGATTTTTCCACTTCTCCCTCTATAGAGTGAACACAAGAATATCTGCCAGGCCTACATTCAAGGGTGACCAGAAAAAGCAAATGAAATAACACGTGAGCAAGAGTCCCACAAATGGCATGGATATTCTTGTTATTGCATCTAGTGCTTCCATGAAGAAGATATTGGACATGCCCAGGCATCTCAGAATTCAGGTGCCCCTCCCCGGAGCCTCCCATGAATTATAAATTTTCCAGGTGGGGTCACTCTTCCTCTGTCCCCCTATTCTTCCTGCAATAGGCAGGCATGATCAATTGGGAAAAGCAAGAGAGATGGGCCCAAACAGACCCGAGTTCAAGGCTGCCTCCACTACTTTCCATCTGTGTGATCTTGGGCAGGTGAGTTGAGGACTCACCTCTGGGGACAATGAGGTAGTGGGGGAGGGAGATAGGAAGGGAAAGAAACTGACAGGTAATAAGGACATAGTAAGCACCAAATGTGTTGTGAATGTTAACTGCTTTAATCCCCAAATGACTCTGTAAGGCAGGCATCATGTTCCTTGTTACACAGGTAAGAAAATGAACTCAGAAGATGAAGTCACTGGCCTGCTATCACATGGCTCATGAATGGGAAGACAGATAGGATTTTAGTCCTGGCTTGAATGAGTCCAGAGCATAACTTTTTCATGGCTTCTGCTGGAATAAATAAATTTAATAACAGTAACAATAATATTTCTATTAAATAATAGGAAAAGGAGTAAACATTATTGAGCACTCACTTTGGGCTAAGGGCTTTAACACAGTATCTCATTTAATCCAGTTGACATGCTTTGGAGATAGATTTACAGATGAGGAAACTGAGGCCCTGAAAGTTTAAGTTACTACTAGAGGCCACAGAGCTGGCAAGTGGCCAAGGCAGGGTTTGAACTTGGGCAGTATGACAAAAGAGCTTGTTACTTACTAACCACTATACGATATTGCCTCTTTGTAACAACATTTGGGGAAATGCAAAGTCAGGTTCCCAGTTCACATGGAAGTGCTTCCAGCCTGAGCTTGATGGGGTGGGGGGGCTCTAAGGCTCCTCACAACTCTGAGATCTAAAGCGCCTCCCTTAGACCTTTCTCACTCAAACCTCAAGCTCCCACATGCTCTATGCTGTCACTCTGTCCCTGTCGTGTGTCAGGGAGGATGCCCATTCACCAGGCCTTCTGTGCTGTATGTCTTGTGTGACTTCCCTCTGCCTCCATGGTCATATGCATGTGCTTACATCCATTAGTAGTGCCACCACCTAATAGAAGCTCTTCAGGGCCCTGGGGAGTCCAACCTCCTCCATGAGGCCTGCCTGCCTCTCTCTTCCATCCCCTCCTCCCTTCCTCCCTCCCTCATCCTCCTCCCCAAGCATTTATCTCACATCAGTGAGTCTGAGAAGCCAGAACCAAGCCAGGGTACTCCAGGACTATCCCCTTTTCCCATAGTTTCCAGGAGTACTTCTTTGAGACCTTCCAAGGTCCAGAAGGGACTGGCAAGGCCATCTCGAAAGCCACTCTCCAGTTCCTTCTACCTCCAAATGTCCATCATGGCGGGCTGCTCCCTGTGACTCCAGGACCCTGGTACTCAGCCCACATGCCCAGTGCCCAGGTATGTGTTGTTAGCTGAAACCTGATTTCATTGCCCAAGCAACCCTGTGAGGTAGATGTGATTACCTCCCCAATATCTCAGTGAGAAGAGCTAGAGTCACAAAACATATTCAAAGTCACTCAGCAAGGGGTATGGTCTGGCTTTTCTCCTGCTGCCCCACTTTGGGTTCCATATTGGCTCCTTGACAAAGACCACATGGTAAAGAGAAAGAAACTTATCCTCTGGTGGGGCAGGAGACCCAGGAACTTGCCAAGTCAACTGTCTTCTCAAGAGGAAACCTGCCAAGTCACCATCTGTAAGTAGGGGCTTCGGGTTGAATAATATTAATAACGATATTACTAGCAGCCTCTTTTTCCTAAGTCCTTAGGCACTATAGGGTGGATTGGGCTGCTTGGGAACACGTGATCTAGATTCAAATCCTGGCTCCACCACTTACTCATGAATGACCTGGGCAAGTTATTTTTCTCAATTTCTTTATCTGCAAAATGGAGATAATAATAATCCCTACCTCAAACTTTCCCTGCCAATTTAGTTAGTATGGATAAAAGCACTTACAACTGCATTTGAATTTAGATTTAGTTGCTGTGCTGTCTTTATAACCTTTGCCTTAATTATCTTATTTAATGCTCTCAACAACCCTCTAAAATAGAGGCTATGATGTTCATTTTACAGAAGAGAAAACTGAGACTTAACAAGACTAATTAACTGGCCCAAGACCACACAGAAAATTAAGTATACAGCTGGGATTTGAACTCAGGTCTGCCTGGCTCTGATGTCTGGGTTCTTATATCTCGGCTATACATCCTCCCACTGCATCAGGGATTCTCAATCCTTAACACTATTGATATTTAGGGCCAGATAATTCCTTGTGGGGGCTGTCCTGTGCATTGAAGGAGTTTAATAGGATCCCTGGGTTCAACCCACAAGCTACCAGTAGCACCCCTACCCCATCGTGACAACCAACAATTTCTTCAGATATTGATAAATGTCCCCAAGGGGCCAAGTTTTTCAGAAGCACTGCATGAGATGCTCCCGGGGGTCTCTTGAGCTCTAACATTCCACATTTCTACTTCTATTAGAATTTCAATCAGTTGACATCCTATAGGAGAACAGAGAGTTTGGTGATACTGTTTATACCAAGAAACAGACAAAATCTTGTGGAAACCTTCCCTGGGGCTTACTAACCTCACCGTCACAGGCTTGCCAACCTCATCCTCATCCTCATCTTCATCTGCACTGGCACCTTCACGGTTATTGAAGAAAGGTGCACACTCTCCAGCAGATGAATTACTGCATTGTATCTTTTTCATTTTTTGGCATCTTTGAAACCGGCATTTGTCTTACAATCAATGAATGGCATATCAGGATTTGGTTGGCAGCGTCTTGTGTTTCCTAGTTGTTCGTAAAATAGTGGGGCATCCTATAATCAGCAGAATCCTAAATGCAATGATACACAATCTGCAAAGCTCCACATCCCTGTCCCCACTACTGGAAAACACAAATAAGAAAAAATCACCACCTCTGACTGGTGGTGGTCCCAAAGGCCATCATTTTGTAAGTGGTCACCACATTCAGAATTTTTAAAAAATGCTTTTTCCTCCAAGACAGAGGGCACAAGGATTAGAGGCAGAGCACAGGCTACATTTCAGCCTCAGGTGCATTTGTGTAACGCACAACCTCACAACTGTGCATGGCATCCCTGCTGTCTCTGACCAACTCTGCCTGGCCCCAGAGACTAAGAATTAAAATGCAGTCAAATATCACTGGATTTCACATAGCTTCTCAGAGCCCGAAATAATTTCAAGCTACAATTTCTTGAAATGGGTTTTATTTTTTTTAAACCCCAACAAAGCAGATTTTTTACAGACTAAAAATGCCAAACAGTTGCCTGCAACTCAAAGGCAAGTGATTAAACATCCATGATTTAAAAAAAAAAGAAAAGAAAAGAAAAGGTTGCGGGGAGGATTACTCTCTCAACAGCAGACAAATGTAGCAAAACATCTATTAATATTGTTCCCTGAAGAAGAATGAGTTAGTATAAAACTGGGAAGGACAACAGCCATGCATCTTTCTCTGTCTTCATAAAATACAGCCTTCCTGAAAACTGATGTGATTACTTGTGAAGCCAATGTTTCTCCATTTTTTTTTCTTCTTCAATAGCTGTTTGGGCCTTAATGTGCTTTAAATGTGTAATAAAAATATAATGAAAAACATACTTTTATTAAATGTGGCTGCTACAACATACACTATAAAGCCTGAATCCTATAAAGTTGAATTGTATGGCATTTCTTAAACCTGTTCCTTCTACTTATAGCTGCCCTACAATATTGGTCAGAATTTAGTGCTTCTCTCTCCCACCTTTGCCTTGAATTACTATGCTTGAACTTGCAGTTCCCATTTCTGCTTTTTCCTTTTTCTTCCATCTTACCTCCCACACTATACCCTAATCCCCCTGTTCTTCACACTCTATCCCCCAATATCCCACCACAAAGAAGTACATACTACGTGTGACTTGTCAGAAAACCCACACCAAAACCTCACAATTGGGCTCCTGTATCCAAAAACAACCTTTTATATAAAAATGTTAAGCAGTGGAGTTAGAGCAGAGATCAGAAAACTACAAAGAACCAAGCTGACCCTCCTCTGTTTTTATAAATAAAATTTTATTGGAACACAACCATGCTCATTTGTTTGGGTGTTGTCAAATGCTGCATTCCTGCTACAAAGGCAGAGTTGAGTAGTTGTAAGGGAAACTTTATGGCCTGTGATCAACTTGATTGGATTAAAGGATGCAAAGTATTGTTCCTGGGTGTGTCTGTGAGGGTGTTGCCACAGGAGATTAACATTTGAGTCAGTGGACTGGGAGAGGCAGATCCACCCTCAATCTAGGTGGGCACAATCTAATCAGCTGGCAGCTGGGCCAGAATAAAAGCAGGCAGAAGAACATGGAAGAAATAGACTGGCTGAGTCTTCCAGCCTACATCTTTCTCCCATGCTGGATGCTTCCTGCCCTCAAACATTGGACTCTAAGTTCTTTAGCTTTTGGACTCTTGGTCCTTTGACCACAGACTGAACTATACCACTGTCGGCTTCCCTGCTCTTGAGGTTTTGGGACTGGCTTTCTTGTTCCCCAGCTTGCAGGCGGCCTGTTATGGGACTTCACCTTGTGATCGTGTGAATCAATACTCCTTAATAAACTCCCTTTCATATATACATCTATCCTATTAGTCCTGTACCTCTAGAAAACTCTAATACAGCCTGCAAGTTCTAAAACATTTATTATCTAACCCTTTCAGAGAAATTGTGCCCATCCCTGGGTCAAAGCCAGATCTCCAGAGCTGGCATGCCTGGGTTCACAGCCAGCTTTGAGATATCGTGGACCACATTCCTCTCTGGCATGGACTTTCCTCCCTGGAACATCCATCCAGGGGTGTCCATTGACTGCAGTTGCTCCCAGTTCTCATGCTTTAGAGAACATCAGTGCTTTTCCCATCTCAACCTGAGAAAGGAATAACAGGGTGGTCACAGGACAGTCATGAGGGAACAACTAAGGCAAGGCAGCCATTAAAGACTCACATGAGGCTGGGCGTGGTAGCTCATGCCTGTAATCCCAGCACTTTGGGAGGCCGAGGCGGGCGGGTCACTTGAGGTCAGGAGTTCATGATCAGCCTGGCCAACATGGTGTAACCCCACCTCACCTCTACTAAAAATACAAAAACTATCTGGGCATGGTGGCGGGCACCTGTAATCCCAGCTACTTAGGGGGCTGAGGCAAGAAAATTGCTTGAACACCCAAGGAGGCAGAGGTTGCAGTGAGCCAAGACTGTGACACTGCACTCCAGCCTGGGTGACAGAGCAAGACTCTGTCTCAAAAAAAAAAAAAAAAAAGACTCACATGACTGGTGAGGAAGGAACTGTTAAAACCAACTGCAGCTGTAGCAGCAAGGGGCTGATAAGTCCCTGACAAACAGGATGTGGGCAAAAGCTGGTTAAAACAGGCCAAATCCAAACCCAACATGGCACTAGATTTGACCCAGTTTTCACCTAGAACATAATTATACGGTCATTAGCATGCTAAATCACACACCCATGGGCACCATGACAGTTCTGAATATGCCCAGGTTTGGTATAACAATGCATGACACTTCATTTCAGGGAAATCCCCGTCCCTTCTATAGAATCTAATGAATACCACCCTCTAATTAAAGAAAACCCATAATAAAGGAAAGTTCATACCCTGTGGGGCACTCTTCTCTTGAGTGCGTACTTTTGCTTTGCAATAAAAGCTCTTATATTCTCGCTACTCTCTGACTCATCCTTAAATTCTTCCAATGGTGTCAAGAGCCTGAACATTCCCTAGGGTTGAGGTCCTGCTGCTGTCCAGGGATCTCCCCTCACTGGCTGGCATCAAACCCACCATAAAAGCCATTGCTGAGGCCTCAGGGGCAGCATATCCTCACGCATCTCCAGGCTACCCACCCAACCTATGCCTGTGTGTTTCCCTGTCCTCACTGGGACACTTGCCTTCGTGATTTGAGGACATTTGATTAACCCAGTCTAAGGGCTGAAAATAACTTTTCTTCCTTGAAAACAACTGCTGTACTTTGGATTCCCCAAGAAGCAGTCCCTGAGACAAGATTGGAATGATTGAAATGTAAGTAGTTTATTTGGGAGTAATCTCAGAAGATACGGGAAAGTGAGGGGGAGGTAAAGCAGAGAACGGAAGAAAACCATTTGGTGTGTGATTGAGCAAGTTGGAACGATGGGAAACTGGAGCTTAATTCTGATGAATCTTTGGAAGTCAGTGTTAGATCACGTCTCCAAGTCATCCCGATTGGAGGTGAACAAGAGCCCTCTGGAGGCTCTATCCACCAATTCCAGTCCATCATTGGTTGAGGAAAGCTCACAAAGGTGTTCGTTATCTGGCCCTCCCAGCCCACCAGGCATCTTGCTCCAGCAGTCAAGAGAGAACCCTGGATGGAGATGTAGAAATGGCAATTGGTAGTCAGGCCAGAGTGCACTCAAATGGTAAAGAGGCCAGGGGATATGGGTACCTACAGGATCCAATACCACACTGTGTCAAATAAAGCACCCTCAAAGGAAAGAGGGGATAGAATCAGAGTTAGGGAATATTGAGATTTTACATAGAAATGTAAATACCTTGTTAAAGCTGCCATGTTGCTGTTAGAATACAATTGCCTCAACCAAAGGCAACTGAAAGTGTTTGAATTTGGAATACAGAGTATTTATTCTTCTGATAGAATTGCTCTGGGATGTTTAAAGTAAGAGCAGCTCTCTACCTTCGAAGTTTATTAATGTTACTAGGCTGTCAATCAAGCTGTTTTCATTTCTTTTGTCCCAGATGAAAATGTTCTGCTTTCTCTGCACTTAAGACATATCATTTCTCCTCACTAGTACTGCAGAGAAAACTGTCCTTGTAATGCCATATCAAGTTTTTCATACTTTTGTTTTCTTTCATGTAAACATGGTTGACACTTTTAAGTTAGTTTGATCTATATTTTATAAGGCATCAAGTCAGAGACAAAGATATTTTTAACGTTAAGCCATTTCAAATTTACTCATTTTGCTGCCATTGGTTCATGCACTCATTCAATCAACAACCAGTTCTGGAACATTTATTATGTCATTTGTTAAAGGTAGGATGGGGGTGTTAAAAAATTAATAAGCCATAATTTCTGCCTTTAGGAAGTTTAAAGAATAATTGTGTTGCAGAGACCATTGGCTATTTGGGGTCTGTGCAGCATCTTTCCCGCCTTTTTGGTGATAGTGCCCTCACCTCTTTGAAGAGAACTATCCTCTCCCCTACTCAAAACATATGGTCCCCAGCACAATTCCAGTGCTGAGGCACATGACTCAGGCTGGTCTGTCAGCTCACTGAATCCTCTAAGACACAGTGATTTGTTCAAAAACCACACAATCAAGTTTTTTCTAACAAAATGAATTCCAGGGTTTATTTGGGACTTTCAGGAAGTGGTGCTTTTTTCTTCTGCAGTTAAACTTGAACCAAGAACAATTTATGCTGGAGATGCTGCAGTCATCCTGCTTCCAGGAGAGGAGAGACTGTCTGAGAGTGTAGCCAGTACAGAAAATGTGGAGCTGAAGGATGAAGAGACGGAAATAGAATCTCAATGACATCGTACTGTGGCCAGACATTCACCTCTCTCTTGACATTTCCCAATAATTTCCCTTTAAAGACTAGGCCAGATAGCACTAGATCTTCTGACAAAGAGAAAAAGGCCTATCCAATTCAAGCTGAAATAAGATATTTTTTACTGATGAGGAATTTCAAGTGTCCATCAATTTCATGATACATGTAATGTAGCCACTGAGAGATTAAATGTGTCCTTAGGTTGTAATGACAGAAATATAGAGTACAGGACCACAGAGATATTATTCTTGATCTTGACCTTGATCTTGACTGGTCAGGCTTCATCTAGAATATTTACCAATTCTGGGTACATCACCAGATAGAGATATTCAGAGGAGAGGGAGCAGAATGAAGTAGCTTGTGAAAACCATGTCATAAGACAAATTGAAATACTTAAGGTATATATCTGGGAAAACAAAACCCAGAAGTTAAAATTCTATAGTTATTTGCACAATTTTTAAATTATCTTAAGTTTGGGCCATTTTAAGGATCACAAAATCAATATTGCCTTCCTTTAAGATGTATTTCAAGTCAGCTCTTGGCTTTTTACTTTGGCTAAGGGACTTAGTAGCTGACAACTTGCTTTGCTGGCCTATGGAAAGTAAGCCTAAAACTAGAATTTATCAATGCTACTTGTAAGTTAATTCCATTACAGGTAATAGTGGAGTATTGGGTGTCATCCATTCATCCAGTGGTGCCTGGTCTCATTAATCACCAGAGGTAATAGTGCAGAAGGAGTTCTCAAGTCAGCACAGTCAGATTCCTTAGCAAACTGATACTTGAAGGAGTAGACACTGTAATGTAATACAGCTGCCTGATCAATGCAATCACAGCTGGGCTCACAGCTCTTCAATCTTTTATAACTAAACAGCATATCAAGCATTAGGGGATTTATTTAACAAACATTTTGGAATGTCTAATGATCTTAGGACATGGCGAAGGTAAACTCAAGAATCGGGTATATAACTGCACTCCAGCCTGGGCGACAGAGCAAGACTCTCTCTAAAAAAAAAAAAAAAATCGGGTGTATAATTCAGCAGGATACAATTTATGCCTTTAAAGAACTTAACAATTAGTGTAAGTGACATTGCATACATAAGAGAAGACAAAGGGAGACCACAGAAGGCATCTAGGCAACATTCATGTCTCAATCCCTCTTTCATGCTCTAGACAGACATTGCTAATGAACATGACAATCTTTCCCGTTGAGCCTAGATACAGCCTCAGAATCCTTCTCAAAACAATTCTCCAGTCAGCTTTTACTAACCAACCAGATTTTGTTCCTGAGATGAAATCTTCTTGCTACACCTGAGTTGGAATTATAGGAAGGCAAGACTGAATCCCACTGTAGAGATTAGGAAAGTCAGTTGAACTGGCACTTGAAGAGTAACTAGAATGTCTTCACATAAGGATTTGAGTAACTTTCTCTGCATATGTAAGAAGTGACATGAGCCATGTCTGAGGTGTCAAAGAAAGAGTAGTGTGGTCTGGCTGAAGACTATAGGAGTGGAGGTAAGGTTGGAGACAGATGGCCAAAGGCTTGGATGCTACACTAGTATTTGGAAGTTACTTGGAGTGCAAATAGAACCATTCACAGTATTATAATATAGAAGTGATTTTATAAATGTCATTAGCTGGACTCTCTAGAAGGAACAGGAAGAGTTAAAAATAAATTAAAATAAGAGATAGAAGTTATATAGTCAAAACATAGCAAGAAGAGGGTACGAAGGTCTAACAGTGAAAGTAAATGATGGGTGAGTCACCCTGGAGAAGAGACAGCATTGACAATGGACCAGCCCTGGAAGTGGGAGGATGGCAAATGAGCACAGCTGAACATGACTCTGGGGTGTTGAGTGTGAGTGGAGAGAGAATGTGGTATGTTTAACTGTATTAGACCATTCTCATGCTGCTACAAGGACATACCTGAGGCCGGGTAATTTATAAAGGAAAGAGGTTTAATTGACTCAGAGTTCTGCATAGCTGGGGAGGCCTCAGGAAACTTACAATCATGGTGGAAGAGGAAGCAACTATGTCCTTCTTCACAGGGCAGCAGGAGAGAGAAGATGAGAGTGAATGACAAGGAAAGCCCCTTATAAAACCATCAGATTTCATGAGAACTCACTCACTATCACAAGAACAGCATGAGGGTAACAGCCCCCATGATTCAATTACCTCCCACGGGGTCCCTCTCATAACACATGGGGACTTTGGGAACTATAATTCAAGATGAGATTTGGGTGGGAACACAGCCAAACCATATCCTTAACTAAAACAGATAAGTCTGGTTCTGTTTGGAACACACTGAGCATGAGGTGTGGGTGGAATACCCTGTCAATGTGTCTAGATAGAAGTTGAAAATATGGGCCTAATATTTGGGGGAAAATAGAAAGAGGAGACATGGAGGTGAGAGCTCCAGCCACAAAAAAGTAGGATCTCAGTATGGATGAGAGGGATGATGGCCAAGGGACAACTTGGAAGTAGCCTGAAGGAAGAGAGGCACGCAAAGAAAGCAGAAAGGAGGGGCATTTTTTTTTCCTAAGCTAATTCCTACACAGGGCTATAGAAAATTTTGAATCAAATAGGATTTTTTTTTTTTCCGAAGCAAACTCTTAACAACAACTTCGGTCCTGACTGTTGGTGTGGTCATCTAGAGGCCACCATCAGAATCACTCATTTCCTAAAGACAGGGACCTCAGGGTGGAAAGAACTTCCTGGGACAAAGCTGTGAAGAGGCTGTTAGAGCAATAAACTCAGCTCCCAACCAAACTGGTTTTGCAGGGCTGAGTGGAGAGAAGCATTCACTCATGCACCCCAAATATATCTATGGCACCCCTTCTGAGTCAGGTTTTGACTTGATGCTGGCAATACAGAAGTGAATGAAACTCAAACCCTTCAAAGCCTTAAGGAGGCTGAAATTTAGCAGAGTTGATGCACATGAAAATGTTAACAAAACCAAGATAGACAAAACAATTTGTCTGTTGAAGGAGAAGGGTAATAAGAAAAGACTAACCAGGTCTAAGAGATTTTTCTTTAACTTTCAAGGGCCCTGTACTTGGCCTAGGATCACTACAATCTAGATGGATGGATGGAGGATGGAGGGATGGATGGATGGATGGAGCATACATTTGTTGATGACAGTGATGTAGAATAATTGTTAACATATTGGAGTTACTATCTTTCCCCTGCTAGCTAAAATAGATACTGGTTTAGTCCCTTTCCTTTCTGTATCCTGCAAAAAGATGCTTCAACTGCCACAAGTCTTCTTCCCAATCTTTGAGGGATTGGAAGAAAGATTAAAAGACAAAAATTTAAAAAAAAATCCCCCACATGCATGCTAATTCCTGTGAAGAAAAAAATTGAGAGTTAATGAACTATACCACTCCTACCCCTAACCTCTGCTCTATGTGGGTGGTGTGTGGTAGGAGTAGGATATCTAGAATGAGGAAAAGAGCTCTTTCTAGGTATGAGTTAGCAGTCCCAGAATGTTACTGGACTCACAGGCTAGGAAATGACAGGACTAGCATGTGCTCCCAAGTTGTATACAAGGTCCAGGTTGAAATCAGAATCATAGTTTGGATTATGTCTCCGTGATTATGTGATGAAAACACTAGCTTTCCTTGGACTCAGGGTTCAGACCCTGTGACTAGTTCTCGTCAATGAACTGTAAATGGACATGGTACATGTCCCTTCTAGGCTGATGCAAATAAGAGCTGGTGAGCTTTCTCCAGCTCTCTCTTCCCACCCTGGTGATCTAGAAATGATCTAGAAATACTAGATGTCATAATCAAGATGGAAGAGGCTGCCAGAGTGAGAAATCTATCTTTGATGTGTTATACCAAGGTAATACCAGGGTTTATTTGTTCTTGCAGCATAGCCTAGTATTATTATTACCAACACTTAACACCACTCTGACCATAAATTACTTGGGTCACAAGTTCATTACAGTTATTACAGTAATGCTAAATATTTTAAGAAGGTTTCATACTCATTTTTATACTGCTTCACCTCCCAATTTTTCACCAATCCTTCACCTCCCAATCCTTCATCAATTCTTGCCTCTAAAATATATCAGCACTTATACCCTGTTTTATCATCAGGTGCACATATATATATTTAATATCATACTTTTAATAAAAATGCAAGCCAGAAATTCAAAGAAAAAGATATTAACATTCATATCTATCCAAATCAATCATGGTTTGTTTTTCTTACAGACACTGTATTGGATGATGATATGTTTTAAACATGGTTTTTGTACAAACGAAAGACTTAGAAAGGCAATAATAGGAGACACAATTGATATTACATCTATGAGTGAATAGGAAACTGGCAATCTTGTTTTCAAGACAGTCCGTTTAATTTCAAAGAACATTTATAGAGGTGACTTGGAAGATAGATCATTTTTATTTCCATAGCTTTAGGGGTAAATTTTAACTACTCTGTCATTTTTTTTCTATTAAAAAAGATACAGAAAAAATCAAAATAAACTTAATTTTTACAAGCCACTAGCATAAATATTAAGAACAGCCATGAACACAAAGAAAGAAAAAAAAGAAGTAAAGAAAAAGAAAAAGCTTTTGGCTATTATGTTCTTACAATTTATCAATAGTGTCCCATAAAGTTTTTATGTGACTATCTCAAGATGTGATGGAAAAAAAAGTCATAAGTTTAAAATAAAACTCTCCCTGTAGTTCCCTCCTAATCAGTCTACATGTGAAGCTATGGCAAATATTACCTCTAGATTATGAAGGAAAATAGAAGGTAGACTCAAAGGAAAATGACAAAAAACAGAGCAAAAAATATTTTAAACAACACCATCACCCAGTAAACCATTATCCAGGTCTGTAGAAAGATGACAAAGTCTCTATCCATCTAATGTCAAGTATTGTAAAAGTCACAATTCTTCTTCTCTTTTTTCAGATTTTTAAATTTTAAAAATTATTTTTGGAAAATAAGTTTTTTTTCATATGGAGGTAAAGCGAAGCTCTAGTTGATGCGGGGCATGTTATGTAGGTGTTAGCAGTACTGCCTGCATTACATGCTCACTGGACACCAGTGCACCTCCAAGAAAAGAATAGTTGCAATTATTTTTCTATTTCCTCCTGGACCAATCGTCCCTTCATCCATCCATTCATTCATCTACCATCATGTATCCATTCCTCCATCCAACTCTGCATCCATGCATTCATTCAATTAATTCTCTAAATGTTCAATTATTCTATGAAATGCAAAGTGCCACCCTCAAAGAATGGTAAACTATGATGTAAATAATTTTAGAGCAAGGCTGAGGTTGCTCAGCCTTGTACAACATCATTACATCTATTACATAGATGTAATGTCTCTCCTATGACATAGGAGAGATACCCAAAAAGTGCTGGGAACGGAGAAGAAGTGATCCATCTCACAGTAGATGTGGAAAGACTTCATGCAGTAGAAGTCTGAAGGTAGGTTGAAGACCCAGTAGCAGCTAGTTCAGTGCCTTACAGATGAGGCTGAAGTGGAAAGCAGTATTATTAATAAGCAACTACCCATCTCAAAGCAGGTTTCTTAGCTGCCAAACAGACTGATAATAATTTCTTCAATCCACTCTTGAAAATCTCAGTCACTAAAAGCAGCAGCAAAAGTTTTACCATTTTCTTTAAAAACAAAAAATACAATGCAGATTGAGGTGGTGGATTCGTCATTTACTTTGTTTTGGTTTTAACTTTGTTAACCAGAAAGTTCCACAATGCCTCTCCGAGTGGGGCCTGCAATCAAAATGTCATCGGCTTGCCTCCTCCTGATTTTCCAATCTCTCAGGAAAATTGCTGTTTAAAAAAAATAGAGGAACATTTCAACATTATTTCTATGCAGCTGCCCAAAAAGGTGACATTTGGTTAATGTCAGCATTCAGGTATCCTTCACATCAGACCCTGTGATTTTTTTTTTTAACTTGGGGGTTTTACTTTTCTAGTGACAGCTACAATTATCCCCCACCTACCCATCCCCACCAAAAAAAAAAAAAAAAAAGCGCCAAATCCCTACCTTTGGGTATTGAAAAGGGAACTGAGATGTACCTCTGGAGACCATGCATGGGATTGCTGTTATGGAGAGCACTGAGTTACTGTTGAAGCAGCCAGCTTTGTTTTCTATTTTCCATTTCTCTTTTCTTACTCCCTGGAGACGCAGAGCTGGAAATTCTCTTTGCTAGAGTGGCAGGCTCCTCTCCTGTTTTCCCATTAGCTGCACCGCTATTTAATCAAGTGAGCTAATCAACTGCGGAGTTCTTAATGGATGTCAGTAACATTTCCTGTGTTATGATTGATGAATCTAACTTTGGACTTAACGCCTATGTTCAAAATTAGATGACAATAGAATAGAGATTAATACCTTTTTTTTTTTAAGCTGCGTTATGGCAGCGAGTAAAACTAGTTCTCTCACTAAAATAACCCCACATGGGTGGTACTAGAGATTATTTTAGGCAGAACCTGAACTATTTTAATTGTAATAACTACATACATTTTAACATGCATTAATGTGAATCTTCTATTTATGATGACTGATAGTATTTTTTCATTAGTGGTCATGATAAAAATTTCTTTTTTTATAAAAGTGAAAAAAATGAGTTCTCTCCGGTATGTGTGTGTTGAATAAATAATCCTCTATCCATTCCTTCTTCTGCCAAAAATCAAAACCATTTATTGAGTCATCTTTCTCCTATCTCTTCTACCTCTCCAATCCATTCCCTCCCTTAAAATAAAAGTTAACAAAATGCAGATTACCCATAGACAGGCCCTTAGGAATTGCCCTCTTGCCCTCCAGGAATGCTGAGTAAAATGAGTGTGGCGGTTGCCCACATTGCAGCTTCTCTCTGAGTATGGGTTTAAATCTGACTATTCAATCTAGAGCCCAGCAAGCACAGGCTTCCTTTACAGTGTCTTCTTTGTTCCCTCTTATTTTTCTTCCTTTTTTGATTAACCAACAATGCTTCTTTGTAATAATTTCAAAAGAACATCTTGATAGATTGCAACCATTAAAGGAGTTTCTCCACAGAGAAATGTACTTGAAATGTTCATCAGGTTGAGGGGAGAGGGGGGCCAGTGGGGGAGTCCTTAACAGTTATAATAGGGAAAACTAATAAGACTAAAAACACTCATTTCAATTCAATAGGGAAAGAGGTTTTTTTAATTATTAAGTTATTAAGACAACAAAATCATATTATTGCACTATAAAATTGAGCAAAATACTGAAGGATCTTCTGCGTAATAATAAAAAACCATATTATCTTGACTCTTTTTTAAAAAAATCTTCCTTCAGTCCCTAGAAACAGTAATCTCTTGATAATACAGAAACTCCAACACTTACCCATTTCTATAAATCCTTTCTCATGTGCATTACCTAAATTTCCTATCACTGTGTGCTATAACCTATTTAGAAGTCGGTCTCAATTTGTTGTGGTCTCAATTTGTTGTAGTCTCAATATGAACTGTTTTTATCTTTTTTAAGAATTATCACCAATTGTCCCTTGTAGAATTCCTGTGGCTCCCTGGGTGGACATGTTCTTAATGACATCTCAGTCTGATTGTGTAATTTGCTGGTCACTTTCAGCTATTAAAACCATCTCAGGTTGGTCCTTCAGGCTCAGCTGTGTTGCTGTCAAAGCGTCAATTGCGTATTAAATTCCAGGCTGCCTTCTTTTCCTACCCTCCTGAATACAGGCTAAAATGACGACCCCAGACGCTGGAGACAGAGAGGTGGGCAGCACCTGCAGTTTCCTGGCGAAACGAGGTGACATGAAGAAGAAAGAGAGAAAAGTGGACATCTCCTTTTGTGATCCCATCCCCCACGCCATGGCTGGGCTGAGCCTTCTCCTTGGCTAATTATAACCACCTATCTATTTCTTTTTCTCTGGGATGGAGGAATTTGAGCCAGGACTCTGGCAGGTGCTTCTGATAGGGCTTCACTCCACTCCTTGCCCAACAAGTAAAGCCTCAACTCCAGAATATGAAATTTAAGCCTCTTTACAATCTGATTCAAAACTCCCTTTCACCTCAACTCCTTCCCCACTCTACTCCACTCCAGGGACCCTATATTCCAAGTCTATGGCACCTTCCTTGGTTTGCCAAACGTGTTGTGCTGTGTCCTGCTTCCAGACTGGTCCATTTGCTTTCTTATCCCCCCAGTTAGATCACCTTCTGCTCTTCTCAGCTCTCTAAATTCTTATTTATCCACCCAGAGATCCTTGAGGTGCCTTGGTCATCTAGGCAGGTTGGGGGCTGGGGATACTCCTAGTTCATCAAGTTCTCTGGAATTCTGAAGCAGAGAAGTCTGGCTACAAGATTTAAATCCAGGTGAAAACTGAAATTATCCAAACCTTTCTATAAGTCCTCTGCACATCTAGGTATATTTTCCCCTCTGCTTTCAATACTTTCTACAATGTTGCCATAATTCTTCTATAACTAAAAGACAATTTAAAAATAACAATAAGCCATATAAAAAGCCATCAGGAAAACATTTACAATTTCTTCCACAAGCCCTGTTATTAATTCTCACATAAATGATGCTGCTTTCTTAAAACAAATGAATTATAAAAACAATGCAGCAAAATAAAACTGTTTTACTGAATGCTACTTTCTTGAGAAAATACACAAATTCTAGATACACACTACATACATGCATGCACAAACTGCATATACACTGCAGACATACGCACAAAATGGAATTCCATCAAGAGAGCTTTAATATATGGTCTTCTAAGTGAATAATGCAATGTGATGCTTCACACCAAAAACAACAAAATGCATTAATTAGATTATGTAAAAATACCATATTTTGTACCAGAGAATAAAGCAGTAGAAAATATTCTAAATTTACACATATAAAACAATGTGATTTTTACATGAGAGGGCATATTCATAATTGGCTATCTGAAATAGAATTTTCTATTGTGTTATTTATCTCCCCTCTTCTCTTCAGAATAAACAGAATGTATAGGAATTGGCCAAAGTTCAGAAAGAATATTTGCTTTAACTGAGTAAGACATCTCTGTTTCCTTTCTGAAATAACCTTTGTTTGAGGTTTCAGTGTGCTATATTCAGGGGAAGAGATACAAATTGAAAATTGATTTGGGCTTTTGCCTTCTTTAGAAAGTTTCACAAAATTTCCATAATGGTCTCCAGGGTGGTGGCTGGGCTGAAGTCCTGTGAGAGTCAGCACCCAGGCTGGGTAACTGACGGCCTTCACCTGATCGGACCTCTACTGGCCTGGGACACCAGACCTGAGTAGCAGATCCGGGCATGCAGCACCAGACAAATCTCTGTTCTCCGGCTCTTAGGTTTTCCCTGCTGTGCTATGGGGAGAATCTAGTACCACTTCTTCCATCAAGGCCAAAAGCATCATAGATTTTTAAATTTAATTCAAAATTCGATTTTATATTTGAGGCAGAGACTTTAGGGAAACATAATGGCTGGGTGGATCTATATGAAGCAGGATAATGATGTAAAATAAACACTAGCTGTCACCAGCTTCCAGAAAATTACATTACAGACCTTTTTTCCCCCCACCATCCAAGGTATGGATGTGATCGTATGACCCTTCACAAGGACAAGGTCATAGAATATGTGTTCAAAATCTGCTTTAAGACTGTACATAGAATTGTTGACGCTCTCAACTCCAGAAAAATGTCATACGGTCTCTTGATATTATGATTTCTGTTCACAAATTGCTCATGCTGGCAAGTGGCTGTTATTTAAAACAAACAAACAAAAAGCAGACACGAGTCCTTCCTTCAGTGGGAATTTTGACAGTATGGAGCCCGTACAGTGTAGTTAGAACTGAGAGTCTGGGAGTCTCCAGTGCTGAGTAGAAGTCCCAGCTCTGACAATAACTAAACGCATTATTTAGGGGGAAATCAGCTTCTGTCAGCCTCAATGCTTCAACTGTAAAGTTGGATGAAAATTGAGGGTCTTCAAATCTTTTAAAACTAGTTGAGAAATGCTTTGCTCAAGTGAATCTTATGCAAAGTCCCATAATATAGATGGATATTTGATTGTGCTACTCTGGTTGAAGGGAAGAGGTGTAGCAGAGGCCCAGCCAACATTGGAAAACCCTGGGATCTAAGGGCCAAGGTTTGCAATAGCCTGGGATACAGGAGATGAGTAGATGACTTCTCACAACCCTTCCCAACACTAAATCAGGGATTCACAAGATAGAGCCCATGAGCCAAATCCAGCTCACTGCCTGGTTTTGGTTTCATTGGAACACAGCAAGACCCACACCATTTATTTAAGTATTATCTATGCCAGTTTTCATGCTATACTACAGAAATGGGTAATTGTGACATGGCCTAAAATATTTGCTTTCTCTTCTTCCGTAGAAAAATTTGCCAACTGCTACACTAAATACTTTTAGCTCAGTACTTGGCACACAGTTGGCATTTCACCAATGCTTGCAACTTTGCCATCACCCCATTCTATACTTTAAAAAAAAGCTCGATGCCAAGTTACTGTTTGGAACCCTTCCCCGGTAGGAAGCCAATCTAAAAATATTACATGGACAAAGAGACTAGAACATGTAAATTGAATTTTAAATAATGTAAGTCAGTCATCGTTCCTATCATGCAACTAACTGATGCACAGAGTTACAGTATCACTTCCTTCCTATCAAAGTGAGCATGGTCCCAACCCAGAGACCTTCAGAAAAAGAAATTCGAAGTAGAAATCTCAAATAAGTCATGTTCCAACCTACTCACTTCCTCAGTTGTTCCAGTCAGGCAAAATGCAGAACCGTTCTCCTAAACTCTTAGTTAATTCTAGATTTCTAGATTTAAAAAAGAAAAAAAAAAGAAATGGGAGAGTCTACAAAGAGAAAACCAGTGGTGTAATGGGGTCATGTAGTCAATTAAAAGCAAATAAAATAACCAGTTTGGTTATTTGAAATCAAATCAGTGAAAACACCAAGATATAAAACCAAAATAAAATATTAGCAATATCAACAGCCTGGGAGATCAAACCTCTTAATAAAGCAAGTAATATTTATATTTCAACTTGGGATTTACTACTGCATGCGGAAGGTTCTTATTCATCACTCAAATGTGAAAAGCACAGGCTTTGGCCACTGGTTAATTATTGGATTGTCATAAACCACTTCATGCCTGGCTGTCTTTTTTCTAATAAGCTGACTTTGTTAGTACTTTTATTTTGTAACTGCAGCCACCTGACAAATGTCCTCTCATACCTGCTGTTTCACAACAGTCTACTGAGAGAGGGAAAAAATTCCTCTATGGATAGAGACTTCAAATACCTTACCATCTGCTCCCAAGACATAGAGCTTTAAAGCAGTAGGGGAGGAATACTGAACTGCCATTCTGATACCATATTAGGTTAGTAAGAGCCCTTAAGGAAATATATAACTTTTAAAAAACATATATAACTTCCTTTAAACATATATGCAGAGTTAACAACCTTATCTTAGATGCATTTTCAGTGAATCCTGAGAGAAGCGCTCTCTTCAGGCTGATTAGTAGTTATTTCTGAGATCCTGTAATTATCAAGATGACTAATTTAATGAGCACCATGACCAGTGTTCACATTCCTCATAGCCGGGTATGTGGCGAGGCTTG
Source organism: Homo sapiens (assembly GCF_000001405.40). NCBI lineage: Eukaryota > Metazoa > Chordata > Mammalia > Primates > Hominidae > Homo > Homo sapiens. Next base: position 8,371,169 of record NC_000003.12, read on the forward strand.
CCAAGAAAAAGAAAGGGGTGGTTTCACAGTCTCCTTACAGATAACATGAAGATCAGGATTTTTTTGCTACTTCTATCTTAGTCATATTTCATGAGCCAAAATAAAAATGGTATTTTTCTGACCCCTCTGGGTTCTCACAGCACTTCTGTCATCCAGCCATATCTGTGAGTACTCACTGTATGTCATGGTGTTGGCTGATCATGGTGTCAGTGACTCACCTCTCTGTGTGGCCACTCTTCAAGACTAGGAATCCCTTGAGAGCTGAGACAAGAGCTTGTTTATTGATAAGTCTCTTATCCCTGACATAACATCTGGCACATTTTAGGTTCTATTCAGGAAGTGTTTGTTGAGTTAGCTTACCCATGGCTCTGCTGGTATGGGGAAGCCCATGCAAGTTGAGGGCAATGCTACCAAACTGTGAAATCCTGAAGGATGCAAGCCATATTTCTCTTCTGTGTATCACCAATGCCTAGCACATAGTAGCTGCTAAATGAATGTTTGTGGAAAGAAGGAAAGACTTCCACTAGGGAGTGAAAAGTCCATTTGATAATATAAAAATCCAACTTCAACCAAATATGTTGTGGATCTAAATTAAGAGCCAACAAGCTTTTTCTGTCAAGGGCCAGTTAGAAAGTATTTTAAGGACTGCTGGCAAGAAGGCCGAATAAGAACAGCTCCAGTATGCGGCTCCCAGCGAGATTGATGCAGAAGGTGGGTGATTCCTGCATTTCCAACTGAGGTACCTAGTTTATCTCTTTGGGACTGGTTGGACAGCGGGTGCAGCCCAAGGAGGGAGAGCCGAAGCAGGGTGGGGCATCACCTCACCGAGGAAGCACAAGGGGTTGGGAACTCCCTCTCCCAGCCAAGGGAAGCCATTAGGGACAGTACTGTGCACTCCAGCCAAGATAACTGGGCTTTTCCCATGGTTTTCTCAACTCACAGACCAGGAGATCCCCTCCAGTGCCTACACCACCAGGGCCCTGGGTTTCCAGCACAAAACTGGGCAGCCTTTTGGGTAGACACCGAACTAGCTGCAGGAGCTTGGTGGGGGGAGGGGTGTCCGCCATTGCTGAGGCTTTAGTTCGCGGTTTTCCCCTCACAGTGTAAATAAAGCTGCAGGGAAGTTTGAACTGGGTGGAGCCCATGGCAGCTCAGCAAGGCTGCTGGGGCCAGACTGCCAGATTTCTCCTCTCTGGGCAGGGCATCTCTGAAAAAAAGGCAGCAGCCCGAGTCAGGGACTTATAGATAAAATTCCTATCTCCCTGGGACAGAGCACCAGGGGGAAGGGGCAGCTGTGGGTGCAGCTTCAGCACACTTAAACGTCCTTGCCTGACGGCTCTGAAGAGAACAGCAGACCTCCCAGCATAGTGTTCGAGCTCTGCTAAGGGTCAGACTGCCTCCTGAAGTGGGCCCCTGAAGCCCGTGTATCATGACTGGAAGACACCTCCCAGTAGGGGCTGACAGACACCTCATACAGGAGAGCTCTGGCTGGCATCTGAGAGGTGCCCCTCTGGGAGGAAGCTTCCAGAGGAAAGAACAGGGAGCAATCTTTGTTGTTCTGCAGCCTCTGCTGGTGATACCCAGGCAAATAGGGTCTGGAGTGGACCTCCAGCAAACTCCAGCAGACCTGCAGCAGAGAGGCCTGACAGTTAGAAGGAAAACTAACAAACAGAAAGGAAGAGCACATCCACTCAGAGACCCCCACCCAAAGGTCACCAACATCAAAGACCAAAGGTAGATAAATCCACAAAGACGGGGAGAAACCAGCTCAAAAAGGCTGAAAATTCCAAAAACCAGAACGCCTCTTCTCCTCCAAAGGATCACAACTCCTCACCAGCAAGGGAACAAAACTGCATGGAGAATGAGTTTGATGAATTGACAGAAGTAGGATTCAGAAGGTGGGTAGCAACAAACTCCTCCAAGCTAAAGGAGCATGTTCTAACCCAATGCAAGGAAGGTAAGAACCTTGAAAAAAGGTTAGACAAATTGCTAACCAGAATAACCATTTAGAGAAGAACATAAATGACCTAATGGAGCTGAAAAACACAGCACGAGAACTTGTGAAGCATACACAAGTAACAATAGCTGAATTGATCAAGCAGAAAAAAGGATATCAGAGATTGAAGATCAACTTAATGAAATAAAGTGAAAAGACAAGATTAGAGAAAAAAGAATAAAAGGAACAAACAAAGCCTCCAAGAAATATGGGACTATGTGAAAAGACCAAATCTACATTTGATTGGTGTACCTGAAAGTGATGGGGAGAATGGAACCAAGTTGGAAAACACTCTTCAGGATATTATCCAGGAGAACTTCCCCAACCTAGCAAGGCAGGCCAACATTCAAATTCAGGAAATACAGAGAACACCTCAAAGATACTCCTTGAGAAGAGCAACGCCAAGACACATAATCATCAGATTCACCAAGGGTGAAATGAAGGAAAACATGTTAAGGGCAGCCAGAGAAAAAGGTTGAGCTACCCACAAAGGGAAGCCCATCAGGCTAACAGTGGATCTCTCTGCAGAAACCCTACAAGCCAGAAAAGAGTGGGGGCTAACATTCAACATTCTTAAAGAAAAGAATTTTCAACCCAGAATTTCATAACCAGCCAAATTAAGCTTCATAAGCAAAGGAAAAATAAAATCCTTTACAGACAACCAAATGCTGAGAGATTTTGTCACCACCAGGCCTGCCTTACAAGAGCTCCTGAAGGAAGCACTAAATATGGAAAGAAGCAACCAGTACCAGCCACTGCAAAAACATACCAAATTGTAAAGACCATCGGCACTATGAAGAAACTGCATCAACTAATGGGCAAAATAACCAGCTAGCATCATAATGGCAGGATCAAATTCACACATAACAATAATAACCTTAAACGTAAATGGGCTAAATGCCCCAATTAAAAGATATAGCCTGGCAAATTGGATAAAGAGTCAAGATCCATCAGTGTGCTGTATTCAGGAGACCCATCTCTCGTGCAAAGACACACATAGGCTCAAAATACAGGGATGGAGGAAGGTTTACCAAGCAAATGGAAAGCAGAAAAAAAGCAGGAGTTGCAATCCTAATCTCTGATAAAACAGACTTTAAACCAACAAAGATCAAAACAGACAAAGAAGGCCATTACATAATGGGAAAGGGATCAATGCAACAATAAGAGCTAACTATCCTAAATATAAATGCACCCAAAACAGGAGCACCCAGATTCATAAAGCAAGTTCTTAGAGACCTACAAAGAGACTTAAACTCCCACACAATAATAGTGGAAGAGTTTAACCCCCCACTGTCAATATTAGACAGATCAACGAGACAGAAAATTAACAAGGATATTCAGGACGTGAACTCAGCTCTAGACCAGGCAGACCTAATAGACATCTACAGAACTCTCCACCCAAATCAACAGAATATACATTCTTCTCAGCACTTCATCACACTTATTCTAAAATTGACCACATAAATGGAAGTAAAACACTCCTTAGCAAATGCAAAAGAATGGAAATCATAACAAACGGTCTCTCAGACCACAGTATAATTAAATTAGAACTCAGGATTAAGAAACTCATTCAAAACCACACAACTACATGGGAACTAAACAACTTGCTCCTGAATGACTACTGGTAAATAACAAAATGAAGACAGAAATAAAGATGTTCTTTGAAACCAATGAGAACAAAGGCTACCAGAATCTCTGGGACATATTTAAAGCCGTGTGTAGAGGGACATTTATTGCATTAAATGCCCACAAGAGAAAGCAGGAAAGATCTAAAATCGACATCTTAACATCAAAATTAAACGAACTAGAGAAGCAAGAGGAAACAAATTCAAAAGCTAGCAGAAGACAAAAAATAACAAAGATCAGAGCAGAACTGAAGGAGATAGAGACAAGAAAAACCCTTAAAAAAATCAATGAATACAGGAGCTTTTTTTTAAAGATCTACAAAATACATAGACTGCTAGCCAGACTAATAAAGAAGAAAAGAGAGAAGAATCAAATAGATGCAATAAAAAATAATATAGGGGATATCACTACTGATCCCGCAGAAATACAAACTACCATCAGAGAATACTATAAACACCTCTAAGCAAATAAACTAGAAAATCTAGAAGAAATTGATAAATTCCTGGGAAAATACACTCTCTCAAGTCTAAACCAGGAAGAAGTCAAATCCCTGAATAGACCAGTAACAAGTTCTGAAATTGAGGCAGTAGTTAATAGCCTACCAACCAAAAAAAGTCCAGGAACAGACGGATTCACAGCCGAATTCTACCAGAGCTACAAGGAGTTGCTGGTATCATTTCTTCTAAAACTATTCCAAGCAATAGAAAAAGAGGGAATCCTCTCTAACTCATTTTATGAGGCCAGCATCATCCTGATACCAAAACCTGGCAGAGACACAACAAAAAAAGAAAATTTCAGGCCAATATCCCTGATGAACATCGATGCAAAAATCCTCAATAAAATACTGGAAAACCGAATCCAGCAGCACATCAAAAAGCTTATCCACCATGATCAAGTTGGCTTCACCCCTGGGATGCAAGGCTGGTTCAACATATGCAAATCAATAAATGTAATCCATCACATAAACAGAACCAATGACAAAAACCACATGATTATCTCAATAGATGCAGAAAAGGCTTTCGACAAAATTCAACACGACTTCATGCTAAAAACTCTCAATAAACTAGGTATCAATGGAACATATCTCAAAATAATAAGCTATTTATGACAAATCCACAGCTAATGTAACACTGAATGGGCAAAAAATTGGAAGCATTCCCTTTGAAAACCGGCGTAAGACAAGGATGCCCTCTCTCACCACTCCTGTTCAACACAGCATTGGAAGTCCTGGCCAGGGCAATCAGACAAGAGAAAGAAATAAAGGGTATTCAAATAGGAAGAGAGGAAGTCAAATTGTCTCTGTTTGCAGATGACATGATTGCATATTTAGAAAACCTCATCATCTCAGCCCCAAATCTTCTTAACTGATAAGCAACTTCAGCAGTCTCAGGATACAAAATAAATGTGGAAAAATCACAAGCGTTCCTATATACAAATAACAGACAAACAGAGAGCCAAATCATGAGTGAACTCCCATTCACAATTGCTGCTAAGAGAATAAAATACCAGGAATACAACTTACAAGGGATGTGAAGGACCTCTTCAAAGAGAACTACAAACCACTGATCAAGGAAATAACAGAGGACACAAATGGAAAAACATTCCACGCTCATGAATAGGAAGAATCAATATCATGAAAATGGCCATAATGCCCAAAGTAATTTATAGATCCAAAGCTATCCCCATCAAGCTACCATTGACTCTTTTCACAGAATTGGAAAAAAACTACTTTAAGCTTCACATCAAATCAAATCAAATAAAAAAGAGCCCGCATAGCCAAGACAATCCTAAGCAAAAAGAGCAAAGCTGGAGCCATCATGCTACCTGACTTCAAACAATACTACAAGGCTTCAGTAACCAAAACAGCATGGTACTGATACCAAAACAGATATATAGACCAATGGAACAGAACAGAGGCCTCAGAAATAACACCACACATTTACAACCCTCTGATCTTTGACAAACCTGACACAAACAAGCAATGGGGAAAGGATTCCCTATTTAATAAATGCTGCTGGAAAAACTGGCTAGCCACATGCAGAAAACTGAAAGTGGATCCCTTCCTCACACCTTATACAAAAATTAACACAAGATGGATTAAAGACTTAAACATAAGACCTAAAACCATAAAAGTCCTAGAAGAAAACCTAGGCGATACCATTCAGGACATAGCCATGGGCAAAGACTTCATGTCCAAAACACGAAAAGCAATGGCAACAAAAGCCAAAATTGACAGATGGGATCTAATTAAACTAAAGATCTTCTGTACAGCAAAAGAAACTATCATCAGAGTGTACAGGCAACCTACAGAATGGGAGAAAATTTTTGCAATCTATCCATCTGGCAAAGGGCTAATACCCAGAATCTACAAAGAACTTAAACAAATTTACAAGGAAAAAAAAAACAACCCCATCAAAAAGTGGGCAAAATACATGAACAGATACTTCTCAAAAGAAGACATTCATGCAGCCAAAAAACATATAAGAAAATGCTGATCATCACTGGTCATTAGAGAAATGCAAATCAAAACCACAATGAGATACCATCTCACACCAGTTAGAATGGTGATCATTAAAAAGTCAGGAAACAACAGATGCTGGAGAGGATGTGGAGAAATAGGAATGCTTTTACACTGTTGTGTAAAAACATTGGGAGTGTAAATTAGTTCAACCATTGTGGAAGACAGTGGGCAATTCCTCAAGGATCTAGAACTAGAAATACCATTTGACCCAGCAATCCCATTGCTGGGTATATACCCAAAGGATTATAAATCATTCTACTATAAAGACACATGCACATGTATGTTTATTGTGGTACTATTCACAATAGCAAAGACTTGGAACCAACCCAAATGTCCATCAATGATAGACTGGATAAAGAAAATGTGGCACATATATGCCACAGCATACTATGCAGCCATAAAAAAGGATGAGTTCATGTCCTTTGCAGGGACATGGATGAAGCTAGAAACCATCATTCTCAGCAAACTAACACAAGAACAGAAAATCAAACACCGCATGTTCTCACTCATAAGTGGGAGTTGAACAATGAGAACACATGGACACAGGGAGGGGAACATAACACACTGGGGCCTGTCAGGGGGTGGGGGCAGGGCGAGGGATAGCATTAGGAGAAATACCTAATGTAGGTGATGGGTTGATGGGTGCAGGAAACTACCATGGCATGTGTATACCTATGTAAGAAAACTGCACGTTCTGTACGTGTACCCCAGAACTTAAAGTATAATTTAAAAAAAAGAAAATATTTTAAGCTCATGGGCTCTATGGTGTCTGCTGGAATTGCTCACTTTTGTGGTTGCAGCATTGTGACAGTTAATACTGAGTGTCAACTTGATTGGATTGAAGGATACCAAGTATTGATCCTGGGTGTCTGTGAGGGTGTTATCAAAAGAGATTAACATTTGAGTCAGGGACTGGAGAAGGCAGATCCACCCTTAATCTGGGTGGGCACAATCTAATCAGCTGCCAGTGTGGCAGAATATAAGCAGGCAGAAAAATGTGAAAAGAGAGACTGGCCTAGTCTCCCAGTCTACATCTTTCTCCCATGCTCGATGCTTCCTGCCCTCGAACATCAGACTCCAAGTTCTTCAATTTTGGAACTCAGACTGGCTCTCCTTCCTCCTCAGCCTGCAGACAGCCTATTGCATGATCTTGTGATTGTGTGAGTTAATACTTAGTAAACTCATATATATATATATATAGAGATATATACACACACATATATATATATATATATACACGCATTCCATTAGTTCTGTCCCTAGTCTAGAGAACACTGACTAATACAAGCATGAAATCTATCGCAGATAACAGGTAAGTGAATGACTGACTGTGTTCCAATAGAACTTTACAAAATCAAGTCATTGGCTAGATTTTCTTGCCAGCCATAATTTTCTGACTCCTGATATAAATAAAAAAGGCAAAGGCTTTTAGAAGATAATAAACTTCATGCATAATCTTGGCATAAAGAAGGAGTGTTTTAAATAAAATACAAAAAGCAGTTGCCATTCAGGAAAATAATTTGTAAGTGGACTATATTAGAATTAAGAACACTAGCATACTGAATAGCCATGAAATGAGCAAACTGTAGCTATTGATACGATGTGAATAAGCCTAATATGGTTATAGCATAAAGGTGAACAAAAGAGGCAGCACACAAATGTACACACACACACACACACACACAAATCAAGAAAATAAAAAGACAAGCCATAGGGTAGAAAAGGAATGTGTCATTTATATAACAAGCAAAGACCATCTACCTATAATACATATTTTTTAAAACCCTGTACTATATATCAATAAGGAAAGACGATAAGGAAAAGACAAGCCCAAAAGAAAAATAGAAAATGATAAGAACAAACATTTCACCCAAAAGTTATGTCCAAATGGCTGATAAACATGAAAATATGACTAACTTCATTAGTAATCAGAAAAATACAAATAAAAATCACAATGATGTACCACTGCATACCCAACATAATGATAAAAGTTAAAGACTAATAATACCAAGTATTGGTGAAGATGTCAACAAACAGAACTCTGTTGTGCTCCTCTAGGAAAGAGAATGGGTGCCACCCTTTTGAAAAATAGCTTATCACTCTATATTCATGCTGAACATACTCTCCTAGGTGATAACTAAGAAAAACACACGTCCAGGTGCAACAAATACATATTTTTAAATGTGCATACAGCATTATTTTCTGGAAACAACTGGAAGCAACCCACGTTCATCAGCAGTGGAATGAATAAATATTCATACAAAGGAACTTTCTCCAGCAATGGCAAACAAACCACAGCTGCACTCACAATATATATAGAGTTCACAAACCTAATATTGACAGGAAGAAAAATTTAAAACCCAGACACAAATCAATACAGGCATTATTATTCAATGTACATAAAGTTCAAAAACAGATAAAACATAGACAATGGTTATCAGACAAGTTGGTCCCACGGTCAGTTTGAGGGAGTGGAGAGAGATTATGACTGAGGCAGTCATGCTTTGGCTCTGCATTTCTGGCCATTTGTTTCTTGACGTGTGACTACAAAGGGATTTGCTTAATTGAAATTTAATCAGCTGTATATTTACATATGTGCACTTTTCTGTATTTGGTGATGTTTCATAATTTTTTAAAAGGCTTTATGTTACCTGGAGCCTGCCACAGGGACCTGCCACTGTAAAATGAGATGTTTAAATAAAAATACCAGCTTCAGCAGAGCTCCTTTCTTTTCATTGATGCCACTGCATTATAAAGTACATGTCAGATCAGTTACGGTGAAAGTGGCATAACATGACTTCCAAGGCTAGGTCATAAAAGGCCTCCCAGCTTCTGTACGGCTCCTTTGCCATGCTCATCCTCAGGATGCTCCCTGTTGGAACACAGCCACCATGCTGTGAGAAGCTCCAGCCACACTGAGGCCAATAGGTCCTCCAGTTGAGAGCCCCAGCTGAGCCCAAACTTGTCATCATCCCAACCAGGAACCAGCCACGTGAGTGAACAAACCTGCAATAGATCTCCACCCCCAGCCATTGAAGTCTTCCCAGCTGTTTCCCCAGACATCCTGGAGCAGAGACAAGCTACCCTCTTACCCTCAACCCATGCCCATAGAAGTTCCCAACCCACAGAAATCACAAGCACAATGAAATGGCTATTGTGTGGGGACATCAAGTTACTAATGTCTGTTTCACAACAATAGCAATTGGGACAAGTCACCATAACTCCATTACTTCCAGTTGTTGTAAGGACTTCATGAAGATAGGCATTTTATTCACATTTTCTGTAGGGCATAGGTAAGGCTCAGAGTATGAGGTGAATTGCCTCGTGTTGTACAGTGGAGCCTGGATTTAAACCTGAATATGTCTGTCCTGACAGCCTGTGCTCTGCCTGTATGTGTTATAGACTGAATGTTTGAGTTCTTCCCAAATTCATATGTTGAAACCCTAACCCTCAATGTGATGGTATTAGGAGGTAAGAACTTTGGGAGGTAATTAGGTCATGGAGGTAGAGCCCTCGTGATGGGATTAGTGCCCGTAAATGAACAGACAAGGGAGAAAGATGATTTCTCTCTTCACCACAAGAGGTTAAAGAAAGAAGGCACCCATCTGCAAATCAAGACGAGAGCCCTCTCCAGACACTGACTCTGCTGGTACCTTAGTCTTGGACTTCCAGCCTCCAGAACTGTGAGAAATAAATGTTTGCTATTTAAGCCTCCCAGACTATATTTATTTGTTATAGAAGCCCAAGCTGACTAAGGCAAGAAATTGGTGCTAAGAAGTGAGATGCTGCTGTAACAAATACCTGAAAACGTGGAAGTGGATTTTGAACTGGGTGATGGACAGAGGCTGGAAGAGTTTGATTTTACAGGTTCACAGATTTAGCACAATTTTGCCTAAGGATGAATCACACTTCAAGTCTCACCCATACTTGATATAGTTGACACTTAGATAAACTTTGGACTTTAGATTTTAAAGTTGATGCTGGAATGAGTAAGGCTATCTGGGGCTGTTGGGGTGGGATAAGTGTATTTGCGGTATGTATTTGGAAGGTCTGGGGAAGAATGCTATGAACTGAATGTCTGTGTCCTGGCAAAATTCGTAATTTGTTATAGCAGTCTGAGCTGAATAAGATGTAGACCACACTGCCTTTCTTTCAGGGATGAGTTCATCACCACAATGAAATACTTCAGAAATGTGTGTAACAGCAATAAGAGAGTTTTCTCGATGTTACACTAGATTCAGAACAGAGCCAGACCACCAGAATTTTCATAGGACTAGGAGGGTTTAAGGTAGGCTCTGTCATATAACAGCTCCATGACACAGGCTATCTGCCCAGCCCCATTTTCTCACCTGTGAACTACTGCCCAAGACACTGTGACATATCATGGGATAATACCCACTTTGGGCTACCTTTGAGGATTTTTATAAGAATAGAAATGAGACATTAAAAGTAATAATAATGCCATCAGACACACTGCTTCTTGGCCAATTGACTGATTTTAAGAATGTGAAATTCTCAGCCATTTACATAGCACTTTGTTGGTTTCAAAGGGTTTCCACAACACACATTGGGTAAAAAGCACTCAGTAAATTGTAAGGCACAATGACAGACTGCATTATTATTGACATATAGGGAGACAATAAAAGCCAGAGAGTGCCAATCAGCTATGGTGATGACCCAAAATGCGGGTAAAAGGGAATAAAAGAAGGATGGGGCATGACATGGAAATGGAGTTTTCTCTGTATCATTGGCATCAGATACACAAAATAGTGTCAATTCACCAGAACCGTATCTGGATGTTCCCTTTCAAGCTAGCCACTGAAATTTTCAAGATTTCAGAATTGGCAAAAACTATACAATCTTATAGGAAAAATTTTTCTCCCGACTTTGTTCCTTCAGATAAGGACTCAGCAAAACTCTTCCACATCACATGCAGGAGAAAAACAGTGAAAGCCTATCAGTATAGTATCATGGCCAATGTGATGTTCTACTTTGTGAGCTGAATCTCTGCAATAGTACACGAGTCTAGGATCCTCAGAAAAATCCACCCCCTGACAAAAGAGTGGTTGTGACTTCAGTCAGTGGTCTCAATTCAAGGACTTCCTGCTTTTCTAACCTATAGGAGTTTAAAATGTGCTGGGTGACTTGATCTGATTTTTTTTCCCCATTTCATCACACACAATGAAACAGAACATGAGGTCAAGAAAAATGTAGAATGGAAATACATTTTCTTTCCCTGGAAATAGATTGGAAGATGACAGATCATGTTCTGAAATGATTTTTACTGCTCTCTAAGGAGCAAAATACAATGAAAGACTCAAAAAGTAGGGTTACAGGCCATTTCCTTGCACAGTGTTTGAGCTGATGGATTTTATTCTTGGAATGTTTTATTGTATTCTGCTCCTTCTGGGTGGGGAAAGTCACTTCAGAACTTGCCCAGCTATCTTCTGCTTTTAGTGGAAACTGTAATGGAGTCAGGGGTTGGACTGTCTTTTCTTCAAAGGACAAAGGATTCCTTTGTTGGTTCTATGGGACTCTTCCTATGTTCTCAAACCATGTTAAGTTTCATGCCTGACCCAGCACCATAAATATAGTTGGTGATCAAGAGATGGTTGGTTATTCATTCAAATATTCATTGTGCTAGACCCTCAGCTCAGCTAATGAAAGAGACAATCTCTGCCCTCAAAGAACTCCTGATGTAATGGCAGTGGCACTGGGCACTGAATGCTGTAGCAGGAGTGGCAGAGAGGTCTAGCTATCTGCTACAAATTAGTGCTCCCATTCATAAGGTAGTTGCTGGGAAGCAGTTGCCCACTACATTTCTAGCCTCTTTTGCATATAGGTGAGCTCATACTCACCATCCCCCAATCCTCCCTGCAAAAGAGTGAGAGAAAGAGGCAGAAGTGGTCCATAAGGACCATAACACTTTCTGAGCAATTCACCATCCTCTCTCTCTTCCCACCTCTGTTGACTGGATGTCAATGTCTTTGGGAGCCACTAATGAAGGTGGCAAGACTCCTTGTCAGCCTGAGTCCCTGAGTGGCTCTATGGAGCAAAGAGTAAGCCCTCATACCCTGCATTGCCACCCTGCCATCAATGACTGGACTGAGATTCATAAAAAATAATCTTTTATTTTATCAAGCCACTGAGATTGGAAAATTTATCTATTGTCACTGCTAGAACATTTGTTCTATTAACTATTCATTTAGCACCCTCCAGTTCATTCATTCATTCATTCATTTTATGTATTTGACACACTTACTGAGAGCCTCCTGTTGGCTAGGCATAGTTCTAGGCACTAGCGACACCAAGGCAGGGGAAGTGGAGTGACAGGAAATAAAAATACACAAGGTAATTGAAACTGAATAATGCTATGAAGGAAAAAACAAGCACTGCTGTAATGGAGAATAATTGAGAAACATCTGTGAGGAGTTGACAATTTGGCCTGAGACCTGAAGGCTATGAAAGAGCCAACCATGTACGTATTTGGGGTTAAAGCACTACAAGCTGAAGGATCAGAAAATATAAAGGCCTCAAGTAAGAAAATTAATAGACATATTCCAGGAACCGAGCAAAGGTGTGTGTGCCGTGCAAGCTAGGGCAGGACAACAGGAATAAACTGAGACAACGTAGAAGCACCTACAGAACCAGGAGATGCGGTCACCCTCCTCATGGCCTTCCCAACACTGTTCCAAGGCCAAACACTGCCATCCTGTAGTCCTAGAGCCTTACTCCTTCCCAGTGCTCCATGCTGTGGCTGTGGCTGCCCCGGTGAGAACTGATCACTGAAAGAATTTTTTTCAGCAGCTGCAGCAACAAGCATAACTCCAGAATGCCACTTGGAATCATCTGCTTCAAGCAGCAAAACATTAAATGTTTTGAATTTTTTTTAAAGTGGTAAAACTTCTAATGGCTTGAGCGTCCCTTAAAATCTTGACCTGAGGATTTTAGGAAAGCAACAACACACAAATTGCTAAGTCTTTCTTTATGAAAAAATAAATAAAGGATAATGGCAATAGCATCACTGTGAAGTGTTTCCCCTAGTAGGGAAAGAGGAAATTGTAATAGTTTCAATTTGGGATCTGGGGACCACATTTGATATGAACTCTTCTGCCCTTACATGAAATATTGAATTAATTTCTGTTATCAATTGGAATATGTTGCTGTCTTATTCACTGTGAATTACCCTGGCTGAAAATATTTGCTATTTTTTTTTCTCCTACAGATTCTCCTGTGTCAGTAGCCTGGGGGATACACTGTCTGATTTAGTTACAGAGAAAATCACTGTTTTTATTTGATGCCTATTTTTTTTTCCAAGGGGACAAGAAAAACATTCTCACTGGTATCAACTTGTTTCTAAGGAAAGAAGAAGGTGCCATTTCACTAAAAATCTATCATACAGTCCAATAAATGAGGTTACTCTGAACTGGCCTGGGGAAAAGCTCCTGGAGATGAAATAAGTAGGAAGGAGAATGTGATGCTGAAATGAAAGAGAAGACTCGAGTAGTTCCTGTTGTTACCTCAACCCTGGGGACAACGGGAACAGAAGCTTTGGCTTTCAAAGGTCCCTACAGGGGAAGAAGGGTTGGGAAGAGTTGAGAGTGAGAGAGGTAAATGGAGTCAGGAAACTGGATTCTGGGGCTGATTCCATTCCCAAGTGAAACTAAGTAGGTAATTATCACTGTGGGTCTCAGTTGCTTTATCAGTAACACGAATTTGGTTTGGTCTCTGCCAGTCTTAATGGTCTGTGGGAGGGGTGTCCCTCCTGTGTCTGCCCTGGACCACACTGGAAGAACTGCCTTGGGCCACACATAAAATACACTAATAGTAACTACAGGTGATGAGCTAAAAAACAAAAATCAAAAGAAAATTTCATAATGCTTTAAGAAAGTTTACGAATTTGTGTTGGCTGCATTCAAAGCTGTCCTGGGCCACATGCAACCTGCTGGCTGCGGGTTGAACAAGCTTGGTCCATACTTTGTCAACCATGTTTATATAGCATTGTAATGGTTAATTTTATATGTCAATTTGGCTAGGCCATGCTCCCCAGATATGTGGTCAAACACTATTCTAGACATTTCTGTGAAAGTTTTTTTGGATGAGATTAACATTTAAATTAATAGAATTTGAGTAAAGCACATTGCCCTCTATAATATGAATTTATCTAATCAAGTAAAAGCTTTAAGGAAAAAATTGATGTCTCTCAAAAGAGAGGAAATTCTGCCACTAGACTGCCCTTTGGACTGAACTGCAACTCTTTCCTGGGTTTCCAGCCTGTCAGCCTGTCCTACAGATTTTGGACTTGTGAGCCTTCTCAATGGCATAAGCCAAAAAACAAATGCACACATACATACTGCTATGATTTGAATGTGTCCCCGAGAGTTGTACGTTTAAACTTAATCCCTAATACAAAAGTGTTGAGAGGTAGTAACTTTGAGAGGTGATTAAGTTAATGGATTAATGTCATTATTGTGAGAGTGATTTGTTATTGTGAGAGTGGGCCTGCTACAAAAGCAAGTTCAGCCCTCTCATGCTCTCATGCACATGGCCTCTTTTGCCTTCCCGCCTTCCGCCATGGGATGATGCAGCAAGAAAGTAATTGCCATCTGTGTGGCTCTCAGTCTTGAACTTCTCAGCCACCAGAACCGTAATAAATAAATCTGTGTTCTTTATATATTACCCAGTCTGTGGTTGGTATTCTGCTATAGCAACTCAAAACAGACTAAGACACATGCATACATACATACATACATACATACATACATACATACATATGCACATACATGCACATACGTACTCATGTATTAGTTCTGTCTCTCTGGTGGAGAACTTCAATACAAGCAACTAGTTTGTGTCTGGGATCACCCTAAACCCTTGGGATTTATTAAGGAGAAAAAGAGGCAAAGATCCCTTCCCTCTTAGAGCTTATGACCTTGGCCTGTGCAGTAAACTCAGCAGGTTTGAGGTACCCAAACTCTACACATTCCAAAGAAAGAACTGGCCCCAATTGCCCCTGGGAGATCATCATCTCTAATCCTTTGGAACACTCTGCCTAGTAAGTGTGTCTTTGTATCACTGGGGAATTGAACCATGCTAGACAGTTTATGCTAACAGTGTGACTCATGGTAAAGGCCTGCTTTTGTTTGCCTGGAGCCCTGGGCAATACTGTATCAATTTTACCTCTGGATGGGGAGGAGGGGATGGAGACTGAGTAGCTAAATCTGCTCAACTGGGTACTTCATGCCTATGTGATTGACCCCTAATAAAAACTCTGAACATCCAGTCATGGTTGAGCTTCCCTGGTTGGGAACACTTTGTACACATCAGCATACCCCGGTGCTAGGAGAATTAAGAGTTTTCCATATGCTCTTACTGGGAGAAGACAACTGGAAGCTTGTGTCTAGTATCTCCTGGATTCCACCCCACACACGTTTTTCCCTTACTTATTTTAGTCTGTATCCTTTCTCTGAAAGACACCATAACCATGGGCATAATAGCTTACCTGAATTCTGTGACTTCTTCCAGCAAATTATCAGACCTGAAAGTAGTCTCAGAATCCTTGACACAGTCAACAATATTTATGGAGCATCCACTATGTACCAAAACTACCTTAAACACCCGGGATTTATGGAAAAGCAAAAAGAGACAGATTCTCCTTCGCTCCTGGGCCTTATGATCTTGATTATGCCTGTGGGAACTGTGTGTGGAGTTATTACAGTTTTCACATTAATTTCCAAGAAAAGTCCTCAACAGTCAGCTTTGACTGTGGGTAAAAAGAGAATTAAAGATGTGTTGAGTTGATCAAAAATAAATACATAACTAAAATAAAATCCCAGTGTGATCATGGGCTGCAATAGAAGGAGATGTCTTGTTTCACCCTGCTCCTCAGATCATGCCTGGAATGTGCCCAACTGCAGTCAGTTATAGTGGTCTTTGTGCATCATTAGCAAACCACTGACAAACTAAAATGCAACCAGGTGAGAGAGCTCAGGTTGTTGAAGTTGGCCAAAACTATGGTCCATGGGGAACAGTGGGAAAATCTGAAGATATTTAATAAGAATGGTGATTCTCAACTGAGAATGGTTTTGCCCATAAAGGACATTTGTCAATGTCTGGAGACATTTTTGGTGGTTACAACTGGGAGTGTGCCCCTAACATCTAGTGGGTAGAAGCCAAGGATGCTACTATGCATCCTACAATGCACAGGGCACCCCCCCGCAATAAAGAATGATCCAGCTCAAAATTACAGTAGAGCTGAAGCTGAGAAGGCAAAGATCTACCTACCTAACCAAGTGCATAAGATGGTTTGAGAACTATGCACACATGGAACCAATTACTCCACAGGAATAAGTCTTGTGTTGCAGGACATTTCCAGTTAGAATTTACACGATGAGTTGTCAGGGATACTACAGAGGATACCCAAACCCTGAACTATAAGTGATTCTTGAACATGTACAGGAAGCCCCAAAGAGAGGTTCATGAATCTTTTTCCAGTTCATGAATGAAGAAACATCAGAAGCCACATGACTCAAATGCAATTCTGTGGTCCTCTGGGAGCAGAATCAAAATTAAAACGCATAGCTAGGGAATCTTGCATAGCAACTGAGAAAATACGTCTTTAATCTTTCTCTTTCGGCAGACACAATAACTTAACTGAATGTTAAGTAATAAAAATAATTTGATCATTATTTATTATTATTACATGTACTATTTTCAGCCCTTTTTACTAATCCCTCTACATGTATTATTGCATTTAATCTTCTGAAACAAAAATGGAGAGCACAAAGAATGAACTCATGACAACTGCTGAGGCAGCTACTATTATTGCTCCCATTTCTCAGATGAGAACACTAAGTGTATTAGACAGGGTTCCCTAGAGAAACATAACACACACACACACATATATATACACACACATGTTTGTATGTATATACAAACACATAGAGCTTTATTATAAAGAATTGGCTGAATTGGCTTATGTGATTATGGAAACTGAGAAGTCTCCCATTCATCTGTTGTCTGCAAGCTGTAATTCTAGTCTGAGTCCAAAGACCTGAGAACCAGGGAAGATGATAGTGTAAATCCCAGTCCAACTGCAGAAGAAGACCAAAGTCCCAACTCAGGCAAGCAGGCAGGAAGCAAAAGATGCCTTTCTCCTTTCTTCACCATTTTGTTCTTCCCAGTCCCTCAATAGATTGGATAATGCTCACCCCCACTGGGGAGGGCCATCCACTATACTGAGCCCACTGTTGCTCATTTTTTCCAGAAACATCCTCAAAGGCACATGCAGAAATACTCTTTAATCCAGGCACCTCACATCTGAGAGGAGTCAGGTCGACACATAAAATTCACTTTCACAGTGAGGCTTACTGAGACTAAATAATTTACAGAGGGTCATACAACTAGAAAGGAGCAGAGCTGAGATGTGAGCCCAGTCTGGCTGATAACCAAGCCCACTTTCTTCTATGTGCTCCAGCTACATAAAAGAGAGGAAGCATCTGGAAGACTCTATTACTGATGACCAAGCAAAGCATTATTGATGCTTCTTGGGCAGTGGGTTATATTTCATTGCTAGAAATTACCTTTCCTGAAAATCCCCTGGTAATAAAACCTCTCAGACCTCCATCCTTCTGTCAGCATATCCCAGAGAAATCAGTAGAGTTTAGGCACTCATCTCCCTGGGCATAAACTTCATGACTTGTGGGCTAGGGGCGATGACCCATTAATATGAGCAGTCTGCTGCAAGTGCTAATAAGATCATGTTTATCAGTCAGGGTCCCAACAGGAAACAGATGCAACATCAAAATCAATTCAAGAAGGGTTTCTCCACAAAGAGATTCATTTCAAACTTCAAGGGATATTGCAGGAACCTAGACTAGCAATAGTGGAGCTGTCTGGATATCTAGGCACAAATGGACAAAGGAGAGAGTAGGTCCCAGAACACAGAAGGAGAGATAGTTGTGTGGAGAGAGCTACCTCGGAAGGACCGGGGCTCTGTGTCACAAGTGACCACACAGGGAGGGAAGGAACCAAAGGACCTCTCTCTCCTCCCTTCCCTAACCCCATCTTCTGCTGGGGCTCCCCACTGGGTGAAGCCAACCAGAAGCCACAGGCCTGGGACCCCCTTGATGTGCTTCTCATAGGTCACCCCCCAGGGCCAGGAGAAGAGAGAAGATGGGAGGCATGTGATATAATGTAGCTATAAAACCCATGAAAAATGTGCAGCCTCACTGGGATTGTGGGGTTTGGAGGGGATTTTTAAGGTAGTATTTTTCACAACAAATTGAGAAGTGTTTTTAAAGGCGAATTTGATGAAACAGATATACTCATTACAGCTGATTGAGACAAAGGCGTTCATTGTTTCTAGAAGGCTATTTGGAGTAAGTAGTAAGAAGTGTTCTAATATCCTTGCCCTTTGACTCAATATTTTCATTGATGTATCTACAGATATTTCCATACTAGAATATTCATTGTAGCATTATTTATGATAGTGAAAAGTTGGAAAGTTAAATGTCTAACAATATGACCTTAGTTTAAAACTTACAGTATGTTCATATGGATAGAAAATCCCACAATCACAAAAAATCATATTGTTGAAGAGTATTTAAAGATATAATAAAATGTTCAAGATATAAAATTTATGGCAAAACTTTGACTACTCAAATATATACTGCGAAACCCAATGCCAACATATTGTGCATGTGTACCTGGGAATACATGTGAATTAAATAAGCAATAGGTACACCAAAATACTAGCAGTGACTGCTTCTGGGTAGCAGGATTGTTAACTCTGTTAACTGAGGGAACAGGGAAGAGAGGAAAGGAAAATAAATGCCAGGGGTTAGCACACCTCAAATCAACAGGGAAATCAAGGTTTTAAATTTCAGATGAAAATTGTGTGCAATTTCCTAAGGCCCTTAAGTCATATCAGAGAACCCCTAACAGAGAAGGGAATAGGAAATGGTACCATAGCCCTCTTCTCTGGATGGGAAACAGGTTCAAAAACTAATAAAAATTACAATCAAGGATCTATTATTTCTTAATGTGGTGATTTAAAGTCTCACCACTCCTATTCAACATAGTGTTGGAAGTTCTGGCCAGGGCAATTAGGCAGGAGAAGGAAATAAAGGGCATTCAATTAGGAAAAGAGGAAGTCAAATTGTCCCTGTTTGCAGACGACATGATTGTATATCTAGAAAACCCCATTGTCTCAGCCCAAAATCTCCTTAAGCTGAAAAGCAACTTCAGCAAAGTCTCGGGATACAAAATCAATGTACAAAAATCACAAGCATTCTTATACACCAATAACAGACAAACGGAGAGCCAAATCATGAGTGAACTCCCATTCACAATTGCTTCAAAGAGAATAAAATACTTAGGAATCCAACTTACAAGGGATGTGAAGGACCTCTTCAAGGAGAACTACAAACCACTGCTCAATGAAATAAAAGAGGATACAAACAAATGGAAGAACATTCCATGCTCATGGGTAGGAAGAATCAATATCGTGAAAATGGCCATACTGCCCAAGGTAATTTATAGATTCAATGCCATCCCCATCAAGCTACCAATGACTTTCTTCACAGAATTGGAAAAAACTACTTTAAAGTTCATATGGAACCAAAAAAGAGCCCGCATCGCCAAGTCAATCCTAAGCCAAAAGAACAAAGCCGGAGGCATCACGCTACCTGACTTCAAACTATACTACAAGGCTACAGTAACCAAAACAGCATGGTACTGGTACCAAAACAGAGATATAGATCAATGGAACAGGACAGAGCCCTCAGAAATAATGCCACATATCTACAACTATCTGATCTTTGACAAACCTGAGAAAAACAAGCAATGGGGAAAGGATTCCCTATTTAATAAATGGTGCTGGGAAAACTGGCTAGCCATATGCAGAAAGCTGAAACTGGATCCCTTCCTTACACCTTATACAAAAATTAATTCACGATGGATTAAAGACTTAAACATTAGACCTAAAATCATAAAAACCCTAGAAGAAAACCTAGGCATTACCATTCAGGACATAGGCATGGGCAAGGACTTCATGTCTAAAACACCAAAAGCAATGGCAACAAAAGACAAAATTGACAAATGGGATCTAATTAAACTAAAGAGTTTCTGCACAGCAAAAGAAACTACCAGCAGAGTGAACAGGCAATCTACAAAATGGGAGAAAATTTTCGCAACCTACTCATCTGACAAAGGGCTAATATCCAGAATCTACAATGAACTCCAACAAATTTACAAGAAAAAAACAAATAACTCCATCAAAAAGTGGGCAAAGGATATGAACAGACACTTCTCAAAAGAAGACATTTATGCAGCCAAAAGACACATGAAAAAATGCTCATCATCACTGGCCATCAGAGAAATGCAAATCAAAACCACAATGAGATACCATCTCACAGCAGTTAGAATGGCAATCATTAAAAAGTCAGGAAACAACAGGTGCTGGAGAGGATGTGGAGAAATAGGAACACTTTTACACTGTTGGTGGGACTGTAAACCAGTTCAACCATTGTGGAAGTCAGTGTGGCGATTCCTCAGGGATCTAGAACTAGAAATACCATTTGACCCAGCCATCCCATTACTGGGTATATACCCAAAGGACTATAAATCATGCTGCTATAAAGACACATGCACTCGTATGTTTATTGCGGCACTATTCACAATAGCAAAGACTTGGAACCAACCCACATGTCCAACAATGATAGACTGGATTAAGAAAATGTGGCACATATACACCATGGAATACTATGCAGCCATAAAAAATGATGAGTTCATGTCCTTTGTAGGGACATGGATGAAATTGGAAATCATCATTCTCAGTAAACTATCGCAAGAACAAAAAACCAAACACCGCATGTTCTCACTCATAGATGGGAATTGAACAATGAGAACACATGGACACAGGAAGGGGAACATCACACTCTGGGGACTGTTGTGGGGTGGGGGGAGGTGGGAGGGATAGCATAAGGAGATATACCTAATGCTAAACGACAAGTTAATGGGTGCAGCACACCAGCATGGCACACGTATACATATGTAACTAACCTGTACATTGTGCACATGTACCCTAAAACTTAAAGTATAATAATAATAAAACTAAATAAATAAATTTTTTAAAAAAACTCCTGATTGAATAGGGAAAAAAAAAAGTCAAGCTTTAGTTACTTTAAACAATAAACCCCAAAGTGAATGTCTCTTTTAAAATGCATGCCTCCTCATTCTCATTAAGTGATACCATTTACTGTCAGCTGGTCTCAAAAGCTGCAACAACAGTTTCCATGAGGCAAGAACACCCTTGAGACTCAGGTCATAAAAGGAACTTCTACTTATTACAGCCTTTTACAGTTTACCAAACTCTTTCACTTACATAATTTCCTATAGATTATCCCACATTCATTCCCACATTTAAATGGAAAGAGCTATGCAAGACCCTGGCACAATTGCTGGCCTGTCATAGGTTATTACTGAGCTCCACAGCAACCTGGAGGGCCGATGTCATGGCACTAATTTTGTAGATGAGGAAAGTGAGGCTCGGAGTGGTCAAGCTTCTTATGGAAGAGGACACAGTAGATGATGACTTGAACTCAAGTATCCGGAGGCATTTCCCTTCTACCAGCTTCTCCCCGGGTGGCTGAGTGTGCTTCACCTAAACACAGCCTCCCTCCCTGGTGTGGCTTGGATGTTTGTCCCCTCCAATTCTCATGGTGAAATGTGATTCCCAATGTTGGAAGTGGGGCTTAGTGGGAGGTGTTTGTGTCATGGGGGTGGATCCCTCATAAATGACTTGGTGCCCTCGCTGTGGTAATAAGTTACTGTGAGTTCTGATTGTTTAAAGGAGTCTGAGATCACCCCCACTGTCTCTTGCTCCGTCTCTCACCATGTGATGTACTTGCTCCCCCTTTGCCTTTCGCCATGAGAAGAAGCTTCGTGAGGCCCTCACCAGAATCAGATGCTGGCACAATGATTCCTGTACAGCCTGCAGAACCATGAGCAAAATAACCCCTTTTTCTTTACAAATTACCCAGTTTCAGGTACTTCTTTATAGCAATGCAAAAGGATTAACACACTCCTAGAGGGCTATACAAGTATGAGCCTTAAACTGGGTGTGCTCTTTGGTTCTGCATCTTTTTATCCACCAGGAAAAGTATTAAATAATGATGATTTCAAGAAAAAAATGACTGCTTCTTGCAGTGCAAAAGGCAGGCACTAAGTAAATGCATACTGGGAGAACTTTCTTTTTTTTAAATAAAACAACTTAGATTCACCAAAAAATTCTTTCTTTGACCTCTGTCTTCAAAGTAGTTCAACAAAACTGCATCTATTTTAGTAAGAGCTTTGTTAGTGATCACAATTGTAATATATACACAAAGCAGAAAACTTGACAAAATAGAAAAACAAAAGAAAATAAAATCATTCATAAATTCATATTTACCCTGCCTAGCCTGTGCCCTCAAGGTGGCCACTCAACATTCTTGTCCAGACCCTCCCGTTTTTCTCCCAATATACAGTCACTCTTGACCACGTCTTAATATTCTGTAGTTAACTGTATGAATGAAAAACAAAATACTCCTTAACCTTACAGGCAAACTTTACCTGTGTCCCCTTGTCTCCTCTGTTGTTCGAATATGAACTAAAATTTAAAAAAAAATACTACGAACCCACCAAACTTTTCTTCTTTTTTTTTTTTTTTTTGATAGGCAGAGTCAGGCTCTGCCACCCAGGCTTCAGTGCCGTGCAGTAGCTCACTGTAGCCTTGAATTCCTGGGCTCAAGGGATCCTTCCACCTCAGCCTCCCAATTAGCTGGAACTGAAGGCACAGTCTACCACATCTAGCTCCAACAAAACTATTGACCAGCCCTCCCTGCCCTGAGCATCATCAAGGTAACTCTTTTTTCCCAATGAAAGAGTTGATTAATAAATATAAAAGTCTAAACAAAACCAAAAATAAATACATGAAACCTAATTAAACTGAAAACCTTCTGCACAGAAAAAAAAAAAAAATCATCAGAGTAAAAAGCCAACCCACAGAATGGGAGAAAATATTTGCAAACTACACATCCCAAAAAGGACTAGTATACAGAATCTACAAGGAACTCAAACAAATCACCAAGAAAAAAAAAAAAACAGTTTTGTTTAAAAGCGGGCAGAAGATATGAGTAGACATTTCTCAAAAGAAGATATACAAATGGCCAATAAACATATGAAAAAATGCTCAACATCACTATTATCGGAGAAATGCAGA
This sequence comes from Homo sapiens, assembly GCF_000001405.40. Lineage (NCBI taxonomy): Eukaryota > Metazoa > Chordata > Mammalia > Primates > Hominidae > Homo > Homo sapiens. The sequence continues at coordinate 8,394,572 of NC_000003.12, forward strand.
TTAAAACCACAATGAGATACCACCTTGGTCCTGGAAGAATGGCCATTATTAAAGAGTCAAAAAAACAATAGTTGTTGGCATGGATTGGGGAAAAGGGAACACTTATACATGGCTGGTGGGAATGTAAATTACTACAAACTCTAATATACTAATTAGTATGAAGATTCCTGAAAGAGCCAAAAGTAGATCTACCATTCAATCCAGCAATCCCACCACTGGGTATCTACCCAAAAGAAAAGTCATTATATGAAAAAGACACTTGTATGTGTGTGTTTATAGTAGCACAATTCACAATTGCAAAAACGTCAAAGCAACCTAAGTGCCCACTGACTAATGAGTAAAGAAAATGTGGTACATATACAACAGGGAATACTACTCAGCCATTAAAAGGAATAAAATAATGTCTTTTGCAGCAACTTGGATGGAGCTAGAGGCCATAATTCTACGTGAGGTAAGTAGGAGTGGAAAACCAAAAACTCTATGTTCTCACTTATAAGTGGGAGCTAAGCTATGAGGACATAAAGGCATAAGAAAGATATAGTGGACTTTAAAGACTCAGAAAGTGAAGGCTGAGAGTGGGGCTAGGGATAAAAAACTCCACACTAGGTACCGTACACTACTCGGGTGATGGGTGCACTAAAATCTCAGAATTCACTGCTATATAATTCATCCACGTAACAAAAAAAAAACACCTATATTCCAAAAGCTATTGAAATAAAAAAAAAATAAGTCTGAATTAGTAAATGCATGCAAAGTAAATGTTTCCTGGCCTGCAGCAAAGAGTATGAAGCCATCTGCAAAGCTACTTTTTGGCCCATGATAAACCAGAGAGATGCAACACAATGGAGCGTTGCCCTGAGGTACTTTCTAGCTTGCCACAGGAGCAGGAGAACTACTGTTTACAACCCAGATTCATGAACACAATTCAATCCTTATGGTACTTTCTTTTTCTTTTTCCTGATGGGTTTTAAACTATGGTCAGTCACCACATAAGACATTTCAGTCAACGATGACCACATATGGCTCTATAGGATTTTAATGGAGCTGAAATATTCCTAACACTTAATGGCATTTCGATGATCTTGACTCTGGGTAGACCTAGGGTAATGTGTGTGTTTCTGTGCCCATCAACCAATGAGTGAATAAAGAAAATACAGTATATATACCATAGAATACTACTCAGCCATAAAAAAGAATGAAATAATGTCTTTTGCAACAACTTGGATGGAACTGAAGGCCATTATTCTAAATGAAGTAACTCAGGAATCAAAAACCAAATATCATATATTCTCACTTTTAAGTGGGAGCTAAGCTATGGGTATACAGCAAAGGCATACAGAGTGGCATAATAACACTGGAGACTCAGAAGTGGGGAGAGTGAGAGGGGGGTGAGGGATGAAAAACTACCTGTTGGGTACTAGGCACAGTACTTGGGTGATGGGTGCACTACAGTTCTAGACTTCACCACTGTTCAATTCATCCACATAACCAAAAACCTCTTGGACCTCTAAAGCTATTGAAATAAAAAAATTTTAAGAAAGACTATATGGAAAGAAAAAAAATTTTTTTTAATCAACATCCCTAAAATAAATAGGCAAACGAGATGAATAGAAAACTCATAAAACACAAAAAAAAATTGGCAAGCTCAGTAGTAATAAAATAAATGAAACTTAAAACAATAAAATGTTAACATTTGTATTTATTAAATTCACTTTTAGAAATAAGAATATTTAAAATAGTGCAGTGAGACAGGCATTTCCACGACCCACTGTGAGTCAGAAAATTGGAAGCCCTATTTTGTAAAGTAATTTAGCATATTAAGTAAGAAGAAATAAGTAAAAAGAAATACATAAAATAAATTACTATGTTCACTTCTTTTCCCCATTATTCAACTTGTAACAACTCTAAGGTAATAACCTAAACTGTAGCAAAGGCTCTATGTATAACAAATTCATTGGAGTTACAACCTAAATATCTGTCAATAAAGAAATGTGGAAATAAATCAGTCCATGCCTGTAATAAAACATATCGTGTAGCTGTTAGACTTTAATTTATGAATACTTTTTAAATTTTAAAATTGATAAATATATATATTTTTTATTGAAAATAGAAAAAGCTTATAGAATAAGAATATAAAGAAGAAATATTTTGTATGACTGTGTGATGTGTTTGTGTTTTAAGCTACGTGTTATTACAAAACAGTCAAAAATTTAAAAATTTAAAACCTTATGAAGTTAAAACTTACAGAAAGCGAAGGCTAATTTATTATTGAAGAAAGAAAGATTTTTTTACATAAATTTAGTGTAGCCTAAGTGTGCCATGTTTATAAAGCCTACAGTTGTGCACATTAATGTCCTAGGCCCTCCCATTCACTCACCACTCATGGCTCACCCAGAGCAACTTCCAGTCCTGTGAACTTCATTGGTAACTGCCCTATACAGGTGTGACATTTTTAATCTTTTATATCGTATTTTGACGTGCCTTTTCTATGTTTAGATATGCAAATAGTTAGCATTGTGTTCCAATTGCCTACAGTATTCAGTACAGTAACATGCTGCACAGGTTTGTAGGCTAGGAGCAACAGGCTACACCACACAGCCCAGGTGTGTAGTAGGCTATATCACCTACATTTGTGTAAGTGCACTCTATGATGTTTGCACAACAACAAAATCGCCTCAGAACATATCCATGTCGTTAAGAGACACGTGACTATATTTGGGTTCTAAGTATCCATATTGAATGAGGCAGCAGGGAAGAGAAAACAGTATCTGGGAATGAGGCTTAATTGTCCTGAGCTCACTGAAGACACTCTGCTTTGGAACTGCAAGTGTCCTTGAGTCCTTTAACCTGGTCAGGGCTGTCTCTGTTACATCTTGCTTGCTCCTGGAGGCAAGGAGCAGGTTGTCTCCAGAGTTATCACTCTTATGGCCATTTCACCAGGCATTCTTCTCTCATTCATAAATATCTAAGTATTAAGAACACCCATGACACAAGTTTACCCATGTAACAAACCTGCACATGTACCCCTAAACTTAAAAGTTGAAAAAAAAAGAACACAGAGTTGATTTTGATCATAATCTTATCCAAGAATAAATGGCAGAGAGACTGGGCAGACATGACCCTTCTTTTGTAAGTTCAGCATTACTTTAAGACACAGACAAATGTGTGTGTCTTGACAACTTTCTAGAAAGTTCAGCCAATGGGTAGAATTGCAAAATATGTGAAACAGCCAAAGTTGGATGGAATTGAACTCCTGCACGCCGTCGGTTTGTATCTGAGTCAGCAACCTGCAAGGTTGGTTATCATTAAACATTTCTTATTCATTCATTCATTCAGGAAATATATATTAAGTGCCTACCATACTAAGCCCTATGCAATGAACTGTTGGTACAACAGGGAAAAAGATAAACATAATCTTTATCCTCGTGGAGCTCACAGCCCAGTGGGGAAAACAATAAGAAAATAAAGATATAATCAGCATATTCAGATAGAAAACGTCAGGACAGACACCAGATGGTCAGAGAAGGCTGTGTGGTGGATGCTGCCATGCTGCCCCAGATCCTCTTCAAGAAGTATTTGTGCCCTAGCCCCTGGGAGAACTGTCAACACTTGGCATTTTTGTGCCCTAGCCCCTGGGAGTACTGTCAACACTTGGCCTTCAGTTATCAGTCCTACTAGGGATTGCCTTGACGAGAGTCACCTCCCCAAGGTCACATCCTTCTTGGCAGGAGAGGGGTCCCCACTTAAGACTGATCAATAAAAGAGTACAAAGGCCTGGCCACAGCACCAGTTGGCAGCAACTCTGAAAGACCCTTCCAGCTCCAGGGGTCCCTGTAGGGCCAATGCGGCAATAGGCTCCATTGTTCCACTTCTCCCTGTGCCCACTCCTGCTCCATTCCCCTTCCTTCCACAGGAGTTGAGTCCAACAGCCCTTCACAATGGACATCCTTCATGTGAAACTCTATCTCAGGATCCTTTTTCTGGGAAATGCAGGACAAGTGGACACTTGGAGGCTGATCAGGAGCCAGCCATGCCAAGAGGCAAAGGAAGCCATACAGACAGGAGGAACATCAAGTTCACATCACTGAGGCATGAGCAAGTTGGCATCTTTAAGGACCAGAGAGGCAGCTGATGTGGTCTCAACATAAGGAGAAAATCTAAACGTTTGGAGATGGCATTAGAGAAGCAGGCAGGAGCCAGACCAGGAAGAGCTGTGTAGATTACAACAAAATCTTGGATTTTATCCCATTGCTAAGGGAGACAAAAGAAGCGCTGTAAGCCTGGGAGTGACAAGATCGGAGGTGCAGTTTTAAGAGATGACTCCAGTGGCTCTCTTTGCTAGAGTTGGAAGCACAGAGGCATAAATCCCTATTCCAGCTTTTCCAAAACGTGAATTTGGACAGAGAGTAACTCTTTTATGATTTGTTCAAAAGATAACTTTACAGGGCAAGAAGAGGGAAAATCCCTTGTATCTAGTAAGCACCTACTATGTGCTGGTCCTAACAATACTTTCAGTGCAGACACAAATTACCTTCATGTAGCAGAGGTAGCAATGAGGGCAAAGAGGAAGCGAGAAAGTGGTCCAAATTCACACAGCTTGTTAGTAGGTTGGTGCAAAAGTTACTTTTCATGGCAAAAACCATGATTATTTTGCACCAACATAATAAAACCAGGGGTGTGAATCCAAGTCTCTTTATTCCACAAATTACCTCTTTTTAAGTATTATAGTATTATAATTATGTATTGCATATGTTTTTACTGTATATAATTATAGTTTTTATACATAGTAAATATATTACAAGATACTATATCTATCGTAAGGCCAATGATAATCACGGGCATTTAAATGGACAATTGCTACCATTTTACGTAATCCTTCATCTTATTAAACAGCTGCACTTGCCCCCAGTATAATTATCAGTCTTTGCGGGAAAAGGAGGAACTCAAATGCAGCTGATGGTAGCCGAGTTCTGTTCTGTGTTCTGAAGAATCCCTGGCAATGCCCATCAGTGCTCCCTTGCCCCCGCCCAGGATACCCCCATCTTGGCTATTTCATGAGAAGGGCTTCTCTTGCAGGTTGCTGACTGCAGGCACAGATCTGTGGTGTATGAGAGCCTAATTACCAGCCAACTTTGGTTGTTGAAAGGTATTCTGCAATTGTATCCATTGAAATTCGTTGTAAGTGGCTGAACTTTCAAGAGTGTCTCCTTTTGCTTTCCCTCGATTGGGAACAAGATAGCAAGGCAAATGCCTGCAATTGAAGAGCTTTTGTAGTGTGATGATGTGACGGTCAGAAGAAGGAAACTTGTTCCCTCTCATCTCCTTCCAAGCCTTGCACAATGAAGACTTCTAATACTAATAATGTAAAAGGTCAAAGCCAAGATGAATGTCCCCTCTTCTTAAACACTTTTGGAAACAACCAAGATCACTGATCCATTATATCATTTCAAGGACTGAGATTCTTTCCACAACATGAAAGGGCAAAATAGAATTCTGGCCCCACCTCCTCCCACAATGAAACCCAGTAATTATGTGCTGTTTTTTGTTTTGTTTTGTTTTGTTTTGTTTTGTTTAACTAGACTGTATTTACTCATCCTGTGTTCCGGTTCTGTTACCTTTTGAACAGAACTGCACCTAAAATCCTGAGCAGACCATCCCGGAAACAGAAGAAGAAGCTTGCAGCCATTACAATGTTTCAAATTGTTTTGAAGTCACTATTAATTATGTCCAAAAAAGCCTTGAGGCAGCTTAAATTAGAATGTACACAGAAATGACAAATTTGCAAAATCCTTAAATCGAAGTAAAAAGGCAAGAATTGAGAAATAAACACATTCAACTGGCTGTTATTTTTTACATGTATTTTCATAAATTCATGAATAATTCCCTAATTTTCCCAGCACAGTGGGCTCTCTGGTCCAGATGGCCATTTCTCCTTGGGCTGAGCTGCTCTTGTAGGAATATGTGTGTTTTATCTAATAAACTTTTAAAGAGTAATAAAAGTTTATTAAATGAACTTTAATATATTTTACATATAGAAGAGTGTAATTGATGGAGTACAGCTTGATGAAACTTTACAATGTGAATATTCTCATGTGTCAGTAGCCAGATCAAGATTTGAGTACTGTCCAGGACCCAGAAGCACCCTTCAGGCCCCTCAGTCTCTATCCTCCCCAACCTCTTCCCCAAGGTAATCAACATCCTAACTTCTGTCACCATAGGTTAGTTTTCCCTAGCTTCGAACTTTATATCAACAGGATCCTGTAGCACGCGCTCTTTTGTGTTTGATTTCTTTTGCTCAACACAATGTTTGTGAGACTCACCCACATTGTGGCAGGTAGCAGTGATTTATTTTCATTGCTATATCATGGTCCCTTCCACGAATATGAAATACCCACTGGACTGTAGATGCACATTTTGTTTTGTCCAGTCCCCAGCTACCATGCATAGTACTGCTAAACACATACTTGTACATCTTTTGGCACACAACTGTACATACTTCTGTTGGAACCAAGCTTGCTGGTTCATACAGTGTGTGTGCAGTCAGCTTCAGTAGATACTGCCAGTTTTCTGAAGTGATTGCACTAATTATACTCCCACTGACAGAGTATGAGAATTCCTGTTTATCTAAGAAAATTTTCAAGGTTTTGATGGTTTTGAATTTTTATCAAGTAATGCATGTTCATAGTTGAAAGAAAATCTCACCCAAACAATCTCATAAGGCTTATTATGCAAAGGAGCAGTACTCTACTCTGCCCTTAAATCCTGCTCTGCAGAGCCAAGAATTTTCAATTCTTTTAGCACCTTCTTCCAATATTTATCTTTTTGCTTCTACATATTTATTTTTTTACTTTGTATTTGATTTTTTAAGAATTCTCTATTAATTTCCTTCTACAGAAAAATAAAATTTTAGCACTGTTACAGCCTATACCTTTACCCTTTCCACCTACATTTCACTTCTACCTTATTCATAATACAGCTTTATCATAATGTTGGTTATATCAAGAGTTACTGTTTAAACTGCTATTATTCACAGATGAAACCAATAGAATACTCTGACAACATTTCCTTTCTTATACAAATGTTTGTTTTCCCTAAAGTTAGTGATTGCCTTTATTTTTCATCTAATTATTTTTCTAAGTATCACTGGTTTTTCTCAGACTCTCTGATGGAATTAGAAAACACCTCTCAAAAATGTTCAACTCCTTAAGAAATCTATCAATGCTTCATTTGCTCATTGAAGCTCTTTTCCTTCTTTTTTTTTATTTTAGCTAAAGTGTTCTTTCTTCCTATTCACTGAGCCTCTGGAACAGTTGTTATTCTAGGAAGTCCCTCCATTATTGTCCTAAGAATTCTTTTGTGCATTTTTTTTTTTGTTTTCAGGGATGGATCCCCTGTCTCCAGGATCTCAAAATTTCTTTCTTGATGTTTTCCCTTGCTTGCTGGAGCAAATCGTCCCATTCCTTCCCAGAAGTAAATGTTTTGAGACACCTATATTCCACGTGTGCCTCCTACCTTTACATTTGATTGACAGTTTGGAGGCAGACTGATGTCTAGGTTAGAAACAATTGCCTCAGCTTGGAAGACATTGCTCCATTGACTTCCTGCTTTGAAGCTTGCTGCTAAGAAGTCGAATTTCATTGTGATTCCTAATCCCTTCCTATGTAACATTGTTGGTTCTTCTCTGGAAACTTTCAGCATCTTCTCTGGTATCCTGAAATTCCACAGCAATGTGCCTTGGTGCAGGCTACACATGCGCTGAATACACATGAAATATTTTCAATTTGGAAATTTAAGTTCGTCAGTTCTCAGTATCTGTATATACAATTTTTAAAATTCCTCCTCTTTTGTGTCTCTCTTGATTGGATGTTGGACCCAGTGGATTGATTATCTGATTTTCTTATCATTTCTCTCCTCTTCTCTGTGTCTGGTTCTTTGTCCTACTTTCTAGGAGATTCCTCAACATCAAATTCCAAACTTCTGCTTATTTATTTGACTATCTGCTGTCATATTTTTAATTTCCAAGAGCTCTTTTTTCTCCAGCTTTTTTTTTAAAACATAGCATCTTATTTTGATTCATCGACAAAATGTCTTCTCATTCTTTCTGAAAATATTATAGTGTTTTTAATTAAGTTGCCTTCTGCTCACTTCACTGTCACTAGATTCATCAATTTCAATTTCTTCTGGTATTTGCTTTGGTCGTTCTCATTTGAGAATTGAAGCTTTTCTCAAAAGTCTGGTGATCCCGACCTATCCATTAATATTTAAGAAAGAGGCAATAAAAAGCTGATTCGCAGTTATCTGTGAGTAGGCATGGCTCTGCTGGAAGGTGATAAGATAGATACTTATCTAATTCACTCGAGGATTTTTCCTGTTAGAGTGGTTGATTTCTGCTAAGAAAAATCTCTTTAACTCTGCCTGCTCAACTCTAAGAATTGAGAAGGGGAAGAGGATTAAGAAGTCTCTTTATTTTAATATCTGAAGCCTGCTCTCCTCTACTCCTGATGTCTCCATCTGGTTCCCCTCTGGTTGAGTTTCTCCAGAGACAAATTTCCTTTCTATAGATGCTGTAGTTGGGCAGGAAGTAGTCCATTATCTGGTCGTATGGGAAAGAACATCGTATAAAACCATCTATTATACATGCAGTAATAATAGGGTTGTTTTGAGGCTTGGCGGTTTTTGTTTGTTTGTTTGTTTTAAATTGCAGTCAATAGAAATGGACTCTGGGAAATCAGTTAATTAAATGGTGAGTAGTTCATTAAATTTTGAGGATGGTTTAAAAACTAGGCTCCAGTTGGGAGGCCGAGGCGGGTGGATCACCTGAGGTCAGGAGTTCAAGACCAGTCTGGCCAACATAGTCAAACGCCATCTCTACTAAAAATACAAAAAATTAGCTGGGCGTGGTGGCAGGAGCCTGTAATCCCAGCTACTCGGGAGGCTGAGGCAGGAGAATCGCTTGAACCCAGGAGGCAGAGGTTGCAGTGAGCTGAGATTGCACCATTGCACTCCAGCCTGGGCAACAAGAGCGAAACTCTGTCTCAAAAAAAAAAAAAAAACCTAGGCTCCAGGCTAAGCTTCTAGAGCTATGCCCAAAACTTATCCCACCAAAAAATCCTGATGAAGAAAACTTCACACAGACTCTGCTGCCCTACTGAGCACTAAAGTAGATTATCACGGTGCTGACCAGCACCATCACCAATGACAATTCTGTATGAGAAATGTAACCTTAGAAGCACTTGCCAATTGCTTCCACAAAAATCCTGAGAGCTCTCTCCTTCAAAAATAGAAACACACACAGATCTTCTTTCCTCAGCTCACACCTGAATTAAAATTATGTGTGTGCGTGGTTGGCACAACCAGATTGCTTGACTGTAGTCTAGCTATAGGGGAAGCTGAGAATTAGAGTTTGGATTAAGGAAGCAATACCCATAAATTGAGATAAACCTAAATATAGAAAAGCTACTAAAAAGTGGATAACCATAATATGAGATCTAACCACTACTGAGCTGATTCTTCATATCTGTCTTTAGAGGTATCTCTGGGCTCCAATTTTCTTGTCTCTCTAGGATTCTGTGGTAAAAGTTGGCTTGCTTCTCACTGAGATTCCCCTCTCCAGGCACTTTGTTCCAGCTTTCTTGCTCTGCCAACCCAGTTAACATTCATCCATCTGCTTTCCATCTTCCAAACATTTGTGGAGATATTTAATTTGCTATTGTTTCCTCTCTTATACTGCTTGTGTAGGTTTATAACATTTTAATTCCTTTTCTATTATTTTAGTGGAGTTCAGCAGGAAGCAAAAATCAGTGCACGCTATGACTAGAATTGGAAGTATCTTTTGTGTAGCTATGAAGGAGAATACAGGTTTAGAGGTGATTAATTGTTTATTGAATGTGCCAAAATAGCCTGTTGAAAAAATTAAAATTTCTCAGTGGGCTCAGACTCATCAAGACTGCCACCTTTACCTCCTGACCATCTTGCACCTAGGCATGTAGCCAGGCTTGTGTGTCTCTGAGGAGTAGACTTTCCTCCCTGAAAATTTTATGTATTTCAGGAGTTAAAAAAGGAGAAATTTGCAAGGTGAATGCCTCTCTGTTTTAAGAACATGATGCAGAAAGGCAGCTCCAGTCTCCTATCTTTATAAAATTTCTCTCTCTACTTCATTGTGAAAATCTCAGGGAATAATTCTGATTGGCTGGCTTGGATCATGCACCCACCACCATGGTCAGGGCAGACAAGGATAGCCTACGCTACTCTGTGACTAGAGCATGGGTCTGATACCACAAGAGATTGAGAGAATGGAGCAAGACATCCGTAGGTAACAGCAACCGAACACGTGGGTACTCCACTGCTACATGATGGATCTTCTTGAATATCATGTGACCATGGCAAGATGAACACATGGAAAATAAACCTGTGGTGAACTGAATAATTCCCGACAAGAGATATCCACACCTGAATCCCTAGAACCTGTGAATGTTACTTTATATGACAAAAAATGAACTGTGTAGATGTGATTAAGTTAGGGATTCTGAGATGGGAAGTTATCCTGAATTAGCTGGCTGGGCCCTAAATGCAAGCAAATGTATTCTTATAAAAGGGAGGTAGAAGGGTATCTGACACACACATGCACAGGAGAAGAGAAGCAACGTGACGATGACAGGAGAGATTGGAGTGATGCAGCTATAGGCCAGAAACTACTGAAAGTCACCAGAAGCTGGAAAAGCTGAGGAACAAATTTACCCTTGAACCTCTGGAGGGAGTGCAGCCCTAGACTTTGGTCCAGTGAGACTTATATATATAAATTGCATATTAATTAAATATTAATTAAATATAATTATATATTAATAAATATACATTCTATATTTATAGGCTATATAATGTATTATGTATTCCTATAATTATATAATTATTACATATTTATAAATATAATTGTGTTTATAAATATTATAATAATATATAATATATTATAGTATATAATATATAACATATTATCAATATTATTGCTATTTTATGATTGACATTATCTTATTATCTTATTAATATTTTTAATAATATCGATTATATATTTTAAGCATATTTATAAATTATATATTATATATTTATATTTATATATAATTTATAATAAAAATTATAATTTATAAAAATATAGTTACATAATTATATATATTGCATATATATTTGGTTTAAGGCACCAAGTGTGTGGTAATTTGTAATAGCAGCCATTGAAAATAAATACAGATTTTGGTACCTGCTGTAATACATTTCTAAAAATGTAGAAATAGCTTTAGAATTGAGTAATGAGTAGAGGTTGAAAGAATTTTGAGACTGATGATAAAAAAAAAAATAGCCTAGATTGCTTTCAGTAGACCGTTGGTAGTAATATGAGCATTAACGGCACAGTTGCTGAGGCCTCAGACAGACGTGGGAAACATCTTATTGGAAACTGGAGGTAAGGTGGCCCTTGTTAAGTAGTGGCCAACTGCCAGACTGAATTGCACCCTACAGTTGTGTGGAAGACATGAATTGTAAGTGGTGAACATGGATATTTAACTCAGGAGATTTTCAAGTAAGGTGTCAAAAATGCAGCCTGGTTTCTTCTTGCCAATTATAGCAAAATATGTAAGGAAAGAGATAAAATGAGAGAATAACTGTTGAGCAAAAAGGTACCAGGACTTGATTACTTGGGAAATTCTCAACCTATCCAGCTTCCAAAAGATGCTAAAATTAGGAGATTCACTGTCGAGAAATCATGTTCTGGATGGTCAAGGGTATAACTGGACAAATTTTGGTTGTGTTAGAGATTAGTCATGTGACTCACAGATCCCCTTAGCTATCTCAGTAGAAGCCAGGAAAAGAGATGAGATTCTCCAGAAAATATCTGTGGAGGATTCCCTTATCTAACGGCATGAATCCCTGTAATATACATGGGAGACCCACAGGCTTTTTAGAGTGTTATATCTGAAGAAACAGCCAGATTGAACTGAAAGGGACAGAGAGAACAACCTGAAAAGAGCCTATAAGACTCCCAAAATTCTACAGGTAGGAAACAAGCTCACACTATTATCAACCAGTTCTACCTCAAGCAAAAGGAAGAATGACTCCCAGGGTGGAGCCTCAGGCTGAGAAGGCAGAGCCACAAGACAAAGACAGATTATTTCTAAGCCTCTGTGGAACTTGCCCTGCTGGATTTTCCATTGTTCATAATCAATGACTCCTTTTCCCCTTTCGTATTCTCCTTTTTGCAATGGAAATGCCTATAGCTGTTACACTATGCCTGTCCCACCATTGTGTCTTGGAAGCAGAGAACATATCCTCTAGTTTCACAGGTCCACAGAAGGAGAGGAAATTTTCCTCATGATGTAACATATAGAGAGTGTTTCCTATTTCTGATTTAGATGATGAGATTTGGTACTTTTGAACTGATGATATTTAGACGAGGTTTTGGACTGGAGTTGATGCTGTAATGGGATGATACCTGGGAATGTTGGTTGAATGCATTTTGTGTATGGAATGGATGTGAATCTTTGAGGATGTGAATCTCAAAGGGTAGACTGTAGTAAACTGAATAATTCCCCCTGCCAAATAAAACCCAAACGATCCTCATTCGAATCCTTGCAACTTGTAAACGTTTTCTTATATGGCAAAAAAGGGAGGAGTTTGCAGATATAGTTAATTAAGGACCTTGAGGTGGAGAGATTATCCTGAATTATCCAAACGGGCTCTAAATGCAATCACACTAAAAAAGGAGTTAGTGACAGATTCACCATGGAGAAGACAATGTGAAGATGAAACAGAGAAAGAGAGATTTGAAGATGCTACAACTGCTGGTCTTGAAAGTGGACAAGGAAGCCATGAACCAAAGAATACAATGAATGCAGCTCTAGGAACTGGAAAAGGAAAGGATGAATTCTTCTCTAGGGGCTTCAGAGGGAGTACAGCCCTGCCAATGCCTTGATTGGGTGCCATAAGAGTTAGTTTGAATCCACTGCCTCCATAAGGAAGGAAGCCAAAATTATTACTTGTGAGAGAATACATTTTTTGAGCCTCTAAGTTTGTTGCAATTTGTTACAGTTGCCATAGAAAACTAATAAAGAACTAAAACGGTCAATAACCTGTGAGGACAAAACAATGAAGAAGAAAGGCATATACTACAATGGAAAGGAAGTTAAATCAGGAATTAAACACCCCAGGCATCCTCAAGTCCAGACATTGCCACTTATAATTACGATAATTATGTGACCTTGAACAAGACACAATATCAGAGGCTCCTCCTCTTACCTGTAAAATGGGATGATAATACCTGACTCACTTCATTCCCTTGGTTGTTTTGAATTTAAATAGAAAAAAATAGAATTATTAACGTCTTATAAATTTAAAAGTGTAAATAAAATCTATAATGGTTATTTTTAATAGATAGACCATCCAAAACTTTATCACTCAATTATTAAGTACTACAAATATAGGTTACCTAGACTTTTTATTTTAAAAATATAGAACAATCAAACCCACAGAATTCATTTGGTAGAACATGGAGCTTGAGAATTTAGCTAATAGAAACCTGAGTTTTGTAGAAAGGACTGATTGATTTTCTTCATTCAAAGCCAAGAATTTCAACCACCTAGGCAAGCCCATCCACTCATTCTAAGCTAAATGTGCTTAGCTACAAAAGACTAGACATAATATGTCACATCTAACAGGCATGATAAAATGAGACTTAAAGAAAAATAAGTTACTTTGAGAAATTAAACCAAATCAAATGACACCATCACTGTTCAAAACATTTGCAGCTTCTTTGAGAATTCTTTTTCAAAACCAATTTCATCAGCCACACAAACAAACAACAATTCACCAGCAATTCAAACTCAGCCTTTGATTTGGCTCCAAACTGGTGTCTCCCAGCATAATTTCCCACCTTATTCACAAGACTTGGCTCTCAAAGTGTTTAGGGTCTTTTCAAAAATGAAATCTATACTCAAAGAAACAAGACTTGCTTATATCAAAATTGTTCTTAAAAATAATAATAATTAAGGGGGTTCCAAACAAGAGTGTTCCAAACAATAGCACATCACTCCAGTGAGTTTCTAGTTCCCTGAGGGACTAACCGTGGGGAGATGTGCTCATTGCCCTGTACAGACAAGCAGAAGACTCTGGCAGGAAGGACTTGGGTGCCAGAGACTAACTTGGGTTAAAATCCAGCTCCATCACTCACCTGCTAGGTGACCTTGGGCGAATAATTTACCTTCTCTATACTTCTGTTTCCTCCTCCACAAAATAAAGATATTATCTCAGGTGACCATATTATGTATTGTCCAACCCAGTGCACTTTGGAAAGAAAAAAGGTGTCTTTTACTAAGACAGTCATGTACCACATAATGACATGTCGATTAACTATGGAGTGCACATACAATGGTGATCCCATAAGATTATAATGAAGCTAAAAAATTCCAGTCACCTAGTGACACAGCAGCCTTTGCGACGTTGTAGTGAAACACATTACTCACATGTTTGTGGTGATACATCTGTAAGCAAACCTACTACCCTTACTTTTTATTGTTATTTTAGAGTATACTCCTTCTACTTATTTAAAAAAAAAAAAAAGTCAACTGTAAAGCTGCCTCAGGCAGGTCCTTCAAATGGCATTCCAGAAGAAGGCATTGCAATCCTAGGAGATGATAGCTCCATGTGTCTTACTGCCCCTGGAGACCTCCCAGTGGGTAAGAGGTAGAGGTGAAAGACAGTGATATTGATGATTCTGACTCTACCGGCCTAGACAAATGTGCATCCTTGTGTCTTACTTTAAAACAAAATTTTAAAAGGATAAAAACATTTTTAATTTAAAAATAGAAAAAAGCTTATAGAATGAGGATATAAAGAAAATATTTTAGTACAGATGTACAATATGTTTGTGTTTTAAGTATTATTACAAAAAAGTCCGAAAGTTGAAAAAATTAAAGAGTTTATAAAGTTAAAAAGTTGCAATAAATTAAGATTAGTTTATTATGGAAGAAAGAAAAATATTTTTTATAGACTTAGTGTAGCCTAAGTGTACAATGGCCGTAAAGTCTCTAGTAGTGCACAGTAGTGTCCTAGGCCTTCAAATTCACTCACCACTCACTCACTGACTCACCCAGGGCAACTTCCAGCCCTGCAAGCTCCATTCATGGTACATGCTCCAGTACAATCACATGATGTACAGGTTTATAGACTAGGAGCAATAGGTTATACCATCTAGCCTAGGTGTGGTGTAGTAAGCTACACCACGAAGGTTTGTGTAACTACACTCTATGATGTTCGCACAACAATGAAATCACCTAATGAGGATGCATTTCTCAGAAGGTATCCCCATCATTACATGACACATGACTATACTTGCATCAGGACAGTAAGCATAGGCTGGGATTGGCACACGAAAACCAGGATGCCTGGTGATCCTAACACCCCACTTTCTTAAGGGTGTTTGTGAAGATTAAGTAACATAATGGGTTCACAGGGTGTGATTAAGAGGTAACCCTATATAATTTATACCAGGCTAAAAAGCAAAAAGTCATAGCCCTTGCTGATGATACCTGCCTACTCCATTGGGCCTTGCTTTCAAAATCCTTTTGTTTACAAATATATGCAGGACTGGCAGCTTGCCACATCTGGTATGATAAACGGGTGTGCATTTACACAGACACAGCCCTCCCTCTCACCTGGTGGCACTACCACAGAGGGGCAGCTTTCCCTTTGAACCCAGCCAGGAAGGTGGCAGCACAAGGCCCATTTATCATTTGCCCTGCATCCAAGGCACTGGCCACACAGTGAGGTTTTCAGACGTGTGACAGGCTCAGCATAGACACGTTGCTCTCAAGGAGTGGAATCTTCTCAAGAGAAGTAAACGAAGCCCAAGTACATCCATATATCTGACAGCGGACAGGTGCCCACACTTCCACGTTTCACCTTGGCAGGAAGCAACAGCATTACAATAATATAAGCTCCTATTTACTTTACTGTGAGCTAAGTACTTCACTAGGCTCTCTGTGTTTTTCTGACACCAAATACATCGTTCCAACACAAATTCTCATATTCTCTGACACCAGTAAGGTGTCCAACAATTCAATTTAATTCTGACACTATTCCAAGTAAGCACAGACCCCATAGGTTAAGGACTCTGTCCTACAAAACTGGGCCCACTGCAGATGCTGGCCGGAAATGGGGTCCCCAGACTACCTTCACTTTGGCCCAGCAGACAACAAGTTCAGGGGTTCCCAGAATCACTCTTTAGGTTTGATAACTTGCTAGAACAACTCACAGAACTCAGGACGGTGCCATGTTTACTGTTACAGTGTATTATAAAGGATACGAATGAACAGCCAGATAGTGAGGTCTTGGAGTGTTCCAGATGCAGGTGCTTTTGTTCCCATGGAGTTGGGATGAGCTACCCTCCCAGCACATGGATGTGTTCACTAACTTGGAAGCACCCTCAAACCTCAAAAGCTTCTCCACTTCAAAAACCTGCTTGGCACACATCTTCCCCACCTAAGTCAAGGGCTACATTCTCCTACTTGGTGCAGCCCGGAAATCACTAAGTCTTTCTTTCATCTCTCTTTTATATTACCAATTCATCAGTGACCCCAATGGCTCTACTTTTCAGACATACAGAGCCGGTGGTGAGGCATGGTGGCTCATTGCTGTAATCCCAGAAGTTTGGGAGGCCATGACAAGAAGATGGCTTCAGCTCAGGAATTTCAGACCAGCCTGGACAACACAGCAAAACCTCCTCTCTATTAAAAAAAAAAAAGATAGCCAGGCATGGCGGTGCATGCCTATGGTCCCAACTATTTGGGAGGTTGAGGTGAGAGGATCATTTGCACCCTGGAGATAGAGGCTGCAGTGAGCTATGATCACGCCACTACTCTCCAGCCTGGGTGACAGAGTGAGACCCTGTCTCAAAAACAACACAACAGTATTGAAGATACAGAGAGGCAATTACTCCCCGCTCCCTACCACTGCCAGGGTGGTCCATCCCTCATCGTCTCCCAACTGAATCTTTGCAACAGCCCCCTAGCTGACCTCCCTGCATCTACCCATTGTCTCCATCATTCTTTTCACAGCACCTCAGCCAGAGCAATCTAGTGAAAGCCTGGGCAAAAACTCGCCCTCAGTAGCCCCTGTCTCACTTGGGGTGAAAGCATGGGGGAAAACTCCCCCTCAGTGGCCCCTGTATCACTTGGGGTGAAAGCATGGGCGAAAACTCCCCCTCAGTAGCCCCTGTCTCACTTGGGGTGAAAGCATGGGGGAAAACTCCCCCTCAGTGGCCCCTGTCTCACTTGGGGTGAAAGCATGGGGGAAAACTCCCCCTCGGTGGCCCCTGTCTCACTTGGGGTGAAAGCATGGGGGAAAACTCCCCCTCGGTGGCCCCTGTCTCACATTGGGGTGAAAGCATGGGGGAAAACTCCCCCTCAGTGGCCCCTGTCTCACTTGGGGTGAAAGCATGGGGGAAAACTCCCCCTCTGTGGCCCCTGTCTCACTTGGGGTGAAAGCATGGGGGAAAACTCCCCCTCGGTGGCCCCTGTCTCACTTGGGGTGAAAGCATGGGGGAAAACTCCCCCTCAGTAGCCCCTGTCTCACTTGGGGTGAAAGCATGGGGGAAAACTCCCCCTCAGTGGCCCCTGTCTCACTTGGGGTGAAAGCATGGGGGAAAAATCCCCCTCGGTAGCCCCTGTATCACTTGGGGTGAAAGCATGGGGGAAAACTCCCCCTCAGTGGCCCCTGTATCACTTGGGGTGAAAGCATGGGGGAAAACTCCCCCTCAGTAGCCCCTGTATCACTTGGGGTGAAAGCATGGGGGAAAACTCCCCCTCAGTAGCCCCTGTCTCACTTGGGGTGAAAGCATGGGGGAAAACTCCCCCTCAGTGGCCCCTGTCTCACTTGGGGTGAAAGCATGGGGGAAAACTCCCCCTCAGTGGCCCCTGTCTCACTTGGGGTGAAAGCATGGGGGAAAACTCCCCCTCAGTAGCCCCTGTATCACTTGGGGTGAAAGCATGGGGGAAAACTCCCCCTCGGTGGCCCCTGTCTCACTTGGGGTGAAAGCATGGGGGAAAACTCCCCCTCAGTAGCCCCTGTCTCACTTGGGGTGAAAGCATGGGCAAAAACTCCCCCTCAGTGGCCCCTGTCACACTTGGGGTCAAAGCCGATGGCCTCATGATTCCCCTCTGCCCATCTCATCTCATCCCACACCCCCACTTATCCCTCCGCATAACACCACCCTCCCTGAGCTTCCTAAAACACACCAGGCCACACTTGCCTTGAGGCCCCTGCATCCTCCGTTCCTCTGCTTGGAAGACTCTTCCCCAGATATTCCTGTGGTTTCCTCCCCACGTCCTTTAGTTCTCTGACCTCCCATTAAAAATAGCAATACTTTCTACCCTGTCCCCACGCCATCCCAGCACTCCCTAACCCCCCTTCTCTGGCTTATTCTGCTCGTTAGACTTACTGCCATCTAGCATATATTCTTATTTGTTTATTGTTTAATGTAAAGTTCAAAGAAATAAGAATTGTTTGAGTCTCTGCTTTATCCTTTGTGACCAGATCAGTGTCTGTCTTGTAGAGGCACTTAATAAATATTTGTTGAAAAAAAAAAAAAAAAGGAAGAAAGGAGGGAAGGAAAGGGAAGAAGGAAGTGAAAGGAGGGGTAAGAAAGAGATCTTATCAAGGAAATGTTGTGACCAACCATGTATCTGGGAGAGAGGAAAGGGACACTCCAGCTTGAATCCAAACTTTGACCATGTCTGGTATGTCTGGCCAACTGCTGCCAGATGTTGAGGTGGGACAGCCAGAAGTCCAAGGGAATGACAGGGTGAGAAACCTCCTGGGAAGAGGACGTTCCAACAGGAATCAGGCATATTCCTGTTGGACCCAGCCTCAGAGTCTAGTGGTCAGAGTGGCAGGTTGTGCCCAAATGAAGCAGGCTGTCTCTCACTCTGACGTGTCCCAAGTTTAGCCCCATGGACTCACAGCTTAGCACCCTGGAGAGGGAGAAAACTGAAAGATCTGATTCACTCTTTGGAGCATAAGCATTATGAGACTGGACCCCACGTGGGTGCCAAGTTCAGTGTAAAAAGATATCATGCTAGATTTTGTGTTTGTGCAGCTTTCTCCACACTTCGCAAAAGCATGGCTGACACCCAGTTTGGCAACTGAGGAAGCACTCAGGCCTGGCTGCAGAGAAAGAGAGAGAGATGACGGCAGAAATGGCAACTGGGCCCATCGGGGAACTCAGTGTTTTATGGACATATTAGTAAACACAGCAGAAGATAAAAGAAAGAGAAAGGCCAGGCGTGGTGGCTCACAACTGTAATCCCAGTACTTTGGGAGGCCAAGGCGGGCAGATCACAAGGTCAGGAGATGGAGACCATCCTGGCTAACACCGTGAAACCCCGTCTCCACTAAAAACACAAAAAATTAGCCAGGTGTGGTAGCGCGTGCCTGTAGTCCCAGCTACTTGGGAGGCTGAGGCAGGAGAATGCCTTGAACCCAGGAGGCAGAGTTTGCAGTGAGCCAAGATCGCACCACTGCACTCCAGCCTGGGCTAAAGAGTGAGACTCCATTTCAAAAAAAAAGAATGAAAAAGAAAATTCTATGACACCCCAGCCACTGAAGTGATAGATTATTTGTTCATGAGCTCATGAAAATTCCCTGCCAAGACAGCAAAATGTGTGGGGTGATTTTTAAGGAATAGGGGCAGTATGAGCAAGAAGAGACCAACACCAGCAGGAATGACACTTAGGATTCCATTGGAACCCACCAGCTGATGGCTAAGATAAAATCCAATCCTAGATTTGATTTCAGAAGAGCAACTTTTGGTGCATTCTCTTTTTATTTATATAAAATTTAAGAGCCCAGAGAAAGGTGATTAATTAAATTGTTGGTTTTTGCAAAGTCAGGCTCTCCAGAAACATGCCTTATTATATGCAGGTGATTGGTTTATATGTAGAGATAGCCTCCTAAGCATGGGATTTGAAGGGCCAATTACAATATGACCACAAGCTGACTTCTTTAGTTAATTCCAATTCCTAGTGTTTCTATGAAAGTCTTCATTCAGGTAAATCTACCCATTTTAAGATTGTAACCCCTAATAATGAATAACAAAAATGCTGCTCTAGACGAAGCAATAGAACAATGAGAGGTTCATTTGTATCTCTCCAGACATCCAAAAGTGAACAGCAGACTGAAAATTCTGCCTGTGGTGACATATCAATTAGGGACATAAAGAGCTGCTTATTTAATAGAATCAATTAGGAGTCTCAACATCAAAAGGGCATCAAAAGAAAATAAATAAGTCACCTAGGGAAATACACAAGCACTGTGGATGTAAACTCTGTTTATGTTTTTTCAAGTTTAATTTTATCTTGACTTAGCGCAACCATCATTAAGCAAACATTTTTAAGTTCAATTGCCTCTTGAGTGAAGCCAGCTACCATCATTAGGCAAACATTAGGTTTGGGACATGTGTCAATACAAAAATGATTTGCTGTATTGTTTGCCACACTGATATAGAACAAATTCTGGGCCAGCTTGAGTATATCAGAGTCAGCTTGTTTTATCCTCAACTCACCACTTCCCCAACTCAACTCCAAAGCTCCTGTAGATCAGAGAAAATTTTCCATTCCCAGTGGTTTCTCTCCTTCTCCCCAATGCCTGTTATGACAGAAATGGGGGAGCTTGCTTCCCTTTTCTTCTTTTCCCTTAAGATTCAGTCAGAAGAGAGGGACTCCAACTCCAATTGGTTCAGTGATCTTTCCTTAGGGGACACATTTAACAAATCAAGCTCTCTTTGAGCTAGGTCATGTGTTGACCAATATAAAATTATAATTGTTTCTTGGACTATTTCTAGCTCAAACACCCTCAGTATCTGAACTGTAATCATATGTTGCCTTTTCGCTACTCTTCTAAAATTATCCTAGCACTACTCTGTATGAGAAAATTCATGCACAGAAGCTGACATCTGCTTTGTGTTTTCCATTCCAGTCCCAAGTCACAGATTCACAATGAGGACTTCAGCAATCTCCTGTACACTTACTTTAACATCCATGCTAATGCTCATGGCAAGCAATGGATAGAGTGGATTTTATTCAGGGCAGACCTTCTTAGTTATGGGTGTGAATCCCAAGGAAAACTCTCCAAAACTGTTGGCTGATATTCATGCGGCAAGGAGACCGGATCCAAGATATTAGGTTGTGAAAGTCAAGCCCCAGCCTCTTATGGGAAATTTTTATTAACGTTTTAAGGATCTTTTGCAAATTGAAGATGGCCATAAATTTATTTTAACACTTGTTCCTTCAAGAGAGATTTATTTTTTCAGCCCTTGAAGAAAGAGGACTGGCCTCTTCGACCAGTAAATAGGGCAGAAGTGATGATATGCCAGCCCTGGGCCTGGGCTTTTAGAAGACCGGCAGCTTCTATCTTGGTCTCTTGGAAGCCAACACCCAAGTGAGAACTGCAAAAACTCCAAGACTGTCCTGCTGTGAAAAGCCCAAGCCATGTGAGAAGACTCTGGGGATGTGACACCATGTAGAAAAGAAAGAGACCAAGAAGCATCAGGGTGTCTGACATGTAAAGGAAGACCCATCTTGAAAGCGAATCCTCCAGCCTCAGCTGCCCTCATGAATGCTAAGTGAACCAAAACAAACCACTCAGCTGAGCCTTTCCCAAATTCCTAATGCCAACAAAATTGTCAGCAATATAGGCAGGCTGTTAAAAACTATTGAGTTTGGGAATCATCTGTTATGAAGCTCTAGATGATTGGAGTATGACTGACCATGATTGGCCTATGAGAGGTTCTTTTCTTGCATATGACAAGTTTGATCCCACATCAGGGCCTTTCCATGTGCTTTTCCCTGGGATGCTCTTCTCCTAGGTGTTTTCCTGCCTAGATCCTTCTAATCATTCAGGTTGAGGATCAAACCCCTCTAGCTTGGAAAGGCCTTCTCTGACCACCCTATGTAAAGTGGGTGCATGTGAACACATGCCCTTAAGCCACCCTTTGGAAATTTCATTACTTGTTCATATGTTTACTAGTTGATAATGAAAGGAAATGCAGCTTTGCCTTCTCTATGTGTGGCCTTATTTCAATCACCCAGAACACTGTATGGCACACACAAGATATTCAGGAAATATTTGTTGGCCAAATTCATAGATAAATAATATATTTATCAAACACAAGGGAAAAAAGGAGATATAAGCATAAGTTGCCAGAATATTTGAGGAAACAAAATAGAACTCTGTCTTAGTCTGTTTGTGTTGCTATAAAGGAATATATGAGGCTGGGTAATGTGGAGAAAAAAAGGTTTATTTGGCTCATGATTCTGATGGCTGG
This sequence comes from Homo sapiens, assembly GCF_000001405.40. Classification (NCBI taxonomy): domain Eukaryota; kingdom Metazoa; phylum Chordata; class Mammalia; order Primates; family Hominidae; genus Homo; species Homo sapiens. Next base: position 8,416,926 of record NC_000003.12, read on the forward strand.
AAAGTTCAAGATTGGGCGTCTGCATCTGGTGAGGGCCTCAGGCTGCCTCCACTCATGGCAGAAAGGGAAGGGGAGCTGGTGTGTGCAGAGATCACATGGGCAGAGGGACAGCAAAAGAGAAAGGAGGCGCAAGGCTCTTTTTAACAACCTGCTTTTCAGGGAACCCATAGAACAAGAACTCACTACCATGAGGACAGCTCCTAGCCATCCATGAGGGATCCGCCCCCATGACCAAACCCCTCCCACCAAGCCCCACCTCCAACGCTGGGGATCAAATTTCATCATGAGGGTTGGGAGGAAGAACATTCAAACTATAGCAATCTCCGAGAGGAAAAAGTTATAAATTGTGATAAGATTATGTTGTAATAAAGCAAATAAAAGCTTTTATCCCTCATTTACCTGGTTCTTGAGGTTCTTAAGTTTCCAAACTAAGAATCTAAAGGAATGTTTTAAAATTTTCCTTCCTGATTCTCCAGAGTAAAGACCTCAGACATTAAAATATCATTTACAACAGACATTATTATACAGCAACGCTTCTCGCTTAAATGCAACCCGTTCTTCTCACCTCAGGACTCAAATTTAAAAGGTATACTAAGGTGCTAATTTGTTAAGCTAAAACCCCGAAATCAAAGCTATTACCACAGTGCCACCTTGTGGCTAATGCTGATTCTGCACTTTTTTATTTTTTAGTTTTTTTGAGACAGGGTCTCACTGTCATCCAGGCTGGAGTGCAGTGGCTCAATCATAGCTCATTGCATCCTTGAACTCTGGGTTCAAGCAATCCTCTCACCTCAGCCTCCTGAGTAGCTGGAACTACAGGCACATACACCACACCTGGATAATTTTCTTTTCTGTTTTTGTTTCCTTCTTTTTTTTTTTTTTTTTTTTTGAGACAGAGTTTCGCTCTTGTTACCCAGGCTGGAGTGCAAGCAATCTCGGCTCACCTCAACCTCCACCTCCCAAGTTCAAGTTATTCTCCTGCCTCAGCCTCCCGAGTAGCTGGGATTACAGGCATGTACCACCATGCCTGTCTGATTTTTTTTTTTTTTTTTTTTTTTAGTAGAGATGAGGTTTCTCCATGTTGGTCAGGCTGGTCTTGAACTCCCAGCCTCAGATGATATGCCCGCCTTGGCCTCCCAAAGTGCTGGGATTACAGGCATGAGCCACCATGCCCGGCCTTGTTTTCTTTTTTTATAGATCAGGGTCTCAAACTCCTGGCCTCAAGCAATCCTCTTGCCTCTGCCTCCCAATGTGCTTGGATTATAGGCGTGAGCCACTGCACCGAGCAACATATTTTTCTTTTAAAACCAACTGGGAATGAATATAACTTTATATAACACCAGGTTATATAAAGTGTTTGGTGCGCATGATCTTACGTGAGATGTGGTCATTCTGAGGTCAGTAGTGTCATCCCTATGTTATGGAGATTAGGAGAGAGAAAAGGACTGTGACAAATACTTACTGATACCCAATGTGTGCTGTGTTATGCAAGGGCTTTTGAATAGCTTCTGTCTCTTAATACTTGAAATTATACTGGGATTTTGATACTATCCTCCTTTTTGTACATAAGCACATTTGTGCATGATAATGTTACGTGTCTTGTCATACATCTAGTAAATGAAGATTGGTCCCAGTAATACTGACCCCTGGAGCTGTTTTCAATCTATGGTATAGCATTGCCTCTCCCACAAAGTTAAACTTCTTCACCAAGTTTGACAAGCCTGTCAATTTGAGACAAAACTCAAACCCCAGACTTCTGGCTCTAATGTTCATTCATTCAACAAACACTCACTGAGCTCTGATATGGTTTGGATCTATGTTCCCACCAAATCTCATCTCAAACCGTAATCCCTAATGTTGAAGGTGGGGCCTGGTGGGAGGTAACTGGGTCGTGATGGTGAATTTCACATGAGTGGTTTAGCGTCCCTCCCTCGGAACTGCCCTCATGTTAGTGAGTTCTCACAAGATCTGTTTATTTAAAAGTGTGTGGCACCTCCCCACTCTTTTGCTCCTTCTCCAGCCATGTGATGCGGCTGCTCCCCCTTTGCCTTCCACTATGATTGTGAGTTTCCTGAGGCCTCCCCGGAAGCCAAGCAGATGCCAGCATCGTGCTTCGTGTACAGCCTGAAGAACCACGAACCAATTAAATCTCTTTTCTTTATAAGTTACCCAGTCTCTGGCATTTCTTTATAGCAATGCAAGAATGGACTGATACAAGCTCCTACTGCATGCAGAGACTGTGCTGGACACCAAGGATATGCCAGCAAACTGTCTATCATTATGTTCTTTCTATAGCCTTAGAAAACCAAGTATCACCCATGTCTTTCAAAGTTTGGCCCACATATCAAAATCCAGTAAGCTCTAGGAAATTCTGGATGATGTGTTCATTCATTCACTCATTCATTCAATAGTCATTAAAAACCTGGAAAAAAGCCTACTGTGGGCAAAAGCAGAGGTGGTTCCTGGCATCATGGAAATTATATCCTGGTCGAGGAGAAAGACATTAATCAAGTAATCACAATAAAATGCAAAATTCCCATACGGTCAACACAATACAACTCTCCTAATTAAATGCTCTTATGTACCACACAAAAGCATGTGATTGGGAGAGTTGACCAGTTCAGGAGGTCAGCTCACACGCCCCTGAAGAAGTGATGACGGGCCAATAGGACAAGTAGGAGTTAGGAAGGAAAAGGGGGAAGGAAAGAATTCCAGGCAGAGGGTTCTGAGGTGCAAAGGCCCTGAGACACTTGTGAGAGATGATATGTGTATGATCCTAAAACTAAAATCCTTTCCCAGGGCTTCTGCCTTACATTAGAAAATGGAAATACATTCTCAGCACTTCAGCTGCTGCTCCAATGTGCTCAGAATCTTTAGGAACCTAAAAACTTGGAACAACTCCTAAATGCCCACCTTGTGACCATGAACTATTAAAAAGAGCCTCAAATATGTGTGGTAGTTTTACTTTCTAAAGTACTTTTCCATTCACCTTATTTTGACTCTCTCCCGCAAGCCACGTGGGCTAGGTGAATTGTATGCTTATTCTCGCACGCCAGAAAGAGGCACCCCAGAAAGGCTGGGTGACTTGTCCACATTAGTGCATTAGTATGTGGCCCAAGCAAACCTTCATTCCATCCCAATCTAATTATCTGTCCACCAGTCTTCCTCACAATGTAATTTAGCCCCCAGTTACTGCTAACTTACCGTACTGCAATGGGCAACTAACCATTTGGTGCCTAAGTTAAAAATAAATCTAATGTTCGTATTATTCATACTCTTAGCCTTCTGTGCAACAATTTTGTTGTATGATTTTATCAGCAGGAAATACTTTGGTTAATACTTTGGCCTTAAAAATAGATAAACATCTTCTATTTTCTTGGCTATCATATCAACACTCAACTGGGGGACTTAATCAACAACTGATCAATTCAAACTAGTTTAATTAATTTTTTCCACTGAATTGCTCTACTCTAATGACTTTTTATCAAAGTGATCAGTTATGTGAGAATTGGGAAGACAGAACAGGATAATTCAATTAATTTTAAATTTCATGAGAGGGTGGGATTGGGGTGAGTTGAGTAAAAACTGTCATTTACTATTTTCTGTAGATAAAATTTAAACTAGAGAAAATTGCGTTCTCCAAAACAGTTGCCAGAAAGAAAAGCAAACCCTGTCTTTCATTCATGTATGCATGCATGCAATCATGAATTCATTCAATCAGTCAGTTAACATTAATTTTGGATCTACTAAGCGCCAGATCTGTGCCAAGTGGAATGCTATGGAAATGATTCAGAGGAGTATATAGTACAAACCTGTGCCAATTACCAATGTATTATTGCCTTTCAGCTAGCTATAGATCCATCTTTCATTGCCTGCTCTGTGAAAAGTTCTTTGAAGATGACATCATGCAATACTTTGTCAGTAGAGAATGCTGGAGAGACACTGCAGGAAGAAGGGGAGTCTCTCTTCTGGTGCTCTTCTGTTGGCTTCTGGCTTCTACCAAGAGCTGCTGCCAGCAACATGTTAGGAGAGAACATTGGCGCTCATCCTCATGGAGTTTCAGCAACATCCCCAGGGATGGGTTTCCAGTGAGTCTTGCAGGCCCCCTAGCAATCTGCTCCCAGCCTCAGTCCACCTGCACTTATGAGGGGTATCTCCTGCTTGCTGGTCTCTTCCTCCATTTTCTACTCACCCCTGCTCAGAGGACTACTTCCTGCTTGTAACTGCATACCAGCTCTGGTCAGGGTAACTCAGAGAACCACCCCACACAGTGGACTGTAGCCACATCTTCAGCAAGTTCTGAATCCCAGCTTTGAGGGATGGACTCTTTCCAAGTGGATCCTCCTTTAGGATTCTTCTTCAGTCCTAGGATACTCTGCAGCATTCTCTTTACACCATTATAGATCATCTCTGATTTAGTTAATAATCAGAGATTTAGCGGTGTTTCTTAACTGAGGTGCATTTCACAGACAAGAGGACTTTGGTAATGACTGGAGACACTGTTGGTCGTCACCACTGCAGTAGGGGTAGGAGGTGGGTTGCTACTGGCATCTAGTGGGTAGAGGCCAGAAATGCTGTTGAACATCCAAAAATGCACAGGACAGTGCCCAGAATACAGAATCCTTCAGCCCCACATGTTAGTGGGGCTGAGGTTAAGAAACTCTATGGCAAATGGTTCTCATTCGAGTTACTGTGTGGTTTCTTTCTCCTGATTTGACCCTGACTGATGCAGAGGGTGAGAAGGACATGAAGGCAGATAAATTATTCCCTGATAAGTTTTATCATGAGGTTTTTGTCTTAGCCACGCTGCCTTGTCTACACAACCCTGCTTTCATCAATTTGACCTGATGTTGCTGATCGAGTCAGGAAAAACATGAGTGCTGGAGATTGAGAGGAGAAGACCAGAGAGGTTTTTGTTTTATGGTTTTTGTTTTCCTTAGCTTGGCATGAATGTTCCTAATTGTTGAACAGGGAGCACATTTTTCACGTGCTCCAACATCTATTTTCAGCTGAAAACAGATGGTAGGAAGGGTGGGTAAGGACACCATGAGATTGCAGCTTATGTGCTCACTAACAAAGAGAATATAAACATGAAATACTAGAAAATAAATTCAAGAAATATCAAAGTAATTCAAAATCACCTCCTATTAGAATGAAGAAGGCCTGGCCAGGCGCACTGGCTCACGCCAGTAATCCCAGCACTTTGGGAGGCCGAGGTGGGCAGATCACCTGTGGTCAGGAGTTCGAGACCAGCCTGCCAACACGGCGAAACACCCATCTCTACTAAAAATATCAAAAATTAGCCGGGCATAGTGGTGGGCACCTGTAATCCCAGCTACTCAGGAGGCTGAGACAGGAGAATTGCTTGAACCCGGGAGGCAGAGGTTGCCGTGAGCCAAGATTGCACCATTGCACTCCAGCCTGGGCAACAAGAGCAAAACTCTGTCTCAAAAAAAAAAAAAAAAAAAAAAAAAGAAGGCCTTGAGAGACTGCTAACCCAATTGTACCCAAAGTAGGAGGAAAATCTATGTCATCTGGAGATTTTTTAAAAAGATACAGCTTCTGGGGCTCTAGCCCATGATTATCAAATATTATTTATAGAGGCAATAGAGTTCAGCTCCATTATTTTATCCAGGGCCACTGCTAGCCCATAAGGAGCCTTTGTGAAAATTAGAAAAGGCACTCCTCGCTCTGGGCCAGGAACACGACATGGCAGGTGGAGAATTTGGGTTTCAGTTTTCTCCTACCTCCCTCAGCCAAATTTCCTTGTGCAGTGCACAGCCTGCACAACTATACATGGGAGCCCTGCTATGCAGAATGAGGAAATTGAGTCCCACAGCACTGAGTTTCTTTCTTTTTATAATTTGCTCTCTGGCCCATTCATTCACAAATTCATTTACTCAACCATCATTTACTGAAGACTTGATATATGCAAGATCTGTTACTGTAAGATGAATAAAACACTGCCCTTTCCCTCAGGGAATACAAAGTCTAGGTGGAAAATAACTTTAACCAAATGTTTTTGCTTCTTAACTAAATGTTTTTGCTTCATCGTTTCATCTGATCTTGCAACAATGTGGAGAAGTAGGAAGTATAGTTATTATCCTTATTATACAAGTGAAGAAACAGAGAGTCCGAGACATGTCCGAAGTCACACATCTGGCCAGTCCCAAATTGGAACCAGAAGACAGGGCTCTCCAATCCCTGTGCAGTACCTGTTCCTCTACAGAACATCACCCTCTGTAAGAAGCCACAGTTTGGTGCCACTGGACCCCAGCCTCACATATACCCTATACTCCAATGTGGGCTGTCAACAGTGATTTTCTTACCTATTTTCACATAATTGAGTTATTCCTGATTAGTGATACCTATGAGCTGAGCACCAGTAAATACTGATATCATCTCAGTGCCAATGACTGCATTTGAGAATGAATAAGAAATTGCAGAGAAGGGTGAAAAGACATCAAAGTAGCATATGTTTATACTTTTCACAAAACATGTACCCAGCGTTAATCTCTTCACACTTAAATTTTTTTTTCTTCATAGCTCTAATCACTAGATGACGCTAATGCTTAACCATGGATTTGTTTCTCCCACTAAAATGTCAGCTCTTTGAAGGTTGGGATTTGTCTGTCATGTTCAATTTCTGACTCCCAGTATAAGAACAATGTCTGGCTCAGTAAACACTCACCAAATAAATGAATGAACAAATTAGTAAATTTTATAGAGCTCATGGAAGTCAGCCAACCAAACCTTTTTTCTGCCTCTAACAGAACAGCCAAAAGCAATGTGGTTTTATAAATTTCAACAAAAAGCTCATTAAAAAATCCTTTGTTTTATAATGCAAACCTTATTTGTCAGAAAACTTGAGTATTCGCTTCCTAAACTTGTAGTTTTATAGTTAAGACTTTTTTTTTGGCTATATTGTCAGTAAAAAGATTTTTTTTTATTGCAGCACTAGCCAGTTTACGGTTTGTTTCCTTTTGTGCTGACAAGTCACACTAAAAAAATCTGTCACATAATTTTGTGCCACTCCGGTGGTCTAGAATAAATTATCCAAATGTGGACAGTATGACCACCATTCTAGCGATGCATCACAGAGTCACATAATATTAGGGACAGGAGAAATCTTCTTAAATATGAAAGGAACTGCAGACCAAATTGGTTGAGGGAATCATTGAATATCACTTGGCAAGTTGGTGTCAGGACTGGGACTGAACTCCAGTTCTCACTGATGGTGGTAAGACTCCAGCTCTTCTTGAGGTGTTCACAAACAATCACAGCATTATGCATCTGTGGCACAAAGCTGTGAAAATGCACTCTCTGGGAACCATGAAGAAGGAAAAAGATGTCTCTAATTTACCTGTCCTAACTTCTACCTCTAGACTTACCACCCAATTCTGGGATGAATGGGCATGACTTGAAGCTAAGTATATCAGATAGATTTTGTTGCATAACAAACTACCCCTGAACTTAATGGATGAAAACAATAATCATTTATTTAGTGCATGGTTCTAAGAATTGGCAACTTGGGCTGGGCTCTGCTGGAAGATTCTTCTGGTCTCAATTCACTTATGCGTCAGCTATCAGCTACTGGTTTAGCTAGGAAGCTGTTTCTGGGGATTGGCTGGTGGTTTTAACGAGCATGATGGAAGAAGCTGGGTCATGTGTCTATTATCATCTGGAAAGCTAGACAGTAAGATTGATCTCTACGTAGTTCCTTGAGCTTCAGTTTTCTTATCTGCAAAATGAATATATGTAATAAATTGTTGGAAGGATTAGTCATAAAATATAAAGCATGCCCGGCACAGCACTTAAAACAGTCACCATTGGCATCTTTACAAACCCTTTTAATAATTTCAACTGATCCCAGGTAACATGTTTAATATTTCTACTTTTCACTCACAGGCAAGCCCTCCTCTCTCAACAATGACTCTGTGGCTCTCTAACCCACTTCTTTTTCCCTTTCATTCTAAAAACAAGCCATGTTTGGTCACCAAATAGAAACCAAGCATCACACCCAATCTATTTCAAGTCTGATAGTATCCAGCCCAGCCGTAGGCAAGAGTGGAGTGGAAGGGAAGTGGTAAACCGAGCATCACACCCAATCTATTGCAAATCTGGTAGTATCCAGTCCAGCCTTAGGCAAGAGTGGAGTGGAAGGGAATGCTGAGACCCATGGGGCCAGGTCTCAGGAATAGGCAGCCAGGGACCAGTTCTAGGAGTCACTGGGAGGCATCTTGGCCCAGGCTAGGAGGCACCTAGAAAGGAGTACACCAATATGAGAAAATAGATGCACTGACCTGGAAATAGCCATTCTCTGGAAGAGTCTCAGGCTGATTTGACTTCTTAATTTTGCCAGAAGCAACTTGCCAGCCTGCAGCAGTTTTCAAGGCCTTGCAGGCAGGTCTAAGCATTCTTTTGCTCACTGCTCCTAAAAGGACATCTGCCAATTTTCTCAATATTGCCAGTGTGGATATTCATTTATTGTAGCTCTAATTTATATTTTCTAGCCTTGAGTATGAGATGATTCTTCCTTGCAGGCCTGCACCAATCAGCTCCTTGAGCCCCTTCCCTAAGAAGCTGGGGCCAAAAACCACCCAGAGGAAGGCTCATCCTGAAGGACCTATCCTCATAAACACACCAAGGGCCCCCTGCCCAGCGAAGAGCAGCTTTTCATAAGAACTAAATGAAGGTGCTACATTTTTTTTTCAAAATTAGAACATTCTTATTAACAAAAAGCACTCTCTATGTTTTATTTTCACTCAGTTGTGAATTTGTTCTTGCTAACTAAAAAATAAAATGAGGTACAATGGGTCATAAGAAGTAATATACCCTCCCCCTTCCCAGTCTAGCAACACCTAATTATTCCATTGGAATTGAAGTGATAGCTTTTGCATTCAAGGTGATGAGACCACAAACACCCACCAGCATAAGCTAACATAAGGCATCAATGTCTCTGGAATTACATGGCTATTTGCAAGGGATAATTAAGTATTTTAACAAGCACATTGTGCTTTCCCTGTGCAAGTCATTGCTCTGAATGCTTTACAAGCACCAATTCTTGGAATCTTTGCAGTAGCTCTAAGAGACAAGTATCAGCCACATTTTGCAGATGAAGCAAACGAAGCACAGAAAAATGGAGTTACTTGCCCAAGGTCACACAGTCAGTGGCAAAACAGGATTTGGTGCAGGCTGGCTGGCTCTAGTGTCTGTGTGCATAGCCACTACCCTATGCTGCAAACATCCTGACTAGAACTTTCCACCACACCTGGGAAAACATGACCACCACCAGGACTATAGTGGAATCCACAATCTCAGAACATCAAGCTTGAGAACTTCTGATGGCCACTCTGAGATACAGCACCACTTCCAAGTCAGTCAGCCCTGACCCTTGAGCCCAGACCAGCTCTCAGTTCTTGATCTTCGCTCAGTCAACTCACCTCACAAACCCTCAGCCCTGGCTGCTGTGAGGATTCAAAGGGATACCACTTTCAAAGCATTTAGAGCAGGGCCTGGCTCATCTTAAGAGTCTGATAAATATCAGTCACTGTTATCATGATCGTTTTGCAGATGAGAACATAGAGAGGGAAAGAAGCAAATGACCCCCTCAAAGCAAAGCCACACTGCTTGTGCATAAGGGGTGTGACTGGAGACTCAGGACCACGCGTCTCAGCTGCCCTGAGCAAATTCAACTACAGCAGGTGTGGATTCGTTTTGCCACATCCCCTTCTCTGCCCTGCTAGCTTGGATATCCACTCATTTCAAGGGAGCATTGGGACTCCTGGCCCCACGGGAACCCCAAAACCCATCAGAAAGGAAACGGGTTTGGAATTCCATCCTCGCCCCACAAGGGCCACTCCTGTAAAATCAGACAGGTTCCAATCACCTCTCATGCACCAGTGTGTTGAGTCGATGTTTATTTCAAGGCAGAGCCCCAGTTGCTGTGATGGTTGGAAAAAGCAAATGTGACCCAACATGGGAGAGATGGCCACGAAGACAAACAAACAGCCAGCAGTCGATATAATTAATCTGTTGGAAAGCCAGGCACCAAACTCAAGTGGGTTTGCTGCCCATTTGAAGCATTTATCTTAAAGGCTGAGATGTGTGGAGTCTGCTGAGAGAACAAGTTTGCATTTCAAAGATGCCTTGAGGAGAAGTGGTACCCCAGCCTGCAAACAAGGCCTTTGAAGGTTTGTAATTCCTCAGCATCTAGCCAAACAATCACCCCGTAAGGCAACTTAACTCTGTCAGAGGCTTAGCTACATGGAGATGGGGCATGTTTTCCCACCAGAGACCCTAGGAGTTTCTCTGCCCACATTTTTTATACAGGCATTTATTTATTTATTTATTTATTTATTTATTTATTTATTTATCTATTTATGGACGGGACCAGTGAAGGCAAAAGTGCTTAAATTCCACGACCTGGGTTTCTCCAAGGGCCAAGTGGACATGTAAGAAATAATGATTAAAAGGAAAAAGGCTTCCTTCTTATTTATTTTTCTTTTTTTGAAATGGAGTCTTGCTTTATCGCCCAGGCTGGAATGCACGGGCACCATCTTGGCTCACTGCAACCTCTTCCTCCTGGGTTCAAGCGATTCTCTTGCCTCAGCCCCCTGAGTAGCTGGGACTACAGGTGCCTGCCACCCCACCTGGCTAATTTTTGTGTATTTAGTAGAGACAGGGTTTCACCATGTTGGCCAAGCTAGTCTCAAACTCCTGGCCTCAAGTAATTCACCTGCCTAGGCCTCTCAAAGTACTGGAATTACAGTACTTTGCCACCACACCCAGGCAAGCCTTTCTTTTTAAAATGTTAAAGAAGTCCAGGAAGCAGGGAGGTGATGAAGAAATAGCCCTTGGCTACACAGAGTCAGGGCACCTGCCTTTTCTTGTGCTCATCAGTGTCCCTCCCAGAAGAGGTGGTGGCACACAGTGCATAAGAACTTGGACTTCAAGGTAGGGAGTCACCATCTATATGGAGCATAAGAATTACCTGGGAGGCTTAATAACAAGGTTCCCATCCCCAAGACAGGCTACTTAGATTGAATCCTATGAAATGGTCCAGACATGACAGTGTTTAAGTTCCTAAATGGCAATTTCATATGGTTCAACCTGATCATTTGGTAAATCTGAGATGGAATTAGGAAATCTAGAGTTCTACAAAGTGCCCCACGTGATCCCGATGCAGGGAATTATTGAACCTTTTCTCTGGAGTCTGACATGTCTGGATCTAATTTCCTTGGCCATCTCTCCCCAGCTCTGCATGGCCAAGTTACCAAGCATAGCAGATATTCCAATGCTCCAATATCTGTGTGCCCCCCTACAAAGCCAGTGTGCCTACTCCATCTTTTTCTCTGCCTTGGCTATCTGCCTTGGGGGCTGCATGCTCCAAGTGGCAAGGCTGCTTGCCGGAGGAAGGCCATCCAACCTGCTTCACACTCTGTGCGAGCAAGAAATACCTTTTTTCCGTGTTAAGCAAAAGACATTTCAAGGTGTATTTGTGACTTCTGCGTGGTCTAGCCCATTGTCACTAGTGCTATTCATCTCTGGAGCCTCAGGGTATTTATACACTCAGATCCCTCACCCCTCAGGTCTTATTGATCGCCTTTCCTTCCCTGCAGCACCTCCTCCCCACTACACTTTCATCTATTCCCCAAATAAAAACTTGCACTCTAGGAAAACTCAAGTGAAGCCAGCCTCCCTTAGCAGTTGGCAGGCATAAGCTCAAGGCAGTGGGAGCCATAGGGAAACACACATAGACAAGACAGAACTCATCTGCTCACTTTATTGCCATTCACAAGGAGACCTGCGTGCCTTGGAACTCTGCCTGTGGAGGTTCCATGCATCACCCACCCTCTACATTCAGGAGGATGAGAGCAAAGAGAGTTTGGTTTATTAGAATCGTCAACATGTTGGTGGGCCCCCCTACCCCACCCCACCTCAAAGATAACTTAGTGCCAGAAGATGAACATCCCATTCATGGAGGAAAGCTTTGCAAACAAAAGTTTTCCAAGTACTCAACATCTAAACAGGAGAGCACAAAAGTATCTTCCTGAGAAAAACCCACCACCCCACTTAGGAAAAGTCTCATGCTTCCGCCTCCCTTATTACAGCCACAGCCAGCTGACCCCTTATCTGGCAGACCCCTGTATTGAATACATTTTTTTATTATCTTGGTGTTCTGGCATTTGGGGTCCTGTTCTTGGAGTGACTGCCTCTCTGAGGAAAGCTAATTACGAGGCATAGAAAATGACTCCTCTGTGAGTACATTTTTCTCATGCAAACCAATCAATTTCAAATCCATATCCCTCAATCATCTCCTTTATCAAACTCTCAGACACCAGTATTTCTAATATTCCCCTACCTAAATCACCCCAGGGCCAAGTTCTGGACAACTGAAGACCACTCCTATAGCCCAGAGTCCACCAAAATTATTCAAACCATTCAGTCCTAAATTTACTCAGGGTACCTGCCTTGTCTCACCCATCCCTTCCCACGAAAACCCCAATACTGGATCTGGGCCATGTTCTCCCCTTCCCTCTCTCTGTTTCCTGACTGGCCCTGGTGTATCTCCATGTGGGCCTGCGTGACATACTTGCCTCCTGCTTCTCGAGGTCTGTAAGTATAAATTATTCCCTCACGATGATCATTTCAGCATCTTGTATCTTACAATACCTGATTAAAACAATCCCGGGTACAATTTTTAGAACACACCCACCTGGTATTGACCTTCATAATTGAAAAATACCCTTCACAGCTGATAGTGCTTACTCAGGGTAGGAAAACGCCCATTCTCCAAGTGGACTTTTCCTTTGTTTAGTTTATTTTCCAAAACCTTTCCCTAATGTAATGTAACAAGACAATTTATTGAGATATTATGTTTTTTTCTTCACTTATTTTTTTCCCTGTCCCCTCATGGACCACATGTGTGTCCTTGACTTGGAGAATTTTTAAGAAAGCAGACCCTGCTTGATGGCAACAGCTTTTCCTGTATATTATAAAACATCAATTAATTGTCATGATTATATTAGATGCCCCTGAGGAGGAAGGGAGAAGTGAACATTCCGTCTTAAGGGTAGGGAGAAAGATGGAAGGAAGACTGGCAGAGGTTCCCAAGAGTAGCAGCACCCTGGGCTGGTAGGATACCAGTGGGACCCCAAGCTCTAGGCCCAGCCCCAGGCTTGAGAGCAGAGACACCAGACGTCAATGGACTTGGTGAGCTAGAATACTGGGTCATCTCAGAGTAATGAGTAGACTAAGGCTTTGCAGGCCCTGAGGAGCCATCTAAGACCCTCCTGCCACTCAGGACCTTAGGAAGACCCCAGAGAGAGGAGCTGCAATAATCATGAGATAGAACGTACTAGTACCCTGTGTTCTGGGAGCTCGAAGATTAATTTAAATTAATTAAACACAAAAAGAAATCTGATGGGGGCATATCAAAAGGACACAGGAGCTGCAGCAGCAGAATAGCAGCCCCCAAAGGTGGTCACACTGCAATCCCCAGAACCTGTGATTTTGTTACCCTACATGGCAAAGGGAATTTGCAGATGCAATTAAGTTACAGATCTTGAGATGAGAAGTGCTATGGACAGAATTGTGCCTCCCCAGCCCAAATGCATACATAGAAGCCTTAATCCCTAATGGGACTACATTTGGAGATAGGGCATAAAGGAGATAATTAATATTAAATAAGGTCATAAGAGTAGGAGCTCTAAGCTGAGAGGGCTCATGGTGTTATAACAAGAGACACCAGACAGTTCACTGGCACTTTCTCTCTGCCATGTGAGGACACAGTGAGAAGGCAGCCGTCTGTAGGTGAGGAGAAGAGCCCTTACTGGGTACTAAATCAAACAGCACCTTGATCTTGGATTTCTCAGCCTCCGGAACTGTAAGAAATGAATTTCTGTTGCTTAAGCCACCCTATTTGTGATATTTTGTTATGACTGCTTTGCAGCCTGAGTCGACTAAAACAGGGAGACTGCCTGGGTGATCTGGGGTGGGGGGTGGAGAGAATGTAATCACAAGCGTCCTAATAAGTAAAAGAGAAAAGCAGGAAGGTCAGAGTCAGAGATGGAAGCAGAGGACTGAGTGACGGAATTTCTGGTCTTGAAGATGAAAGGGGATCATGAGCCAGGAAATGTTGGGGGAGGCCTCTAGAAGCTGGAAAAGGCAAACATAGGGGTCCTCAACTAGAGTCTCCAGAAGGGATCGCAGCCCAGCCAGCACCTTGATTTTAGCCCGGTGAGACTTTGGACTTCGAGCCTCCAGAACTGTGAGATAATAAATCTGTCTTGTTTTAAGCCATGAAGTTTATAGTAATTTGTTACAACAGCAATAGGGAACTAATACTAGAGCCAATCTGAAATTGCTGCCAATGGCCAAACCTGGAACAATTTGAACAAAGCATAAATAAATAGCATAGTACTAGGTTACAATCCAAAGTATAAAATAAATATATGAGTCCATACTGATACAAGCAATAGAATAAGCCAATAAATGGGAAGAAGGGATAAATCATCCTCTGTAGAATAATTACAAATAATATAAGTAGATAGCTTCCCCTCCAGGAGGAAGAGGTAAAACATCACCCTCCTCCCATTGAGTGTGGACTCAACTCTCAGACTCTCCTCCAAAGAAAAGAGCCTGGAATGGGGGAAATAGAAAGCTGGCAAACACTACTTTTAACAAGTCCTCTCTTGTATCCCCTGGTTTGAAGTGATGAGAAGATTTCCCCTCTGTAATATTCTTTCCAAAAGTCCATAACCCTGGTCTAATCATGAGAAAATATCAAACAAAACCAAATTGAGGGACATTCTTCAAGACACCTGACCAGTGCTCTTTAAAACTGTCAAAGTCATGGAAAACAAAGACAGACTGACCAGAGGAGATTAGGGAGATACACTAGCTAAATGTATTGAAGTTCACTGAATTAGATCCTAGAACAGAACAAAAGCATGAGCCTAGAAACTGGTGACATCTGAGTAAAGTTAATAGTGAAAAAGCAAAGAAAACAGAAATGCACTATGTCTTCTAGACATGAGGTTGTACTTACAAAGTTCTACCACATGAGCAATGAGGATGAGGATAAGGTAGATATTTTAAATTACTTTAAAGTACTTGTTATAAACACAGACGAGAGACAGAGAGAGTACTAGCTATAGATATAAATATGTAAGTATTCAACTTACCTTTAATCTACTTCTTGGGACAGTTTATTAACATTTGAAGTTCCCTAATCAGGAATCCATACCCCAGGGAGGTTTGTTTAGCATCTGATGGACTCTAATCAGGAGTTCAATCTCCAGAAGCTGCCACCTCAAGCATTTCAAACATCTCTATTTAAATATGCTCTAGAGGACCATTAATTAGCAGAGGAGATGTTAGAAACACTTTCTCACTGATTAGATGAGTAGTGTTCAGGGTATGAGGTCAGCCAGAAATACAATGATACAGACCTCCATCTCCAGTCAACTCAGTACAAGAATCTGGTGAGCTCAGCATCCCGACAGTGCCTTGTGTCTGGAATCCCATTGGGTCATGTCTCTCTCCCAATTTTATCTGCTGGTCTTTCTTGTCTGATTGGACATTTTAACTGCTACCTCATTGATCCTTTCATATAAAGTGGTTGTTGAAGCTTCTAAAAGCAGAGGTGGTTGTGATGCACGAACTCACAGGACAGAGTGGAGGGCTGTTTCTGTGCCCACTTGCTGAGCCACAAGTGCGCATGCAGCAGAGTTCAGATGGTATGTAATAAATGTCCCAGCAGTGGGGCAGTGGAGAGGAGACCTGGTAGCTTTCATTTGCCTCTAATAATTGAATAATCCTTCCATTAAGAATGCAACAATAGATCCCCAGCTCAGCTTTTGCCAGAATAGGGATGGGAGGGAGAAAGGAAGGGAAGGGAGAAGAGAGGAGAGAAAGGGAATTAAGTTGGAGATAGAGAAGCAAGAGAGAGAGATAAGGGAAAGTAGAAGGGAGGAAGAAGGCAGGGAGGGAAGAAGGGAGGGGAACATAGAGGGTGAGCCTGGGCGTGGAATGGGAAGGGGACGAGGTAAGGGAGCCTTTCTGCTGAGGATGCAGAAAGCTGAGACTGTGGGCATCTTAGGGTCTGTGTGGCTTCAGGGTGACTTGAATTCTTGGCTAGCAAGTGAGGCTGTGTCCTGTTTGCTGAGCAGCTTTTGCAGGCCCTGTAGTCACTGCTGCCTCCACTGTTTCCCAGACAGTACTGGCTGCAGGAGGAACAATTCAGGCCCATGACTAAATAAATACAGACGGGGTGCTAAGATTCACTAATATTAACTGAAGGGTAGCCCAGTGGGGCAAAGTAGAGGGCCCCTTTCCCCATCGATGCCTCAGAGTAAAGAAGGAAATGGATCTCCCAGTAAAAACATCAGAGTCCTGAATCCTGAATCCTAGAGCCTCAGACCCATAGCATCAGCCTCCTTGGAAGCAGAATAAAGTAAATGTAAGATCAACCATATCACCTTCCTTCCCAGGCAATCGGGTGCCACTATTCTTGGCAGCAGAGAGGAAACTCTAGCCATCTCCTGGTTTTTCAGAACAGAGTAGCTGGACTATATCCTCCCTCAGTGTCTTAGTCTATTCAGGCTGCTATAACAAAATGCCATACACTGGGTGGCCTATACACCATAGAAATATATTTCTCACAGTTCTGGTGGCTGGCAAGTCCAAGGTCAAGGCGTTGGCAGATTTGATGTCTGGTGAGGTCTTTCTGGTTCATAGATGGCACCTTCCCACTCTGTCCTCATAAGATGGAAGAAGGGTGATGGGTGTCTCTCAGGCCTCTTTTAAAAGGGCACTAACACCACTTATTAGAGGTCAGCCCTCATGACCTAATCACCTGTCAAAGACCTCGCCTCCTAATATAGTCACCTTGGAGGTTTCAATATATGAATTTGCAGGGGACCATGACACCCAGGAAGTCCTCCCTGACCACCTCCTTCTGAATAACATTTTCCTCTGCAAGTCTTACACCACTTGCCTCTCTGCTACTTACATGTAACACTTTTAAGCACAGAGAGAAGCACAGGGATTTGGAGAATATATAATAGTAAAGTACTAACAACAACAACCAAAACACAACAATAGGTGATATATAAATCTGGCTCTTACTATGGGCTACACTCTATGACAAGCCCTGTACACGAGCTATCTCAGTCAATTTTTGTAACCTATCATATAGGTCCTGTGACAATCCTCATTTTACTAATGAGAAAAATAAGAAAACTGAGGGATCAAGGTCACAGAGACCATGGGTGGTGAAGCCATAATCCAAATCTTCCAAAGACTTAGCTGGATTATAGCCTAGCTCTGCCATTTGTTATCAGGGTCACCTGGGACAAGGTACTTTAACTCCCTACATGTGGGTCACCTCACTAGTTCACTATTACTCTACCCATCTGACAGAATTGTAAGGCTCGATTAAATAATGCACATAATGGCCCTGGATGAAAGCCTGGGAAGGGGCAGGCACTTAATAAAGTTGTTGAATAAGCAAATAAGCACATAATGGCTATCAGCGACCAGTGTTGCCTTGTGATGTCTCCTAGCTTCAATTTTTC
Organism: Homo sapiens; assembly: GCF_000001405.40. NCBI lineage: Eukaryota > Metazoa > Chordata > Mammalia > Primates > Hominidae > Homo > Homo sapiens. Next base: position 8,434,508 of record NC_000003.12, read on the forward strand.
AATCCTCACTGCTGTAGGTGGCACTGGCTAAGGTGGGTGTCCACACCATATTTCCCCAGTGGCCATCACTGTACTATGTTTTTGGAAGAATTAATTGTAGTGTCTCAGTCTACATGGATTTGGGTGGAAGAGATGAGCTTTTATCCAGTCTCCTCAGACCAATCAGAGTCCTTCCTTGACATTTTTCTAGAGGAATCTAGAAGCCCTCCACTCTGTCTGGTAAGCTCTCAGGATGAGGGTAGAGGTCTTCAGGCAGCCATGGCCACACGATGTGGAAGGAATCGCACCCAGGAAGAGAAATTCAAGCCATCGTGCAGACAAAGAGAGAGAGAGAGATGAAGAACAAGGAAACCCTGCCAGCCTCTGAGTGCCTGGTCCCAATTGTCACAAAGCTAGTCCCATCCCCACCCTTGCTGTAGTTTGGTTTCATCAGCCAGTGAAGTCCCCTCTTTGACTAAGCTATTTTAATTTAAATTTCTGTTATTTTCAACCAAAGAAACCCAATCATTACAATCACCTCGTTCACCATTCATTCACCCAACATAGAGTTATTGAGTGATAAAAATATACTAAGCATTGTGGACTTAGCCTGCATCCCGGTCTAGACGCTGTGAAAGAAGAAAGGAAAGGGATTGCTAAGTGCCTAAATATGACAGCAAGTGCTGACCATAAGCAAACACAATGCCTCCTTCAAGCGCAGCAAGAATTCTCCCAAGAAGGTATTCTTGTTCCCACTTTACAGACAACAAAACTGAGGTACAGAGAACACGCTCACTATCGTATTAGTAATGACAATTATTATCATTCATTGAGTGTTCACTATACAGCAGGTGTTGGGCTAAGAGCTTCATAGGGATTAATCCACTGTCTTTCAGTGACTTTGAGGTGCCATAACTTATAAGACATGTCATTAATTCAAAAGAAAAAAATTATTATGAATTATCGTAGTAAGACACTTGTTATGGGTTAAATCGTGTCCCCTCAAAATTCCTGTATTGAAGTCCTAATCCCCAGTATCTCAGAATCTGACCTTATTTGGAAATAAAATCATTGGATGCAATTAGTTAAAATGAGGTCACACTGGAGTAGAGCAGACCCCTACTCCAACGTGACTTGTGTTCATATGAAAAGAACTTCAAGTGAAGACACACACACACACGAAGAACGCAATGTGAAGATTGGAGTTCTCCTGCCAGAAACTGAGGAGCTACCAGAAGCTCAGAGAAAAGCCTGGAACAGACCCTTCTCTAGCACCTTCAGAGGGATTGTGGCTCTGCATGCACCATGATCTCAGACTTCCAGCCTCCAGACCTGGGGGACAATAAATTTCTGTTGTTGAAGCCTCTCAGTTTCTGGTACTTTGTAGAGCAGGCCTAGCAAACTACTGTAACATTGTTGCTTGGAAGATGCATTTGAATTATGAGATCTTAAAACATCAATTGTACAATCACTAGATAAGATTGTTTGATCTTTACAACAAATCTGCAAACCTACAAAACCTGACAAAACTAGCCCCATTTTACAGATGGAGAAATTGGGGCACCAAATGCCTTATGTAATCCTCATGTTATGCACTGGTGGAGCCAGGACTCAATGCAATTCTGGGTTCTTAAAAATTGTCCTGGCTGGGCGCAGTGGCTTATGCCTGTAATCCCAGCACTTTGGGAGGCTGATGCGGGCGGATCATGAGGTCAAGAGATCGAGACCATCCTGGCTAACACGGTGAAACCCTGTCTCTACTAAAAATACAAAAAATCAGCTGGGCATGGTGGCGGGCGCCTGTATTTCCAGCTACTCGGGAGGCTTAGGCAGGAGAATGGTGTGAACCTGGGAGGCAGAGCTTGCAGTGAGCTGAGATGGTGCCACTGCACTCCAGCCTGGGTGACAGAGCAAGACTTCGTCTCAAAAACAAAAAAAAGAAGTGTCCTGCACTGCCTCCCAGATGTCCCCATAACCACCCACACTTGCAGGTGCAAGCAAGCACGTACACACGCATGCACACACACACACATACACACACAGAGCTATTTAATTTTCAGGCCATTTAGAGTAACTAACAAAGTTTCATTTCCAAAGGGGAATGACCATCTATGCCCAAAGGAATTCTTCACTCTCTATTGCTCTTCTAACTTCTATTACCAAAAACAATTCGAACTGTGGCACTTTGGCCAGATTTCTGCCGGGTGGCTCAAGTTCTGCATCAAGTCGTGGAGATTCCTCAGCCTGCCCCTTGGTGCAGTCCTAACCATAACATATCAGATCAGCACAGAGAGCTCCTCAAGGACCCAGCGGAAACACTGACAGAGGCCACAGTTTGCTCCTTCTGCACAATAAATGGGACACAAAGTCCCCAGAAGACTAAGCCAGAATGTTTTTGAAGTTTCCCAGATGGTTTAGGGGACATCTGTGTCATGGTCTGGCAACCCCGCTAAATTCTGAGCGAGCCATTCACCCTTTCATCACGTCTCCAATGTTCTTTTAATTCTGAGAAGCATCTTGAGAAATGTGCATTTGTGACACCCCCGAGGGATATTTCACTGAGCAAGGAATGGAGAAAATGTAAAAACCAGTGATTCCAGGGTTTTCGTTGAAGAGCTCATGACCAAGTGCAATGACTCCTGTGAACAAGGCTGATCAGAAACTGGTGTTTGCCAGTCTACCAACAGGAAAGCAGGCTTGGATGTTTGTTCATGCAATATTCTTGGTGCCTAGTGCAGAGCCTAGTACATAGGAAGCACTCAATAAATCTTGCAGAATTAATGAGAAAGGAAAGCTTCCTCTGTCTGAAGTTTTCCAGCCCCCTTGCTGTGTCTGAAATTTTATCATTAAAAATTCATTCCTTTGGACTTAAATTAAAAGTCTGCTGGTAAAATGCACAACTTCTAAGAGGAGACAGACCTTCAGTACTGTGAATTTATTCTCTCAACCAGGACTGAAAGTCAGACCTTTTAGAATAAGTGCTTCTCAAAGTGGCCCAAGAGGAGGACTGGGATGATCCCCTGGGGTATAGGAGAAAAACATTCATCTCTTATTTATGTTTACTTTTTCTCATTATTCTTAAATTTCTACTTGTGTGTGCTTTACAATGAAATAATATATACTGATTTAAGACACATAGACTATTTGTAAGTGACACACAGCTGAGAGATTCTTCGTTGTTGTACTTTTTGGGTTTTTTGTTTTACAACTGAGGTACAGTCAAAAAATTAAAAATCACTGTATTTTGCAAATGGGAGCTTTCTTTGTTTTTGTTTGTTTGTTTATTTGTTTGTTTTTTGTGAGACAGAGTTTCACTCTGTCGCCCAGGCTGGAGTGCAATGGTGCTATCTCAGCTCACTGCAACCTCCGCCTCCTGGGTTCAAGCGATTCTCCTGCCTCAGCCTCCTGAGTAGCTGGGATTACAGGCATGTGCCACCATGCCCGGCTAATTTTTACATTTTTAGTAGAGACGGGGTTACACCATGTTGACCAGGCTGGTCTGGAACACCCGACCTCAGGTGATCTGCCCACTTCGGCCTCCCAAAGTGCTGGGATTACAGGCGTGAGCCACTGCACCTGGCTGAGCTTAATGTTTTTTAAAGCAGGGAGATGAAATGGTTAAAGTCCATACTACAACTTTCTATTCTCCTGAGTTTTAAACCCCCCCAAAAAACTCATTGCACATTTCCTCCAACTATCTGGTTGCTTCTTTTGCTATTTCATGTTAAGTTGAACTAGCCATAGATTTGTATGCTTTACGAATTTTGGTCAAATGCATGGCTACCTGGGGTATACTTTTAAGGGTAGCAGTCCAGTTCTAAGCGGCCAATCGCATTCATCTGCTCAAGGGTCAAGGGGGCTGACATTTTCCACATTTATGACTCTTTTGAGTTTCACACTGGAAAAAGGGTATTAAAAATAATGATTTAGAACATGCTGTGTGCCAATTGTGCATTGGCATCTGAAATATAAAAGAGAAAGTGAGGACATGGGGAAGAAGGGAGAGTTGAAGATTTCACTGTTCACTGGGGAACACAGGCATGTGAATATATGACTCTAAAATCCAGTATAATAGGTGCCTGATATGCAGTGGGTTTTTGGTAATTAGTGTTGATTAAATGAGGGGCTGAAAAAGGAGTTAAAGAGAAATAAGAAGTGTCTGGAGGCGCGAGAGGAACAAGTGCCTGGCTGGGTCTGATCAGGGCAGGGCGGACTCACAGAGTCACTGGCTTGTGGGTGGCAAGGTTCCAGGAATGACTTTGCCAGGCAGGGGGAAGAAGGTCATGGAGTTCCAGGTGTGAGATAAAGCACCAAACTTAAGAAGTCGAGTTTGCCCCCTTTTGTTTGTGAGCAGAATTTCACAAAAACCCTGACTCTGTGATGACATGCAGCTCTCCAGAAAAATGCTCTCAACATTGAACAGGCTATAGCACGCGGCCTCCTGCATCTCTTGCCTGAGTCATTGTATTCCTTAAAAGATGAATGATGAGAGGCTGAAGTGAAGTTACAAAGGTTACACACTGCCCTCTCCCTCCCCCTCCCCCTCCCCCTCCCCCTCTCCCTCTCCCCACGGTCTCCCTCTCCCTCTCTTTCCACGGTCTCCCTCTGATACCGAGCCGAAGCTGGACTGTACTGCTGCCATCTCGGCTCACTGCAACCTCCCTGCCTGATTCTCTTGCCTCAGCTTGCCGAGTGCCTGCGATTGCAGGCAGGCGCCGCCACGCCTGACTGGTTTTCGTATTTTTTTGGTGGAGACGGGGTTTCGCTGTGTTGGCCGGGCTGGTCTCCAGCTCCTAACCGCGAGTGATCCGCCAGCCTCGGCCTCCCGAGGTGCCGGGATTGCAGACGGAGTCTGGTTCACTCAGTGCTCAATGGTGCCCAGGCTGGAGTGCAGTGGCGTGATCTCGGCTCGCTACAACCTCCACCTCCCAGCCGCCTGCCTTGGCCTCCCAAAGTGCCGAGATTGCAGCCTCTGCCCGGCCGCCACCCCGTCTGGGAAGTGAGAAGCGTCTCTGCCTGGCCGCCCATCATCTGGGACGTGAGGAGCCCCTCTGCCTGGCTGCCCAGTCTGGAAAGTGAGGAGCGTCTCTGCCCGGCCGCCATCCCATCTAGGAAGTGAGGAGCACCTCTTCCCGGCCACCATCCCATCTAGGAAGTGAGGAGCGCCTCTTCCCGGCCGCCATCCCATCTGGGAAGTGAGGAGCGTCTCTGCCTGGCCGCCATCCCATCTAGGAAGTGAGGAGCACCTCTTCCCGGCCACCATCCCATCTAGGAAGTGAGGAGCGCCTCTTCCCGGCCGCCATCCCATCTGGGAAGTGAGGAGCGTCTCTGCCCGGCCGCCATCCCATCTAGGAAGTGAGGAGCACCTCTTCCCGGCCACCATCCCATCTAGGAAGTGAGGAGCGCCTCTTCCCGGCCGCCATCCCATCTGGGAAGTGAGGAGCGTCTCTGCCCCGCCGCCCATCGTCTGAGATGTGGGGAGCGCCTCTGCCCGGCCGCGACCCCGTCTGGGAGGTGAGGAGCGTCTCTGCCCGGCCGCCCCGTCTGAGAAGTGAGGAGCCCCTCCACCCGGAAGCCGCCCCGTCTGAGAAGTGAGGAACGTCACCACCCGGCAGCCACCCCGTCCAGGAAGGAGGTGGGGGTCACCCACCGCCAGGCCAGCCGCCCCGTCCAGGAGGGAGGTGCGGGGGTCAGCTCCCCACCCGGCCAGCCGCCCCGTCCGGGAGGGAGGTGGGGGGGTCAGCCCCCCGCCCGGCCAGCCGCCCCCTCTGGGAGGTGGGGGGCGCCTCTGCCCGGCCGCCCCTACTGGGAAGTGAGGAGCCCCTCTGCCCGGCCAGCCGCCCCGTCCGGGAGGGAGGTGGGGGGGTCAGCCCTCTACCCTGCCAGCCGCCCCATCCGGGAGGGAGGTGGGGGTGTCAGCCCCCTGCCCGGCCAGCCGCCCCGTCCGGGAGGTGAGGGGCGCCTCTGCCCGGCCACCCCTACTGGGAAGTGAGGAGCCCCTCTGCCCGGCCAGCCGCCCCGTCTGGGAGGTGGGGGTGCCTCTGCCCGGCCGCCCCTACTGGGAGGTGAGGAGCCCCTCTGCCCGGCCAGCCGCCCCGTCCGGGAGGGAGGTGGGGGGGTCAGCCCCCTGCCCGGCCAGCCGCCCCGTCCGGGAGGTGAGGGGCGCCTCTGCCCGGCCACCCCTACTGGGAAGTGAGGAGCTCCTCTGCCCGGCCACCACCCCGTCTGGGAGGTGTGCCCGGCAGCTCAATGAGAACGGGCCATGATGACAATGGCGGTTTTGTGGAGTAGAAAGTGGGGAGAGGTGGGGAAAAGAGTGAGAAATCGGATGGTTGCCGTGTTTGTGTAGTAGGAGGTAGACATGGGAGACTTTTCATTTTGTTCTGTACTAAGAAAAATTCTTCTGCCTTGGGATCCTGTTGATCTGTGACCTTACCCCCAACCCTGTGCTCTCTGAAACATGTGCTGTGTCCACTCAGGGTTAAATGGATTAAGGGCGGTGCAAGATGTGCTTTGTTAAACAGATGCTTGAAGGCAGCATGCTCGTTGAGAGTCATCACCACTCCCTAATCTCAAGTACCCAGGGACACAAACACTGCGGAAGGCCGCAGGGTCCTCTGCCTAGGAAAACCAGAGACCTTTGTTCACTTGTTTATCTGCTGACCTTCCCTCCACTATTGTCCTGTGACCCTGCCAAATCCCCCTCTGTGAGAAACACCCAAGAATGATCAATAAAAAATAAATTAATTTAAAAAAAAAAAAAGATGAATGATGGTAATCCTTGCCTTGCCCTATAGGTAAGATAACGTCTGGCTTGGGGGCGGGGTGTTGTGATTATGCCTCTGCAATCTGTCATCAGATGCACTCTCACACCCAAACTTTGATGTGATTTTGAACGCCCTGAATCTTCACCACCTGTATATAAACTGTGAATGGGAATACTGCATTGCAGAAGCAACTCTGACAGCGCTGTTCCCAGCCTATAGGCCTCTGTCTATAGCCCTCAGCAAGATTTCTGAATAGAACTAACTTTAATTCATTAAGGTGGCCAGGCAAGGTGTCTCATGCCTGTAATCCCAGCACTTTGGGAGGCCGAGGCGGGCAGATCACTTGAGGTCAGGAGTTTGAGACCAGTCTGGCCAATATGGCAAAACCTCGTTTCTCCAACAAAAAAAAAAAAGATACAAAAATTAGCTGGGCATGGTGGTGCACGCCTGTAGACCCAGCTACTCAGGAGGCTGGGCAGGAGAATCACTTGAACCCGGGAGGTGGAGGCTGCGGTGCGTCGAGATGGCACCACTACACTCCAGCCTGGGCAACGGAGCAAGACTCCATCTCAAGAAAAAAAAAAATTAAGAGGCTCAATTCTTTTTTCTTTAGTCAACATAGGCAAAGGAACACTTTGATGAGACGGGAGATACAGTGGGAGCCATCAGCCTCACTTTCTTACTCTAGTCACCAAGTGGTGCTCATCCAAAGGGGAGGAAATGGGGGATGCGGCCACTCAGGTTGCACTGCTGAGGAGTGTTGGAGCTGGGATGCTGCCTGACTCAAGAGAGAGATGGAGCCACAGACACATGGAGGCAAACTGAAGAAAGACAGATAAAGGAGGCAGCTTTTCAGGAATGCGACCCCGGGGTTGGGGAAGGTGGAGAAGAAGGGAGGGAAAACTTGAGGCCTTGCACTCAGCTTTGACAACAACCTCATTCAACCACTAGATGTCACCAAACACAAAACCCGTTAGAAACGGAGAAATGAAGCCAAGGAATCTTGATCCCAAAGAATTCCTGGACTCAGCCCTGGAAAAGTCTTAAAGCTAAGGAATGTGGCATGCAGATCACTCTAGGTAAAGCAGGACTGACTTTTATAACTGTCACCAAAGGAGACGCCACATCTCTGGTGTCCTGGCGCCTGCATCTCAAACACACAGCATCTTAGTTAATTCTCAGAACATGCCCGGCAGGGCAGGACCACCACTATCCCCATTTCACAGGTGGGAGCACTGAGGGCCCAAGAGGTTGTTACCTCCTCAAGTCCACACAGCTAGGAAGGGGCTGAACTAGGATTGCAGCCAGGACTCTCTGACTTTCCACCTGGGCTCTTTCATCTATACCATGACATCTATCCCAGGGACATGACCCGCTACCACCATTACAGAAACACCACAGCCACAGGTTCCAAGGCAGACCAGGGCATTTCTTTAGTTCATTAAACTCCATTATTCTAATATAATTACTCCTTGATTTTACAGCAGCAAATTATAATAGCCAGTAGTGGAGAACAGTAACCTGGATTGCCAGAAACAGCAGAAGGTTTTGGTTTGGGTTTGTTTTTTCACTTTTGACGTTTATTGTATAGGTTGCACTTCATTTGGGGGAGTCCGAGGGGGAGTGTTTTGTGTGGTTTTAAATCAACCTATTTAGCTTCTCAATGTCATTGGGCATTGGATAAAGATCTGAGTGTATATGTTGTCTGATACAGAAAGTGAGTGAGAATGTAGGTAGAAAAAAGAAAAACAGCACATGAAGAGATGTAGAAAGCTCAGCTAAGCTCAAACTCTCCCAGTGAAACACCAAAAGTACAGGGACAACAGTAGTTTGGAATGAAGCATTGCTCCTCATACAGCAGAAGAGAAACTGGAACATCCTAACATCAGCACCAAAGCAGTTTTCCATGTCCTCATTCCCTCATTCATGCATTCATTCAAATATTTACCAGGAGCCACAAACGTGACCAAAACATGCCCTTGCCTTTACAACTGCTCCCTGTGGTAGAGGAGACCTCTAAGCGAATAATCAGAATACAACACACTTAGTGTTATATCTGAGATACACACAAGGTGCTACTGGACAGATAAAACAGGGAAGGAAAAAGAAGACGTTAAACATGGGTTTAAAAGATGAATAGAAGTTCAAGTACAGAAGGGCAGCCAGGCAACAGGAATGAGAAGTGCAAGAGCACAGCATGGAGCAAAAGGGCAGGAGAAGGTCACAGGATGGCAAAAGTTTTCATGCATGTGAGGGACTGGGAAACTTGTAGGGTTTGGGAAGGTGGAGCAGGAAGAGGCAGGAAGGGTAGGCAGGGGCTAGATACAGAGCCACAGGCCCCTGAGCACTTGCGATGTGCTGGTCTGAACTGAGATGTGCTGTGGGTGTAAAATACACACCGATTTTGAAGACTCAGTGGGAGCAAATAAAGTAAAATACCTCATTAATATTTTTACATTGTTTGGCTGTTGAAATGATAATATTTGGGTTATACTGAGCTAAATAAAATATATTATTAAAATTAACTTCACTCATTTGTTTTGACTTTGTTAGTGTGGCTGCTAGAAAATTTAAGATGACATATATGGCTTACAATCACCTCCACTGGGCAGTGCTGGGCTCATTCAAGCATGAGAACATCGGATTCCATCATAGGGGTCTTGGGGCTCATCTGGTAGCAACAGGGAGTCACCAGAAATTCCAGAGCAAAGGAGCAATTCAGTCCGCTGAAGGTTTAGGAACACCTTCAGTGGCTTCAGGTTGGTGGGGTAAAGCAGTGGTCGGGGAAGGCACTCTGGGGGACATTAAGCTTCCTAAGTCAGGAATGTTTAGGTCTGAATAAAGCAGAGAAGGAAAATGTGGGAGAGCTATTTAAGAGAAGAGAAAATAATTGACAAATCAAAATCAGATTATTACACTACAAAACCATCACAGGATTCAATTACAGTCCTTTGTGGGGAAATGCCTCCTCCTCCATCCCCCCCACGTCCCCAACTCCCACCAGATCACATAGTGTAACCTTCCTGGCTGATGTAACACACAAAGCTGAAAAGATAGTTTTCAGGACACAGGAAAAGCAAGTGGCAATGCTTAAGAGAAGAACTTACTCCTCTTTCCTTGTTAAGGATCCAGGAGGCAAACCTAACCCCGCTGGGCCCCAGACAGCAATTCCTAACAGTGTGCTCTTTTATACCTTCCTTCAAGGCTGCTGACAGGAAAGGCCGTTGCCAAGGAAACAGGCTGAGCCAGGAAGCTGACTGGAGCAAACACAGACAGTCTCACGGCCGCTCTGTGGACAGAGCGGACCAGTTGGTAAATATTTCACCAGGCACATACCAGAGACGCAAAGCAAACAGTATGTCATCCCAGCGCTGGGCTGGAATCGTTCCACGAGGAAATGTTGAACTCAGAAGCTGTGCAGCTTCGTTCCCATGTTACAAAGGATGACCTCCCAATATGACAGGGCTTACAGTGGGGCATTGGGACACTTTGCTAGAGTGGGATTATAGCACTCTATATGTGCGAGTTCCACATCTGCGGATTCAACCAAATGAAAAATATTCTCCAAAAAATGTACAAATAATACGAATTGTAAAGTACATTAAATAAATAAAATATAAACTAACTACGTAGCATTTACATTGTATTAGGTATTATAAGTAATCTAAAGTACATAGGTTACAGGCAAATATGCTATTTTACATAAAGGACTTGAGCAGGAGCAGTTTTTGGTATCCGCAATGGCCCTGGAACCAATCCCCTTTGACTGTACTGAGCATCTCCCAGCACAGAGGCTATCAGTGCTGGTGGCAAAAGAGATGTCAAGGTACTCTGGAGAAAAGTAGAAAATCAGTGGGCAAGCTACTTCTCCTTCATGGCAGCCTCAATTTTGCTTACCTTTAAAATGGGTATAATCTTTTAAAGATTATGTAATAGGATGAGCATTCAATGGAATAAAATAGTTTAATAAATAAGATAAATGTGTAGTCGCCTCAATAAATGTTAGTTTCACTTTCCGCTCCAGTGTGTAACATCTAGAATTAAAGATATTCTGTGTACAGTTTGAATGCCAACTATTTAGATACAACACTTCTATTAAGTAAGCCTAAGTCTGTCTTAGCTTCCTCAGTATATAACACTGAATACAACCACAGAGGGATTCTTTTTGCTTTGTATCTTTTACGTGAATGGCAGGTAAGTCACATCTCCTGGATTTTTTACTGATGTAATTGATGATCTGGGCTCAAGTCCTGAACATGCAAACCATTCCAGTGAATTCCATTTTATTAGATTGAAGCCATAGCTCTAGCCTAGCAAGATCACTTGAAAGCTGTCCTCTGTCCTCAGGGAGCTTCATGTCTGGGGCAGTGGTTTTTAAAACGTGGTCTCTTGACCTCAGAATTAACTGAGGTGATTGGTTAAAAAGGTGAGTTTTCAGTCTTCATCTTAGACCTATTGAATCAGAACATCTGGAGGCAGGTCCCAGAAACTTGCAATTTTAGCAAACTTTCCAGTTTACACTCATGCACAATAAAGTTTGAAAAATCAATTTTCTTCATTATTTCTGCATTTTAGAAATTGGTCCTTGGACCACCTGCATTTGATGCCTGTTGAAATGCAGGTTTCTGAACATCATCCACATGTAAGGAATCATAGTCTCTGGACTCAAGAACCTGCCTGTGTAACAAACTCTCCAGTTGATTCTTACTCACACTAAAAGCTGAGAACCAATGGCCTAGTGAATCGTAAAGAAATACTCCTCAAACTTGGCATTGGTGTGCATAGGAAGTGCCTGGAGAGCTTGTTAAAGCAGAGATCGCTGAGCCCACCTCCAGAAAATCTGACTCACTAGGTTTGGGGAGGGATCCAAGAACTTATATTTCTAACAAGCTCCCAGCTGATGGAAATGCTGCTGATCCACAGATCACACTATGGGCAGTTGTGGTGTTAAACTCATAATAGTCTATATAGTTTTAAAAATACACCCATATCTAAAGAATCTATACAAATCCTATTGAAACAAAAATGGCCATGCCTTATTGTAACCTGGGAAAGGTTTGTGTATGCATGTGGTAAAATACACATAACATAAAATTTACCATTTTAACCATTTTAAAGTAGACAATTCAGTGGGCATTTAATACATACACAATGCGGAGCCACCATCACTACTGTCTAGTCCCAGAATTGTTTATCTCCCCAAAAGGAGACTCCATACTCATTCAGTAGCCACTCCCCATTCCTGCTTCCCCTCAGTCTCTGGCGACCACTAATCTGATTTTTCTCTCTATTAATTTGTCTTTTCTGGATATTCCACATAAATGAAATCATACAATATATGGCCTTTGGCATATGGCTTCTTTCACTTAGCAAAATGTTTTCAAGGTTCATCCATGTTGTAGAATGAACCAGTGATTTATTCTAGATCACCTTTTGTTTATCCATTCATCAGCTGATAGATGTAGGTTATTTCCACCTCTTGACTACTGTTAATAGTGCTGCCATAAACAATAGTGTGCAAGTTTTTGTTTGAACATCTGTTATCAATTCTTGGGGGTATACGCTTAGGAGTGAAATCACTAGGTCACATAATAAGTTTGTGTTTAACTTATTGAGGAATTGTCAAATTGTTTTCCACAGCAGGCTATACCATTTTACATTTTAGTCAGCAATGTATTAGGGTTCCAATTTCTCCACATACTCACCATCACTTGTGATTTTCCTTTTTTTATTATGACCATCCCAGTGAGTGTGAAGTATCATCTCATTGCAGTTTTGATTTTTATTTCCTCAGTGACTAATAACATTGGGAATCTGTTCACACCCTTACCGGCCATTTGTGGATCTGCTACGGAGAAATATCTATTCAGGAACTTTGACCATTTTTTAATTGGGTAATTTGTCTTTTTTGTTGTTGAGTTGTAAGTTAGTTATATATCCCTGATACTAACCCCTTATCAGATATGTGATTTATACATATTTTATAAATATTTACATAATTTTAAATAATCTATTTAAAATAAAATATTTTTAAATAATCTATTTAAAATAAAATATTTTTAAATAATCTATTTAAAAGAAAATATTTTTAAATAATCTATTTAAAAGAAAATATTTTTAAATAATCTATTTAAAAGAAAATATTTTTAAATAATCTATTTAAAAGAAAATATTTTTAAATAATCTATTTAAAAGAAAATATTTTAACTTCAAATAATCTATTTAAAATAAAATATTTTAACTTCAAATAATCTATTTAAAATAAAATATTTTAACTTTAAATAATCTATTTAAAATAAACTATTTTAACTTTAAATCATCTATTTAAAATAAAATATTTTACTTTAAATCATCTATTTAAAATAAAATATTTTAGATAGGTAAAATATTTGTAAATATTTTATCCCGTTGTCTTTTCACTGTCCTGATAGACCATACCTTTTTGAAGATTAATTAAATTCCAAGGCAATGACAGTTCTACAAAAGTTCATAACTGGCAAAGACTTGGAATCCGTGCTGTCAAAGTCTCTCAGAAAAAAAAAACTGAGGCCCAGAGAGCTACAGAGGCTGTTTCAGGGTCTCATGGGAACTCCCCAGCACTGGAAGGGCTTAGAGAACATTCAGTCCACTTCCCCAACACACAGTAAGCACATGCAAACACATACACACATATGATGCCATTTTATGTCTCGGATATTAAAGGCACTTGAAATACACTCTTAGAAAGTTGCCTCTTTTTAGAAGTCAAGGTGTAATGCATCTGCAGAGGTTAATGCATTCAAAGTTAGACTTTCAGCACTAGACAGTATTCCATTAAAAATCTAATGTCAGAGCTTACAAAGAGAAAGCAAAATAGGTACTCAGGGTGGATCTGGAATTTCTTCGATATTGGACATTTCCTTTAATTCAGAACCTATTTCTAAATTAGAGGTATACATTTATTACCTACTAGTGAAATGGGTTAATAACCACAAAGCAAGTGTCTCAAATGCAAACAATGACAAGGGCAAGGAAGTAACACCGAATGTCAAATCCAAAGGAGTGAAAGGTGATAGGCTTACAGTGTTTGTTTTACGATTAAGTGTATGATGAGTTCATGTCCTTTGTAGGGATGTGGATGAAATTGGAAATCATCATTCTCAGTAAACTATCGCAAGAACAAAAAACCAAACACCGCATTTTCTCACTCATAGGTGGGAATTGAACAATGAGAACACATGGACACAGGAAGGGGAACATCACACCCTGGGGACTGTTGTGGGGTGGGGGGAGATGGGGGAGGGATAGCATTGGGAGATATACCTAATGCTAGATGACGAGTTAGTGGGTGCAGCGCACCAGCATGGCACATGTATACATATGTAACTAACCTGCACATTGTGCACATGTACCCTAAAACTTAAAGTATCATAATAATAAAAAATAATAATAATAAAAAAATTAAAGAAAAAATACAGAAAAAAAAAGTGTAAATTCTGCTTTGCTATGTCGCCACTTAAAACACTGAACAGACCAAACAAAAAGGCAAATGAAACACTTCCACGGGCTGTGACAGCCCTCATCCAAGCCACCAGTTTATGATTCTTATGTAAAGTGCCCCTCCTTCATTTTAAATTTAACTAAGTATCTCAGTTCATGACCCTTTCCAATCCAGAGAAGCAAAGATGAACAAAACAAAGTAAACATAATCAAGCACTGAACGAGTGTCTGTTATTTGCCTGGGCCTGGTCCATCTGCTAAACCCAAAGATTAGAAGTGGCAAAACAGTAGAATCAGGTATTGCCACAGCTGTGATGCCTGACAGAATAGTATCAGCCTCACAGGAGCAACAATTAACTAAAAATTTTTTGTACATGTATACCCTATTTATTTCTCCGAAGAGCTTTGGGGGATCCTACAATAAGGAGTATAATAAGATTAATAGGAATAGAAAATTCAGGAAAAGGAAAAAGTGAGAAAGGAAATATGAAGCATAATAGTAGAGATGACTTAGAATCTATGAGTAGCATCAAATTTGACTATGAGCTTCCTAGCAGCCAGGGGGAAAAAAGGAGATACTATGTAATTATTAGTATTAGGACTATGATTCTTAAATCCTTAAAAAAGAAAATATTTTAAAAATGGCAAATTCCCAAAGAACATTCTCAAATGGCTAAAATGACTCCTAATGATTTAAACATAAGGATTTGATAAGTTTTTCTGAAAACTGCCAGCCTACTATTAATGCTTTTCGCTAATGTTTTGCAGTAGGAAAGCCCCACGCCAACTCAGAAAGCTACATACATGCTGTAACTAAGAGAAAATGACATATTAGGAGTTTAATGGGAAGGACTTGGAGGGCTCACACATTCAGCTGCACACATCCCTGGTAGGGCCATCATCAACATCAAAATAGTCCATACTATACATCTCTGGGAGTGGAATAATTCCAGTGTTAGATAGCTTTCCAGGGAAAGAAAATGGATACAGCCCAAGTCCAAAAACCATTAACAACTCCTTTTTTGGGGAGGAAGAACTGTATCTAGACATGGAAAAGATAAATCCCTGGGGAAAAAAAATCCAGTTATACGTCTCCTGTAAGATGATGTATCCTGAAGCAATAGACTCTTCTGTCACCAAGCGTATTAGTCTGTTCCCATGATGCTAATAAAGACATACCCAAGACTGGGTAATTTATAAAGAAAAGAGGTTTAATTGACTCACAGTTCCACATGGCTGGGGAGGCCTCACAATCATGGTGGAAGGCAAGGGAGGAGCAAAGTCACATCTTACATGGTGGCAGACAAGGGAGCTTGTGTAGGGGAACTTCCCTTTATAAAACCATCAGATCTCATGAGACTTATTCACTATCATGAGAATAGCATGGGAAAGACCTGCCCCCATTATTCAATGACCTCCCACTGAGTCCCTCCCATGACACGTGGGAATTATGGGAGCTACAGTTCAAGATGAGATTTGGGTGGGGACACAGACAAACCATATCACCAAGGCTTGGTGAAGTAGCAAAGAAAGAGGCTTTCTTCAAGAGGAGATTGCTGACTGTCTTAGTTAACAAATCCAGCATACCCTGCGGTGCCAGGAAAAATGTAAAGCAAATGTATGTGAAGGTGAGAAATAGAAAGTGGAAGATTAGAAAAAAGGAGAAGTGATTGTGGTCAAACTAATTTCTCCATTCCATTCAATGTCTATAGATACCTATATGTTCTGAGATTAGAGTTATCAAGTCATAAGATGTAACAGATTAATCATTGTGTTCATTAAGAATTTTTTGTAGTAGGCAACCAGAAATTGACTCAAGTTAAGCATAGAAAGAATTTGTTGAAAGGTATTGGAGTGACATATAATAGAATCAAAGGAAAACTAAAAGGAAAAGAAAGCCTCAAGAATCCAGAAACCAGAGCATCTGTGAGCATCTACATAGCAAGAACTCCTGCCCAGTCACTTTAGGATATCCCTCAGCTCAAGAGTTAAATTCCAAGGAGGGAGAGCCTGATTATTCCAGCTTGGGTCACAAGTCCATTCTCTGGCATTTCATCTTAACCAATGGTTATGAATCAGCAGTCATTTTGCTCCTTAGGAGACACTTGGCATTGTCTGAGGACATTGTTGGTTGTCACAACCAGGGGGCATCAGTGGATTTCACAACCAAGGATGCTGCTAAATATCCTACAGCTCACAAGGCATCCCCCTGCAACAAAGAATCCACCCCAAATGTCAGTAGTGTCAAAGTTGGGAACCCCTGATCCTGACTGATGAGTCCAAAAGGAACACAAAAGAGGCATTTCCTCAATGGAAAACTGAGGTATGCAGTGGTCACATCTTCTGCCCACTCCACCCAGATTCCCTGGAATCCCTTTGACCATTTCTCTTCCCCTCCCACAGCTTTGTCTCTACCAGTAACTAACACCAATGTTCTTCAAAGAATAGTCCTGGGCTGCTGGAGCCATTGGCAAGCTCAGAGAGCTGAGAATGCCTGGGTGTTTATACCCACATGGGAGACCCATGGTGGGGGAACAGGAAAACTCAGCCCTTTTGCCTCAAGTCAGGTGTCATTCACACTCCGGAGCTCCCATAGGATGGGGCTGAGGCTGGGACTGCTTAAATGGCACCCTTGCTCAGCATCTCCCTCGCCTCAGCCCTACTTCCTCACTGCCTTACCAGTTTCTTCCAGGAACACTCTCTTAATAACTCATTTGTACCCAAATCCCCACTCAGGATGTGCTTTGGGGGAACCCGGCCTAAGATAAGGTGCTATTGCCAAAAAAAAAGTGGGAGGATTGCTGTATAGTCAAAAACAATAGCAAACCACTATAATCATATGAACTCTCCTGCCTGGGTTTCCTGTTCTCCCCTCACTATATAAAAAGGTGAAAGATAGAAGTCATGCTCTTATTTAGATGCAGCGACCAGGAAATGCTCCAGCAATCTCGTATCCAGAATTAGACCTCCACAAGCCGAACCAGAGACATAAGGCTCCAAGACAGAATCAAACAAGTTGATGCTTTCTGATTATTAATAACAGGTTGACTCTTTCTAATCACTGATGACACAAACAGCAAAATCACTTCCAGCACTGAGCATCAGACTTCATCTCTGTGGATGGCTGGAGAGGCAGCCACCTCATCCAGGCAGGAAGAAAAGATTATTCATAGAGGAAGAATTATGATGCGTAGTCACAAAAATGAGATGGAGAACGGCACAAGAGAACCCGAAGTATCAACCCCTGGGGAGTTGAATTGCTAGTTCCTTGTGAAAATTCAAGCAGCTGAAATGCAAGGTTTAGATGAATGCCTTATGAATGAAATATAAGAGATTACTAGTCTGCAGATAAGAAAATTAGACGTTTGCAAGCGGCACAGAAGAGCAAAGGAAGTAAGCAATCTTTACAGATCGGCAAACAAAGTCCTTCAAGTGGATTGAAATCAAACAAAGGATATTAAAAGACACCTAAAATAGGGGCAGAAAACTGACCTCAACTCTGTTGCCTGTCAGGTAATGCCATTAGGGGTTTTAAGTAAGATTGAGGATGCACTCTTCTAAGGCTATGGAACTGTCCAACACAGTAGCCACTGGCCCCAGTGAGATGTCTAAATTTAAATTGTTTGAAATAAAACAAAATCCATAATTCAGTTGTTCTATTCCCAGCTCAGTGACTTATTTCGGCCGGTCTTATCCATCTGTGGACCTCAAAATCCCAAGTGGTAAAGAAGGGGCTGACAGAAGGTCTGCAAGATCTCTTCCAGCTCGGGGGTGTTCTTGATTCTGTGGCCAGTCTTGGAAAACCGCTCAGAAGGAATCATCTTAAAATGATCAATAAAGCTTGCATACCTAAAAATTCAAAATGCGTGTGTCCCAGTAGACCAAGAACTCTACTTCCCAGATCCTCCTTCAGGAAAGGATTTGCTACCTCTAGCTCTTGGCTTTTTGGGCTCTGCCTCGGATGCAGAGAGCCATTCCACACAAGGTCATGGCCTCCTGGGAGCAGCCTATATCCAGTGACTGAACAAGGTGGGGGTATAAAGGCCTGGCCATTCTGTACCACAGGAGAAAGCTCTAACAGGCAGTACCAGTTCCTAAGCCCTCCACTGGGTTGAAGGTCTTTGTGGGGCATGCATAACAGTTCAGCTTCTCCTCTGCCCAGCCCTTCTTCTTCCCCACGCTTTCATTGGTGTTGATCACTAACAAACGTTCAGGGTCTGCTTCCAGAAAACCCAATCTGTATCAGTGTGGTCAACGGGAGGTGGCTTGGCAAGGCTGAGCAAATAGAATAAAAGGATTCTGTGGAGAATTGATGATATAACAACAATTAATAGCAATTGTAATAGTGAACAATTATATGATACTAACAATATCCAGGCGCTCTTCGTGTACTTTACACATGTTAACTCTAATGCTCATCCAACCCAATAAATTAAGTGCCATCATTATAAACAGGAAACCAAGGTACGCCGAGGCCAAACAATGGGCCTACAGTCCCACAGCTAGGATACAACACAGCAGGACCCAAATCCCGGCAGGCTGGCTCTGTGGTACTCCCTCTCCTTCTCAATGTGTCAGTGGCGACCCAGAGCTGTTCACAGTCTGACTGGAACCCAAAGGTCACTGCTGCCCCCACACCCTGAGGCTCTTTGCTCCACTCTGGTCTGGCTTTACAGAAGGGGAGGCGGAGACAGACCTGGAAGAAGGTCTCTAATCATGTTCCACACTCTCAGGGCTGGAAGAAATTGCTCCAGTAGGCCCCATCCAGACCTCCACTTAGGTTTTTGTTCCTCTTCTCCCATCATCACAAAGCATAAACAGAGAATGCCTGGCGTGTCAGCTCTCTCTCTCTCTCTGTCTCTCATTCACATACACACACATCCATAATACACACACACATCAATAATACACACACACAGAGGATGTGAAGGGGGACTCTCTCTGACTTAGCACTTAAAATGTGCTGGGCCTTGTACTAAGAGATTTTCATATATTAAGTTATTTAGCCCTCACAAGAGATGTGGAAGCTGAGACTGAGAGAGGTTAAGCCACTTTCCCAAGGCCATAAAGATGGTACTGTCAGAGCAGGATTTCCACCTGAGCAGACTCCAGTGTCTGCTCTTGATCTCTGCTGACTCCAAGGCATCAAGGACCCCACCAGCACCTATGGAGATGCAGCCATCCCTGGCCAGCAGCCCCAGCTCCAGCCCCAGCACACCACCACCAGGGCAGGAGACTAAGGGGGTGTTGGACAAGAAGGAAGGAAAGAGGGAGGAAGATGGGGAGAGGGAAAGGAAGAAGACAAGGAGGGAAAGACAGAGACAGAGAGATGGTTGGAGTAGTTAGTCAGTGGTGCCTACGAGTAAGGGAACTACATCATCTGGTCATCCAGTCTGATATTTGCCTAGGCAATGGCTGAGATACTCCTTCCTTTTGCAGGGAGGAGAGAGAACCAAAGAGACAAATGGTTGCAGAGGGCTGGGAAGGGGGACAAGGACAAGTGAGTTTCCCACTGGTTAGAAGCATGCCAGTATCTAGTGTAAGCACTTGGCCTGTATTGACTCATGTAGTCCTCACAACAACTGGATGAAATAAGCAATCTATAATCTCCATTTTGCTGGTGAGAAAAGTGAGGTATTTGCCTACAATCATACAGCCAGTAAGTATACCCTTGAGCCTCATATTTATTTAGTCAATTGTTTTCAGTTTCCATGATCATGAATTACTATTGTAATACATAGTCCTGCAATGCTAGATTATGGAGGAATGAAAAGAACATGAGTCTATGAGTTAGGGGACCTGATTTCTGGTCCCACTTCTAACTCTTGCAAATTCTGATCTTGTGTGGGTTCTTTATCCCACTCAAAAAATGAGCTGATTGGATTAACTCAGGTGGTAGTGGTAGTAGAAGCCCCGGAAGTACCAGTAGTAGTAATAATCGAAGTAGTAGCTGTAATAGAAGAAACAATAGTAACAGAAAAGAAGTAATAACAGAAGTAGTAGCAGTTGAGTAGCAGTAGTAATAGAAGTAGTGGCAGGAGGAGGATTAGCAACATTAATATAAATAGCAGTAGAAGTTACTGTAGTAGTAGAAGAAGAAGAGAAAGAGGAGGAGAAGAAAAAAAGGAAGAGGAGGAAAAGAAAAAGAAGAAGATATAGTAGTAACAGTAGTGGTAGAAGAAGTAGAACTTATAGAAGAAATCACAGTAGTAATTGTGGTAGTCGCAGTAATAGACATAGTTGTAGTAGCAGCAGTGAAAACAGAATTAGTAGTAAAAGAAACGAAAGTAGTTAATAGATGAAGTTGTAATACTAGAAGTAGTAATAATAGTGATAGAAGAAGTCGTAATAGTATTAAAGGAAGTAGTTTTTAAAGAAGAAGAGGAGGACAAAGAGGTGGAGGAGGACTGAGAAAAAAACACCAACATCTGTGAAGACCTGTGATGTGCCAGATGCTGTGGAAAATGTGTTTTGTATACTCAGTCCTCACATCTCTCTTGTTAGCCAGCTACCTTCCATAATGCTCATTTCATAGATGGGCAAACTGAGATTCAGAGATGTCAACCTATGCAAAGGGGAGGTAGAGTCCAGACCTTGTCTTCCCACCACCCTGGCTGCCTCTCCAAGGCCACCCACACCATGCTCCACAGGGAGCAGCTGTGTTCTTTCAACTTTTACAATGCCCATTCCAAAAGTCTTGCTACACAAAATGATTTGACCCCCTTGTCCTCAGAATTAGAAGGAAACTCAGAATTAACTTCCCTCGGATAAAATCCTTTGTAAATATTTTCCATCTTTGCTTTATTTGAAAGATCGACATGAGACTGGTTGTCACCCAAAACTCTGTTGATATTTCCTTTTTAAAGAACATAACATACATTCTTGGGCTGGACTCAAACATTCTTACATTTTGTTTTTAAAAAAGAAACTATTTATGGAAAACCATAATTATTGGAAATGCAAGGTGGAAGCCCTGCATTCTTTCTTCCTCTGTGATAAAGGGCATAAAATGTCAGCTTTCTACCATTCTAGGAGAAATACTCCTCTCTCCAGCACCATTCCTAAGGACTGGCACAAAGTGTCATCGTAATAACCACTGAGAATGTTAATTGAATATTTGGTGTTTTGGGGGATGCTATGTGAAGCATTTTATGTGCATCTTTTCATTTAATTCTCATCATCTCCTTATGAGATAGGGTTGTCAACATCAGCCCCATTTTACAGATGGTGAAACTAAAGCTTATGGACTTTAAGAAAATCACACAAGTTCACCCTGTAAGTGACCAAAGTGGGCTCTTAAACACAGGTCTGTCTGAATCCAAACCAGAGTCCCCAGACTAACTTGGAGTAGCTGGAAGTTACCAACTAAGGGAATTTAAGTAACTCAACTCCAGAAGGAATGAAAACTTTAGATGGATGACTATTCAGCAACTGACCCACAAAAACACAGTCATGAGCGGTCACTGGAAATACCCGCCTAAGTAAGAGCTTGGAGTTGGAGGTGGGGGCTCTGTGAATATCTTCATGGCCATTCATTCATTGTATATTCAGCAAACATGTACTGCTCATCTCATGACAGACAAAACCCTAGGAATCAGGGACACAGCAGGAACCAAAACAGACACAGTCGCTGCCTTCCAGGAGATCACAGTTGAGAAGGGGACAGTCAGCAGACAATCGCGGTTGAATGGGATAAATGAAACACTAAGGTTTCATTTCAAAGGAACTGAGAAGGGGATAGGATACAGCCCCAGGGGGGAGAGGATACAGTCAAGAAAGTCTTCTTGGAGGAGATGCCACAAACTGATATTTGAAAGACAAACAGAAGTCAGCTGGGTAAATAAAGCTGGCTGTGGAAAGAGTCCTGGGCAGAGAGAATGGCACGCACAATGACTTGGGGAAAGAGAGGGCAAGGAAAGACTGGGGAACTGCAGGCCTTTGGTATGTACACTCTGATGCTGGAGAAGGAGGCCTCAGTCCTTTGTGGCTGGGTGACGTGAGCCACTCTAAGAGGCCTAAGTACCCTCATCCTGGCTCCAGCTCCAAGCTCACCCAGTCACCTTCTAGTTATCACTGGCTTCCAATGATGGGTTATCTACAGGGTAAGAAGGTTAAGACAGGAGCTAGAGTTCAAATGCAAATTAACAAATGGATTTTTCAACTCTCTCTTGCCCCTCTCAAATGAATTGGGTTTTACCACTGAGTGTCCCTGGTCACCTGAGTGTCCAAGCTCACACAGCACAAACGCGGACATAGGCATAGGGCATGACACCCTCACTCTGCATGGACCTTTTGACTGAGATAGATCATTTGCCTGGGGGTGCACGCCACAGCCAGTTCATGCAGCAGTGTTTACTGAGAATGTGTATCTGTTAAAACTCTTTCAATAATGACCAAGAAAAAAACCAATTCAAAGTATTAAGTAATAAGGAATTTATGATTTTATGCCCAGAGGACCCAGAGTTGGTTAATTCCATAGCTCAATGATGTCATCAAATACCAGATTTTTTTCCTACATTTTCTCTCTTCCTTTATCTTTCTATGGTTCCTGGTGTCTCATGTAGAGATAATATTCATTAGAAGAAAAGTGACTTCATCTGCCCTGATCTTATTCCCAAAAGTGCCCCCACCCCATTAGCTTTTCCCCCATACCTCATTTGCCAGAAATTAGTCACATGCCCCTTCCAATTTGTAAAAATGTGGTTAAGGAAATAAAGAGGATTGCTTGAACTGGATCCACTGTGGGGAATATAGAAAGTTTCACCATGCCTGACCCGCAGCTCTGTGGAGAAGGCAAAATTGAACAATTAGGGGCTCTCCCAGCCAAGAAAAGTAGGGGTTAAAAAATGGATAAGGAGGCTGAGGCGGGCGGATCACGAGGTCAGGAGATCGAGACCATCTTGGCTAACACAGTAAAACCCCGTCTCTACTAAAAATACAAAAAATTAGCTGGGCACGGTGGCAGGTGCCTGTAATCCCAGCTACTCCAGAGGCTGAGGAAGGAGAATGGCATGAACCCGGGAGGCGGAGCTTGCAGTGAGCCAAGATAGCACCACTGCAGTCTGGCCTGGGTGAAAGAGCGAGACTCCATCTCTAAAAAAAAAAAAAAAAAATGAATAAGGGTCATTTGTCTGGCATTCAGTAAGAGCTCAATAAATGTTTTCTGAATGAGGAAAGGAATAAGCAAGTTGGGATGGTTACAAGAGGCAAGGTACCGTAACAGGTATGGACATATGTTCAACACAACCCTCTGAGTTGAAGAAAATAGAAACTAAATTCAAACTTGTTTCAGAGAAGAATAAATGATACCTATTGAATCCTATAATTGGGAAGTCTAGGATTGTACCAGAGTCAGGTTTAGCAGGATCCAGTAATCCACATACTATTTTCAGGTATCCATGTCATCAACAGCAGCCTCCCAGGTCAACAGCCCTAAGGGTTGTTGGGTACTTTTCTTCCCCAGACTTCCAACCCAAGTTCCTGATGTGTAGCTCAATGGCCTGGTTCAGATGCACGAACTAGGGCTGTGAGGGGGCTGATTGGTCAGCCATGGAGTCACATGACCCCCATGGACAGGGGAAACAGGAAGAGGGTTTCTCAGAGCTCAGGAGCAGGTGAACTGGAGGCAGAGCAGGCACAGGGTGAGGGAGGGAGGAGAAGCTGAAGAGAGATGTGACTTGGCTCTTTGTCATTTTCCATTGTTTCCTCACAGCTCCTGCCTGGTTTTTCTTTGGCAGATAGGACACAACCAAGCAATCCACACATTTCCTAGTCATCTCTCTCTGGTAAACAGCAAAAATGCCTTCCGAGAATCATTCCAAACCAAGAGCTGGGTGGGTGGATGGAGAAAGACATTCACATCTAATTAATGGTAGCTGACAGTCATGAGATGATGTCAGTAGGAAAAACTTCCTTCAACCTAGGTTTAGGAAAGGACCACTTAGGAGACGATTAATGAAGTTTTATTCTTCATAGCCACAGTGAAAGTAAAGGGGAAACATAATTGGTGTCCTTTGGTTAAAAAGTGGCAATTTGCTCATTGGCAGTTTTGTTCAGATGGGAAGGGGTGGGGACCTGACCAGAGCAGAACAAATACGGCAGGCACGTTGTAATGACGCACAGCCGAAGTAGCATGCCAGGAAGGCCGTCTGTTTGGAAAAGGAGCTGAACTGAACACGTGAGTGGTTTTCATGTAATTCAGAACCCACAACTACTGCACTCATTTCAGAAGAATTTCCAAAAAGGGTTCCTCTTGAATGAGCCTATAGGAGGCATCAAACATCACATCCCCCTGGAGTGATCACATGACAAATATGAGAAAACATGCCATGTATCATCAGGATGTATTCTGTGGCCCAGTTTCCCCACCATAGGCCTTTGCCCTTGCTGGTCTCCCCACCTGGAATGCCCTTCTCTGTGATCTTTGCAGAGCTGGCTCATCCTCTGTCTTCACATCTCAGCTCAAATATCACCTTATCAGAGAGGCCTGACCCCATGATCTGCTTCACAGGACACTATTTGGTTTCTCAGCATATTCCTGAGTGATATATACTTGGTTTGTTGGCATGTTCCTAGACTCATTTACTTTATGGCTCAGGATGCCCCCTTAAGGGCAGATGCAGGTCCTATGTTGGTCACCAGTAGATGGCCAGTGCCTCACCAGTGACTGGCAGTGAAATATTTGTTGAAAAAATTAATTTTCTCTGGACCCTTCTTGCTAACACTGGGCCCACCGCAGATTCCTTGCATAGGCCCCAAACTCTTGCATTGGCTGTTCCATCTACCAGAAATCCAGGTCCTTACTCAACCTCACACCAAAGGACTACCTGATGAATCCCATTCATTCTTCAGGGCCAGTGTTACCTTCTTTCTGTAGCTTGCCTGGATCCCCAGCTCAGCCCAAGGCAGAGTATAACAGAAATAACCCAGGCCCTGAAGTCAGATAGACCTATGTTCAAACTTTGGCTCCAACACTTACTAGCTATGGATGCTTGGAAACATGTTTAGCTCTCGTAGCCTCAGTTTTCTCATCTGAAAAATGAGAATCATGATAGTACTAACACAGAATTTCTTTGAGAACTAAATGAGATCAAATGTATACAAAATGCCCAGTCCTGGCACCTCACATTATTGTTTTAGGATTCTAGCATCAACCATACTCATTTCTGGATGTATCTGTACCAATAGGCTGTGAGTTCTTCAAGAAGGGACTACTTGCTTCTTCTCTTTATGTTATCATGCCTTGCATTTTCTGTGGAGCATAGTAGGTACTCAATAAAAATGTGTCAAATTAAATTGGATATCATTACAACATTTCCCAGGAATTCAAGTGGCTTCTCTACCCCTTTTCCTTGACTTGCAGCTATCCAGAAAAAGCAAACCCACGTGGCTTGTGTCACAAGCAAAAATTTAAGAAGAAATATCATCCATGAGAAAATAATCACACCCCACGTTCCCACACCAAACCGAATTGTTTTCAGTCGAGTTCTAGTCTGTGCACTTTGCCCTTCTAACCAATGTTTATTAATATGAGGAATCAAGAGGTTACTAGGAGCAATCGCTCAAAACTGGCAGGAAACTAACATTTGGTTGGTATCTGTGTCTCTCTCTGGAATGGGTGCGTCTTCACGTTCCCTTCTCATGCTGAGGTTTGTTTTCCCCACATGTTGTTCAGAAAACACAAGACTTAATGCCCTAGCTTTTTGCTGCCTAAAACGGACAACCCTTCCCTTCTTCAGCCTCAGGGACTGTGTCAACTTTAAGGTCATGACCACAGGGCCACAGGGGAGCCAATCATGATAACAAAATATTATTTGCCTCCCTGGTTTCTGGTGCATTCAACAGGAGCCCTCAGCTCCGAGTCCCAAGACTCTACAAATTCCTGTTCCAACCCAAAACTTCACCACTCTCTAGGGCACTAATCATTTTATCAGAAACCTACGGTGGCTCCAGCATCTCATTCCAAGTTCTGACTATGCTTTATTTTTTTCCCAATATTATGAATGTTTAAAAACATGTTTTTATTGGAAAGATCTGTATGTCCTCATTAATCTTTTGGATCTCACTGGAGCCCCTTAACATGCCCCTTAAAATATCCATTAAAAAGTCAACCACAACTGTTTAAATAATTTTAATGCATACATTTAAAAAGAGGGCAATGAGATATGCACATCATTTAAAGATGGTGGTGGACGTTGGAAAGGGAAGTCGGTGATGGGCATGAGGTCACAGACTCGCCATTAGGGATCATTCTTCATTCAGCAAATTGTCATTTACTTGGAATATCTCCCTCATTCCATGGATTTTAGGCATACTTTCTTTTCAGTGGGAAAATGGAAGGAATAGATCATTGGGACCTTTCATTTTTCTCATTCCTATCATCTAAACACAAAGAAAGTGCCCTGTTTAGAAAATGCTGCTAAGTTGTGGCAGCCCAGGGATATTTCAAGCTTGCATTCTGGCCATTTCTCTCTGTTTTATATGGCTTCCTGCTCTCACATCCAATGAAAATAGCTCTTTCCATGGCAACACCACATAGAGATATCATGGCAAGACTGTGTTGTGGTTGCTATTTTTTTAAGCAATACTATTTATCTTGAAACTGCACCAATTTCTCCCCCTTTTTCTCTCATTCCACAATCACACCAGTGTTGGCAGTTCCTCTTGAGGGCATGTGAGGACACTTAGTCACCTTTACCAAAGGACTGTAGTTCTACTTCTTTAGTCCACCATACAACATTAGTTCTGTATGCTTGTCAAGTTTTTAACTTTGGGTGCTCAAGTTGAAGTTCTTGGTTTGATGTTCAAAGCCATTCACAATAGTCTTGACTGCTTCCATATTTTCATATACTAACACTGCCTGTATTATAACAATACTGAGCTGTTTAGCCTGTGACTCAAAGATACCTGGACCTTGTTGGCCAGGTTACCATTGCATTACAGTCAAATTTAATGTATCACCTTATTCCAAACACACACATGCTAACACACACAAACACACAAATACATAGACACACAAATCTATTCCCTATAGCATTTGGACAATGAAGTAAAATTTTGCTGAAGGTCTATGGAGAAGACTGAGGATGGGAATTGTACTATACATCCTTAGCCAAATGTGCCTTCAAAGTGCCTTTTATAACATTTCTTCAAAGTTCCTTTCCCTTTAATAATTGTTAAATGTATCTCTACCCCCAGCCCCTTTATCTCAAAACTGCTCTCCAGTTGAAGTTAACTCTTTCTCCCCACCTCTCCTCCAGTTCAAACATCCCACTGAACAAAATGAGAGCCAGGTCACCAGCTGAGAGGTTTCAGTGAAACCAGATCATTAGGTTGGCCTAATCATTCAGCAAAGATCATTAGGTTTGCCAATCAATCAATGATGGCTTGAATGAGTCCCAGGCTGGGGAGAGATGGGCATTCATGTCCACTTCATCCCATCATGTGAAATTTACAAATGTACTAGGCAGCTCTGGCTCCGTGAGTGCACATGCTGTTCTCTCTTCCTAGAATGCCCTTCCCTCATTGCTTATCTGATGAGACCTTTCAGGTTTTAAGATCCAGCTCAAGGATCAACACTTCTGAGAAATCTTGGGGATTTCAGACATGTTTCCTCATCCAAAGAAAAATATAAAAGTCCCGAGCTGGCCACTCTGACGTAGCACTGTTCATGACCCCTGGGTGTTTTACTTATTGACCATGTCTTTGCCTCACTTCTCCTTACCTTAAAAGGAAGGTCTTCTCATCTGAATCTCCAGAACCCAGCCCAGCACTGAGTATATACATATTGTATAACCAGTAAATGTTTGTCAGATGGAATTTTATTCTTACCACACATCCAGGAGTTAGGTGAAGCAGGTGTTATATAACAGGTATTGCTAGGCAAATTCTTTTTCCTTTCTGAGACACAGGTTATATTGTACGAATGCCCTAAGCACTATACATGCATTAATTCACTCAATTCATCACAAGAACCCTATGAAGTAAATGCTATTATCATCCTCATTTTACAGATGAGAAGGTTAGATTTCCCTTTGGTAAATTTTATTGTAGTTCAAAATACTTTTCACCCATCCTGGGGTGTCCCTACCTATAAGAGGATTGTATACCCAGGCATGGCTATGTGATTAGATTTGTACTAGGAAATCTAAAAAGGGATGTGTGTCATCCCCAAAGATTTAAGAACCAGCATGTGGTTGCCCTACTTCTTTCTCCTTTACCCTCTTAGATGCCTCTACTCCATCATCATGGATGCCAGAGTAAAAATGATATGGAAAAGAGGTACAACTGATCCATGTGGCCATAGAGCACAAGAAAGAAATAAACCTTTGTTTCTGTAAGCCACTGAGCTCTGGGCGTCATTTGTTATCTCAGCATAATCTAGCCTAAGCTGACTTATGAACTCCACAAATCTGGTCTTTTTTCAGTGTCCCCAGTGTCAATGAACGGATTAACATCCATTTATTCACACAAGTGATGAATCTGGAATTCATCTCTGGTGCCTCTTCTCCCTTCTCTAAAGGAAAAAAATACATATATCCAAGCCCTGTCAATGAAGCCTCCTAAATCTCCCTGGAATTGAATGTCTCCACTTCTCTCTTCAATACCTCCATCCTAGGCCAAGTCACCATCATCTCTCCCCTTGACTGTTGAAATGACATACCTGAACTCCCGAGCCCCATACTTCACCCACTTTTTTTGCTGCCCATACTATCCTCCACAGAAACTCTATTATAACAACAACATTGATAATGTTATTATGGTGTTTAGAAACATTTTGTGCTTTCTCATTGTTCTCATGCGCTGACAAGACCCTCCGGAACTGAGCCTACCTCTCCAATCTCTCTCTCTCTCTCTTTTTTTTGAGACAAAATCTCACTCTGTCACCCAGGCTGGGGTGCAGTGGTACGATCTCGGCTCACTGCAACCTCTGCCTCCCGGGTTCAAGCAATTCTCTCCTTCTGCCTCAGCCTCCCGAGTACCTGAGATTTCAGGTGCCCGCCACCACACCCAGCCAATTCTTTTGTATTTTTTAGTAGAGATGGGGTTTCACCATCTTGGCCAGGCTGGTCTTGAACTCCTGACCTCGTGATCCCCCCTTGACCTCCCAAAGTGCTGGGATTACAGGTGTGAGGGACCGTGCCCGTTCTCCAATCTCTTTTTATCCTATCCTCTCACTTGAACTCAATAACCCAGTCACTCTGATCTTCATCCCACTCTTAAGCCGTAGTATTTTTGACCTTTAGGCCTTGCACATGCTGTTGTACCTGGACTCCTATCTCCTCCCACCTTCATTCTCTATCTCACTACTCAAACCACACTTCCGAAGGAAGCCTTCCTTTGATCATAACCCCTATAATCTGAGTCAGACTTCCTTATTAAGTGCTTTCATAGAACCATGTACTTCTCTTTCATCATATTTTTCACAATTTCCAGTTGGATGCAATTATAGAATTGTTTTATTAAGCTGCCTCCTAGACCATAATCTTTGTGGTAATGGGAATCATGTCAAATTCATCTTTTTACCTGAACACCCAACCATTTCTGAAACATGGCAGATGCTCAAATAAGATTTGATGAATGAAAGAATGAATAAGTAAGTAAATGAAGACTCCTTCCATTTTGAGATTCTAGGGCTCCTTGTAAGGCTTGAAAAATAAACTGGCTTGCTCTCTCCCTTAAACGGGAATGAAAGACAACCCTTCCATTCACTTTGTTGGATCAAAAAATGCAAGGTACTACAGTAGTCCGATTTTTGTAAGTGTTTACAAAGGTACTTTTACATATCATCTCATCCACTTAGGCCCTCTGTCCATGCAGAAAAGAAGTTTTATACAGGATTGCTCTGAATACAGGCCTTAGACCTAAAGCAAATAACGTGAACATCGGTACTGAGAAGCAGGGCTGGGTCACTGCAAAGTTAACTTGGTCATGAACTAAAATGGACTGTTGTCTTTTGGAATGTGTACAGATGGTGACCAGAAATGGAGCACTGCCTGATATTTTCTCTCAACAACTGGCTAGGGCTTTGGTCATCCCAGGGGCATGGTCTGGGCAATTTCATTTAAACAGCCCCAGAAGCCCTCAGCAGGGCCTCTATGTTTTTCTAGGCCACTGGTAATGACATTGGCTGTACCACTGCTTTTACAGATGGTAGTCAGAGGCAGAAGGACTGGGCAAGCCGCCAAGGGATGCTCCATGAATGGCAAGGCTCTGTTTATTATTTCACAGAGTTCCAACCTGAGTTCTAGATCACAGCCTTGGCAAAGTTCACATCACAGAGAAGTTCAAGTGTGGCAGTGTGGTACAATGAAAAGAACCCAGTTCTGCCCAGTCTTTGGAGTTCAAATCCCAGCATTGGCCACTTACTAGTAAAGTAAATTTGGACACGTCACTGCATTTCTCTGAACCTTAGTATCTTCATCTGTCAAATGATGGACAGGGTGAGAATAATTCTTGCAACCTCAGGTACTCAACAAATGTCCACACCTTCTCTCCACCCCAATCTTTCTTCTAAGCATGTAGCAGAGTAAAATCCTCAGCTTTTGTCTAACTAAGAGACTGATTCTTTAAACCTCATACTTTTATCTTCATTTTAATGGAAAGGACCACATATTTCAGTTCCTTTAGATATGTGACAACTGGAAGTGAACTTTATAAAAAAAAATGGAACATTATGGAAATGACTAGATATTAATAAGTCTCCTTCTGTTGTAGAAGCAATAATATTAATATCTACCTTTCTAAAGTGCCTCCAAGGGGCCAAGCACTGGACTGGGTCATTTTCATTCCTACTACAAATTACCTATCTCTGCCTTGATTTGCTTCTACTGTAAAATAAGAATAATAATAATACCTTCATCATAGGGTTATTTAAGAGATTAAGTGAAATACTCTATGTTACACAGATTTGCTTAGTGCTCTATGCATATTAAGTGTTTGCTATATGCATATTAAATGTTCACTATATGGTAGACAGTTCTTTCATTCATGAGTTTTCTGGAGCCAACTCATAGTTTTTAGTTTTTTGAGGAATCACCACATGTTTTCTGCAATGGTTGACCTGATTTACATTTCCACCAACAGTGTATAAGCATTCATTTTTCTCTGAAACCTCACAAGCATCTGTAATTTTTTGACTGGCTTACAAGAGCAGATTTGTGTGCATTTCTTCCCAAGCCTGTGCTTACTGACATCATGTAGATAGCTTGAAATTAGCTATAGTGGATGCATTTACACCACAGAAATCAGCAAACTTTACAAACAAGGGTTTTTGTCTTTTCAGAGAGCCAGTTATTCGCTATTCAGCAGCACTCCACTCTTTTCTCTCCATTTTTATCCGTGAAGAAAATACGCTACTGAAGAAGTTAAGTGATCTACCCAAGGTCACACGGCCAGCAAACAGCAGAGTTGAGGGTCAAGTCAGGTCCATCTGAACTCAAATCCCATGTGTTTATTTTTTTCACAATGAATTTGCTTACATTTATAGTAAAGGGGGAGGAAGCAACTTGCATTTTTCATAGGTTCCTTGCATATCATGAGGGTCTTGAAGATATATCTGACCTGTTGTTTTTAATTTACCAAACACTTGTAGGACGTTTACTTTTACTCTCTAACAGCACTTTATAAGTGTGAATTCATCTAATCCTAGTAACAGCCTAGGAGGTCACTTTTATTGTTGTTCCATTTTATAGACGAGGTAACTGAAGCACAGGGAAGTAAGTAACTTGCGCAGGGTTATGCAGCAGAGCAGAGACTCACACCCAGATACTCTAACTCCAGACTCTGCATTCTTAACCATGAGGCTAGGCTGTGCCCCTATATTAACAAGAAGTGTTTGCTTCCAGCTTCAACAAAAAATCCAGCCACATCATTTGCCCTGGAAACATTAGTGGGAATTTTTAAAAATATTTATGGATGCCCCACACTTGCACCACAGGGGCAGGCAGCTTGCAGTAGGGTGTAGCATGTGGAATCCTTCAATCAGCAAAGTTCTAATTATTTCAGGATATAGCCCTCGTGCTGCTGAGAGTTGATGGCTGGGGCCTCTGAGGGGGCAGCCCAAGGGTGGTTCCTGGGAAAGATCCATATGACTATTTTAATTTTTTATTACAGAAATTACCAAACATTCACAAAAATTTTTTTTAAAAAAAGATCATTTTTAGTTTAGAACTGATTTCTTTACATAGTAAGCAACTAGAGAGCTTTCCACTCACAAGGTTAGAAGGAAAACAAGGTAAATCCCAGCAGATTCCAATCCCAACCAGGCCTCCCACCTCCACTGCTGGACCTCAACCCAAGCCAACAGCACCTTTGCCTGGAAAAGGCTGTAACTTCCTTACGGGTCTCCTGGTTCCATTCTTGCTGCACTAAACTCTGTTCTCCATAAAGCAGCCACAGTGAGCCTTATAAAGTAAACACCAGATTACATGACACCCCTACTGAAAACCCTCCAGTGGCTTCCCATCACACAAGAATCAAATCCAAACTCTTTGCCATGGCCCACAAACCCTGAGAGATCAACCCCCAGCCCATTTCCTCAACCTCATCCTCCACCAGCTCCCTTTATTCTCTCGGTCCCAGACAGCAGGCTTTCGATTCCTAACAGGCCAACTCCTTTTGATCCTCAGGGCTTTTACACTTGCTGTTGCCCTACCTTAAACCCTTTTTCCCCAAAATCGTGACATGACTGGCTCCTTGTCATCATTCAAGGCTCAGCCCGAAAAACACTTCCCCAGAGAGCCTTCCTTGGTTGCCCCTTTAAAGCACTCCTCTTGACACATTCCATCCATGTTCTGTGATCATAGCACTTGTCACTCGCTTACACACATCTTCATTTGGTTGTTCATTGTCTCTCTCCCCTAGCTAGGATGTAAATTCCATGAAAGCAGGGACTTTGTCATGATCACAACTGTTTTTCCAGTCTCTGAAAGGTGCCCAGCCCCAACAGGTGTTTAATCAGTGTGTCAAATGAACTAATAGTGAGTGATAAAAATAAAATACGCAGTAAGGATAACACCCACCCAATGTCTGACAGTCTTGGAGTCCTTTTCCTAAGTCGTAGGATCACTGTGGATATGTTCTGTGCTTTCATCTCTGAATGGAGTAAGAAGTCTCCAGATCTAAGTGACATACAACCAGAGTGCTACATACTCAGAAAAGCAAAGTGAGTTGGGGAACTAAGAGGTGCCTATCATTTTGTCTGCACTGAATCTTCAGATTGGAAAGAGGATGTGACAGATAGACCCTCTTGCTATTCATTCCTTGGTGTAATTCCCTCCCCTTGAGTGTGGGTAAGACCTGTGACTTGCTTCTAACCAGTGACAAAGGTGAATATGGCAAATCTCACTCCCATGATGACCTAAGTTGAGCCCAGACTTCAAGTCCACAGAAACAGTGAGGTAATAAACATGTGTGTTGTTTTAAGCCACTAAGTATGTGGTATATTATTACACAGCAATATAAAACTAATTCAGAGGAGATTTAAATCATTTATTCATTTACAGAAAGGAAGGTCCCCTCACTAAAGATGTCTGCACTAAGGCCAAGACAAAAGCAATTAGAATTTATACAGCCTTACCTATATTTCCCTATCAAGAAAATAAAGAGCATGATATGTTGATTTATCATTTCAAAGAAAGTCAAGGAATGTTAACAATGCCCAGTATGGTTGTGTTGTCCCTGGAAGTTGGCATTAAATTAGGCAAAAAGTCCTTGTGTACTTCTCTTCTGGGGCAGCAGGAAAAGAGAGTCAGGAGACTTGCTCCACTTCCCAGCTAGCCTTAGGGAAAGAAAGCTTCAAAGTATGGGGTATATAGTGGTAGCTACTGAGAAGAGAATAAGAGAACACGGTGGGTTGAGACCTTAGTGTTCGTGGGAAAATGAAGAAAGAAAAAAAGTCTGTTGTGCACAACATGGGCACTAAATGTAAAGGGGGTGCCTAGCAATAAAGGAGCCACTGGTAGATCCCAGTGTAGTAGCTACCTTATCTCTCTCTTTGTGTCTGTCTCTGAGAATCAGCTAAAAACATCTTCAGACCACTAACTTGACTCAGACGTGAACTTAAGGGCATCCTTGGGCACCCATAACCTTGGTCTCTCAGGCACTTCAGTCCAGTGATTGAGTGGGGCTCAATGGATGTCATACAATGATTCTGAACAATGCTAGTACTGGGGTGAATTCTGAGAGTGGGTTAGGTTTTAGGTTCAACCATTTCCCAAACTCCTGGGTAAGCTTAAAGACATACTTGTTATGGCCACATAGTAACCATTTTCATTCTTCACAAGTCATTAAAATCAGTGTCTTATGATGGCTGCCCTAAGCACCAAACATATTTTTGAAGTGAAAGTACAAAGATGTAATACAGATGCAAAAAAAAAAAAAATACCCATCAGAGAATAGAGCCAGGGGACCCATATACATCCTAGGATATTATTTTCATGTCTACTCGTCATCTTTGTTCTAAAGATGGAGTGTTTTCCTCCTGGAGGTTATGACTCAGTTGCCTGGGTTATAAGCAGTCTGTCTGTTGGGCATACCCATGCCACACCTTGGATTCTAGCACTGTCCAGGAGCAAAAAGGGGAACACAGGTCAAGGTGCTAGAGAACAGGAGAAGGAGGAGCTCTCTGAGGGAAGTAAGTGAGGGGCTCAGAGTTAAAAGAGAGATAAGTGACCAAGAGAGGCAAAAGGCTTGGACCAGGATTGGCATAAAGTTAAAGGTGAGAGTTAGACAAAGCTTAGGTAAGACCACAACTAATGTAAGCTTGTCTTCAGTAGTAATCATTTCCCTTGAGATGTGGCTCTCAAAGTGTAGTTCCTATATGAACAGCATGAGCATTACTAAGAAATTTGTTAAAAGCACAAATTCTTACGCCATACTCCAGATCTACTGCATCAGAAATTCTGGAGGTGGGGCCCAGCAATCTTTGTTAACAAGCCCTCCACATGATTCTGATACATGCTAGAGTTTGATAGCTATTACTCTTGGGTATCTAGTGCCCTCTCATTGTCTCCAGGTGTCCAAATTGCTGCCCTATCTAGAGATACCTGGGTTTTGCCTATATTCTTCTCACCTTCCCCCGTGGAATCCTATGAGTTCAATCTGCCAGGCCCTTCCATCCCTACTTTCCCTGGACTAAGCCACGTAATTCATGCTTAGCTGTTAACAGTTGGCATAAATTGAATTTTCAGCCCCAGTTATTTACCCTTCCCTGTATCTGCCACTGTTTGCCATGAAGCCATGCAGTTCCTCCACAAAGGCAGAATGTATGGCCCAAGCCCTTCTCTTTGGGCTTGGTCATGTGACTTGCTTCGGCCAACAGGATGATAGCAGATGTGATTCAAGGGCTTGAAATGTGCTGTGCAGTTGAGCTTACTCTCCTCTACTTGGCCATCCCCATGAGATGGGCTCCACCAGGGATATGTTGCCCCCACGGCCTGATCCCAGAATAAACACATGTGGATTAGAGCCAACCCAGACAGCTAAGCCAATGCACAGATATATAAGCAAAACATACACTCATTGTTGTATACCATAAGATTCTGGGGTTTTTGTTACCTAGCAATAGCTGATCACAGCACATTGAGCATCCACTAGTTTCAGTGCTAGCCTTGCAAGTGATCTATTTCCCCTACAAGATGGGACTGCTGAAATCCTAGTGACTTATGGCAGAGGAAGACTTTGAGGCCCTTTGCTTGGAGATAGTGAGTAATATATCTTAGTGGGGATCAGTTAGGGGGAATGGGGAGCTTTCACTTCTCTGAAGCCAACTGTGATCAGCATTGCCCTGAGAGTCACTCTTGGGTCAGACAATAAGAAAGACAATGAGGATGGAGTGGGAAACAGGATGGGAAGGAAAGACAAGAATGAATGCACAAAAACAAGGCAACAAGTTAGAGTAAAAAGAAAGTGAATAGCAACAAACATCATGTCATATTTCACCCTCACTCACTGCTGCTGGTGGCTCCAAAGGGAGTTTTTAAGTGTCTCAGCTCCAGCCAGACTTGTCTTCATTTACTCTTGCTTCTGACCATGGCTTCTGACCATGGCTGCCACATGATTTGCCTTTTACTTAGCAAGCCCAGAGGAGTTGCAGCAGTGCCAGGATGAAGAACTGCATTCTCTCAGTGGAAGGTGGCTGGGTACTATTTGTATTGAGTGAATTATTCACTCTTGAAGGCAAGCACTCCCATCCAGATTCATACACTGCAATTAATTGCTCCTGAAGTGCTTTCTTAGATGGGGTCACGGCAGTGAAATGCCACACATGCTTCCACTCAGCTGCCTGGGAACGCAGACAGCGAGAGAAGCAGTGTGGGTTACGCGCTAGCCATCCACGACACAACTCGGGCCACGCGGGGAAGACTGAGGTCACTCCTGACCATAGGCACTTGGCTTCCCTACGTGTTGAAAAATGCTTGTTATAGACATAGCAGAGTATTCGTCCTATAAGTCAAGGACAAAAGGGGAAATAATTTAGTAAGTACTTTCTGGGTATCCAGATGTACAGATTTCGGCATTTTTCAGCACTGAAGCAACAGTGCCTGAGATATTTGTAAAATAGCCTCTCTTCCCAACCCCAATTAATTTAGCTGGTCTGTGCCATGTCAGTGTCATCTATTCTCCCCCCAGCTCAGGGATCCAGGCTGGCCCCAGCCTCTCAGAAATTAAGGGAGGTGAAGGATAGTGCTGTTGGTTGAGCACTTGCTATGTGCTAGGCATTCTGCCAAGTGATTTACATAAGTTGTGTTAATTCTCCTTCTGACTCTGTGAGGTTGTGTCCTTATGCCCATTTTACAGATAAGAATAGTAAAACAGAAGTAAAGCAACTTGCTCGAAGCACACATAGTTGTTAAGTTGAGAGCCAGGGTTGGAATCTAGACTTTCTTAGAAACTGGTGTTTGCACCCTTACCATAATACATTACAGGGGCTTGTCCATTTCATCATTAGAAATTTTACTATTAGTTCCTTGGGGGCAGGGAGTGGATCTGCTTTTTCTCTGTGCTAAGTTTACATGCGTTGTCTCATCTAGTCTTCTGAATACCAGCATCATCCACATTTTATAGATGAAAGAAAGTAAAGCTCACAAAGGTTAAATAACTTGTCTAAGACCACACAGGTAAACAGTGGTAGAGCCAGGATATGAACACAAGCCTGAATCCCTAATTGTGTTCCCATTCCTTATGTTGTGGGTACCTATGGCCCCATCACACCAGTTGAAAAGTGGTTACAAGTCAAAAAAGGAATGCTGTAAAAAAATCATGGCTTTCTTAGAGCTGCTATAGACACCCCAGACCTCTTAGAGACACGTGACCTGCATCCACAGCAACCTTGAAGCATTAAAAATACTTAGAGAACAAACTCTACCCTCTCGCAAAACTGTGCTGACCCAGCCTTTGGAGCTTACCTTTGGAAACACCAAGAATGAAAACAATGACAACAATGGATTTGAATAAGCAATCTATAAAAGTAAGTTGCTGCTTGGATAAGAAACAATATTAAAAATATATTCCAAGGGTCACGTTTCCCCAGCCCTGAAAATATCCGAAAATGGAGATAAGAAAGAAAAATAGGAAAAAAGAAAACAAAACAAAACAAAACAAAAACAGAAAGAGCCACGTTCTATCATATTCTCCCTTAGTTAATCCCAATGCTCCATAAGCTCAGAGAGACATCAAGGAGTTTCCATGTGGACATATCAGGGGCTCCCAATTTGAGCTTATATCATAATAAATAAAAGCATTTAAAAATTTTTTTAAACCGCTTTTTCAGTTCTGTTTTAGTTGTGCCTGCCTAGCATCTGTCCTCTCTCCTTCTGGGAGTATCCCCCTGATTTTCCTGGAGGGGAGTGACTCTCTCCCACTTGGGTCCATGTGGTTTGGGAGCAGGGAGCTCTACTCCCAGTCCCAAGGGAACCCTAGACAAGCCAGGGTTCTGCAGTCAGCACATGCCATTTTCTTGGCCACAGTGATCAGTTCAAGGACGGGCTGGCTGCTCAGCAGGGTCCACTCAGAGGGAGTCTGAGACTTGTGAGGGAGCTCCCAGGAACAGCAGCTCTCCTCTCCTTTCTGCCCCTGGAGGAAAGGGAGGGGCTGGGGAAGGGGAGCCAGTGAGAAGGGCTCTACCTGGGAGGAAGCTGAGAGAGGGCTGCGGAGACACTGACCCCCATGTGAGACCCTTCCCCAGATGGCCAGGAGTGACCTCAGCTTTCCCTGTGTGACCAGGGTTGTACCCTGAGAAATGCAGAATTTGGTTGTCTGTCAATGGCAACTGAAAAATCCTAGCTAAAATAATATTGATGAGTAGAATCCAGAAGAGAGGCCTAGACAGCCACCCTCTATATTCTGGGGCACTAAACTGCGAAGGTGATATTCACCAAGTGCCTTCTATGCCGCACACCCTGGGCCAACACTTTTCTTACTTGCTTCTATCCAAGTGTACCCTTTTCCTGGAATCATCTACCTGCTCAACTGCATCCAGTGATCTCCTACTCACCCTGCAATACCCTCTTTCACCTCCTCCTCTCAGAGGAAAGTGCCATCTTCTCCTGGCTCCCGCAGCACTCAACCCACAGCTTGTCGACATCTATGTCATACTTCCTTATTTTATATCTGCCTATATGGTGATTTCTATATTAACAAATTAAGAAATACTCAATGAAAAAAAAAGGTCTTACAATACATGAAGGAATAAGATAGAAAGTGAGGCTGCACATAGTGGCTCATGCCTGTAATCCCAGCATCTGGGAAGGCCAAGGTGGGAGGATCACTTGAGCTCAGGAGTTCAACACCAGCCTAAGCAACATAGTGAGACCTCATCTCTATAAAAAAGTCAAAACATTAGCCTAGCATACTGGTGCACACCTGTAGTCCCAGCTACTCAAGAAGGTGAGACAGAAGGATTGCTTGAGCCAAGGCTGCAGTGAGCCATGATTGCGCCACTGCACTCCAGCCTGGGTGACAAAGTGAGACTCCGCCTCAAAAAAATAAAATAGATAGAAATTGAGGTAAATTTTCCCTTTCAATCCAGAATCTCTTCCTGGAGGTAAATATCAGCACTTGGCGTGACTCCATCCAGAAGCTTTTCACTAGACTACACTGAACATCTGTCTGTCTCAGGACATATGAAACCTCCAAAGACAGAGAATTGGCTTCACTTATTTTTTAGTGGC
The DNA here is from genome assembly GCF_000001405.40 of Homo sapiens. Lineage (NCBI taxonomy): Eukaryota > Metazoa > Chordata > Mammalia > Primates > Hominidae > Homo > Homo sapiens. Next base: position 8,473,905 of record NC_000003.12, read on the forward strand.
AGTGTGGGGCTGGATGGCCTTGATTAAAATGTTAGCTCAAACACTGACCAGCTTGTGGCATGGGAAGAGTTAATTAAGCTCTGTGACTCAGTTTCCTCATCCGTAAAATGGGGCTTATAATCGCCATCTATCTTACCAGCTTCTTGTGGACATTAAATATGTTAATATATTTAAAACACTTTGACCAGGGCCTGGTACACAGTAAGTGCAATATAAATGGTTGCTATTACTAATATTAGTCTATATCTTCAGTCTCTAGTCCTAAACAAAAGTGCTGACTGAATGAATATGAGTTTCTGTTGATCTGTACAACCTCAAGTGTGCGTGTAGCCAGATAACCCCCTCATATTCCCACCTATTGTCCCCACGCAGGCTTCTAACACTGACATTCCCTCCTCTTAGCAAGCACCACCTTCATTACCACCACTGCTTACAAGCTCTTATTATGTGCCAAAGTCTACTGCAAAAGACTGTTATGTATCTTCTCTCATTTTATCCTCTCAATATTTCCATTTTTAAAAAAGTATTCACCCATGTTCATAGCAGCACTATTCACAGTAGCCAAATGGTGAAAACAATCCATGTACCCATCACCAGAAGAATGGAGAAACACAATATGGTCTGTCCACACAATGCAATATTAGCAGTCTTAGGAAAAAGGAAATTCTGCCACATGCTATAATGTGGAAGAACCTTGAGGACATTATGCTAAGTGAAATAAGCCAGCCACGAAAGGATATATATGGTATGATTCCACTTATATGAGGTGCTTAGCACAGCCAAATTCATAAAGACAGAAGGTAGAATGGTTATTGCCAGGGGCAGCAGGGAGAGGGAATGAAGGATTGGTTTTTAATGGGTACAGAGTTTCAGTCTGGCAAGATATAAAAGTTGTAGAGATGGATGGTGATGATGGTTGCACAACAACGTTAATGTATTTAATGCCACTAAATGGTATTCCTAGAAATGGTTAAATGCTAAGTTTTATGCTCTGTGTATTTTATTACAATTTAAAAAGTACTATGATTATCTCATTTTCCAGTTGAGGAAACAGAAGTTCAGAAAGGTTAAGTCACCCTCAAATCCAAGGCCACAAGGCTGGTCAGTGGCAGAGCTCAGGTGAAAATGCACACCTGCCTGGCCTGCCCTGTGCCACCCTCAACTGCCCTTCAGATCTTCTCCATGCTCCTTTTTCAGATCATCCTCCATGATCCTGCCTCTCACACCCTTCAAGGCCACTAGCAGGGCTATCCCAGGTGCAAGCCATTCAGTGTGGCCTGTCTGACTTGACTTGCTCAACCCTGTTGAGATCTAGGTCACATTTCATGAAATGTGTGGTCTTCGGCCGTTTCAGTGGTTAGCAAATTCTGGTTGAGAGAAACAGGCCTTGCTCCTAGACATTATTTGGTTCAACAAAAAGAAATCCTGGAGCACCACCAGCCCTAAACACAGAAACAAGTCTCCAACAAGGTGTTTTCTTTTGGCCCAAGGACCAGAATAGCATATGTTGCATCAGAGTGTTCCAATGTTCAGATGGGCCTGATCTTGCAAGCTTTGGGTTCCACATCTAACTCTGTCAATCACTGTGGGGACCCACCCTCCTCATTCCAGGGAGTCTCCCAACTTCATTGTACCTCTGTTATCTCTCTTGTCATGAAGGATCCACAAGAACAACTCATCTGTTCCATAGAAGCTCTTGGAGGTCTAACAAAGAAATCAGAGAGATCTTCCATCTGGGAAAAGACAAGCTCTTCCAACCCAAAAGAACAAATATTCTCTTCTGCCCCCTCTCACTTTTTCTCTTCAGTGGTCTCCATTCCCAGTCCTCTGGGGTGGATGGGCAGGGGTGTGCTCATTATCTAGCTCCCAGCAAATATTGTCAATAACACGTCACTCATCCATTCCATGGTCTATGTGACAGGCACTGGACCTGGCTGCAGGACTATAACAGTGACCCAAAGAGGCTCAGTCCCTGTCTTCAGTGAGCTCATGGCCCCCTGAGCTTATCACAAAAGAGCCTCCATTTCCTCATCTATAATATGGGAATGAGAACAGTCCCTACCACAGAATATTTTTTCAGGGATTCAAAGACAATGCATGTGAGATGATGATGATGATGACGACGAAACATTGCCATGTGCCAGGAACTGTTAGAAGCCCTTTAATTCACTTGATTCATTCATCAAACTTATGAGACAGTTTTTATCATTTGTCTCATTCTACAGATGAAAAAATTGAGGCACAACGAGTTCATGATTAACTAAAGAAAACAGAAGGACAGAGTTGGGATCTGAACTCTAGAAATCAAGATCCTGAGTCTGTTTTTCTAACCTCTGCTCTATGCCTGACTCATTGTACACTGTAAGCATGGCAGTTGCAAGACGATTGACATGAGTTGAGGGGGCTTCAAACACAAGCCCAGGCACACACAGGATTATCCTGCTCACTGTCCTCTCCCAGCCTGGCCTTGACTCTTTGTTTCTGGGATGAGTTAGTTTCAAATTTATAACCCATAGTTATTCATTTTATAATGACCTAAATTAGAATATATGCAGAAAGTGAAAGCAGTAATCAAGAAAAAAAAAAAAAACGAGAAACATGGAACTAGAATCAGGAAAATCCTGTCCACCAGGAGCCTCCTCCACCTCCATCACTTACTTTGTCTTTGGAGCTGTTACTTCTATTTGAAATTATCTTGTTTATTGATTTATTTGCATGTTTACAAGATATCTCTCCCTTCCAGAAGAACCACAGGGATGTTACCTGTCTTATTCATCAGTGGATGTTACCTGTCTTATTCATCAGTGGATTCCCATAGTCCACACAGCGACTGCCATATGTGGTTAAGGAAGCTAAGACCATGAAAATCTGACAACCCAAGTTCTCAGGGCTAGCAAAGAGTAAAGCCAGAGTTAGAACTGGTTTCTATTTCTGCAATTGCATAATAAATAGACTATCTGTCCAGTATCTACTTATTCCTCTAATCTGATTATTTAGATTGTCAGAGTAATGTCCACATGCCAGGCCCTAGACCTAGGGACAGGAGATAACCAGGTAGACATAATTTCTCAATGACTTGCCACCAGACAGGACAGATAATGAGGCAAGCAGTTCGTTATGACCCAGTCTGAACAATGTAGCCAGTGCCTACTTCCCGGGATCACCCTGGAATTGAAGGACAGAGTATATGAAAGTATGTCCCCACCTCCAAATTCAGACTGTGCTGTGGGCTTTATGTGCATCATTTCTAACCTGTCCTCAGCCCTGCAAAGTGGATTGTCCTGGTGATTGATTGTTGTATAACAAAACCCTAAAATAAAAATATTGGCTTAAAAATTCCCATCGTTTATTTTGCATATGAATCTGGAGGTTGACTGGGCTCAGCTGGGCAGTTTCTGCTCAGGGCCCTCATGTGGGTGCAGTTGGATGGTGACTGAGATAGGGTCATCTCAATGGTGTATTCACTCATGTGTCTAGATGTTGTGCTGGGAAGTCTCCACAACTGGGGCTGGAAGAGCGGGAGCTTCTTGTCCATCTTTCATCCTCTGTGTTTTCTTTTTACATGGGGTCTCCACCTGAGAGCCTCAGAGTCCTGGGTTTCTTACACCATGGCTAAAGGCCCCAGAGTGCAAAGTTGCATGGCCTTTTCTAACTTGGCCTTGGGTGCCATGCAGCATCACTTCATCCCATTCTGTTCTTTGAAGCAGCCACAAAGGCCCCCCACAAAGGGAGGAGACACTGATGTCACTTCTTAATAGGAGGAAAGAATTTGCAGACATATTTTAAAAGTACTACCTGGATATTAGCCCCCATTTTAATAATGGGAAAACTGAAGCTCAGAGAGGTTAAGGAACTTGGTCAAGGTCCCCAGAGCCAGTAAAAGGCATTAAACTCAAGTCTATCTGACATCTACGAGCACCACCTGCCCAGTGTGCCTGAAGCATTGTAGGTGCTCAATAAATGTTTGTTGAATGAACAAAAAAATGAGAGCCGTCATGATGAGCATTCTTTTTTTTTTTTTTTTTTTTTTTTTGAGACGGAGTCTCGCTCTGTCGCCCAGGCCGGACTGCGGACTGCAGTGGCGCAATCTCGGCTCACTGCAAGCTCCGCTTCCCGGGTTCACGCCATTCTCCTGCCTCAGCCTCCCGAGTAGCTGGGACTACAGGCGCCCGCCACCGCGCCCGGCTAATTTTTTGTATTTTTAGTAGAGACGGGGTTTCACCTTGTTAGCCAGGATGGTCTCGATCTCCTGACCTCATGATCCACCCGCCTCGGCCTCCCAAAGTGCTGGGATTACAGGCGTGAGCCACCGCGCCCGGCCATGATGAGCATTCTTAATTTTCCCTTCTGCCATGCTTAATCAATGGCTCCCTGGAAACCACTGCATTCAGGAAATGATAGCCAAGTATCATGGCAATTGACAATCAAGGAAGAATTTTAAAGAAGCTATTAGGTTGGTGCAAAAGTAATTGTGGTTTTTGCCATTACTAAAACGCAATTACTTTTGCACCAACCTAATAGGACTGTCTTTGTTCACCCCAGGCCTCCCAAACCCCAAATCAAGTAAGATACTTGGAGCTGCCAGTCAAGACCCAATTATCCAAGACTGTGGAGACCATGCTGTGGACTGGCCAGATGGATTGGAGGCTGGTGGGGACCATTCCCTCCCCCAGCACACTAGCCACTTTGAAACCTAATGACAAGAAGAGTTAAAAAGTTGGGGACAGGTGCTCTGAGATTTACTGGGAGAAAATACAGCACAGATGTACAGATGAAGAAACTAAGCCCAAAGACGTAGGGACCATTTCAATGCTCTCCAGCCCATTGGTGCTATGGCAGGGAAAAGCATCAGCCCTCGCATTGCGGGTCCATAGACGTCTCAGTAGGAAGATAGCATGGACCAGGTATTTAGGATATACACCAAATCAGACAGGCCTGGGAGGAATGCTGGCCCTCCATGTATGGCTACATGATCATGACCAAGTCATTTAACTCTAGGACATTCAGTTTCCCCACTGAGAAAATATAGCTATTAATTCTCTTTTTGGATTAGTAACAAGAACATATGAATAACTCCTATAAAAAAGTCACTAAGTGTATTAGTCTGTTCTCATGCTGCTAATAAAGACATACTCAAGACTGGGTAATTTATAAAGGAAAGAGGTTTAATGGACTCACATTCCACATGGCTGGGGAGGCCTAACTATCATGGCAGGAGGCAAAGGAAGAGCAAAGGTGCGTCTTACATGGTGGCAGGCAAGAGGTCATGTGCAGGGGAACTTCCTTTATAAAACCATCAGATCTCATGAGACTTATTCATTATCATGAGAACAGCACAGAAAAACCTGCCCCCGTGATTCAATTACCTTCCACTAGGTCCCTTGCATGACACATGGGGATTATAGGAGCTAGAATTCAAGATGAGATTTGGGCAGGGACATAGCCAAACCATATCACTAAGTAAAGCACAACTAAAGTAATAGGAAAATGTGGGCAAAAGAAAGGAACAGATAATTCACAAAAGAGGAAACATAGAGCCAAATATATATATATGAGTTGTTCAAAATCTTTAATGATCAAGGAAATGCAAATCAATACCACAATTTTTTTAATGTTCATTAGTTTGGAAAAAAATTTAAAACTGACAATTCCAAACATTGGACTGACTATAATCTATATATTTCCATAAGCATGTAAATTGGTGCAACCACTTTGGAAAATCAAGATACACAAGAATGTTCAAGGCCACACTGTTAACAAGAGCAACAGTCTGGTGATAACACAAAAGCCCATTCGAGGAAGAATGAATGAATAAACTGTGGGATATTCCCACAGTAGAATATTTAAGAGCATATGGCAGATACTTAGAACATAGTAAGAGTCGAAATGGATAAACTACAGAGAAATGCAACAACACAGATGGGTCTCAGCAATGTATTAAGTAAAGACAACAAGTCCCTAAAATTACCTAAAGTGTGATCACCTTTTATATAAATTTTAAAACAACTAGAATGGAATAGACACATGTATTTATGAGTATGTATAGGTGAAATAAAGTTATATAAAAAGGAAAGGTGGGGGTGACGGACATGAGACTCAGGACAATAGTATGATGGGGGGGCAGGGATGAGATGAGGGAAGAGCCCTACACTTTACAGGTAAGTTATTGTCAAAGTCTGAGATTTTGTTTTAAATTTGAGGTCATGAGTATTCATTACATGATTCAAATATGAAATTTTTAGTATGTGTATAAACCAAGAATCCTTAATTAATTAATCCTTAATTTAATTTTGTGAAGCAGAGGACCAGTGACGACAATTCCTTCTTGGTCAGGATGCTGTGCGGATGCAGAATGAACAGCCCAGCTCTTACAGAACTCCACAGCACACAGCAGGCCCACAGTAATAGGGCGGTGGTTGTTATGTGTATATGTGGCTCAAAAACAGCTTGAAGTAGGCTAAAGAAAATAAAATCATTTCACTCCAACCCCCTCTGCCTTGTGGCTTCACTGATTTTAAGAATAAATACAACCTTTCCATTCTTGAGGGGCCCATGCTTTTAAAAATTGCCTAGCTCTTGTCTGATAGATAAGACCTACTCACTTCCAAATCTCAGCAGATTTGTTTTGAACAGCGAGCTCTTTAAGGTACTGGGATGTCTCGCACTATCCTTTGCTTCATAAGGAGCTCTCACAGTTTGATCTCTGGCCCTGTCCTTTTGAACCATTTCACTTGGTCTGGACCTCAGGTTAAAAGAAAAACTGGCTTTCCACAGAGAGTGAGGGTACCTTGTTGACACGGCTCTTCTACCTGGCCATAAGTTAGAGTTTTTTTTTTTCTTTTTCTTTCCTCCTGTGCAACACAAGGAACAGAGAAGTCATTTAAGCCATATGAATTCTTGCAGGTTCAAAAAGCAAGTTGCCAGCCTTAAAAACATGTCTCTGTTTCCTTTGGCTAATCTGCAAATCCAGTAATATTTTCAGATAAGAAGGTAAACAGAGGATGGAGGAGATTAAGGAGGCCTATCTTGGGCTAGTATCTTTATAGAGCGACCAGGAGAAACAATGTTACTGAAGCCTTTCCTTTTCAGGGAAAAGAATAGTAGCCAAGCCCATAATAGCCTCAAAACCTGGGAGGGTGATTGTATTAGTCTGTTCTCACATTGCTTTGAAGAAATACCCGAGACTGGGTAATTTATAAAGAAAAGAGGTTTAATTGTCTCACAGTTCCGCATGGCTAGGAGGCCTCAGGAAACTTACAATCAGGCAGAAGGCACATCTTTGCAAGGTGGCAGGAGAGAGAATGAGAGCCAAGCAAAGGGGAAGGCTCTTTATAAAACCATCAGATCTCTGAGAATTCACTCACTATCACATGAACAGCATAGGAATAACCACCGTGCCATGATCCAATTACCTCCCACCAGGTCCCTCCCATGACACGTGGAGATTATGGGAACTACAATTCAAGATGAGATTTGGGTGGGAACACAGTCAAACCATATCAGTGATAGAGGGAGGTACTTCTCTCTGCACCTTCAAGACAAACAGGAACGCAGTGAATAGGGTGCCAGACATACTTGCACCAGATCTCAACCTCAAGGCTTAGAGACACGGAACAGTGTCAAAAAAGAAATTGGTAGTCTACAGTCAGAGCTCTAGGATGAAATGAGCTGCCTGGAGAGGGAGCAAGTTCCTCATTTAAAAAAAAATCCATTATCTTTCAGTAAGTCCTTATTTGCAAGGATGCTGAGAAACAGTCTCAAGATGTTAGAACCAGATCAAAGGTTTTAACCTAGGGCTTGAATTTGGGGAGGTAAGGGGGATGAATTATCAGAAACTGAAGGTGAAAGTTTGCATAGATTGAATGAGGATTCACATCTTCTATAATATTCTCAAAGAAGTGTGTGTTCCTAAGAAAGACAGTGAATCAATAGTATAAACAATCCTTAAGGTTGCTTCGCCCACCAAATCCCAAGACCTGGAATCATTTATGTCTTTGAATTCAGGCTGAGGTAAGTAGATATTTTGTAGGCTTAATTTAAATATGTACCTAACTAGAAAGTAGGCTCCACGAAGACAAGGATTTTTATGTTCCCTTCATTGCTCCATCACCAGGCTCTAGAACAGTGATTGACACATACTAGGTACTTGGAAAATATTTGTTGTTGAGTGGATGAATTGACCCTAGCTGAAGCCTGCATTTCTCTTGCTTAGTGTGACCCACAGACAAATTATACCCCATATGGCTGGCAGTGGAGGTGGCTGGACCTTAGCAAACACTCATCTTTGGACTTTATCTGCACCAAGTCAAGGAGTATCCCACATAATGCTACTGACAACGACATCTGCAATCGATTGTCAGTGCCTGATTATTTCATCTAATGGAGCAACTCTGAAATGTCACCCTACCCCCTACAGCAAAACAACCCTTCCCAGTCTAGAAAGGAAGGTGTTAACTGTGGCCCTGGACACCGGATTTATAAAAGGCATCCGCTGTTCCTGACTTCCAACCCTCCCATGTTGTTGATATTGAAACCTAATTGTGTTGATGTTGGTCTCCAAGGTAAACAAAGCTTTACAGGGGAAATGTTTGGACTTAGAGATTCCTGTTTGCTCCAAGTATGGATTAATGGCCAGAATAATGAACATTTTCATTCATTTCCTTTTAAAGTGCTCCTGCTAATGTAGCTAAGTGGACAGCTCAAAACAGTTCCTATTGGCCAATTATCAAAAACAGTTTCTGGAATATGACCAATGCTTCCCACACTTGTGGAATTTTCACTTAGAGAAAATCCCAAGACTTGTACCTTTATGAAGGCCCCAAGATCCTGAGGGTAGAGCAAGAAAAAAGGGGAAGTACAAGAAGGGAAAAGAGAGAGGAAAGAGAGGGATGGACATCAATTGCTGACGTGAGTGCTTATTACATGCCTGGTACAAAGTTAAGTTTTTCAAATATACGACCTCATTAAATCCTTTCGACTGCCCTAAATGAAATGTTTTCTTTTCCCTATTTTGCAGATAAGAAAACTAAGGCCCAGAGACAGTTCAAGGTCACACAGTTGAAGTATGACCATGCTGGGATTTGATGCGAAAGCCTGTGCTCTTATCCACTAGGTTGCACTGCCTCTCAAATCTTGTTCCTCTCTCTCCTTACCATATGTAGTTTTCCCCATAGTGTGAGGATGGTTTCTGAATTCAATTGTGAGTCCTCTGGCCTGGAGAGAAGACATAATGCATATATGAAACAAGTAACTAATGGTGGTAGCAGATGGTAAAGGCTGGAGATGGAAGTAGAGGTTGGTGGGTAGACCAATGAACTTGGACCTTCTCTGGAGGGCAATGGGGGCCCAGGCAGGGTTGGAAGTAGGGGAGGAGCATGGCCAGGACTGTGTGTTAGAAACAGCATGCTGATGGTGGTGTGCAGCCCACATGGGGTCCTGAACAAGACAGACACCACTGGGCTGAGGAAGTCGTCTAGCCCATGAGTGGCACTTGTGGAAGGACTGAGCCTGGCAAACCTCAGCCTCGTAACCCAGTCTGGGAAGCCAGCCTCTGTTGGGTTTGGCAAGGAGACATGTATGAGCTCAGCAGGAGGGAATGCAGAGTGTCACTGGTTTAGAGAGGAAAACGATCTGCTGAACCAAGACCACAGCTGGGCCATCCTACAAAAGGGCTTGGCAATGTGTCCAGAGCTGCCTTTGTTTTCAAACACATGTAGTATCACATCCACACTGGAGGAAGCCTCAACCTTGGCACTCAGGGGCTTACAGCTCTGAAAACAATTCCTAGGAATCTTGCTCCTCCAGGTGTGGTCCAGAGACCAACAGCATGAGCATCACCTGGGAGCTCATCAGAAATGCAGAATCTCAGGCTCCACCCAGAACCTGCATTTTAAAAAGTTTCCCAGGTAATTATTTTAAAATTGAGAATCACTGTCCCAACATAGTGAATCAGAATCTCTGGAGCTACATTTCTCAAATCTGCATAATTTCTAAGTTCACCAGATGAATTAGACACATACTAAAGTTTGGTCACCAGGCCAGGAAACCTTCGAAATGTCCTAAGAATGTCAACATTGCAGCATCTAAACTACGTTCTTCATAGGCCTCCCATACCCAGGAGTGTCACAAAAATTCCCTGTGAGCAGGCATGGGCAATATTATGATTTGACCTGCAATGTATCAACTTCTAAAAAAGGCATTGTAACAGCTTATACACAGAACAGGTGGTCAGCTAAGGAGCATAATAGAATGTGTTCTAATGAAACTCCACAACCTGCCACCCACTGAGCATGTCTCTCCATATCTGGAGGAGTTCAGAGCCTAAAACCCCACCACTGGCTTAAACTGTGCTTCTTTTTAAAAATTACAAGCTTTTTTTTTCTTGAATAAACACACACACACACACACACACACACACACACACACACACTTACACTCAGATTAAGTTTTTGATGACTTTTCAGAGCCCGCTTTTCCTAGTGGCAATTTATTAGCAAGTATTTTCAGTCTACCTCCAAAGAATATCTTGGATGTTCCAGCTCTCCACACATCCACTGCCACATCTTGTCTCATCTGCATGCCTGCAAGAACCTCCCAGCTGATCTCTCCACCTCTACTCCTGCCTTTTCTGGTCTCTACTCCACAAAGAGCTCCAAGTGCCCATTGGAAGACATAAATCAGACCATGTCATACCCCAGCCTGAGGCTAAGATCTGCCTGTATCAATGTCCTTCAGCTGCTTTAACAAATAATTACCACAAACAGTTGATGGCTTAAAACAACAGAAACAACTTATCTCCTGTTTCTGAAGGCTGGAAGTCCAAAATCCACATCACTGGGCTAAAATGAACACGTCAGCACAACTGTGCTCCTGGCTCTAGGGGAGAATCCATTCTTTGCTACTTCCAACTTCTAGAAGTTGCCAGCATTCCTTGGCTTGTGGTTGTATCACTCCAATCTCTGTCCCATGTTCACATTGCTTTGTCCTCTTCTGTCTGTGTTGACTCTCCCTCACCTCCCTTTTATAGGAACACCTGTGATTACATTCAGAGCCCACCTGGATAATCTTCCCATCTCAAGATCCTTAACATAATCGCATCTGCAAAGTCTGGTTTTGTAATATCAGATAACATTTACACGTCCCAGGGATTAGGATCTGGATACCTTTCGGAAACCATTATTTAGCCTGCCACGTTGCCTTTCCATTACACACAATAAAATCCTAAGTCTACTGTGGCCCATAATGTCCTACTGATATGGCCCTGACCCACCACTCAGGCCCCATTTTCTTCCACTTTTCTCCTCTCCCAGCCCACCCCGCCGGTCTACTTTCAGGTCTTCAAGTATGTTCCTACCCCCACAGCCTTTGTTTTTGCAGTTCCTTTTGCTTGGAATGTAATCTTGGCCTAATGTGCTGAGTGAATGAATAGCTTATTCCCACAAGCTCAGAAAAGACAATGGCAAAACTAGAAGGAGCAGCACGGCTTGAGACTAACTTTGCCTGCTTTTCAATTTGACCTAGAGAGTTTTCTGGTTAAAGATGTTTTTACCCCCTCTTTTTTTCAATTACCAAATATCCCAAAATAGCCACAGTTCTTAGTTATCTGTGGGCTCTCTAGAAGGGAGTCACTTTAGACAATTGTAGCCATCTGAACTGGATACTAATGGAAATCATGTCACATGGAACCATCTCCAGGTTTCTTGTTCTTGTACAAACAAGGCAGTCTGAGAAAGTCCAATAGATTGGCATTCCAATCTATTTTGACTTCCAGCAAGAATTTTGATGAGGCTGCTTCTTCTAGTGCTTGATGAATGCTCATTGTTGACTTTGGGCAATTTTACAAAAGCCACTGCTTCATCCTGCTCTGGAGACAGAAGGCCTGCCCATGGCTAAGTGGCCTTTACTTACCTCCTGACTCTGAGAGCAAAGCTATCATTAAATGGAATTTCTAATAGGTTATTATGATGAAAACATAAATATAAGGAGGTTCTTTTGCCCCATAAAGAAAGATGCTAACTTCTGTACAGTTATACAAATCAATATCAGCCACTATATTATAGATAGTGGGTTATCTAGAGTGACCAATTCAACTCATTCTGGTTTGCCTGGGACTTTCTCTGTTAGGATTGTAAATCCTGCATCCCGGAGAAACCCCTTAGTCCCAGATAAACCAGGACAGCTCGTTGCCCTAGTAGTAGCTACCTGGCCCTACCACTTGGTGAACTCAGGGCAAAGGGTATAAGTGGAGACCCACATAGCATAGGTCTAAATATGTAAGAGTTGTAAATCAAGCGAACACACTGTTGAATAAAAATATGTTCTCTCCTCCTACCATGACAAATGTTTTTGAAACAATTTGGCAGTTAAGATTTGAATTCCAAGTTCTTGAACTTCTCTCTGGATCCTGGTCTGTCTCCACCTACTCTTCCCACTTCTAGGTCTGTTCCACACCTCCAGGCGTCTTGCTCACATATATGCCCAAACTCCATCTATATCCCATACACAGCCAGCTCTTGGTTATTGCTTGGGCCTGGGGTAAATTGTTATGAGGTTCATCTTGGAAGCAAATAAACCCAGGAAAGAGGTGTGCTCTGCTCTGGAAGTGGGATTAAGACCCTTCAAAGACCCTGAGTGGGGACTAAGGTACTTAAAGCCCGGCCTAGAAGGAGTGGGTAGCCTAGATGAGGGCCAGAGTGTGGTCCTCAGGACTGGAGCCACTCTTGCCTGGGCATGAGGGTGATGCTGGTAGTCATCACTCGCTAGAGGCCCCTTGTAATTGGAAACCATGAAATAATTTCCAGTTTCCAAATAAACCACCAGGTCCTTCTAGGCAGAGGTTAGAGTTGTTCAATCTAGAGAAATAAAGTTGCACAAAATCTTACAGATGCCCTCAAACTACTCCTGGAAAGAACTAAGGTCCTCGCTAGAAGAAACAATTGTAGTGCAGTAGAGGAAAAAAAAAATCATGTAGCAAGAAGAAAAGCTGCTTAGAAAATGACTCTCATGCCTGGAGATTTATAAGAAAATTATCTGCCACAGAGGAGACCAAGAGCTTGACAAACTCATACTTCCAAGTTCATGTTAATGCTAAGATTTCTGTTTTCCTTCATGGGATTTACTTTGATGGATGATGCAGACGGCAGTGGAAGTATCGGTAGGTTCAAAGGACTGCCTGCTCAAAACGACTTGTCTGCTTTTGCAACCTAATCATGCAAGTGTGGTGCATGCCAGGAACTCTATGTTAAGTAAATAACAGTACAGATGATAAGAGGTGGCGTGAAAAATCATGAAAGTAGAAAGTGATGGTGTCATAGTGCGAGATAAGCTGGGTTTAGATAATGCCTCTGCAATTTACTACTGGTGGGGCTTAGGTGAGTTATTTTGCTTATGTGAGCCTTGGTTTGTTTCTAATCAAAATAGGGATCCAAAGAGTACCTACCACATAAAACTGGTATGAAGATGGATTAAGATACAGCATGTAGGCCAGGTGCAGTGGCTCACGCCTGTAATCCCAGCACTTTAGGAGGCCGAGGCAGGTGAATCACGAGGTCAGGAGATCGAGACCATCCTGGCTAACACGGTGAAACCCTGTCTCTACTAAAAATACAAAAAATTAGCCAGGTGTGGTGGTGGGCACCTGTAGCCCCAGCAACTTGGGAGGCTGAGGCAGGAGAATGGCTGGAACCCGGGAGGCAGAGCTTGCAGTTAACCAAGATCGTGCCACTGCACTCCAGCCTGGGCAACAGTGAGACTCCGTCTCAAAAAAAAAAAAAAGATACAGCATGTAAAGAACTCAACCCAGTGCCTGTAGCCTGATAATTGTTCCAAAATATTTCTTACCTGTAGTAATAGAAGTGGTGGTGGTGGTAGTTGTAGTATGACACAAGTAGAGTAGTACTAATCATTTTCAGGAACAGGCAATAATTGTAGCAATATGAGGTGTAAGCAGATTAGTTGGTGATATGGTTTGGCTGTGTCCCCACCCAAATCTCATCTTAATTATAGCTCCCAAAATTCCCACATGTCTTCGGAGGACCTGGTGGGAAGTAACTGAATCATGGGGGTGGGTCTTACCTATGCTGTTCTCTTGATAGTAAATAAGTCTCATGAGATCTGATGGTTTTATAAAGGTAAGTTCCCCTGCACATGCTCTCTTGCCTGCTGCCATGTAAGACATAACTTTGCTCCTCCCTTGCCTTCCACCATGACTGTGAGGCCTCCCCAGCCATGTGGAACTGTGAGTCCATTAAACCTCTTTCCTTTATAAATTACCCAGTCTCAGGCATATCTTTATTAGCAGCGTGAGAATGGACTAATACAGTTGGATTCTGAGATTCATTTCTCTTGAGTCTGGATGAGAAGGAGTCCACTTTAGTGATAATTGAGATATTGGGTAAAAGAGTCCTTTGGGGGAAGGAGAAGATATATGGATGAAGCCTGAAAAAAACTGTAAAATGACCAAATGGAACTGGCAGGGAAACATGAATCATTCACACCTTCATTAGAATATGCAGCACTGTGTCAGCCATGCCTTGAGCATAGAGCCATCCTAAACCATGTGGGGGACACCAAGAGAAGCTTCTGAGGATGCTCCCCAGCATACTCACAGTTATGAAGACTCCACCTGAGTCACTGCAGCAAGTCAGTGACATCTTAGATGATAGAAGATGGGTCACTTACTGGCAAGCCTGTATCAACACCCCCCCTTAGCAACTGTCCCTATCACTGGCCAAACTTAGGTACTACACGATCTGTAGATGAATCACTTCTAAATTAAGCATGAAGATTTCCAAATTAGTTCAAAATGATCTAACATCTAGACAGAAGGTACATAACGGAGGACGGGAACATAAGGAGTGGGAAAAAATAGAAGGTTATGTTCTTTGAGAAAACAATTTATTTTCTTTTGAAAGGCAGGACCTATTTTTGCAAAAAATGACTGACTCACTTTATTTTTTGGATCATTGTAAAGGAAAGAGAGTGTGTGTAATGCGTTGCTTTACAACCAAATAAAGATGTCATGTGGACATTAAGCTTTCTAATTTGGTTTATATTATTCCAGCTACAATCAAAATGCACACGTGAATCTAAGATTGATTCATTTCTGGGTTGGATTGCCTAACGTTCTTTCTACTGTTATAAGTAACTTCCCGAAAAACCTTTCTCATGCTTTCTGGGACTCAGGAGCATAGTTCACCCTAAGATGCCCTCTGACCTGGTCACCCCAATTCTTCCTCTTGTACCCAAGGGCTGTGAGCCTCACTGCAGGATTACTGGCTCTTTGGGAGTAAACTAGGAAGTTCCTGAGTTCTCGAAGCCTTTTGTCACAGCTTTTCCAGTTCCTAGGCATGTGATGGGGGACAAGCATTCATGGTTATTACCAGGAGCTCAGAGAGACCAGAGTTCAACTCCCATCTCTGCCACCTGGCTCGGCATGACCACAGACAAGTTGCTTAATCACTTTGAGCTTCAGCTTCCTCATCTGTGAAATGGGAGTACTCAGAGGCCCTAACTCTAGGATTATTGGGAGGATTAAGTGTGACTATCTTTGTAAAGGGCTTGGCTCAGTGTCTACCCACATGGCAAGAGCTCCACAAATGTTAGCTCTTACTCTTTCTAATGGAGGAGTGTTTGGAGTTATTTATTTAGATGTCCTAGAAGTTAAGCCACTGGAATCTGATACTTTTGGTAATAGAGAACTATAAGCGCCAGCCAGACTCAATTTTTCTTGCCTCAAGGCCCATTCTTTTCCTGTCACAATGCTCCCATTCATTACCTTTTGTTGTAATTGTTTGTTTAACATCTGTCTTCCCCAAGAGAGTGAATCCTGTGTGTCTTTTTACATTGCTGCATGCCCAGCAGAACTCTTGATACAGAAAGAGATGTGCAATTGTTATTTGTTAAATGCCTGAAAGACTGCTCCACAGATTGAATAACTGAGTGATTCAATGAAAAAAAGAACAAACTAAATGATAGAAATTGGCCATTTATATTCAACTGGAGTATATAAAAGTAGTTTGCTAGCATGACAAGAGGTAGGACTACAGAATTGTAAATTTTACCTAGGAAATAGTAAGGTCTTTAGAGGAACACATAATAACTATTTCTGAATATATCGAAGAGTTTAATTCTGTGTTTGCTACCCATCAATGATGGGATAGGGAGGAACACCCTACTGCAAAGCATTACTCACTTCACACTCACATGGCCCTCAAATTGTACATCCCTTCCACCCTCCGTCATAATCCAGGATCTGTTTGACAGCTTCTGACTTCAGTGTGACTATCCATGTCAGATGACGTCATTGCTAAACCATGTGTCTTGGGTTGTGAGAAAAGCTAGGAGAATCAACAGGAAGGCCCAAAACTTTTAAAGCTTAATTTCTGATAAGTAAGAATCTTTCCTGAAATCTCCCACCCACTCTTTTCTTCTGGGTGAGCTCATCCAGTCTTTCCAGAAAGACTGATCAGCAGCAAGGCATTGCTGGACTTTGTCAGGGGGATTTGGTGTCTTCATACCTTGTTCATCAGCCACGAACACACTCATCTTTCAGAAGCTTTGGAATTCTGCCCGTGGCTGTCTGGACATTCTGCTGCATTCCCAAGGGGCCTCTTGGGATGTGCATGGTTAGCCACAGAAAATCCAAATTATGTTTTTAAATTATTACCTGCCTTGTGTGAACAAACTAAAATGGCCATTGAGCAACATGCTGACTATCCTATTTTCCTCCTAAAAATCTGTGGTTGTGATAAGTGGAACAATTATTTAATGCCATTTTTTGTCACAAGCGAAGAATGGACTCCCAAATGCAGCCTGGGCAAAATCTCTTTTTTTTTTTTTTTTTGAGACGGAGTCTCGCTCTGTCGCCCAGGCTGGAGTGCAGCGGCGCGATCTCGGCTCACTGCAAGCTCCGCCCCCCGGGTTCACGCCATTCTCCTGCCTCAGCCTCCCGAGTAGCTGGGACTACAGGCGCCCGCCACCACGCCTGGCTAATTTTTTGTATTTTTAGTAGAGACGGGGTTTCACCGTGTTAGCCAGGATGGTCTCCATCTCCTGACCGCCTGAGCAAAATCTTAAATGTCACTGGGAAGAGTTTCTCAGAGAACCAAACATGATAGCTAACTACCTGGCAATTGGCAAATAATTATACAGCTACCAAGTATCAAACACCTTCTCCATGCCAGGCACTAGGCTGCACGCTGGTTATTTAATCTGTGTGCCAGGACTATGAGGTTGGTAGTATTGCCTCCATTTTATAATAGGTGGATTGAGGATCATGGTAAGTAGCCAACCAGGGATTTGAACCAAATTTGTCTGACTCCAAAGCAGGAGCTTCTACCCCCTTACAGGTCATACCAGCTTACTGAGATAGGAGGGGAGGGCCACTGCCCACAAAGTGGAATATAATGGTGGAATCAAACTTAAGCAGAGTACCATAGTGCCTAAAATACGGAGAGGAGAGGAGGAGAAGGCCTCTCATGCGCATGATCCTAGCTTTCTAATAGATTAGCTGTCATCATGTGGGAAAGGGAGAGCCCTTCAAATAGATTCCAGAGGCTGGAAAAGCACAGAAGGGTGACAGCCCCAGGAAAGCAGATGTCAGCCCAAGGTAAAGAAGAACGTTCTAACAATCAGAGCTGTCCAAAAGTCCTTGGAACTGGCTGGTTAAAAAAAAAAAGGGGGTGGGGGTGGGGGAAATGAGCTGCTTGCCATGGAAAGCATCCAAGCAGAGGGAAGCACACCCTGTTGGGATGCTACAAAGTTAGGGGATACGATACCTTTGAGGCTCTGTCCAGCTCCCAGCCCCTCTGTTTGCTTTGGGAAGATGCTTACTAATCCCCCTTGCCTGCACGCAGCTACTGCCTGTTGCAGATATGCATGTAAAAGAATCTTTGCAGAATCAGTCTGACATGACAGTTTCATCTCCCTGGTGATGAAGGAAGCAATATGGGGAACTGTTATTATGAATTCTATTCATGACAAACAAGGAAGAACTGGGTGGACATTAAAAGGGAAGGGAATCTTGGGAGAGGCAGGAAACTATGGGTGTGGCTCTGTGCCAGGCAATGGGTGGGTGCTCTATGCACATCATCTCACTTCAGCTGGGTACCTCCCTCTTGATGCCGGGCTCATCATTTCCATTTCACAGCCAGAACAGCCCGGGAGAGAAGTCAATTTGCCTGTGGCCACATAGCTAACGAGTGGTGGAGCTAGGGTTCGAACTGAGATATGCCTGACTTGGAAACCCTCACTCTTTCCTCAGAAGTATGCTGCCCAACCCAGCGAGGGGAAGGTGAGACAGGGCACTGAGAGGACAGTAGGCAGGACAGGTAAACTTTGATGGGCAGCAGATGAATAATGAGGCTGCAGCACAGAGTGGGACACAAACGGCTAGGACACTGGGTCAGAGGGAGGGGCTCGGGCAGGTAATCTCATCATTGAGGAAGGACGTGAAACTGGAAGAAAATGGATCAAGGCAGACATCCCCTTCTTCACAATTGATTCTAATTTTGGCCTTGAGCCCAAGCTACAGAAATTGATTCCAATCACAAATGATGCAGGGTCACAGATAGGAGCTCAGACACAGGTAACATTCAGAAGCGTCTGCACCATTTTTTTTTTTCTAGAAAATGACATGATTTCAACATCCCATGGGGCAATGTTACCAGGTAACATTATGTTTCCCAGAAGGCTTTGGAGAATTAAAATGCCAACATGGCAAACAGAATGGAAAATGTGATAATGGGAAAAATGCTAAGGCTTTAATTATACTGATTTTATCTCCTCTCTGTCTCTTAAAGTCTCCTGGAGAACACAGGTGCTATAAGACTTCCCTCCTCCGCTCACTAATTAGAGATTCCCTGATGGGAACATGCCCAATTTTCCCTATTTACTGGTGGGTACAAGGTTATTCTAAAATGGAATGTTATTCTAAATAGGCTACATAATTAGGTTATTGAGGGTCACCTACAATTAGCCCACAGGTGTTAAGTGATGGGTAGGGAGGAGAGGAAGTGGTTTTTATCTCTATCACAGATCCTGTAGCATAGCACAGCTTGGCACACGGTAGACACCCAAGAAGTGGTCGCTGGTATTTTAGCTATGGTTTTTACTTTTTCTCAGTGTTAACTTTGAAGTCTGACCCATGTGAGTTCAATTTCGGGCTCTGCAACCAGCTATGTGACCTTGCAAAAACTACTTAACTTCCCCAGGGCTCAGTTTGCTCTTCTGTAAAATGGAGATAAGATCGCCTGACTCAGGAGAGTGTCAGGAGGATTCAGTGAAATTTTGTGTGGATAGAGCCTGGCAACATCATGTTGGTGGTAGCTCAGAAATAGCACCTGGTACCAATTATCCTGAGCGTGTCCCTTGAAGCTGACAGTTCCCTCTTTGACAGGCCAATGTAAATCCACAAGCCAGCCCCCTCCAAGCTACTTCACCCCTGCCACTACTCTCCCTTTCCCCCAAGAATCAAAGTGATTCTTAGACTAAGAACTTGGAACTGCAGTATTGCTCCTTAATCCTGTTCAACACACTTTCTCAGTGAGTCATAGTGACACCTCATTCCCTGAGGGACACGTAGATAATGACAAGGACTTTGCTATATCCTGCTGCAAACTCTACGAAAGTCAGCAAATTACAGAGATTCGGCTCAGTAAGAGGGTCCCGCTCAGCAAATTGCTCTAGGTTCCCTACTATCGCCACTTACAACGAATCCCCAAAGAATCAAGAGGAGATTAATGCAACTGGTACCCCTGGTCCAGGAACCCTTTCCCCATGGAAGGGCCATCAGGGCTCAAACCATACTTTTGCAGGCAGCCCCAGATCCGCTCCTCACAGCAAGCCCTATTTTTTAGGGGCAATTTTTATTGATAATTATTTTAATGACAATATTTTTCTTGCATCTCCAACTTACAAGTCATTTTTATGTATAGGCATTCCTGAGCATAAGAAGTCTGATGGCCCAGGATTAGATTAGCTGAGGGAAAAGTACAAAACAGAAAGTGAAGGAAACCACTCACGAGAAGTGTTTGCCCACCTGTTGCCTCGTGGCCCAGTGATAGGCCCTGGTGCTATTTTCCATGACCCCATGAAAATACTGATGGTGGTGACTGTTGGCATCGCTTGTGTTCTTTGTATTTCTTTAATAAGGCAGTTCCCATACTTGAAGAGCCCGCATTTTTAAAGATGAGGAGACCCTGGCACAAGGGACTCAGTGCCTAAAGTCACTGTCAGTGGCTGAGGAAGAACTCAGCAGTCAGTCTCCTCATGACTCAAGAGCAGCCAACAGACCAGTCTAGAAGGCTGCTAAATTTTTATCTTGTCCTCCCAACACCTCTAATTGGCCTTCCTATTCTAATTCATTTCCAAGCCTCCAATTCTTTTAATTAATCCACATACTAATAGACAAAGATAATATAAAAGAAACATACCGGGCAGTCTATATCTGAGCAAGCCGGCTAAGGCTGCCCTAGGATCATCTCTCAAACTCACGGTTGTGTCAGCGTGGGTTAGTGTTCTGGCTGCAAATACTCAAAGGGGTAGCTGAAGGGTTTATTTGTAAGGGAGAAAGCATGATTCAAGGACTCCCCACTGGTTCCCACAATAGCGGAAAGCAGGGACCACCCCTAGGCTGGAAGAGGCCAAGGGAGAGA
The DNA here is from genome assembly GCF_000001405.40 of Homo sapiens. NCBI lineage: Eukaryota > Metazoa > Chordata > Mammalia > Primates > Hominidae > Homo > Homo sapiens. The sequence goes on from NC_000003.12 coordinate 8,494,559, forward strand.
GCAGTCACCAGACCAATGGGAGCTGTGGCTTTAGGTAGGGGGGATGCCACCCCCTCCAAAACCCTGCCCAGCCCAACAGGGAGGCAGTGGGAGAATAAATACACCCACCCCTGATTTCCTACCAGGACCGCGGACTGGCTGAATCCAATGGGAAGACAGCAAACTCGTTCATGCGTGCAGTCCAAGGATGAACTTCCTGGGCACAGAGCTGGAGGAGGAGGGAAGAGAGTGAATCTGAGGGGCACATGGAAAACATCCAGAATAGTTCCCAAAGGCTGGGAGTCCAGTCTCTCCATCCTTGTCCAGGCTATGTCCTCACCCTGAAACCAGGGGTCTTCTGAGCAATCCCAGTGTGAGTTTGGATCCCAACTAGCAATGAGGCCTGGAACAGCTTACTTAACCTAGCGGAGCTTCAGTTTCTCATCTGCAAGTAGGAATAACACACTTGCCCCTGGGGTTGTTTTAAGGATTAAACTTATAAAGCACTAATGGCACATTGGAAATAAAAGGCATGTGTTCGCTTCCTTCCAGCTACCCAGAACGGGGGCTTCTCCAATTCTGCTGCCCGAAACAAAAATGATAGAGGCTTGACCACATGCACACACACCCTGAGAAGATGGATAGGCTGAATGTGTCATTAAATAGTACACTAGTTAAATTAAATGTATAATATGGTTAAATCCTCCAGGACCATAGCTAGAGTCATCTCCTAGATGCTAGAATAACAGAAAATGCTGCTTTAAAAAGGAGATACTCAGTTTATGGTACTTAGTGCCCCAGGAAAGTATAAGATTCAAGAATCAATTAAATGAAGTCTTTCACTTTTTAAAAATAGGTACCGAGCTTTTTTACCCCAAGAGAATTAAATCTTTAAAACAGAACCAGGAGTGATGGGGAAGATAGTGCATTGGTTTTCTATACTGTGTAACAATACCACTAATTTCACAGCTTAAAACAATACTCTTCCTCTCTCATGGTTTCCATGGGTTGGGAGTTCAGACCTGGCTTAGCTAGGTCCTCTGCTCAGGGGCTCATAGGGTCTGAGCCAGGTGTCAGCTGGGTATGAGGTCTCCTCTGAGCCTCAGGTCCTCTTCCAAGCTCACGTGGTTGTTGGCAGATTCATTTCCTTGCAGATGTAGAACTCATGGTGGCTACTTCTTCAAGGTCAGCAGGACAGAAGGAAATATGACTCCTGTCTCTCACTTCTATACTGTCTTTTAGAGGGCTCACCCATCTAGGTCAGGCTCCCTTGGGAAAAGGTCCCTTTTGATTACCTTATTGGGGATCTTAATCACATCTGAAAAATCCTTTCACCTTTGGCATAAGACACAACAGTATTCTGGGAGTGATATTCCAACACCTTGGCTGTATTGTATTGGTTCAGAACAAGTTAAAGGTACCACCCATACTAATGGAGAGGGAATAATACAAGGGCCCAGATCTTTAGAGGTCATCTTAGAATTCTGCCTATTACAGACAGAGACAAACAAGTGGATACACTGTGTAAGACAGGGGAAATTAAGATCATTATCCCCATCTCCCAGAGACTCCAAAGTATCTTGTTCAAATCACCCAGCTTGCCCCTGCGATGGAGCTAAACATGCAGATTTTCTAGGACTAAGGCATGTGTGCCTTCCACTCCCTTATTAATCTGTCAAAGAAGGGAACGGCCCCATTGCACCATCAGGTGGGATGTGTGACTGATATGCAGGGCAAGTTTATCACTCACCCCCAGTAAATCATGACAAATTTGAATTGCAAGATGATGGTCAGCCACATTTTTAGCAGAACCAGGATCAAAATGCAGGGCTCCAGAGTCCTGATCTATTGTTATTTTGTAACATAGAAACACATTTTCCTTGTGTTTTCCACTGCCCTTGTCAAAGACTGCATGGCAAGACACTGCTTGGGTCAAACAGTCATGTTCTGTTTTGATCCAGATGTTTTAGCCTTATAGGCAAAAACCTTCCTGGTTCTAAGAGGTCATCCAAAAACCTGGAAAAAATTAGATAGTTATTTTAAAGTGAAGGTTACCATGAAAATGACAGGAAAGAAACCAAAAAACTTAAGTTGTGAGTAATTCACATATATATGGTACAACTGTTGGTCCAAGTTGATACAAATTAAGGTAGAAGGTTCATGTATATTTATATTGTTAATTCAGATATACTGTGTTCCATGGACCATTTCTGTCTACCGATGCTTAAGTGTTAGTTGTTTTTAATGAATACAATATGTAAAAAAATAATAATAACCAAATAGGATTTGGTTATAATTTAATTTAACTAGTGTACTATTTAATGATACAAACAACATATTATTCATGTTTTCACATTGAAATAACTTGGGCCCTGCTTGCTACATTGTAACAGTGAAAACATCATTGTGAGCCATGATTATTGGGGATTTATGAAGGTGTTGGCATGAAACCAAAAGAACTGGGTTCAAGGTCTTTCTAGTTCTGCCCCTTTCTAGCTTTGTGACTCTGAGAAAATCACTTGTGCCTCCCAATGCAGTATTTAGAACACATAGTAGACCACACTGCACCAATCAATTACCAGCTTCTAATTGCTCAGCTTCTCCACCTGAGAGTGAGACGTTGCGAGTTACTGATAGCTTTCCATTAGTACTTTTGGTGTCCTTGCTGTGAGTAACACAGTAAATCAGACATTGTCATTCCCCTGCTTAAGACTCTCTATAACTGCTCTGCTCAATATGGTAGCCACCAGCCAGATGTGGTTGATGGTAGCTAGATGGTAGCCACCAGCCAGATGTGCTTATTGAGTATTTGTGACATGGCTAATCTGAAGAGAGATGTGCTGTAAGGGTAAAACACACACCAGATTTCAAAATGAAGCACACACATAAAAAAGAGTGTAAACCATCGCAATAATTTTTATATTAATCACAGGTGGGAATGACATTTTAGTTATATTGAGTTTAATAAAATATATAATAGCTATTTCACCTTTTTCTTTTTGATTTTTTTTAAATATGACTATTAGAAATTGTTAAATTACATACATGGCCTGCATTGTGTTCCAGTGGGAAAGCACTGATGTCTAACCTCCTGCCATTTCCAGGAGAGAACATAAACTCCTTAGCATGGTTTATGGGGCCCACATGAGCCAGCTCCTGCATGCCTCACCTGAGGCTCCTCATACCATTCTCCCTGACCCACTACACTGACCTCATGATCCCTCAGACATGCCACACTCGCACTCATCTCAGGGTCTCTGCTCTCATGACCCCATCCTCCTGGAATGTTCTCTCCATGGGGACTGTACTCACAGCTGACTCATTCTCCTTCACTGGGGCTTAGTTCACACACCACCTGCTCAGCCAGACCTTCCTGGACCCCCTAATCTAAAATGACTGTGTCCAATGAATTTCTCCATTTATTTCCTCCTAGGCACTCACTGCCATCCTTAATTACCTTATCTAAATATCTATCCACTTGTTTAATGCCTGTCTCCCCTACACACATTAGAATAGAAGCTATATGAGGGGAGGGACATTTCCTGTCTTATTCACTGTTGCATCCTCAGCTCAGGGCCTAATCCATAGTATTTCCCAATTCAATATTTGTTTCTTTAATTAATTTGTTCATGAATGGTAAAAAGAATACGAGACTCAGAGTCAAAAATCCCAGTTAGGACAAGCCCAGTGATAATGATGACAACAACAGCAGCATCTTAATCCAAGTGCTTCCTGTTTTGCTTATAATCAACCATCTGCAATCATTATGGAAGCAGTGCAGTATAGGTGAAAGGGTGCAATCTGAAGTTAAAAACTCTGAATTTAAATTTCAGCTCTGCCACTTGCCAGCTGTATGACCTTTGATACAGCCCTGGGACTGTTTGGGATTTCTGTTTTCTCTGAGACTAGTTGTCTTGGAGTTCAAGTAAGATTAGGGCTCTGTCAACCAGGGAGCCCCAGAAGTAGTTATTAGACCAATATGTTCTCCAAGGAGAAGAACTCTTTTATTTACCTTGATGTTTCCAGCACCTATCAGAGGGCTTGGCTTATGGCAAGTATCCCAAAACTCCTTGATAGATGAATGAATGCTTCTAATAATCCCGTGTCAAAAAGCGATGATCCTTGGAGAAATCAGATCTCTACTCTTTCAACTAGGAAAAGATATCCAATTTTCTTCCAAAGAGAAGTGAAGAGGACCTCAGAGCTGGAGTGAGGCTCAGGTGCAATAACTACATTTCCCTCATTCTCCTGAAAAGTCCCAAGTTGTAATGGTCTGTCCAGGTGTCCGGTTAAGTCTCTGAATATAGGTCCCCTGGAACAAGAGGGTCAAGTGTAAGGTTTAAAGTGTCAAAGTCAGAATCCTCAGCTGAGGAGACAGCAACTTCTAGCAGATAGCAGGGATCCCCTCTCTGCCTACAGCAGGTCTTTTTCCAGAAAGAAGGGAATGAGCCACCCCAAGCAACAGCTCCTGACACTCGTGTTCTGAGAAATTCTGAGAAACAGCTGCAATATCTGCCTCCTTAATTGTACCTGGAGCCAAGGGTAAAAATAAGGAGGGGGAGAGACTCTTGTGGTTGGAGCTATTAATAAATAGTGTTAACTTAATAAAATTAGTATTATTTCATGGAACAATGATTTTTCAAGATGGGGCAAGGAGGGTGGCTGGGAAGGGAGTGGGAAATGACTTCACTGGGCAGGCTTTTGCCTCGTTTGAAAGGGATAAAGCTTGCCTTTGTTATATTCCTGGCTTCTGTTCCCACAGCTCTAAAATATAAAGGCTTCTGGCATGACATCCTGATTTAGCACTATTGTTCCTAGGATTTGCTACTGAAAGGACTATTCATGTGGAAACCTCCTCTCCCAGGCCAGGCTTCTGTTGGCCACTGTTTATTTACATACTGGTTTAACATGCAGCCTACCTTGGAAGTTTGGACAAACCAGGCCAGGTGTGCCATTGCACCATCTCTCCCTATTCTTACTTTGCCTGCTTACTGCATGGAGGTAGAGAGTAGAAGAAGGTTACCAGAGGTTGGGAAATGGTGGGCTGGGGTGTGAGGGGATGAACAGAGGTTGGTTAATGCGAACAAACACTGTCTGATAGCAAGAAAAAGTCTAGCATTCAACAGCACAGTAGGGTGACTATAGTCAACAACAGTGAATTGTATACTTCAAAATAGCTAAAAGAGGCTAGGTGCGGTGGCTCACTCCTGTAATTCCAGCACTTTGGGATGCCAAGGTAGGAGGATCACTTGAGGTCAGGAGTTCAAGACCAGCCTGGCCAATATGGTGAAACTCTGTCTCTACTAAAAATACAAAAATGAGCCAGGTATGGTGGCTCATGCCTGTAGTCCCAGCTTCTTGGGAAGCCGAGGTGGGAGACTCACTTGAACCTGGGAGGCAGAGGTCACAGTGAGCCGAGATCGCGCCACTGCATTCCAGCCTGGGCAACAGCGCGAGACTCTGTCTCAAAAAAAAAAAAAAAAAAAAAAGAAAAGCTAAAAGTGATTTGACATGTTCCCAGTACAAAGAAATTATAAATGTTCAAGGTGATGGAAATCCTAAACACCCTGATTTGATCATTACACATTGTAAGCATATATCAAAATACCACATGTACAATCATGATGTATCAATAAAAAAAATAAAAGCCAGAACCCAACCTCTATTCATTTGCCAAATGTGTACTGTGCCTATACCACATGCTAGGTGTTTGAGGACATAGCTGGGAGCAAACAAGGCAAAAATCAATTATAGCAGAAATCTGTGAAAAAAGAAATAGGTCATCCCTCATCTTGGAAAAGATAAGCCACAAAAAGCCCTTTCCAGGAATATGTAATAAAAAGTCACAATTCAGGATCCCTGGCTGAGATTTGGGATGACTGGAGATGATGATAAGAACTAAATTGGAGGAGGCTTTCAAGAGGAAAAAGCCTCCAGCAAGAGACAGCCCCACAGTGGGAACTGCAGCCTCCCCTTCTCACCAAATCCCTCCCGAATGGTGTACTTCGGGACCACTCTTCAGTCTCTGTGCAACCGAGTTTTATTTTAGCCCACGGGACCCTGGTTTTTCTGGCAGGGGGCACTGCAAAGACGGGTTACAGGCCGAACACCTCACAACAGAGACAGCAGTATTCTCTCTAGGATAAAAAGGGCTTGTGTTTAATCCTCTGTCAGGGCAGGGGGGAAATGCCTCTGGAATCCAAGTCTGTGGAACCGGCTCAGCAGAGAGATGTGGCTTTATAGGCAAACAACGTGGCATAGAGAGAGGAACCTGGCCAATTCTGTCTTATAAGAGTAGTTATGTTATGCGTTGCAAGGACTCCACATTCCATGGATTTGTGAACTCAGATGGAATCTTGTTTGTCCAGGCCTGCATGACCCCATTTATCTAAAAATTACTAACTTCCTAGTTTATAGTTTACAATCCTGTGCCCGCCGCCTCCCTCCCCCCCCCCGCCACGCCCCCATGAGCTTTCTCTCTATTACTCTCAGTCTCTCAGGTTAAAGCCTTGCTCAGTAATTCAGCTGTGGACCAGTTATTCTGATTATTTCCTCATCTATCGTCTTACAGTCATAATAATAATAATATCTGAGATAATATGAGCATACAACAAGACAGTATGTCCACAGGAGCATCTCTAAGATCAGGACAGTGATTTCTTGCTCATGGAATAAGAAGGATTTATGTTAAAGCAAGTTATAAGAAAGCAGTTTAATACTTTACGAACGTTAAGTTTAAAAAAATCATAACTCGCTGGAATCTTTTCTCCTCTCTGGATATTGGAGAACTCGCCCAGGTTTGGGAAACGTTAGCCAGCTCCTGCAAAACACCTCCTCCCTCAGCCCTCCCCGCGCCCCCTACGACCAGGCAGAAAGGGTGGGAAGGGGAGCACAGCTCAGCATTTATTTCTGGATCCAGCTCACTAAAAATACCTCGGCTCTCCTGTTTGATCACTCTCCCTTTTGACCTGAATGGATCGCGGGAGCCGCGCCGCCCGCCCCACCTTCGGCCCGTTGCCCTTTAAAGGAAAAGGGCGTGGGGACGGATTCCTGCCGCTCGAGGGATAGAAGGGAGCTGGGTAGTCAGGGGCCGCGGCCATGCTGACGTCAGGGCAGCCGGCGCTCAGCTCCGCTCGCTGCCACAGTGCAGAGACCTCCCTGAGGGAGGGGGACAGCCTCGCGCTGGGATTGGCTGGCCTCGCGCGAGCGCCGGCGCGGAGTGGCTGGCGAGGTTTTAGAGGGAGTCCCGCTCTCCAATTAAAGCGGCCCAGCTGCGCCTGGCTGCGCACAGAGCTCCCTCCCAGGCCCGCGAACTTGGCCATTCAGCCGCCGCTGTCCCCGCTGCGCGCCCTCGCGCCTCTGCCTGAGAAGCCAGGCGCTGTTCCCCCACCCCAGAAGAGGATGGCAAAGGTGGCTAAGGACCTCAACCCAGGAGTTAAAAAGGTGAGTGGAAAGCTGTTTGTATTTACCCAGATTCTTACTTTTTCTTGTTCCCCTTCCCATCTGTTCGCGGAAACTTCCCAAAAGGTAATGAGAAGGGAACTCTTTAAATTCCAAAACTGCATGGAAAACAAATAGTTGGGAATACATGTTTGAGCTAACAGGCACACACACCCCAAACCCAATGTTGTGTAAAATATTTGCAAAGGGTCTTATGTCTTTGGTGATGCTAGTTAAAGTTTAATTAAGGTTTTACATATATATACAATATATATAAAATGTATATAAAATATATATATAAAATATATATAATATATATTATATATAATATATAAAATATATATTATATATAATATATATTATATATAAAATATATAATATATATTATATAAAATATATATAATATATATTATATATAAAATATATATAATATATAATATATATATATGAAATCTTATGGTCTGTAAAGGAAAAACCCCTAGCTTCCTCACTCCCTGTCCTCAGGTGGCTGAAGTAAGGGTTGAGAGCATGTAATATTTACTCACAGTCTCCCTTTTGCTATTATCCCAGTGTTTTGTGTGTTTCCCCCAATACACACACACACACACACACACACACACACACACACACGCACGCAGTTTCTTTAGTTGGTGATGTTGGCAGTGGCAGCAGTTCCAGCATAAGGGAACTGATTTCTGTCCCCAGGGTCTGCACGTTTCCCTTACAAGAAGGGCTGGCCCGGAGCCCAGAAGGTCATGGGTAAACTCCTGCACAGGAGCCTGCGGCTGTGCCTATAGCTCCAATACCACTTGTTGCCTACCTGAATGCAGCTGGGAGAAGGCACAGGCTGGAGACTTAGAGAACATGTGAACGGGAAGGGAACAGAGAGACAACCTAGGCTTTACAGATCGGGAAACTGAGGCCCGGGGTCACAGAGAGTTGGTTCTAACAGGCAGCTGACTGTAAGGCAAGCCCTAGGCATCCAGACTCAGTCCCTGCCACTTTTTAACTGCACATGATTCACCAGGTCACTTTTCTGAGCCTCAGTTTCCTTGTCTCTGATGTGGGGAGGATAGGCCTAACCTCCCTCATGGCAGTGGTAGCAGGGATACTGACACTGTGAGTTAATTTCCCAAAGCAGTCATTGTTAAACTCTGATTTCACAGGGTTTAGTCTTGAAGGGCAAAGTCTTCCTTAAATATCTGCCATTAACCTGCAGGGTAGAATGAGAGGGGGAAAAACAAAAGACGTGAGAATCAAACTAAAGACACAAACAGCCACTCAGAGGCACAGCATGCACTGTCTAATTTGTAGCTGTGCTCTTCTGTAGACCACCTGCCCAGACCCTGTCACAGAGTCCAGTGGATCCTTCTAAATGTGGGTACCAAGTCACATTGAATCTGGGCATTTGTCTGGAATGTATCATGCCTCACTGCATTTGCCAAGCTATTTGCAGAATCAAGTCATTTCCCCTCCTACAGAAATTACCATAACATTTTAGACTCTTAGAAGATACCTATTAATTGCTACCTAGTAGTGAGTTATGCATGCAATGCTCTTATTTCTCTATACATTTTTCTGGACTCCTTGAGGGCAAACCTGTCTTGTTCATCCCTGTTTGAACATAGCACACCATGCCACACAGCAGGACTCAAAAACCTGTGGGTGACTCATGAGAATATCTGTCCAGCTAAGACCACACTGTTTGCATAGGCTTCATTTTATGCATTATTTTTTAACTTGTAGCATTGATATTTGTGTGTCTGAACTGCCTCCCCAAGTTCAGACACAGAATAGTTCACGGCTAAAGGTGGCAGAGTTCCATTGTCCTCTGGAAAGTGAAATGATTCTGAGTATTTTTAATATAAGCTGGTTGATAGTTACTGTATGAGGTGAGATGAGGTATATGGAGACTCCTCCTCCTCACCACAGTCCTGTGTTGCCACTTGGAGGAAGCCTTGTTTTTATTTTCCTTTGCATAGGGGAGTGTGATTATCCTGATTAGAGGTGGAACATGTTCTCCTTCTTGTCACCCCCTAGTGCCAACTTCCTTGGCCTGCAAAGGGTTTGTTTTCCATTTAGATCCAATTACAGGCTTAGAGAAAGAATGTGGTGGGTAGAGATGAAAGGGCAGATTTTTTTTATCTCTTGGGACTGCGACAATCAGGAGGAAGATCACCATTTTGTAGGTTAACCAATGCCTTCAACTCAAAATGTGGAGGGGAGGGAGGAGAGCCGAGAAGCTCCCCTTGCTGAACTGAATGTCACAGAAGTGATTAAGTACTACGTGATATCAGCAACACGCTGAAAAGCTTTTACTGCATATTTATTTTTTAAATCTGCAACAGTATGTGGGGGAGGTTTATAACATTTGGCTTCAGGATGCATAATCGCACTTAGACATTTTGAAACAATTTCATAGACTCTTAGAGCTACAAGGGGCCTATTTACAAAATGAGAAATGGTTTAAAATGGCATACAGGCTGTTTCCGCTTCCCTACCCCCGAGGGGGCTGGGGCGGGAATCCCCACCAACTGGAAAGTCATAAAAAGATCTTCAGCAAAGAACATAAAATCTAAAAACTGGAGTAGACTTAAAGGTCATCTAACCAACCCCAGACAGGCTGGGGAAAGAGACTCACTGGGGGCCACATACATACATCGTGGCAGAGCTTACAAGTTCCCTAACTTCTCTCTTTCTTTCTAAGTAAAATGCTTCCACCGGCTGCTCTTGAACCATCTTTTTTTTTCTATTAGGAAAGAGAAGGTTTCCTAGCACAGACAGTTCCCTGAGAATGGTGAAATCGCCAACATTTCTTGGTAACAAAGGGCCTTGAAGGCCAAATGCCATTTTTCTGGGTGAAACCAATCTCGACTATGGATTTGTTCTTGTTTATTAAGGATGCAAGTTATTAGTGCAGGCTTTGGCTTCAGATCTGGTTTAAGTCCCAGCTCCCCCACTTACTAGCTGTGTGCTCTTGGGCAAGCTAATTAACTTTGAGTCAGTATCCTCACCTCATTTGAAAGTTGAAGAAACAGTAACAGCATCTACCTCCCAAGATGGCTGTGATAATTAAGTGAGATGATGTACATAAAAGGCTCAGCATATGGGCACTCAGAGTTAGCCATGGCAGTCCTTGGTGGTGGCGGTACATTTCAGTGGGTGCATGGATGCGGAAAGGAATTTTCTGGTGAATGAGGACACTTTTATTTATAACTGCCCCATCTGAAGAGCACCTAACTTTCATTCAGCTGAACCTAAGCCATTGCTCAGCTTTGACAAGCTAAGACAATGACCAAATGCTGTTGCCTTCATTCTCACCCAACGGGTGCAAAATCTGCTTACATGGAACAGTCTTTCCTTCTGAACATGGATTGCCAGTTATTGAGCATTTCACTTTGGAGTTATATAATGTTAGGCCTCGAAGGGGACTTGGAGTGCCTTACTTTTTAGATAAGGAAACTGAGGCCCAGAGGGATCAAGCTCCTTATCAGAAGTTGCAGAGAAAATGTACTGAAGCCTATTAGGCTCTGCAAGAATACAGACCCCTTGACTGTCAAGGAACCATCTGTAGGAATTTAGAAGGGATTAGAAGAAAGAGAGCTAGGAACCTGTTCATAGTTGACTGTGCAGTCACCAGTGGGCTGGCTCCAGAGGGATCCAATTAGAAATTCTCACCCCTCAACACAATGCCCAAGGGGCATTAAATGATGGTACTTCTAAGTCCATTGCCAGGTCCACCTGGATGTCTCTCTCCATGCTTCTCTACATCACATCCCTCTTGGCTTTCCTGTCCTTCAGGCTAGGCCTTCCCTCTGTACTCAGCCCTTCCTGCTTTCACCTCCACTTCCTGCAGTGTGCCAAACTACTGGCACATCACCCGGGTGAGCTGATCCAATGTAAACACAGCTCCTCGTGAATTGTCGTTGGCTCTCTCAATCTTAAAAACATATTAAACTGTCACTTAAAGACCTTAATAGCCAAGACATTGGAGACATGCCCATAGGTGTATAAGCAACTTTTTTGCCATAATAGAGCCTTGTTTTTTAAAAACAGAAATTATCCAAGTCCCTTTTACATGCTTTCTAAAAACAGATGCTGAAACCATTACTTTGTGAATTGCAGATTTTTGTCCTAAGCTGCAGGTGTGTCTGACTATGCGGAGTTGGGGGCTGACAGTTGACTTTCACCAATGTATCTGCCACTGTGGTAGTGGGAGGCAGGAAAGAGCTTCATCAGATTATCTTCAGGCTTTAATCTAAGCATCTCAGCTCCAAGGCTAGGAATTTGCTCAGAGCTTACCAACACTCCTACGAGTTGGAAAGTGGAAAAATGACTTTGGCATTCCCCTCTGAGGATGCTTGGTTTGATCCTCTCTTCATGCTAACTGACCAAAGGTGACAAGGATGAAAAAAGAATAGGCTGAATTCAGCAAAGGCTGGGGACCAGGAAGGAGGGGCTGCACACAGGCTTTTGTGTGTGTCTTTCCTTCCGCCCTTACGCAGGCCACTTCCCAAGAGGAAAAGGTAAAGAGTAGAGAAGTAAGGGAATAGTTCCTCTCGCAACTCACTAGAGCTGACAGGGCTCCAGGAGAAGTATTCAATTTGACTTTAGGAAGGCAAATCGTCCTCTTTTTAGCTTGCACATTCAAAATAGTTTGTGTCTCATAAAGTGGAGATTTGCCTTGATAAGTAACAGACCTTGAGAGCTCTTATCTCCCAACCATTCATCCAACACCATTTAAATCTTTATTTTAAGAACAGATTTCTGGCAGGGGCGTGAGTCATTATAATAACTGCAGGCGTTTACTCACTGGGTGACTTTGGATAGGTCACCTTTCCTAGGAAGTGGCAGAATTTGGATGAGAACCAGGGTTCCTTCTGCCTCCAGCCCACTGACTTTTCCTTTACACCAGATCATCTCCCAAATAACAAATGATTATGACAAAATAGGCTTAAAACTTCGTTCCACTGAAAGCGGAATTGTGGAGCAGCTTTTCAGGACATCCAAAATGAAGAGACAGCTGTTGCTCTTGAAGAGCCTTCGTTTAGAAATATCCTCATATCCCCTACCATTTGATAACAGGAAGAGGATTTGGCCAGCAGCTGCTACTGTCTCACCAGGTGCAGGGCCACCAGCCACTTTTGCAGGACTCCTTCAAGAGCACAACATTTCCTTAAATCCACGTGGAACAATTGGTGTGTCCCAAACCATTGTTGGATGTTTACATATAGCAATAGCATAGATCTGCAAAAGCTCTAGAAAATGCTCTCTATAAAACTTTTATAGAAAGAGTTACATATGAAGTTGAGTCTCCTGTGTTCACCAAGGCTCCTTTAGTGGCTGAAACACAAATTTAGTATCTAATCCTGTATATTTGATGCAGAAATTGTGTTTTCACAAAAACAGAAGAGACAAATCAATTGTAGTGCTTTGTGAAACTCCCAAATCAACTCCTTGTCTCATATCTGCTCTTCTGTATGAGAAGCAAACCCTTTTACATTTTTTTCTCAGAAAAGAGAAAGGAGTCTGTTCTTACTTTTATTATCTATTTGGATTCTTGCCTCCCAACAGACTTGTTCTCTGTTAGGACAGGCAAGTTTGGGGCTAGGCAAAAGAGAGGAAGGAAAGACATCTCTAAGGGTCCGGAGATGATTGACATTTTCCTGTGTGTTAGCTCTTTAGCTTCAAGGACTACCATGCAAAAATATTGGTGTCCTTTTTTACACATGAGTAAGTTAAGACTAAGAGTTTGAAACGACTTGTCTAAGGTCACATAATGACAGATTAAGAACTCAAACTCAGGCCTCTCTGACTCCAAAACTTCAGTTCTTTTCACTCTGCAAGAAACAGAAGGCATTCGTAGAAAGCAGAAATCTGGTGAGGAGGGACTATGATTATTACTGTGACTTTCATACACAGATCAATTTCTTCCAGCCCACTGAACTCATTGATAGTCTGGTTCAGAAGCTTCCCAGCATTTGCAAAATGTTGCTAGGCACCTGTATCTCTTTGATATCTCTTGGTCACCACCAGGAGTATACTGTCACCTACACCAAATCAGAGCCATTTCTCGGGTATAGAATAAAGACTTTCTTGATTTCTCCTGGTTTTCCAGAAGGCTAATGGACATCTCCCGGCAGAAGACTAGTAGAGAGACCTTTTAAAGAATAATACATGTTATCCTAATACTCTAAAAATAATTCTAGAGACCTTGTCCCAGAGCTTTCAGGAAACTCTGCCCTGGGGATAAGGTTGGCCTTGACATGTGCATTTCTACATGTCTAGTCAGCCTGACCCATGGCCTACCCAATAATATATAAATCATGACCAAGCCAAACATGGCCTGGGCCCCCACCGGGACATGCTTTAAAAGGAAATATAATTGCTAAGGGAGAAGAAACAAAGGCTCCATTTGGCAAGTAACTCTATTGAAGGACAAAGGAGTGCCAGTGTCCAACTCAAGGTGGCTGTTTCAAATCCACATGCTTTGTGTATAGATTTTGTCTCCTCCTCCTGTTTAAAAAATATTGAATCCTTTGTAAAATTTATCTCTGGAGACAAAGGCTAATGAGCCATTGTCTAAAAGAGCTGAGCAGAATCTTGTTATCTGCTCATTCAACCCCTTCATGTCACAAATGGGACAGGGGGAGAAATGGCATATCTGAAATTTACAAAGAAAAAAATGGCACATCTGAACTTTACATAAGAAATGGCATATCTGAAATTTACAAACTTACATTTACATGAGTGGTGCCACAACCAAGATACATTGACTCACAGCATCTTTTATGAATGAAGGAGAAAAGAGTGTCTGCTGTATTCTGTCACTTCCACCCCCAGAGTATCCCAGTTTTGTGTCAACCTCATACCTTGAAACTCAGAAGTTCAGGTGGACATTTTGGCTGTGAACTTAGCTTTGGCCACAAGGTCCAGAAGCCACTTCGAGGAGCCGTTAAACACACAACATTTGCAAGCACAAAGATCTAGATGTGACCTGCAGCTCTTCAATTTGCCAGGTCTGCAAACTTCGCCAAGTTACTGATCCTCTCTGGACCTCTGGTTCCTCATTTGAGAAAGATAGCTCACCGTAGTTCTACATTTAAACGATAGTTTAATGAGGTAAAGTGCATAAAGTGCCTGGATACATAATATACCCTTGATAAACATTTCCTCCTGCTGTTATGGATACCCCCTCTCATCAGCATGATGCAAAAATCCCATAGGTTATTAAGTATTGGGATGTGGAAGACCAAATTCAGTTTACCTACATCACATGGGGCTTCTAAGCTCTCAGACTGCAGGACCTTCTCTTTGTAGTTAAACTTGGACCTAGCCATAAATATACTCAGGCCACATCACATTGCAAAATCATGAGAATAGCCACAATTCGTCTTGGGTGTTTGGTCGCTACCCTTTCCATAGCAGCCCTCCCCTGCTCCATTACCAGTCTTTCCCTCCAATGTCTTGCTTATAAGATAGGGCAACAGTCACTCATTTCTTTATATAGCAAATATTTATTTAGCATCTGTTATGTGCCAGCCACTGTGCTAAGTACTGAATACATGACAATGAATAGGAAAGCTTTGATCCCTGCCAAGTAAACTTGAGTCTGGTAGAATTTATTTTTCATAAGGCAGGAGACAGGCCAAATAATGTCAGTGTTCTGTGAGTCTTTGTGTTCCTTGACCTCTCCCCTCCCCAACACACACACATACCTCTCCTTCCTTTTCCAACCACCCTCAGATTTTCCAGGACACACACCTTCAGAGCCACATCTCAACTCTGGTCATCCCTACAGTGTAACAGTAGAATGAGTGTAGTAGTCCTCCCAGTTGTCACATTTTAAATAGGGCCTTTGGGAAGAAACCACCAGTGGCACTGAGTGAAAAGGAGGCTGAGGCAAGGGGGACTATTGGCAGCTCTTAGGTCCCACCAGCAGCCAGTGGTCCCTCAGCCTTCCTACAGCGATACAGTGGTAGACCAGTTGTCTTTGCTCAGCATATGTTTTCAGAGGCAGCTGAATGTTTGGGTTGTATTTTTCACAGTACTGATGTCAGGGACACCAAAGGGCAGGAGCATAGGGAAAGGGCTCTTGGCTGACTAATGACCTCATAAGAAACCTGCCCTTAGAAGAGAGCATCTGTTTGGGCTGTATGACTCAGTGGCGTTTCTAGGTACTGATTCATGAGGCTGACCATCGAGGTGACTGACCCGTGCAATCTGCTGGCTGAAAGAGGTGAAGGCAAAGTAGATCCCAGCTCTGCCCTCATCCTGGAGGAGAGCCACCCCTCCTACCACGGCACACGGGTGCTCCCCACCCCAACCCTGGCTCGGCCAGCCAGTCTCCTTGTTAAGAGGATCTGACACTAATGTGGGCAGAGGTCAGCATCTGGGGGCTTCTTATTTTAGAGGAAGTATAAGAGAGAGATGTTTTGAAATCTTGTTAGTGAATAGAGGACAGCCTTTTAACCTAGGATCTGTAGATAGAATTGAGGGTGTCAGGGAACTTAAATTAGGAAAAGTATTGCATTTTTTATCCCTAACCTATAACTGAAATTTAGCATTTCTTTCTACTGTGAATAAAGACAAACGCCCTAGAAGTTTAGCAGCTCCTATGCCTTTGATACCAATGGAAAGCAGGTATTTTTATATCACATTACAGCTGAGATAGATCCTCATCCTACAATTTATACTCATCCCTGCTCTGAAATGGCCATAATTATACCCACTGCTAGATCATATTCATTAACTTAGTAAAGGCACATCTGTTAGTAAGTCACAAATTTGTTTTTATATATTGATACTATCTCAGTAATATTGGTTTTCTTTGTATTTTTATCTTATGCATTTAAGACATTTCCTAAGAAGAGATATTCTCATGTCAGATAGACAAAGAACCTAAAAATATAAAGACTCTTTCCACATCAAGCTGAGGCATTAGCAGCATTACACGCCACACACACACAAATATACACATCTATGCATAGGTAAACATATATGCACACACATACAGCTGTAGTGGATTGAGGTCTGAGGCTCTTGGAGTAAACAAACTCAATTCAAATTCCAACTCTGCCACTCATTTCCTATTACCTCGAACAAGTCATATTAGTTCTGAGCCTTAGTTTCTTCATCAATAAAAGGGGCCTAAAAGTTATTGTACTCACAACAATCATCTAAGTTCTTGGCACAGTACTTGACATATAAGGAATGTGTGTTAAACACAAGGCATCCTCACCATTAAAAGACCTAATGAAGGTGAAATGGTAAAGAGAATAAACACATTACTTTGTTGAAACTTTTTAAACTCACCTTTGATTTGGCCAACTCTAAGAATTTATTTTGTCTAAACCTGTATTACACAAATATTATATGCCAGGGACTGAGGTGGGAAATGAAGAAATAAAAGGAAAGGAATTTTAAAATCTGATGGTCTCAGAAAAGGAATAGCCTAATCAAATCATCAAAGAATCATAGCAGTGCCTAAAGACCTTGATCGGGGTACATGTGTGGGACTGAGAGAGATCAGAAGAGGAAATACTTAATCTTACCTGGGGAGGTCAAGAAAGGCGTCCCAAAGAGGGGACATTTGAGCTGAGTGTTGAAAGACAAGGATGAATGAGCTGTTAGGATCAGGCCATAGTCCAGTTTTATGCCTTCTGAATCTGACACCCATATTCTCCATCCTATTTGATTTCCAACTTGGGGAATATCACCCATCTTGGACTGTGGAGAAATACATTCCACTGTATTCATCCAGCCACAAATGCACATCTTTTATCTTCTTATCTGAGAACCTGTTCCTCTTCCTCTCAAGCAAAACCCACTGGGGTGGCAGGATAGCAAGGCCTGTCAGGCTGCACATAGAAAACTTCTCATGATGGTGACTTGAGGCTCTCCCAAGCCCTGCAATGGAGTTCCAGCAAACTCCCCCAAGTTGAGTTTGAATTTTTGCAGGAAGATACAGGTCTGTGTTTTGACAGCAGGAAAAAAAGGTAGCCAAAAATATGCAATATATATGGAAAGAAAGGAACACACACGTATGTGCACACACATATACGTCCGTGAGATCCAGCACATGGCACATGTGAGCAGAACATGAAAACACCGTTCAGAACACCACAGCATGTGTGTGCACCCTGAGCTTCACTCTGAAGCCATTTAATAACAAGAGGAAAAGAAATCTCAAGTAAGACTTTTTGATGTTAGGAAGTGAGGAAGCAAACCAGCATTCTGAAATATGGGACCTTGGTTAACAAGATCTGGAATCTTGCATCAAAACAATTTCTTTCACACAGTTCTTACTTCAAATATCTGACTTGGTCTGAAAATGTGAGTTCCTTCTTGCTGTATTCTAGAGCAGGCGATGCACTGAAATGAAACACATATGGCTTGGATATCTCAGTGCTGCTAGGATGATTGTCCTTGATTTTTGTCAGTTGTACATGGTACATTAAACAGAGAAAAATAAAATCCCAGATGATTCCCTGGCAATTATCTGAAAAATAACATTATGGTGATCATCCCTGTGTTTACAAGGACATGAAGAAAGGGCAAGGTTTGATGGAAAAGCTTTGTTTCCTCTAATCTGTCCTCCTACACAGCCAACAGACCTCAATGGCCCATGGGGAAGATACAACCCTATAATGAGATTCCCAGCTAATTAAAATGGCTGTCATCACCCACCTTCCACATTTCCATGAGCCCAGCCCAGAAATGGGACCATCACAGGGGAAATCATCCTATATTTATTTGAATAATGTTTGTACTGTGTATTTCAGCAATTAAAATTAACTTTTAAGAGGTAGGAAGAGGCTTAGGGATTCTCTAGGTCAACTGCCTTCTTTAACAGATGAGGAAACAGACCCAGCAAAGCCAGATGACTTGCTTGAGGTCACAGAGCTAGTTAGTGGGAGAGGTAGGATTAGAATTCAAGGTACTATGGCCTTTCAAGTTCAGAAAGACTTTTAAAAACTGTGTTGTGTAGAATCACTTCCCCATAAACACAAGATGAGCTGGGCAGCTAGTTGCTGTCAGAATACCACTGAGGAACACTCACACCTCCTGAAGATGTCTAATTTTTTTAACTCCTCTGATTATTGGAAAGCTCTTTGTTATTTTGAGCTAAAATTTCTCTGTATGTAACTTCTCCTTATTGGTTTTCTTTATTTCCTTGGCAGATTCAAGGAGGTAATGGCCATTTTTTTCTGAAGTCCCAGTCCCAGTTAACCTACTAAGTCCTACATATTGGTCAGGATGAAGGTCAGAGCATCTATATTTTGGGTTTCTTCCTACCTTCAGGGAGACCTGGTGTCAGTTCTTAGCTGAGTGAGATGGCCAGCACGCATCCCCCAGGGTTTGTCTGGGGATCCATCTTGTTACTTGTGCCAGCTCCTCCACCTGGCTAGGATAATTCCCTCTCCTGTCCTCACTCAGGTGGGGAAGCCCTTCTGTGCCACCAGCTATCCTGTTTCTTGTAAGAGGATTTTTAATGTGGGAAATCATGGCAAGAAAGAGGTGCCAGGCAGCTTTAAAGCACCAAGAGAAGAACTCCAAACCCATGTCATAAACACTCAAGAAAAATCAGCACTGTTCTACATGCATACATGTAGAACATGACTTTCAAAGAAAAAAGGGAGGGATGTATACAAAATCAAAGAAGGCTAAGGAGGCAAAGAAGAAATGATTGATAAATAGAGGTAATATCAAAAACTTTTAAAAATTATTTGTAAAGTTGTCATCGCTTATTACTATATGGAATGCTAAAACAGTAACAGGGTAATCAAATTTTGCATGCTTGTGTCTTTTCCTCTGGAGGCAGTACTCAATAAATAACTATGAAGGCTGGCCATTAAAATGAACTTGCTTTCATGAAAAGATACCACTAAGAAAGTGAAAGGCAATCCACAGAAAGAAAATATTTGCAGTATTTATATATACTGATCCCCAGACAAACCCTGGGGGATGTCTGCTGGCCATCTCACTCAGCTAAGAGCTGACACCAAGTCTCCCTGAAGGTGGGAAGAAACCCAAGAAATAGATGCTTTGACCTTCATTTTGAATATTTATGTGTGTGTGTGTGTGTATATATATTTGTGTATATAGATAGATGATTGATAGATAGATACATACATACATACATACATAGAGAGATCTGGGTTGTATTCAGAATATATAAATAACTTCTACAAATCAATTTAAAAATCCAATTTTTAAAAAACAGGTGAAGACTTGAATAAGCATGTCACAAAAGAAGATATCTAAATAGCTGAAAGTATAAGAAAACATGTTCAACATCATTATTCATTACAGAAAAACAAACGCACAATGAGACAGTGTCACATACCCAGCAGAATGGTAAAATTAAGTACCAACAGGACAGAGTGCTGGAGAGGATGTGGAGCAACTGGAACTCACAGACATTGCCAGGGAGAATATAAAATGATACAGCCACCGTGGAAAGCTGTCTGGTAGTATCTAAAAAGTTAAATATATATCCACTTTGTATTCCAACAATTACACTTCTAGGTGTATGTCCAAAAGAAAGGATCACAGATATTCACAAAAAAATTTTGGGCAAAAATATTTGGAGCCATGTTATTCATTATAGCCCCAAACTGGAAATAATTCAAATCTCCATCAACGGGAGAATGAATAAACCAATCATTTTATATTTATACAACAGAATATTACTTAGTAACAAAAAATCTAATATATGTAACAACATGGGTAATTTTAAACATGTTAGACAGAAAAAGAAACCAGACACAAAAGAATACACACCGTGTAATTTCATTTTTACCATGTTCGAAAACAGGCAAAACTAATCAACAGTGATAGAAATCAGAATAGCAACCACCTTTATAAGAAGAGGTGTTTATTGAATAGAAAGTGGCCTGAGGGAACTTTCTGGGCCACTGAAAATATTCTACGTGTTTATCTAGATGGTGATCACATGGGATATACATATAAAGTAATCGAGCGAATACTGGAGATTGGTGCATTTCGACCGCATGTAAGTTTTCCTTTGAAGTACTGTTAGATAATAATAGAGGCAGTATTTGATAAACAGTTGGAAAGTGATATGTATCCAGGCAGCAGATTAATGTGAGGCCAAAGCATGGAAAGTGAGTTCCTGCTGCAGCCCCCTGGAGGTGTCACGTTAGGGGAGAACTTTGTCTCCAGGAGCTGCCACCAGGACCCTTTCAAATCTTGCCATTGAATTTAGCCTGGCATCCAGGTTTCTTTGTGATGGGTCCCTTTTCAGCCACATCTTCCACTACAACATTCTGCTGCCCCAGAATGTCACTCATTCCCTGAACATACTTTTCTTCCTTGTGGGCGTGCTGAGAGGGTTTCCTCCTCCACGGCCCCAAATCCCACCCCTTCCTCAGTGCCCTCCTCCATAAAACCATCAGTTCTGACTAAGTTCTCTGTCCTGTGAAGTCCTCGTGTGGACTTACTCTCCTGCTGAATGCACGTTTACTTTTCTGAATGGCCCTGAAGCATCTACAGTGGCTGTCTTGCCTGCTTAACTCCTGTACCATCATATCCTGTTTATGCTGAAATTCTCCATGTTATGCTCCTTGAGAACAGAGACCATTCCGTCTTCCCCTTTGGGTGTGCCCTGGAACCCTGGCACATGTTATGGGCTCAGTGATAATAATGGATAGAAAAGGGAGTGGGATGGAATCGGGAAATAGGAGACGGAAAGGCATCAAAAGAGGTAAGAGCAGCTTTGTTCTCCTTTCTGACAGGGACAAGGAATTCTGAGGGGTTAGAAAGAAGGAAAGAGACCCTAAGAGCGGGGGATACAAAAACAAAACAGCTGTGGAATAGAGGAGGGGAGACCATTAACCTATTTAAGCACCCCTCAGTGTGGCCCCTTCCCATTCTGCACCAAGATCAGAACTGGCAAAGTAGGAGTGGGTGGGGGGAGTGGGGAGGAGACTTCGTGGTAGCATTTAGGAGGAATCTTAAGATGAAAAGGAAATGAAAGTGAGAGAAATTGGGGAAGCCAGCGCACCAAACCAGACCCTGAATTTTTTTATGCTTTCAAGTTTTATTCTCCTTCTTCAAGCTTGTCTACAAAAAGATGGGCTTTAGGATGGTGGACGAGCCAGGCCTTGATTCATTTCCCTTTTTCAAACAACTAACTTGAACCTTCATCTGAACCTCGAGGCCCTCTCTTTCTGGCTGGACATCTCTTGAGAACAAACTCTAGTGATTTCCGTGGTCTGGGGAAGCGGTTGGCCTGGATCACGGAACAACAGCAGCTGCATCTCAGGAGGCTTGGCCCTCCTGAGAGACAAGAGCCGGAGGGACAACCGAAAACTGGCTGAAATTTAGTGCAAACCTCTCATAGCTCAGACAGCTATCTACTTTAAGTTTCTAGTCCTTGATGAATATTTATACCAAAATAGGGCCAGTGGAAAAGTTCCATCTGCCTGGATTTTAAGACTTTTGCCTTTCCTCAGCCACGTTGACCAAACTCAGGAAAGTGGCGGAATCATTGCCAAGTACATGCTCTTTGAAGTGCAAGAAATCCTGAGAAGGCCTTGAATTCATCATATTTCTTCTTATCCTGAAAACTTAGAGTTGGCACTCCTTTAAAAAAAAAATGCTTAATATCAGCACCTCTCAGTGCTTTATAATTTTAGCCAAGCCCTTGACACCATGTTGACCACAACACTCTTGAAGGAGTGGATAGGTCTATTCAAAGTTTTGCAGGGAGAAATTGCTTTGTTGGTTGATATTTTTAAAATCCGAATGATCCAATTATTCACTTTAATTCTCCTCTTTAGTTTGCTAGTAAGAAAAATGGCCCCAAGTTTTATCCTTAGTGTTATTAGTCATCCTCTACTCCTCAGAACCAAAACACCAGAAATTTCAACCATGTCGTACCTTTGATGTGTGAAGATAAAATAGAGGCCTTACTCTAGCACGAGGCATAGTGAGTGCTCTTACCAAGCACAGGCCAGGTGCCAGGCATTGTGCTACATCATTTTTTGCTGAATTTTACAATCATCCCATTTTGCAGATGAGTAAACTAAGATCCAGAGGGATTAAGTCCCATGGTTACATACTTAGTCATGGTGAATGTGAATGAAATGTGGGCAATTCAACCCATAGCTCTTCCTTTTCCTTCTGTACAGTGGGAGGATCCCTTGTATGAAAATCTGAAATGCTCTAAAATCTGAAACTTCCTGAGTGCTGACATGAAGCCATGAGTGGAAAATTCCACACCTGACCTCATGTACATACACTTTGTTTTATGCACCAAAATTATTTAAAATATTGTATAAAATTACCCCCCAAGTTGTGTGTATAATGTGTATATGAAACATAACAATTTCAGGTTAAGGCTTGGATCTTGTCCCCAAGATATCGTATTACATATATGCAAATATTCCAAAACTGAAAAGTATTCAAAATCTGAAATACTTCTGGTCCTAAGCATTTTGGAAAAGGGATGCTCAACCTGTACTATGTCTAACCTATATCTAACATGTTTTCAGTGTTCCAGAAGTTTGGGTCGTGGACTTGTTGGTCTAAAGATGAATTTAGTTGATACACAGGCATGCACTGACAACATTGAACCATGTTAGTCAGCATCTTTCTCTCATTTCAGTTCTTTCATTCTTCTGATTATATCAAGGAGGAAGTCTCCTTCTGATGCTAAAACGCCTTTATCATCCCAAACACTTGCTGAACTTCACTTTAAACAATTGGCAAGTAGTTCCCAGGCTCAGAACTTTTAAAAGGCAATCATACCTAGCTAGAATTTAATGACTCATATTTATTGCATTTGTTGTGGTTACCATCTAATTTTTATACACTTTAGAGATAATTTTTTTCAAGAAATATGTTTTTAAACATGTGTTTAAAGAAAAGTCAATAATCACACAGATGGTATATGGAGAACAAAATTCATGAAGGAGGAACATGAGGTTTTATAAACATATAATGCTTAATTATTCTTGGTTTTCAAAGCATCTTACGTACATTAAAATATTTGATTCCTACAACCACCTCATGAAGCTCATAGGGATTATGATCCATTTTAAAGATGAAAAAAAAAAACAAGGTTCAGAGAACAGAAACTATTTGCCAGGGTCCACACAGGTAGTAAAAATGTAGCCAGGGCTCAGGTTCAACACTAAGCTCCAACATGCACAGAGCTCCCCCAACACTTTGTCAGCAAATCATTCAAGGGCAGGAGTGGATCAAGGGATATTCCAAAGCAATGAGCCCAGACCAGAAATGCCATGGAAAGGCTGCAAGGCTTACTGACTCACTGATTGCCTTGAGTTTTCACGATTTCCCAGTGCTTGTCTGTATTCTATTTCATGGAGAAGCCTGCAGCAGAGTTTTTCTAGAGCAGTCTGATTTTCTCTCTCTAGTGAGTCATCTTCCAGAAGGTCAAGAAACTGGCTGTCCCATCAGAGGGTCATCTCCTGCCTTCTGAGTATACCACACAAGGGATGACACAAACTAGAAACGGACCACTTGATGAGGAAAACTGGGTTCTGCAGCAAGAAGACAGCATTTCTTTCCAAGTCTCCTTGCCTTGAGCAGTTGACTGGGATTCAGATGTCAGGTCTGGGTGGCTGGACAGGCAAGGATACCATAAACATAGGAGAAGCAGGGAGAGAGCGAGTTGGCAGTCTCATCCGTCTATCCATGAAGAGATTCCAGGAGCTGAAAACACTCCTGGAGATAAAGATGAGAGCTGGAGAGAATAGTTGAAACTATGAGTAGATTCTAAGAAGAGAGGAGAAGAGCCAGTGGGAGAACCTTGGGGAGAGAAGAAAGTTATTGAGGAAGGCAGAGAAAGGGGTAGTCAGAGGGGCTGGCGTAACCAGAGGAGGCTAGGATCCTGGAAACCAGAGGAAACCAGGGTGCCTCTCTTTCCTTCTAACTCCCCTTTTGGGCATCATCCTCAGATGCAGGATATCTAACATATATTAGCTTTTGATGTGCCAAGAAGCATAGATGATGGCATAGATGAAGCATAGATGAGGGCATGGGTGAAGCATAGATGAAGGTGTTTTATATAAATGTTTATTGAGGAGCCACTATGTGCAAGGCATTATTCTAGACACTGGTAATAGAGCAATGAACTAGACATAAAGTGACCCTGCCCTCATGGAGCTTACAGTCTAGCAGGAAACAATGACATTGAGGAGTTATATACATAATTAAATAATTACCATCATGGTAGATACTACAAAATACAAGGTACGGGGTTTTCTAAGACCATATGATAGGAGTGTCTGAGGGATAAATAGAAGTTTGTTAGGTAAAGGAAGAGAGAAATGGTCTAAACAGAAGGAACTGTATGTGGGCAGGCTCAGAAGTATGCAGGAATTTGGCATCTTTCCTGGGACATATGGTTAAATGAATAATTCTGAATGTACTCAAGAGATAATTTTCTGGAAAGTAACTTGGCTTCTGTAGTTCTGTTTTACATCTGAATTGTGGCAAATGAGTTTTAAAAACAAGACCTTGAAAGTGAATTATTTGCAACGTGAAGGACCGTTCACTAGTTTCTGTTTCATAAAACTGAGCTTAGAAAAATGTGGCCTAAATACTCTGTAAGTTCCTTTTAGTCCTAAAGATCTATGACTTTCTTACATGCAGAATCCAAGTATATATAGTGTGTACAATTAGATCATTATGCAGGGGGAAAATCAAGGAAAGGATAAAACATCTGAACCAAAAAGTGTATTTAGTGTTAGTTTTAAAAACATATGATAGCAAAAAAAAAAAAAGAAAAGAAAAGAAAAAGGAGTCTTTTATAAGAAGGATGCTTGTTTAAAACCAGGAAAACATCTTGCTGAAGGCACTACACTAAAACACAAGTGGTATTTTACCATCAAGACTCCAATGTTGGTTGAAGGAAATCCTTTTCCATGTGCACACACGTGTGTGTGTGAGAGAGAGTGTGTGTGTGTGTGTGTGTCAATGCTTCCATTGTCATAATAGTTAACCCAGGAATTTAGGTGTGAGATTCCCAGCAGGAAGCATTTGCATAAGCAAAGCCTTAAGACTTTTAATAATAGTGCTGTACGTTTATACAACACATTTCCTTTTAAGATACTAAGATTCAGACAGGCAAGATTAAAAATCCACCAACTTGGTGTGTTATGTCTCCCCTATTTCCAAAATTAACTCCAATAAAAGTGTGTTATCCTTGGAAAGATCAGTAGGACTGCAAATTTGGAATTCAGACACATGCATGCACAAACACACACACACACCAAATGACATTCCTACAGGATGACATTCTTAAGACATCAGGCTGCTAAAATCAGGAGCATCTTATAAAACTAGGGAGGTATAATAAGTAGGTATTGCTGACCTCAAGCTTACAGATATATCCTTGAGAAGGAGTCTGTTAAGGGCAGAAACCTAAGAACCACAAAACCAATTAGATTTTAATTTCCAAGTGTAACCTGAAGACACTAGGCCTGGGGACACCAACAGCTTGTTCTAATTTAGGAAAGGCAGGGTGGGAGGGGAGTAAGGGGTCCCCACAGGGACCTTATTTTCTTCTATCTTGATTTCCCTCAAGCTACTTGGTAAATCACTAAATAAGATTCCCAGGGAGTTTGGATAACTTGTGGCTCATAGTGATGCTGGTGGCTTTACTACATTTTCCGAAAGGCTGACAGGGCATATCTAGGGAAAGAAAAAGACAACTCCAAGAGAAAAAACAATTGTGTTGGAGCCTCTGGAAGCATTTAGTTTGGCAAGAAATGCCAGGTCAACTTTTGCCCTATAGGAATCCCTTTCATAGGCAATTAAAACAATGCCCACCCTTTGGGACTCTGAGTGATCTCAAAAGATTCATTAAAAGTCCACAAATGGAAGGAGATCAGAGGACCATCCTCTCACTGACTGAATTAAGCAGGTAGCCCCTCAAATAACGGGCTGACTTTTCTAGAAACGTGGACAATTCTGAAACAGCGGAAAATGGTTTTGCTTCTTGGCTGTTTTCTCAGTCTGCCTTTGTACAATTCACTATTCACGTTAGCCTGAGCAGTGTCTGTAGCTAGTTCAAAGGGAGCTGGTGTCAAAGGAAAATATTAGTTCAGCCTTAAAAATCCTATCACTTCAGTCCAGTGGGGTCCCTTATACGTAAGATTTGTGGGCCTGCTTTGGATACAACAACATGTAAACATCAGCTGTCAGCAAGAAGCTGGCAGCCAAAAAGGCTGGTTTCCTTTCCCCCTCAGTCATCTTCGTGTTCGCCCTGCCAACAGAATGTTCAACAAGGAGCCCGTGTCCTGGGCCAGGACTGCCAGATTCCTAGATGTTCCATGTGCCATCACACAGAT
Source organism: Homo sapiens (assembly GCF_000001405.40). NCBI lineage: Eukaryota > Metazoa > Chordata > Mammalia > Primates > Hominidae > Homo > Homo sapiens. The sequence goes on from NC_000003.12 coordinate 8,521,324, forward strand.
CCAGTCACCCAGCAATGAATCTTTGAATTTAGAATTTGGAACTTTTTGCCTCGTTCCATACTCCTCTTTTTCAAAGTGACCCCAACTCCATCCCCTTTGACAGATAAAAGAGAGATCCTGTGACTTTTTCCATGCTTCCCCTTCTCAAAGGCTGTCGCCCATGCCAACTGGGAGAAGGAGCCCAGCCTGCGAATGATTTTATAGAATTGCTTATAGCTCCTCTGTCCAAACGTCCCTCACATCAGGCTGTTCCAAGAGTTGCAAACCCTTGAAAAATGTGCTGATTTGAGTCTTATCACCTCTTTGTCTATTTTTGATGGAAGTGCTAAAAATACAAAAGAGTAAAATTATCCAAAAGGCAGACAGAAGAAAAAGAAAAAGGGGCAGATAGTCTCCTATCTTGGCTAGCAGAGCACTCATGGTGTCTTCTCCCTTATGCCAAGTGATACTGTGATGATAGGTAGACAGTGCTGGTAGATTCGGTTGGTAGACCAGATGACCGAGGGAACTGTGATTGCAATCATAGATTCTTAATCAGAAGGAGAGTTGTTTTTTCATTTTGGTTTTGGTTTTTGTTTTTTTTCAAGATGGATGCAGATGGTGGGGTCAGCTTCTCAGGTGGAGTACAGTTTTAGAACCACCACCATCACCCAACCCCTCAAAAGGAAGCACAGGCTTCTATACACTTACTTCTTTCATGGCCCAGGGTCTGGGTGTTTTGGCTTTCCTGGAACCAGTCTCAAATCAGTGAAGCTTGGCTAGCAGAGATGGGTTGGGGGGAGGCAGGAGCAAGGTCTTAAACAGAGAAAGCTTTCATTTTGTATTTCCCTTTCCACATATGGATTTACTTTTCTACTCTGTTTTTATAGCCAGATTAACCCCTTTTGTTCACAGATGATGTCAGCCTTGGTGGTCTCCAATCATCCCCTCCCCTGGAGGGGAAGGCAGAGCTACACAAGTGATTACAAGCTCAGCAGTGTTCCATGAAAGGGCATCCATGGTGGCTTGGAGACTGCAGCGGGGAGGAGAGTGGGTAACTAGTCTAGGAAAGTCAAGAGTCTGCCCTGCGGAGCTGATAGGAGGAATTGGCCGGCCTTTTCCAGAACTGCCCCAGGGGTGTGTTCCTCAAGGAGCCTGAACACGGTGATTGGAACAGAGACTTCAGGGACAGCTGCTGTGGGAGTCACAGAAGCAACAGTTCCCTTCCATCAGTTCCCCAAAGGGTCTGGGACTACCATGCTTCACTCCAGCCTCTCACATGCTCCACCTTGGCAGGTTGGGCTTCTGTGAATTTATTCCTCCTTTGTGACCAACCTGATTTTAACTTAATCTCACCCATTAGACATGACATGTCCAGAGAGAGGAACATTAAGGAGAACATGGTATATTTGGCCCCAAACCTAAATTCTCCCTTGAGTTGAACCTGGAAAAACTAATCCTGAGAGAGGAAAGAAAAAAAGGAATGATTGAACAATTTAATTAATTTTTAAAAATTAAAAATTAAAGGGAATATATCATTTGTCATAGAGAGTAAAAACTATTCTTTCATTCAGCATTTGCTTAAAATTTTATTTGGGACACCAGAAACTCCTGACATCACGAGATAAATCCATCTGACTCTTCCAACTACAACCAGTCCACGGGATAAATTTAACACACACAAACCATGTAATAGGAAAAATCATGGAATCTTTACCCTGAAGGGCTGCCGATTCAGGCACTTCTGCCATCAGCACATTATCCACCAATTGTGTTCTCATTCTGTTGCTTTAAATAGTATTGATCTTTAAAAGCAAAACAAAACTAAACAAAAGTTTCCATCCATAGAATTCTAAGTACTAGATCAGTAGGGCTCATCTCAATTTGTTTAGTCTGTGCATTTTTATCTTCATTACACAATTCAGGAAAAGAGTCTCTAAATTAAAGGGATTTCTTCACATTTGTGCTTGTCCAGACAGAGGAATAGGAATGCCCAAGGAGCAACCCTGGAGTAGAAATGGTAGATTTGAACACACATACACACTCTCACACATACACATGCACACACATGCACAAGCACACACAGCTCCCTGAAGAGCATCTGTCATATGACCCCAATGTAAACGAGGTCTTTGTTGCTGTCTGTGTGAGACTCACTGTGTTTTAGGATGCACTTTATCCAAGTCATTTTTTTGGTTGATTTCTGCCATAAAAGTGGGCTGCAAGTCTCACTCTTTCATATCATACTTGGGAAGACAGGATTCTCTTGGCCACAGCCTGAAGCCCTAGCGTGGGGGCTTCCCAAAGCTTGGGGAGGTGAGTGAGCAAGAAGCCAAAGGATAAACATGGAGCAGCGGTTCTGCTTTAAGATTGGAGGGAGCAAGATGGGGAACATTTGTTTTACATTACAACAGGAAAAATATAGATTGTGGAATAGGATGCAAAAAGTCACCCTGATGTTTAAGAGCAAATAGACTGGAAAGAGTCATTGTTCACCTTCCCTCAGCATCCCTGGCTTTCCAACCCCCTGGCATCCTCCTCTGGTGACACACAGGACCTGTCTCAGGAGGAGAGGTCAGGCAGAGGATTTACTTTCAGGAAGGGCAACAAATGTAGACTTTAAGTTATGGACAGGCAGTTATCGTATTGGTAAGTATGTTGATTCCATTACTCTGTTAAGATTGTGTAACCCTGTTTTGGCAATTCCTTGCTTCAATTCTTGGGAGCTTCAAACAATGGAAGAAGTCCAGACCCTTGTCAAGACCCCAGTCTTCCTTTTTTTTAAACTTTTAATTTTTGTGGGTACATAGTAGGTATAGGCCCCAGGATTCTTAAGTGGGAAAGTGAAAAAAGCCTTCCTGGCCAGGGCACTCCCCAGAAAAATCATACTTCTTAAGGAAAAAAAAAAAAAAAAAAAAGACTTCCCATGCAGCTTGCAACCATTTGGGTGTTGCACATTCCCAGGTTGGGCCCCCTCATCTGGTGGGAATCCTCAGTCGAAGCTTCCACCTGAAGTTGGGGAGGGTTTGGGGACCACCCCTCGCCTCAGGCAGGGCAGAGGGTCTCAGTATCCATGAGTGCCCCAGAGAGGAGTCAGCCAGTCAGTGAAATTTAGAGGAAGAGGAAGGGTTGTGGTTTCCCTTCGGTCTGGTTAAGAGAATGACTGCATTTGGCACCAAAACCTGTGGGGCAGGCTTGTGCCAGGGCTGATGCTGAAATGACAACAATAAAAGCCAGACTTGCTGTAAAAAACTCTCCTTGTAGGGAATGGTGGTCCACAAGCTGCTTATGAAAAGGGAATTTTTTTCAGCCTTATTGAGGTATAACTGACAAATAAAAATTGTATGTCTTTAAGAGGTATAACTTGATGGATTTGTGATGTTGCTGTTGTTGTTGTTGTTGAGACAGGGCTTCACTCTGTCATCCAGGTTGGATGCAGTGGCACGATCACAGGTCACTACAACCTCAACCTCCTGGGCTCAAGCAATCCTCCCGCCTCAGCCTCCTGAGTAGCTGGGACCACAGAAGTGAACCACCATACCCAGCTAATTTTTTAGTTTTCTGTAGAGATGAGGTGTCACTATGTTGCCCAGACTGGTCTCAAACTCCTGGGCTCAAGCAAGTCACCCTCCTTGGCCTGCCAAAGTGCTGAGATTATAGACGTGGGCCACCGAGCCTAGCCCAAATTGATGTTTTGATATTCATATACATTGTGTACTAATCAAACTAATTTTTTTACATGGTGAGAATACTTAAGATCTACCCTGTTAGCAAATTTCAAGTATAGAATACAGTATTGTTAACTATAGTCATGATGCTTTACATTAGATCTCCAGAACTTACTCATCCTGCCTAATTGAAACTTTGTACCCTTTGACCAACATCCTCCCATTTCTCTTAATCCTCAGCCTCTGGCAACCACAGTTCTCTTCTGTGTTTCTATGAGTTTGACTATTTTAGATTCCACATATAAATGAGATCATTATTTGTCTTTCTGTGCCTGACTTATTTCACGTAGCATAATGTCCTTGAGTTCATCCATGTTGTCATGAATGGCATTATTCTTATTCCTTTTTGAGGCTGAATATTATTCCATTGTGTGTGTGTGTGTTTGTGTGTGTGTACGTGGGTGTATGTGCCACATTTTCTTTTTCCATTTATTTGTTGACAGACACTTAGGTTGTTTCCATATCTTGGCTATTGTGAATAGCGCTGCAGTGAACTTGGGAAGGCAGTTATCTCTTTGAGATACTGATTTCATTTCCTTTGGATGTATATCCAGATGTGGGATTTCTGGATTGTATGGAAGTTCTACTTTTAATTTTTTGAGGAACCTCATACTGTTTTCCATAATGGCTGTACCAATTTACATTCCTCACAACAGTGCACAAAGGTCCAGGAAGGGAGATTATTAAGACAATGAGCTGAGAGCCTAAAAGTCCAAGTTGGAACGGTTGAAGTTACAATGGTGAGACCAAATGATTCCCAAACTTGTCTGAACATTGGCATCCCCTGGGAACTTTCAGAAATACTGATGCCTGTAATCAACCCCCAGAGATTGTGGCAAAATTTGCCTGGAATGCAGCCCAAGTTTTGGAAGCATTAAAAGATCCCCAGGAGAGTTTAATGTTGCAGACAAGTTAGGGAACCACTGTTGTAGCCCCTCGATACTCAAAGCGTGGTCCCTGGGACAGCAGAAATGGTTTCTCCTGGGAGGTAGGTAGAACTATATGTCAGGCTTGCCCAGACTTGCTGAACCAGAGTGTGCATTTGAGCTAGATCCCAGGTGATTTTGTGCTAATCAGAGTGTTTACTTAATTTAAGGAGCACTCCCCTCCTCACACACCCAGAACAGGCAAAATCCCCTGCTAAAGGACAATCTCATGACACACTGTTTCTCCTTCCTAGCACTGATTCCATTTGTAATTTTACATTTGTGTGAGTTGAGAAAAACGTGTGAGGGCCCCAAAATATCTGGAAGAGGCTCTTTGGCATGGAACTGTAGTGCATTGGTTAAATTAAAATGTGGATCTGGAATTCAGATACCTGTGTCCAAATCTAAGCTCTAGCACTTTAATTTGACCCCTTTGAACCCCACTTAACTAGAGATACTGGATTTTTCCAGGCTTTTCTGGTTTTCATACTAAAAAGTTCTACATCCTAGGCACCAAACAGTCTAGTGCAAACCAGGACAGTTAGTTACCCTTCAGTTAACTCATATGCAACCTAGAGGCACTAACAATGTATCAGTGGTCTCAAACTTTAATTGTTTATCAAAATCACCTGGAGGTCTTGAACAGCGATGTCTGGGCCCCACCTGCAGAATGTTTGATTTCATAGGTCTGGGGTGAGGCTTGAGAATTTGCAGTGCTCACAAGTTCGCTGCTGCTGTGCTGCTGCTTAGAGACCACACCTTGAGAACCACTGCAACATACCTCCCTTGTAGAGTTGTTGTAAGATTTGTACAAGGTCAGCCTTCACACAGTGCCTGGAAAACCACAAATCCTAGTACTTGTTACAGCTACTATTGTTACTTTTGATTATGGAAAAGATGGGACTAAAGATGGTCCCTAAAGAGTCGGCAGGTTTTAAGTTCTCTGAGGTTTAGATGAGCATAAGCAAAATCCCAGAGTTTGCGTGGATTTAGTTCTGCAAGAGGCTCAGGTGGTTGGAAAGAGAATCTGGGTGGAAACAGTAAATAATATGGAAATAGAGACAAATTTGGACAGGTTACTAGCTGTTGAATCTTGAAGAAGAGCTTAACCTCTCTGAGCCTCAGTTTCCTTATCTGAAAATGAGGCTAATGAAATTATCTCATAAGGTTGTCAAGAAGTTTAGATGAAATATCATGAAAATGTTTGGCATGTGCCTGGCACATAGGAAGTACTCAATAAATGTTAACTATGATCATGATCACTGGGAAAGATAAAACACTTTTGATTAAAGGCCAGTATAGGAAAAGGTAGATTTAGGATACCCCACCACCACTGCCTTCAAAGGAGCTCCAATGGAGACCATCTGGATGGGCAAGTTGCTTCTCCACTCTCAGACTCAAGGTCATTCATCATCTTTTGACTGGGAATAATGATGATAATAATTATACTTCAGTGGGAAGTCATATTATTAAATAAGAGAATTACTAAGTAAAATCACTGAGTAAAATTCATGGCAGTAGGGTAGTTTCAGGGTCATATTTTTAAATACAATTCCAGTCCTTTCCTGGACCTTCTGATAATTTTATTCCACTCAACCCATCTCACTCCAGCTTCTCTCCCAGAACCCCTAGGGAAGGGTTTGTTTTAAATAACAAGTCATGTTGACCAATAATCTTTAATAACATGTATGCTTATAGAACTTAACCTGTAAAAGACACGTCTGCATTGAATAGAATTTTGTGTCAATTTGGAACGCACCACCTCAGAAAGGAAACCTGTGAGTAATCATTAGGGCGTGTGATAGTACTAAGATACCACTTTCAAAAAGATAGAATCACAATTGTTGTGCAAATATGAAGTGAAACTTAACAAAGATTGTGTTCTACCCATTAATGAGGGAACCCGTATGATATTTAGGCCAGTTTAAAAAGCGCTTGAGGAGTTAGGTATTTATAAGTAATTTAATGTTAGGACAAGATTGATGGGTTAGTTACAAAACTAGTTAATGTCTTCCAGAACAGTAAACCATAACATTTGGGGTTATCTTTTTTGAAAGGACAGAAATTGTTTGTGTCTCTATTGGACCAAGATCTGCAAGTTAACGTGTTACTTCAGAAAGACTTGGAGCTGAGCAAAGTAAATTTCTCTAGATAATCCTATGGGGATGAGGAGAGCCAGTGCCATATTGCCTCCATATGACATTGAAAGGATGTGCCACTCACCTTTCTGCCTTATGTCTGAGTTTTAAGTACTTTTCTAGGGGGCCGGGGGGACAGGATGGAGTGCAGTGGCGTGGTCATAGCTCACTGCAGCCTTAAACTGCTGAGTTCAAGTGATCCTCCAGCCTCAGCCTCTCAAGTAAGCTGGAACTACAGGCACATACTACCACACCTAGTTTTTTTTTGTTGTTGTTTTCCTGTAGGGATTGGGGTCTCACTATGTTGCACAGGCTGGTCTTGAGCTCCTGGCCTCAAGCAATCCCCCTGCCTCAGCCTCCCAGAGTGCTGGGATTACAGGAATGAGCCACCACATCTAATTATTTTTTTAACAATGGCAAATACTTATTTCAATTTACTGCCTTTTAATGTTACGTGATGCTTACAACAGCCCTATTGAGACAAAGAAAGGGCAGGGATAATTCATTTTTCAGAGGAGGCAATTGAGTTACTCCATGAGGAAGAAGCTGAGCTGGAAGGAGAACCCCCATTTTCTAATTCCAAATCCCATGCTCATCCCTAAATTCCCAGTTGCATTTTCTCTTTTACATTCCTCTTCCTCTCAACCCTACATTGTTCTTGGTGACATTTTTTTTCCCTCTAAGACTTCCCTTGGGATTCACCTGAAGGCAAATGCTTGAGAGAGGAGTCCCAGAGTTGCCCCTGCTCCTTGCATCCCCAGGGGTCTCCTGGTCTAATCTAAGTCCTTTTAAGTCCCTGCCACCATTCAGTTTCACGATAATATCAAATGAACCACATCCTACTAACCCAAGCCAAGGAAAATCGTCAAAACATTTCTTTCTGTTCTCGGGAGAAAGGACAGATTAGATGCTGCATTCCAAGAAACCTTTTTTTAAGTGATGGTTTCTTTTAAACTCTTCTATTCTCAGCTACTGTGAGACACTGTGCCGTCTTTCAAGAGACAGAGCCCACATCAGAAAAACCTACTGTTTATAAACCAGAGTATCTCACTTGGGACTGTGGCTGACTGATGTTTTCCCCTCCTCAGTAAACAAGATCGTTCTCTCTGTGTTGAAGATAGCGGGGTCTGTCTGGCTTCTGGATGAATGGCATGCAGTGGACAAATGACTATTTATTGCATTAAACAGTCAGCCAGGAAACTAGCTGCAAGTGTGGCCTGATGACCTGAATCAATTTCTTCCTTGCAAGGCCATTTATTTTTCTCTCCCACATACTTCTGTTGCCATGGAAACTGTCCCACTAGCAGATGGAGACCAGGGCCAACTCTCGCTTCCTGAACCTCCATTTAGTTTAGCGTTCTTGCCCAACTAGGCCAGTCGCCTGTGTCTTCACTTGCCTGACTGCATGGGCTTTCTTTGTGCTTGTTGAGATTTTAACGTCGATTCTCTTCAGGTGATTGGTAGCAGAGCACCGCGAGGGCAAAGGGCTAGGGATGGCCTCACTTAATGAGTTAATCATTAAGTATGGGACATGTGTGAGCTTATTTTGTTTTTACATTTTGTAGGAAAACCTAGTCAGAGAGGCAACTCTTTTTACAAGTCAAAAAAGTAGAGAATAAGAAAGTATAGGGGGTGTGTATTTAGAAAAAATAGTTCCTCTGAAGTCCCCTAGCATTTTGAAGCTAGAAAAAAATGTGTTGAGAATATCTAATTCAGGGTCTCTCAAACTTTTCTTCACAAGATGTAATTAATGACAACAACAAAGAACGCTCAGTGCATAATAAGTGTGTGCCAAGCCCTTTTCAGGCAGCATCCCGTTTAACCTCCTGGTAACCCTGCAAGGCAAGTTGCATTCTTGTTATCCCCATGACGCAGGTCATGGAACTCAACAAGCCTACTTGCCCAAGTACAGTGGAGGAAAGGGGAAAAACTGAGACTAAAACCCGGGACTAAAGCCTGGGTCTCCAAACCCGAAACAGTTGCTTGCTCTCTACCTCACTTCTTGCTTCTAACGTAGGCTGGCCTGTTAAAGGCTCGGGAGCCTCTACACATCCAGTGCCTGCCATTTGTATTTGATCAGGTAATTCTCTGTCCCACTCCCAACCAGGAACCACTTCGTAACATCTCACCAAGTGAGGATCCTGCAGAACAGAATGTGGGCAACCCCAGTGCAAGCCAGTTCCTTATTTTTCAGAAGAGATGCTTTAGGCTGGGCAAGGAAATGACTCATCTCCAGTTACACAGCTAATAAATGCCAGAGTTGGCACCCAAAGGCCAGACCCCCGCATCACCGGCGAGTGCTCTGCTCTGCTCTGCTGTGCTACCTACATCACTATTCTAAATCAAACCCCGAGTTTGCAGACAGATTGCAGCTCCACTCTCCAAGCCAAGCATCAGAACTAATCCCCTTGTAGAATGAGGGTTAAATCAGCCTCTCATTAGAAGAACAATAAAGCTGAAGTGTGCAGGGTGCTTTGCCACTTGGAAATGCTTCCACCTACCTCTCCGGTTTCCAGCCTTCTGAGTATATCTGAAATGGTCCAACAATGAAGCCTTATTCACAAGTTGTATATCTCCCAAAATAAACTTTGAGTGACTCCAATATTAAGTGTGTAAGGATCACTGCATTTCAACTAGGAGAACTGAAGGTGTCAAGGGGAGGTGGAAATGAGCAAGGTTATATGCCAGTGGCTTTAGGGAGCAAAGTCCTACCTGTGAAAGAAAGCTCCCAGCTTAGGAGAATGAGTTAGCAGTGGGTGTTGTCTTAATTTTCACTTTTCACATGAATCTAGCATTGAATAGGCCTAAATATAAACCTGCTTCCCTCCACACTCCACATATGTGCAACATGACTCTCACTCCCTGAAGCTGTAAATATGTATTGAACAAAATGACAAAGTGTGTGGGGACATGGTGTACACAGCAGTCACCAAATAGAAGGCATGGAGTGAGGCATTATTGTGAGAAGATTTGGTGCTGAAGAGAAGTATTGTGAAGGACAGCTGTCTCTTTCCATACGTCTGAATTCTACCACTGGCAATGAGGATGGCTTCACAAGTTTCACTGCTTGTATTTTCCCTCTTAAATGCAAAGAGAGTAGACTAGTAGCATCCAAAGGACATGCTCACATTGCATACCCTACTCATCATGCCTTTCATACCTTTTTTACCTTGCACATTTTCTTCCTTCTGCTAGGCATCTCCTTTCCCTTTTCTGCCTGTCCATCTTGCACAGCCCAAATCCAAAGTCACCTCCTCTAAGAAGAAGTAGTCTGCTCTAATAAACTCATATTTCCCATATGAATTTATTAACACTTTCCCCTGTGCTTCTAAAATCTGTGGCAAAATAAGAGCAGTTACCATGTCTAGTGCCTAATGTGGTCCTGCACGTTACTATATTATCTCGGTATCCACTTGGCAGATAAGGAAACTGAGGCTCAGTATGTCCAAGGCTAGGCAGCCAATAAGTTACTGAAAAGCTCGATTTGGAATCCAAGTCTCTCAGACTCCAAAATTCGTGCCTCTTTTACTACACAACATGCAGCTTCCTTTACCTCAGACTTGCCCCTTACAGGAGCAGGAGATGAATGTGTTTTTCTCTCCATATCCCCCTAGCTAACAGTGAGTTCCACTAGGGCACACCTGAGTCTTATGTTGTATTCCTGTGTCTGGTACATAGTAGATGCTAAATAAATGGTATGTTTGTTGGATAAGAAGCTTATCCCTTTACATTACTAGTTGATTGAGCCCTGCTTCAGGTGAAATCATAATAAAGTACATCCCTGTACCAAGTCGTCCCCACCCCAACCCCAATGGAGAGTTGGGTAAGTTTCTCAGCCAGCAGATCCATATTACTAACCCACTTCTTCTCCAATGTTAATGTAATGCAGATCTCCTGGGAATTTTGTTAAAGTACAGATTCTGATTCAAACAGGCTGGAGTCGGGTCTAAGGGTCTGTATTTCTGGCAAGCCCCAGGTGACGCTTCTGGTTTGAAGATGCCATTTGGGTTTAAACACCTCAGCAGCAGCAGCAAATGCACTTTTGGTACCTTTGGCTGGTAGCAAGTAATAAAACCTGTCTCATGCATTGTTCTCCTTCCAAAGGAGATTTTAAGTGCTCATGTGATTTTTCAGTGTTTTAGCAAAATATTTAAGTTATGCTTCAAGCTATAAACATTTGGCAAAATGCACATTTGTTTGTGCCTGTAGCTTTGGTTTAATCACACTCTATCAATAAATCACAAATAAATGAGGGAGAGGAGACACTCACTGAAGATTCCATTCCAGTGACAAGTGAGAGTGGGTGAGGGTGGGGGATGGAATAGATAGATGGTCACTCACAGCAGGGCGTTTCCAACCAGTCTTGCTGTTTTGAAACAGCACTGGAGGCTGGGAAAGAACCCCCATTGCATTCTTATTGGGAAGAGCCCCACCCTTCCACAATTGCCTACCCTCTGGCCCCATTCCATGTTCCTGTTTGGTCTTCTCAGTTCCCGGTAAACAGTTTGTGATGGCTTATTGATCTCAAGCCCTTTGAACCCCACACAGTCCCTTTGCCAGCACGCCAAGTCTTTTAGAGGTCAAGCATCTCCGGTCCAAGATGTTTGGAAGGAAAACACCCTCTTTTCTGTTCCTTTTCCAGATGTCCCTGGGCCAGCTGCAGTCAGCAAGAGGTGTGGCATGTTTGGGATGCAAGGGGACGTGTTCGGGCTTCGAGCCACATTCATGGAGGTAACAGATTTTGTCAGGAGGGTCCCTGTCTGCCTTTGTTACTTGGCTGTCCTCTCGGGGAACCCTGGTTGCTTTCTTCGCTGAGACTGCTTTGGTTGTATGCGTTGTCAGGGAAGGATGGCTGCAGAGGGAAGGCACTCCTGCTTGGTCCAATTCAGAAACGAAAAAAGTCCTTGGGGGAGTGTGGCGGGGGCAGTAAAGATGTGAAGAAGGAGTTTAGCACTTCCTAAACCATTTCAAGGTAGAGTCCACCAAACCCAGCCCAGCAAGAATTGCTCTGGGAAGACCCAAGCAGAGGTTAGCTGGTCCCTTGTGCCTTTGGGGTATGCCTCGGGGTTTGGTGGATGGGGTGATCTCCCCTCACTGCACCAACTTCGCTGTGGATGGGTTTTGGTCTAGAGTGGCCCCTGGGACAGAAAGAGAGGTCATTCTGTCCACAGTACTTAAAAACCAGGACCTGGTATTCATATCTGCACAGGAGGACCATAAGATCCAGCTGGAGTTGGATTCGCAGAGGTTTTCTTTCTTTTTTTCCACTGAGGATTCTGAGGTTAAGAATGAGGCTGCCACAATGCAGCGTCCCTGGGCAGCATTCATGTCAGCATCTATGTGGATGGCACCTCTGGAGTGTGCAGGGAACAGACTGTAAGTCTGTCCCTGCGGCCCTGGGAGAGGAAAGTTAAGTTCTGTGGAGCACATAGCAAAGAAAGAGTTTTTATCACCACTGCTGTAGCGTTGCCTTGAGCGCTCAGTGGGGGGACAAAGTTTGGAAGGTGTTTTCGCAGCAATACTGACTTCCATTATGAGATGGGAATTATAAAAATAACTACGTATGAACTGAATGAAATCTTTTTTATTTAAATGTTGAAATAAACCTAAGCAGTAGGTATTAGTATCTCCATTTTGTTGATCAGGACATTGAAGGTAGGCAATGGGGCAACAACTACCAGATGGCAGGATTTGAACTCAGATCTGCATGAATCCCAATCCCATGCTCCTAATCGTTCTGCAGTACACAGGGCTATGAGCTTTCAGAGCAGAACACTGTTCCCTGACTCCATTCCCTGACAGTTCCCAACCTCAGAGGAGCTCGCACCGTCTTCTGGTTGCTAGGGACCTTCAAGGTCCTCCAACTCAGGCTTCTATCCCCTTCAAAAACTCCTTCTATAATTTAAACACTCCTAGGAGGAGTTCTCCACACTTACTATATTTTGGCCATTTGAGCTCTTTCTGGCCTGGAAAGAAAGTCAACTTCCTTATCATTTCAACCCCACTGGTCCTGAATCTCAGGACAGCGTTGATTCCTCCTCAGCAATTTGAAGACAGCTAGGACGTCTCCTTTTATATTTCTTGAGCCAGGGGAAAATGTTATCTAAATGCACCCACCGAGTCAATTCAATCAGTTTTCCCTTCTCTCAAGGACCTCAATCCTGTGCTCCCTGCTGTCCAACATCTGAAAATGATCATTTGGTATATTTTTTCTGGTTTTCCAGTTGTTCAGGAAGAGAGGACAATTCTGGACCCTATTTTTCATGGCAACAAGCAGAAGTCTCTTAGCATTGTTTTAATCCCTCCATTTTCTTGTCATCGTACAAATGATTTGAACATCAAGTGAATTTGTCTTTGAGAAATACAGATTGAAGCTTGCAGGTCCTGCATATCAAGTGTCATCCTTGGTTTGAAGAATCCAAATAGGGACTTAAATTAGACTCAAATTGAAGCAGTAACATCACAGAAGCTTAGGAGGGAAATCCTGTTAAACTTTTTTATGCTCCAGGTTTTAAACTCTCAATTGTTTGTAAGACATTTAAATGACCAAAGTGCCAACCAACATGGTTTAATAGGAAAGCCCTTCAACTAATCATCACAGGACAGAATTCAGTCCCAGATTACCAATGACAGATTACAGAAATGGCTGTTTTAATACCGTTGAGGATATTTTGGGGTGTGCCTGTGTCCTCTATAATCTGGGCACCTGGAAAGAGTGGGGTGGGGTGAGAGGGGTGGATCACTCATGTATAAAGTCCTAGAAATGTGCCTGGCCACATGAAGAGTGTGAATAAAAGGAGAAATTGTGTTGACACCATTTCAAGGAACATCTCAGATCTGTTAACTTTTTTTTGTTTTGAAATGTTTTGCATTCCCAGCCTCTCTAATTATCATCCTGAAATTCCACATTAACTGCAAAAGCTATGCGCAGCCTCCTCATCTAGTTCCATTTATGGAAAGTATTGGGGAGGTCAGAAGGTCAGATGGGACACTGAAGAGTCAGGTTCCTCCATGTCCCTCTATGCCAGGATTTCCTTCACTTTCTGCCTCTTCCTTCTCCTTCCACTTCCAGCCCTGCTGTTCTCACTCCCCTGATACTGCCTAGTGCCTGTCTTCTTAAAGAAGCAGGCTTCTCATGCCTGGCTCTGAAAATGGATAAGCAAGAGAATATTATTGATTGTGAATAAAATGCAAAACAAAACAACCCATTTTTATTTTTATTTATTTAATTTTTTTTGAGAAGGAAAACCTTCTCATTTATTCCCTGCAGCACCCTGAGGGTCATTTTCTCCTTTTTGCTACTGGAACACATCCTTGAGATTGTCAATTTTAACATCTCTCAAATTGCAGCCCACTGAATGTGAACTTGTACTGCAAGCTTCTCCAGTAGCATTCAAAATGTCATGCTGCACATCACCGTATCAAAGTCAAAGGAGTAGCTTTGCACTAAAGAGAGGTGTTTAACCTCCCTTAACCCACTGTTTTCCAAACTCATGACCACTAAGCACCAAGCCTTTTTCTATGTACCACATACTAATCTCCTGGAGAACTGGCCCAGGCCAGTAGAACTACTCCCAGATTTTAGGCAACTCTCTTCTGCCCTGAATGTATTCTACTTTATATAATTTCCATCTGATTTTCTCTCCCTGTCCCATCCCAACTGTAAGCTCCTTAAAGGTCACAACAAGGCCTTCTTCTCTTCATATTCAGTAAGGGGTTCCCAACCTCTCAGCACAATTGACATTTTGGGCCTCATAATTCTTTGTTGTTGGAGCTATTCTGTGGAATGTAGAATGTTTACAGCATCCCTGGCCTCTACCCACCAGACACCAATAGCACTCCTCTACCCCACTGGGACAATCGAAGATGTCTCCAGACATTGCTAATTCTGTCCTTTGGGACAGAATTGACCTTAGTTGAGAACCACTAATTTAGACCATCAGGGCTTGCCCCCACTAGCCCCACAATCAACGTTTGTGATATTCGATCAGACGTATTTACCTCCTGACTGTAGGAGGGAAAAGGAGGGTTCCCTCAGCCTTGCCGATCATTCAGCTGCAGTGACCTCCCTTGCTGGGCCTCCCTCATCCCTGCAGTTGGCCTTGACATTGCTCACTTTACTGTACAAGCTCTCAAGTTGCATGCAGAAGAGCATCTGAGACCCAGCACAGCCTGCCCATGGTGACAGGCCGGAAAGGGAGGGGAGCGATTTTCCTCTCACGCCGTGGAACTCTCTTGATTTCTAAACCTTAACAGCATGACACCAAGTAGCCACAGATTTTTGTTTTTAATTGTCAAAGAGAAGCATGAGGCTTTTTAGTAAATCTGAACCCTCCCCAGGATGTGTTTCCTTCTTCTGACAAAGCCTTCCCAATACACATCCATCTCCCCAGCCAGAGGGGTTTTCTGACCTCTCTCCCTGCTGGGTCCTGTTCACAAATTTCTTGAAGAAAATATTCACTGCATTCTAACGGCAGTATTTATGCTAAAGAGTTTAAAAGTTGCTGAAGCTCCGAGGCTATGATCTTGGAAAACAATTTTAATAATTCTTTAGAGCAGGAGTTTGCAAACTTTTTTTGTAAAGGGCCAGAAAGTACATATTTTAGGCTTTGTAAGCCAGATACTCTCTGTTGTAACTACTAACTCTGCTGTTGTTGCCCCAGATCAACCACAGACAATATGTTAATGAGTGGTCATGGCTGTGTTCCAATAAAACTTTATTTACAAGAGCAGATTGTGGGCCAAGTTTAGGCTATGGGCCACACAGACTCCAGCCCAGCTTTAGAGCATCTCTGATGAACAAATCAGCCTTTGCCGTGGCAACCACCAGGAGGGAAAACATACCACTCTTTTTACCAGCACAAGTTATATCCTACATTCCTCACTGATAGATTAATACAAACACTGTCATTTCCCAAATGCAGTTCCCAATTCCAAAGGCCTTTTTGTCTCAGGTTACCATTTGTCCGCTGCTAGTTTTTCCAACTTAAAGTTTTAGCTTGCTTTCAAAAGGGTAGATGCTGCTAGCAGGAGAATGTGCCTCTTTTTCCTGGAGGTTAATCTCACTGGTCCCCATCCACCCACCCCCAGGAAAATATGCAAGTCTTGCAAATGCAGCCAAGAGGACCACTGCCTAACATCTGACCTAGAAGACGATCGGAAAATTGGCCGCTTGCTGATGGACTCCAAGTATTCCACCCTCACTGCTCGGGTGAAAGGCGGGGACGGCATCCGGATTTACAAGAGGAACCGGATGATCATGACCAACCCTATTGCTACTGGGAAAGATCCCACTTTTGACACCATCACCTACGAGTGGGCTCCCCCTGGAGTCACCCAGAAACTGGTAAGAGAGCTTCCCCAACCAAGCAGTTGTTTTCCTATCCTCATAAATACTAGCCATGTCAAGTGTTTCTGAATTTCAAACATGGGGTGGCAAGAGCTCAAGGTCACAAAAATGACAGGAGTGGCTGTGGTTTTAGCCCTGCCCTTATATCATGTGATGTTGAGAAATGAAGACTATCTGGGCCTCGGTTTTCCTTATCCATGAAATGGGTAGAGGTGTTCATATGGACCCCAAGAGGCCTTGCAGCTCTAGTACAGGGGCATTTATTGTTCCATTTGGGCTCCTCACTTCTGAACAGGAGATAGTTTATCACTCAAAATTCTGAGTGCTTATCTCCATCTGCAAGATATTCATTTTCCCTTGAAGTAGCCTGGGATATGCCCTTTGCAAACCTGTAGGAGAGCAGAGAAACATTTCTCTCTTCTGCCTAAATGCTGAAACCTATTGGTCTTAGGAGGGAGAGCCAAACTGGTTTTATATAACCTTGAACAAAAGCAACCAGAGAAATCTCAAGTAAATGATCAGAGAAACCCTGAGGAGGGCAGAAAGGACACAGGTCCAGAGAGAGCAAGTGACTCACACAAGGTTACACCCTAGCTGCTCGCTGGAATCCCCGGGACCTGCAGAAGGTCTCCATACCCAGGTCTCATCCCAGACCATTGAGTCAGAAGCTCCAGACTACAAAATCCAAATCATCAGATGTGACCATTTAAATGACTCCCCGTGCAGCCACCTTCAAGATCCAATGCACCAGATCAGGGCTCCTACAATCTCAACATGGGTAGATATCACCTGGGGAGCTCATCAGAATGCATCCAGCAAGTTCAGGGCCATCCTGAGATACCGCACGCCTGACATACTCCCAGGTGATGTTGATGCTACTGGTCCCCAGAACCTTACATGTGGAGTAACAAGAGGCTGGATGATTTCTATATGTTAATACAATTTGTAGAAGGTTCAACAATTTTAAAAATGCAAGCATGGCATTTAATTGAATATCTGCTGGAAGAAAAGGAGTGCCTTTGGAGCCCTTCATGGCCCTATCCTTCAGGCTCCTCCATGGCTCCCATCACTGTGCTCTCACTCCCAACATCTCAACACCTTAAGACACTCTGACTTCCTCCTTCCAGTGCTAGAACACACCAAGCTCCTGCCCTCCTTGGGGCCTTCGCACGTCCTGCTCCTTTTCTGAAAGGTTCTTTCCTTGCTCTTCCCAAATAGTCCTTCTCCAGATATTCAGTTTACAATAGATGTCACCTGCCATCCTATCACATTTTTTATTTCTTTTCGTTTCTTTAACAACTTTTATTGCAAACAGATTATCTTTTTTCTGTGCCTAGATATGAGGGCAGACACCCTGCCTGTCCTGTAAACCGTAACATCCCTGCACCCAGGACGGTGCAGGGTGCAGGACAGGTGTGACGAGTGTTAGTGCAATGTCACCTTTTAGGCCAGAGATGCTCTAAGTGTGGGCTGTGGACTGGAGCTCTTCCGCACAGTCTTTGTGACCTGGACCCAATGAAAAAAGTTGAGAAATTGAGAATATATGTTGGGAAAATGTTACAGCAATTTGACATGCAACTGTGTGATGGGATGAGAACTCATATCAGAACAGAATTCCACTGTGGTAAGACTCACACTGAAATCTCATGGGGTATGCGCTACATTCTAATCACATGAGAGAGACCACAAATCACTCTGCAATAAGTAAAAAACAAACAAACCTTGATCCTTCGCCATAGAGAGTTTCAGAGGCACAGTTCTAAGCTGTTGCCTTAGGGGGGAAAATCCCTTCCAGATAAAATGAAAAGAGACTAAGATTTTTTTCTTAATCTGTACTTTTTGATAAAGAAGAGCACATTTTAAAAGAACACTTCAGCATCCATGGACTCGATCACCCTGTAAGGCCGAGTTGTTTTACATGTAAGGAAACACAGAATGGTTAATTGGCTTTCAAAAGTTTTTAGTACTAGACAGGGGCTTGTCCCGGGCCACAGAGTGTGGCCACAGAACAACAGCAGAGCCAGGACATGCCCGGTAGTTCAGAGCTCAGGTCTCCCTCCAGCCCCAGGTCTGGGTAAGCTATCAAGCACGTCTCCAGGATGTCAGTGGAAACTAAAGCAAGCAGCTCATGAAAGAGCTGGCTGCGGGCTTCAGGGACCGGCTGGTGAAAACCCCAAACACATTGACCCCAGACTAATCAGGGGAAGCCATCGTCAGGCAGTGATTAATGCTGGCTCATAAAACCACATGGCTGTAAAGAACCCCTCTGTCTGCTCTTCATCTGGGCGTCCAGGGCAAGTCCCATTTCTGAGATTGGACAACTCCCCCTTCCCACTCACCTTCCCAACATTTTTATTATTATTATTATTATTATTATTATTATTATTATTATTATTGTACTTTAAGTTCTAGGGTACATGTGCACAACGTGCAGGTTTGTTACATATGTATACATGTGCCATGTTGGCGTGCTGCACCCATTAACTCATCATTTACATTAGGTATTCTCCTAATGCTATCCCTCCCCCAGGCCCCCACCCCACCACAGGCCCCAGTGTGTGATGTTCCCCATCCTGTGTCCAAGTGTTCTTATTGTTCAATGCAGCCATAAAAAAGGATGAGTTCATATCCTTTGTAGGGACATGGATGAAGCTGGAAACCATCATTCTGAGCAAATTATCGCAAGGACAGAAAACCAAACACCGCATGTTCTCACTCATAGCTGGGAATTGACCAACTTTTTTTTAATTACCGAATGATCAAGACTGATTATATTTTGGGAATGGGACCGAATTTTGCTATCTCTCATCCTTTGCAACCAGAATGAAAGTCTGAGCAATTCTTAAGCCTTCAAATGCTGATAACAATAAGCCTAATTGTGGATATTTGTTAAGTATTTACTGTATACTAGCCACCATACTAGGAGCTATCCATGCACAATCTCATCTAATTATCCAGCACTGTTAGAAGTATACTATCATTACCCTCAGCTACAAAGAAGGAAACTGAGGCTCAGAGAGATGATGCAACGATGCAGCTAGCCCAATGTCCCACAGCCGATGTAAGTGACAGAGCCAGGTCTTGAACTCAGGCCACCCTGACTCCAAAGTTTGGGCTCTTCCCTACCAATCCAGGCCAGGCCAGGCGAACTGGCAGGTGGGAGGGGAGGCAGGAAGGAGCAGATACCCTGGGTTAGCATTTTCAGGGAAGGCTATCATGAACAGGAAGCAGCTTGAGTGTGGCTTTGAAAGCTGCCAGGATTTGGGGGAAGGAAAGAGGGAGAAGACAAAGGAGACCAGCATCCACTGAGCATTTGTATGTGTATCTCATGAACACCTCACCGCGCCCTATGTGCTGAGTATGTTACAGGCTCATTTTACAGAGGAGCAGACAGAGGCCCGTGAGGAGCCAATGCAGGGGTGGCACTTACTCATACCTCGCCCTCTGCTTCCAGACCCATGGCAGGCATTACTTATCAGTCAGAGTACTGTTTCCCATTGACTTCTTATCGGCCCTCAGGATCCTTCTTCACATAGCACTCTCGGTCACCACTATGGACTGGGGTTGACTTGTCAGATGAAGCCCATTTACTGTTCTTGGCTGCCAGCAGAAGAATCAGGAAGAGAAGAATCAGAACAGGGTCTCCGGATTCCAGAGCCCATGTGTGTTTCACTGCCTAATCCAGGGTACAGGAGTGCCTTCCCTTCCACTTTGCTTTGCATTTTTAGTTTCTTTCCTGATACAGGCAGATTCCTGGAACCTCTCCACCCAAGATGTCCCGACCAGGTTGCAGAGCACCAAGTAACTCAGAAAGGTCCTCAGGGGGCCAGGTGCAGTGGCTCGCACCTGTAATCCTAGCACTTTGGGAAGCCGAGGCAGGTGGATCACCTGAGGTCAGGAGTTTGAGACCAGCCTGACCAACATGGTGAAACCCCTCTCTACTAAAAATACAAAAATTAGCCGGGTGTGGTAGCAGGCGCCTGTAATCCCAGCTACTTGGGAGGCTGAGGCTGGATAATCGCTTGAACCCGGGAGGCAGAGGTTGCAGTGAGCCGAGATTGTGCCACTGCACTCCAGCCTGGGCAACAAGAGCAAAACTCCATCTCAGAAAAAAGAAAAATCAAGAAAGGTCCTTAGGAAAAACATAAAACCTAAACCAACCTTTCCAACTGGTCTGAGAAAATGCTTCCTGCTAAAGGTTATGGGAACAAGATTTAGCTCCTATGACGTAGTCAGGTATGAGACGTAGATAACATGACGTAGTCGGGTATCAGAGAGATACCTGGGAGATTCTGTTTCAGAGTCAGAGCAGTGCCAGGTCGTTGACTCCGGCCCAAACCTCTGTCCCTGTCATCCCCTTCCCAAGTCCGTGCCAGTCAATAGTGGTTGCTTGGAGGGCTGTGTTAAGAGGGATTCTGAGGGCTTGATTAGCAACGTTTGTGAATAGGGAGCAGTGGTGGAAGTCTCAGACCAGCCAGGCAAGGCCAGGATCACAAAGTACACACCAGTGGCAGCTGGATGCAGTGGCATTGACCATGCAAAGACAGAGAGGCTGGAGCTTTTTTTTTTTTTTTTTTTTTTTTGTGACTGCTTCTTCCTCTGTCGCAGTGGCAGGATCTGATCTCACTACAACCTCCGCCTCCTGGGTTCAAGCGATTCTCATGTCTCAGCTTCCCAATTAGCTGGGGCTATAGGCACACACCACCATGCCCAGCTAATTTTTTTGTTGTTGTTTTTAAGTAGAGATGGGGTTTTACCATGTTGGCCAGGCTGGTCTCAAACTCCTGACCTCAAGCCATCTGCCCGCCTTGGCCTCCCAAAGTGCTTGGATTACAGGCATGAACCACCATGCCCAGCCCCAGCTGGAGCTTTGAGCTGCAAAAGGATCACTGGGTCCTTGGGAAGGGAAACTCCCTTTCTCCAAGGCTCCAGCCAGGAAGCACATTAGCCCTGCAGCCACAGACACCCAATGCCAGTGCAGAGCCGTGAAAGGACACCGTGAACGCAGGGGTCAACTAACATCTGGCTGGCGAAGCCGCTGCCCCAGGATCCCTAGCACACCATTTATTGTAAAGCTCAGAAGAAAAGGGTGCAGGCCCTGGAAAGCCAGAGAAACAGACACATCCAGGGAATGGGGGATCCTGTTACCACTTGATGCTTACCCAGCCCGCTCACTCTGAAATGATGACAAAAGGAAATGCCTCCAGAGATTGGGGAATATTTTTCCTCTTGGAAAATCATCCGTCTTCTAGAGAGGCAGCAGAGAAGGGCTTGAGACCCATGCTGCTGGGTTCATAGCTGTCTCTATCACATACTAGCTGTGTGACCTTGGGGAGGTTACTTAACTTCTCTGTGCCTCTGTTTTCCAAAAGGTAACATTAGTACCTTCCTCCTAGGGTTGTTGTGAGAATTAAATGGGTTAACGTGTGTGAAGCACTTGGAAGAGTGCCTGGATCATAGCAAGCCCTCCCTAAGAGTTGGCTGTTCCTATCATCTCTTCAACTGCTGAACATGGAGAAGTCAGCAGTCTTCCCAGGAAGGGCAATTACTCTCCCATGAGCCGAATCAGCCTGGATGGGGCTGCTTCGGAACTTGGTGTTAGTAAGATGCTAGTCAGGCCTGATCCCCACTCTGGCAGAGTGAGCCAAGCTCTTCTTTCCACTTCTCCGAAATCCTTCTTTAGATTCTGGAAGCAGGGGCAGGCCCTGGGCAAGAAATAGGAAGGGGACGGTGTGAGCAAAGTTGCCACCCAAGGCTACACCCTAACGCATCTCTGCAGGGCTCTGTGCCTGCCCTCGCCTGTTGGCCGTCCGGCTGCCACTTCTCACTGTCTCTGATGGTCACATCCTCTTTCCCCACTCACTGCCCCGAGAGAAGCCCCAACCCTGGGGTATCCTGTGTCAGAGCCACCCAGGAGAAACTGTTTTAAACTGCTGATAGATAGATAGATAGATGATAGATAGATAGATAGATAGATAGATAGATAGATAGATAGATAGACAGACAGACAGAGAGATAGACAGACAGACAGATAGACAGACAGACAGACAGATAGATAGATAGATTTTGAGACATGCTGCCCAGGCTAGACTGCAGTGGTGTGATCACAGCTCACTATAACCTTAAGCTCCTGAGCTCAAGCGATCCTCCCACCTCAGCCACTGAAGTAGCCAGGTCTACAGGCATGTGCCACCACACCTGGCTGATTTTTCAGTATTTTGTAGAGATGAGGTCTCTCTGTTTCCCAGGTTGGCTTCAAGCAATCCTCCTGTGTCAGCCTTGGAAGTGCTGAGATTACAGGCATGTGCCACCGCTCCTGGCTTAAAGTGCTCATTTCTAGGGCTCTCCAGACCTCCTAAATCAGAACCTAAGGATAGACCCAGAAAACTTTTCACAAGGTCTCCCAGTGATTCTTATGCACCCTAAAGTTTGAGGTTCTTCAGACCTACCTGACTGACATATTTGTGCTAAAAGCCACCTGTAATTTCATACTGATCAAGAAGAAAACTACCAGATACCCCAGTCTCCTAAGACGGGGTCAGGACGAAGCCCTTCCCAGATGTTGCTGCAGTTGTGTGATGCACAGGGGCTTCTGCTCGTCCACATGGTTGGTGGACTATCTTGGCCTCTTTGACAGGAATCCACCGTCTCCTTCCCCTTTCCTGAACTGTAACCTCGGGTTAGTGATATTGCTCTTCTCTCTCTCTTGGTTATGGTGACCATTGAATGAGATTGCCAGGGACTTCTCATGACGGTCAGAACCCTAGGGATTACATAATCTACCCTGAACTTTGTAGATGAGGAAACTGAGGCCCAGGAGATACTTTCTCAGTCTGACATAGAGAGCAGCAGGAGAACTGGACCTAAAACCCTGACTTCCAGACACTCCACCACCCAGGTCTTCTCTTCTGTCTGAGAAAGCACCTTGAAAAGCATTCAGAGGTGTGCAGACATACCTGGGATTAGCTGGGTATGCTGTGAGCTTACAGTGCCAGAAGGTGTCTCAGATAGGTGTCCTCTGGGATTTAGGGCAGAGTGACCAATGGGGCGTCTGCAGCCACCCCTCAATTGGAGTCCCACAGGAGCTCAGGTCACCTGCCTTTCCCCTTTCTATGCTGTTTCCCAGAATTTATTTACTATGAATCCCAGCAGGTACCAAGCCCTAGACTTGTACTCCCCCACCCCACAACAACCCTAGCTTCCTCACCACTGCTCCCTAAAATCAGACAGCAACAGGGTCTGTACAATATGCATTTCAGCATGAATTTCCATGTTCACTCCCACAGTTCCCAAATGAGTCCAGCCCCAAGCGATAAGCTATGGGCCAGATGGGTTCTAGGAGGATGAACCTAGCAGCAGCCACCTCAGTGATAGGAATCAGGAGACTGGGTACTAAGGTTCAGAGTCAGGGTCAGGCACAGAAATGGAAAATGGTTGTCCAGGATGAGCAATTTGCCTCTCACGGTTTCTCAGGCCGTGGTCCTGACCTGTATCTTCCCCTAATCTCCCCGTCCCTGGGACTCACCCATGCATAAGAATTACGTTCAATAAAAACAAATATATAAATGAGGCCAAATTGGACAGTTACTTGTGAACACATTAATATTCAGACAGTTACCAGTCATATTAATGGGGAAATGTTACTGACCTGAGACCTTGTCGATTCTACTATTAGAAGTTGACTTTGCATATTTTTTAATTAATAAACCATGAAATACCTTATGTCCATAATGATTTAATTATACTTTTCTAAGAAAAAGCGATTTTAGACAAGGTTGACTTTTTTTTTAATTAGGAATGTTGCCCAGGAGGTAAATGAAATAAAAATATTCAGTTTTGAGAGAAACAAAATTCATGTTGCAAAGCCAGCAAATCTAAAATGATCATCTACTTAAATTACACCATTCTGATCAAGAATGTGAATCTCTGACTATAACTTGGAGCAGAGTAAGAGCTCATTTAGGCATCTCTCAGGTATTAGCAAAATTCATATTTCTTCCTTGAGAATTCTTACATTTTGCAAAAGCCTGAAGCAGCTAGGAATCGTCCTCTGGCCTTTCCTCAGATCTCTGTCCAGTGCTCGAGAATCCCAGTTGTTTATCTCACTAATTTTTTTGTTTGCCAGTATTTTATTGAAACAGTAGTGCAAGTAAAGTCCAGGAGCCAACTTCTTGCATCAGATTTACCAGGATTCTTGTTAAAAATGCAGATTCCTGTACCCCACACCTCACCTACTGGATGGAGATCTTGACTGGGGCTTGGTGCCTGGGAATCTGCATGTTAGTAATTTTTCGCAGGGTTATTGTACACTGTGTCCATTGAGAGACACTACTTTGACATATGTAGCTGGTGAGTCTAACTGTAATCAGAGATTTGAAAAGAGAAAAGCCACAGATAGAAAAGCAAACAGGGTCAGGTGCGGTGGCTCACACCTGTAATCCCAGCATTTTGGGAGGCCGAGGTTGGTGGAGGTCAGAAGTTCAAGACCAACCTGCCAACATGGCGAAACCCCGTCTCTACTAAAAATACAAAAATTAGCCGGGTGTAATGGCTCACGCCTATAATCCCAGCCACTCCGGATTCTCCTGCTGAGGCAGGAGAATCGCTTGAAGCTGGGAGGCAGAGATTGCAGTGAGCTAAGATCAGGCCATTGCACTCCAGCCTGGGTGACAGAGCGAGACTCTGTCTCAAAAAAACAAAACAAAACAAAAAAAAAGAGAAAGTCAGTAGCATGTAGATCAGGAGTGTCCAATCTTTTGGCTCCTCTGGAAGAAGAATTGTCTTGGGCCACACATAAAATACACCATCACCTAACGATAGCTGATGAGCTTAAAAAAAATCACAGAAAAATATCATAATGTTTTAAGAATGTTTATGAATTTTTTACAAATTTCTGTTGGGCCACATTCAAAGCTGTCCTGGGCCATATGTGGCCCATGGGCTGTGGTTGGAGCAGCTTGGTAGGCGCTGTGGTTCTTTTAAGTAATCCTATAGCCACCCTAGGGTTTACGATCCTCCTTTTTACAGCTGAAGAACCTGTGCAAAGAGACGGCATGACATGGCCACAGTCACACCGCCGGCATGCCTACAACCAGGATTTCAGTTCAGGACAAGCCGATTCCAGAGCCTTTGCTCTTGCTACTATGGTAGAAGGGACATGGCCTGCCCTCAGGGATTGAACTGTCCCGCTAGAGGGTCAGCTCAAATACACTAGGAATGGTTAAGGACTAGGGAGAGACCAAAGCATACAGTGCTGCTTGTAAGAACAGGAAAGAAGAGAGAGGGCTTTTCCTTCCAGGGGCAGGGGGAGGTGTAAGTCCATGAGTGAAGGTAGAAATCAAGCCTATCAATTGTGGGGCCAGTGAGAAGAGAGCGCCGAGTGGGACACAGGTTTTGTGAGGGCAGCCAGCTGGCATAACTTTTGTCATTATACTGTTAAGAGTTTTATCAACTGGCTACCGTCTAGCAAATGATACTAAAGAAGAGGTTTAAAAGCAGCAACTTTTCTTTGGTGATAGAGGCAAACTAGTAAATGTAATTATTACCATTAATTGAAAGTCAGAGAACAGAGCAAAATGAGCTTTATTCAAATTCTGATGGAAAACCTAGCCCATGAGTAAATGTAGACTCCTTTTTCTTTCCACTGCCATCCAAAATTGAAAACTACAGTGTTCCTTGGAGAATAAGCAATAAAATAATGATTATTATTAGCAAGTAGACAGCTAGCTACTTAACCAACAGATAGAGCACACAATAGCAGATGCAAACAAGTGTCTCTTTCTCACACGCAAGATTGTTCCCTGTCCCACACCATGACATGGGCTGGCCCAGTCACAGGAGAAACAGAACCCACTGACCAAGGACTCATGTTAAATGGTACACACGCACAGAAAATAGCATTTAAATACATTAAGTACAACCCTACTTGTTATTTGTTCCAGGCAGAAAGAAGACTGGGTGCCCTTATTTAATAAATATACTATTGTCTGGAACGATAAACACAAAGTTGTTGGCAAGCTGTTACCATGAGCCAATAAGGTGTAAGTTTTTAAAATCCTTTTTAAAACAAAGGACAGTCATACACCACTTAATGCTGGGGTTTCGTTCTGAGAAATGTGTCCTCAGGTGATGTTGTCTTTGTGTGAATGTCAAAGAATGCACTTACACAGCCAGGCGCGGTGGCTCATGCCTGTAATCCCAGCACTTTGGGAGACCGAGGCGGGTGCATCACTAGGTCAGGAGATCAAGACCATCCCGGCTAACACGGTGAAACCCTGTCTGTACTAAAAATACAAAAAAATTAGCAGTGGCGGGCACCTGTAGTCCCAGCTACTCGGGAGGCTGAGGCAGGAGAATGGCGTGAACCCGGGAGGCAGAGCTTGCAGTGAGCCGAGATCACACCACCGCACTCCAGCCTGGGCAACAGAGCGAGACTCCATCTCAAAAAAAAAAGAAAAGAATGCACTTACACAAACCTAGATGGTGTAGCCTGCTACGCATCTAGGCTACGCAGTATAGCCTATTGCTCCTAGGCCACAAATTGTACAGCATGTGACTGTACTGAATACTATAGGCAATTGTAACACAATGGTCAGTCAGTATTTGTGTATATAAACATATCTAAACCTAGAAAAGGTATAGTGAAAATAGAGTATGATAATCTTATGGGACCACTATGGTATATGTGGCCCATCGTGGACTGAAATGCCGTCATGTAGCACACGATCATACAGTATGCATATGGCAAAGTGCGTGCATCTGATGTGTACAGCTTGATGAGCTTTGACACAGATACATTTCCATGGCCCTTTCACCAAGATTGAGACACAGAACACTCCCTACATACACAAGGTAGCTAAGGGATGCGTGTTTTTCCTTTACTAAAGTTTTTTCTCTCATGTGTGTTTTATTTGTCACAATGGACAGTATTGCTTTTGTAATTTTCTAAAATTACAAAAGTAATCTAACTGCATTAAGTTAAGAAAATAAAGACTGTGGGTCTTTCAGTTGCTGAGAATGCTGGAAGAGAATGCATTTTCAGTTTTAGGTAGATTCTGTCATAGTTTCTTTGACTGATGAAGCCCCATCCACATCATGTTGTCTCTTCCTCCTCCTCCTCCCTAGGGACTGCAGTACATGGAGCTCATCCCCAAGGAGAAGCAGCCAGTGACAGGCACAGAGGGTGCCTTTTACCGCCGCCGCCAGCTCATGCACCAGCTCCCCATCTATGACCAGGATCCCTCGCGCTGCCGTGGACTTTTGGAGAATGAGTTGAAACTGATGGAAGAATTTGTCAAGCAATATAAGAGCGAGGCCCTCGGCGTGGGAGAAGTGGCCCTCCCGGGGCAGGGTGGCTTGCCCAAGGAGGAGGGGAAGCAGCAGGAAAAGCCAGAGGGGGCAGAGACCACTGCTGCTACCACCAACGGCAGTCTCAGTGACCCGTCCAAAGAAGTGGAATACGTAAGTTTCTCCCATGCTTCCAGCCAGGCTGAAACCATGCAGGCCCAGGGCTGGACAGTCAGGGCCCCATCACGGGGCTTTGTTCCCTCATTCATGCATTTATTCATGAATTTGTGCATTCAGCAGATATTGATTGCTCATTTAGTCTGTGCCAGGCACTGTCCCATGGAAAATGATACAATACCACTGCCCTTGAAAGGCTCATAGTCCAGTGGCGGTCACAGGCAAAACCGAAACAGTTTAGAGAAGGGACATCTAAGCCTGCTTGGTGGTGAGGGTAAGCTTCAAGAAGTTGGTGAGGTACAAGCTGGTCTACGAAGAATGTCTAGGGGTCATCCAAGCCTTCAGGCTTTGAGGGGAGGATGTGTACCCCCTTAAAGAGGTGAGCATTTGCAAAAAGAGCCAGGAGTTCAAGAAAGCACAGTGCATTTAGAAGATTAAAAGAAGTCCCACGTGATTGAAAGTGTGGCATGCTTGGGGAGCTGGGGACATGAGGCTAGGGAGGGCAGCAGAGGCTGGATTCCTGGAGGGTTCATTCCATCCATCCATTCATCAGTCAAATACTGATTAGCTTGTATTAGCTGCACTGCCCCAGGAAATCAAACAAGCAGAGGACACTGTCCCCAAACTGCAGAATGCCATGAACTTAGTTAGGACTTTATTCCAAAGGTCATAGACAGGCTTTTGGTCAGAGGTACATGGTCCATGCTGTGCTTACAAAAGTTTCCTCTAGCAGTGTCTTAGTACATTTTCTGTTACTTATAGCAGAATACCTGAAACTGGGTAATTTATAAAGAAAAGGAATGTATTTCATACATCTGTGGAGGCTGAGAAGTCCAAGGCCAAGGGGCTGCATCTGGTGAGGGACTTCTTCCTGGTGAGCACTCTCTGCAGAGTCCTGAGGTGGCTCAGGGCATCATGTGGCAAGGGGGCTGGGTGTGCTAACTCGGGTCTCTCTTCCTCTTCTTAGAAGCCAGTCCCACTCGTGTGATAACCCATTAATCTATTAAGCCATAAGTGGATTAATCCATTCCTGAGGACCTGAGCCCTCACGACCCAATCATCTCTTAAAGGCCCCACCTCTCAATACTGCCATGCAGAGGATTATGTTTCAACCTGAGTGTTTGGAGGGGATGTTCAACCCATAGGAAGTGGCAGTGTGGAAGAAGTGCTGCTGAGGAGTGAGTCACTGGGGGCCATTTTGAGAAAACAGAAAGGAGAAGCCAGAGTTGGGGAGATGAAAGCCTCATGGCTTGGTTTGTCTTAAACTGCCCCACAGAAGGCGAAAGGAATGCTTGAGGCTGGACCACGTGGGTCTAGCGTGTACTGCGTTTCTGGTCCCCAGCCCCTGTTTTACCTTTTGCTCCTCCTGCCCCATCAACCAAGTGTCTTCATTTGTTTCTATGGCAATTAACTTTTGGAGATAGAAGTCCCAGCACACGAGATCCCCAAGCACATTATCTACCTTGCTGAACAGGCTGGCAGTCACACATGAGCCAGGCGACCCAGGGAAATGCCAGCCCAAACAAAGCTGCTGCCACATCCAGAGAGGGCCGGACTCTTTCTCCCTTGTAGTCACTCAAGCTAATCATCCAAAACCTGCATCCTCCATCTCCAAGCCCCATCTTATTAGCACCATCTGGGATTGCCAACCAAGAAACTGTTTTATCTGAGAACTCTAAGACCAAAGAACAAGATTTATTTCCTCTACTACAGATTTGGCAGTGACGCATAAAAGGCCCATTTCTCAGGAAGAATACATGTCCTAAGGATGTAAAAAAGAAAAAAATATTAGATCTAGTTACCATGGTCTATAAACTGGTCTTTTCCCGCCCCACCCTGATCCTGGCTTCTGTCCACCCTCAAATAGCTGTTTGTTCATAAACCCTAAATACTAGATAATTCTAAGTTGGAAGGAGACCTCTAAGTCACTGTAGCATTTCCAAATCGCCATTCCCAAGAGACATGTGGATCTGACATCGTGTTTTATTCTTGACTGAGCCTCGCATATTTGTTCTGTGTGGAACAAAGGCAAAGGCAGCCCAAGAACCCGGGTCCTTGCCTACAGTCAGCTTTAGGAAATGATTGTGAACTTGGGAAGCATTTAAATAGCAATACTAGACAGTAAATGGAAAAGGCCAAAGTCAGAAAATAAGTAGGGATTCCAAAGGAAGCCTTTATTGGTTGGGCTAGGCTGGGCTAGCTGTGGAAGATAGACTTCTATGTCCCTGCCCCAACCACAATTTTACTTTAATTATTATGTAATTAGTGAATCGATGTCTGTCACCGTCTGTAGATGCTGAGGTCTTGTTCATCTCTTTATTTGCATTGATATACATAGCCATTGCTCAATAAATATGTGACCCATGAATGAAAGTTTGAACTTAAGCCTTAAAAAATGGGATCTATTTGGATGGCCAATTTGCCTAGGCGGACGGTGCGATTCCAGTTCCACATTTATTAAGCCCCTGCTCTGTGCCAAACACTATGCTCACACTGTCAGGGTCTATCTTTAATTCTTACAGTTGTCTGGTAGGATGAATTTTACCAAACCCATTTTACAGGTGAGATTCAAGGATAATAGGTAACTTTTCTAAGATCCCACGGTTTCTATGGGGCAGAACCTGGATCCAATACCCTTTCTGTGATAAGATGCTAAGTTGTAAAACCCGGCTTGTTATTTGTTCCAGGCAGGAAGAAGACTGTGTGCCCTTATTTAACTCCCTTTTTACCTCCTTGAAGCAGGGGAGGTAATCCTGAAAAGGGTAGCTAGATAGGCTGACAGGCCACAGACAGTGTGTTCCCAGCAACCCCGCCATTAGGAGTGGGTGTGGGCTGCACTCCCTGACCCGTCTGCCTTGCCTCACCAGCATTCACATCAAGTGGACGTGTGTGCTGGCTGCCCTGTATGCTTGCACCCTCTCCTTTCTCATAAAAGGGCAGCATAGAACAATTACCAGAGCCAAGCATCAGGCAGGAAGCCTGACTTCTGCTCCCCTGGTAAAGGGCAATGATTTTTGCAAGAAGTGGTCCAGGCATTCAACTTGAGAATAAAGGTGTGGGGAAGAAATTGTAGGACTCAGCCTGACACCCCAAAACCGAACAGAGATTAACGGGAGAAAAACGAAGGGCAAAAAGAGACATGAACATACGGGAACTGTATCGGTAACACCTGCCTGTTTATCATCTTAATCGTGTTCGTTGTGTTTGTCGTTACTGTCAGCAAGTCCGTGGGCATTGCCTGAACCAAGGACAGGACTAAGCAAGTATCTGATTTAAAGCTTACAACTGCCCCAAGATGTGAAGTGGCTGTGCCTCCCCAGGCTGCTGGGCCTCAGAACTGGGATTCAGTTGAACGTCTGCCTAAAATCAAGTCTATGTTCTTTCCCATTTCCCAAAGCTTATTCCTGGGAGAGCTACCAGATATTCTGGACCATAAAAGGATCATGTGGCTGGCTCAGGAGACGTTAGAGTGAACATGAAACTACGTGAGTTTCTTTACAGCAGAACTTCTCAGAGCCTTTAGTAGGCCTATGCTGTGGTCCTTACACTGAAATCACCTGGAAGGCTTGTTCAACTCCAGAAGGCTGGGTCCCCTTCCAGAGCTTATCAGTAGGTGTGGGGTGGAGCCTTAGCATGTGCATTGCTAACAAGTCCTCGGGTGATGCTGGTCTGGGGCTACACTTTGAGGACCGCTGCTAACAGTGTTAAAAAGTGCCTTACATGTGAGCTCAACAGAAATGATATCACCAATTTGGCCTATAGTGAGAGTCTAGATGGTAACATGGGCATTTTCCAGATGTATTTGGCCTGCTGGCTCTATGTATGTATGTATTTTGAGATGGAGTCTCACTCTGTCGCCCGGGCTGGAGTGCAGTGGCACAGTCTCGGCTCACTGCAAGCTCCGCCTCCGAGGTTCACGCCATTCTCCTGCCTCAGCCTTCCGAGTAGCTGGGACTACAGGCACCTGCCACCATGCCCGGCTAATTTTTTGTATTTTTAGTAGAGATGGGGTTTCATCGTGTTAGCCAGGATGGTCTCGATCTCCTGACCTCGTGATCCACCCGCCTCAGCCTCCCAAGGTTATGTATGTATTTATTTATGTGGGATAGGGGGTGGATTACCCCAAGCGAGCCCACCTTTGAGAATACTGCATAACCCTCCCTGTTCCTGGAGAGCTCTGGAAGCACAGGTGCAGAATCTACCACACTATGCTCTGTAACCTACCTTGACGGCCCCCATCCCTGATGACACTAAGTCTCTGCAATCTGAGGCCAGGGCCCCACTTTCCCCTACACCCACCCCCCGACACACACACCAGCTGTGAGCTCCCTCGGCTCCCTCCCACCTTGTCCACCTGCTGGGGGACGTCCTTCCTCTGAGTCCTTGGGAGGTGGCCTATTGGAGCAATGGCAGGGTCAGCCTGCCAAGTTCTCCCACCCAGCCCCCCACCTAACCATCCTCATTGGAAAAAAATGTCCACACCAGAGAAGCGTTATTGCAAAAATGCCTGTATGGAATTCCTACTAAGGGGCCATGTTCTGAGTGAGCCCAGATAACAGTGGTGGCCAGGTTGCAGGACACACTGCTGTCTGAGCCCAGCCCACCTGCATGGCCGGGGCTGTCAGTTACACAGATCTGAACACAGTGAGCAGAATCTGACCCCACCCCCAGCTTCCCAACCCCAGGCCAGCAGACGGGCCCTACTGACGAGACGGGGCCACCTAAAATTAGCCTTGGCACCTCGGTCCACTTCAGAAATGAACCAAAAGCTGTGGCTGTCCATGCCTACCTCAGGGCAGTCCTCTGAAAGTGTTATTATTACACTGAGGTTAGGAGAGGCAGGATATCATGGGAAGGTCCTCCGGCCACCAAGTTGTCAGAGTTGCCCTCTTCATGGGGCAATACCAAGCCTGAAAAATCCCAGTGCCAGATGCTACTGCACCCACTGTCACCCCTGAAGAAGCGAGCCCTTTTCCATCAGTGAGGCCAATACAATTCAAAAATATTTAGTCTCCCTCTTTTCCTCACATGTCCCATTGTGCGGGGATGGAGGGTAGGAAAGAAGACAAGTTGAGAATCAAGGGAAGAAAGGGGAAACTGTGAGGCTGCAGCAGGCACTGTGTAAGGTCTCAATCTCTTTATTTTTATTTTTTTAGATACACGGCTCTCACTCTCTCACCCAGGCTGGAGTGCCGTGGCAGGATCATAGCTCACTGCAGCCACAAACTCCCGGGTTCAAACCATCCTCCCGCCTCAACCTCCCAAGTAATAAACCTCTTTAACTCTTGGTAACAACCAGTGAGAGAGGTTGGGGTTGTGATACCCATTTCGCAGATGAGGACCCTGGGGCGCAGTGAGGTTACCCCACGTGCTGATGAGAGCGGGGCTTCGGTTCAATCCCCAGTCCTTCTGCTTCACCGGCAGAGTGAAGTCTGAAGCCGTGTTGGGGTGGGGCCTCGGCAGGGTGGGTCCGACCATGCCAGGGGATATATATGTGAGTGTTTAGGTTCTCCAGGGTGGGCAGCCGTGTATGGGGTAGCTTGCAGCTCAGCCCACTGAGCATTTGGGAGCCTCTTATCTGCGTACTGAGAACAATGAAAGGATTCCCATGTCCACCCCCAGTTCCACCCACTGTGGGTTCTTGTGGGCCTTTTGAGTATCAGAGATCTCCGTGGCCAGGGAGCTGCCGACTCCAGCAACCTGGACCCATTCACACCAGGCTGGTGGGAGCCCCTCGCGCACTCTCCAAGCCCTGCGCTCCCCACCTGGATGGAACTGATGGGCCCCTGAGCTGGGTGGGCAATGATCTTCATGTTCTGACTCTTAGCAGCTCCACCAAGCCATTGCCTTGCGTTTAGAGAGCTCGCTGAATATTTTCTCAGAAATTAAATACACAGATTTCCCGGGTATGGTCATTTTGCCCAGGAATTTCCGCCTTTCTCCACACCCCGAACTTGTAACTGAAGAAAGGGGAAAGAAAGCCAGAGCATAGCCTTTAATGTGATCTCTACTCTTTAGCATTTACCATTCCTGCCGGGCGCCTCCCCGTCTTGCCCCTTCCCCAACCACTCCTTCCTCAGGCCAAGTGACTGCCCCAAAAGAGCAAACTTAAGAGGAGGACAGCCCATTGAGAGAAGTGAAGATGTTCCCCACAGTCATAAAAACGCGTGAATATGGTCCGAAATCATCCTCCAGGATCCTGGGAGCACAGTCTGACCCCTCTGCCCCATTTCCCCACAAGAATGCTGAGAGGGGGACGGGAGGCCTCCGTCCCCTCCCTCCCCCCCGCCAAAGGTCTGCTTTTCAGATGGAAACTTACAGCAGCTGGCGGCTCAGCCCAACTCCAGCCCCAATAGAAGGACATATTTGTGGGCAAGGGACTTCCAAGTCTTTGTCTAAGCAGATGTTTGGCTTGTGGGCTCGGCAGGCAGGCTGGCTGGCTTTCCTGCCAGCCCCACTTGGGAATTTGAAACTGCCACTCCTCCCCACTTAGTGAGCCCCATCTGAGCTGGAGGACAGGAGGGTAAGAGGCCCAGAGACAAGCCTGGGGTCATTCACCCAGAGGAATCCCTGCTCCCCACAGTCCCGCCACCCCTGGCTCAGGCACCATGGGCAGGAGCCTGGGGGCAGCCGCAAAATCACTATGGTTACCAGCTTCTCGGCATCTGCCTGCCTCTTGCTTTGCAGTGGAGATACTTTAGTGACTTTCAGGGAGATCTTTTTTTTTGTTCCAAAGAAACTTCCCTTTCTCCCACTTTTTATACTATACTATAAATACTTTTCCATGTTGCCACATGGCCTTCAACGAGCTTTTTTTTTTTTTTTTTTTTTTTTGAGTGGGCTGCATATTATTCCATTGATTAAAACAGGGATTGGTAAACTTTTTCTGTACAGGGCATATAGTGAATATTGAAGGTTTTTCAGGCCACATGGTCTCTGTCACGACTAATTAACACAGCTCTTGAAGCACTAAAGCCGCCATAGGCAATATCTAAACAGATGACCCTGGCTGTGTTCCAATCAAACTGTATTTACATAAACAGGCGGTGGGCTAGATTTGGCCCACAGATGGATGCAGTTTGCTGACCCCTGAACTGGAAGAATCATAAAGAATAGTTTTAGCTTTTTATTAATCTCTTTGGTTTTACTCAATTTTGTTTTGCTAATATGAGCTAAATGATGACGATGATGATGATGCTGTCATCTCCCATTCATTGACTACCTAGGTTATGCCAGGCACTGTGCCAGATATTTTGCATGTTATTTTACTTAATCCTAAGAATTATCCTACAAAGTATATCATCCTCCTTTTTACAAACAAGGGAATTAAAAGACACTCTTAGCAAAGTTAAACAGTGTTTTCAAACTTCAGGTCACAATCCGTCAGTGGGTAATACATCAATTTAGTGGACTACAACCAGAATTTTTTTTAACTGAAAAGGGAAGAGTGTTTCAGGAGTAGTAAATATTTTTCCAGGAAGCTTTTTTTTTTCAGGAGTGTGTGTGTGTATGTGTGTGTGTGTTGGATCAGGACGTGTAATGTATTTGCTACTGTGGATTACAGACAAAAACAAAAATTTCAAAAAACAAAGCTGAGGAAATTGTCTAGTCACCTAGATGGTGAGTAGTTAATCCAGAACTAGGATCCAGACCTGCCTCACTCCAAACCTGACACAGACTCTAATTAACAGGTGTTCCCATCTCTGGAGCACCCACGCAGTTCTAAGCCCCGGGCAAAGCCGTTGCAATTGGAATGAACACATCTGAGACTCCGTCCCTGCTCAGCTGTGGACCAAGCAGCATCCTTTTGCAAGGAGCCAGTCCTTGGGCCCATGCTTGTCAGAGCTGGATTTGAGAACAACCCACACTGATGTTCTCTTACACGTGTAGCATTTATGAAGCCTTTCCATCTCCCTCACTTCATCACATAACCAGGGAGGGAGATTCAGTTAGAAATGTTTAATATTTTGCCTTGCTTGGCAGAGAGCCCCATAATGGATAATCTGCCCCAAGAAGAAATGTAAGGTGAAGGGGTCAGTTAACAGTAGTGACCACCAACACCAGGCTAAGGCATTTCGTATGAGCCAGGGCCTGCCACGATGTGCTACAGATGAGAAAACTGAGGTTCAGAGGGTTGGATGATTTTTCCAAGAGCTTCACCAGTGATGAAGCCATGGCATGAACCATGTTCCAAAGCACATGACCCAAACCGTTGCCTACCCACCCTGCCCATTCTGCACCATAGGGAGCCTTGGGAAGACTATACAGTGTGGGGAAACAGAACTCAAGAGAGCTAAAGATGCCAGAAATGATGTTAGACTACAGAAGAAAGAAACACACACATAAAAACCTCTGGGATACATGAGGCTGCAAAGCAAAGATGGTAAATAGTCACCATAAGAGGAAATGGAGAGATGCTGTTTATAAACAAATTGTTGAGTATTTGTGTTGGAAAGAACCCAGTGCCTGAATTCAAGGCCCTTGTGTTAATATTTACTGTATTGTAGTAGTGAGATTTCCACGAGGCACTCTGGGTTTAGACTGGATAGGCCTTTGGATAAGAGCCTTTTGGAGGAAAACAACACAATTCAGACAGAACTTCTGGCAAACCCGAGACAGAGATTATTGCTGATTTAGAGCCTTCTCATATCTGCTGATCCCTCTCTGAAGGCCAACACAGTTCAGTCCTTCGAGACAGTTCTTCAGCTGAGTAACCCTTGGCCATTGTCCCGAGTCTGCTGTTGCCTAAAACACTTTGTGTCTTGGTTACTCCTATTTCAGAAACCTTAATAATTCTGCATGTACACATTTGATGTTTCTGTCACCTAGGGCTGCATATCAAAGCATCCCAAGGCATATGGCTGAAACCAACATGTATTTTGCTCACAAATCACCATTTTGGCAGGGTTCAGTGAGGACAGCTTGTCTCTGTCCATTCGGTGTCACTTGGAGGAGCTTGCAGGCCAGAGACTGGAATCACCTGAAGCTCGTTCACTCATGTGCTTGAGCTAGAGGCTGGGAAGACACACACAGCAGGGACCCTCCATTGACCTCCTTGACCTCCGAGGTCTCTCCACGTGGTTGCCCTCAGATGGAAGCTTCAGGATACCAAGACTTCTTTCCTGTCAGCTGAGGGCTCCCAAGGTGTGTGTACTGAGAGAGAGAGCCCAGGGGAAAACACTGCCTTTATTACTACCCTGGGAGCTGCATAGCATCACTTCATCCATGTTCTGTTCTATAGAATTGAGTCACTAAGGTGGGACCATATTCATGGAAAAGGAATTAAATTCTATGTTGGTTGGAAGGGTATCCAAGAAATTTGCCAACATGACTTAAACACCCATGGCTGAGGGAACCCCACAACTCTGCAGGGTCTTAGCTTTTGA
Organism: Homo sapiens; assembly: GCF_000001405.40. Taxonomy (NCBI): domain Eukaryota; kingdom Metazoa; phylum Chordata; class Mammalia; order Primates; family Hominidae; genus Homo; species Homo sapiens. The sequence continues at coordinate 8,558,293 of NC_000003.12, forward strand.
GCAGCTGAATCTAAAATGTTCCTCAGCTTTCTTGAGGCAGGTGTTTACAAATTGCAAAGGCCCCAATATTCAAAATCTTTCATTTCAATTAAGAATCTCATGCCATTAGAATAAGGAACAAGGCAACACTTTACTGGCACAGGAAGAAACTTCCCATTTGTTCTATTTCTGAAAGGTTTGTTTCACACATCCTCTACCCAGGTGGGAAATAGTCTGCAAACAAGGTCACATGACAAATGTTGGAAACGTTCTCACGAGCAAGCTCCAATCTTAGATATTTGGGAACATGAACAAGAAACAACTGATATGCTAATTATAAAGCATTCTTCTCCATGCCTTTTACCATAGTCCCAAAGAACTTCCATTTGACCATACTAGCTCCTTAATAGGGGAAGTAACCTGAGAATGGCCTCATTGGTCTTTCTTAAAAAATAGTGTTGAGTTTAAACATCCCAGGAATTCAAATGAGCCTTTGTTGTAACTGAACTGAATTGGTGATATCAGTTTTGCTGAGCTTATGTATAAAGTTATTTTTAAACAGTCTATAACAGCGGTTCTCAAAGTGTGGCCCCAACCACACCAGCATCCCCTAGGAACTTGCAAATTCTTGTGCCCCACCCCAGATCTACTGTATCAGACACTGTGGGGAGGTGGTGGCGGTGGGGGAGCAGAGATATGTTTTAACCAGCCCTCTAGGGGATACTGAGGCAGGCTCAACCCTGAGAACCACTGTCTCCAGGGGCAGGATCAGATATGGGGAGGAGCAGGCCCTCCAAGCAGGGGATGAGTGGAGCTGAGTCTGGAGCAGTGGCAAATGATGAAAAACTCACACGACTCGATTCTCTGGCCTTGCACAAATGGAGAGAACTGATAGGGGAAAAAATAGAGCTCATCAGTGGCAGGAATGACTTCCTGCTAGTCTACATGCCCTTGGTATCATGGAAGGAAATCCAGGCCTCCAAACCTGCCTTCAACATATCTTTGTCATTTTAGGAAAGTGGTTTAATCCCTCTGGGCTTTACATTTCTAGCCTGCAAGGTGGGCAGAGTTAAGGAATACACGAGATTTTAGCAAATCATTATTGAGCCCTTATAAAGTCCAAAAATTCCATTATGTCATTTAACTCACACCACAATCCTATGAGGTTGCTATCATTACTATCGCCATTCAACAGGTGAAAAAACAGAGGCACAGGTAAGTTAGTTCATTTGCCCAAGGTCACACAGCTATGAACCCAGGCAGTCTGACTTGGTATCTCCCCTCTCAGCCACCTGTTGCAATTTAGAAATTGCAAACCTCGCTACAAAGAATTGTGGGAGAGACTAAGTTTGTGCTGAGAAAGGGCCAGGATGATGAGACCCAAGTAGGCTGGCATTCTGACTCTCGGCTGCTAGCTTGTCTCTCGTGGCTGAGGGACCACCAGACGATAGATCCAGGACAACCTCAGGTCTCTCATCCTTTGAGATGACTGAGTTAAGGATACAGAAAATGGCTTAGAGGCAAGAAGAGCACATTTCATCCTGACACATGTTGAGAGGGCTCCTTACCTGGACATCTTGTTTTCATGGAGTGATAATGATACTGTTTGCTTAAAGGGGCTGGCTACTGGTAGAAACCAGTCCAAGAGCCAGGGATGCTAGGGAGAACAGTGAGGGAAGAAATGCTCCTCCAAGAGGGGCTTCACAAAGTGCTTTCCAACGGATGAGAAGGTTGCAAACAAGCTCTGTGAACAAGAATTTTCCTTCCTTCCTTCATACTGCTGCGAGAATATCTCCCTACAGTGCAAATTAGAACCTTGAACTCCTCATCTCAAGAACCAGTAACGGGTTAGGTGCAGTGGCTCATGCCTATAATCCCAGCACTTTAGGAGGCCAAGGCGGGAGGATCCTTTGAGCTCCGGAGTTCAAGACCAGTCTGCGTAACATAGTGGGACCCCATCTCTACAAAAAATTTAAATATTTTTAAAATGTCTTAAAAAGAACCAGTCGTGGCTACCCATTGCCTCCAGAGTGAAGTCCCAACCCATAACCTGGGTTCAAAGCCACCCATGATCACCCTAAACTGCCTTTTGGACCTGATATCCCCCTCCTTCCTTCAGTGTATCATCAGGGTGCCTGCCGGTGCTCCCCAGACCAATCCAGGTGCATTTCTATCCCTCTCCCTTTCCCTACTTTCATGTCAATTCACATTTGTAAATGTGGAGTGGGGAGCCCCATTGATATATCATGGTGTTACCCAATGGGGTGTAGTTTGGTGAACTGACACGAAGTCCCTTTTGTGTGGGAGGGAAAGAGCTGGAAATTTCATTCTGTAGAAATAAGAAGCCAGACAGACAACTCACTTTGTATTCAGACAGCCCTGGCCAAAGAGTTTACAGTTCCCAGCTATGCAGGAGGGAGGGTGAAAATAAGTAGATGATGACTGGTCACTGATTTTTTGTCTAGACCCCCTGATGGGCTCCAAGCCAGCTGAGTCTCAATCATGTGAAGAGGAACAGGGTTTTCATTTGAGCGAAAAACTCACACCACTCATTCTTGGGGGTGTAACTGAAACCACAAATCTAGCATGTTCTAAGGAACATTATCAGGCACAGTCAGGATCCAGTTCAAGATATATCTAGTTGACCAAACACATTCCTTATATAGGCAGTCATTCAAGAGCTCCTACGCTCAGAAACTGCTATCAGTACATGACGTTCCTTGTTATTCAGTGTTCTTTTCCTAATTTTCACCATTTTAATGTTTATTTCCTCTTCAATATATGAGTATATTAAGTATGTAATCAAAGTATATAAGTTAAGAATAGTAAGTGTGCAAACTCTTATGTGCTTCCCTGTCTTCACATGGCAAAAAAGTAAATATTTCTATTTTGGCTGAAACATAGTTGATACTTACTAAGTTTAAATTAGCATCTAAAGCCAGGCTCAGCAAACACTTTCTTTGGAGGGCCAGGTGATAAATATTTTAGGAGATGTGAGCCAAGAGCCAAAATTGCAATATCATGTGGGCACTTTATGTAACAAGAGAGAAAACAACTTTCCATGGGTTTTTTAAATGAAATTCAAAAGATAATAATAATTGAGCACAGAGTTTTTTTTTTTTTTTTTCCAATATAGGTCTACTAATGAGAAAAGCAGAAGGGGTTCTTTCTTGGGAGAAAACATTTCACTGAATTGGAGGGCAAATGTAAAATCCAGTCTTCATTCTCATGGGGCTTGCGAGAACAGACAGTGGCTGGGTTTGGCCATGGGCCGTAGCTTACTGATGCCGGATCTCAAGTCCACATGATGGAGTAGAAAGAACTTTGGCTTTGGAGTCAGGTTTGGCCTTTGTTCAAATCCTAGCTTTGCCTCCCATCAGCTGTGCATTACTGAGCAAATCACTGAATCTCCCTGACCTTCAGTTTTGTAATTTCTAAGAGAGAAGATAATGATTTTCCGAATAGAAAAATAACTCTAGAAGGAGAAATAACTCTCTCGGGCTTATGTAAGGGGTAATAGTAATGCGAGCAAAGTCCTGAGCACAGTGCTGGATGCAGACACGCTGTAGGGACATGACAGCCATTGTCGTTTCCATCATCATCGGGGCTTACAGGAGCAGGGGATAACTCCAAAATGACTCAAAAGATTGTGTGGATTGAGAATGTCAAGTTCCCATTCTTTAGAGGATGAGAATAGGCAAGTTATAAATGTGCGATGGATGGATACCTGAATGAACCAGTGAATGAATGAGCATTTAGCAACTTTCACTGCTCCTGGGAACTGGCAGAAGACAGAAATCTAGAGCTCTCACAGAGAACTTCTCCCAGGCACACTCACCCTCCCCACAAAGCCCCAATCCTAACTGAAGCTGAGGAACAACATGAGTTGAGGTCCACCTTGTCATGGTTTCTGAGCAGGCCAGTGAAAATGTTACTGGCAGTAAAAGACAGATAAAGGAGCCCCAGATGGAAAGAGGATGACAAACAGCCAGGCACTGGCTACATTAACTGCTGAGAGGCCCTGTAGGGAAGCTGCTTCTCACCTCTAGCCATTGGGCATGCTGCTCCTTTGCCATGCCAGAATGCATTCTCCTGGGAGCCCTCCTAGCCCTTCAGACAATTCCCTGAGTTTAGTCTCCCCACCCGACCCAGCTCAGTTCCCATAGAAAGCCACAGAGCCAAGGGCGGCAGTTTGAATCCCAGCTCTGTTTCTTGGCTGTGCCCCCCTTCACAAGCTATTTTGTCTCCTTGGGCCTCGCTGGTCTTATCTATAAAATGAGTGCATTTCCTGTGTACCTACATCTCCTATCCAGAGGATTGCTGTGAGATAAATAGGAATGTGGTTGATCCCTAGAGCCCCTCATCCCTCAGAGAGGCCTCTCCTGCTAAGGTGGTCCCTGCTATCCACCCCCAAAGTCACTCTCCATTCCCTTACCCTGTGATTGTTTTCCTAGTATTTATCACACTCCATGATTATCTCATCTGTTTTTTTATATATTTATTTTCTGCCTCCACACACACAAAGCTCCAGTTTCCCTGAAGGCTCTGGCATTATCTGCCTGGGTCACTGCTGTATCCCCAGCATCTAGTCCAGGGCCTAGCACACAGTAGATGCTCAGTAAACATGGATGAGCCCCTGAAAGGCAAGAGTGTTTTGAAAGCTCCCAAGAACTTTCCACAACTGTCTCTGGAGCCCAGCTCTCTGCTGCACTTAGTCTAAACCTGTCTCTAAGGTGCAGACAGATGCATCATCTGCTAGTGTCTTCCACACTCATCTGTTGTCCCCTAAGTAGGAAGTATGAGGTGGGAGGGCAGAGGTTTCCAAATATTTATTGTTCATCTACTATGTGCCTGGCACCGAGGAGATGTGAAAGCAAGCATAGTTGGATGTGGCTCCTGCTTCCATCTAGTGTAGAAAGAACAGGTATCAAACAACCATACAGAGAAAGGTAAGCAGAGAAGCTTTATTATGGACTTAATTGCCCCTGGAAGGAGGTCAGAGAAGATTTCCCAGAACCAAAGATCTTTAAGTCTCACATCTGAAGAATGAAAGGGAGTTAATCAGGCAAACAGGAACGGGAACAATGTACCAGACATCCTGAACAGCAACGGCAAAGGCCTCATGGCAGGGTGGAGCATTCCTTCATTCAGCAACTATTGATGGGGAATTTATGTGTGCGGGGCCCAGTAGAGGGTCCTGGGTCAGAGCTGCAACCAAGCAGCCTCTCTCTGCCCTCTGCAGCTAGCCGCTTAGTGGAGAGAACAGATATAAATTAGATAATTCCATAGGTATTTAAAAAATAATGTTAGCTAACATACATGGAGTCCTTTTGGGGGATCTGCCAAAATCATGCATGGGTTCCAAATAACTTATGTAGATACTTGGCCCTGGAGGAGATGGAGCACTCTTTAGACATGGAGGGCTTGGTGACTTCCTTCCAAAGAGGATAGTATGGAAGTGGGGAGAAGAGTCACTTTACAGTGAAGAATCTGACAAACACTGCCTCCACCAGAAGGTCAAAGTCAACCGCAACAGTGACAAGTGAGGGCGACAGTATGTACCCTTGAAGGATGTGATAAGAGGAGCAGTTTGCCCCGTGATCTTCCTCCCAACGTACTCATCATAGTAACATCAGGCAAATCCCAACTGAGGGACATTCTACAAAACACCTGACCAGTACTCCTCAAAACTGTCATGGTGGCCAAAAACAAAGTCTGAGAAACTGTCCCAGCTAGGAGGAGCCTCAGGAGACATGACAGTTAAGTGAATCTGGGATCCTGGAATAGAAAAAGGACATTGGGTAAAGTTTATGAACACGTGAATAAAGTTTGGACTTTAGTTAATAATAGCATATCAATATTGGTTAATTAATTATGACAAATATACCTTATTAATGTAAGATGCTAATAACTCAAGAAACTGAGTGTGGAATATATAGAAATTCTCTGTGCTGTTTTTGCAATTTTTCTGTAACTCTAGAACTACTCAAATATTATTATTATTATTATTTGAGACAAGGTCTCACTCTGTCACCTAGGCTGGAATGCAGTGGCACGATCATAGCTCACTGCAGCCTCAAACTCAAACTCCTGGGCTCCAGCAGTCCTCCCACCTCAGTCTTCTGAGTAGCTAGGACTACAGATGAGCACCATCACAACTGGCTAATTTTTCAATTTTTTTGTAGAGATGGGGTCTTGCTATGTTGCCCAGGCTGGTCTCAAACTCCTGGCCTCAAATGATCCTCCTACCTCCAGTTCCCAACGTGCTAGAATTAAAGGCATAAGGCACCACTTCTAGGCAAAAATATTATTTATTAAATATTATTTAAAACTCTTCATGCACGGGTAAAAAGATCCATTCAAAGTGCAAGGTAAACAAACAGGTTTTAATGTAAACAAATATGAAAGGTTCACTGATGTGCTTTCAGATTTCACACTGCAACTAACTTGAGAAAGTATCCTGTGTCAAATTTTACTGTAGTATCAAAGAAGAATATCCACAGTTGCCTGGAAGGTCCTTTAAAATGCATCGTCCTCCTTTTTCCAACTTTATGTCAGTGTGAGTTCAGATTTTCTTCATGTATTTCAACCAAAACAACAGCATGCAAAAGATGGGCTGCAGAAGCAGTTATGGGAATCCAGCAATCTTCTGCAAGTCATTGAAGAGATTTGCAGATATATAAAACAATGTCTTAAAATTTTCTTCTACTTTTTTTGTTTTGAAACATATAGTTATTTTAGTAACAAGATAGGTATGTTAATGTATTACAGGTTTAGTATTGTCATTTTTAAATGAATTAAAAAAATTTAAATTGTTCTCAGTTTTAATTTCTCTTATGGTAAATATCAATAGCTATTACCCACATGAACAAAAACTCTGTAGGGGTCTTGATAATTTTTAAGAGTATAAAGGGTACTGAGACCAAACAATTTGGGAATCACTGTGCTAAATAAATAACTTTATTTAGTCCTCGTGAATAGCCTGTTAGGTAGGCAATATTATTGTGTCGCTTTGCAGATGACAAAACTGAGGCACGAAGAGGTATAGTGACTTGCCCAAGGTCACCCAGGAAGTAGAAAGGCTGGAGCTGGAATTCGAACCCATGTCACTGTGCTCTCCTGACTTCCTTGTCTCCTATGGTCCTTCCCCATCCTTCCAGGTCTGCGAGCTCTGCAAGGGAGCGGCCCCTCCTGACAGCCCCGTGGTCTACTCGGACAGGGCAGGCTACAACAAGCAGTGGCACCCCACCTGCTTTGTGTGTGCCAAGTGCTCCGAGCCGCTGGTGGACCTCATCTACTTCTGGAAGGATGGTGCACCCTGGTGCGGCCGCCATTACTGCGAGAGTCTGCGGCCCCGGTGCTCCGGCTGCGATGAGGTGGGAGATAGCCGCGAGATGGGTTAGGGGGCTTGAGGGACACTGCTGAGGGTAAAAGCCCAGAGGCCAAGAGGAGCATGGCTTTGTGGATGATGTGTTCTACAGATTGGGAAACTGAAGTCAGGCCTCACTGCATGCTCTCAACCTTCATTTTCTCATCTGCAAAATGAGGCAGACAACCATGGGATTGTTGGGAGGGGTCAGACACAGTGCCGGTGAATCTTGTCCTTGGCATAATGCCTAGCACTTAGTAAGTACTCAGAACATAGCAGGATGAACCAGGAGGCATTGCCCACGTTCAAACCTGTATCTGCATCTCTTATTATTATTATCATGTGGTTACCTAACTCCGGAGCCTCAGCTGAGTCTCAGTTTTACTACTTATAAAATAGGGATGAGACCAGCGCCCATCCCATAGAGTGGCTATGAGGATAGATGAGATAATGCATGAAAATGCTTGCCACAGGGCCTGACCTAGGAACTTATAAATGGTAGCTGCTGTTAGTCTTACGATAATATACTATAATATGAGACTTAACATTAATATGACACAATACAATACAATATGATAGAGATGCTATGAAAGAGATTCAAGTCTCTGATACTGGTTTGATGAAAGTAACTCTAAGGTGTATTAATAATGGCAATACTAATTATGATCATAGTATGTACTATTTGCATGCCTTTGGTTGCAGGCAATATACTAACTTCATCTTTGGCATGTATGAAGGTTAGAAATGTCTTCTTTATATTGAACCAACATCTATTTTCTACCACCTTCTACGAATTGGTCACCATATGAAGTTAAGACCCTGTAGTCCTCTTACCTAATAACTCTGTTATTAAGTGATATTAAGAAGGAAAAGGACTGTCACAGGCCTGCCCTGGAGCCTCATTTTTGAAGTGACAACAGTATATGCACAATAACAATTCTCTATCATTTATTAAGGGCTTACGGTGGGTCAGTAATTTGCTACATACTTTACGTACAACATGCTATTTATATCACAACAATCCTTTAGGGAGAGATAAGCATGATTTTTTCTCATTTCACGTTTAAGAAAAGTGCAGCTCTGAAAGGTCAATGCTAATTAGATAGCCCTGACTTTGTGTCAGTCAACATTCTAAGCCTTTCATATGTAGTTGGTCATTTGGCAATCATAGAACCTTGTGGGATGGAAAGTATTTATATCCCCATTTTACAGATGTGGAAGCTGAGGCACAGGGGGATTAAGTAATTTGCCCAAAGTCACAAAGCTGGTAGATGTCTTAAGTGAAAACTCATACCCAGTTCTTGTTTGACTCCAATACTAGAAGGCCCATTAAACATTATGCTCCTCTGCACTTCCTGAGCCTCAGGGGATCCTTACAATATGTCTATTCCAAGTGTCACTTCATTCCAAGCCCAAGTGACCCTCTGTATTCTTGCTCTTGATGATTGGCCATTGGCAGTTTATCTATCCTTAAGCTTTCTTCACCAGGGTGTGTAATCCCACCTTGGAACTAAACTTTAGATTTGACCCAAAGAGTATCACAGATACCTAGATAAGTAAAACCTGCCTGTAGTGGAGGATTTTTTTTATTCCGTCTGAGAAGCTAAGATGCAACCACAACCTTCACCAAATATTATCCTTACTGCCTCAAATTTATGCCAGATTTTTCCACTAAGGCTTTAAAAGGTCAAAACAAGAATAGGATGGGATGAACCACCACCCTATAACTTGTCCTAGATATACCGTCTCTACCTAGGGACAGAAACTGAGTCATGCATTTCTCCTGCTCCCCTCCCCAGATAATATTCGCTGAGGACTACCAGCGTGTGGAAGATCTGGCCTGGCACCGAAAGCACTTTGTCTGTGAGGGTTGTGAGCAGCTGCTGAGCGGCCGGGCGTACATCGTCACCAAGGGTCAGCTTCTGTGCCCAACTTGCAGCAAGTCCAAACGCTCCTGAAGGGCTGCCCACCCACAGCCAGAATCCACAGGATCCCACCGAGAAGGAGAGCCAGGTGTGCCGAGACCATCCTAAGGGTCCGATGTGACAGCAAGCAAGTGAAATAAACAATGATTTGCTTTTCAGTGAGAATATATATATGAGATATATATAGATATATATTCTAGGTTGGGTGGTGGTAGATCCTTGAGGGTCAGTAGTTTCAAAACCAAAAATATTCTAAGAAGTCTTAGGATGGAGTTCCTTTTCTTTCTGTTGTTGTTTCCCAGCTACAACCAACTAAAGACACAAATGGCGTTCTGCAAGGGGACTCTGGGAGGAGTTTTCCAGAATGCAATTCCGAGTGAGCAAATCGCATAGCTGTAGAATGTGCGTGCTTTTTTGTGGACACAGGAGCTCCTCCAGGAGCAGGCTGGGATCCCAACTATCGCTTGTTGCCTCTTTTTCAAGTGGAATTTGAATTTTAAATAAACAACTTTTTTTGGCATGATAAACAGATCAATAAAAGTTTTGTGAATTCCACATACACCCTTATCTAATTATTTACACCATGGCAGTGATTTTGCAACACCCAGTGCTGGCAGAAAATATAGTAAAATACTAATGAGCCTCTCTATCAATGTATCTCATCAGACTTCCACTGGGAGTGTAGGCTTTGGGACAGAACCCCCGCCCCACCTGCCTATTCCAGATACTCCCAGATCACTAATGTAACAAAGGTATCATGTTTTATGGTACACTGAAAAGTGGCCTGCTGGGAACTGATGAGCTTCTCTTTAGCCAGGGACCTGACTCAGCTGCCCTCAGAGCCCAGGAAAATAGCGAATGAACCCCTCTGGGAATAAGACCAGTACTGGGAAACCACTGAACAGGGGCCACCTAAGCTCCACCAATGGGTGCCACATGGGATGTGGTGACTAATGTGGGCAGATCTTTAAAAATACAGCACTTTTTCAAATGCCAAAACAATCAGAAACAAAATTTTTTCAATAAAAATTAATCTAAAATTTAACAATGCCACTTTTATGAGAAATCTCAATTTTTAATGTTGCCAACTAAACATTGAATGAGTCACGTAGAATAGGTCTTTGGGCCAAATTGTATCTCCATTTTATGGTCTCTCTGAACATTTTCAGCTCTTAAATTAATTTCTTTCCCACAGTTTCTAAGAAAAACATATTTTTCTACTGGGAGTATAAGGATGAAAAAGACACAAGTCCTAGGAGCTTACGGTCTGGTCGCCAGTGGTTTTCTTTCTTGAACTTCCTCATCTGCTGCCAGTTTTCTTTAACCTCACCATCCAAATTTCACTCTGACCATCTCGTACCTAGAAAACCCCCATTCATGTGCTTTATAAGTTTCACCAAAGCCATTGCTATATCCTCCCAAGGCAGTGGTTTTCTGCTCCCAGCTCCTTTCTCTAGTCACCCTCAGTTTCCTCGTCATGTTCATCTTCTCAAAGATAAGTTTCAAGTGTGTCATTTCCTTCACTCAATCTCCATGGCTCTTCATTGCCTGCCAAGTTAACAACCAAGTCCTCATGGACATTTGAATCCTTCCAAAACTTGGCTTATGTCTTTCTGGCCTTGGAGCCCTTTATTTCCCTAGATTTCTAGTTCCCTATTTCTTCCTAAGCATGCAGAAGCTCCCTCTGATCAAGCCCTTCCCTTTGCTTTTGCTAGTTGAAGACTGGCTACCTGAAGACCAACTCTGGCTGTTGAAATTCTATTCATCCTATAAGGTGCTTCTCAAGCATAACCTGCTTCTCTGGCACTTTCCTGAAGCACCAGTGAAATATTCACCAATTCATCATTCATTCATCCATTCCACAAGTATTTCAGTGAGCACGGCAAAGTTCCAATTCCCATGCTGAATATAGGGGATGCGGGGTGCACAAAAAGAACAGTGACCCCTACGCCCATAGATGTTACGGTCTGTGGGGGAGATGGGCCTCAAGCAAATATTCTCACAAGTCAATGCAAAATTACACTACTGTGCATGCTATAAAAGGAAGATTTGTGTTACTATAATGCATGTAAACTGGACTTAGGAATATCGAGAGAGGTGCCCCTGGGAAAGTGATGCTTGAACTGGGCTGTAAAGGATGAGTAGCCTTGCCAGGCATAGTGGCTCAGGCCTGTATTCTCAGCACTTTGGGAGGCCAAAGCGGGTGGATCACTTGAGCCTAGGAGTTCGAGACCGGCCTGGGCAACATGGCAAAACTCCACCCCTACAAAAAATACAAAAACTATCTGGCATGGTGGCACACCTGTAGTATCAGTTACTCTAGAGGATAACCTGAGCCCAGTAAGTCAAGGCTGCAGTGAGCTGTGATCATGCCACAGCACTCCAGCCTGGGTGACAGAGTGAGACCCTGTTTCCAAAAAAAAAAAAAAAGGATAGGTTGCCTCTAAGTTGGCAAAGAGAGGAAGGACAATGGTTAAAGATGGATACATGAATGCATGTGCAAAGGCCCTGTGGTGGAAGCCCCACCAGTTTATTCAACACCTATTTGCTGGTGTTGGAGATACAGTGGTGAACATGGCCCATGGATGGAACTGAAAGAAAACTGGTGTGGCAGGAGCACAGAGCATGGTGAGGAGGGTGGGCCTGGGGCATGAGAGGCAGGCATGGCCAGCCTGCTCCAGTTCTGGGGCAATTCAAAAGACTGGTCTCTGTTCTAGGAGCAAGGGGGAGCCTTCAAACAGCTTTAAGGAGGGGGTGGTGATGGCTGGACAGGGAGATCATGAGATACGTCATCTCTTCTCTGTTGAAACCCCAGCACAATGCATGATTGACTTGGTCCACTGGGTCACACCATCATGGATGGGCATTATCTCCCACAACAGTCCCCATGGGGCACCACCCAGCACCTGCCCCTGCCTTTCTCATGTCTATTAATGACACCCACCCTTGCATTTGGAGCACCTGAATCATCTCTGCCACTTGCCTTCATATCTGATGGGTCACTCAGTCCAGTCCTTTCTCTCCATCCTCGCTTTCACTCCATCCCCAAAGTCATATCTCACCTTGAACATTTTCTGCTCAGACTGACAAGTCTCCCCGACGGGAACTCACCCTCTCCACCCACCACTTCCAGATGAATTGCTCAGAAACACACCCTCATCTTGCACTCTCCTCTTCAAGAACAATCAGGGGCTCCCTGTTGCACACACAGAAAAAAATTGAAACTGTTTTACCTTGCAGTCGAGTTTCTTATTTTTCCTGCCCCAACCCTCCTTCCTTCCTGTTATCCTTTCAGAAGCCAAATGGGCAGTTTACAGTCACAGTGTGTGCCCCTGCTTTCCTCACCTCTGTACCATCACTCACGCTGTGCTTTTTGCCTGCAATTCCCCACACTGTGTTTAATTGCTGCCTCTGCTGGGGGGCTGCAATAGCTGAGTGGGATTCTGTACCAGAATTGGAAAGATCCATGTTAACTCTTGCCTGATTCTATCTCCCATGTCAGCAGGAAGAGGGGCTGCCATCCCCACCCCTCCCACTCTCTAGGAAGACTTTCCTCCCTCACCCTTCCCTTGGGGTGTTTTAGGTGCCCTTTATCTGTAAGTTCATAATATCCCAGGCTTACAGTAATTCTTCCAAGGCCTTTATTGTGCTATAATTATTTATTCATGAAAGCCTTCCCCTATGAACTTCTAAAGAATAATCGTATTATCTTTATTTCCCCAACTCTTAGTACAAATCCTGGCAACTAAATGAAAGAACAAACAACCTGGGGTTCTGGGATGGTTCGTCTTTGCTGATGGCACTGTGTTCCAAAATGGCCAAGGTCAAATATAAAAATTTCAGACTGAGGTAGACACTGCTGGCAGCCTACACATTGCCACCACACCCCACTTCCTTCTTCCTAGTGGCAAGGAAGCAGTGGGTGGAGAGGGTGAGTTCCTGTCAGGGAGACTTGTCAGTCTGAGCAGAAAATGTTCAAAGTGAGATATGACTTTGGGGATGGAGACAAAGGGAGGATGGAGAGAAACGACTGGACTGAGAGAAGAGCCCACTCCCCTTTATGTAAATTGGCTTTGCCAACCTGGTCTGCAGCTGGAGAAAGGCCATGCGCCTCTATTACCAGCCAGTGGGGCTTCCGCCTTAGGAGGGTCTTAGAAAAGTGTTTTTCCTTAATGAAAGGAGATACTGTGCAGTAAATAGCCCTGCTGTTGTTTTCTTTTCTTTTGATAGAATGTCAAACTTACGAAAAAAGTTACAAGAAGAGAACAAAGAGCTATTAGAGGGTGTTGCTGACACAATGCTTTATCACTCTTGAATATTTTCGTGTGTAATTCCTACAAATAAGGACATTCTCCCACATAGCCACAATACAACCATCAAAATCAGGAAGTTAACGCTGATGTGTTTCTACCATGTAATCCTCAGATCCAATTCAAGTGTCACCAGCTGTCCCAATAATGTCTTTTATAACAAAAACATTCAGTCTAAGATCACTCATTCTATTTAGTTATCTTGTCTATTCTTCAATTTGGAAGTGTTCTTTGTTCTTTCCTGAATGTTCATGACCTTGACATCTTAGAAGATTAAAGGTTATTTAAAGTTGTTGAGTTAAATATCCATTAAATTAGGTTTGTCAGATATTTCCTCGAAATTAGATTCAGCTTATGCATTTTTTGGAAGGAATACCACAGAAGTGATGTTGTTTTCTTTCTGTTGCATCCAATCAGATGATACAGGATTTTGATTTGTTCCATTACTGTTGACATGAATTTTGAACATTTGATAATGCCAGTATCAGCCAGATTTTTCCATTGTAAAGTCATTCCTTTGTCCTTTGTATTTAATAAGTATGTTTAGGGACTTTGAGACTATGTCAATGTCCTGTTCTTCATCAAAATTCCACTCACTCATTCTTAGTATTCATTGACGTTTACTGATCGAACTAATTATTATTATGATAGTTGCCAAATGTTGGTTTTTCTAATTCAATCATTTCTTTAGTGTTTATTAGCATTCTACTATAAGGAAAAGCACTATCTTCTCCCCATTTATTAATTCACATATTTACATCAGCTTGGAGTTATTGATTTCTATTTTATTAAATAGTTTATAATTGATTACCATCCTTATTTATTTTAATGCTCAAATTGTCCCAAATTATGGCCAAAGAAAGCTCCTTCAAACTGGTTGCTATGTCCTTTTGACATGGCCCATCATTCTTTAAACACATTTTACATCTGGCACAATAACGTGCTACATACCCATCTTGTATTTTTCCTGCCCCATCTTTGAAATCAGCCATTCTCAAGGGGTTCCTTCTTAATCTGGCTGTTGTTGTGTTGGAACTCCTGGTACCATCTTAGAACCTTAAGGAGACAAGCGAACCAAGCCAATAAGCTTTCCATGATGCTGCTTAGAGTTAAACAGAGCCCAGGTACTAAGTTATGTCATGGAGACAGTGAACTAACCTCTGGACTGCTTGCTACATGAGACAATTGATTTTCTTATTTTCTATGTAGGGTGGTACATTTCCTCATTTTGAGATATTTCTTCAACATATAGCTTTTCATTAGTGGGGATTTTGTCAATTATAACCAAAAACAATGTGACGGATACCCAAGATGTTTCATGTTGTAGCTTGGGTGAATTACACATTTCTGAAGCCATTACACTTCCTAGTTTATTTGGATTTAAGTTGACAAATAAAAATTGCATATGTTTATGGTCTATAACATGGTGTTTCGATATATGTATACATCGTGGAATGGCTAAATCAAGCTAACATATCCATTACCTCACATAGTTATTTTTTGTGGTGAGAACATTTTAAAAATATTGTCTTAGCAATTTTCAATCAAGCCTGTCCCATGGAGACACAAGCAATAGTGACATGAGCACTTGACTCGCTGGGTTATCAGGCTTTGGCTCCAAATGTTTGGCTTCAAATATGAAAAAGTTACATGAAAGATGAAACTATGCAATGGCATGGCTGTTGGTCATTCACATCTCTCTCTGCCAAGAATGGGGATGACGCTGTTGAAGGAAGAAATGTGTTTTCTCCTTTTTCTCAAGTGATATTTGCCTTAGGTCAGATTCTACTAGTTTAAAGCAAAACGATCTCCTGGTCTGATTCCTTTGGGTCTCTAATAATGGAAACTGCAAGGATCAGCATAAAGTGTTCCTTTGTTCTGACGTTGGTATAACATTGCTTCTTGAAAAATGAAAGTATTTGGACATACAGACAGAAGCAATATTATTCAGGTCTTCCTTGTTGCAAGTGAGGGAAATCCAATTAAAACTGGTTTAAACCTAAAAAAAAAAAAAAGAAGAAAAGAAAAGAAAAAATATGAGAGGGGTTTTGCTTTCTGGAATCTGCTTTCTAGTCAGAAAGTGCAGAAGAAGGGCTAGCTTCAGGAACAATTGGATGCAGTAGTTCAAATCACAAGTTAAGTCTCTGCTTCTTTTCTCCATCTCTCTTCTGTCTTCCTCCACACTGGCTTTATTCTTAGGTAGGCTTACCCAGATAGTCATAAACACAGCCACCAGTGGCAGCTGGGCTCACTTTTGTCCTTGGAGCCAGTGAGCCCATGAAAAAGGAGCTTCTCTTTCTGGAGCTTCCCAGGGGTAACTTTGATCAGCCAACAAGGGTCAGTCCTATGCTTATCCCTTGACCAATCTCTGTGCCCAGAGGGCAGGGTACTCTGATTGGCAATACCTTCATCGTGGGCCAACCACTGTGGGGAAGGGGGAGGGATTAGAAAAGACAGCCACACCCAAATCTCATGAAGCAGTCCCCTTTATTTTAAAAAAGTCCCTGTGAGAGCAACAGGAGCAAAGCATGGAGAAGAAGCAATCTTGGAGAAGCTGGAAGAGAACTGACCCAAAGAATCCAAGAGACTAAGACTGTGCAGGGTTGGGGAACGGAAGCTCACACAGGAGGCCTGGACAGAGCTGCAGCAGAGCCAGGAGAGAAGCCAAGTGGCACAGCTCATCTTGAAGTAATTATAATGCCACTAAAATTCTCATTTGTATTAATTTTTTTTAATTACTGGCAAGATAAGGCAAATGTTTTTAAAGGCCTAAATAAAATGATATTCCCTGAAGGAAATGTCCAGAGGGTTTTATTTTGGCCTTATTTTTTTTAATTCTATGAAAGATGATGGAGACTTACTAAACTGTTTTTATGGGGAAAGTTTAATAAATGTGAAGGATGTACTTCCATGAGTTCAAATATGGAAAGTTTTAAAATAGAAGAGTGACACAAGCAGCTAATGATCCCAACATGTTAGAGTATGCAGGCTGCTGGCCCAGATTCCGGTTTTTAATCAAATATATAAATTATGAAATATTGTTACAAGGAATCGCAAGCCTTTGCCCTACAAGGGAATGGTGTGTGCCTCAGTTGACAGGAGAGCTCTGCGGAGTTCATTTTCTGCTGATAAGGGGACAGGGAGAAAGCAGACGGGCAGTCATCCTTGGCCCACACAAGGGGACCATCCAGTGCCAAAGCTGGAGGGAAGAACATGCTCCAACCAAAGACCCAGGCCAAATATAACAGTGTTTGTCTGTTCAGTATGTCGACCATGTGGTCTCTGTCTGCAGGGGAGGTGTCTGTGACATCTTGGGCCAGAGCATGCAAACACTGAGCTTTCAGCTTATTCCCACCTGAAAGGCCTTCCTTCCAGCTGCCTCTGCCTTCCAAGTTTAGCACAAGCTCTCCCTTCTTTAGGAAGCCCCACTGATTCCTCCAGCTATTCCTTTAGGTTCTCAGAGTCTCAACTGACTATGTAATTGATTTGGTCCTTGATCACACCGTACTCATGTCAGACCCTGTGTTTTGTCTTCTGAACAATGGGAAGCTCACTCACTCATTAGTAGATTCTTGTATTCATTCAGTCACTGGGCATTTACTCAGCACCTACTATGCCCCAAGCATTGTGCTAGGCCTTGGAAATGCAACAGTGGACACAGCAGACACGGCTCTTGTTCTAAAGGAGTGACGGTCTGTCAGAGGAGAGCAACAAGTAGACAATTATCTAATAAGACAGGCCTGAATCCCAGCAGAATCCCACCTTGTGTTCCTTTCCAAGGTATCCCTCAGCCTCCCACAAATAGTCATGGCAGGAGTGGTCTTTCCCACTCACTGACCAAGTAGATTCAACAGGCCTGGCAGTGTAGCTTTGTCATTAACAGCATGGACTTAGGAGCTAGACTGCCTCTGATTCTAATCTGGGCACCTTAGATGAGTCATTTCACTTTGTCCCCAAGTTTCTCCATTATAAAATGGAGATAGTAATGGTGTTACTTTGTGAGGTTGTTCTGAGGATTTAATAGGTTTATGCATGGTTAGCTTTAGAACACCTCCTGGCACATAGTGAGTGTTCAGCAAGTATCAGCCATTGCCCTTGTTGTTGCTGTTGTTTGTATTACCTAGCCGTGAACCCTGGAAGAAGATGACTCACTTGCAATCTCTTCTACTCTTCGAAACTGCAATTTAAAAAAAATTATTATGTAAGTTTCCTAAAATCTATCAGAACAATTGCTCACTAATTTTCTTCTTTCTAGTCTGAGACCTTCCAGCAAATGCTCAAATATTACCTCTCCACCAAGAGAGACATTTCAGCATCCTGATACACACAGACACACAAACACACAGACACACACACACAATGGTGAATGTAGATGCTCTTCTGGTAGAGTCTACCTGCCAGTTCAAAGCCAAGCGTTGCCTGTGCTGTATTTGCACCGTGCATATTCTAAGAATGGCAAGTGGCTGGACTGACCCGGAGACTCACACTGGGTCCCACAAAGTGTTAAGAGACTACCTGGGAGGGGCTGGGGAAACATTATACTAACAGGGCCATGCTTTTATGTCTCACCTAACTCACCCTAGGATTCAAACTCAGAAATTGAAATCTCCAAAGGCCTTCCATTTAAAAAGCGGGGACCAGCACGTACCACTAACATCACTCCAGGAAGGTGATCTTCTAGAAAATTGCCTCTCAAACCTGAGTGCTTATAAGAATCACCTGGGGAGATGGTTCAAATTTGGACGCTGATTCGGCAAGCCTGGATGCTGGTTTAGCAAGCCTGGAGGAACAAGGCCAGAGCGCAATGGAGTTGAAAGGGCCGATTAGAAGTCAGGTTATCTGACCTCTCACCTAAGAAGTGGGGAAACAGACTTAGAGAGTAGAAGTAGCTATATCAGTATCACACAGCAAGCTCCAAGCAGAACCAAGAACACAGCCTGGGTCTTTCACTCCCAAGCAAACACCCATTCTGAGTCTACTAAACCAGGGATCAAATCCCGGTGCCGGTGCCTGCAAGAGCCAGGCGGTTTGGTAAATGTCTGATGCAAGCCAGCTGCCAAACAGCAGGGGCTCAGCTGCTTTGGCTCACTTTTTAAAACACTAGCAAAACATGGTTGTTGAGGACAACTGGCCTTTGGGCAGCCAGTTTGCATTCCCTATAACCTTAGACCAGTGGTCAGCAAATTGTTTCTATTAAAAGCCAGATAGTAAATATTTTAGACTTTGCAGGCCACATGAGCTCTATTGCAACTACTCAGCTCTGCTGTTGTAATGTGGAAGCAGACACTGACAATCTGTAGACAACTAGACATGGCTTTGTTCCAATAAAACTTTATTTACAAAATCAGGAGGTGGGCCAAAGTTTGCTAACCCCTGTCTTAGCAGATTAGACAACTTGGGGAGAAAATTGTCTCTATTTATACAAAGTGTGACTGATATTATAGAACAGTATTTTAAAAATGTAACTTGTGTCTTCAAGGTCAATAAAGTGTTGTCTTCTGTGAGCTAAAAGGAGGGCAGAAGTTAACAGTCTTGTTTCTTCAATTCCAAAGTACGCATTAAATAAAAACATTGCATTCCTAAAATAGGGATTCATCTTAGAGTTGCAGCATACATTCAACACAGTAGCGTTTCTCCAGCCCTCTACAACATTGTTTCTTAACTGAGTGGTATGTACAGTGAAGTGAAAAGTCATATATAAAGTGACATCAGATCAGTTTGAAACAACTTGTATAAAGAAGTTCAAGTCTGCAGCAGTAAGCTGTGGTCACGCCGCTGCACTCCAGCCTGGGTGACAGACCAAGACCCTGTCTCTTTAAAAAGAAAAAAAAATGGGTAGGCATAGTGGCTCAACACCTGTAATCCCAGGAGTTTGAAAGGCTGAGGCATAAGGATTGCTTGAGCCCAGGAGTCCAAGAATGGTCTGGGTAACATCATGAGACCTCACCTCCACAAAAAATTAAAAATTAGCCCAGCATGGTGGCATGTGGCTGCAGTCCCAGCTACTTGGGAGGCTGAGGTGGGAGGATCACTTGAGCCTGAGAGGTTGAGGCTGCGATGAGCTGTGATTGTTCCAGCCTGGGTAACAGAGCAAGACCCTGTCCAAAAAAAGAAAAAAAAAAAAAAAGAAAGAAAAGAAACCAGCCTCAGAGAGGGAGCTGGTATGAGACATTATGTTTGGCTCCTCAGCTAACAAGGTGACAGGATATGAGAAGTTGAATTTCTAAGTCAAGGAAGCCAACACATTTCCATCTAGGAGAAACTCCATGTCTTGCCTTGGTAAGCGAATTGAATTCATTTGGAACCAGCAGTAGAAAACTGCTGTTTCTTTTCCAAAGTAAAATACAATATATGACCAGTATCACTTCGCTTAAGGAAGTCAATTCAGTAGTGGCTGAATTATCACAAATTCCAAATTAGTATGTGGGTCTGAGAGAATGAGCCAGGATGCACCAGTATATTCACATTTTTTAAGGAAAGCATTTTTTAAACAAAGGGTCATTAAAGATAGGGGCCAAGAAGAAAATGCCAAAAATTCTAGAGGGAACACCCACAGTCTAAATCTAAAACACCTTATCTTGGAATGACGAAACAAAAGTTTAAATAGCCCCAGAGACTCTCGCTATTAACAATGAGAAGTCGAATCATTCAAGTCTAAAAATGCCTGGCAGTCTACTACGGTCCTCAGGATGGATGCCTGCTTTTCTTTTGACTTTCATTTCTTCTTCCATATTCAGAGTCACACAAGTGCCTTCTGATTGGGTACATGTATTTTTTTGGTTCCATTTGATTGGGCTGTCAAGCTACAAATTAGAATGAGATCCTCTGGACTTTGCTAAAATTGTGATTGCTTTCTATTGTCTTGAGTAGGAATCCTCTTGCATGAGAATGTGCACATGGCCCCAGATATAGGCCACCCATTGTCCATGGGGAGTGACTTTGGGAACTGACTTCACTTTAGGGGTCAGGGCACTGTTCACTCTAGGAAACTTCTTTCCACTTAAAAAGTTTAAAGGCAAACTCAGTTCCAGGCAAAGGTTTCATGACACAATGTGGTGTCCTCCATGCTAGAAAACTTTCCAAGAGGAAAAAATAACTATAATAATAAACAAGGCTAATCTGGGTGTTGTCTGTTCCATTTATAATGCAGAATTAGAACTATTTTCCTCACTGATGGCTTTTACCAAAAAAACTAAGTCATCTGCAGGCAAATGAGCGGCTGTCTGAAAAGAATGGACTTGAGCTAGTGACTGCTATCTTAGAGACTCATGTAGCATCAGACTTCCTTTCTGGGAGTGGGGGAGTAAGGGGGTTACACACACGCCCCTAATTTGAGGCCAGACATCTGGGCTCTTCTCCCCTCCTGTAAGCGTTTCAACGGCTGTGTTTTAGGAAAAGGTCTAGGAAGAGGAACAATGGCAGACACTATAACCCAGCACCAAATGACTCATCAGAGAAGTCAGTGCCAGGTGTTACTTAGAGAGAGGGACTTTCTGAGGTCTCTGAAGACTAGAACACCGTTCTGATGCTCTCTCGCTACACCCATCCCATAGCCACCCTGGTATCAGGGCCCTGCCAGCAGAGTAGCTTAGGCTTTTCCTAGCCAGAGTCTTCTTTCAGCCACCCAGGGCTACCTAGTTCCTGGGGACTCTAGATATAAAAAGAAGCCCTGGCCAAGAAGGCAGAAAGTCTGAGTTCAGATCTGAGCTTTACCACAGAGTGGCTCTAAACCTTCATGTTCAACTGTACAATGGGACTATCCGTCCTATCCGCCTCTCAGGTAGATGAAATGGGGTAGGCAATACGAAAGAGCTGTGTACATTGTCAAGAGCCCTATTCATATGTGGCCTGCTTAATGGCTCCCTCCTAGTCTGATTTGAGATGAGCATTCTTTCAGCAGCATTTAATGGGCTAAGTCAGATACATTCAAATATTTTTTGAACTATTAATGTCAATGAAATTTTACACAGTCTCTCCATATATAAAGTAAATGAAAGTAGGGCTGCAAGAATCAGCAGGAAGAGGGGAGCTAGAGACTTCCCCCAATACCACCCGACCCATCAGCCTCTCATGGCAGCATCCAAGGCCTCTGCACAGACCCCTAGGGCTCCCAGCGACCAGGTGCAAAAAGCTCTAGACCAGACCATGCCAAAAGGCTCATTCCTGGCTACTGGCAGCATTAACAGAGAGCAGTAGAAGCATCATGCCCCTCCCAGTCTGCCAGTTCCTTAAGGAAGGACCTTGAGAGGGGAGAGAAGGCAACTTGACAGCATGGTTCAAATCAAAGAGGCAGGAAAGGGGCTGTCATCAGGGGCTTGGAGGGGACTGCAAAAAGTGCCTACAGATGAGGCGGGAAATTTGGGCAAAGGTTATCAAGGCCACGTTTAATTATCCTTTCCAAGTCTTGCCCAGCCCAGCCTTTCTGCACACATCATGCAAAAGAAAACCTCCAGCCAGGCGCGGTGGCTCATGCCTGTAATCCCAGCACTTTGGAAGGCCAAGGTGGGTGGATCACCTGAGGTCAGGAATTTGAGACCAGCCTGACCAAAAAGGTGTAACCCTGTCTCTACTGAAAATACAAAAATTAGCCAGGTGTGGTGGCAGGTGCCTGTAGTCCCAGCTACTCGGGAGACTGAGACAGGAGAATTGCTTGAACTCGGGAGGCAGAGGTTACAGTGAGCCAAGATTGCGTCACTGCACTCCAGCCTGGGTGACAGACTGAGACTCTGTCTCAAAAAAAAAAAAAAAATAGAAAAAGAAAACCACCACCCACACTCTGTCCAAACAACCCACATGGTGTTGAGTAGGAGAAGAACTATGGGAGATTTCCTCAAGTTTGTCTTCTTAACCATCCAACCACATGGAGCAGCATTTTGGCCCCAGAGCTACCGGTTTCCAGACCAGATTTCAGGATCTTCCACATAGAGGATATGAGGCTTCTGTCCCACGCAAAATGCTGATGTCCGGTGGGGGAAACAGCTTTGAAAAGGACCTGGTGCTGACCCCCAGATTGTTCCTTCTGTCTAACCAAACTCTGATTGGGAAACAATAGATTATACACATAAAAAACGATCTATGGCAGCTCCTGGCCTCAGATAACTGGGGAGGACTTGCTCCGTCCTGTTCTCTTCCCAAACTGACAGTCCACATGGCACTTGGAAAACAAAGTTCAAAAACAACAATGTTTATTTCTTTGGCCTGCGTCATCATAGATCACCAGATATTCAGCATGGAGCAGAGGAAAATTATAACCGGGAAAATATAGCTGGGTGTGGGGATGCTCACTTGTAGTTCCAGCTATTCAGGAGGCTGAGGCAGGAGGATCTCTTGAGCCTAAGAATTCGAGACCAGCCTGGGCAATATAGCAAGACCCACCTCTTAAAAAAAAAAAAGAAATACAGGGAAAATACCAGGACAGTTGTGGCAAGTCGGCATTAGTTACTGTCAGTAATACAGCCTAGAAACAGTATGTCCAGGGGAGCCTGTCATGGCCTGGTGTTTTGCCTATGGGTAAGTTGGGGTGCAAGTAATCCCCTTTCTGCAAATAAGGAAACCGTGGCTCAGAAAGCCCAAGGTCACAAGGTGGCTGGCGGAACAGGATAGGGGTTACTGCATTTCATAGATGATAAAATGTGTTGTAGGAATTTTATACATGAGGAAACAGGTCTGGAGGGAAATGTGACTTTCTCAAGACCATGCAGGTAAGAGGAGCAGGGCTGGGGCTGGATCCCAGTCACCCTGGTTCCTGCTCCTGAGATCTTTCTACTTTACTCCTCGTTAGGAGCAGTGGTAGAACCAGTGAAACAAGTAGCACTTATTAATCATGTTGTTGTCCATATTTTTGTTGTTTTTCTTCTCATTTTTGGACCAAAGTTCACAGAATTCTATTTAAGTAAGCAAAGGAAGAACTGATTCTAAACAAACCCTCCTTTTTCTTGTTTCTTTATTGTAATTCTTCACTTAGATTCTGCTTGCGATGCAATTTTGTCCTCCATTCTCAACAAAACCCTGCCACCTCAATTAGTTTAATCCATACTGAGCCTGGTCTTTGCCAGCTGATGGAATCCTTGTGCTAGCCAGAGTTTGACTGTGGCTTGCTGAACCACAAGAGAGAAATATGACCTCCATTCTCAAATAATCCACACTAAGATAATGACTGGACTGGGGAAATACTTCAGAGCCACGTATCCCAATGGAAACTTGTAAAAAGAGGCAGGAAAAAAATGGCCCGGGACCCCAGCAGAGCCACCCAGATTCAAGGCACACTCCAGGGGCCCTGGAGTCTTGTTTATATTTCACTCAGACCGCAGTGGAGAGGAAAGCTCAGGGCCCAGAATCTTCCCCGGCATCTGAAGGCAGAGCTCAGAGTGTTCAGTCCTTCAGAAGGCTCTCCAAGGGCCACTTTACAAACAGGCTTTGCTGGCTTCTCCTGGCAGGAGAGTTATTTTGGAGAGAAAGTTGGGCACTTTGAGAACCCAGTGGCCTAGTTTGAGACACCAGGTTCATGCATGGGTGCCCCAGTTCTGTAAGGGTCTAGTCCCTGGTGGTCTGCTCTATACACCATGAGCGCATGAGGACCAGGACTGTGGTGTCTTCACCCCCTGACACGGCTCCAGGCACTCAGGAGACACTTATTGCTCACCTGGCTGACTTCAACTGGCTCTCACCTGGTCTTCACTCTTGCCCACCATAACCCATTCCTTACAAGCCAATGTTTAACATGCATCAGCTCAAGTCCCTTCTTACTTTTAACTTTGTGATGTCTCTCCATAGAATAAAAGCCAACTTCTTTATCGTGGCCTGAAAGATCTGGCACCTGCAAACTACCCCAGCTTCATCTCCTACCACCCCCTCCCTTGCTCACTGTGCTCCAGCCACATGGGGCCTTTTAACCATGCCTGAGACATAACAGGCAAACCCTGATCCAACCTCAGGACCTTCTCACTTTCTGTCCCCTGTGCCTGGGACGCTCCTTGCTTCCCTAGATCATCACAAGGCTCTATCTTGCCATCCAGGATCAACTCAGATGTCAGCTCTTCAGAGAGGCTGACCCTGACCACCTTATCTGAAAGGCATCACCCACCAGCCATTCCACATGACATCCTCTGCTTTGTTTTCTGTGTGGCACATATAGGAGGTACATCTTGTTTATTTACTTTTTTACTTGTTAATGATATCCCCTACTAGGATGTAAACTCCGTGGAGCAGGGGATTGTCAGTGCCTTATTCCCCAGCACCTTGATCAGTGCCTGGCAGGCACGCAGTAGGCAATCAATAAATACTGTCATGAATGAATAAATAAATATTTGACAAAGGAATGAACAGGAGAAGAATTCCTATATCTAAGTTTGCTATTGTTTGCTACCAACAGGACTGTCCTTTCTCAAGCTGGCCTATAAGTTTCTGCAGGGCAGAAGCATGTCTATTTCGTGCCAGAGAATGTGTCTCTGAATTAACTATATTTTCTTGTTTTCTGAATTCTTGATACGCTGGCATCTGGAGCCTTGCTGACAGAGGAGGGACTGACCCTCCCAGTGCCAGCCAGTTCTTAGAGATAGTAAATACATTTGCCTTTGATATGCAATAAATCCTGAGTCCACACTTCCCATCTGCCTCCTTTATCAGGCTTCTGCAGAGCAAGACACTATTCCCATGCCCTAAATCACCCCAAGGCCAGGTACCAGGCAACTAGGGATTATCCCGACCCCTATGGCCCAGAGCCCACCATGTTATTCAAACTCTCCAATTCCCAGGCTGCTCAGCCTGCTCACTCTGCCTCGCTCATTTATTCCCAAGAAAACCACAATAAGGGCTCCTGCCCATGTTTTCCCCTCACTCCCTCTGCTTCTGGACCAGCCCTGGGGCTTCCCCATGTGGCCCTGCATGGCACGGCACACCCCCTCTCCAGAACTGTGAGTAATAAACTATTTTTCAATAGCCCTCATCTTCTGATCTGTTGGTCTCACCAACCTGAATAAAAGCAAAACCTACCTTTTAATACAGTCTCCTGCCCCCAAACACAGATCAGCACTCAACTAACACTCAACAAATATCAAATGAGGGCAGGAGCCACACCTATCTATTCTGCCACTCCACCCCCAGAGCCTAGCACACTGCCTGGCACACAGTAGATGCATAGTAAACATCAGTTGAATGGATGAATGACTTCACTGAGGGCCTACTAAGTGTCAGGTACTTTCCTATCTGGAGGCATAGCATATTGGGTGGAACCCAATTATGGCTGGGTTTAAATTCTGGATCTGCTACTTTGTGGCTATGTAGACTTGACAAGTGGTTTAACTTCTCCAAACCTTGGTTTTCCCATATAAAAAAGGAAAACATAGTAATAACCTCATAGAGTTACTTGGACTCTTATGTGAATGGTTGAGGCAAAGGGTACAAAGCTGCATGTGGTACACAGTTGTCACCATGTAAGTAATTACATTTTCTTGTTTTCTCCATCATCCAGCTTTGAGGAGCAGGGATTATTATTCCCAATTTTCAGAGGAGGAAACCAACATTCTAAGAAGTGAAGACATTGCTTGCTCAAGTTCACCAAGCTAGAAAGTGGTAGAGCTGCATCTAGACCATTCATAACATATGAGAATCCAAAGTTCCCCCAGGTACAGACAGGGAGCTGGGTCTCATCGCCCCATGGGGCTCACATTCCCCACTGCTCCTTGCCCCCCATGCCTCCTGATCTTGTCTCCTGGCACTGTATCTTGGGATGCACACATAAGCCATTCAGATCAAGAACATGGATTCCAGGAATTCAAGTTAAGTTACAGTTAACACCTGTGAAATCATGATTATATTATGCTTATCAGAGAGGCAACCAGCCTTACATAGCTGTCTAGTGGGATTTAAGCCATAGCTCCCCCCACAACGCAGCTTCAACCTTTTTATTAGTTTTCAGCAATGAAAAATTGTAAGAGTCTGCAAAGAACAATATCCATACTTTGTTGAAAAATCAGAAGGTCTGGCGACACCAGCCTTCAGGGACTTGCCTCTGCATTTCCCCTGTCCCCTGCAGCCAGGCCATCCACTCTCCCTCAGGCTATCACAGCAGCTTCCAGACAAACTTCCCTCTGTCCCTGTTCTCCAACTGTCCTTTTACACCACCTGCCACTACAGGGGGCCCAGGGAAATCTACTCCTGTGCCCTTGTAGCAGGGATTTTGAAATAATTTAAAAGTAATGCCAGAACCACAATTACTATTGTACCAACCTAATAGAACAAGGGTTCTATTACTATACTGTATACCATCATTGAGTGGGATTGTGTTGAATCAACAGGTCAATTTGGGAAGAACTGACATCTCAACAATATTCAGTCTTCCAATCCATGAATATCGTATATGGTTCTATTACCAATTTCATCAGGTCACACCCTGTTCTAAATGTCTGAGTCTTTGTTTCTGTATATCAGGTCTGAACTCCTTACAGGGGTATTCCTGCCCTTCAGGGTCTGGCCTCTAGCTACTCTTCCAGCCTCTTTTCTTTTCACATACTGTAAAGCCGTCTTGAACTGCAGTTATATTCTAATGGGAAAGACAGATAACGAACAAGTGAAGAAATACATGAACAAGATTGTAGAAGAGCTATAAAGGAGCTAAACAGAGCAGGATGATAAATGGTTATTTTGGGCCACCTTGAGATACAGCAATCTGGTAAGGCTTCTCAGAGGATGTGGCCTTTTGATCTGAGGCATGGACAGATTTGCAGAATTGTCCGATGAGTGGTCCCAAAGGCACATCCAGGTTGTCTGCAGTGGTAGATGCCAAAATAGATCCAATCCTTCCCATCTTTCTGTCTCCATGACCCATACAATATGATTTTGCTGTCCCTCCCATCAAGAGGTACAGTCTATTTTCCAATTCCTTGAATCTAAACTAGCCTTGTGAACTGCTTTGACCAATTGAGTGCAAACACTCTTCTTCCCGCCTTCAATTGCCTTGGCACATTTGTTGAAAATCAGTTGACCATATGCATGTAGGCTTATTTTAAACTTTCTGTTCTGTTTCACTGACTTGTATGTCTATTATTCATATTTACCCATACACCACATTGTCTTGATTGCTATAGTTTTATCATAAATATTGAAATCAAATAGTGTGAGTCTTCTAACTTTGTTTTCTTTCAAAATTGTTTTTGTTTATTCTAGGTCACTTGCATTTTTTTACACCAACTTTAGAATCAGCTCAATTTGTACAAGTGAGCCTTCTGTGATTCTTGACTGTGATTGTGTGGAATCAACAGATCAATTTGGGAAGAACTGACATCTCAACACTGTTCAGTCTTCCAATCCATGAATATGGTATATGGCTCCATTTATTCAAGTTTTCTTTCATTTTTCTTATTATGGATATGTTCCATTGTAGAGTTCCATTGTAGAGATTCAACATCTTTCGTTGAATTTATTCCTAAATTGTTGATGACATTGTAATTTTTTGAAATTTTATTTTCCAGTTTGCTGCCAATATATACAAACACAATTGATTTTGTTTGACTTTCCCTGAAGGCATTTTCATCTGCTCTGTGCATGCATTTTTAGGGTTCAGCCAGAGGCTTTTGGGAGAATATAAGGAATTTGGGGGTTCCTCTTCTTCAGCTCTCTCCCATCCTGGTGTCCACCCTCACTCCCCAGTGGTTACAAGCCCAATGGAACCTAGCTCTGGTTCCCAGGCCAAGAATATGGCAGGTTTCTGTTGGTATTTTGGCTATGGTTCATTTCACTATGACTGCATCCTGCCTTCAAGCAAAAGCCATAAACCCCAGAAACTTAGTGGGTGCCTGTCCTTTCTTTCAAGGTCTGACCCTCTCCAAAATCTGCCTACTTTGATGCACTTTTTAGAACCTCAGGAGCTGATCTTTGTATTTTATCCAGAGTTTATCATTGTTCTCTGAGGTATTTTAGTCAGGTTCCTGTAAAGGGACAGAACTAATAGAATAGATGTATATATAGGGAAGTTTATTAAGGAGTATTAACTCACATGATCACAAGGTACCACAATAGGCCATCTGCAAGCTGAGGAGCAAGGAAGCCAGTTCAAGTCTCAAAGCTGAAGAACTTGAAGTCCGATGTTGGAGGGCAGGAAGCATCCAGCACAGTAGAAAGATTAGGCTGGAAGGCTAAACCAGTCTTGCCTTTTCACGTTCTTCTGCCTGCTTGGCAGTTAATTAGATTGTACCCATCCAGATTAAGGGTGGGTCTGCCTTTCCCTACCCCCTGACTCAAATGTTAATCTCCTTTGGCAACACCCTCACAAACACACCCAGGATCAATACTTTGCACCCTTCAGTTCAATCAAGTTGACACTCAGTATTAACCATCACAGAGCGTATTCTGCCATTTGAGAAGTAGAACTCCTTGATATGAGTTTTTCCAAAAAAAAGGAAAATAACAAGTGTTGGAGAAGATGTGGAGAAATTGGGGCTCTTGTGCTTTGCTGGTGGGAATGTGAAATGGTGCAGCCACTGTGGAAAACAGTGTGGTGACTCTTCAAAAAGTTAAACATAGATTTATCATACGATCCAGCACATGGATTTACTTCTGGGTAAATACCCAAGAGAACTGAAAGCAGAGACTCCAGTAGATACTCGTAAACCAATGTTCATAGCAGTATTATTAATAATAGCCAATAGATGGAAACAGTCACATGAATGGATAAACAAAATATGATATACATATACGATGAAATATTATTTGGTCTTTTTAAAAAAGGAATAAAATTCTGATGCATGCTGTTTCCTAGGGCTGTCATAACAAAGTACCACAGACTGAGTGACTTCAACAACAGAAATTGATTCTCTCACAGTTCTGGAGGCTAGAAGTCTGAAATCAAGGTGTTAGCAGGGCTGGTTCCTGCTCAGGGCCATGAGGGCAGGATCTGTTTTAGGCCTCTCTCCTTGGCCTTAATCTAATATGACTGGTGTCCTAATATCTTCTTCTAGTAAGGTTACCAGTCCTATTGGATTAAGGCCCACCATAATGACTTCATTTTCACTTAATTATCAATGTAAAGATCCCATCTCCAAAAAAAATTACATTCTGAGATGCCGAGATTAGGACTTCAAAATATAACATGTTATACACACATGTCTAGGCACAATTCAGCCTATAACATGTTATAACATAGATGAACTTAGAAAACACCAAGGTAAATGAATAAACCGACACAAAAGGATAAATATTATGTGATTCCACATATACGAGGTGCCTAAAGTTGTAGCCAGATTGATACAGACAGCGGAATAGAGGTTACCAGGGGCTGGGAGAAGGGAAGGAGGGATGCAGAGTTATTGTGCTATAGAAAGGGCACATAGTGTCTGTTTGGGATGATAAAAAAAATTCTGCAGATGGATGGTGGTGGCGGTTGCACAATCATGCAAATGTACTTAATGCCACTGAATTATACACTTAAAAATGGCTACAACGGTAAGTTTTATGTTGTATATATTTTACTCCAATAAAAATATTTTTTAAAAATCTATGAAAAGAAATTATTACCGGCAGTTTCTTCTCTGTCACATCTGAAAATTGGTGTAATAGTGAAGAGTACTTCTATTTTTCTTGTTTCTTGAGAAACAAGAAATTTCCATTTTCTGTTGTTTTTTTCTCCACTTCGAATTATGTACCTCAATGCAGTGACACTGACTATTATTTTAAGGCAACAGACAGGTGATTAAAGGCAAAATGAGAAACAAGAAACAGCTGTGAACAAGTGTTTAAAAAATGAGATTAAAGTCAGCGCTTCGGCTTGAATGGTAGATATCAATAAACCAGGCGTTTAATTTAAACAGTTTACTCCTTCCTGGATAGTCAGCCAGTGTCCTTTTGCCCGAGTAAAATATCTTTGGGGCTGTAGATTCAGCAGACTGATTTATCTGTCTCTGTGTCAAATGGCATCGTTACAAACTTAGAGCACAAAGTGCCGTGGCCCTTAGAGTTCAACACACGAGAACAAGCAATTCTCATTGTGTACAGCGCTTCGGGATTTCCAAAACGTTTCCTTGGCCATTCACAACAACCCTGCAGGGCTTATCACAATGACCATGGAACAGGTGAAAAAACCAAGACCCCAGTCGTCCTTCAGGAGGCTACTTAGAGCTCAATATCTGGAAAGGCTATGCAACATTATAAATTACCTGAGAACAGGTTTTATCCTTTCCTCTGGTAGTTCAAAACTAATTGCCTTTTCTTTCCACTGGTGAAATAAAAGGGGGATATATACAATGGAGTTCTAGATAATACACACCTGAACTTTAAGTTTTGAATACTTGCTTTATGACCTTTTCAATGAATCGTGTAACTTCAGACAAGTCATCTCACTTCCCTATGCTTAGAATTTGTCAAAGTAAAATAGGAATAATATTAGAAATTACCTGGAACAGGGTAAGCACTCAATAAATATCTGCCAATGTTATTATTGCAGTGGTAAGTATTCTTACGTTCTTGGCAGTATGTCCAGTGCTTAAGCATATTACAATCTATTGTATCTATCTATATCTACAGGTATCCATCCATCTATTAATATCCATCTATGTCATCTAAGTCAGCCATCTCAACAACTCTGCAAAGTAGATTATCTTATTCCCATCTTATAGGAGGGGAAACGCGCTCTGAAACATTAAGTAACTTCCCTAAAGTTTCCCTAATAACCAGTTTACTGGTTTTGAAGTCCAAGCATTTAGACAAAGTTGTGACCTTGAAGACCCAGTTCCAGTACCAGTGTGTGACTGTCAAATCACAAGCCTTCCCTCTTTTGCCTTCCCCAGCCTCAGTTTCCCTCATCTGGAAGATAGGAAAAACCAATCCATGCCTCCTCCACATACTTCCTATGTGTAAACTGAGACTACAGCTACAAAAACACCTTATAATTAAAATGTCAATCCGGCAAGGCCCTGTAGTCAAGCTTTCTAAAGGGTGGGAAGGTTCATGTCTGTATTGTCCATGACTGTTTCCCCAGTTCCTAGCACTTGGACTGGGACGTAGTAGGTGCCCAATTGAAAGTAACTTAGATGAATTGGGCAAATTCATTGTTATTGCTTCCCGCTGAGTGGAGGTTTCTCAGAGCAGATGTTGCCTGAATAATCTCCAAAATCCCAGCATTCCTGTGGTCTTCAAAACAAGAACCCGAGAGGGTGGTTACAATATTTGCCCCAGGTTTAACTGTGGTTCCAAAGAGTAAAAACAGAGCCCAGATTCCAGAAGAATTAGGTTACCTTTATGCCAGCGGCAGCTGTTCCAGATCAGGAAGGGTTGCTATCTTGCAATAATTGTGCCCCAGCCTGCCTGAGAGGCCCTCACCACAAGGAAGGTAAATCCATCAGGTCTCATAAATGGAAGTTTACAGGGAAAAATAAATGCCAGTTTCATTCATGACCTTCTTCTGCTGGCTCAGAGCGCAGCCACTATTTCGAAGCCCTCACTTAGGGAATGAAGCAAAGCATTCTAAGTCATTGTTGACTGCCCTGTGGCCATCCCTGTATTCGACTTGGATTTTTCCTACTATGCTTGGCTGACATTAAATTCCCATTCATTTTCTACTGTATCTTGGAGGAGGCATACATCTGAGGATGATTCATGCCTGGAAAAGAAATGAAGAAAACTCTCCAGAGGCAGCCATTTATTTGGTTGCAGATAAAGATGTAAAGGAAACTAATCAAGGCTTTTGTTTTTAATTTATGTTCAATTTTGGAATGCACTATTATCAAAAGACCAAAGGAATACGTTTGCAGTGTCTCAATGATTTCAGCAGCTAGGTCACAAGAGAAAGAGCTGAAAGTTAAAGAATCTGCAAACAACCTTCCAGGGTTCAGTGGGAAGGTGTCAGGAGCGAGGCAAGAACTCCAGGTCTCTCCTTTCCTGGGACTCCCCTCTTCATAGAGAAAGTCACTCACAGTATTATTACACCCACTCATGCGGCAATGCAGACTCAACTACCAGCCCTGCCCCTTATTAGATACTGACCCTGGGCTGGATGCTTAGCTTCTTTGAGCCTCAGTTTTCTCACCTGCAAACTATAATGTTTGCTTATATCTGAGTCGTTCTGAAAATTCCAGTGGCCCATTGAGTGACAAACTTTGCAAATGGAGAAGTGCTTATCAGAGTTTGAACTTTTCTTTAATTGCATCGTGTCTCATCTTTCCCGCCCCTATCATCCCTCCTCCAAAGGGACAACGAGTTCTTTTAAGGCAAGATCTGTGTCTCGCCCAGCAGTGAAATGCTGTTCAAAATGAACACGTTTTGAAATATCTAGGCTTAAATTCTACCTTCAACATATCGTGGCCTTGTCAACTTAAGCAAGTTTCTTAAACTGATACTCTTTTTTTGTCTTCTTGAAAATGAGCTCATACTATTTTTCTCCAGTGTTGGTGTGACGATTAAATAAAATAACAAATGAATAGCACTGGCCACTTACTAGATCCTCAAAGGATGTTCATTCCCTTCCCTTTTTGCTTATCTCAATATACCTGTTTTTATAGCCTTACAGTTTTCAGCACTGGGCCTCTGCACATAGTGTGGGCCAACTTAGTGTTTTCTAGATAAATAATTGGTGCTAGATAAATACTTTGTTCTAGACTAGCTGACTAATTTACTCAACCTTGTAGTGCAACAAGAGTCACTTTCCAACAACACATTTTAGTTCCCTAATTACTACTTTCTTTGTGGGAAACCCAGAGGTAACTAATAGAAATGATATCCATTCAGTTATTAAAAGCAACAAGGTAGATTTCCATGGTCTGGTATGAAAATCATTATCATCTGTTTTGTAACCCTAAGTGCTAACAGGCACCAACCTAACAGCTTTACAAACATTTGTTCCTTTACTCCTCATAACAATCCTATAGTTGAAGCTCCTGTTACTAACCCCATTTTGTGAGGAAACTGAGGCACAACAGGCATAAAGAAGGTCTCCAACCGTATGAAAGATGAAATTCAAATCCCAGGACCATGAATGGAATTCACTATTAGGTAATTTAAATACGCACATGTATACATAGGTAAAACCACACACTGCAATTAGTTTAGGCAACCATAAAGTTAGAGAGCACTGTCCCCAAGACCATCTTCATTTCTCACGCCAATTGTATACTCAGAGGGATTCCCAAAACCCTCAGCTTCAATAATTTTCTTAAAAAAACTCACTAAAAGCGATTATACTTGCAGTTCAGTTTATATTACAGTGAAAGAATACAGATTAAAATCAGCCAAGAGAATAAGCTGATAGAACAGAGTGTAGGAGAAGTGCCAAAGGCAGGGCTGTCATTGTCCTCTTCCCAGGGAGTCATGGACATGTTAGTCTCCTGGTACCCATATGTGACAATATACACAGAGCACTGCTTAACAGGGAAGGTTGTCTGAGCCTTGGTATTCACAGTATTTATTGAGGTTTCATTACATAGGTGTAATTGATTGATTGGTGGATTGATTGCCCACATGGTTGATCTAGTCTCCGAGTCAACTGATACTGCATGATCCAAAGCCCCCACCCTCAATCACACTGTTGGTCTTGCTGGTGTGGTCAGCCCCACCTGAAATCACGTTACTATCTGGCAAGCTTGGGGCCCTAGACAAACAAAGATCACCTCCTAGGAGTTGAGGGCAAAACCAGACCTTCTTGTAGGCAAGGTTAAACTCTTTACTGGATGCACACATATACAGCTGCACTTGTATTTACACAAACAATACAAAGTGTATACAAATACAGAGAAAAAAGACTGGAATAAAACAGTTAACATTCAGAATTGATTGAAATGGAACTTAAATAATTTACTCTACGTATTCTTCCTTTATTTATTTATTTATTTATTTATTTAAAGACAGGGACTCACCTGTCACCCAGGCCGGAGTGCAGTGGTGTGATCACAGCTCACTGCAACCTTGACTTCCTGGTCCCAAGCAATTCTCCCACCTCAGTCTCCCAAGTAGCTGGGACCACAGGTGCACACCACCACACCCAGCTAATTTTTGTATTTTTTGTTGAGATGGGGTCTCCCCATGTTGCCCAGGCTGATCTCAAACTCCCGAGCTCAAGCAATCCTCCTAGCTCAGCCTCCCAAGGTGCTGGCATTACAGGCATGAGCCACTGCACCCAGCCATATTTCTCTATTTTTCAAATTCTTTCCAGTGAGAATATATTTGCATATATTGCTTGTGAAAATAGTTATCTTTAAGACTTTAGGGAATAAAGAAGAAAGAGAAAAGAGATTCTACTGTGGCCACCAGGCCAGCAGACATGGTGCCAGGTCTGAATTTCCATGTCATTCTATAAATAGTATAAAATCTGCTGACTTAACTTGGTGTGGAATGGCATGAGCTGGCCATATCGCAGGAATTCACAGTTGGGAAATCCTAGTGAAATGGCACAAAGTTGGGATTCAGGAGGAAGGGGAGTAAAGGAGACCAATCCAGGAGAGAAATGATCATCAGACAAGGATCAGGTTGACCTGTGGTGAGCTGGCATCTAAGGCTGGCCTGAGTCCTGCCAGAGGAGAAGGGGGGACAGTGGCTGGGATGGAGAACACGGAACTCAGGTCTTGGCATTGAAAATGGGGAATGGGAGGTGAAGGTCAGAGGCGCAGAAGGAATATTCCCCACCCTGAGCCTCCTCCAGCCTGAACCCCGGCCAGTAGCCCAGAGGTGAGTGGCAAAGCCACGTGTCCATCCTGTGTGTTGCTGCATGGCACTGTTCCCTCCTCTGGTGCTAGCCACTCAAAAGCACTTCCAGCTCGGTACCCCGGGAGCTCCCTGCTTCATGCCACAACTCACTGCACAGAGCAAGGCAGGCCTCGGCCCACCTGTCGCTGCTTGTCAGGAAACACTGCTGGGCCTCTGGTCTATGGGCCCCAGCTGTCCCAAAGGCAAGGCCTGGAGGCTTTTACTTTTGAAATGCAGCTGCATTTTCCTCTCTACAAAGACTTCCTAACAAAACCTAACAGCAAAGAAAAGCAAACTTACAAAATGTCACCTGCTTGAGAAACACAAATTGGGAATCATTTTGAAAGCATAATTCAAGCACCATATGGAACCTAAATTATTCACATTCTCCAGCATTTTTTCCTTTTTAAAAGAGTCACAGCTTTTTCAAAAGAGCTCATAGTACTGTTAGAGGCAGGGCAGTGAAGTAACAAATGCAACAGTCTACTGTGTACTGGGTACTGCGTTCAGTCCGTTAATCCTCACAGTGATTCTGCAAAATACTACTCCTATTTCACAGATGAGAAAAACTAAGGCCCCGAGAGGCTAAGAAGCTCAAGGCCACACAGCCAGTGACAGGAAGGACCACTGTGCAAACCCCAGACTATCTGATGTTAGAGTCTAGGGTCTCTCCAGATGGTACTGAGAGCTCCCAGCCCTCAGATGGCCTGGTTAAATCTACCTATCACACTGACCTATGGTCACTTGGTGCCCATCAGGCATCATCTCCAAATTCCACACACCTTGAATCCCAAAATGAGCTGGACTGACTTTAAAGTCATCTCTTCAGGGGAACACATTTTCTAAACCAAAGAGCAAGCCCAGGGTCCAACAGACGAACGTTATTCTCCTTCAGGTATAAAAGTCAGTCTGGGAAGTTGACATTTGGATACCAAAGTGTGGTCATTCCAGGGATAGCTCAATGGTTTTTGAAGGCCATGGGGCAGAGCAGCAGGTCTTGGGACAACCCAGCAACTCCATGCTCCCACAGCACCCTGTGTGCCCCTCCAGCCTGCCCCTTACCACAGGCATGGAGGCTAGTGATTGCCATGTGTCTCTCCCGCTGGTCTGTGACATGGAGGACAAGCCAGTGTCTCAGTCGTCTCTGCACCCGGCACCCGGAGTAATATGGTTTGGCTGTGTCCCCATCCAAATCTCATCTTGAATTGTAGCACCTATAATTCCCACTTGTTGTGGGAGGGACCGGGTGGGAGATAATTGAATCATGGGGCTTGTTTCCCCCATACTGTTCTCGTGGTAGTGAATAAGTCTCGTGAGATTTGATGGTTTTATAAGGGCCTTCCCTTTTGCTTGGCTCTCAATCTCTCTTGTCTGCCACCATGTAAGACGTGTCTTCTGCCTTCCACCATGATTGTGAGGCCTCCCCAGCCAGGTGGAACTGTGAGTCCATTAAACTTCTTTTTCTTTATAAATTACCCAGTCTTGGATATGTCTTTATCAGCAGTGTGAGAACAGACTAATACACAGGGCAATGGTGAACACAGAGACCATGCTCAGAGCAAAAAAACTTTTCAATGGAAGGAGGGGAAGGGAAGGAAGGCAGAGAAAGAAGGAAAAGAGGAAGGAAAATAAAGCAGATAAATGTGAGACCTATTGTCCCTCTAGTTATGAACCCACTGAGTTCAGCCTCTGGAAAAGCTTCCACAGGGGAGCTGACCTGCACGAGGCTGGAGGCTCCCCTTTCCTTGCACCTGTCACTCAGGATGCAGCCCTTCCTTGTGACCTCAGCCAGAAGCCCAGAGTCTCCATCACCTGCTAATCAGCCCCAGGGACCCTGTACAAGCAGATGCCCCACTGAACGCCACTGCCTCATGGCTTGCCTCCCTTCTGGCTTCCAGGGCAGCCTGGAGATTGCTAACCTTCTATACAGTGGGCAGCGATCACTAGGAGGTAGCACAGGCTAGCTGTGCACAGGGCATAGGTAGTTCAGCTCATTGTCTCATTGCCTAAGACAAGACACCTCAGCCAGGAGTTGTGTGTAGACACAGAAAATCTAGATCACAACCAGGCTTCCCCTAACACTCTTATGAGTGGGTGAAGAAATGGGAGCTATGTGGCTGTACAACCTGTAATGTGCTGAATGACCACCCCCAAAAGGGTGTTGAGTAACAGCTTCACGCGAGCCTGAAAGGGATGCATGTGCCAGCCCAGACGGCGTGTTTATCAGTGACTTGGGGTAAGGCACACAGCGTGCTCATCAATGGCGTGGGTGGCACTGTGATGAGAAGGGCTGCCAAATGTTGAATGAGAAAATTAGGACCCAAAAATATCCAGGCATCTTGGAACAATATAGCATGGATCCAACAAGGCAAAATTTTAATGGGGACAGATGGTGGAAAGCTCTGTGCTTGGGCCCTGAAATGCAGCTGCCCTAATCCCAGAGGGCGTAGCACAGAGTACTAGCAGCATGTGTGAGGAAGACGTGGGGAGGTTTGTTGCATGTACAGAGTGTGGGGTGTCTGCTAAGCAGAGCTGTGATCGCAGATGTGGGGTGGGGGGTCAGAATAAAGTGAGTGTCCTCCTTTTCCTCGCTCCGATTCGGAGCCGCCAGAGCCCCACCCTTGGAGGAGAGTGAAAAACAGTGGAAAATGGTGAGGAGTGATGGGGACTGAAGCCATGTCTTATGAGCAATGGCTGAAAGTGCTATGTTTAGCATAGAGAAGAAGCTCAGGAGGACATGAGAGCTGCTTTCAAATATCTGAAGGGCTGTCACAAGGAAGAAGAATTCAAACTTTTTCTGTGTGGCTCCACAGGGCGAAGCCAGTGCAATGCCAGTGACGTCAAGGAAGATTTGGGCTATGTAGAAGTCAGCTCGGTACTGACCAGCAGTCAGGGCTGTCAGAGGATAAAATGGGTTGTCTCCAGAGAGACTGAGCTCCCCGTCACTGGAAGTCATCAAGCACAACAGAACGACCACCTCAGAGGGGTACTAAGAAGGTCGTCGCTGGCCAAGATGCTCCCTGTGGGCCCTTTTATCTCCAGGAACTGAGCCTTTTTCCTGGGAGGCCTCAGGAAGGAAACACCGCCTCTAGTCAAGGTGTAGCAAAGCACCTTTTTCTTAAATTCTCCGGCCAACCCCTCTCAACAGCTGCCATCCCACTGACTCCTTCTCCTAAATTAGGCTCCCTGGGGCCTCACACAGGGGTTAGAGCTCAGAGACAAGGGCTCCAGAAAGTAATTAAGTCCATGCTATCATCACTCAACTTGTCCTAAAGAACACCGAAGCCCCAAGGGCAGGTGGCCAAGTTTCCTCAAATTACCATTCTTGTAGCAGATTTTGGCCCCTTGTCCCTGAGGGCCCAGGCCTCAGCAAGGCGACACCTGCCAAATGGCAACCAAAATAGAGCTGAGCCCTGCGACCCAGGCTATCACCCAGAAAAGGGGACGTTTAGTCAAGGACATGGGGAAGTGGCTTCCCGCATCCTTGCCCCTTCTCCCTCCACTGGGGTCTGCAGTTGTTTTCTTCTTAATCAGCCAAACAGTCAGGAATGAGGGACAATCCCAGCCGTGAGATGGAAGTGAGACATGTTCAGATGGGCGAGACTGGGCATGAGTCTTGGGCGTGGGAGAACAGCAGGGCTTCGGAGCACAAGAAGTTCCTGAGAACACCCAATCCCCTTGCTCGGCAGACATGAGCTAGTGCTCGGCAGACATGCTAGGCATTTTGCTATAGGGCAGACTCGGTTCTAATGGTGGGAAAGAAAGGGAATAACAAATGAACAAACGTTCTGTTTTGTGGCATTTGAATACACTGGAGCCCAGAGAGGTTGAGTGACTTGGCCAGGGTCACAGAGCAATGGCAAGGCTAAGGGTCAGACCAGGCTTCCTCTCAGCTTTGGTCAAAGTGTTGTTAGAAATGTCAGCCCCGCTGGGCCCAGAAGCACAAAGGAGGCCCTTGCATCCTCCAGTCTACCAACTCTCTCGTCTCTGGAACCTCTTTTTTTCAGGGAATCAGAGTTTCCTGAGAATAAAAGCTCCTAAGGCAGTAGCCAATACACAGTCTCTGAGTGTCTACAGGAGGGAGGTTGGAACCTCACAGAGTAGACAACACCCAGAAGAGCTTAGGGACTCCAAAGACATTGGCAGTAATGCCTCCTTATCTGTGGTTTTACTTTCCACAGTTTCAGTTACCCTAGGTCAACCACAGTTTGAAAAGATTAAGTAAAAAATTCCAGAAATCAACAATTCATGAATTTTAAATTGCACACCGCCATTCTGAG
Organism: Homo sapiens; assembly: GCF_000001405.40. Classification (NCBI taxonomy): domain Eukaryota; kingdom Metazoa; phylum Chordata; class Mammalia; order Primates; family Hominidae; genus Homo; species Homo sapiens. The sequence continues at coordinate 8,597,819 of NC_000003.12, forward strand.
TAGTATAGTGAAATCTCACACTGTCCCTCTCCATCCCACCTGGGACTTGAATCTTCCCTTTGTCAAGCATATGCACACTGTCTGTGTCACCCACCCTATTATACAATGTGATTGCATAGGGGCCGGGCACGGTGGCTCGTGCCTGTAATCCCAACACTTTGGGAGGCTGAGGCAGGCAGATCACTTGAGGCCAGGAGTTCGAGAGCAACCTGGCCAACATGATGAAACCCCATCTTTACTAAAAATACAAAAATTAGCTGGGTGCAGTGGCGCATGCCTGTAATCCCAGCTACTTGGGAGGCTGAGGCTGGAGAACCGCTTGAACCTGAGAGGGGGAGGTTACAATGAGCCAGGATCACACCACTGAACACTAGCCTGGGAGACAGAGCGAGACTCTGTCTCAAAAAAAAAAAAAAAAAGTGATTGCATAGGAGAAAAACATAGCAAACATAGCATACATAGGATTTGGTACTATCTGTGGTTTCAGGCATCCACAGGGAGTCTTGGAACCTACCCCTCGCAGATAAGGGAGGGTTACTGTGCTTCCTTCCCAAATGTCCCCTGTTGGGATAATTGTAAACATAAAGGACATGGGAAGAAAGATGAAGACATGCGAAAGGAGGAGAAAAGGCAGATGAAGACACTGCCAAAATGGGTGGACCACATCTGAATCCTCACCCAAATAAATCAACTTTAAATAAATATGTTTACCTACCAGAAATGACATAAGGTTCAACCTAATACACTCTGAAGTATTTGTGGATGAAATAACATAATTATAGGATTTCCTTCAAAATAGCCTAACGGGGGTGCCAGAAGAGGGACGTGCTGACAGATGAAATAACCTCAGTTAATAATCGTTGAACTGCTGGCTGAGTACAAAGGGGCCTTGTTATATTTGCTCTTCCCTCTACTGTTGTATACATTTGAAATGTTCCATAATTAAAGTTTGAAAAAATATGTTGCCAATATTTTGAGCATCACTGCTAATGTCACAGCCTAGAAAGAGAATTTTTAAAAGGATGTGAATATTTTGCAAAGGTCAATTTTGGTATCCATAATTATGTTAGTTCTTATTAGTCTTCCTGGAAGTCATTTGGCCAAACTGCTATTGAATGGGACAAGGACTGGGAAAATTACACTCATCAAAATAACCCATCAAAATAATGGCAAAAAAGAAAAACTCAACAAAATAATGACAAAACTGTTTCTCATCCTCACTTCTTTTCCAAGGGACCAATTTACCAGCTTTGCCTCCTTAGTGGGGAGGGTCCTCTGTGGAAGCACCTAGAAGTGGGGAGCGTTTCTTGTCCATTTAATTGCTTCATGGTTATCTCTGAGCTGGGCTATTGCCCCCTTGGCTCCAGTGATGTCACACACAAGTCGACTTTGGAGATTTAAGCAATCCTTCTGCAGTGCCTGGCCCATCCCAAACTCAGCTGCTCGGATGCCTTCTCTAAATAGAAGCCTTGTTTAGTGATGCCTACCCTTTTGCCTGCCTACAGAAGCCAGGCTGAGAGGCCAAGCTGATTAGTTATGAGCTAATTTTTACCTGTGTCCACCTGTTGATGTCCATTTCCACAGGTCCTGAATAGTGTAGTCACGTGGTGTGTAATATGACAGCCTGTTTTTGAAGCAGGACTGTCCATGGTGTAGAGTATCACTGGCCATTCAGGACATGGCTTTCAGTGCTCCACAAATCTAGCATAAAGTAACATTGACTCATACAGTGAAAAATTGACCATATTCTTTTATCACTTCTCCCCAAATCTACCTGGTTACTTCAAGGAGAAAGTCTCACTTTGAGCTAGGAACGTTGGCTTATGCCTGTTATCTCAGCAAAGGTGGGTGGATCGCTTGAGCCTAGGAATTCAAGACCAGCCTGAGCAACATACTGAGACCATATCTCTGCAAAAAATCCAAAAATTAGCTGGACATGGTAGCATGCACCTGTGGATCCAGCTACTCCGGAGACTGAGGTGGGAGGATCACTTGAGCCTGGGAAGTTGAGGCTACAGTGAGCTGAGATTGTGCCACTGCACTCCAGCCTGGGTAGGCAGAACAAGACCCTGTCTCAAGAAAAAAAAAGTCTCTCTTTGTTGCCACTATGTCTTTATCACCTTTCTAACATACTTAATCTCCCTTTTTAGCAAAAACAAAAGTGTTGTCAGGTATCTAACTAAATAGAATAGTTTGGTTTGATTTCATCATATTTAATTCTGTAGCTACTTTCTATTTATAAAAGTAATGTTGGTATCATGTATAAGCATAAGATGTGATACCAGCCAAATGATGTTAGTTCCCATGTATAACCATAAGACAATGTAATAAAACATAAAGTAAATATAATTCAGATATTCTGAAAATTACAAAGAAATAGATTAAACACACAGCTAATGAAGTTTGCATAGGTCCTTCCTGAAGCTGTCCCAGCACCACTCAATAAAAGAGATAGCATACAGGAGAAAAAGCCAGAGTGAAAAAAGAAGGCAACCTTAATTGATTGGGATTAAGTTATCCAACTTTTCAATTCCAAAAAGCACAGGACCATACGAATACATTTTGTATGTTTTTTTTTTTTTCTCAAAAAGGTATCCTGCCATCACCTAGCCTAGAACTTCAGGAATCATCCTTGCCTTTCCCCTCATATCTCACTTATCATCTCCATCCTTCATAGTTATAACCATCATTATCATTACCATCACAATCACCATGCTCACTTTCACTGTCATCATCATCACCATCATCAATGTCATGACTGTCATCACCACCATCATCATTATCACCATCATTATAACCATTATCATCATCATCATCACCATCATCAGTGTCATCATTATCATCACTATCATCAATGTCATTGCTGTCATCATCACCATCATCATCACTATCATTATCATAACCATTATCATCAACATCATAAATATCATCACTGTCATCACCACCATCATCATCACCATCATCATTATCATAACCATTATCATCACTATCAATGATCACTGTCATGATCATCATCATCACCATTATCACCAACAATAGCCAATAGTATTTACTGAATGCTTCTTATGAACCAGGCATTGTGCTTCACCTCCATTTTAGTTATTTCAGTGAATCCCTCACAAGCAGAGATGCTGTTATCCAGTCTGTCTTACAGAGGATGAAACAGATTTGGAGAGGTTAAATAAACTGCCCATGTTTACACACCAGGTAAGCAGCAGGGTCAGGATTTGAACCCTGGTCTGTGGTTAGAGTCCAAGCTATTAATCACTACACCCTCCTGCCTTTAGTTGAATCACTGACCTACCTTAGACTTTCAGTATTTCTTTCCTCGACTTCAATACTACCTAACCAACCTGCTGTACGCCTATCTCCTCCTTCTCATATGGGAAGTCAGTCATTCTTTCTAAGCCATCAGCACAGTCTATATAACACTCAAATCTTTCCCCACCTAAAATCTTTCAAAGGGGCTTCACCCACTAAATAGTATAAACTCTTTGCACCTATTAGGATTTCTTGATGGAAAGCAACAGGAAAAACTCTGAGTAATTTAAGAAAGGAAAAAAAGGCAAAGACAGGGAATTTATTGGAAGGATCCCAGGTCGTTCATTTAAGCTGAGCCTGGAGCCTAAGATATGGTGAGTACTCATCATAAGTTTGTTAAGTGGATAAATGAATGAAAGCAGAAGTGAAGGAAGGGGGCAGGCTTGGTGGACCCCACTGATTTCTAAGCAGAACTATAGAGATCCACAAAATTGCTTCAGAAACCTGTAGTGGATGAGACTCTGGGCCACACCTACCGCCTCTCACTACTTCCATCTGTTTATGAATTGAGAAGATTTGTGTAGCCAGGCACAGTGGCTCAAGCCCGTAATCCCAGTACTTTGGGAGGCTGTGTTGGATGGATTACCCAAGCTCAGGAGTTTGTGACCAGCCTAGGCAACACGATGAAACCCTGTCTCTACCAAAAATACAAAAAATTATCTGAGTGTGGTGGCACACGCCTGTGGTCCCAGCTACATGGGAGGCTGAGGTGGAAGGATCACTTGAGCCTGGGAGGCAGAGGTTGCAATGAGCTGAAATGGCCCCACTGCACTTCAACTTGGGTGACAGAGTGAGACCCCCTCTCAAAAGGTAAAAAAAGGGAAGATTTGTTTAAGACACATTTTCTAAGGGAGTTTACCTCTTTAAAATCATGGGTAAAGTAAGTAAAGCACCAGCCTGGAATTTGGAGGTATGCATTGTTTTCCTGGTTTTACCACTCGCCAAGTGAATGCTTTGGGGCTAGACATGGCCCCTCTCTCAGCCTCAGTTTCCACATCTATAAGATGGTCACATCCAGCAACTCTAAGTTGCCCACACTCAGGGAGAAGAGCAATGCAAGATGACTACATAAATACTGGATAAGCCCAAACACAAGCCCTGAAGATCTACTTTCTTAATTGCATTTTTAAAGTTAGTATTTAAATGAGCTATACCCAGTCACAGGCAATGGTGAGGCCCCAGGGTAGTGATGGGGAGAGGGCCTTGTCCAGGGTTTCCATAGCTACTTCTAATAATCCACTAAATGCATTTCTAGCATCGGGATAAGTAGTAGGAAGATGAAAATTAAAATAGGTAAGAGGTGGGATTTATCCACCATCCAGCAACTTCATAATGCAATAGAACATAAATTTGGGATGGATTTGTGTGTGTGTGCATGTGTGTGTGTGCACACTCGTGCACATGGGTAAATGTGTGCTCGGTGGAAAATGCCCAAGAAAACTTTTCCAACATTAACCCACACAGAGGAGGAAGCTGAGGCTCAGACAGGCTAAGTTTCCACTTCTTTTACTACTGTTGACTTTGTACTAATGGTCTCCACAGGCCAGTGTCTCCAGGTCTCCACATCTAGAAAATATTTACCCTTCTGATATGGTTTGGCTCTGTGTCCCACCCAAATCTCATCTTGAATTGCACTCCCGTAATTCCCACGTGTTGTGGGATGGACCCAGTGGGAGACAGTTTGAATCATGGGGGTGGTTTTCCCATACTGTTCTCGTGGTAGTAAATAAGTCTCATGAGATCTGATGGTTTTATCAGGGGTTTCCGTTTTTGCATCTCCCTCATTTTCTCTTGCCACCACCATGTAAGAAGTGCCTTTTGCCTCTCACCATGACTCTGAGGCCTCCCCAGCCATGTGGAACTGTAAGTCCAATTAAACCTTTTTTTCTTCCCAGGCTCGGGTATGTCTTTATCAGCAGCGTGAAAATGGACTAATACACCTTCCATCAACATCCCATACATAAATACTTTCTAAATCACACCCTGCTCACTTCTCCTCCAAATGGATCTGGCTGCCCAAGAAGTCTCTGAGAGGAGGCTGTGGTGCCCTCTGAATTCATGTGAGGCAGATGCTGATATGTTCATCCACGTGAACTCAACTTACAGTTTTCGCTCTAAGTGGGTTGGCACCAACACACCATCGACCTGCCAAAACTCTCCTATGTTCTTTGGACTCAAGCCCAGGGTCATCACATCACTTTCCAGGGAGTGGTGGAATTGGCCCCAGAGGGCAGAAACATCTGGAAAGTAGAAAGTAGGCACATATTACTCTTGGAACCCTCACGCACACCGTGCGCTCACTAATCGGCATGGGGTCACCTTTAAGACCAATGGAAGTGAAACCCGGAAGCAAGGCAAGGCCTGGGGGAGGGGCTGGGATCTGGAGTGGAGCCAATGCCTGGAAGCAAGCCCCTACTAAACTCCATGCATTGAGACACACACTGTCCTAGGGGACTGGCAGGAGAAATGTTTTTAGCACACTAAGTCCTCACTTAACGTCTTTGATAGGATCTCTGAAACTGAGATTTTCAGCAAAACAACATGTAACAAAACCAGTTTGACCATGGGCTAATTGATATAAACAAGAGTTAAGTTCCTATGGCATAATTCTGGTCACAAAATCATTCCCAACTTCTAAAGAAAGACCCAAAACACTCTAATAGCAAACACTGAAATAAATGTAGGATACACATATATCTAATAAATATTAATAAAAACAAGTAAGAATTATTTACTAAACTTTTGGTGAATCAGTGAGTGAGTTAAATCAAGGAATAAATATATGCAAAGCAAACATTGTCAGAAGCACCTCCTACCACCACTCAGTTCAAACACCAACAGTCACAAATACGGTGGCTTGCTCAGCGCTTTCGTACCAAATTGTTTATTGTTGTGCATTTGTAGGATTATTGTGGACTTTATGAATTATTATTTTATAATAATTCATGCTCATTCATTTATTCATTTTCCAACTTGCTTACTCCAGGTCAGGGTCGTGGGTGGCTAGAGCCGGTCCCTGTAGCTCAGGGCACAAGGTGGGAACCCACCCTGGCCAGGACACCATCCTACCTTGGGACACACTCACTCACACACCCACACAGACTCAAACTGGGACAACTGAGGGCGCCCATTCACCTGCAGCATATCTTTGGGATGTGGGATGAGACTGGGGTACCCAGAGAAAACCTGCGCAGACACAGGGGAACGTACAAACTCCATACACACACAGTGGCCCCAACCGGGAATGGATTTTTTTTTCATCAACATTACAACAAAACAGTGTTGAACAAAATGACCATATTTGAGGGCCTGCTGTACCAATTTCCTGGAAAGCAAGTCATCAATATTTATCAGGACTCTGAAAAATGTTCATGTTTTCTATCATGCTGTAATTCCACTTTTAGGACTCTAAATGAAGGAAATAATTGTACGTGAACACAAATATGTAAGTACAGGGTTTGTATACATTAGTTACATACATATATAAGTATGTATCATTAACTATAATAGCAAAAAATTAAAAATTAGAGACCAAAAAAGTAAATGCCACTATTATGGGAATGATTACGAGTTGGTTATATAAACAAATTATGGCAATCTATGTGACAAAATAAGGAAGTTCTAAAAATCACGTTTACAAAGAATGCTTACTCATAATGCTAAGAAAAAAATGTAGAAAACAAAGTTATAAGAAGGGAATGACTGCAGCTATATTGAAGAAAAAAGCCTGGAAGGAAATATGGTAAATATGAGTTGTGTCTAAGTGGTAAGATTCTGGGTGATTTTTACTTTATGCCATATTTTTAAAATATTTTGTAATGAATCTGAATTACTTTTGTAATCAGAAAAACAGAGAAACATCTTTTCAATCTCAGCACCCCAGAACCCTCCTAGCTGACTTGCCTAGACATGGCCTATAAACACTCGGGCTCAGCATCTGATCTCGGACCAAGGCATGTTTTTACGTTTCTATGGCTTTCTCAATGCTGCTGTCTACTTGACCTGTGACCTTGAACCTCTTATAACCTCAGTTTCCACATCAGCAAAATGGTCACATCAGCAGTTCTCAATCTCCTACCTTCTGTGTCTTCAGATCCTAGTTGTTCCCAGTCTCAGTTAATGAAAGACCTCTCCATAATGGCCTAAGGGGCCCTAGCCTGGGTGAGCTCCTGGGACTGCTCTGATATTTTTTTTTCACACTGAAGTATGTAGATTTTTGTTGTTGTTGTTGTTTATATACTTTAAGTTCTATGGTGCATGTGTACAACGTGCAGGTTTGTTACATATGTATACATGTGCTGTGTTGGTTTGCTGCACCCATTAATTCTTCATTTACATTAGGTATTTCTCCTAATGCTATCCCTCCCCCACTCAGCCTCGAAGTTTGGAGTTGCAAACGGGAATGGCTTCAAGGGGCAGCCAGGCTGCTGGGATATTCCCAGACAGCTCCCAAATGTGTTTGCTTTAACCTACAAGCCAACTCTTCCCTAGTGTGAACTTGCTGCTCAGCCGCTCACCCAGGACCCAGAACGCATGTCCTAGACTGGCTTCCATGAGAAAAGCACTCATCCCAAGTGGGTCTGTCAGAGTCCTAGCAGGAAACAGCCATCTCACTCAAACCAGGATTATTTGGGGGTGTGTTCAATGGAGGGAAATTTTGTCAAGGTATGGGCAAGGCTTATAGAAACCCCAAGGGATTATGTGACTCCCTAGAGCTATTAACAGCAGGGGCCAAGGAAGGAGCAGCTTCAGGAACCAGGAGACAGAGAAGGCTGTGGAGAAAGGCCGCTCCATCACGGCTGAGGTCTTCTGTCGAGAGACCCAACCAGCCCAAGGCAATGCAGCAGTTGGGGGATAGGGAAACTAGTATCCCCAGCCTCACTTTTCTCCCTCCCAGGCTTAAATGAAAGCTCCTTGTTGGCCAAAGCCAAGTAAAGCCCCCAACTTAGGCAGTTTGGGCAGCTACAGAAGAATACCATAGACTAGGTGCCTTATAAACAACAGAAATTTATTTCTCCCAGTCCGGAAGCTGGAAGTCCGAGATCAAGGTGCTGGCAGATCTGGTGTCTAGGAAGGGCCTGCTTCCTGGTTTGCAGATGGTCACCTTCTTGTTGTATCCCCAAGTGATGGAGAGTAGAGAGCAAGATCAAACCCTTGCATCTCTTCTTATAAGGGCACTAATCCCGTTCATGAAGGCTCCATGCTCATGACCTGATTACTCCCCAAAGTAAAGTGCATTCATATTCAGGGTTAGGATTTCAACCTACGAATATTGGTGGGACACATTCAGGGTATTGTGCTCCCCATTGGCCAAACCCTCAAAAAAGCCAGAGGGCAAGGAGGTCCATGCAGGACAGCCTCCCAGGGCCCAGTCTAGAGTGGAGAGGGGTCCGGAGAGGATCCAGAGAAGCAAAAAGAAAAGATTCATCCACCAAGCATTTGAGGATTTCTCAACAGTTTCCCCTGACAACGTGGGCAGGTCCATGTCACCCTGCACCCAAGATCTCCCTTGAAAGTTCTCCACCCGGCACATGGGCATGGGCATTCCCCAGGCCCTTCTCTGCAGTGCTGGCTTTCTCTCTCTCTCCTGCCACTCCTTCACACAGTGGTCAGTTTGCCCAATCCAATCACTCCCTTCCCGATGTCAAACTTATCTCTCCTTAATTATGCAGAGTAATTTAGAGAGCATCCTGCCCCCTGTGCCAGAGGATCACCACAGTGTCTCTTCCCGGCCAGACAGTGCTCTCCCGAGAGGCAATCTAGCACGTAGCTTTCTCATCTCATCTCACATTTTTGGCATTCACATTGCACGACTCAAACTGATTATTAGCTGCCAAACCTTGTTTGAGGAGTGTTGCAAAAATAATTTTCCCTAATTGATCTGGATAAACATGTGTCTGTCAATATAAATCCCATCTCTTCATGGATGGTTTGCTGCATCTGCAGCTATCTGCTTCAGGGCAAAACTAAAGAGGATTTTCTGCAGCTGTAAGGGGCAGCCGCTGAGTGGATCCTTCTTTGAGAAAACTTTCTCTGAGCCAAGCTGGAGGAATGAGAAGAATAACCAGATGCTTCGAGCCAGGAAGATTGTCATGTTTGTAAAATCAGATTGGATTTGTTCCCCTGCAAGAATTTGGACTCCCTGTGCCCACCAATGACCACAGAGCCAACGCCACCTGCCCATTGCTGCCCAATGGGCAGACCACACTGGCTTCTGCAGCCCGGGCTGTCCTCATTCACTCTCTTTTTCTCAGGGGAGAGTCTGCACTCTGTACCACCTGGAGAGAGTATGTCCCTTAGAAATAACAGGCATCTTGTCTTCCTCAACAGCCTCCCTGACTGTGAGGCAGGGCGATCAGCAGTGGCTGCTGGGGGCACCAGGAAGGAAGGAAAGTTGGGAGCCTGAGTGTCCTGCCCAGTTTCAGAAAGAACTCAGTCCAGTCTAGACAGAGAATCTCCATTCCAGCCCTTGCATCCTCAGAGGAAACCCTCCAGCCTGGTTTCTTATCAGGTTCACATGTGACATTAAACAGGTCCAAGCTTGCAGTCTTACAAGGAAAGTGGTTGGCTGGGGACACCCGGTGTCCAGTGTGTGCATAAACACTGCCCTGGGTGTTGGTGGTTTTGCTGCCAGGATTCCCCTCCGCTTCTGGAAATGGCACCTGAATTTTCCTGCGGGAAGCGGGGTTTGCCCTCTCCTCAACCAGGATGGGTTTTGATGGGGCAGTTCCCATCCCCTGGACCTGGGCCTGGATAATCAGCTTATTTCAGCACAGGGCCATAGAGACTGGTGTTAGGCTGGCTCAAGCCAGGGTGTTTGGCCCAAGGAGTCTCAGTCCTGGGGCCTTTTGTAGAGCAACCAGGAAAGTCATGAGCTCTTGGCTGCAGGAATGCTGAGAAAGTCATAGCCAGCCTGAAACTAAGGGTGTACCTCTTGCCATTAGCAGGATAGGGAAACGTAGGAGACAGGTAGAAAGAAACATGTTCAACAACATTGCCTGAACCTCTGGGAACACCCCAGCCCAGAGCCAGAACTACACCAGACTTGTCGGTTCTGTGTGCCAGTAAACTGCTTCACCCAGCGTGGGTTGGGTTTCCGTTACTTTCGACCAAGTGTCCTAATGCCCACGTGTACATCTATGTTTTCCTTCTGCTGTTTCACTATTTGTTGGTGGGGTCAGTGACATCTATCTGTCCTCTGTACCCCTACACACCTCCCTCTGTCTGCCTCTGAATGGTCCCGCCCGTCTAGAGCCAGCTGTGTGTTGGGAGGCGAGATCTCAGGCTCAGCCATACCATGTACAGGTGACTGCCTGCTGGCAGGTCTGACATGAGAGTGTGGAAGTGGGGCTCAGAGGCTGCAGGGTCCAGTGCTGGGAGACGCACTCAGAAGGTTCACACCGAGACTGTGCAGTGAAAGGGAGGCAGCGATGGGTTCTAAGGCATGGCAAGTTCACCAGGAGGCACCGATTACAAGACGGGGTGGAGGCCACAGTGAGAGGCTGGCCCTTATGCACAGTTGGGACTGCCAGGGTGGCCAGGGAGGTGAAGACGGAGAAGGACGAAGCCTGCTCTGTGGAGGCACTGGGTGCTTCTTGGCATACCCCAAGCCTCCTCTGGATTTAAAGGGACTCTTTCTTTGATTCCATACTGGAGAACCAGAAGACAGAAGACCCTGGTCCGGCCCAACCTGCTGCATGGCTTTGGGCAGGATGCTCAACCTCTTTGAACCTCAGGTTTCTCATCTTTGAAATGGGTTTCAAAAGAGACGGGCCTCAAAGGACTCCTAAAAGTACGAAACTGAAACGATAGGTGGAATAGAATTGTGTAAACAGGCAGTGTCTCAGTCTGTCTGGGCTTTGATATTGAAGTACTATAGACTGGGTGGCTCATAAACCACAGAAATTCATTTCTCACCGTTCTGAAGGCTGGAAGTCCGAGATCAGAGTGCCAGCATGGTTGAGTTCTGGTGAGGACCCTCTTCCAGGTTGCAGATGGCTGACTTCTCCTGTATCCTCTCCTGGTGGAAAGAGCTAGCTCTCTGGCCTCTTCTTAGGAAAGTTGTTACTAATCCCATTCATAAGAGCTCCACTCTAGTGACTTAATCACCTCCGACAGGCCCCACGTCCTAATGCCATCACCTTGGAGACATGACTGCTGGGAGGACACTTTCAGACCCTAGCAGGCAGTTAGTAGCTGGTGTGGTTTAATAGGCTGTGTTCCTCCATAAGAGAAAGATGGTTCAAAAAAGGCTTTAATGCCTTATCCTTTAGTAAGAATTCACGGTTGTTAGGAGAAAGGATGTAGGATTTTCAGACCAAACGTTTTGAATTTCAATTACGCCTTTCATACTTCCTCTTTTGGAAACGTGGAACAAGACATTTTGCTTTTTTTATATCCATCTGTTTCAACATTTTTCAAATGAGAAAAGGAATCCCAGCTTTCCTCCACATCTGGGGTGGGGATTAAATGAGGGAGAAAGAACTTTGTAATAACAACAAAAATATAAAGTACCCCTTAATGAGCACTTACTTTGTGCGAGGAATTATTTCATTTATGCATCTAAGTCCCACAATGACTCCACACTGTAAAAGTAACAGTAATAATGACAATATGTGACATTGGACTTAGCCGGGCCTGGTGGCACACACCTGTCATCCCAGCTACTTGGGAGGCTGAGGCAGGAGGATTGCTTGAGTCCAGGAGTTTGAGGCTACAGTGAGCCCTGTCGTGCCATTGCACTACAGCCTGGACAAAAGTGAAATCCTATCTCAAAAAAATGAATTAGTAGTAATAATAATTATTGAGTATTTAGTATGTGATATGGTTTTTGGCTGTGTCCCCACCCAAATCTCACCTTGAATAGTAATAGTCCCTACATGTCAAGGGTGGGGTCAGGTGGAGATAATTGAAACATGAGGGCAGCTTCCCCACACTCTTTTTCGTGGTAGTGAATAAGTCTCACGAGATCTGATGGTTTTATAAATGGGAGTTCCCCTAACACATGCCCTCTTACCTGCTGCCATGTAAGACATGTCTTGCTTCCCCTTTGCCTTCTGCCATGATTGTGAGGCCTCCCCAGCCATGTGGAACTGTGAGTTAATTAAACCTCTTTCCTTTATAAATTACGCAGTCTCCGGTATGTCTTTACTAGCCGAGTGAGAACAGATTAATACAGTATGTGCCGGGCTGTGTTCTAAGAGCCTTCCGTTAATTACGTATCTCTAGTCCTCACAACAGGTCTGGGAGGAGTAGGTACTCTTAATACGATCATTTTGCAGATGAGCAGACTAAGTTCGCAGAGATTGATGAGATGGTCTCAGGGCTAGGGTGGGGCTTAGCTAAGATTTATTCAAAGGCAAAAGTTGTTTTACAATTAATCATATACATGTTGTGTGTGTGTATGTACTACATACACCATATCTTGCATAATATGCATTGTAAGTAATTCTAGTCGCACAATGACTGGTAGAGGGGAGGCTCACCCAGGGCTCTACTGGTCACCTTGCCCTGAGCAATGATCACATGCAGGAAGCTGTGGATAGGACCCTTACTTGCCTTCCAAACTGAAGATGTTTCTACTCTCAGGTGTGGCTAAAGAGGTTACCTGGGACCAGTATGAGGAAACTGCCCCCTTGATTCCATTATCTCCACCTGGCCCCACACTTGACACATGGGGATTATTATAATTCAAGGTGAGATATGGGTGGGGACAGAGCCAAACCATATCACATACCAAGTACTCAGTAATTGTTATTACTATTAATTCTTTTTTTTTTTTGAGATAAGGTTTCACTCTGTTGTCCAGGCGGAAGTGCAATGGCACAATTACCAATTACTTGCAAAGAGGCCAAGCTGGCCTCGGCAACAAAGCAACCTGGGCCCACAACTCCTACTGAAGAAGAACAACCCACTTTCACCCAGCAGCTGCTGTGCTGGGACCTCCCAGCTGCAGCCCCAGGCGGCCAAGCTGCTCTCCTTACCCAGCCTCCTCTGACAGTTCCTGATGGAGAAAAGGGGAGCCTGCTGTTGCTGTCAGCTGGTCTGCACATTTGTGCCCTGGGCACCGCTGAGGATAACACACTCACCAGCACACCATGTTGACCGGCACGTTGCATTTCCACCCAGAATTTAAAACCAGGCAGTGGCCTGGCTCTGCACTTCCCGACTCTGTGACTTTGGGCAAGCGATTGAAACCCTCTGGACTTCCGTCTCCTCATCTGTAAAACGGGGATAAAAACAGCCCCTCCTTTATAAGCTTGTTGTGAAGACTTAGGGTCTGACCCTTGAAAAATGGTTAGAATAGTGCCTGTAACTTGGGAAAAGCTTAATAAATGTTTGCCATTGTTAGTACCTGAAGGGATCCCTTAAAAAAGCAAGGAAGTGGGGGAGCAGCCAAGATGGCCGAATAGGAACAGCTCCGGTCTACAGCTCCCAGCGTGAGCGATGCAGAAGACGGGTGATTTCTGCATTTCCATCTGAGGTACCGGGTTCATCTCACTAGGGAGTGCCAGACAGTGGGCGCAGGTCAGTGGGTGCGCGCACCGTGCGCGAGCCGAAGCAGGGCGAGGCATTGCCTCACTCGGGAAGCACAAGGGGTCAGGGAGTTCCCTTTCCTAGTCAAAGAAAGGGGTGACGGATGGCACCTGGAAAATCGGGTCACTCCCACCCTAATACTGCGCTTTTCCGACGGGCTTAAAAAACGGTGCACCACCCACCTGGCTTGGAGGGTCCTACGCCCATGGAGTCTCGCTGATTGCTAGCACAGCAGTCTGAGATCAAACTGCAAGGCGGCAGCGAGGCTGGGGGAGGGGCGCCCGCCATTGCCCAGGCTTGATTAGGTAAACAAAGCAGCCGGGAAGCTCCAACTGGGTGGAGCCCACCACAGCTCAAGGAGGCCTGCCTGCCTCTGTAGGCTCCACCTCTGGGAGCAGGGCACAGACAAACAAAAAGACAGCAGTAACCTCTGCAGACTTAAATGTCCCTGTCTGACAGCTTTGAAGAGAGCAGTGGTTCTCCCAGCACGCAGCTAGAGATCTGAGAACGGGCAGACTGCCTCCTCAAGTGACCCCTGACCCCCGAGCAGCCTAACTGGGAGGCACCTGCCAACAGGGGCACACTGACACCTCACACGGCAGGGTACTCCAACAGACCTGCAGCTGAGGGTCCTGTCTGTTAGAAGGAAAGCTAACAACCAGAAAGGACATCCACACCAAAAACCCATCTGTACATCACCATCATCAAAGACCAAAAGTAGATAAAACCACAAAGATGGGGAAAAAACAGAACAGAAGAACTGGAAACTCTAAAAAGCAGAGCGCCTCTCCTCCTCCAAAGGAACGCAGTTCCTCACCAGCAACGGAACAAAGCTGGAGGGGGAATGACTTTGACGAGCTGAGAGAAGAAGGCTTCAGATGATCAAATTACTCTGAGCTACGGGAGGACATTCAAACCAAAGGCAAAGAAGTTGAAAACTTTGAAAAAAATTTAGAAGAATGTATAACTAGAATAACCAATACGGAGAAGTGCTTAAAGGAGCTGATGGAGCTGAAAACCAAGGCTCGAGAACTACGTGAAGAATGCAGTAGCCTCAGGAGCCGATGCCATCAACTGGAAGAAAGGGTATCAGCAATGGAAGATGAAATGAATGAAATGAAGTGAGAAGGGAAGTTTAGAGAAAAAAGAATAAAAAGAAATAAGCAAAGCCTCCAAGAAATATGGGACTATGTGAAAAGACCAAATCTACGTCTCATTGGTGTACCTGAAAGTGACGGGGAGAATGGAACTAAGTTGGAAAACACTCTGCAGGATATCATCCAGAACTTCCCCAATCTAGCAAGGCAGGCCAATGTTCAGATTCAGGAAATACAGAGAATGCCACAAAGATACTCCTCGAGAAGAGCAACTCCAAGACACATAATTGTCAGATTCACCAAAGTTGAAATGAAGGAAAAAATGTTAAGGGCAGCCAGAGAGAAAGGTCGGATTACCCTCAAAGGGAAGCCCATCAGACTAACAGCAGATCTCTTGGCAGAAACCCTACAGGCCAGAAGAGAGTGGGGGCCAATATTCAACGTTCTTAAAGAAAAGAATTTTCAACCCAGAATTTCATATCCAGCCAAACTAAGCTTCATAAGTGAAGGAGAAATAAAATACAGACAAGCAAATGCTGAGAGATTTTGTCACCACCAGGCCTGCCCTAAAAGAGCTCCTGAAGGAAGTGCTAAACATGGAAAGGAACAACCAGTACCAGCCACTGCAAAATCATGCCAAAATGTAAAGACTATCGAGACTAGGAAGAAACTGCATCAACTAACGAGCAAAATAACCAGCTAACATCATCATGACAGGACCAAATTCACACATAACAATATTAACTTTAAATGTAAATGGACTAAATGCTCCAATTAAAAGACACAGACTGGCAAATTGGATAAAGAGTCAAGACCCATCACTGTGTTGTATTCAGGAAACCCATCTCACGTGCAGAGACACACATAGGCTCAAAATAAAAGGATGGAGGAAAATCTACCAAGCAAATGGAAAACAAAAAATGGCAGGGGTTGCAATCCTAGTCTCTGATAAAACAGACTTTAAACCAACAAAGATCAAAAGAGACAAAGAAGGCCATTACATAATGGTAAAGGGATCAATTCAACAAGAAGAGCTAACTATCCTAAATATATATGCACCCAACACAGGAGCATCCAGATTCATAAAGCAAGTCCTGAGTGACCTACAAAGATACTTAGACTCCCACACATTAATAATGGGAGACTTTAACACCCCACTGTCAACATTAGACAGATCAATGAGACAGAAAGTCAACAAGGATACCCAGGTATTGAACTCAGCTCTGCACCAAGTGGACCTAATAGACATCTACAGAACTCTCCACCCCAAATCAACAGAATATACATTTTTTTCAGCACCACACCACACCTATTCCAAAATTGACCACATACTTGGAAGTAAAGCTCTCCTCAGCAAATGTAAAAGAACAGAAATTATAACAAACTATCTCTCAGACCACAGTGCAATCAAACTAGAACTCAGGATTAAGAATCTCACTCAAAACCACTCAACTACATGGAAACTGAACAACCTGCTCCTGAATGACTACTGGGTACATAACGAAATGAAGGCAGAAATAAAGATGTTCTTTGAAACCAACGAGAACAAAGACACAACATACCAGAATCTCTGGGATGCATTCAAAGCAGTGTGTAGAGGGAAATTTATAGCACTAAATGCCCACAAGAGAAAGCAGGAAAGATCCAAAATTGACACCCTAACATCACAATTAAAAGAACTAGAAAAGCAAGAGCAAACACATTCAAAAGCTAGCAGAAGGCAAGAAATAACTAAAATCAGAGCAGAACTGAAGGAAATAGAGACACAAAAAACCCTTCAAAAAATTAATGAATCCAGGAGCTGGTTTTTTGAAAGGATCAACAAAATTGATAGACCACTAGCAAGACTAATAAAGAAAAAAGAGAGAAGAATCAAATAGATGCAATAAAAAATGATAAAGGGGATATCACCACGGATCCCACAGAAATACAAACTACCATCAGGGAATACTACAAACACCTCTACGCAAATAAACTAGAAAATCTAGAAGAAATGGATAAATTCCTGGACACACACACTCTCCCAAGACTAAACCAGGAAGAAGTTGAATCTCTGAATAGACCAATAACAGGAGCTGAAATTGTGGCAATAATCAATAGCTTACCAACCAAAAAGACTCCAGGACCAGATGGATTCACAGCCGAATTCTACCAGAGGTACAAGGAGGAACTGGTACCATTCCTTCTGAAACTATTCCAATCAATAGAAAAAGAGGGAATCCTCCCTAACTCATTTTATGAGGCCAGCATCATTCTGATACCAAAGCCAGGCAGAGACACAACCAAAAAAGAATTTTAGACCAATATCCTTGATGAACATTGATGCAAAAATCCTCAATAAAATACTGGCAAAACGAATCCAGCAGCACATCAAAAAGCTTATCCACCATGATCAAGTGGGCTTCATCCCTGGGATGCAAGGCTGGTTCAATATATGCAAATCAATAAATGTAATCCAGCATATAAACAGAGCCAAAGACAAAAACCACATGATTATCTCAATAGATGCAGAAAAGGCCTTTGACAAAATTCAACAACCCTTCACGCTAAAAACTCTCAATAAATTAGGTATTGATGGGACGTATTTCAAAATAATAAGAGCTATCTATGACAAACCCACAGCCAATATCATACTGAATGGGCAAAAACTGGAAGCATTCCCTTTGAAAACTGGCACAAGACAGGGATGCCTTCTCTCACCACTCCTATTCAACATAGTGTTGGAAGTTCTGGCCAGGGCAATTAGGCAGGAGAAGGAAAAAAGGGTATTCAATTAGGAAAAGAGGAAGTCAAATTGTCCCTCTTTGCAGACGACATGATTGTATATCTAGAAAACCCCATTGTCTCAGCCCAAAATCTCCTTAAGCTGATAAGCAACTTCAGCAAAGTCTCAGGATACAAAATCAATGTACAAAAATCACAAGCATTCTTACACACCAACAACAGACAAACAGAGAGCCAAATCATGAGTGAACTCCCATTCACAATTGCTTCAAAGAGAATAAAATACCTAGCAATCCAACTTACAAGGGATGTGAAGGACCTCTTCAAGGAGAACTACAAACCACTGCTCAAGGAAATAAAAGAGGATACAAACAAATGGAAGAACATTCCATGCTCATGGGTAGGAAGAATCAATATCGTGAAAATGGCCATACTGCCAAAGGTTATTTACAGAGTCAATGCCATCCCCATCAAGCTACCAATGACTTTCTTCACAGAATTGGAAAAAACTATTTTAAAGTTCATATGGAACCAAAAAAGAGCCCGCATCACCAAGTCAATCCTCAGCCAAAAGAACAAAGCTGGAGGCATCACACTACCTGACTTCAAACTATACTACAAGGCTACAGTATAGTACTGTATAGTACTACAGCATGGTACTGGTACCAAAACAGAGATATAGATCAATGGAACAGAACAGAGCCCTCAGAAATAACGCCGCATATCTACAACTATCTGATCTTTGACAAACCTGAGAAAAACAAGCAATAGGGAAAGGATTCCCTATTTAATAAATGGTGCTGGGAAAACTGGCTAGCCATATGTAGAAAGCTGAAACCGGATCCCTTCCTTACACCTTACACAAAACTTAATTCAAGATGGATTAAAGACTTAAACGTTAGACCTAAAACCATAAAAACCCTAGAAGAAAACCTAGGCATTACCATTCAGGACATAGGCATGGGCAAGGACTTCATGTCTAAAACACCAAAAGCAATGGCAACAAAAGACAAAATTGACAAATGGGATCTAATTAAACTAAAGAGCTTCTGCACAGCAAAAGAAACTACCAGCAGAGTGAACAGGCAACCTACAAAATGGGAGAAAATTTTCGCAACCTACTCATCTGACAAAGGGCTAATATCCAGAATCTACAATGAACTCCAACAAATTTACAAGAAAAAAACAAACAACCCCATCCAAAAGTGGGCAAAGGACATGAACAGACACTTCTCAAAAGAAGACATTTATGCAGCCAAAAACCACATGAAAAAATGCTCACCATCACTGGCCATCAGAGAAATGCAAATCAAAACCACAATGAGATACCATCTCACACCAGTTAGAATGGCAATCATTAAAAAGTCAGAAAACAACAGGTGCTGGAGAGGATGTGGAGAAATAGGAACACTTTTACACTGTTGGTGGGACTGTAAACTAGTTCAACCATTGTGGAAGTCAGTGTGGCGATTCCTCAGGGATCTAGAACTAGAAATACCATTTGACCCAGCCATCCCATTACTGGGTATATACCCAAAGGACTATAAATCATGCTGCTATAAAGACACATGCACACGTATGTTTATTGCAGCATTATTCACAATAGCAAAGACTTGGAACCAACCCAAATGTCCAACAATGATAGACTGGATTAAGAAAATGTGGCACATATACACCATGGAATACTATGCAGCCATAAAAAATGATGAGTTCATGTCCTTTGTAGGGACATGGATGAAACTGGAAATCATCATTCTCAGTAAACTATCGCAAGAACAAAAAACCAAACACCGCATATTCTCACTCATAGGTGGGAATTGAACAATGAGAACACATAGACACAGGAAGGGGAACATCACACTCTGAGGACTGTTGTGGGGTGGGGGGAGGGGGGAGGGATAGCACTGGGAGATATACCTAATGCTAGATGACGAGTTAGTGGGTGCAGCGCACCAGCATGGCTACATGTATACATATGTAACTAACCTGCACATTGTGCACATGTACCCTAAAACTTAAAGTATAATAATAAAAAAAAAGAAAAATTAAAATTCCACCAGTAAAAAAAAAAAAAAAAAGAACACACATTTGGACTTAAGAAAAGTAAGATGATCCGAAGTCATTTCAAACAAGACATATAGGAAAAAACAAAAAACACAGGTGAGCACTAAATAAAAATAAGCATTACATTAAGTACTACCTGATAGGACTTTTGTGCATAACCGAGATTCTGCAGGAAGGTCAGTGGGTTACGTGCAGGAAGGTCAGTGGGTTACATGCAGGTCGGGTGAGCTGCAGAACGGCATTGCTGGATGCCTGAGCTTCCTGACTCTGTGCACTTAGTGCAATGGTGTTGCTTCCAATCATTGTAACAACCAAAAGCTGTCCCCCCAGCTTGTCAACCAAAAGCTGTCCCCCCAGCTTGTCAACCAAAAGCTGTCCCCTCAGCTTGTATCATGCGCCTGACAGGCAGAAGCCTCCCCTTTGAGGGCCACACAGGTAGGCCATGGGGGTAGGAGGGCATGGCCTCCCTTGTTAAACCAGAGCAGGGGCCTCCCAGACTTCAGCGTGATGGAGGAAGATGAAGTGAGGTCTTCCTTGCGGAATGCTTCCTCTTTCCCCTGCCACCACCAGGTTCTGTCCCTGGGACCAGCTGCTGCCCATGCCCCAGTGCACCCTGACCCAAGGGGACACCTCGTCCTGCCCTTGGCCTCCCTGACATACTGAGCTATGGAGTGAGCGGGAGCTGAAATCTGAGCCTGGAAGGTTTGCTGGGCCCTGGCTTCTCCAAGCCTCCAGGTGTTTCTCCCTTTGCTTCTCTGTCCGGTTCCCCTTGGGCTTCTGTGTGGTCCCAAGGGAGTTAGAACCCCCCTAACCCCTGCTGTTCCTGCATGAGGCTAGCCACCACACTGTTAGCCAGGACCCACCCGTGTGTGGGGTTCACGTGGTTCAGCCAAACTCGGGAAACAGCCACATGCAAACAGGACGCAGGAAAATCAGGGTTCGGCAGTAGCAGGTGAGGATGAGAGTGCTCATTTCCATATCATTTATCAGTGATGCCCTGGGGGATGGCCTCAGTCTCCCCAGCCTCCCTCAACTAGGCCTGTTAAGTCCACATCCCAGTGAGGGGATTTGGGGATCAAGAGAGTGCACCAATGGCCCTCTGAGGGGCTGCTTCCTGAGGCCACTCCTTGCTGTAGCAATCCCCTTCTGGGTGTGGGGCAGGCATCATGAGATGACGGAAGGTCTATGGTTACCCACAACCAGATGCACAGAGACCTGCCTAGCCCAGCACCACCTCTCCAAAGCTGACTCGGCAAAAGGACTGCAGAGCATCCCCTCCAGCACCACCCCCCACCCAGCCTTATACCACCAGGTGGGAGCTCCTGCCTGTGATGGGTGCACAGAGCATCAAGTTCACATCTTATTCAGTGGGCAGGCTCTAAGGTCAGCCCGTGATGTAAAAAACTGTAACTATTCGAAAACACTCTCTAAATTCCTTACATAGACACCACACTAGAGATTGGCATGCAGACCCTTGGTCCATCCAACACAGCTGGTTTGTTCTCCAGCTGTGAAACAGATCTCTATTTCTTCAATTGGGACGTGCATGAGGGGCACACACTCTCAGAGCTGCCATCTTGTGAGGAAGCTCTTGCTGCGTGGAGAGGCCACATATATGTGCTCCACCTGACAGCTTCCCTAAAGGGGTCCCAACCACCAGCCACCATCAACCACCAAATATCTGAGTGAACCAGCTTTCAGATGATTTCAGGCCCCACCCTTGAGCAGCTCCAGGCTTCAAATCTTCCAGGTGAGGCCCCAGACATGACAGAGCAGAGATAAATCATCCGCACTGTGGCTGTGTCTGAATTCCTGATCCACAGAATGGGCAGTAACATATTGCACTTTATGCCTAAGTGCAGTATTTATTGTGCATTAGGGCCAGATATTTGTGTGTATCCTTGAACATTTCAGTAATACTCAGATCGTCAAGAGGCTCCCACTAGAAGAAGCACACCAGAACCAAGACCGACAAAGGGAAAAAGCAAAATCAAATCACACGCATCATCGGGGCATTAACTTGGAGACCAGAGGCAAAGTCCTTGCCATTTAAATTATTTCTCTCATTTGTTCTACAGGAATGTGTATAGCTGAATTATTGTAGGTTAAACATATGAGTCATGGATTCCACCAGAGGAGCTGTATAAGGGGTTGGAGCTTGATAGATGATAAGCTGGTTTTTCTGGAAGGACATGCCAGGGTTTGTATGTGATTGTCCAATGCAGCCAACAGTGAACACACTCAGAGAGTGTCGGCCATCTTCCTTGGCAAACGTGAATGGCAGGCTCTGGGGACAGCCATGCTATGTCACACGATGGTACAGCCACAGCAATACCGCTCAGGATAGTCCACCGCATACACCTGGTGGTCAGTGCCATAGATGTAGTAGACATAAGTCTTTCCTTGGTACCAATAGTGAACTTCTGTGAGGGGGATCAGCTCAATGGTCTGGCGCTGAGGAAACAAATAGCCAAGGAAAATGTCAGTGTTCTGTTCAAGTCACTCACCTGCTCAGGAACTTTCAGTAGCTCCCTACTGTGTGTGGTATGAAAGGTCCTGCTCTGGAGTTGGCATTCAATATGGTTTGGCTCTGTGTTCCCACCCAAATCTCACCTTGAATTATAATAATCTTCATGTGACATAAGAGGACCTAGAGGGAGGTAATTGAATCGTGGGGGTGGGTTTTTCCCATACCATTCTCATGATAGTGAGTAAGTCTCACGAGATCTGATGGTTTTATAAAAGGCAGTTCTCCTGCACATGCTCTCTTCTTGCCTTGCCTGCTGCCATGTAAGATGTGCCTTTGCCATTCCTCTGCCTCCCGCCATGATTGTGAGGGCTCCCCAGCCATGGGAACTGTGAGTCCATGAAAACTCTTTCCTGTATAAATTACCCAGTCTCAGATATGTCTTCATTAGCAGCATGAGAACAGACTAACACAGCATTCTAAACCCTGCTACAATCTGCCTTCAATCTGCCTTTCTAGATGTATCTCCTACTGTGCTCCTTCACGCACCCTAAGCTCTGGCCAAAACCGACTTCTCATCTTTAGCTACCATTTGATTCTAGGTTTCACCAAGTGGGCACAGGCATCCCCAGGGGAGTTCCAGGGTGTACGGAAAGTCACCAACCAAGTAGGACAACTTCCAGAAGCATTAATTTTTAGATGGAGTGCTGGGGGGCAGTGGAGGATAAAGTCGGTTTAAACATGTGTGTATTAAAACAACCACAGAGGTATTAGGAAGCGGTTTCTAACATTTGAATCAAATTTTAAGATAAAACATTGACCCCGAAGACATTTGAAAGCTTAGTTGGCTGTGCCAGGCTATTTTCAGGATGGGGACCTCATTCCCTCCCACAGGGAGATGCTAAGTCCCTCATTCTCCAGCCCCTTCTCTGAGCAGTTACTCAATAACTTTCTGCAATATGAGGCCCTGAACAGAAAACAGCAGCCCACCTTGGGAGCAAACATTAGGCTCCCATCTGTACTGGCTTCTGGTGCTGTTTTGTTACTGGCAACTACACTTCGTAGTTGACATAAGAATGTTGCTCCTGATCATCTAAGCCAAGCTTTCTTGTGGACTTCCTGTGGGCCGGGCTCTGTGCAAAAACCCCTAAGTTCTTCTGCACAAGATGTTCCCCTGTCCCAGACTCAGATGTGGGGACCCAAACCCAGGGACAGGTGGCATGATTGGCCCAGGGTCAGGCCCTCTTTACTTGCAGGGAATTCTTCCTGTTGGGAAAAGAACCCCAAGTCCTCTTGCTGTAGTTGATAGCTTGAAGACCCTAGGGAAGAGGTAAACCAGGCCGGGTGGGGGGCTGAGGCTGAAGCCATCTGGCTGCTTCGACTTCTCTCTCCATTTCAGAAAAACTGCCCTGGCCATCCCTGGAGATCTGGGCAGTGGGGGTGTATTTTGAGAGGCAGGCCCCTGTTCTGTCAGAGGAGAGGCCAGGGGGCAGCATGACATTGCAGAAGGAAGAGGGGAATCAGAGTCAGGGCACAAAATTTCCACACAGCTTTCCATGTGATCTTGTGCTCCAGTTCTCTAGACCTCAGTTTCCTCATCTGTGAAATGGGAATAAAAACTCTTATTTCACAGAGTTGTTGAGACAACCAGATAAGACCCCGGTGACTGAGTTTTCTTCATATGCCAGAAACTGGAATCCAAATGACAATTTCGGAAATAAAAGTTGGAAGATGCCTCTTGAAATTTCAGTGCAAAGGACCCCAAATAGGGACTAAAGGGCACAAGGAGATGGGAGTCAATGTCAGTGCTCAGAAGGCCTGGACACTGAAGTCAGGACCACTCTTGTTTCCAGATTTTTCTATTAAGATCCAATGGAGAGCATGGCAATACCAGCCCCCCCACAACCCCCGCAATCCCCCTGCCTCTATCTGCTTCTGGCTCAAAAAGTCTCGAAGTTTGAGGCCACAAATTGCTCAAGACATCAATTGCCATCAAGTGGTCATCACGTAATTGGCTGTTTATCTGTCTGTGCAGCTGAGCCCCTGCAATAAGCAGATTCCAGGTCTCAGAGTCATGGCCATGGCTGGGAGATGGAATTTAGCCAGCTATGTCCTCATGGCTGGATTTCGGCTCTAACTTCTCCATCTTGAGTAAAATATTAGCATGAATCTTTGTTACAGCTCTAGGACCAAAGGCAAAATTAGAAAAAAGATTCAGAGAAGTGACCTCCACTCCCATTATACTCCTTTTTAAAGAAAAATGTGTATTTGCCCCCTGGTTTACCCTTCCTGGCTCCCGGAATGGCTGTATTGGCAGAGGCAGGGCCTCAGGAGACCTGAGTTCTAGTCCTGGACCTGCCACCAACAAACTGTGTGACTTAGGACAGGTAACTTCCCCTCCTTGGGCCTCAGTTTTCCCAGCTGCCAAAATATTGAAAAACTACAAGTTTTCATCTAAAAATCTGGACTTCAGACAGTCTGGAAACACTGGGTCTTGTGCCTACAGAAAGCTGAGTGTCGACAGGCCCCTTTGAATGACGCTCTGTCACCCTCCTTACTGCCTGGCCCTGGTAGGCATGTAAGTTTGCAGTGCCTGAACTGCATGATTTCTCAGCCCCCTTCCAGCTCCAAGATGATCCGTATTCATGTAGATAAAAATGCATCTTCTCTCTCCTACAAATCAGGGAGATGTGCAGACAGAGACAGAGAAGGGGAAATGCCCATTGCAAAGGACAGAAAGGGACATTTTGAGCACCGGGTGCCAAACACATTTCGAGGGTTTTGCTGCAAAACCCTCTGAGGTGCTTTAGTGTCTTTTTTCGCAGGTGAGAGACTGGCTTTGAAGGAGGGAAGTGGCTGGCCCAGGATCATGTTGGGATGCAGGAAACGCAGGATCTCAGCCCAGTCTGCAAGGTTCCTGTCCCGGCTGCTGTCCCACTTCATGCAGCTCCAGCAAAGCACATTATCAGGCCAACCTCCCACGTTAGGGTCCCCTGGCTGGCTGCAGCAGCAGCAGAAGGGGCTACTCAGGGCTGCTCCTGGGGATGTAGCAGCCACCACCGCCACCTTGTGGCCATCAGGATACAGCGGCCAAAACCACAGAGGCCAGGAGAAGACAGGGCTGGGGGTTGGGAAGTGCCAGGGGCCTCAGGGGCAAGACACTGGGCTCCAGCCAGGCCTGTGACGTTCAATCCCCACCTTTTTCTTCCCCTATCTGAACACCAGGGAGTCAGAATCAAAAATCCCATGACACCACATTCGTGCTTAAAACCCTGCAATCGCTTCTGGGAATAAAAATGCAAACTTCTCCTGCGACCCACGGTCCTTCCTGCCTCTGCGTCTTACTTGCCCTGCTCCATGCCCTGGGGCCTTAGGTCAGGCCCTACCCCTTCCCACACTCCTCCCCCGGGACCTCCCTCACCTCTACGTCCTCATCCTTCCGCTCCGACGTTCTCAGGAAAGAGGGCTCAGCAGCCCAGGAAGAGACGTCAGAGCCAGATGGCCCCTCCGCCCTGGCTCACCTGCTGCAGGACGCGGGCACGGGAGGCCAAGGCAGCGCTGTGCTCTGCAATGCCCCTCTGGGAGGCAAGAGAGATGTCTCGCAGAGGGAAGTCCACGATGGGGTACACCTGGGGGAAAGAGAGAGAGACACAGACCACCTGGCTGCCGCACCTGGAGCCTTGGAAGTCACTGGGGCTGACTAGAGCCAGAGCCAGAGCCAGACAGAGAAGGGGGCTGAGAGAGGGACCCACGGTGTGGTCTCAGGAATTTCAAAAACAGGAAAACAGGGGGCCTGCAGTCAGAGAGAGAACGCTATCACCTGCAGCCCACTGGATACCCCAGCTGCGTGCCTCCTGTGTGCCGGGCACCGCGCTAGGTGCAGGACAAGGCAGTGACCATGGCTGGTGTGGTCCCCGTCAGTGTGGACTCGTGGGGTCTGTACACGTGTAGCGGGAAAGGAACTCAGATTCATTTCTCATGTACACATTCAAACCGCCCTCTAAGGGTCAGGCACTGTCTGTGAGCTGAGGATACAAAATGAACCACAAATAAGCCCAGGCGCTTGCACTCAACCTACAGAAAGTCCGGGCACTGGGGCATCTCCTCGGTCCCCAAAGCCCCCAGATCCCCTTCTGCCAGGCTTGAAAGCCTTCCACATATTAAGGGCAAGCATAGCCCTCCCCTGGGGCTCCCTGTTCTGCCCCTCATTGTGGAACTGTGGCTCCTTCCTCCACCCTCCTCCTAAGTGTCCACCTGGGCCCAGTGCTGCTGTGGACGCTGAGGGTGAGACGGTGGTCAGAGCTCAGCACCAGGCAGGGTCAGCTCACAGAGCTGCCAGCAGCCAGTGACGCCTAGGGATGGTCCTCAGTCTGAGCTGAGCCCAGGGGGAAATCCCTAACTCAAATGGAAGAGTGGGGTGCAGGGCTTCTGGTGGGGGGATGCCTGAGGTGAGCCTTTAAAAAGCCAAATTACTGGAGCAAAGAAAGGAGGCTGACACACCTCCCTATAGTTTGAGGACCCCCATCAGAAGTCCCATTGAAGCCAATCTCTCTGCCAAGGCCAACGGCAGAGTGAGAAAACCTTTTCTGCTAAGAACCAAATAGTAAATACTTCAGGCTTTCAGACTATGTAGTCTGTCATTATCCAGCTCTGTCCCACCATCAGGAAAGCGGCCATAGACAACCTGTCAGAAAATGCGTGGGGCTGTGTTCCAATAAAGCTTTATCGACAAAGGCAGGCAGTGGGCTGGGTGTGCCAACTCCTGGCCCGCAGGACCCTCTCCTCTGGCTGAAGGTACCTCTCACTTCTGAGCTCCTAGCTCTGCCCTGCTCACTGCCCTCTGCCAGTCCTCAAGGCCTCTGCCCCACTGTCCCCTCGCTCCCACGCCACAAGGTCCACTCCCCAATTGCCCTGCATCCAGGTCTGTGCCCAAGGTCACTTCCACAAAGAGGCTTTCCCACCTCCAGCTGGAACGACACTGCCACCCCTCCCTGCCCCTTACCCTGCTTGAATGTTTCTCAGTGCCCCTTCACCATCTGACATTGCTATAAAAGGGTCCATCATAGTCCCCTCACCAGACTGTAAGCTCTATGAGGGCAGGGTCCTTGTTTTATTTGCCATGGTCTACCCAGGGCCAAGAATAGTGCCTGATATAGGAGGAGGGTCTCAAGATTTGTGGAAGGAAGGAGGGGATGAGGAAGAAAGGGAAGGAGGGGATGAGGAAGGAAGGAAAAGAGCGAGGAAGAAGGGAGGGAGGGAAAGAGAGAAAGAGAGTATTAGGAAGGAAGAACGGCATGGTGGGTGGGGAAGGACAGAGGGCTGAGTGTGTAAAAGTCAAAAGGAAACTGACAGCCCCCAGGCTCCCCACAGCCTTATCCATGTCTGGGGAGCTCTGCTCCTACACAACCTGTCCTTCCAAGGAATGCAGCCTGCACACACAGCTAGCAGCCCCAGGCCCACGAGAGCAGAGGAGGAACCCAGCTTCCTTTGTTCCCATCTACAATGCCCTCTTACCACCGAGTTTTCATCCTTAAAGAGGTTTTCTCCTTTGGCTTTAGCAAGGAGCTCCCTGGGGCAGTTGAGCCGGTGCTCAGACACAAACTCAAACAAGCTGTTCTTCCTGGAGGGAAGGAGGATGAGGGATGAAAGCACACAGTGTGGCAGGTTAAAAGCATGGCCTTTGCAATCAGACAGACCTGGGGTTGAGGGCTTGAATTGCTACTGGAGGGACCTTGCAACAGTTCTGTAGCCTCTCTGAGCCTCAGTCTCCTCACCTGTAAAATGAAGCTAGTAAGGAGAGTGACAGTTCAGCTCCATTACCTCATTTCATCTTTGCCTACAAAGCACTTAGCAAGGTGCCTGAGACAGGAGAAACCTTTAATGCACGGAAGCCCTGACTGACTTAGGGACGTAGCAGGATGCTATGGCTCTATTCCTACGGGAAGGGCTCAGTTGTGGAGCGGCTGCTGCCCTAGAAAGTGGTGATGGCAGAATTTGGACTGAGGTCTGTCTGTTCTAAAGCCAGTCAGCATCCCACAACCCCACACTGCCTCTTCCAAGGGAATTCTCCCCCTTCTAAGTCCTGGCAGGTTCTTGCACTGTGAAAGCCCCAACCAACCACAGTTTCTCTGCAGAAGCCAGTCCAGGGCTAAGTCCCTCAGCCACCCCCGCATGCCACAGCATTGAGACACTGCCACATACCACATGATGACAAGCTGGATGAAGTGCAACAGCTTCTTCTCCCCCTTGCAGGTGGCGCAGGTCTTGTTCCCTCTCCCTGAGCAAGTGCTGCATCTGAGAAAGGCACAGAGTCCGTACCCCCAGATCAGTTGCAGGTCCTGGTGGCTTCCAGAGGCTCCCACCTGCACCCCCTTCCTCCTGGAGGTAGACTGTGGTGGGCCTGCATTGTTTGTACCTGCCCACCACCTAGTCCTCCTTCTGCTGGCAGTGCCCCAATATCTCTATGGGGATCACCCTTCCCCCACCCAGCCCACATGGCTCTAGGGCCTGCCCCCCCCCCTCCCCCACCACTAAATTCTGTGAACAGCTTGGGATCTGGGACTGGCCAATCATCTTATTCCATGTCCCTGGTCTCAGTGGCTGATACAAAGATGGGCACATGACCCAGGCGAGTGCAATGAGATCTGTCCCAGGATGTTTGTCGGGACTATCGGGAAAGGGACATCTTTTCTCCTGGGATTAGTAAGCTTGGAGCTACTGGTGATCTCCTCTGCCACTACAAGGAACCCCCTGCCTGCAAATGAAGCCCACACAAAGGAAAGCAGAGTGAGAGGTGGATACAGATTCCTGGTGGTGTTGTTTAAGCACCCGGATCCAGCTGGGCCTGAAGCCATCCCTGAAATATACCCCTGGACTTCATTCTTACCTAGGCCTGTAAATCGACTTTTTTTGCCAAAGCCAATTTGAATTGGATTCCTTTCACTTGCAAATGAAAGAAAAATAAGTGTCTTTTTCCCAGTCAGAGACTGTCTCTACCAACCACGATGGAAGGTGCCACCAAAGCTTCTCCAACTGGCTTGTCAGAAGGATGGCCTGGGCTTTAATGAGGCAAAAGTATCATTAACCAACCCAACCTTGAGTATTTTTACTCCTCACGGTTTCCTGTTTCCCTTAAAAAGTTATAAATACACTAAAGGATAGGATTTACAAAATGCAATGGCCCAGTGTTTGCAAAGCTGTGAGCAGTGATGAAATTTTGTTTATTGTTTAGTCAATCAACCAACTTTCCTTGACTCCTCCTCCATTCAGACCCCAAAATGAGTTATAAATAGGGGCTTGCCCAGGAACTGATCCTCAGTGAGTTAAAAATCTGGCCTTTAGGTGGTTTTTGATATTCACTTCCCAACCCGTGGGCGGGAGAGGTCTCCTTTCCTGGTAACCCCGTCCCTGTGTTTCCTCCCTGCAGTGGCTCTTTCTTCACACTCTTTCCACATATATTGCATGACGAGTTCCAGCCTTGTCCAGAAATGCCAGGCCTTGAGAAAAGCTCACCTACTCTTCAAATAACCACAGAGCACCTACTACGTGCAGAGCTCTGGGGACACAGCAGTGACGAGACAGATGGGTTCCTGTTTGCCTTCCAGATGGGCAGGCAATGAAAAGCCAGAAAGCAAGAGCACTTCACCGCGGTGCTGGGGAGATGCCCCTACCTTCGCCTGCCGGACCCCGCGCACAGCTGACATCTCCGGGACTGCTTGGCTTTGCGCTTGGCTCCGCAGCAGGATGGGCACCGCACCTGCAGACACACCACTGCCTCAGCCCCCGCTGGCCTCCCAGGAAGCAGGGCCAACGGCATCCCAAGACCTGGTTCAAATCCCAGCCTGGTGACCTTCCTCCCCCTGGGCCTTAGCCCCTTCATCTGTAAAATGGTGCGGGGTGGAGATGGGGTATCTTTGGATCCTTCCAGTTGTAGCTTTCAAAGCCTCCACTCCCTAAGATCCCTGTTTCTTTTGAGACATCAGCCTCTCCTGCCTCTTCTCTGATCCCCACAACCCCTGAGACCTGACCCCTACCAAGTGTTGAGAGGAAGCTGGGACACAGGCGCTGGTCAGGGGCCTGGCACTGGAGACAGGGGGCTCCTTTTGAGAAATGGCCCCCAGAAAAGGCCTAGGCTGTGCTCCCAGTTGGGCTCATGGTGGGCTCCAGAAACATTCCAGGGAAGACCACCGCTGGGACCCACAGGCAGTGCAGGAGTGAGCTGGGGATGCAAACCCAGCAGGCGAGGGATGAAAGGGCTGGTGGAGAAGACAGTTCACGGTAGCCAGGGTCAGAGCATGGCCAAAGGATGAGGCTCGAATCAGGACACCAAAGAACGCGAGAAGTTTGGTTTTACCCCCTGGGATTGTTAATAGGCCTGAATGAAGGTTTCTGAAAAGACAACTAATGCCATGAGTAATGCCACTGAGGGGCCTGTGCTGGGTTGAATAGCGGCCCTTCCAAGTTCAAGTTTACTGGAATCCCAGAGTGGGACCTCATTTAGAGATAGTCTTTGCAAATGCATTTAGTTAAGATGAGGTCATATGACAAGGTAGGGCCTAAATCCGATGACGTGTTCTTATTAGAAGCCCATGTGAAGACAAAAAGACATGCAGGGAGAAGGCTGGGTGACAAGGCAGGTGGGGACTGAAGTGGCACAGTCACAAGCCAAGGAACACCAAGGACGGCCCGCAGCTCCCAGAAGCTGGGGGAGAGGAAGGGGATGGCTTCCCTCTCAGTGCCTCCAGAAGAACCAGCCTAGCCCACACCTTGATTTTGGAATTCTGGCCTCCGGAACCGTGATATAATAGGTGTCTGGTTTGTTGCTGTTGTTTGTTTTTTGTTTTTTTGAGATGGAGTCTTGCTCTGTCGCCCAGGCGGGAGTGCAGTGGCACGTTCTCCGCTCACTGCAAGCTCTGCCTCCTGGGTTCACGCCTGTCTCCTGCCTCAGCCTCCTGAGTAGCTGGGACTACAGGCGCCCGCCACCATGCCCAGCTAATTTTTTGTATTTTTTTTTAGTAGAGACGGGGTTTCACCGTGTTAGCCCAGATGGTCTCGATCTCTTGACCTCGTGATCTGCCCGCCTTGGCCTCCCAAAGTGCTGGGATTACAAGTGTGAGCCACCACGCCCAGCTGTGTCTGTTGTTTTAAGCCACCCATTGGTGGTCATGGCTTACAGCAGCCGAAGGAAACTAACTCAAGTGTCACTGTCTACTTTGTCTCTCCAAGCCTTCCAAACTTTACCTGCTCAGCACCCACTGCCCTGCACGACAAATGGAGTTGCTTGTTGGTTTCCCTGGCTGACAAAGACTGCCTGGTAAGAAGAACCCCAGGTCTTGGCCCTCTTACAGGACCTAGAGGTCAGAGCCAAGCAGGTATTCAGTGTATGTTGGTAGATGGATGAGAAAATAAGAGAAAAATTAAAATCGAACTGTCAAAGTGAAAGTGTCATTAGAGACCACACAACCCCACTTTTTCATTTTATAGACGGGAAAATGGAGGCCCAGAAAGGGAGGATGACTTGGCTGAGATGACACAGTTACTGCAGGGAGCCTCAGGCCACCAGCCCAGCCCGCTGTCCCCAGGATCCCCCGGCCACCACACCCTCACTGACTCACCAGTGGTTCACAGATGACTCACCGTGCCCGCCCCGTGGCAGCCGCTGCACTTGTACCGCCCACGCCCATGGCATTTGTGGCATTCCTGAAAGTGCAACGCTTTCTTGGGATCTAGTTTCCCAAGGGCCACTTCTCCCACACCCATAACATCACCATCTAAACCGAAGGTGGAGTGGATCAGGACCAGGATAGGAAGATGGCACAGGAAAGAAATGGCCCTTCCCATTTGACTAAGATTCCAGAAGGCTTGACTGCATCAGGAGATCATGTCACCATTTCCTCTGAGCCCTAGCCCAATCTGGATGCCATCAAGGGGAGACGTGTTCTGGGAGCCCCATATCCTAGCTCACACTCTACGGTTTCCTACCAGGCTGAACTACAAAGGCTGATGGCATTTGCCCATAAGGTAGCTAATGTGGTCTTTGGGAACAGAAGCCATTAAAAAATGGACAGGATTTTTATGAAAGGCAATGAGCTAGCTACTAGTATTTAATCACTAATTTAAAATAGCCTTGGCCCCCTTGAGAAAGGAATAGAACACTTTCTCGACCTCTCAAAGTACTCTTTATCTTAGAACTCTGTAAAAACTCATAGAGCAAAATTGCACCCTTAAATCCAGTCCAAAAGTGTAAAGCAGGCAGTAACCGGAAAAGAACACAATATGAGCTATCTCAGTCGTGTTTTTGTAATCCACTAGGCTCCTCTCCCTTCACGCCACGAATATATGTCCATAAAGCAGGATGGAAGTCAGATTCTGTTTCCTTACTGACTCTCATGCAAAATCCCAGCAGGGTTTTAAGTTTTTATTTTATATCAATTTCATTCAGCCCTTCAGCTGTTTAAGCTAAAATAAATTTTTAAAAAAGATGAAAACTACACTCAACCTGTCCAGGAATGTCACTGCTCACTAAAGCTGGTGACGATTTGTAAATCGGATGATCTGTTTGCTAGGTGAACACTCCCAGATTTGCTTGGAATTTTATTTGGGACTACATTCCATATACCAGGTTTTATTAAATTACGTTTATTTATAACCAACAAATGAAGCACCGGCCTGAATTTTGGGTTTCCCTTCAAAGGATGAGTTTGAGGAAACATGCAGTGCCTGGAAAGCCTCTCAGGGAGAAGGGCAAGTATTCCAGTAATCGCGTTAATCGTATTACCTTGACCAGTGACGAGTGAGGGACCTGGAACTTCCTGGTGTCTTCCTGAAACATCGGAGGACCTTGAACCTTGATGTCCCAGAGCCTGGGGGAGGCGCCTCTTTGCGGCCCATCCACAGAGTGGTCTGACACAGAAAGGGGTCATTGTAAGAATGACGAAGGGCAGCAGGGATAAACTTTCATTTATCCAGCAAACAGCATGAAGCCTTCAGTTGGTGCCAGGCATGAGTCTAGATCCTGGGGCTACAGGGATGGATAGTCAAGGCCTTCCTTGGAGGCAGTGACTAAGCAACCAAGATTTAGAGAGAGACAGATCTGGGTTTGACTCCTGGCTCTTTTATGTCCTAGCTGTTTGACTTTAGAGAAGTTTCTTACCCTCTCTGAGCTTCCATTCTCTCATCTCTAAAATGGGGATAGTCATGGCACCTACCATACAAGATGGTAGTGAAAATTAAACGGAAGAATGTATATAAAATTGTTAGCACCAGGAATGGCACATACTGAGGGGATGACACACAAGAATTGTCACCATTATCATCACCATCCCCTTCACCATCCCATCTTCTTCCTCTTGCTCTGTTCAAGGAGACAGACAGCACACCATCACAATAAGATATGATAGGATATGATACATGCTTTGGACAAGAGTTGCATAAAGGGCTCTGAAAACTCAGAAGACTGGCCCATCCTGCTGGGAGGGGAGCAGCAGGAGGAGAAATCCTGAAAAGCTTCTTAAAAGAAGTGACACGTGAGCTGAGTCTTGAAGAATGGACCTGAGCGGTCTGTTAGGGAAAACAAGGAGGACATAGATCTTCCCAAAGAGAGAAGCTTAGGCCTCCAGTGGGGGCTCAGCAGAAGGTGGGGTGGCAAGGCGAATGGGGAGCACAGGGGCCTAGAAGCTTAGGAGGAATTAGGGGTGGCATGAGGGGGTGTAGGTGAATGCTTAGACACGCATGCTGCTTTACAGCCCGGCCCCGTGTGGCAGCACCAGACTGTAGCAAAAGCAAATGCTTGGCTTTTTCAGGACCTCCTGCTTCCTGGGCAGGAAGCATTTCCTAAGATAAGCACTGGAAAGTCTCTGAGATGAAAGTCCATCCTCTCATTTTGCAGGGGGTAAGGAAGCCAAGGCTCCAAGCAGAAGACCATCTTATTTGAGATGAGTGCCTGAGCCAAGTCCTGATATTTTCCACCAGCACCCTGACTTATTTGCCCCCAGTTAAACTAATTTCAGACAATTCACTTACTAGTAAAGGGTTGAAATGTCCACTCGCTTATCCTGGATTCACTAAAGGTCTCCAGACGGTACTAAAAGGAAAAAAACAGCATGTTCACACTCGTGCCCCTTATGAAGACAGAGCATTATGCAAAAAGATGAAGCTGTTACCCTCCCAGGGCTCAGTGGGGAAACTGAGAGGTCCATGCACAACACCCTCGGCTGCTGGAACTGGCTGACAACAGCGATTTCTGTTCCACGTGCCCCCATGTCTGCAGGGAAGTCAGCCAGCCCCAGGAAATCTCCCCTGACAGGCTCAAACTAGAGCTAATTCAGTTCCCCATGAATTTATACAAAGATTCTATGAGACAAGCTTCAGAGCAGTAGCTGTCTTTGATAGATGGAGGTCCCTGGAATCTATGGCTTTGAGATTTCCCTTATGGAGGAATTTATCTCCCTGATATCAAGATCTTCCTTCTTGATCTTCATCCATAGGGTGACAGAATGGGAAGAGGTCTTGGACATCACTTGCCCTCTCCTTTTACATGTGAGGAAATGGAGGCTCAGAGAGGTCAGCTGACTTGCCCAAGGTCACACAGCCACACAGTGGCCTCTTCTTTCAGATTCCTGCTCTAACCACTGCCTGCAAGTGATTATGTGCTCCTCAGAGGGTGGCTGGATGAGCAGCACTAGAAAATGTGACTGTAAAAGCTGCTCCTCTGCTCTGTCAATACAGGAGACAGAAGTGCCTGTCAGAGGCAGGACTTCCCTGCAGCAATGAATAAAGAATTTCTTGGCACAGTCATGATCTGGGGGAGGCAGAGGGAGCTGAAGTCTAGTGGCAGGTAGATGAACCTCTCTCAGCCCATGCCTTGTGGAAGTATGAAGTGAGGACATAGGCTTTGAGGCTACCAAATCTGAGTTTGAATCTCACCTCTGTCACTTCTAGCTGCATCTTCTTGGGAAAATCACTTTGCCTCTTTAAATTTCCAATTTCTCGTCTGTAAACCAGTGACAGTGATGCTACCGTATAGGGCAGCCATGAGGATTTGACAAGGCGTGTGTGTAGCATGCGTTCTATGATGCCTGGCATGTTCAAGCCTGTCAGTGGTGTTTGATGACGCCTTTTTTTTTTTTTTTTTTGAGTTGGAGTTTCGTTCTTGTTGCCCAGGCTGGAGTGCAATGGCACCATCTCAGCTCACCACAACCTCCGCCTCCCAGTTTCAAGCAATTGTCCTGCCTCAGCCTCCCGAGTAGCTGGAACTACAGGCACCCACCACCACGCCCGGCTAATTTTTGTATTTTTAGTACAGATGGGGTTTCACCATGTTAGTCAGGCTGGTCTAACCTGACTCACCTCAGGTGATCCTGACCTCAGGTGATCCACCCACCTCGGCCTCCCAAAGTGCTGGGATTACAGGCATGAGCCGCCGCACCCGGCCTGACACTTGTTCTTTTTATTATCACTCACAGCCACAGACAAGTCAAGTTGCAGATGGGATTCAACATCACCACCGCTCACACTCAAACACACTGCCCCCAGGACTCCTTTCCCCTGGCCACATCACACAAACAGGCCTCCACTGTCCCAAAGCCCCCAGCTCCCCAGCCCCCCGGCCAAGGCCCCCCACCGGCCCTGGCCTCTCACCCTGCAGAGGGTCTGCCGCTTCAGCTCCTGGATGACGAGGTCTCCAGCCACCGTGCTGCTGTAGCAGCACTTAGAGTCCACAAAGCTGAGGAGGGCTTCCCGGGCCACCTCCTCCGTCATCGCAGGGACTCTGCAGGGGACCGAACAGAGAGGCGGGGGCTTCTGGGAAGGGCCTGTGGACTCACGCGGGCCAGCCAGCCTCCTCAACGTGCAGGCGAGAAACTGAGGCCACGGTAGTGGTAAAGCCCTCAGCAGTCCAACTGGGGAGGGCATCTCCTGCAAAGGGGACCATGTGAACGGGTGCCCAGCGTGAGAACGGGGCAGGTTTTCCTAGAGAACAGCCAAAAACACTTTAGTTGAAATGTGGAGCTTAGGAGAAAAGCTGATAGAATCCTGCAACTGAAGAAACACAACCTTAGAGAGGAATTGTACCATTTTATAGATAAGAAAAACAGAGGTCCAGAGAGGATGTCGCACAGTTAAAAGGAGGCAGAGACAGGCTAAATAAGGCTCCTGCCCTCGGGTACCTTGACCTTAGCCAGAGGAGCTGCTAGCAACATGATGGGAAGACCCCAGCCAGGCACTGGCCCAGGGCTGATGGCAGCGCCCATGGAGACTCACCCTGAGGACCGTGGGTGGGACGACAGACAGGGACCCTAACCTCGGCCCTCTTTCTGCATGCCTCCCCCTCCTCCTGGAAGTCCCTTCCCTGAGGCCATGCCACCCCCTTACTGAAGTCTTTCTGGCCCCAACACCTCCAAGAGGAAAGAATCCTCCTTCCTCCCCTTGCATCTTCATGCATTTCTCCATGGCAGCCCTGAGAGCCATTAATCCACAATT
This sequence comes from Homo sapiens, assembly GCF_000001405.40. Lineage (NCBI taxonomy): Eukaryota > Metazoa > Chordata > Mammalia > Primates > Hominidae > Homo > Homo sapiens. The sequence continues at coordinate 8,634,506 of NC_000003.12, forward strand.
CTGCACACTTGTATCTCCAGCATCCTCCAGCCCTGGCACACAGAGGGGCCCGTCTGTCTTCAGATCCATGGATGGCAGCACAAGAGACACTGTGGGCTGGAGAGGCCAGAGATGACTCCCCGGAGGAAGCAGGGTTCTTCCTAAGCATGGAAAGTGGGTGTCCATGGAGGAGAAGGGGGTTGCTTCTGGCAGCAGCAGGGCCAGAAGCCCCCGGGAGAAGCCTCTCATGCTGCCCAGGTGAGAGGCTGGATTGAAATAGGGGGCAGCTCCACCTTCTCTCCGCACAAAGCTGGCTGGAAACCCTGAGCTCGGCCCTGAGTCCTCTCAAAACAAGGTGGATATGGGCCTTTCCGCGGATCTAGACCAGGGTCAGCAAACTTCTGCAAAGGGCCACATAGTGATATTTGAGGTTTCGTAGCCCACATAGTCTCTGTCTCAATTACTCAGCTCTGGAGTAAAAGCTGCCAGAGACAATACACAGCCAATTGAGTGTAACTGTGTTCCAATAAAACTTTACTCCAGAAATGTGCAGTGGACTGGATTTGGCCCACAGACAGGAGTTTGCAACCCTGATCTAGACTATGGTTTTCAACGCTGGCTTTGTTGCCAAACCACCTGAAGAGCTTGGTAAAATGTAAATCCCTAAGCCCCATCCCTGGAGGATCTGGTGCAGTAGGTCTGGGGTGCAGACGGCCCCCTCCAGGGATCCTGATGCACTGCCAGGGCTGAGATCCTCAAGGGGCAATAGTGACATAGGAAATGCACACAGTCACAGAGTACAACCTGAAACTCACCTGTGTTCCAGGAACGAGGGCCAGGACCTTTGCTCCTGGGGCCTCCCTGGGGCCTCCAAAGGTGGGAAGAATATCTGTCCTCCTGGAGAAGGGAAGAGTCAGGGGCTGGACAGCCCAGGCCAAAGGAACAAATATTTGTGTGGTGGAAGAAGGAAAGACTGATTGAATGTGAGAAAGAACAGATGAAGAAACAGTGATGCATTTAATGCAAAAAGAATGGGGACTCCAAGACCAGCACCATCTAGGTCTTAGTGGGACCTGTCGCAGTCATGGACTGTTCATAGACAGAAGGCCTATGCCCCATTGCTTCCTCTTTCCACCTGCCCAAGATGAGGGGCTTCCCAGGGCCCCCCCAGGGAAAGGGGAGCTATCTCAGCACCACCTTTTTCCCGAGACATCCCACCAACCAGCGTGAGCCCTAGGTAGAAGCCCAAAGAACCAAGCCCTCTTGGAACTTACTGCCCCCTTGAAGAAGCCAGTCATAGCTGGGCAGTCTCTCCAGGAGCTCTGTGGGGGGCGCCAGAGGACTCTCGGCCTCAAAACTGAGGTCCACCACACCTGCAGAAAGACAAGCATTCCTAAGCCTTGGGTAGGGAGGCGAGGGCTGATGAGGGCTTCACAGGAAGTTGAGAAATTAGGGCGGGTGCATTATAAAAAGCCTCACGTTTAAGCCAGCCTCACTCTGGCATCCTTAGGACACAGAATACATCTGCAGGGCAGGTGGTAGTAGCAGCAGTAATAATAGTGATGAGAAACATCAAGAATGCCAGCTCCTATTTGCTGGGTACCTACTCCGTGAATATGCATTATTGCATTCATGAGTCTGTAATTCACTGTGGAATTACAGATGGCCACATATTCTTTGATGCTTTCCTTTCATGGAAACTGGGAAGATATGTGACTGCCTCAACCAAGAGAACACAGTGGAAGCATTAAAAGACTGCAGCTACTTCTGCCTCATGGAGCATTTGTTTTGGAACCCTGAGCTCTAAGTCAGGCTATTATGCTGGAGGGACCATGAGGAGACCCTAAGACTACATGGAAGGAGGTCCAGTTGAGTCCAGCCTTCCAGCTATCCCCGCCAAACCAGCAAAGCCATCCTGGACCCTCCAAGCCATATCAGCCACCTGCTGAATGCCACTGGATGACCCTAATCAACACCACGTGGAGCAGAAGAATCTCCTGCCTGAGCCCTACCCTAATTCCTGACCCATAAAATCATGAGACATAAAAACATTGTTGTTTTAAGGCACCGAGATGTGGGGTCATTTGTTATGCAGCTTCCTCCAGTGGACAATCTTTGCTCTGGGATTCCCAGCAGACCTGACCAAGACTTTCTTGGAGCCACATGGAGTCTGAGACTCCTCCTACTTAATCTCCTTCCTTCCCTCTCTCCCTTCACAAACGTCAGACCTGCATTGCAGTCTGAAGACATTCCCTCCTCTTTTCTCTTCACAGGTATCTTCAAGAAACCCCTTGCACATCTAATGCCATCTTGGTGTCTGCTTCATGGGTGACCCAAACTGGTACACTAACGCCTTCCCTCATTCCACCAATGAGGAAACTGAGGCTCAGAAAGGTTGTGACTTGCCCAAGATCATACAACCAGCAAGTGGTGGGTGGGGCTGGATTCAAACCTAGACTCGTCTGACTCCAAAGTTCGTGTTCTTTCCAAGTACAGACAGTCCCCAACTTAGGATGTTTGGACTTATTGATTTTTCTACTTTATGATGGTACAAAAGCCATATGCATTCATTATAAACCAAACATCAAATTTTGAATATGGGTCTTTTCCTAGGCTAGCAATAGAAAATATGACACACTCTCGTGACGCCAGGCAGCGGCAGTGAACCACAGCTCCCACTCCACCACTGCCTGGTGTATTAAACGCCTTCTTGACTTCTGATATTTTCAACTTATGATGGGTGTATTGGGACATAACCCCACTGTAGGTGGAGTAGTATCTGTACTTTTCATGAGGCAAAACTATGAAAAAATCATTCACTACGTATCTGTTTTCAAAACCTCATCCTAGCCTGTCGGGTGTGACATAGATACAGGTGGCCCTGAGATGCCAAGGAGGAAAGCATAATATAAGAACTGGCCCCTGAAGCACTGGAAGGTTCATGAAACACCTTCCCACACATGTTGCCTCATCCCACACTCCCACCTGGGGGTGTGGAAGGCAGCACTTCTGACCCCACTTGACATGAGGCACATGAGGCTCAGAGAGATTACTCCAGTAATCCTAGGTCACACAGCTGTGGAGTTAGAGCAGGACAGAGGTCCCAGAGGCCTCTGAAACAAGAGGTCTAGTTCCAGCCCACTGGGCCGCCCCTTTAAAACTGTTCCTACAACCCCTCACACTGGGAGACAAGAATCCCTTGGTTCTGTTTGTCTAGTGGCCAAGTCAGTCACAGGAGTTGACTTCAAATAGTGCCTGTGAAATGGTCATGGAAGGGGACACCGTCTGTCTCAGTCACTGAAGCAAACTCAGAGCAGACTTCCAGCTGAACTGCCCCATCTCCTAGAGCTTGTTTGTTTGTTTGTTTGTTTGTTTGTTTGTTTGGTGGGAGGAACCTATTTAAAGCCCGTAGTAGCTCTCTCCCTTCACAAAAGTAAAAATAATATACCCTGTCCCTTCAAGTTTAATAAAAACAAAAACCAGACAATAGAAGCTTCGTTCCAAGAAAACTTCATTTGTGAAAATAGGTGGTGGGTCCGATTTGGCCCTCGGAGTCACGTTTGGCCCATCCCTGACTTAGACACTCACCTGTGTGTCTACTTAGACATTCTCCTGGGAATGGGCTTGAGGGGATCAGAAAGGTAGAGGCTGAAACCTGAGCCTTTCTGGGGCGAAGGCCCATGCATGTCCACTGTAGTTTCTGTCAGCTCCATTATCAGAATTAAAGATCAAGGTCAGGGCTGGACTGTAGCCCTGAAATACATGGCCCAAGCAGTGGAGGAAGGAGGGGATGCCTTTAAGACGAATGAACACCCCCTCTCTACCACCTCCCAAACTGGGAATGTCCTTGTCCTCTGACAATAAGAAATACTATCTGCCTCTCTAAGGTCTTTTCCTCCTGGCAGAAAACCTACAAGGAAGGTAAATAGAAAAAAGTTTCATAGACGTAGAGTGCCTTTGTAAGCAAGAAAACACATCTTTGTGAGCCAATGGTCCTGCCACATTTTGACCGGAGTCAGAAACCCAAAGGCAGCATGGTTAGAAACATGGGTTCTGACATGTCACCTTGGGCCCAGGCTCTCTGCATGATGTGACACCATGTAAGCCACACATCCCTGTAGAACTCAACTCCCTCCTATGCAAAACAGAGCAGTTGATATTAATACCCAAGCAATGAGACAATGTGTGCATAGTCCTTAGTCCTGTGCCTGGCCTTTAACAAAACCCAGTCACTGCCTCCAACCTAAGAAGGGTGGGTCTTCCCCTTTCTTTGTGCTCATTTAAGCCAGAAGACAACAGTGAAAATATCAAGCATAGAAAGACTGTCACAGCCCTGTCCCCTGGGATGGCCCCCCACCCACCCACAAGTCTTGGGTCTGCTGGGGCATCAATACTCCTCTTGACGAGAAGACAGGGAAATACCATTCGGCTGCAATGTCCTGCTGGAAACCAAACAAAAGGGGCAGGAAGTGGGGAAGAATGAGAGGTGGGAAACTCAGACTCCATTCCTCAACCAGGAGCCACCCTGACCTCTCAGAGCAGCTACAGTTCATCAGAGCTAAATTAATCTCGCCATTCTGTTATGTACAAAAATAAAGGACTCCAGACTCAACTAAGGAGGAGGTGTCGTTTCCTGTACAGATCTTGACGGGCTCAGCAGGGAATGTGGACGTCACGGGGCATTGTGTGACACCCAGCACGGGGCACTCGGAAGGGGCCACCAGCCACATTGCTGTTCCCATGGTGTTGCAGCTGTTTCAGGCAGTCGTCCAGCTGGACCACCCCGCCCTAACACACACATTGTGTCCCGTGGCTCCCAAAGGGACATTGTAGGCATGATCTCCTTTGTGCTTCACGATAACCAGTTTTCCCTATTTCAGAGAAGAATGAAATGAGACTCAAAGATGTGGTTTGGGGCAACTTTGCTCACACACGCATGGCAGAGATAGAAATAGCACTTAGAGCTCAGATCCTGTCTCCAAGCCCAGTGACCTTTCTACTTAGCTGAACACCCTATGGCTCCATGCAAAGAGCATCAGGTGAATGTTGAGAAGACTTTGCAAAGAGAGTCGCCAAGGTAGTGTTTCAGCTCACCACCCACAAGATATTTTTCTTTTGTATAGAAAGGAATTTTCCTTGTGGAGAAAGGCATTATTAATGGGTAACCCCTTTAACGTTCTCTTTTTAAAATGTCATTCCCTTGACTACAGATGAGAAAGGAAATCAATGTCCTTTGTCCCTAATTCCACATTAATCATCTTAAAAGCACTGAAGCGTGCTCAAAGGGCTTCCCATCACCATCTTACTTGAGTTTGTTTCATACATTGTCTCCTTTGACAGGTGTGAGGGCCCCTTTTGGACAGGGGCCCCTGTCTCGTATAAGAAAGGAATGGCATTCAACACTTAAACAAAGAGTGGGAATCCAACAGGCACACGTAAGTGTTAGGGGAACAGCAAACCTACCACGATGGGTGTATTGTCGATATGCACAAATGCCTCGTGATTTGAATTATACTTGAGATGGTGCCAAAAAGATTCAGGTGGTCAAACTCACACACACAAAGTAGAGTGATGGTTGACAGGGGCTGTGGGGAGAAGGGAATAAGGAATTATTTAATAGAGACAGAATTTCAGATTTACAAGGTGAAAGGGGTTCCAGAGAAGGATGGTCATGGCTGCACAACAACGTGAATGAACAATACTACTGAACTGGGCACTTACAAATGGCTAAGATGGCAAATTTTATGTCAGGTATATTTTATCACAAATAAAAACAACTTGAGAATGACAGGTGATCCTAAGAGAAAGAAAAGAAAGAAGTTCTGTTTTTGCCACAAAGAACAAACAAATAATTGGTCACAGTAGTTCAAGTACTTCCTAGCAAGACCAGAAAACCTGATCATATCACCCCCTCACCTAACCCCTGCAGTGACTCACTATTACCCACAGCTAAATCCAAGCTCCTGAATTTGGCAGGTAAGGTCCCTACATTAGATGCCCTTACCCACAAGAGAGGAAGAAAGGATTCTCATCTGCCCACATGCCAAGGAAAAGCCTCCTACATGTGCAGACCAGGGTGAGAGAAGGTAAGGCAGCTAACTGTGGAAGACGGCAACAGTAGGGAAAAAGAACACAGAGAAAAAAGGAAGGAAAGAGACAAGGAGAACAGAAAGAAAGAAGGAAGGAGAAAGGCAAGCCTGCTGGAGAGAGAAGCATGAATAGTTGGTTTGGGAGCCATTGAAAAAATATTTGGGGAAGCAAATGTTCACCATGCCGTGAGACCAACATCAAGAGAAATGGGTGAAGGGTTGGGAGAAGATTTGCTTTAAGTTATGTAGGCCACCCTGGGTTGCCAAGCAAGAATGCAGCAAATATTGCAATTTTTGTTTTCAATTATTTGAGATTGTTATTTGTCAATATTTTTCAATTATTTGAAATATGAAATTAATGCTTCTTAGAAAGTGCTGTCATGCCAAGACAGGGCCACACAGGGACTGGGCTTCCCAGAGGTGCCCTGTGGCTTCATGATACAGACATTTGTACTCACCCTCACACACCCTGTGCCATTTCCCCAGCCCTGGCTGGGGCTGGTTCTGCCAGCGGCACCACTGGGCACCCCCTCCAGACTTAGCTTAGACCTCCCCGTCTCCAAAGCCTGCCTGAGTGCGGCTCCCTGTCCTGTGCCCCTTGGCACTCCACTCCACTTCTCCACTGTTGTTTTGCCAAACGGCTTCTTAAGAATCCTTTGTAAAAGGTCCATGTGGGGTCTGTGTCCCCCACCAGACTTGGAGTACCCCAAAGGTAGATCAATGTTTTATTCATCCTCATTTTCCCAGCAATGACCACAGCACAAAATACCTAACCTGCTACGCAGTCTTTGGGGAGAAAAAATCACTCAATTTTTTAGGGCCTTGATTTCCTTTCCCTAAAAGCAGGGCTCAGGGAGTAGGGTCACTGAGAGGAGCAAATGAGACAATGGATGAGAGGGGACTCTGGAAACTGATTCAGGAGAGCCTGGGGATCCTGTCTAAGCTGTAACAATTTCACTGAAGCTTTTTATTTCTTACTCACTCCCCAAAGTAGATGCTGTATCTTCCTATTAGGGGCTACCGGAACCACTATCCCCCTCCCGAAGTGTGCAGCCTGTGGGAAAGACCAGATGGGCCCCTAGAGGCCAGGGCTAACCTAGCTGGGAAAGCTGCATTCCGGTGGCTGTGCCTCCATCCACGGGATGTGTGAAAAACACTGAGATCCCCCGTCAGTCACCACAGCTAACGGCAGCTTGGCCCTTGCCAAGAAGTCCAGCACCCTTTCTCACCAAGATACACTGAGAGCCTGAAAGCTAGTATCAATTTTCCATCCCTAGTCGTGGAGGGCAGGGGCATTCTATGAACAAGACTTCTGGGAGCAGAGCTGGCCTGGGTACCAAGGGAGAGTCCCAGCTGCTCAGCACTGGGTCAGGGGTGGTGATGGCGATGTGGCCCCAGACCAGGGCTCTCACTCGTGATCTCAATCCTGCCCCTGTGGACGGGGGTCCACAGGAACTCATGCCCAGGAGTAAAAAGGTACAACCCATGTCTTATAGTCCTAGACCAGAAAAGCTGCCTCCTAAAATTACCAGAGACTGTATTTATAGCCCATCTTACTTGAAGAGGCTTTTGCTCACCATTTCTGGAAAAGGTTTCAGTCTGCAATCAAAGAAGTAAGTTCTATCACAAAAGATATGGTATATAGAATAAGGGAGGGGATTTTTTTCTCTTCCGCTCTGTGCTAGGACACTGCACTTTAAGAAAAGAGTGATTACCTCTAGGATTGTTGAAGAAACAGGATCTGGTTAGGCTAGAAAAGAAAAGACTTACAGGGCTCTTATCTTAAACAGGGAACAGACATTCTGAGTAGACTTGCAGCCTGGAATCAAGACCAAAGAGTAGAAGCTCCAGGGAGAGAGATAGCGATTCAATGTAAGAAAGAATTTTGGACAGTCTCGACTATAGAAATAGAACCAGACCATCACTGGAAGTGGTCCAGCCAAAGTAGGAGATGCTGCCCTGGTCAGGGATGCTGTAGACAGCCAGCACCTGAAGGTGATGGTCAAAGGCCTCCTTGAGGAGATTTGCACATGGGTGCCACATCCCAGAACGTTCCTATCCATGCACTTTTGTCCCAAAACGTATCACTGGAGAAAGGTTTTCTCCCCCTGAAGTCACTCATATTATAGACCTGAAAAGTGATGGGACAACACTATAGTGCCTGGAACATTAACTCGATTGGATAAAATGGGCAATCACCTCTCCCCTAAACAGGCACATTTAAATTATGTAAGGCCTGTAGCAGGCTCCCTTTCTGACACTTGGGGAAAAAAAAATCTACCTGGTTTCTGATTTCATTAACTTTTTCTAAAAGTTTCCCTGGGTGCCTCTATACCTTGCAGTGAACCCCAAGTGCTCACCTGAGTTCCATCACATCTGAGACCAGCACTCAGGACAACCCTATGAAAGACTCAGGGTTCCTAGACTTGTAATGGGCCCAAAGACTTCACTTTTCTCTCACCTTGCTCACCAAAAGGCATGAGGTCAAAACAGGAACTTCACAGAAGATAATATTTCCCATTAATAGCAGTTTACTTTTAAAGTTCTGGGGACCTGATCATTTCGTAGAGTCAATATTGACTCCATGTCTACTCTGGGCTGGTGATGTATTAGGCACTTTGTAGCCAACGAATCTTTGATCAATCCTGCAAGATGACACCATCCCTTTAAAAAAAATTATGGGAAATGAAATTCAGAGAGGTTAAGTGACTTGAGCAAAGTCACCCAGAAACTAGGAGGCAGAGCATAGGTTTGAGTCCAGATCTGACCTAGTCCATTGCTACTATGAGAAACTCTAATCATAAATGGAAAGACTGCTAATAAACAGTGTTTTGAAGAAAAAAGATTGCATTAGAATGTTATTTGAAGCTTATTAGAACAAGAGTATGGATATACAATTTCCAATATATTAGAGGTCAGATTAAGCCCTCCTCCAATACATGCTAAAATATCTCCAGGCAGTCTTTCACTTCAATATGAAAAAAGATTCCAACAAAATTTAAATTGAGCTCTCTAAGTTTAGTATAGGTTAATTTCATATTCTGCTTCAGGTCTAAAACTTAAAGCTTTAAGATATCAACATTAAAGACAAGAAAGAGTGTTATGCCTGCAAAGAAGCTCCAGTGTCATCAAGTCTGGTGACTATGAAGTTGTGTTAGTGTCATGGATCTCTCTGGATTCAAATGAAAGCTATAGACCTCTCTCTACATCTCCCAAAAAGCATGCTCAAAAAGCATTTTGCCCACACCCTCATGGTCCTCAGATTGAGACCTAAACCAATCTCGTTTTATAGATGAGAATATTGCAGCTCAGAGAGGTTAAGTGATTTGCCCAAGATCACACAGCCAATTCAGAGCAGAGCCAGGACTTGAACCCTGGCCTCCCACTTCTCAGTCTCATGCTCTTCCCCTCCCCACTCCCCGCCACCGGCAACCACCACCCCTCTGCACTGCCTGTTTCAAATTCGGATTCAAAAATTTCCCTTTTTAAAACATAGCACATTTCTTCCTGAAATACCATTTCCTTCATGTTTTTAAATAGCTCTGAGAATCCATTGTATTTCTGTCCCGGTAGTGACAGGATGGGGTCACCTGGGCTATGTTTCATAAGCGATAATGAACGAACTGGCCGTTTGCTAGAGAAAGATCACGAGTGAAGCCTTTTCCCGACCTTTCTGTAGAGTTAACATCATCTAAGAACTGAATCCAATTGTGATTGAAATAAGAATCCTGAAAATCTCACTTAGATTTGGCTGGGAGCAGGAGACACTGTCAACTAGAGAAAAGAAGAAAAAGGGAAAAGAATATAAGGTTTGCATGGTGTCACTGTGATAGAGAGAAAAGTTCTCAATTTCATCTTTCACCTTCCTTCTCCATTGTCCAAAGGCTCATAACGGAAGAAGAGATCGCAAGCTACAGGTAGGCTTTACACACGAGAGGAAGGAAGGAAGGAAGGGGTGCTCTCGGCAATCCAGATGCAGACCCAGGACTGCATTTAGGGCAGATGGAAGAGTTCACACAGTGCTAGCTACAGAGCTTATTAGAAAAGACTATGGATACATAACTTCCAACATATTAGAGGTCAGATTAGGTCCTCTTCAAATGCAGGCTAAAATATCTCCACACAGTCTTCCGTGCCATCTTTGAGGCTCTACTTACTGTCATCTTCATTCAGATCCCTGTCCATGTTCCAGACGTCCTGCCAAAGAGATGTCTGCCCTTCGAGTGTGCTTGGACCGATGTGCTCTGATGGACCACCCTCAGGCCCCTCCCAGAACAGCAGGCCCATTGTTACCCAGTTGGAATACAACAAAGGGAAACATCTATATCGTTCATCATAGCAGCTGCTCTGCACCCAATCCACCGGGTTCTGGGAGCTCCTCTTCCACAAGAGCCTTCTACTGACCAAGCTCTTATGGATGCTTCTAGTTACTCATGTCCTCACTGCACCCCTTTGAGAGGGGCACTGGTATCATGCCCATTTTTCTGAGCAGGATGATAGATTCAAACCCTCATCAGTCTGACTCTCTAGTCAGAGTGCCTGACAACTGAGCTACATCGCCCAGCTGTAGGAGGCAGACTCCTAAGTATTGTAGGGCGCATGCAGAAAAAGGTCATAACCACAAGAAGGTTACCTCCCCAAGGGGGATATTATATACAGATACTCAGCCTGGGCAGGGCCTCTGAGATCTTGAGCATCACCAGCCTCATCTCCCTGGGGAAGAAACAAAGCTGGGATTGTGAGGCCACACTGCAAAGCCACACGGCACCTCATGGGCAGAGCTGGCTCCCAACCCAGCCATGTGGGCCACTACTGTCGCCACACCAGCCTCGCCCACTGTGAAACATCTTTGGATTTGTAAAAGGTCTTTTCCTAAACCTTTTCCATTGGAGTTTGACACCCCTTCAACCTCAGCCCTTGGAAGATCATCCTCCTCTGCATGAGTCTAAACACAGAACTTGTGAGCTGGTCCCCGAGGCTCTATGGGTCCCACCCCCTCCACTGCATCCTTGGCAATCACTCCTCTGCAGCTGAACCTGGGGTTCTCTGGCCAGGGTGATGAAACTGCCCTACGCCTTGACTTCCCCATCCCAGCAATGCACGTGGGATGTGCCATGATATTCCTCAATGACAACCTGGGATTGCCTTCACCAGGGGAAGCATCAGGACTATTTTGTCAGTGTCCTAAATGTCGGCCTGTCTGGGATGGCCACACTGCACAGAGATGGCTCCCAGCTGCTCCATAAAGAGCGTGTCTTTATTCTCTCTACTGCCTTCACCCTCGTCACTGACTGCCCATCGCCGACAGCATGCAAGTGCAACCTTCAGCAGTATTCACAATTTCACAAATGCTTCTTAGGTGACTCAGTCCTCACAAATCGATTTTTATGGCTGGTAGGAGCACTGGATTTCTGATACTTGAGAGTCATATAAGTTTCATTACTGTGTATACACAAGGAAGACCATGATCCTGAGGAACAAATGTGGTCTTTTGATGCCTTTATACATGAAGCAATGATTTTAAGCCCTTATAGAATTGTCCCCATGGTAAATGGGGTTATCATGAATTTGTATGCCTTTCTCTGCGTGTATATTTTACCCTAAACATCTGTGTGAGCATCCATTGCTGTATCTGTTTAGGTGTGTGTTTGCATGTGTGTATATATTTGAGCCAAAACATGATAAATGATAGATTAATGACAAAATGCTTGCAACTTAACTAAAACAATATACCACTATTACATCTTGAGTACTTTTTAAGCGCAATATATGCTTACCTAAAACCCTCCTCAGCATTTAAAAGGAACAACCACAGAAAATTCTTTAAATGTCAAATTGAACAAAATGTTGAAGAGAATTAAGCATTACAAGGACCCGAAATCTTGAGGCCGCAAAAATGCAGACAACGCTGAGCTGTATTTTCGTAACCAGGAAGTGCTGATCAGCAGAAATGACAGTCCTTTTCTGCACGCTACTTAGATCACATAATAGTAAGTTAATAAAAAGCTCTTAAAACGCATGGAAGATAAACAAACCAACAGCTAGACCTTTCTGATCTTGCTTCGGCATCCGTACAGAAGTGCTGTCTGCAACAGTGTGCTTGAGTGACTCGGGGCAAGTAATGTACCCATCAACACCTAACATCCGTGGTAGCAGCAGGAACAAGCAGCATTAGCTCTGGGACCCACGACAGTGTGAGGCTAGTACTGGTCCCTGCCTCTTACTATCAAAGGAGGTTGGGATCAGGGAAGAGAGGCGCCCACTATGTGCCTGACATCTGACAGTCATTCTTCCTCCCTGCTGTTGATGGAAATGAGTGGGCTCTGAGAGCTCCTCCTGAACTGGCCCTCGTGTCCTGCATGTGCTAAGTGCTCAAGAAACATTTGTGGAATTAGCACAGCTGTCCAGGAGCTGACTCTATCAATTGATTGCTGTCTAAGAACCTTGTTTTTTCCTGGAAATAAAATCTATGTAATCTCACAGGTGGGTGTCTGTCTTGGGATATGTCATGGCTGCAGCAAGAATTAGGGTAGGGCAGAGCTTTAGAAGGGAATCAAGGAACCACGTGGTCAGACTGCAATTGAACATGATAGTGAGGAAAAACCTAGAAGCAAGGTTCAATAACTGTCTTCAAGTGTTTAAAGGGGCATGTGGGAAGGCAGCAGCAGAACAGAATCTCAGGACACCTGTCCTATCCATGCGCAGGCATGCGGAGAGCTGGTCCGGAATGGAGGTCATTTTCGGCTGAACAAAGAAACTTTCTAGTGAGAAGAGTTTCTTGCCTTTGGACTGAGCTCTTTGGAAGAATATTAACGCAGAAGCTTGGTGATTAAACAAAGTGGGGTGTGAGCAATAGTAGAACATCACAGTCTGTGGCTTCAGAGTCAGGGTAGACTGAGTTCAAAGTCCTAAAGTGGACATGGCAGCACTGCAGCCCCTTTCCAGAACATCCCTGAAGGACCGTGGTGAGGAGAAGTACTCCCAGGGGGCAGAACCTTGAACAGTGCCTGGTCTGGTTATTTCTTTTTGTCTCAGAGAAGCCGGCTATTGCTCAGCTCCTGCTGGACGAAGGTCTCACCCCACCATCTACAGAGCCCTCACTCTCATTCATCCAGTGAATGCTCCCTGCACATCCACCAGGAACCAGGCCCTGCCTCGGGCCCTCACAACCCAACCGAACCCAGAGCCACCCAGAACCCCCACAGGAGCCAAGACTGCCAACAAAGGAGTTCTGCCCCAAAGGGCCTGGCAGCCACAGATAACATTGTTGTTGGCTTATCTGCAGGCTGGGTGGATGGAGACCAGTGGTGCCCATGGCAGGAATCAAGTATGGAGTGGAGGAGAATGGGCTTGACACAAATAAGAAACTTGTCCAAGTAGGAGGTTCTCGAAACACCATGCCCAAGCACCCTCCTCTCTCTGGGAGCCAGGGAAACTGGCATATCCCTCCAGGCCCAAGTCGTGGACCTCTAACTGCACAGACAGAAAACAGGGACTGAGATCTTCTTGATGCCCCCCAAATACCACATAGGAAGGGAGATGCGTTCACAGATGCTTTCTCAGTTAAACCTTCACAACAACTCCGTAAGATAGATATTGTTCTCCTTATAGACGAGACAACAAGGGCTTAGAGAGGTTGAGTGACTTACCCAAGGTCACACAGCTCTGGTGCGGCAGAACAGGAATGAGAGCAAGTTGGCACCAAGGCCCTGATGTAGATGACAAACAATTCTGTGTGTTGTTATGTGTCGTTGTAAGAAGCTAGGGGAAGGAGCGTGGCATGGTTTTCACTGACCTGGCTACTTAGTGGCTTGGCCCGTGTAAGTCTGGCTACCCAATCAGCTGAACAGAAAGCAATGGAGGAAAGCTGAGAAACTACGATGCCCGCAGGCCAGAGGCCTTCAGGAAGGTCACCTTCCACCTTTCCTTTTCCTAGCCAATCCTGAACCTTTGTCTCCTCAGCGACAGCAAAGCCACACTTTAGCTGGTGCCCCCCCATCCTGAAGTCTTTCTAGAAGCTTCCAATGAGTGCTCACCAAAGCACTACTCCCTTCTGTGACTCTGGTCTGCTGCTGCCCTGGGCTTCCCTCTATCACCTCCTCCAGGCCACAGTGCCCCTTCCCTCATTCCCTTGATGTAGCTGAGGCCCCTCTTGGAAGGCTCCCAAAACACAGGTGGGGAAATGATTAAACACAACACAAAACTTAACCTTGACCCTGGATACATCGCAGCTCCAGGACTCTACCAATCCTGATGCTCCAGGAACCCAACTCATCAACTTTCTTAAGAGACTCTGGCCTGCCCCCACCGTCTAATGGTGGCCTGGTCACCTTCCCCTGGGTGCTTTAGTGAGTGCTGGGCTGCCCTCCCAGGTCCCCTCAGGATGAGAACCTCATCTCCAGCACCTGGCCAAGCCCTTCCCTGACTCACCCTGGGCCTTCATTCAGGGCAGCTCTGAAGGGCTGCCCTACTTCTGAGCCCCTACCCTCCAACAATGGGCAAGACCTTTGCCCTGACTGCAGCGCAACTCAACTCCTCCCTCTGTGAAATCCTGCTGCCTTTGCTTCCTCACAGGACTTGATCCCAAGAGCACCCCCAGCTAACTTCCCACACACAAAGGTCCTCCTCCTCAAAGTCTTCTTCCCAAGAACGCTGCCTGCAACAGGAACTTTCGCCACATCTTACCACATCTCCTGGCTCCTGCAGTTCATGAAGAGGGCAGGAATTGCATTTCTCCTCATTCCCAGAGCAGGTCCCAGGAGCGGGCAAGGTGGGATGGTGGCTCCTCTCCCCTGATCTCTAAATATCAGGGTGTCTGGACCCATTGTGTGCCCGTCCATCCGTGCTCACTCCCTTGGTGACCTCCTTCAGTGTTATGGTCGTCCACGCACTCATGATTCCCAATTTCTGCCTCTGCTTTGACCTCTCCTCTGAACTCCTGACTCCTCTATCTGGCTGGGACATCTCCCCTCAGTTGTCTAACAGACACCTCGAGCTCTCTCTGTGTGTTCAGCACTGAACTTCTGGTCTCCACCTGCTTTCACTCCCCCTTTTCCTCATACCCGCATTCAATGTCAGCAAGTCATATCTGCCTGGGTCCTCTCCCAGTCTGCTTCCTTGCTCCCACTCGTGCCTGAGCCCCCTGCCCCCCTCACCTGGATTGCTGCAGTCACTTCCTCATGGGCCTCCTATCTGTTGCCCTCGCCCTGACAAAGCCCATGCTCAATTCAGAACTCAGACTGATCCCTCTACACCTGTAAGTCAGGAGACAGCCCCTCCTCTGCTCAACACCCTTCCTGGCTGCAAAATCACTTGGACTAAAAGCCCAGTCCTTGCCGTGCTCTGCGAGCGACCCCCTGCACCCTCCCTACCAATATGGCCTCTGCCTGCTTCCCTTCAACCCTTTCCTCCAGCCCCACCAGCCTCCTCATCGTTCCTGGGTCACACCAAGCACATTCCCACCTCAGGGCCTTTGCACTTGCTGTACTGGAGACCTGGAATTCCCCTACAGATCTCTACACAAACTGTTCCCTCACCACCTTCAGGCCTTTGCTCAAATGTCACTCTCCCAGGGAGGCTGTCCCTGGCCCCTATTTAAAATTGAACACCCTGCCGCCACCACCAAATCTCCAGTCTCAGACCCTCTTTCCTGCTTTTGTTTTTCTTCATGGCACTTACTTCTATCCAACACATTAACTAACTTACTATGTGTTTTGTTCAACACCTGTCATAATCTGGATGTAGGCTACCAAGATAAAAATCCCAAAAAGCATATTTGTGTCTGTTTAGTTCCCTGCTGTATACTTAGCACTGTGAACAGAGCCTGGAAAATAATAGATGCTCTATAGACATGTGATGAATGAATGAATAAATAAATATATTCTTATGCAGGGACTTTATCTTCCCATTGTCCTGGACTTCTAAACAGTTTTCTCCAAAGATAAGCTTTGTTCCAACTGTGGGGAAACTGATAGAAGAAAAAAGAAGGCCACTAGTAATTTTTAAATACCAGTTTGTCCCTGTTTCTAGACATTTACTTCTTCAAAAACAGGGATCCAGTCTGAGTGCCACATTATAGGAACAGCAGGAAGGAGTTCAGTTTGACCCTGTGGCTCAAGCCTTAATGAAGGATGCTTCCCTGGAAGCTGGGACTACAGGACGCTCCATCCCCGTGGTTGGAAAACTGACCAGTGACAGCTCCTGCTCCATCCGTGGCCTTGACTCTGGAAGACATTTCCCAGGGAGCTCTTTTGTGGGTCAGTGCAGATGCCCAGCCTGGGGGCTTCAGATTAAACCAACTAAAACCAGTTTCTGTGGTTCCGGCTGCTGTCCTCACTGGGCTAGAAAATGGAAGAGGTTTTAAATCGTGGCTCCTGGCAGGCAAGGAGAACAGAGTGGCTCATTTCCAGCAAAAGGCAGAGATGCTAATCTCATAAGGCAGAAGGCTGCCTGCCAGCAATTGCACGCATTTTGCACGGTCCCTCCGTTTCTCCCTTCCTTCCTACTAATCTGATCCATTTATCTACAAAGCCAATTTGGAATTTTAAAAGGCCAGTCTGTTTGGTCACTGAAATTTTCAAACACAAATTCAATTTGCTTTGCAAGGCACCACCAGCCTTCCCAGGCCACAGGACAACACTAACTTCCCGTCCTTGTGTTTGCAGAGGGGTTTCTGTCATAAATGCTTCGGGATCCAGCCCATTGCATCTCTCGGCTATCTCAGCAAGCGGGGAGGCAAGTGAGGGAAGCCATCATTGCTGACGGTGAGCACTTGTTGGGACCTCAGAATTCTTTTTGTTCTACTTCTTCACTGTGCACATGGGGAAACTGAGGCCAAGAGAAAGGAAAGGACTCGTTCAGGCTCACATGGCAGTGAGTAGCAGACCATGGCCCAGGGCTTCCTCCATGACAAATACACTTTGAATGTTGCCCTGAGGTCCCCAGAGGTGAAGTGACTCCTGGGGCCACACAAAAATGGGGAGCAGGAGCAGAATGAGGAATCGTGTATTTTTTTCACATGTTATTAAAGAGCTTTGATTCCTTGCAGAGACCTTGATGGGTACCAGAGCGATAAGTAACATCAGACATAGCCCCACTGCAGAGTCTCCCATGAAGCCAAAAGTGGCAGAAATCATTTTTTCCTCCATCCCCTGATGTTAGGCCTCCCATCTAATGTCAACTGGAGAGACAGCCCTCAGCAAGGATGGATGTGTTCCCATGGCTCCACCCTAATTCTCTTTCTCCCCATGCCAGCTCCTCCCCTCCTCTGCCTCTTCACCATCATGCCCAGCCACACATACAGGAAACCCCTAATTATCCTCAACTTCTGTCTCTTCTCTTCCCACTACACACACCTCCTGCCAATCTCTCCTCCCTCCATCTCCGTGGCGACTGCCTCAGGCAGGCTTTCACTCACCCCTCCATCCGGGGGTCTCTGACTCCCCTCCGCACCTGCTTAGCAGTGCCAGCCAGTGTGAGCTGTTCTACAGCGTGTCCCGCATGCACAGTGATGACCAGGAAACGGTGGAGGTCAACCATCCATCCCCAGAAGGAAAATCAAACAATCACATGATCAGGATGACACACAGTGTCCAAAGTGCGACAGAACTCTCCCACCTTCCCTGTTGAGTCCTTGATCCAAGCACACAGAGCCCTCCTCGGGATCTCTCTGATCTTCCTCCCTCTGCACCTGTACCACAATCTCCCCCAGTCCCAGGGTCTCAGGTGCTCTGTGATCAGGAGTAGCCTTATAGACCAGTAACAGAAATGGCTTTACCATCTCCAGATTTTTCCCAATCAGACATCCACAAGTCAAGCAAACCTTTGTGTCACTAATAGCAGCTGCCTTCCATGGCATAACCTCAATGCTTATCATGTCTACCCAGACTGTCTTCTATTCCTGCTGCTCAGAGTCCCCCTCCCAAGAAGGGAGGATAAGAGAGAGGAAAGAAAGGGGAAGGGTGGAAAGCTTTTCCTGCCTACTTAGATCTGATTAAGTGTCTTGCTTCAAATCTTTTATGGCTCCTTATTACCCTAGGATAAAGTCCAAATCTTCAGCCAGCCTCCAAACAGCCTTTCCAGCCTTAGCCCTCACATGTTTTCCCCTGATATACCTATATCGAGTTTTATGTATACAGTTTCCCCCATTTGAAACATTCTCCTTCTACCATTTTCTCCCTGGCAAACTTCTACTCATGCTCCAAGGACCATCTCAGATGCCCCCTCCTCTAGGAAGCCTTTCATGATTTCCCTGACCAGAAACAACTGTTCTCTCCTCTGTGTCTTCAGGCCACTCTCCACAGGTCTATTATTTTGGAATATAAGCATGTGACTGACTCCCCCTTTCCCTCAGGCCATCTCCCTGGGAGTGGGGAGGAGACTGGGCTCCTCTTTGTCCTGGGGATCGGCTACCTAAATGCCCTGAAGCTCTGCCATTGTACCTGGCTTCCAGAGCCAGCTCCACATCCACTTGGAGAAAGAGAATCCACAACCAAAAACCGAAATGATAGCCACAAGAATGGACACCTTTTTGGATCTAAATTGAGAATCACATGGAGATGTATGTCATCCAACTCAAACCTGGTCATCCATCTGGCTGGACATGAAGAAGGTCAATGTTAATCACAGACCTCAGAGCAAGAGGCAGGAGCCGCAGATGTCATCTGCTCCAAACTCACTTTCATTGTCCTCTTTTATTTACCTTCACCATTACTTTTTATATTTATAAAAGAAATATCCTAATCCTTAAAAAATCAAAGATTCAAAAGATTAAAAACTAAAAACTAATGGTCACCCCACCTCCAATGTCCACATGTCAATTTACATGTAAATTTGCTTATAAGTGTGCATACACTTAGAATTTTTAAAAAGCGTAAATGAAATCATGCTGTAAATATTGCTCATCCTTTTTGTTAAGAAGAAACAAAAAATACAATATGGATATCTTTCTGTGTCAACAGCATACACAGTTTTACCTTGTTCATTTTATTGTTGTTGCTGTAGCAGATTTTACATTTAGCACACAATCCGGTTTAAATTCAGGCACTGGGCTGAATACGAATAACATAGAAATAACTAAAATATTGTTCACAAGACTTTTGTTTTTACTGATAATTTTTGAATGAGATTATTTTTCTTTGTATACATTTTACTGAATTATAACACAAATCCTTTAAAAAGCACAAATCTTAAAAACACAACTGGATGCATTTTGACAAAGTAAATGTACCCGTGTGACCAAAACTCAGATCGGGAACAGAACATGACCAGATTCTGAAGCCACTTTAGGCCACTTTCCGGTACTCACTCTCTACCTCCCGACCCTTCCACCCCACCCAGTGGGAACCGTTCCCCTGCCTGTAACAGCATGGCTCAGTTTTGCCTGTTGAACTTGATACATTTGGACTCAAACAGCAGGCACTTGTATTAGTCAGCTCAGGCTGCCATGACAACAGACTGGTGGCTTAAATGACAGAAATGTATTTTCTCACCATTTGGATGGCTGGAATTCCAAGATCAGGGTGCCAGCATGGTTGGGTTCTGGTGAGGGCTCTCATCCTAGCTTGTAGATGGCTGCCTTCTTGCTATGCCCTCATGTGGAGAGGAGAAAGAGAGAGAGCAAGCTTTCTTCTGTCTCTTAGAAAGGCACTAATTCCATCCTGGGGACCCCACCCTCACGACCTCATCTAAACCTAATTACGTCCTAAAGACTCCATCTCCAAATACTATCACATTAGGGGGTAGGGCTTCAACAGATGAATTTTCAACAAAAGAATCTGGCTTCTTTCACTCAACATCATGTTTGTAGAATCACCCACGTCATCTCAGTTTCCTTTATTTCTAACACTTCGTAGTTTCCCATTGTAGGAATGTATCATGATGTATTTAACCATTCTCCTCTCAATAGACACCCAAATTGTCTCCTACTTCCCTGCAGTTACACTGCTGTGGTTTAAAGATAGCCTTGTACTTATGTCTACACATGTGTGTGTGTTTCCATAGGGTAAATTAGTAGGAATAGAACCGTAGCACCTCACTTTACAGACAGATGCCGGAGCTCCAGGGAAAATATAAATATCTCAATGTCTCAGTGGGTGTCCTCCCCAAGGTCTCAGTGTGCGGCCACTCCAAGATCACAGTGTGTGGCCTTCTCCCCAAGGTCTCAGTGTGTGGCCTACCCAAAATCAAAGTATGTGGTCTTCTCCCGGAGATCTCAGTGTGTGGCTTCCCCAGGATCACAGTAGGTGGCCTCTTCCCCCAAATCTCAGTGTGTGGCCTCCCCCAGATCTCAGTGTGTGGCCTCTCCAAGATCACAGTGGGTGGCCTCTTCCCCCGGGTCTCAGTGTGTGGCCTCCCCAAGATCACAGTGGGTGGCCTCATCCCCCAGTCTCAGTGTGTGGCCTCCCCAAGATCACAGTGGGTGGCCTCATCCCCCAGTCTCAGTGTGTGGCCTCCCCAAGATCACAGTGGGTGGCCTCATCCCCCAGTCTCAGTGTGTGGCCTCCCCAAGATCACAGTGGGTGGCCTCATCCCCCAGTCTCAGTGTGTGGCCTCCCCAAGATCACAGTGGGTGGCCTCTTCCCCCGGGTCTCAGTGTGTGGCCTCCCCAAGATCACAGTGGGTGGCCTCATCCCCCAGTCTCAGTGTGTGGCCTCCCCAAGATCACAGTGGGTGGCCTCATCCCCCAGTCTCAGTGTGTGGCCTCCCCAAGATCACAGTGGGTGGCCTCATCCCCCAGTCTCAGTGTGTGGCCTCCCCAAGATCACAGTGGGTGGCCTCATCCCCCAGTCTCAGTGTGTGGCCTCCCCAAGATCACAGTGGGTGGCCTCATCCCCCGGGTCTCAGTGTGTGGCCTCCTCAAGATCACAGTGGGTGGCCTCTTCCCCCGGGTCTCAGTGTGTGACCTCCTCAAGATCACAGTGGGTGGCCTCTTCCCCCGGGTCTCAGTGTGTGGCCTCCCCGAGATCACAGTGGGTGGCTTCCCAAGGTCTCAGTGGGTCATTCTTGCCCCCATTAGTCCCCACAACCTCTATCTATTTCATCCCTCTGAAAATATTGACTTGGAACTCGTTATGCACACAAACTAGTCGGAATCCCAAACATGCCTCGAATCCATTTTCTGATTGACATCAATGAGCTGACAGCGTGGAGAGAAAGCACCATTCCTTTGTTCAGAGCCAATCAGAAAACTGATAACACAGCCCCTCGCTCTTCTGTTTTTGTCAGAAGAATGATTGAAGGTAGAGCAGAAGACTCGGGAGGCAAACACACAGGCCAGGATTTCAAAACCCGCTCTGTTCTATCCTAAGTTCAGAATGCTGGGGAATGTTTCAGATATCTCCACTTTTTTTTTCTTCTCCTCCTACCACTGTGGAATAAGGGAAATTGAATTTCAAAAGAATATTATTCTAACTAAATATAAGCCTGTGCTGCTATGAAAACAAAGTTTCTAGTTGTTGGGTGGTTTGTTCTGTTTTTTAATAATTTGTGTCCCACTTCAACAATAACCAAGGAAATTAAGATTTTAAGAAAGAGAGAGAGACAAAAAGAGAAAGAGAGAGACCAGGTTTGTGCAAATCTCAAACAGAACACACAACTGAAAAGCCTTCATGTTTAGGTTTGAAATTGAGAAACTTAAACCTCTGGCAATATATACTCTCCCTCTTTTCCATGTTCTGCTAAAAGCAGCTAATTTTCCCATAAGCAAGTCTGGCAAGAAAAGGAACAAAGGTTTGGTCCAGGACACATTTTACTATTTATTCTTCTAACATACAGGAAATGAGGCCTCCTGGAACCTCGCTGCTGCCCGCCTCCTGGCCACCTCTGCCCTGTTTTGTGTTCCCAACCTGGCACAAAACCTGCTTATGGATTGAGCGTTCCAATTCTTGGACTCTCAGCCCCTCTTGACAGCACCAGGCAGTCACTGACTGTGACCCAGGGACGGAGCAACAGCCATTCCACAAACAGTCCTCATGCCCCACCATGTGCCCTAGGCTGGGGACACGACGGGGAGCGAGGAAGACACAACCCCTGCCCATGTGGAGCCAACATGATGGAAAGGACGAAAAGGCCACATCATCTCATTCGGTCCTCACTACAACCCTGTGAGTTGAGAATTGTTATTAGCCTCAGTTTATAAATGAGAAAACTGAGGCACAGGGAGGAAGTGACTTGACCAAGCTCCTACAGGTGGGAAGTGGTGGAGCCGGGATTTGAATGTGGGTTTTTCTGGCTCCCACGATGAGTCTGCCTCCTCTTCCATGGGATTTACCACTCTGCTTCATTTTTTGGTTTGTTTGTTTGTTTGTTTGTTTGTTTGTTTGAGACAGAGTCTCACTTACTCTGTCACCCAGGCTGGAGTGCAGTAGCACAGTCTCAGCTCACTTCAACCTCCACCTCCCAGGTTCAAGTGATTCTCTTGCCTCAGCCTCCTGAGTAGCTGGGACTACAGGCATGCACCATCACACCCGGCCAATTTTTGTATTTTTAGTAGAGAGAGGGTTTTGCCATGTTGGCCAAGCTGGTCTGGAACTCTTGACCTCAAGTCATCCTACTGCCTTGGCCTCCCAAAGTGCTGGGATTACAGGCCTGGACCACTGTGCCTGGCCCACCACCCTGTTTTATAATTACCTCCTTTCTTAGCTCTCTTTCCTGATTGACTCTAGACTTCAGGATAGCATCTCAGGCATCTTCACATAACTGACACTGCACTTGATGAGTATTTGTTGAATAGGTGAGTGGATGAATAATCAATCCAAAGGGTGGTACAAGTCATGGAAGGTTAGGAGGCAGAGGAGTAATACAAAGTGGCATGAAGAAGCCCAAGACTCAGCCCCTACCCTCAAGCAGCTTTCAACCCAGGTGGGACGGCATGACATGGACACGTGGAAGTTCTCTAGCACTGACAGGCCACCCTCCATGAGGTGTTCCATGCTCATAGACAGTGGGTACGACAGGAGGTCAGATGAGCCCACTCTTTTCTGGGAAGGGGGAGATCAGGAAAGGCTGCCTGGAGGAGGCGAGGCTGACACTGGGCACTGAAGGATGAAAAGAGTCAAGTACATGGAGAAGAGGAGGGAACAAAGGCTGACTACCGAAATTATGCTCTTTCTACCACATCCTACCAAGAGGTGAGTATAGAAGGAAGGGAAGGAGGGAGGGAGAAAGGAAGAAAAGCCTTCACTATGGTAACACATGGAGGATTCAGTTCTGTAGACTCCGACACCCTGGCCTCCCTCTTGCTCAGCAGAGAACCAGGCATGGCGCCACCCTCGCTCTCCAGTATGTGTGCATATCTGCTGGTATCAGCAGGCAGTGGGGCTGTCCCAGTCTCTTCCCAGCCTCCACGCCTGCATAGCCCTGCATGGGCAGGACCGTAGGCACCCTTCTCCCCACGACAACTCCAAGGCTGGCCCTCCCTGTTCTTCCCATGTGTGGGGAGACAGTGAGGGAGGTGAGAAGAGCATCCACTCTGCAGTGAATGGGCCTGGGGTCAAACTGCATCCTAGCTGGGTAACCCTGGGCAGGTCACTTAACCTCTCTGACCCTCAGCTTCTACATCAGAAAACTGGGGATGACCCTCATGGAGATATTTATTACAGGCTAAGAGATGACGACATGTGTAAGCAGTTAGCGGAGTGCCTGTGGCTAGCAGAATCTCAGTAAGTGGAAGGCATTGCTATGAGTAGAATTGCTGTTATTCATATCGAATTAGGTGGTAAAATTAAACCTTTATTGCTCCTTGCGTGACCACTTCAGAAACTCTCTCAGAGTTTCTGGCTAGAGGAGAAAGAGGGGGTACTCTGGGCCTTTCTGGAACACCTGGTATCCTTGCCAGGGCAGCTGGTCCCCAAGGGGCAGGACTGTTTGCTTTCCACTTGCTTGCCGCAGACCAGCCTCCATTGGCGACTGGCTTGGGCCGCCAGGCTGGGTGGGGCAGGTGCGTAAACTCTGTGATGCATTCTTGGGCTCCCCAAGGTAAAAATAGTTTTGCTTTGTTCGGCCGGGTGGTTTACACACTCGTTGGCCTGGCAACCTGCCCACTGGAAAGGCAAAGGCCAGACTATTTCTGGCTGCAAAAACAAGCCCCCGCCAGGCCCCAGCGTCAAGCCTCCAGATAGCAGTATTAATATTCTGCTATCTCATTCTTTCAGGCCACAAAAAAACAGAGAAGAAAAAAAGCCTTGTGCCTGCATGACTTCTCCTTCTATTACCCACAATCACAGCTGCCACAGCTACTGCAGACAATGCCCAGGACTCTCAAATGTCACATTCCCCCAAACAAAACAAAACAAAACATAATAAAGGCTATAGTAGTCATATTATTAACAATAACATCAACAAAGTACTTACCATACACAAAGCACTATGATAGGCATGTTGCTTCCATGTTATCCTTCCTTCACAGCAGCCCTAAGAGGTACTATTACAAGGCCCATTTTCTAGAAAAGGAAACTATGGTTCAGAGAGGTAAAGTCACCTGCCCAGAGTCACACAGTGAAAAATCAGCAAGGGTGAAATTCTAGCCCAGGTCTGCCTGACTCCGAAATCCATGCTGTTTCTTGGCGCCACTTCTCCTTACACCTTACTAAAGAAAACATGGATGTTTCATTGTCTTTCTTTGTGGTTGCTTTTTTTTTAAAAGTAACAAACCCCACTGGGGCATTTTCAGTGGTTTTCTGGTGTCATTTCTCCCACCTTAATTGCCTCCTCTCTTCTTTTCTCGACAAAATCTCCAAGCTTTACTTGTCTCCTGTCTTCCCTTTGGCCCATCAGATTCCCAGGCCTTTGTTCCCTCCGCCTCTCCATCCACATAACTTTTCCCATCCTTCAATGCCCCACTCCAGCCTCACCTCCTCCAGGCAGCCTTCCCTGATCTCCCCCTGCCCAGAGCAGAGTGAGCTCCCTTCTTTCTGACCTCTGGTCATGCACACTGTCTGTGAACATGGGACACCTCAGCAGAGGGGGCCTTTCAGAGTTAGAGAATTCCCAAGTCCATATCATGTCTTTCCAGCTGGGTTGGAAGAATCTGCTGGAGGCCGGGGGCTGCCCGTGCTTCTGTGTGTCTGCTCACATCAGTCCCCTGACCCAAACCCTCAATGGGCATGGGATCCAGTATTCATCCATCTACCATGCATCATCCGTCTGTCCATCCATCCATATATGTATTCATTCATTCAATGGGTATTTATTGTGTGCAGTGTAAGAGATATGGAGATTCATCAGATACCTGCAGTCAGAAGAGAGAGAGATAGAGAAGGAGGCAATTAGAACACAGTCAATAAATGCTATGGAAAGTGGCATGGGTTCATGGGAATCTTTCCAGGGAAGCAGACATCTGAGTTGGATCTTAAAGGGAGAATGGAGTTCATTAGGTGAAACTAGGAAACCATTCTTCAGACAGGCTCCTAACACATGTCCTCTAGGGTTTGACCTAACGTTCTTCCCATCTCATCCCCATCAGCCACTGTACCACTCGGGTCCCAACAGGGAAGCTAGTCTGCTCCAGTCAGATCCCAGGAGGCGTGTTAGTTTCCACAGGGACTACACAATTCCTAACAGGCAGGGTTGGGGACCACACAGGAGAGTGTGGTTACCTGGCTAGTTGTAATGCAGCCATTACCACTTGAAAAGGTGAGAGGAAGGAATTTATAGAAATCCATAAAGAGAGCGCTGGTTAGAGACCCCCTTGAGGGCACAGTGACTTTCCATCAAAGGAAAAGAGCAGCCCAAGGCAACCTTGCAGGCCAGGAGCCAAGATCAACACCCTGACCTCACTCGCCTCTCATCCACTTGAGGCAGAAACTTAAAATAAATATGCATTCATTCACTCCAAGAAAAGTAACAGGCAAGTCAAGGGTTAAGAAGAAAAGAACAAGTTTTCCTCTGTCTAGCAATCTCACTTCAAGAACAGTTATAAGATAACACTGTTTGAGAAGCCAAGGCCAAAAGAATGGGCTCCAGACAACCCCCTGCCAGAGCAAGATTGAAGGGAAAAAAAGAGAGAAAGACAAATTCCTTTATTGTTACTGCTCCTTTCCCTGGCTTCTTAAGTACAGCTGTGTTTTACAAATGTCTATATTTAGCCTGTTCTTGTTTTTCTTTCACAAGGCCAACAGCTATGCAGGGCCACAAGTTACGTTATGCTATAGATTATATGACCTATCATATGATTAGCTGCTTTTGTTTTGCTTCTGTAGTCAACTTATAAAAACTGTGCTCAGTCTTTGTTCAATGCTCAGCTTTTTGGATATGAATCCACTGAGCCGGTGAGTACCTAAAATAAACAATCCTCCTGTTCTCCGTATCAGTCTCTCCTGTCCTCAGTTTCCTGCAACACACTCATCTCTCACTGGCACCTCCCATTGGCCAACCCAGACAGAGCAAGGGGACAAGGCCAGGCTGCCAGGACAGTGAGCAGGATGTGAAGGGTAAAGGGTGACTCTGGAAGAATGGATGAAGCTGTCCAGCCCAGCTGGCCATGCATTTCTGGCTCTCATGCTCTTGGACTTACTGTCTGACGCCGAAGTCCATGCTGTTTCTTCTAGCCACTGCTCCTTACACCTTACTAAAGAAATATTTTACAATTGTAAGTAACCAGGCACTGTCCCCTGAATCCACTCTTGGCCTTCACATGCACCTCTGTGCTTTCACTCACTCTGTTCCCTCTGCCTAGAACTCCGTTGCCCAGCTTCCTAATCCACCAAAATCTCATTCATCTTTCAAGCCATGCCCAACAACTGTCTTTTCCTTAACTGCTCTGAAAGTATTCACTGTTTAACTTGTATGTCATTCTCTCACGTATCCTTTTCCCTCTACACCCATTAGTCTATGAGCAATTTAAGAGTGGATGCTATGGCTGATTCATCATTAAAATCCTAAACTTCTGCCTCCTCTAAGTCATGAACCTGGAAGCTGTCAGGAACTGTGAAGGCAATGAGATTTTACCCTACCTGCAAGCCAACAAGTCAGCCTGCCTGTTTCATGGATGCTGACAGGAGGCGTGAGAGACTCCCGAATCCGAGACAAAGGACTTTATTATCACAGCAACAGCAATAGCCAGACAATCAAGGTTTTTGCACCAGTGCCCTCAGCCTCAGTTTCCACAGGACCACATGAAGAGGGCCAGGTAATACTGTATATGCAGTGGGTTGCATTACAGAACAGCAATGCTTAGCTTGGGGAACCTGTTGTAAGTAAGCATACCGATATGGTTTGGCTGTGGCCCCACCCAAATCTCATCTTGAATTGTAGCTCCCATAATTCCCATGTGTTTTGGGAGGGACCCAGTGGGAGATAATTGAATCATGGGGATGGTTTCCCCTCATATTTTTCTTGTGGTAGTGGATAAGTCTCATGAAATCCGACGTTTCCCCTTTTGCTTGGCTCTCATTCTCTCTCTTGTCTGCTTCCATGTAAAACGTGCCTTTTGCCTTCTGCCATGATTGTGAGGCTGCCCCAGCCACGTGGAACTGTGGATCCATTAAACCTTCTTTTCTTTATAAATTATCCGGTCTCAGGTATGTCTTCATCAGCAGTGCGAAAGTACACTAATACACATGCCCACCTTTGTTCCAATGGGAGACACTCTCTCTGTCTCCCAAGAATGTTTGTTATGCAAAGATAACACAGAACAAAAGGCAGACAGTGCCTCTGCTTGCAAGACATGCAGAAATGAGAGAGGGCCATGGGGAATTGTCCTCTAACAAAACCTGTGTCCCCTAACAGAAGCTGAGTGTGAAATGCGCACCTTTGTCTCACTCTGCCCTCCTGATACCAAACGTCAGTACTGAGTGTCCAGTCAGAGCCCTGACCTGGTCCCTCCTGAGGTCTCCCTCCCAGTGAATGGCAGGACCCAGAGTGGCACTACTCACCCCACCTGTGAAGGGGGCATAATGACAGGAACTAGCTCACAAGGTTGTTGAGAAAATGAACTGAGTTTTTCCTGTGAAGTACTGAGGCAAGTATACAGCGAGTGCTATGTGTGTTAGCAAAATCAAGGAAGGAATGAAAAAGGAGAAGGAACAAGGACAGATATACAGAAGTAGAAGAAGGCTGAGCACCTAGACCAGAAAAGCCTGGCCCTACTCAGGAACAAGGAACAGAGTTACAGCTGTGAAACATCAGAGAACATCATTACCTACACAGCCCTGCTTTCCCCAGGCTCCAACAGGGCCACTTAGGCAGATGTCATTTCCTACCTTATTGACTCTGGTCTTCATCCCAAATCTGCACTCGCAGACAGGGATGTGATGACACCCACGTGGCTGAAGATGGCTCCAGGCTCCAGTGGTACTGACTTGGGACAAATTACCCACTAAAAACCTGAGATGAATGAAGCATTTTGGAATTTTTCCAAATGCAAAATAAGTACCAAGGCCATATCGATGCTACTATTCCTACTATCGTGTAGAGATTGATTTGCTCTCTTCAGCAGGCATCTCCCGGATCAAATCATTGGAAGATCACAGTGGCATTAATAAAAACAGCCACTGCCATGAGCTGAGCCTGATAATTAACGTGCCATGCTGAGCTGGGCTTTGCATGCCTGCTCCCATTTGATCTCCACCATAAATCCAGGGACAGCTATTATCATTATTATCCCCATTTTACAGCTCATAAAGCTAAAGTTCGTGGCACTGAGGTAACTTGCCTCAAGTACTAAGCTCAGATATAAACCAACATCTCAGATGTCTGACCGACCCCAAAGCCCAGGCTCTACCACACTGCATTATTCTGCTACAAGGAGCCTTGGAATTCACCTACCCCCTCCTGTCTGACATACAGAGAACAGCAATGCATGGGCTGAGCCCAAGGAAGTGCCTGGAACTGAAACTCTTTACTCTGGATTCAGACCCCTGTCTCTCGTCCTTTGTTCCCTGATAGTTTCATCAGGGCTTTGTGAGAAACAAACACAAAGCGACAGAAAAACACAGAGAAAATTAAGAAGGCGTGGTTGGCAGTCGGGGTCAGGTGGGGGCCACAGCAGTGGGGCGGGGTGGGGGGTGTCTGGCTGGGTGTGATATCTCCAGCCCAGGCAAGTCCAGGAATTCCAAGGTCAGTTAGACCAGCAATGTCCACCAGGGGGTGCTAGGAATGTGTTAATTGATTAACTAACTCAGCCTCCCCCATCCAAAGCTATTGGGACACACTGGTCCATAGACGCTCTTACCTTAACAAGGATTTCCCAACAACTGGTTTCCATAGGTACCACAGGGGACACACAGGTAACTGTAGAAGGCACACAGATAAATTTACGGAAAAATTCTTAGTAATGATGCGTGTCCCAAGACAATGTTGTTTTCTTCTAGCTGCACTGCACAAAGGAGGGAACTGCTTTCTGAGTAAGATAAAAATATTTTCCTTGGTTAGACAGTGAGGGATTCTTTGGCTTGTTAACTTACACAATATAGCTTCTAAGGGAAGTGCTGGGAGACCCAGGTTATTTCTCTCCCGGCCCATGTCAACACGAGGTTTCTGCTGACCCAGGTGCCCTGCCAAGTCCTCTTAGCAGGTCCTGGACCCCCAAGGCTGCTGCAAACCCAGAAAGTGTGCACAGACCTGTGTTTCTCTAGGGAGAGAGGAAGACGGGGAGCCCAAGTGGATTGTTTCGAAGCTCCTAGAAAACGACCCTTGATAGAAGGATACAGGGGATGTTACATCTTTCAAGAGCCTCGTGTTCTTCTCAGCAACTTCAGGTCATTGAATCCTTGTCCATTGGGATCAGGCAGCCATCTGCCACAGATCCATGGGGCAGGAATGCCATCGCCATCTTCATGAAGCATGTCCCCCTTTCCCTTGGCGCTGTGTATAGCACAGCCCCACAGCCCACACAGTCATGCTTGGAGGCCCCAATTTGGAGCATTCATTTATCCATCTGCTCTTTCAACAAAATTTCTGAGCAATTTTTTTTTACCACATTTATGCCTTTAAAAAGCATGTATCCAAAAGTGTAGGGGGGCACAAAACAGCTTTGAACCAAGAAAATGCACCCCATTTTGAGAAACTCGACCATCTCATTTCATGGATGAGGAAAAGATCTTCAGAAGCTATGTACACAGTGAAGATTACAAACCTGGAGGACAGCAGAGCTGGGTCTAAGGCCCAGATCCGGCTCCCAGCTCGGTGCTTTGACATCCTCACCATGCTGCCTTCCAACGGGCCCTTGGCCCTCACAATATCTCTCATCTATGGAAAGGAATCACAATCCTTGCTCCCACTTAACAAAAAAGCAAATTAAGGCATACAGAAGACAACCTAAACAGGTCATTAAGATCAACACCAACCCAGCTCAAACGTTTCTCAAGAAAGGCATCTCCCGATTCCTGCAAGTTATTTCTGGATTTGAATCCTCATCCAAGGCATGGAGCTTTAATTCTCTCTGGCATCTGGCCCCTGCAGACCCCTCCCTTAAAAATGCCTTCCTTAAGAATCACCCTCACACAAGAACAATCCCTGCTGTCTACACCCACTTCTTTTCCACCGAATTTTCTGCTTCATGTTTAACTGCAGGAGTCCTTTTGTGTCAATGTTGTAGAATATTTATTATTAAAAAAGGTGACATGTTGACTGCAATTATTTTGGGATGGGTATATTTCAGTTGCCGTGAAAGAAAGAAGAAAAAGAGAAAAGGAAGAAAAAAAAGGAAAATGGATGAAAGAAATGAATTGGAAGAAAAGGAAGATAAAGAAGAAAACAGGGTAGAAGGGGAAGAGAGAAGAAAGGAGAAGCAAGGAAGGAGGTAGAGAGGGAGAATGTCCAGCTAAAGAGGACCCTCGGTCATCTTTTAATTTTCGCAGATCAGCCAAAGACAACCATGTTAATTAGCATAGTCTGTTGACACAGGGAGAGGTTCATTCTGCAGTCTCTGTCCCTCAGTGTTTGGACCCGAAACTCAAAATTTAATGCAACTTCCACAACATCCTTATTTGGAAGAAAAGGTAGTCTGACTCAGACTCAAGTCTTAGTTAAGAAAAAATAAGTAAATCTTGTTTTCAATGAATGTCATTGTAGGGAAAGACCACAGAGGTCACTAAGGGAGCCCTCAAAACCTTCTGCAACCCAAAGTCCCCCCCGTTCACCAACGCAAAAGCCAAACACACAAAACATGCCTTTCATGTCACTTCAAACGTCTTAACAAATTAAATATCATTACTCAAAACAAAGCAAGGCTGTGGCAATGTTAGATGAAAATAGTTCATTTTCCCTAAAAATAGAATCTTTATTTTAGTCACAAGGTCTCAATCTGCTTGTCTGCCCTGGTTCCTCTTTCCTGGTCAAAGTGGCCATTAGAACACAATGAAGATCATTTTCAACATCAAAGTTGTTGCCAGCTTTTTTTAATGTTGATAAAAATGAGAAATGATGTTCACTACATGTTTACTTGTGTTCAGAGGATCAAGGAGATTATTTACTCCCAAAAACCTTGAAAGCCCACTTGATTAAGTTGTCTTAGACTCAAGCTTGAGCTCCCAAAACACCTCTGAGAGATCTGGCAAAGACTGAACATGTGAGAAAGGGTTTCCTTATGGAGTTTCAAATGTGCTTTTCAGACAAAATATCAGAAAAATATGGATTTCTTAAATTCATTTTGCAGACATATTAGAAGAAACTGCTTTTTACTTTTTTTCTCCTTAAGAGCAAGACCACCAAATCTAAACACTAAAAAGAAACGTTTAGCACTAATATAATGTATTTTTAGATAAATGTGGGCTATAATTTCCTGATGTAAGCAATGCTGAGAAACAAGATGGATATTTATTTCTTGAAGTTTCACAATCAATATATTCAAAAGTTCAAATGTATCTGCTAAGTACACCAAGTATCTTAGGCTGGGCTCCTGAGATGCAGACCGTCAGGGAAGAAACACCCACAAGGGGTTTATGAAGGAGAAACCTGTAAGGTGTGAGGGAAGAAAAACAAGGAAGGGGGAAGAGCCCAGCCAGGGCACCATTTCTGGAAGGTGCGTGTGTTGGGAAAAACTCTCCCAAACCATGTTTTTCCTCTGCTCTCATACCACCGCAACAATCATCAACACAGAAGATGACATCTGTGACCAAATGTAGGCAGGGGGCAGGGGTTTCGCCCACCACCAAGCAGCAGATGCTAGCTGGATGTCCTCCAATTCAATTCCAACACGATTTACCCGGGCATAACGTCAGATCCCACAGGTTGAATACTCAGTCCCCAAGACCACACCACTCCGGACACCAGTTGCAAGTCCAGGACTCTGGAACTCCTGACCAACCTGCTTCAAGTTGGCCTCCCAAAAGCCCCTCTTTGGGTTTGACTCATTTGCTGGAGCAGCCCACAGAACTCAGGGAACCACATTTACCAGTTTACCACAAAGGACACTACAGATGATACTGATGAAGAGACTTGTAGGGTGCAGAGCTTCCATGCCCTCCCATGCCACAGGGTGAATCCCAAAATTGGAGTTCAGGCTGGGAGTCCACGCACGTTCTCTGCTTCACACAGAAATTCAAGAGCAAGATGACACAGTAAAGTGAAAGCAAGTTTTTTAAGAAAGTAAAGGGGTAAAGGGGTGGCTACTCCATTGGCAGAGCAGCAGCATGGGCTGCTGGACTGAATAGACTTATGGTTATTTCTTGATTATATAACAAACAAGGAGTGGATTGTTCATGAGTTTTGCAGGAAAGGGGTAGTGTATTCCTGGAACTGAGGGTTCCTCCCATTTTAGACCATATAGGTAACTTCTGGACATTGCCATGCCATTCATAAACTGTCATGGTGCTGGTGGGCATGTCTTTTAGCATCCTAATGCATTATAATTAGCGTATAATGAACAATGAGGACAATCAGAGGTCACTTTTGTCACCATCTTGGTTTTAGTGCATTTTGGCTGGCTTCTTTACCGCACTTTATTTTATCAGCAGGGTCTTTGTGGCCTGTATCTTGAAAAACCAGTCCCTCCAATTCCAGTCTCACCCATTTGATGGAGTCACTCTGGTTCCAAAGCCTCTGACACCTGGGCAGGCCACCCTCCAGGAATCACCACGTGTTCAGAGATCCAAAAGCTCTCGAACTTTGTCCTCTTTTCTTCTTATGGAGGCTTCATTACACAGGCATGATTGATTAAGCCATTGGCCACTGGGGATCAACTTGACCTTCAGCCCCTCTCCCCTCCTGGGGCTAAAAGTCCCAACCCTCTGATTCTGCCTCGGCCACTCTGGTAACCAGCCCCACCCTGAACCTATCAGACAAAAGACACATAAAAGACAGCACTTTGGTGATCCCAAGGACTCCAGGAGTTGTATGCCAGGAAACGGGAATGAAGACCAAGTTAATATTTCACAATATCTCAGCGCATTACACCTGAGAATCCCTTAGTACCCACCCACGGAGGGAGCTGGATGAAAGCATCCAACCAGTAAAAAGACCCAGGCTCTCACTCCAGCCTGGGCAACATAACAAGACCCCACCTCCTTACAGAAATTAATTTTCAATTTTTAAAAAAAATTAAATTAACTAATTAAAAGACCCAGGGTCTCCAGGTGAAGCACCGAGAGAATCTGCTACACCCAGCTATATGGAGAGTTAACATTATTAAAAACTTGTAAAGCTCTTTCCCTGGGTATTCCACAAACACAACCACTGTGGCCTTCATTAATTCCAGCCAGGTTAATTTCCCTGTAGCAAGAAATGAACCTGAGTATTCTAAGATCAGCATTCAAATCTTCACACACAAAAAAGGCAAACAGGCTGATGTTTTAAGACACTATTTTTCACAGGTTGGCTCTCTGGATAGCTAGGCTGAGATGCTCTTATGGAGTTTTTCACTGCAATGCTTGGCAGCAATGTGACATCATAAAATGATTCATCTCTCTTGGATTATTGTCTTAAATGTTTACTGCAAATCTAACATTAATGAAATAGCATCAGCAGACATCCATTATTTCTCTTTTTTTTCCTCATTAATCTCATTACTTCAAAGAATTTCAACTATGCTTCAAAGACATCATCAACTTAAGGGGTGCTCTCCAGGGCTTAGGAACAGTTTCTTTTTCACTGCAGCATGCATAAACAAGCAGTGAGTACAATTTTCCTTTATTAGGGATGAATTAACCTTAGGCATCTTTTCAGCCTTTCACTGAAAAATCAGACAAATCAATATTCTGGAATTTATTTGTAATTTTCTCCCCAAGTGAAGTTTGGGCAGCACTCAAGTTCAGGGATTTCATGAGTCTCTTTCACAATATGAAGTTCTTGTTATTCTTTGTGATCGAAAAAAAAGAAACAGTTCCACATGTTATTCATGTTATTTTCACAACCTAGGTAGATTCCTGATTCTACGTTTTACAACCATTCAGCCTCATATGCCAAAAAGAATTGTGCATACAGAGAGAGAAAGAGAGTGGGAGGGAGGGAGGGAAGGAAAGGGAGGAAGGGAAGGAAGGAGGAAGAGAGGAAAGAAGAAAGGGAAAAAGGAAGGAAGGGAGGGAGGAACTCTTTTAAAGATTTGTTTACGTACCCCAAATGAATCTCACTTGCTCCTTGGCTAGTCTCAGCATACTCTCTCATTCAAATGAAACAACAAAATAAAAAGCGGTGGACAACAATTTTAATTATTTGTACTCTGTTGTATTTTTTAAACTATAAAAGGAATACATCATGTAAAAGGACACAGGAGCCAACCTAAAAGAGCTCCCAGTGGCCAAAGTTGGAACAAAACTGAGCAACAAAATAAGTAACAAAAACATTTTTTATAACCCAAAGAATAAAATAACCATAAGTCAATGCTAACATAAAAAAGTGATTGAATAAATAACAAGTAAGGGAGAACAGAAGAATTCCAGTTAACAAATAGAGACAGAATAAGGAAAGTAGACAAACTTTATCAGAGCAGTACAGCAATAATTGCTGCAAGATTCACCAAACAATACTATAATTAGTGGACAAAAGTTTGACAAGATATAGGATACTAAGAAGAAAAGGGATAAGAAGAAAGAACTTTCCCCAAAATATGTATTATTTACAAAAGGGAAAATAGCAACTTTGAGTGGGGAAAGCAGATGCCATCCAATCACATGATCAAGGCTAACATCACCAGCAACAGATGTGCCAATAGCACATACCCGCAGTATTTTGAGCAGAGAAGAGCACATCACCACCATGGCATTCTTCCCCAAGATCCATAATCTCAATCTATCAAAGCATGAGAAAACATGACAAACCCAAACTAAGGGACATTCTATCAAATGCCTGACCTGTACTCTTCAAGACTCTCAGGGTCATAAAAGGACAAGTACAGGTTGAGGAACTGTCACAGATCGGAGGAGAACGGGGGACATGGGACTCAATGTAATGTGGGATTTGGGGAAAGAAGAAGGACATGAGTGGAAAAACTGGTGACATCTGAACACATTCTGTAGTTTACTGAATAGTGTTGTCCTGGCATTAATTTCTTGTTTTTGATCCGCTCCCCTTACCAGGGAAAGAGGCTTCCCACTCTTGAGTCCACAGTGCTTGCACCTCCGCAAGACAAGCATATCCCTAGGCCCCCCAGAGTAGACAAGAGAGGAGGTGAAGACTCGGAAGAAACCCCTCCCTTGGCAGCTCGTTTATGACCCAAAACGAGGATACAACTGGCCCTGAGAGAGCAGCGGTATACTGGGATATATGAGGATGGTCATGTGGCGGAGAGGGGTGTTTTTGTGTACCAGCCTTTCACCTCTGCCGACCTTACAGATCACGTCACAAGGTGTACACCTTCTGTGACATTTTGAACACTCTGTGACATTCAAAGAAACATCCCCCTAGGATATTATGAATAATAACACAGGCGGTGTACACACATGATGTACACCACCTGTGTCATCAGGAGTAACATTCCCCTTGGATATTACCAATAATATCACAGCAGGTGTCCACACATGGTGTACACCCCATGTGACATTAGGGAGAGCATGCCCCTAGGATATTAGGAATAGTATCACAGGCGTTGAATACGTATGTCATACACCCCCGGTGACAATAAAAATAACATCCCCCTTGGATATTACGACTAATATGACAGGGAGTACATGCCGTGTGACATTAGGAGTAACACCCCCGAGGATATAATGAATCATATCAGAGGGTGTACATGCATTGTGACCTTCCTAGTAACATCTCTTTAGGATATCACAAACAATATCACAGGGTGTACAGGCATTGTGACATTAGTAGTAACATCCCGCCAGGATATGACGATTCATATCACAGGGTATACATCCCCTTGACAATAGTAGCAACATTCCCCTAGAATATTATGAATAATATCCCAGGATGTAGAGCCCTGGTGATTTATGAGTAACATGTCTGTAGAATATTACAACTCCTATCACTGTGTGACTCTGTGTACACCCCGTGTGACATTAGAAGTAACATCCCCCGAGGATATAACGAATAATGTCAGAGAATGTACCTGCATTGGGACATCAGTAGTAACATCTCTTCAGGACAATACGAATAATATCAAAGGGTGCACACGCATTGTGAAATGACTAGTGAAGTCCCGCTAGGATATTACGAATTTGATGGCAGGGTCTACACGTCCTGTGACATTAGCAGTAACGTTTTCCTGGAATATTATGAAGAATATTAAAGGGTGTACAGGACCTGTGAATTACGAGTAACATTTCTATAGAACATTGCACGTAACATCACTGTGTGTCCACCCCGTGTGACATTAGGGGTGACATCCCACAAAATTATAACGAATAATTTCACAAGGTGTACAACCTCTGTGACATTAAGAGTCACATTTCCCTAGAATATGACGATAATATCACAGAGTGTACACCCTCTGTGATACGAGGAGTCACATCTTACAAGGATCATACGAGTAATTTGACAAGGTGTACAAACCCTGTGACATAAGAGGTGACATCCCTCTAGGATATTATGAATAATATCAAACGGAACCTGCCCCGTGTGACAATAAAAGTAACCTCCCCTTAGGAGAATAAGACCACAAGGTGTACACACATTGTGATATTATTATTAATGTCCCGCTAGGATATACTGTGAATAACATCTCAAGTGTGTAGAGTCCTGTGACAACATGAATAACATTCCCCTACAATATTACGAATAATATCGCAGGGTGTATACCCCGGTGACTTTAGTAGCGGCATGTTGCTAGAATATGGAAAATAATGTCCCAGGGTGTGAAACAAGGGTGGTAGTAGACAAAAGATCCTAGGAAAAATCCGGGAGTAATATCACCCCCCCTCTCCCCACCTGGATATTACGATCCACATCGCAGGGGGGCGGGCGCCTCCCGCGATGCGGGGAGTAATATCACCCCCCTCTCCCCACCTGGATATTACAATCCACGGTGGTCACACAGCATGTTGACGGGATTGTCAGTAATATCTTCTCAGCCTCTGGAAATCACCAACTATATTATAGACGGGTGTACATCCTCTGTACTCTTTGCAGTAATAGCATCCTCTTGCCCCTGGATATTAAGAACAATATCACGGGAGTGTTTCCACCCCCAGCAGCATTGGGTGTAGTATCGTCCTCTCCCACGTTGAAATTAGGAACAGTATCACTGGGGGCGTGTCCACCCCATGCGATATTGAAAGTAACATCATCCTCTTCTCTCCTGGATCATGGGAACAATATCCCTGGGGTGGTGTACACTTTCTGCGCTATTGGGAGTAGGGTCATCCTCTCCCCCTTGTAATATTAAGGACCATATCACAGGGGGGCTGTACACACCCTGTGCTATTAAGAATATTATCCTCCCCCGCCCTGCACATTACAAAAAATATCACAGTGTGGGTGTACACCTCCTGCGACATGGGGGTAATATCATCCTCTTTTCTTCTGGATAGTAGGAACAATATTACACGGGTTTGTACACTTTCTGTGATATTGGGAGTAATATCAACCTCTCCGCCTTTGAATATTAAGAACAATATCACAGACTGGATGTACACCCCCTGCCATATTGGGAGTCTTATCAGCCTCTCCTCTCCATGGATATTAGGAAGAATATCCCAGGATGGGTGTACACCCCCTGCTGTTTGGGGAGTCATATCGTCCTCTCCCTTCCTGAATACTAGGAACAATATCAGAAGGTGGGTGTACACAGCCTGCGATATTTCGAGTAATATCACCCTCTCCCCCTCCGGATATTAGGAACAATGTCACAAAAGGGGTGTACACTTCCTGTGATCCTGGGAGTAACAGCATTCTCTTCTTCCAGGAATATGAGGAGGAATATCACCAGGTGGATGCACACCCACTGCTATCTTGGGAGTAACGTCATACGCCATCCTCTGGAGATGATATTCGGATCAATATCACTGGGTGGGTGTACACCTGCTGCGATATTGAACGTAATATCATGCTCTCTCCCTCTCTGGACATTAGGAACAATATCATAGGTGGGTGTACACCCACTGAGGTATTAGGCATAATATTCATATTAATTCTTCCTCATTTAATATAAACATGAATATGTATTACCAATATTAATATTAATATTAAGAAATCATTGCTAATAGTGTTCAGATTATTAATATTAATATTAATTATTACAAGCTAATATTACTGTTTTCTAATGAATAAGATCAATATCACTTATTAATACCAGGCATCATTAATATTAATCATTTATTGTTATCGTTAGTATAACTCTTTAATATGAATTATCATTATTATCGGTATTGATTTTAACAATTACATGATCAGTTATTAATATTGATAATTAGAAGTGTTAATTAATAATTGAGATTATTAATTGCGGTAAGTCACATTGCGCCATTCCACCCCTCCCTCGGCTGCTCGTTTACGATGCAAAACGGGGATCCAAATGCCACTGAGAGACCAGCGGTATACTGGGATAAAGGAGGATGGTCAGGTGGTGGAGAGGCATGTTTTTGTGTACCAGCCCTTCACCTCTGCTGACCTTCTCAACTGGGAAAACAATACCCCATCCTACAGCGAAAAGCCGCAAGCCCTAATTGATTTGCTCCAGACTGTTATCCAGACCCACAACCACACCTGGGTTGATTGCCATCGGTTGCTCATGTTCCTCTTTAACAGAGATGAAAGGCAAAAGGCGGAGAGGGCTCCACGCAGCAACTAAGTGGCTAGAGGAACATGCACCAGACCAGCTGATTATCAAAACCCCCAAGAGTATGGAAGGACTCAGTTACCAGGAACCGAACACCTGTTGGACCCACGTGAAAGAGAGGATATGCAAAGGCTAAACTGAGACCGGGAAGCTCTCTTGGAAGCATTAAAGACGGGAGCTCAAAAGGCCACAAACGTTAACAAGGTCTCTGAGGTCATTCAGGGAAAAGAAGTCCAGCACAATTCTACCAGAGACTGTGTGAGGCCTAAGGTATGTATACTCCCCTTGATCCCGATAACCCTGAAAATCAGCACATGATTCACATGGCTTTAGTCCGTCAAAGCGCGGAACACGTTAGAAGAAAACTGCAGAAGCAGGCTGGGCTTGCAGGGATGAATACATCACAATGATGAGAAATAGCTAAGCAGGTGTTTGTAAACAGGGATGCAGTAAGCCGCGAGGAAAAGCGCAAAGAGAATGAACGTCAGGCCTGGCGAAATGCTGACCTGTTTGTTAGCTGCAGCAATCAGAGGGGTCCCCCCAAAGAAGCAAGGGAAGGGGGGCCCTGGGAAAGAAACTCAGCTTGGCTGTCAGGGTTTGCAGCGTAACCAGTGTGCTTATTGGAAAGAAATAGGACAGTGGAAGAACAAATGCCCTCAGCTCAAAAGAAAACAAGGTGACTCAGAGCAGGAGGCCCCGGACAAGGAGGAAGGGGCCCGGCTCAACCTGGCAGAAGGGTTATTGGACTGAGGGGAGACCGGGCTCAAGTGTCCCCAAAGACCCCCTGGTCAGAATGATGGTCGGGGTAGAGACATTGATTTTCTTGTAGACAGCGGTGCTGAACATTCGCTAGTAACCGCCCCGGTCACCCCCTTATCCAAAAAGGCTCTTGACATCACCGGAGCCATGGGGGTTTCAGCAAAGCAAGCTTTCTGCTTGCCTCGGACTTGTACTGTAGGAGGACATCAAGTCATTCATCAGTTTTGGTACATGCCTGACTGTCCCTTGCCCTTTTTGGGAAGGGACTTGCTCAGCAAGCTGAGAGCCACTACCTCTTTGACAGAGCACGGCTCTTTGCTGCTAAAGTTACCCAGAACAGGAGTCATTATGACCCTTACGGTCCCCCGAGAGGAGGAATGGAGACTTTTCTGAACTGAGCTGGGCCAAGAGAGAAGACAAGCTCTGGCCAAGCGGTGGCCAAGGGTCCGGGCGGAAGACAACCCTCTGGGATTGGCCAGTTAAGACTGCGGCCCAGCCGGTTAGGCAAAAACAGGACCGGGTCCCCAGAGAAGCTCTTCAAGGTATCCAGGTCCGTCTCAAGCACCTAACAACTTTTGGAATTATTGTTCCTTGTCAGTCGCCATGGAACACTCCCCTCCTGCTTGTTCCCAAGCCACGGACCAAGGACTACCGGCCAGTACAGGATTTGTGCTTGCTTAATCAAGCTACACTGACTTTACATCCAACAGTACCTAACCCGTCCACATTGTTGGGTTTGCTGCCAGCTGAGGACAGCTGGTTCACCTGCTTGGACCTGAAAGACGCTTTCTTTCCTATCAGATTATCCCCTGAGAGGCAGAAGCTGTTTGCCTTTCAGTGGGAAGATCCGGAGTCAGGTGTCACTACTCAGTACACTTGGACCGGGCTTCCCCAAGGGTTCAAGAACTCCCCCACCATCTTCGGGAAGGCGTTGGCTCGAGACCATCAGAAGTTTCCCACCAGAGACCTAGGCTGCGTGTTGCTCCAGTAGGTTGATGACCTTCTGCTGGGACACCCCATTGCAGTCGGGTGTCCCAAGGGAACAGATGCCCTACACCAGCACCTGGAGGACTGTGGGTATAAGGCGTCCAAGAAGAAAGCTCAGATCTGCCGACAGCAGGTACCTTACTTGTGATTTACTATCCCACAGGGGTCGGAACGCAGCCCAGGATCAGAAAGAAGCAGGTCATTTGCAATCTAGCGGAGTCTAAGAGCAGAAGTCAGGCGAGAGACTTCTTAGGAGCTGTGGGGTTTTGTAGACTGTGGATCCCAAACTTTGCAGTACTAGCCAAGCCTTTGCATGAGGTCACAAAGGGGGCTGGGACCGGGAACCTTTGGAATGGGGATCCCAACAACAGCAAGTCTTTCATCAGTTAAAGGAAAAACTTCTGGCAGCCCCAGCCCTGGGGCTACCGGATCTGACAAAGCCTTTTCCATTGTATGCGTCACAGAGAGAAAAGATGGCAGCTGGACTTTTAACCCAAACTGTGGGGCCCTAGCTGAGGCCAGTGGCCTACCTCTCTAAACAACTAGACGGGGTTTCTAAAGGATGGCCCCCCGTTTGAGGGCCTTGGCAGCAACTGCCCTGCTAGTACGAGAAGCAAATAAGCTGACTCTTGGGCAAAACCTGAACATAAAGGCCCCCCATGCTGTGGTGACTGAGAGCCAGCCCCTCTTCCCCGCCTGGCTCTTAGGATCCACGGTGGACTCACAGCCTGTTTACCATATTGTGAGTAATATCATCTCCCCCTCTGGAGATTATGAACTGTTTCACAGACGGGTGTACACACTCGGTGTACAGAGGGTGTACACCCGTCTGTACTGGGAGTAATATCATCCTCTTCCTCCCTGAATATTAAGAACAGTATCACAAGGGTGTTTCTACTCCCTGCGATATCGCGTGTCATATCCTCCTCTCCCACGTTGCAATTAGAAACAATATCAGTGGGGGCGAGTCCACCTTCTGTCATATTGAAAGTAATATCATCTTCTTCCCTCCAGGATCGTGGGAAAAATATCCCTGGGGGGTTTCCACTTTCTGCCATACATGTAGTCATATCACCCCCTCTGCCTTGGAATATTATTAAGGACCATCTCACACGGGGGTGAATACTTACTGCCATATTGGGAGTAATATCAACCTCTCGGCCTCTGAATATTAGGAAGAATATCACAGCGTGGGTGTACACATCGTGCTCTATTATGGGGAGTCATATCTGCCTATTATGGGGAGTAATATCATCCTCTCCCTTTCAGGATATTAATAACAATTTCACAGGCTGGGTGAACACAGCCTGCGATGCTGGAATTACTATCATTCTCTCCCCCTCTTCCCACCTGGATCTCAGGACCTCATCGCAGTGGGGGGAGGCACCCCCAGTGAGGCGGGGACTGAGAGCCAGCCCCTCTTCCCCACCTGGCCCTTAGGACCCCCATCGCAGGGGAGGAGGCATCCCCCGTGAGGCGGGGACAGAGAGCCAGCCCCTCTTTCCCCCCTGGCTCTTAGGACCCCCATAGTACGGGGGGAAGGCATCCCCCTGTGAGGCGGGGACTGAGAGCCAGTACCTCTTCCCCCCCTGGCTCTTGAGACCTCCATCGCGGTGGGGGGAGGAACCCCCCAGGAGGCGGGGACTGCGAGCCAGCCCCTCTTCCCCCTGTGGCTCTTAGGACCCCCATCGCAGCGGGGAGAGATACCCCCCGCGAGGCAGGGACTGAGAGCCAGCCCCTCTTCCCCCCCTTGCTCAGGACGCCCATCGCGGATCCTAAGATCCTTTGGACCCACCTGGAGGACTGTGGGTATTAGGTGTCCAAGAAGAAATCTCAGAGCTGCCGAAGGCAGGTACCTTACTTGGGATTTACTATCCAACAGGGGTCCGAACTCAGCAGCCCGGGATCAGAAAGAAAGCAGGTCATTTGCAATCTATCGGAGCCTAAGGGCAGAAGGCAGGTGAGAGAATTCTTAGGAGCTGTGGGGTTTTCTAGACTGTGGATCCCAAACTTTGCAGTATTAG
This sequence comes from Homo sapiens, assembly GCF_000001405.40. Classification (NCBI taxonomy): domain Eukaryota; kingdom Metazoa; phylum Chordata; class Mammalia; order Primates; family Hominidae; genus Homo; species Homo sapiens. Next base: position 8,677,435 of record NC_000003.12, read on the forward strand.
CCAAGCCTTTCTATGAGGTCACAAAGGGGGCGGGGACCAGGAACCTTTGGAATGGGGATCCCAACAACAGCAAGTCTTTCATGAGTTAAAGGAAAAACTTCTGGCAGCCCCAGCCCTGGGGCTACCCGATCTGACACAGCCTTTTCCATTGTATGCATCAGAGAGAGAAAAGATGGCAGCTGGACTTTTAACCCAAACTGTGGGGCCCTGGCTGAGGCCGGTGGCCTACGTCTCTAAACAACTAGACAGGGTTTCTAAAGGATTGCCCCCCTGTTTTAGGGCCTTGGCAGCAACTGCCCTGCTAGTACAAGAAGCAAATAAGCTGACTCTTGGGCAAAACCTGAACATAAAGGCCCCCCATGCTGTGGTGACTGAGAGCCAGCCCCACACACCCACTCCACCACCAGCTCTCAGGATCTGCGGTGGACTCACAGCCTGTTTACCATATTGTGAGTAATATCATCTCCCCCTCTGGAGATTATGAACTGTTTCACAGACGGATGTACACCCGTCTGTACTGGGAGTAATATCATCCTCTTCCTCCCTGAATATTAAGAACAGTATAACAGGGGTTTTTCTACTCCCTGCGATATCGCGTGTCATATCCTCCTCTCCCACGTTGCAATTAGAAACAATATCAGTGAGGGCGTGTCCACCTTCTGTCATATTGAAAGTAATATCATCTTCTTCCCTCCAGGATCGTGGGAACAACATCCCTGGGGGTTTCCACTTTCTGCCATACATGAAGTCATATCACCCCCTCCGCCTTGGAATATTATGAAGGAGCATCTCACACCGGGGTGTATACTTACGGTGATATTTGGAGTAATATCAACCTCTCGGCCTTTGAATATTGGGAAGAATATCACAGGGTGGGTGTACACCTCGTGCTCTATTATGGGGAGTCATATCTGTCTATTATGGGGAGTAATATCATCCTCTCCCTTTCAGGATATTAATAACAAATTCACAGGCTGGGTGAACAGCCTGCGATGCTGGAATTATTATCCTCTCCGCCTCTATCCCCCCCTGGCTCTTAGGACCCCCATTGCAAGGGGGTGAGGCACCCCCCGCGAGGCGGGGACTGAGAGCCAGCCCCTCTTCCCTCCATGGCTCTTAGGACCCCAATCACAGAGGGGGGAACACCCCCCGCGAGGCAGGGACTGAGAGCCAGCCCTTCTTCCCCCCCGGCTTTTGGGACCCCCATCGCAGTGGGGGGAGGCACCCCCCGCGAGGCGGGGATTGAGAGCCAGCCACTCTTCCCCTCCTGGGTCTTAGGACCCCCAACGTGGGGGGGGGAGGCACCACACGCGAGGCGGGGAAAGAGAGCCAGCCCCTCTTCCCTCCCTGCCACTTAGGACCCCATCGCAGGGAGAGGAGGCGGCACTCCCCACGAGGCGGGGACTGAGAACCAATCCCTCTTCCCCCAGCCTGGCTCTTAGGATCCCCATTGCAAGGGAGGGAGGCACCCCCCGCCAGGCGGGGACTGAGAGCCAGCCACTCTTCCCCTCCTGGCTCTTGGGACGCCCATCGCAGGGCGGAGAGTCACCCCCCGCGAGGTGGGGACTGAGAGCCAGCCCCTCTTCCCCCCCTGGCTCTTAGGACACCAAACGCAGGGGAGGAAGCACCCCCCGCGAGGCGGGGACTGAGAGCAAGCACCTCTTTCCCCCCTGGCTCTTAGGACCCAAATTGCGGGGGGGAGGCACCCCCGCGAGGCGGGGACTGAGAGGCAGCCGCTGTTCCCCCACACTGGCTCTTGGGACCCCCATCGCAGGGGGGATGGCACCCTCCGTGAGCGGGGACTGAGAGCCAGCCAATTTTCCCCCTGGCTTTTAGGACCCCCATCGGAGGGGGGGAGCCACCCCCCATGAGGCGGGGACTAAGAGCCAGCCCCTCTTCCCGCCCCTTGCTCTTCCGACCCCCATCGCATTGGCGGGAGGCATCCCCCAGGAGGAGGGGACTGAGAGCCAGCCCCTCTTCCCCCCCTGGCTCTTAGGACCCCCATCACAGCGGGGGGAGGCACCCCCCGGGAGGCGGGGACTGAGAACCAGCCCCTATTCCCCCCCTGGCTTTGGGACCCTCATCGCAGGTAGGGGAGGCACCCTCAGCGAGGCAGGAACTGAGAGCCAGCCTCTCTTCCCCCCCTGGCTCTTGGGACCCCCATCGAAGGGGGTGGAGGCACCCCCGGTGAGGCGGGGAATGAGAGCCAGTGCCTCTTCCCCCCCTGGCTTAGGACCCCCATCGCGGATTCTAAGATCCTTAGGACCCACCTGGAGGACTGTGGGTATTAGGTGTCTAAGAAGAAAGCTCAGATCTGCGGAAGGCAAGTACCTTACTTGGGATTTACTATCCCACAGGGGTCTGAACGCAGCCCAGGATCAGAAAGAAAGCAGGTCATTTGCAATCTATCGGAGCCTAAGGGAAGAAGGCAGGTGAGAGAATTCTTAAGAGCTGTGGGGTTTTGTAGACTGTGGATCCCAAACTTTGCAGTATTAGCCAAGCCTTTGTATGAGGTCACAAAGGGGGCGGGGACCGGGAACCTTTGCAAGGGGGATCCCAACAACAGCAAGTCTTTCATGAGTTAAGGGAAAAACTTCCAGCAGCCCCAGCCCTGGGGCTACCCGATCTGACAAAGCCTTTTCCGTTGTATGCATCAGAGAGAGAAAAGATGGCAGCTGGACTTTTAACCCAAACTGTGGGACCCTGGCCGAGGCCGGTGGCCTACGTCTCTAAACAACTAGACAGGGTTTCTAAAGGATGGCCCCCCGTTTGAGGGCCTTGGCAGCAACTGCCCTGCTAGTACAAGAAGCAAAGAAGCTGACTCCTGGGCAAAACCTGAACATAAAGGCCCCCCATGCTGTGGTGACTGAAAGCCAGCCCCTCTTCCCTCTCTGGCTCTTAGGATCCAAGGTGGACTCACAGACTGTTTACCATATTGTGAGTCATATCCTCTCGCTCTCTGGAGATTATGAACTGTTTCACAGATGGGTGTACACCCTCGGTGTACAGAGGGTATACACCTGTCTGTACTGGGAGTAATATCATCCTCTTCCTCCCTGAATATTAAGAACAGTATCACAGGGGTGTTTCTACTCCCTGCGATATCGTGTGTTATATCCTCCTCTCCCACGCTGAAATTAGAAACAATATCAGTGAGGGCGTGTCCACCTTCTGTCATATTGAAAGTAATATCATCTTCTTCCCTCCAGGATCGTGGGTACAACATCCCTGGGGGTTTCCACTTTCTGCCATACATGAAGTCATATCACCCCCTCCGCCTTGGTATATTATGAAGGAGCATCTCACACAGGGGTGTATACTTACTGCGATATTTGGAGTAATATCAACCTCTCGGCCTCTGAATATTGGAAAGAATATTGCAGGGTGGGTGTACACCTCGTTCTCTATTATGGGGAGCCGTATCTGTCTATTATGGGGAGTAATATCATCCTCTCCCTTTCAGGATATTAATAACAATTTGACAGGCTGGGTGAACACTGCCTGTGATGCTGGAATTATTATCATCCTCTCCCCCTCTTCCCTCCCTGGCTCTTAGGACCCCCATCGCAGTGGGGGAGGCAACCTCCAAGTGGCGGGGACTGAGAGCCACCCCCTCTTCCCCCGCTGGCTCTTAGGACTTCCATAGCAGGGGGGAGAGGCACCCCCGCGAGGCGGGTTCTGAGAGCCAGCCCCTCTTCCCCCCCTGCCTCTTAGGACTTCCATAGCAGGGGGGGGAGTCACCCCATGCAAGGCGGGGAATGAGAGCCAGCCCCTCTTCCCCCCCTGGCTCTCAGGACCCCCATCGCAGGGTGGGAGGAACCCCGTGAGGCAGGGACTGACAGCCAGCCCCTCTTCCCTCCCTGGATCTTTGGACCACCATCGCGGGGGTGGAGGCACCCCCCGCGGCTCGGGGACTGAGAGCCAGCCCCTTTTTTCCCCTGGCTCTGAGGACACCCATCGCAGGATGGGGAGGCACCCCCGGCGAGCCCGGGACTGAGAGCCAGCCCCTCTTCCCCCACTGGCTCTTAGGACCCCCGTCGTAGGGGGGAGGCAGCCCCCACGAGGCGGGGACTGAGAGCCAGTCCGTCTTCCCCCCTGGCTCTTCGGACCCCCATGGGGGGCGGGAGGCACCCCCAACGAAGCGGGGACTGAGAGCCAGCCACTCTTTTCCCCCGGCTCTTGGGACCCCCATCGCAGGAGGGTGAGGCACCCCCCGTGCGATGGGGACTGAAAGTCAGCCCCTCTTCCCCCCGGCTCTTAGGACCCCCATCGCAGCGGGGGGAGGCACCCCCTGGGAGGCGGGGAGTGAGAGCGAGCCCCTCTTCCCCCTCTGGCTCTTAGGACGCCCAGCACAGGGTGGGGAGGCACCCACCGCAGGGTGGGGACTGAGAGCCAGCCCCTCTTCCCCCCCTGGCTTAGGAACCCCATCGCAGATCCTAAGATCCTTAGGACCCACCTGGAGGACTGTGGGTTTTAGGTGTCCAAGAAGAAAGCTCAGAGCTGCCGAAAGCAGGTACCTTACTTGGGATTTACTATCTGACAGGGGTGGGAACGCAGCCCAGGATCAGAAAGAAAGCAGGTCATTTGCAATCTAGCAGAGCCTAAGGGCAGAAGGCAGGTGAGAGAATTCTTAGGAGCTGTGGGGTTTTGTGGACTGTGGATTCCAAACTTTGCAGTATTAGCCAAGCCTTTCTATGAGATCACAAAGGGGGCGGGGACCGGGAACCTTTGCAAGGGGGATCCCAACAACAGCAAGTCTTTCATGAGTTAAAGTAAAAACTTCTGGCAGCCCCAGCCCTGGGGCTACCCGATCTGACAAAGCCTTTTCCATTGTATGCGTCAGAGAGAGAAAAGATGGCAGCTGGACTTTTAACCCAAACTGTGGGGCCCTGGCTGAGGCCGGTGGCCTACGTCTCTAAACAACTAGACAGGGTTTCTAAAGGATGGCCCCCCTGTTTGAGGGCCTTGGCAGCAACTGCCCTGCTAGTACAAGAAGCAAATAAGCTGACTCTTGGGCAAAACCTGAACATAAAGGCCCCCTGTGCTGTGGTGACTTTAATGAATACTAAAGGACACCATTGGCTAACGAATGCCACACTCACCCAGTACCAAACTTTGCTCTGTGAAAATCCCCATATAACCATTGAAGTTTGTAACACCCTACACCCCGCCACCTTGCTCCCGGTATCAGAGAGCCCTGTCGAGCCTGATTGTGTAGAAGTGTTGGACTCAATTGACTCTAGCAGACCTGACCTCCGGGACCAGCCTTGGGCATCAGTAGACTGGGAACTATACGTGGATGGGAGCAGCTTCTTCAACCCCCAAGGAGAGAGAGGTGCAGGGTGTGCAGGGGTAACCCTGGACACTGTTGTTGAAACCAGGTCGTTGCCCCAGGCCACCGCAGCCCATAAAGCTGAACTCATTGCTTTCATTTGGGGCGTTAGAACTCAGTGAGGGTGAGACTGTCAACATTTACACTGATTCCCGGTATGTCTTTTTAACCCTTCAAGTGCATGGAGCGTGATAGAAAGAAAAAGGCCTATTTAACTCTGGGGGAAAAGACAGAAAATATCAACAAGAAATCTCGCAATGATTAGAAGCAGAGTGGAAACCCCACAAGGTGGCAGTTATGCATTGCAGAGGACACCAGCGAGCTTCCACCTTGCTGGGTTTGGGGAATTCCCGCGCTGACTCAGAGGCTCGAAAAGCAGCATCTGCCCCCTTTCGGGCATCAGTGCTCCCTCAAGCACCTGATCTTGGACCTACTTCTTCTAAAGAAGAAAAGGACTTTCTCCAGGTAGAGGGAAGGACAAGTGATGGAGGAAGGATGGATTCGGTTACCAGATGGGAGAGTAGCTGCGCCACAGTTGCTAGGAGCTGTAGTTGGACAAGAAACCACCCATCGAGGTCAGGAGTCACTGGAAAAGTTGTTAGGCCAGTGTTTCTACATCTCACATTTGTCAGCCCTTGCCAAAACGGTGAGGCAGCGGTGTGTTACCTGCCGACAGCATGATGCGAGGCAAGGTGCAGCCGTTCCGCCCGGCATACAAGCTTATGGAGCAGCCCCCTTTGAAGATCTCCAGGTAGACTTCACAGGGATGCCAAAGTGGGGAGGTAACAAGTATTTACTAGTTCTTGGGTGTACCTACTCTGGGTGGGTGGAGGCCTATCCAACACGAACTGAGAAAGCTCGTGATAACCCCTGTGCTTCTTCGAAATCTGATTCCTAGATTTCGACTGCCCTTACGGATCGGCTGAGATAACGGACCTGCGTTTTTGGCGGCCTTGGTACAGAAGACGGCAAAGGTATTGGGGATCACACGGAAACTGCCTGCCACCTCCCGGCCTCAGAGTTCCGGAAAGGTGGAATGGATGAATCGGACTTTCAAAAATAGTACTATTGTCTTCCCCGCTGGATATTTAAAACAACACCACAAGGGGCATCAAACTACCTGCTAAATTTGAGGGAATGTTATCCTCTCCCCACCTCCCCCGGCCCCGGATATTAGAGACAATAACACAGGGTCAATGTACACCCACTGTTTTATTGGGAGTAATATCATCCTCTCCCTTCTTGGATATTAGGAACAATATCACACTGTACGTGTACGCCTGTCGCGAAATTCAATGGAATGTCATCCTGTGCCTCCCTGGATATGATGAACAATATCACGGGGGATGTACAACTTCTGAGATATTGGGAGTGATGTCATCCTCTCCCCTCTGGAAGTTAGGGACAATATCACAGGGGTAGTGTACACCCTCTAGGATGTGGGGACTAATATCCTCCCGCCCACTGGATATTAAAAACCATATCACAAGGGGCATGTACACACACTTCGATATTGGTATTAATACCATCCTCTCCCTCTTTGGATATTCGGTGCCATATTTCAGGTGGGGTATACACCACCTGCAATATTGGAAGTAATATGATTTTCTCCCCCCCGGATATCAGAAACAATATCACAGGGAAGTGTCAGCAACTCCTGCGATATTTGGAGTAATATCATCATCTCCCCTCACGAATATTAAGAACAATATCATAGGGGTGGGGGGTGTACACCCCCTTTCATATTTGGTATCATCCTCTTCCCCCCCTGGATATTAGGAACAATATCAGGAAGGGATGTACAGACCCTGAGACCTTTGCTGTCATAGAACTGTCTCTCCCCTAGATATTAGGAAAAATGTCACTGGGGATGTGAACAGCCCTGCGATATTGGGAGTAGTATCATCCTCTCCCCCCCTTGCATATTGGGAACAACATCACAGGTGGGGTGTACTGCCTCTGCGATATTGGGAGTAAAATTTTCCTCTCTTCCCCTGGACATTAGGAAGGGTATCAGAGGGGGAGGGTGTACATTCCCTGCGATATTCAACATAAGCTTATCCTCTCCCTCCCAGGGTATTCAGAACAATAGGACAGGAGGGGTGTACACCCTCTGCGATATTGAGAGTCATATCATCCTCTTTCGCTCTGGATATTAGGAACAATATCACAGGGTTGTGTACACCCCCTGCGATATTGGGAGTGATATCATCCTCTCTCCCTGTGGATATTAGGAAGAGTATCACAGGGCTGTGTAAACCCCCTGCGGTACTGGGAGTAATATCATCCTCTCTCCCTCTGGATATGAGGAAGATTTTCCCAGGGGTGTGTACACCCCCTGCGATATTGGGAGTAATATCATCCTCTCCACCCAGGAAATGACTAACAAGGTCACGGTGGGGGGTGTACTCCCACTGTGACATTGGGAGTAATGTCATCCTCCCCAAACCTGGATGTTAGCAACGAGATCACAGAGGGGGTGTACACACCCTGTGACATTGGAAGTAATATGATCCTCTCCCCACCTGGATATTGGGAAAGATATCGCAGAGCGGGTATACATTTCCTATGCTGTTGGGAGTGACATCATTCTTTTCCTTTCTGGATATTAGGAAGAATATCACAGGGGTGCTGTACAATTACTTCGATATTGGGAGTAATATCATCCTCTATTTTCCTGGATATTGGGCACAGAAACACAAAAGGGTGTACAACCCCTGCGATATTGGGAGTAATAGCATACTCTCCTTCCCTGGATGTTAGAAAACAATATCCTCAGGGCTGAACACCCCCCGCGATATTGGGAGTCATATTTACTCCTTCACAGGCCATTTGGAACAATATCATGGGGGGTGTTTACAAACAGGGGTGGTGTACACCCCCTGTAATATTGGGAGTAACATCATTCTCTCCACCTCCAGAAATTAAGAACAATATCCCGGCGGGAGTTGGTACACCCCCAGTGATATTGGGAATAATGTCATCCTCTCCTCCCCTGGATATTCAGCACAGTATCACAGGGGGGTGTACACCTTCTGTGATATTGGAAGCAACATCATCCTCTTCCCCGCTGGATATTAGAAAAAATATCACTCATCGTGTACACCCACTGTGATATTAGCAAGAATATTAGAGGGTGTACACCCACTCGGACTTTAGGAGAAATAGCTCCCTAAAATGTCACAAATAATATCACAAGGTATACAGTAATATCTCCCTAGGATATGACAAATACCATCACAGGGTGCACACCCACTGTGATAACAGGAGTAATACGTCCCAAGGATACTACCAATAATATCACAAGGCCGTACACCCACTATGACACAGGGAGTGATATCTCCCTAGGATATTACGAATAACATCACAGAATGTACACCCATGGTGTGCACCCATGGTGATATTAGGAGTAATATCAACCCAGGACATAACCAATAACACCACAGGGAATACAGACATGATGTACACCCACAGTGATGTTATGAGAACCATCTCCCTAGGATAATACCAATAACATCACAGAGTGTACACACACGGTATACACCCACTGTGGCACTAGGAATAATAACTTTCTAAGATATTATGAATAGCATCAGAGAACATAAACACACGGTGTACACCCAGTGTAACTTTAGGCATAATTTCTCCCTAGGATATTGCCAGTAACATCTCACTGTGTACACACGTGGTGTACACCCACTGTGACATTAAGGGTAATATCCCCCTAGGATATGATGAAAAACATCACAGGGCGTCCACCCATGATGTACACACACTGTGATGTTAGGAATAATATCTCCCTGGGATATTACGAATAATACCACAGGGTGTACAGAAACTGTGATATTAGAGGTAATGTGTCTCTAGGATATGATGAATAATATCACAGGGTGTACACCCACTGTGATACTGGGAGCAATATCTCTCTAGGATAGTACGAATAATATCACAGAGTGTACACCCACTGTGATATTAGGAGAAATATCTCTCTGGGATATTACGAATTATATCACAGAGTGTACACACATGGTGTACACCCACTTTGATATTAGGAGTAATATCTTCCTACGACATTACAAATAACATCGCAGAGTGTACACCCACTGTAATATTAGGAATCATATCTCCCTAGGTGATTACAAATAATATCACAGGTTGTACACTCACTGTGATATTAGGAGTAATATCTACCGAGTAGATAACAAAGAACATCACAGGGTGTACACCCACTTTGATATTAGCTGTAATATTTTTCTAAGTTGTTACAAATCATATCACAGGGTGTACAAACAGGGTGTACGCTCACTGTGATATCAGGAGTCATATCTCCTTAATATATTATGAAAAATATCACAGGGTGTACACCCACTGTATTATTAAGAGTGATATCTCTGTAGGACATTACAATTAATATCACAGGGTGTGCAGCCACTGTGATATTAGGAGCAACATCTTTCTAGGATATTACAAACAATATCACAGGGTGTACGCCCACTCTGATGTCAGGAGCAATATCTCCCTAGGATATCCAAAATAATACCACAGGGTGTCCAATCTCTGCCTTCCAGGCTCTAAGGGATTCTCCTGCTTCAGCCTCCCGAGTAGCTAGGGTTACCCCGCCACCACGCCCGGCTAATTTTTTTTTATTTTCACTAGAGACGGGGTTTCACCACGTTGGCCAGGCTGGTCTGGAACTCCTGACCTCAGGTGATTCGTCGGCCTCGGCCGCCCAAAGTGCTGGGATTACAGGTGTGAGCCATGGTGCTCGGCCAAGAGTTATATATTCAATTCATTTGGAAACACAGCTCCCATATTTGAGTGTGCATGTACTTTATGAAGAAATGATGTCAGAAAACCTAAGGATGATAATAAATATGAAAAGTAACTGGCATGTTAAAAGGTCTTCCGATTAAGAACTCTAAGGTTCAATTTCATTTTTACATAATGCGGTCCTAGCTCTTGTATCATCCTTTTACATATTCCACATCAAAGGAATTTGTAGCACGGTGTCAAAATAAAATAGAGTGTATTTCGCTGCTTCTTAATTTCTTTCAATTAGGCTGAGATCTTTTTCTTAAAGAGAGAAGAGCATCTTCACTGCATTTTATTTTTTCTGAAAAGAGTAGGCCATATTTTACTGAGATCACGGATTTGTTATATATGACATTTTGGTCTTCTAACATTCTTCAGTGGATTTTCTCTAAAGTAGTATGTACAGAAGGAGTTGAAAAGAAAAAAGTAAATCATGTAATAATTCTGAGATTTTTGGGTTTGTCACAACTGAGAAATATTGCTGACGGTGTATGGTCCTCAAGTGTGAAAATGTTCCTTGTGAATTGTTTGCATCCAAAATATACACACAGCATTAAGGGCTGGTTTTTATCTTTTATTTTTCCAATCCTCTTTTCTTCCCAGGGTGTCCAAGTCACAGCCACGGAATCTCACAGATGTCTGAGAATTCCTCCTCATGGGACTCTCAGAGGATCCAGAACTGCAGCCCGTCCTCGCTGGGCTGTCCCTGTCCATGTGTCTGGTCACGGTGCTGAGGAACCTGCTCAGCATCCTGGCTGTCAGCTCTGACTCCCACCTCCACACCCCCATGTACTTCTTCCTCTCCAACCTGTGCTGGGCTGACATCGGTTTCACCTCGGCCACGGTTCCCAAGATAATTGTGGACATGCAGTCGCATAGCAGAGTCATCTCTTATGTGGGCTGCCTGACACGGATGTCTTTTTTGGTCCTTTTTGCATGTATAGAAGACATGCTTCTGACTGTGATGGCCTATGACTGCTTTGTAGCCATCTGTCGCCCTCTACACTACCCAGTCATCGTGAATCCTCACCTCCGTGTCTTCTTAGTTTTGGTGTCCTTTTTCCTTAGCCTGTTGGATTCCCAGCTGCACAGTTAGATTGTGTTACAATTCACCTTCTTCAAGAATGTGGAAATCTCTAATTTTGTCTGTGAGCCATCTCAACTTCTCAAGCTTGCCTGTTCTGACAGCATCATCAATAGCATATTCATATATTTCGATAGTACTATGTTTGGTTTTCTTCCCATTTCAGGGATCCTTTTGTCTTACTGTAAAATTGTTCCCTCCATTCTAAGGATTTCAACATCAGATGGGAAATATAAAGCCTTCTCCACCTGTGGCTCTCACCTGGCACTTGTTTGCTTATTTTATGGAGCAGGCATTGGCGTGTACCTGACTTCAGCTGTGTCACCACCCCCCAGGAATGGTGTGGTGGTGTCAGTGATGTACACTGTGGTCACCCCCATGCTGAACCCTTTCATCTACAGCCTGAGAAACAGGGACATTCAAAGCACCCTGAGGAGGCTGCTCAGCAGAACAGTCGAATCTCATGATCTGTTCCATCCTTTTTCTTGTGTGGGTGAGAAAGGGCAACCACATTAAATCCCTACATCTGCAAATCCTGCCCCTTAGTCACATTATTTTTGTGGCTTGATGGCTTTTATTCCTTTCTGCATTTCCTATGTGAATATTGTTTTCTTCGTTATACCTTTCACTGGAATGGGTGAGGATTCTGGGATCCTTTGTTTAGCAGAAACCTCATGACTGAATCCTCTATACCTAGGTGGCCTCCTTTAGTTTCTGAGCAATAACCCTGTCATCCAGGTGGAATCACAACCATCTTTTTATATACGTGAAGTCCTCACTTCATTTTGGAATTCCCTGAAAATTGCCTTTATGGAAACAATGTACAGCAGGTCCTCCAACACCATTGGTGCGTTCAAAGTTGTGTAGTTATAATGTTGGTGAGGAATAAGTGGTTTCACTATACCTAATTTTGCTTCAAGGTGAAGTTTCCAAGAGACTTTCAAAGATGTTAAGTGAGGACATACTGTACATCAAATTCATATCCTCTTCCAGAGTTCATGTGGAATTTCTTTATAAACTGCTTCTAGAGAATCTATTTAGGCAGGTTATGTGTAGAGATCCATGTCACCCGTCCTCAATCTTGGCTTTGAGTCAAATCACCTGGGGAGCTTACAAATGCTGAGGCCTGGGTGCCATTACCTGAGATTCTGATTTCCCTGCACCTGTGTGAGTATGTGGATTTTTTTTTTTTTTTTTTTTAAGCACCAGAGGTGGTTGCAATGACGAAGTTTTTAGAGGCATCAAGCTCCAATTAGTAAGAACAGAAGTTAATTGTAATATGATTTCTTCAAATATTATCTTCAAATGCATTGTCCATCAACACCATACAAATGTTTATTATGCTGTTGTTTCTTACCATTTAGCATTTTCTATTTTTTTCTTTTTTCTTTTTTTTTTCTTTTTGAGACAGAGTTTCACTCTTGTTGCCCAGGCTGGAGTGCAATGGCACGATCTCGGCTCACTGCAACCTCTGCCTCCCGTATTCAAGAGATTATCCTGTCTCAGCCTTCCAAGTAGCTGGGATTACACGCATACGCTACCATGCCCGGCTAATTTTTTTTTTTTTTTTTTTGTATTTTTAGTACACAGAGTGGTTCTCCATATTGGTCAGGCTGGTCTTGAACTCCCGACCTCAGGTGATCCGCCTGGTTCCACCTCCCAGTGTTCTGGGATTACAGGCATGAGCCACCGCGCCCAGCCACCACTTAGCATTTTCATTTTACATTTGTTGAAATTATAGATTTATACACACTTTGATTGCTGTTTTGTTATACACTTGCATATACATAAGATGTGAAATAGAAAAGAATAAAATGGGCACAGTATCCCTGAAGTTTCACATTCTGAGACATTTTAAAAATATTTGCTCTTTAGAAATTTGTTTCAATTGAGAAACTGTGGTATACACACCCAATGAAGTATTATTCAGCCTAAAAAGGAATAAACAAAATCCTCTTCATTGCAGACAAAATGGATGCGATTGCAGGTCTGTATATTAAATGAAATAAGCCAGGCACAGAATGACAAATATTTCATATCCTCACTTCTATGTAGGAACAAAACAGAAAATCTTGGCCAGGTTTGGTGGCTCAGGCCTGTAATCCCAGCACCGTGGGAGGCCGAGTCACATGGATCACTTGAGGCCCAGAGTTCGAGACCCGCCTGGCCAACATGGTGAAATCCCGTCTCTACTGAAAACACAAACAATTAGCCGGGTGTGGTGACACGTGCCTGTAGTCTCAGCTACTCGGAGGGCTGAGGCCCAAGAAGCGCTTGAACTCGGGAGGCGGAGGTTGCAGTGAGCCCGGATTTTGCCTGTATACTCCAACCTGGGCAACAGAAAGAGACTCCATCACACACCTACACACAAAAGGAATCTCAGGAAGGTGGAAAGTATAAAGGTGGTTAGCAGACGCTAGGAAGAAAAGGGGTGGGATGGGGAATGAAGAGAAGTGGATAATTGGGTCCCAAAATACAGAAAGATGGAATAAGTGAGTTCTAGTGTTTGATAGTACAGTATGAAAATTTTAGTTCACAAGAATTTCTGGCATATTTCCAGATGCTTTGGTAAGAAGCTTCCTAACTTTCTCATTATGCTGGTTTTTCAGCTATTCTCTTTCTGCTCTCGAAATCATGCTGGATTTTTTGTTTTTGGTTTTTTGTTTTCAGACAGAGTTTCACTCTTGTTGCCCAGGCTGGAGTGTAATGGTGCAATCTTGGCTCACCGCAACCTCTGCCTCCTGGGTTCAAGCGATTCTCCTGCCTCCATCTCCCAAGCAGCTGGGATTACAGGCATGCCCCAGCATGCCCAGCTAATGTTGTGTTTGTAGTAGAGATGGGGGTTTCTTCCTGTCTGTCAGGCTGGTCTTGAACTCCTGACCTCAGGTGATCCGCCCGCCTCGGCCTCCCAAAGTGCTTGGATTACAGGCGTGAGCAACGGCGCCCGGCCCATGCTGCATCCTTATCTGTTGTCTGTTGTTTGTTTTTGAGCCCAGAAATAACTTCTCACCTATATGTTCAAATGATTTTTCACATGAGTGCTAAGAAAGTCCATTGGTGGAAAAGCAGCCTTTTCAAGAAATGGTGTTGGAGAAACTTGATTTCCACATGCAGAAGAATGAAGGTGGACTCTATGTCACACCAGGTGCAAAAATGAACACAAACTGGATCAAAGACCTAACCCCAACTGCTGAAAGTATAATATGCCTAAAAGAAAACATTGGCCACACTTTCATGACATCAGATTGGGCAATGCTTTCTGGGATATGACACCAAAAGCATAGGCAACAAAAGAAAATTAGATCCCTTGGATGACATCTAAATGACAGACACTTTTGTACATCAGCAAACACTGTGAACTGAGTGAAAAGATAACCCATGGATTAGGAAAAAGATTTGCAAATCATATCTCTGAAAAGAGGCTGATATGCATCATATACAAAGAACAGCTAGAACTGAACAACAAGAAACCCAAAGCATCCCATTAACAATGGTCAGAAGACTCGAGTAGACATGTCCCTAAAGAAGATACAGCAATGGCCAATAAGCATCTAAAATGATGTTCAAAATCACTCATCATAGGGAAGCGCAAATCCAACCAAGAATGTGATACCACACATTTGGATGGATGTGATAAACAAACGAGCATTGGTGAAACTAGAGGGAAGTAGGAATGCTCGAAACTGATTGGAGGGAATGTAAAACCGTGAAGGAACAGGGAAAATAGAATGGCGTGTACTGGAAAAAGTAGAAACAGGATTACCAGATGTTCCCGCAGTTGCACTTGTGGGTACCCTCCAAAAAGAATTAGAAGCCAGGAGTGGAAGAGAGATTTGTACACCCAAATTCATAGCAGCATTATTCACAACAGCCAACATGTGGAAGCAACCCAAGGGTTCGTGGACAGATGAATGAAAAAGCACACTGCAGTTCATTCATGCGATGGAAGACTATTCAGCCTTAAAAAGGCAGGCACTTCTGGCCGGTGCGGTGGCTCATGCCTGTAATCCCAGCATCTTGGAAGACCGAGGTGGGCGGATCACCTGAGGTCAGGAATTCAAGACCAGCCTGGCCATGGACTTGGTGAAATCCTGTCTCTGCTGAAAATGCAGAACATTAGACGAGCGTGGTGGTGTGTGCCTATAGTCCCAGCTACTGGTGAGGCTGAGGCACAAGAATTGCTGGAACCTGGGAGGCGGAGGTTGCAGTGAGCCCAGATTGTGTCACTGCACTCCAGCCTGTGCGACAGAGTGAGACTCCATGTAATCACAAAACAAAACAAAACCAAAAAAAAAAAAAAAAAAACACGCAAACAACCAGACAGGCACTTCTGACACAGGCTGTAACACGGGTGAACCTTGAAGACATTCTCATCAGTGAAATAAATAAATCCCAAAAGGATAAACACGACCAGGCTCAGTGGATCGCACCTGTAACCCCAGCACTTTGGGAGGCTGAGGCAGGCGGATCACTTAAGGTCAGGAGTTTGAGACCAGCCTGGCCAATATGGTGAAAGCTCGTCTCTATTAAAAATACAACGATTAGCTGGGCGTGGTGGCGCACGCCTGTAATCCCAGCTACTCGGGAGACTGAGACACAAGAATCGCGTGAACCCACGATGTGGAGGTTGCAGTCAGCTGAGACCATGCCACTGCACTCCAGCCTGGGCGACAGAGAAAGACTCTGTCTCCATAACAAACAAACCAAAAAAATTAAACACGGTATGATTCCACTTATATCACGTGTCTACAGTAGTTAAACTTACAGAGTTGCAAAACAGAATGGTGGCCCCCAGGGGTGGGCGAGAGAGAGTGGAATGGAGTTTGGTTAATGGGTGCAATTTCCATTTTCAAGGATAAAACTGTTCTGGAGATGATGGCGGTGATGGTTGCTAAACAATGTGAATGTACCTAATGTGATTAAACTGTAAACTGAAAACTAGTGGAAATTGTAAATGTTTATACTGGCCATTCTATATGAAATAATCTATATTTGTGATTTTTAATATTTATACGTGGTATATCTTCCCATAATAAAAGATGAAAATTAAAGCACTTGGATCTTGTAAAAGAAAAGAAAGAAGCGAATAATACACACAAGCTCTCTCCTGATGAGAGGAAGAGCCCCAGAGCTTCTATGGACACTCACTTTTCTCTTCTTCTTCTTGCATGATGATGAGGAAATCCTGAGAGCAAGGGGAACTTGGGCGACTCTGGCTAATGAGGAGCTCTGTGCCTTGAGCCCCCCGGGCCATAGAATAGTAAATACTCAGTCTGTGCCTCCAGCCCTGCAGTGTGAGGTTGCAGTCCTGTGGGCTCCACAACCATCACCTGTATCAGGAGTTGTATCTCCCTAGGATATTATTAATAATATCACAGGGTATCACTATGTGCGTACCTCCACTGTGATATTTGAAGTCATATCTCTCTATGAGATTACAAATCATATCAAAGGGTGTACACCCCTGTGACATATTAGGAGTAACATCCTTCTAGGGTATTACAGATAACGTCACAAGGTGTACAACTTCTGTGACATTTTGTACACTCTTTGTGACATTAAAAGAAACATCCCGCTAGATATCCTGGGGGATATGAATAATAACCAGGGCGGGGTACACACATGGTGTACACGGCCTGTGTCATCAGGAGTGACATTCCCCTAGGATATTATGAATAATATCACAGCAGGTGTACACACATGGTGTACACCCCATGTGACATTAGGAAAAGCATGCCCCTAGAATATTAGGAATAGTATCACAGGCATTGAATACACATGATATACACCCCCGGTGACATTAAAAATAACATCCCCCTTGGATATTATGAATAATATGACAGGGAGTACACGCCGTGTGACATTAGGAGTAACATCCCCCAAGGATATAACGAATAACATCAGAGTTTGTAAGTGCATTGTGACCTTAGTAGTAACAACTCTTCAGGATATTACAAATAATATCACAGGGTGTACACGCACTGTGACATTAGTAGTAACATCCCGCTGGAATACGATGAGTCATATCACAGGGTATACACCCCCTATGACAATAGTAGTAACATTCCCCTAGAATATTACGAATAATATCACAGGAGGTACAGCCCCTGTGATTTATGAGTAATATTTCTATAGAATATCACAAGTCATATCACTGTGTGACTCTGTGTACACCCCGTGTGACATTAGGAGAAACATCCCAGAAAACTATGATGAATAATATCACAGGGTGAACACCCCCTGTGACCTGAGGAATAACGTAGTTTTAGGACATTATGAATGATGTGACAAGGTGTACACACCCTGTGACATTAGGAGCAATGTTCTTCTAGGATTTTAGGAATAATATCACAGGGAACACACCCCCTGTGACATTAGGATATTACGAATCATATCACAAGGTGTACATGCATTGTGACTTTAGTACTAATATCCCTCTGGTATACTATGAATAATATCACAGGGTATACATCCCTATGACATTAGGGGTAACATCCCCCTAGAATAGGATGAATAATATCACAGAGGGTACACATCCTGTGACTTTAGGAGTACCACCGCCCTGGATTATGACGAATACTGTCCCAGGGTATTAACCCCCTGTGACCTGAGGAGTGACATCCCGCTGGAATATTATGAATAATATCGCAGTGTGTACACCAACTGTGATATTAGGAGTCCTATTAATTTTTAGGATATTAGGTATAGTATCACAGTAGGTGTACATAAATAGTGTGTACACCTACTGTGATATTAAAAGTTATATCTCCCTAGGGTATTGCGAATACAATCACAGTGGGTGCACCCACTGTGATATTTGAAGTAATATCTCCCTAAGATATGAAAAACAATATCAAAGCATGGACCCCGTCTGTGACATCAAAGGTAACATCTCTGTGGATATTCCAAATAATATCACAGAGTGTACACAGCCTGTGACATTAGGAGTAGCATCCCCATAAGATATTCCGAGTAATATCACAGGGTGTACACCCCATGTGACATTAAGGGTAACATCTTCTTAGGATGTTATGAACGACATCACAGGGTGTACGCCCCCTGTGACTTTTCAAGTAACATCCCCCTAGAATATTACAAATAATATCATGGGTGTACACCCCGTGTGACATTAGGAGTAACATCTCCCTAGGATATTACGAAGAATATCACTGGGTGTACACCCTCTGCCATATTAGGAGTAAATCCTTCTAAGACATTATGAATAATATCACAAGGTGTACACACACTGTGATATTCGGAGAGATATCTCCCTAGGATATAAGGTGTACACCCACTGTGATATTAGAAGCAATATCTAACTCTGATAGTATGAGACATATCAAAGGGAGTACACTCTCTGTGATAATAGATGTAATGTTTAACATGGATATTACAAATAATATCACAGGTTGTACACACACGAGGTATACCCACTGTG
Organism: Homo sapiens; assembly: GCF_000001405.40. Classification (NCBI taxonomy): domain Eukaryota; kingdom Metazoa; phylum Chordata; class Mammalia; order Primates; family Hominidae; genus Homo; species Homo sapiens. Next base: position 8,696,101 of record NC_000003.12, read on the forward strand.
GTATTATTTGTACTGTCTTAGAGAGATATAACTCTCTAATATAACACAGAGAGCAATAACTCTGTAATATCTCTGAGATATTACAAATAATATCACAGTGAGTGTACATTTAGTGTACATAGTGTACACCCACTGTGAGATTTACAGTAATATCTCCGTATAAGACTACAAATAGTATCGAAGGGTGTACACCCCCTGTGACCTTAGGAGTAACATCCTTCTGGATATTGGGAATAATATCATAAGGCATACCCACCCTGTGACATTTTGTACACCCTTTGTGACATTAAAAGTCACAACCCCCTAGTATGTTATGAATAATACCAAAGGCGGTTGACGCACACGGTGTGCACACCCTGTTACATTAGGCGTAATCTTCTTCTGTGATTTGCGAATAATATCACAGAAGGTGTACACACATGGTGGACACTCCAGGTGACATTAGGAGCAACATCACCCCAAGATTTTAGAAATAATATTACCAGGGTTGCATACACATGGTGTACTCTCCCTGTGACATTAGCAGCAACATTCCCCTAGAATATTATGAACAACATCAGAGGGGGAGTACACATATAATGTACACACCTTGTAAAATTAAGAGTAGCATCTCCCTACGATGTTATGAATAATATCACAGAATGTGTACACACATGGTGTATACCCGATGTGATGTTAAGAGTTACACCCTTCTAGTATGTTAGGAATAATACCACAAAGGTGTTCACACATGGTTAACACCATATGGAATATTAGGATTAATATCCCTCCAGAATATTACAAACAACATCACAGGGGCTGGGCACACATGGTGCACATGCCCTGTGGCGTTAGGAGTACATTTCCCTGACACATTACGAGTAATATCACAGAGTGTACACCTTCTGTGACATTTGGAGTAACATCCCCTAGGATAGTACGAATAATATCACAGGGTGTACATCCCCTGTGACCTGAGGAGTAACATCTTTCTAGGATATTGTGAATAACATCACAAGACACATGGCCCCTGTGACACGAGGAGTAACATCCACCTAGGATATTATGAATAATATCACAGGGAGTACACCCTGTGTGACAGTAGGAGTAACCTCACCCAAGGATATAAGGAACAAATACAGAGGATGCACACGTGTTGTGACATTAGCAGTAACATCCATTTAGGATATTACGAATATTACCACAATGTGAATACCCCCTGTGATATTAGGAGTAACATCCCCCTACAATATTGGGAACCATATCACACGGTGTACACCCCCTGTGACATTAGAGGTAACATTTCCTTAGGATATTATGAATAATATTACAAGGTGTACAGCCCCTGTGATATTAGGAGTAACATTTCCATAAAATATTAGGAATCATATCACTGTTTGTACACCACGGGAGACATTAGGAGTAGCGGACCCCAAAACTATCATGAATAACTTCACAGGGTGTACACCCTCTGTGACATTAGGAATAACATCTTTCTAAAATATTACAAATAATATCGCAAAATGTACACCCCCTGTGACATTAGAAGTCACATCGCCCGAGGATCTAAGAAACAATAGCAGTTTGTGTACCTGCGTTGTGACATCCTTAGTAACATCACTTTAGGGTATTACGAATATTATCAGAGTGTGAACACCTTCCGTGACATTAGGAGTAACATCACCCTACAATATTGGGAATAATACCACAAGGTGTACACCGCCTGTGACACTAGTGGTAACATTTCTTTAGGATATTACGAATAATATGACAGGGTGCACAGCCCCTGTGATATTAGGAGTAACATATCCAAAAAAACTTTACGAATAATATCACGGTTTGTACACCACGTGTGACATTGGGAGTAACATCCCCCGAAACGATTATGAATAGCTTCACAGATCGTACACCTTCTGTGATATTAGGAATTAACATATTTCTAGAATGTGAAGAATAACATCACAGGATGTACAGCCCCATGACATGAGGAGTAACATCACTCTAGGATATTACGAATAATATAACAAAGTGCACACAATTTGTATGGTAGGAGTAACATCCCTCTGGGATACTACGAATCATAGCACCGAAAGCACGCCCCCTGTGACAATAGGAGTAACATCCCCTTAGGATATTACCAATAATATCACAAGGTGTACACGCATTGTGACATTAGTAACAATATCCAGCTAATAGATTCTGAATAATATCACAGCATGCACACCTTTGCGACATTAGGAGTAACATCCCCCTAGAATATTACGAATAATATCACAGGGTGTACACACCCTGCGACTTTAGGGTAATCATCCCCCTGGATGACTAGAAATAATTTCACAGGATGTTAAACCCCTGTGACAATAGGAATAATATACTTCTACAATATGATGAATAATATCACAGTGTGTACACCCACTGTGATATTAAAAGTTATACCTCCCTCAGATATTGTGAATAATATCACAGGGTGTACACCATGTGTGCACACCCACTGTGATTTTTAAAGTAATATCTCCTTAGGATATTACGAATAATATCAAGGGGTGTACACACCCTATGACATTAAGATAACATCCCTTTAGGATATTCGAAATAATATCCAAGGTTGTACACCCCATGTGACATTACGAGTAACACCTTCCTAGGATATTACGAATAAGATCCCAGGCTTGACACCCCCTGTGATTTTTAAAAGTAAAATCCCCCTAGAATAGTACTAATAATAACACAGGGTGTACACCCCTGTGACGTTAGGAGTAACAACCTCCCAGGATACTACCAATAATATCAGGAGGTGTACACACACGGTGACATTAGTGGTAATATCCCGCTAGTATATTGTGAATACTATCACAGGGTATACACACCTGTGACTTTAGGAGTAACATCCCCCTGGAATATTCCGAATAATATCACAGGGCGTACACCTCCTGTGACTTCAGGTGTATCATCCCACTAAAGTATTACGAATAATGCCCCAGGGGGTTAGCCTGTGTAATATCACAGGGTGTACACCCCCTGTGACATTAGGAGTAATATCTTTCTAGAACATCACGAGTAATATCACAATGTGTACACACTTTGTGACATTAAAAGTAAAATCCCCCTAAGATATTCCGAATAATATCACAGGGAGTACACCCCGTGTGACATAGGAGGAATAACCCGTGAGGATATAATGAATAATATCAGAGGGTGTACACGTATTGTGACATTAGTAGTAACATCCCGCTGGGACATCACGAATAATATCACAAGGTGTACACGCCGGGTGACATGAATTTATGTCACATTCCCCTAGAATATGACCCATAACATTACAGGGTGTAGAACACCTGTGATTTATGAGTAACATTTCTATAGAATATTTCAAGTAATATCCTTCGGTGTGCACCCCGTGTGACATTACGAGTAACATCCCACGAAACTGTGATGAATATTTTCAAAAGGCGTACACCCTCTGTGACATTAAAAGTAACATCTCGCTAGGATATTACGAATAATGTCATAGGGTATACAGCCCCTGTGACATGAGGAGTAATGTCTTTTTAGGATATCACGAATAATATAACAAGATGTACACAACCTGTGACATTAGGTGTCACATCCGTCTAGGAGACTACGAATACTATCGTAGCGAACACAACCCGTGACAATAGGAGTAACGTCCCCCTAGGATATTATGAATAATATCAGAAGGTGTACACACATTGTGACTTCAGTGCTAATATCCCTCTCATATACTGTGAATAATATCACAGGGTGTACACCCCTGTGATATTACATTAGGAGTAACATCTCCCTAGAGTATTACGAATAATATCATAGGGGGTACACACGCCTTTGTTTAGGAGTAATATTCCCCTAGGATATTACTAATAATATCACAGTGTGTACACTCACTGTGACATTAGGCATCCCATTTTCCAAGGATATTATGAATAATATCACAGAAGGTGTTCACACATAATGTGTACACCATGTGTGTACACCCAACGTGATAGTTGAAGTAATATGTCCCTGGGATCTTATGAATAATATCAAACGGTGTACACCCCATGTGACATTAAGAGTAACATCCCTTTTGGAGATTCTGAATGTTATCACAGGGTGTGATATTAGGAGCGTGATATGAGGAGTAATCTCTTCCTAGGATAACCCATGTGATATTAGGAGTAACCTCTTCCTAGGATATTACGAATAACATCACAGGGTGTACACTCCTGTGACTTTAAAAGTAACACCCCCCTAGAATATTATGAATAATATAACAGGGTGTACATCCCCTGTGACATTAGGAGTAACATCTCCCTAGGATATTACAAATAATGTCACTGGGGGCACACCCTCTGTGATATTAGCAGCAACATCTTTCTAGGATATTATGAATGATATCACAGGGTGTAAACTCACGGTGATATTAGAAGGACTATCTCCCTAGGATATAAGCTATCATATCACAGAGTGTACACACGTGGCGTACACCCACTGTGTTATTAGCAGCAATAACTCCCTATGATATTATGAAAAATATCACAGGGTGTACCCTCCGGTGGGTTACTAGAAGTAATGTTTACCATGGATATTACAAAGAATGTCACAGGGTGTACACACATGGGGTACACCCTCTGTGATATTAGGAGTTATATCTCTCAAAGATATTACAAATAATATCCCAGTGGGTGTACCCCATGTGTGTACATCCACTGTGGTATTTAAAGTAACATCTCCCTATCAGATTACAAATAATATCGAAGGGTGTTCACCCCCTGTGACATTAGGAGAAACATCCCCCTACAATATTGGGAACAATATCACACGGTGTACACCCCTGTAGTGTTAGGAGTGAAAAACCCCTGAATATTACTAATAATATCACAAGGTGTACATGCATTGTGACATTAGTAGTAATTTCCTGCTGGCATATTTTGAAGAATATCACAGAAGGAACACACCTGCGACATTAGGAGTAACATCTCCCTAGAATAGTAATAATAATATCACGGGGTGTACACCCCCTGTGAAATTAGGAGTATCATCTCGCCAGAATATTACGAATAATGTCACAGGGTGTTATCTTCTGTGACAATAGGAGTATAGACCCCTGGGAAATTATGAATACTATCACAGGGTGTACACCCCTGTGACATTAGGAGTAACATCTTTCTAGAATATCACTAATAATATCACTATGTGTACACCCCCTGTGTCATTAAAAGTAAAATTGCCCTGGGATATTATGAAATAGAACACAGGGAGTACACCCCGTGTGACATTAGAAGTTACATCCCTGGGGATATAACGAATAATATCAGAGAATGCACCTGCCTTGGACATCAGTAGTAACATCTCTTCAGGAAAATATCAATAATATCAAAGGGTGTACCCGCATTGTGAAATTAGTAGTGAACTCCCACTAGGATATTACGAATCTTATGACGGGGTCTACATGCCCTGTGACATTAGTAGGAACGTTTTCCTAGAATATTATGAAGAATATTAAAGGATGTACAGGACCCGTGATTTACGAGTAACATTTCGATAGAATATTGCACGTAGTATCACTGTGTGTACATCCCGTGTGACATTAGGGTTAACATCCCACAAAAGTATAATGAATACTTTCCCAAGGTGTACACCCTCTGTGACATTAAAAGTAACATTTCCCTAGAATATGCCGATGATATCACAGAGCGTACATCCTCTGTGATACGAGAAGTGACATCTGATAAGGATCATGCGAGTAATTTGACAAGGTGTACAAACCCTGTGACATAAGGAGTGACATCCCTCTAGGATATTATGAATAATATCAAAAGGAACATACCCCGTGTGACAATAAAAGTAACTTCCCCTTAGGAGATTAAGAATAACACCACAAGTTGCACACACATTGTGACATACTTACTAATGTCCCGCTAGGCTACTGGGAGACAGTGGGTCTCCCACTACCTACTAGGCTACAGTGGGTAGAGTCCTTTGACATCAGGATTAACATTCCCCTACAATACTACGAATAATATCGCAGGGTGTATACCCCCCTGTGATTTTAGTAGTGGCATCTTGCTAGAATATGGAAAACAGTGTCCCAGGGTGTTAAACCAGTGTGGCAGTAGAGAAAAGATCGCAGGAGTAATAGAGTAATATCTCCTCCCCTCTCCCCCCCGGATATTACGATCCACATCGCAGGGGGTAAAAATTGATGTGAACCTTGGAGACTTAAGGGAAGGGGGTATTTGCTGCCATAGTCAGCAAACAGCATCCCAAGAGAAGAAGGGAGGCCACAGCAGTGACAAGAGGTCAAGTTGCGCTCTTAGGGTGATGAACAGTGTCACTGATGGCCTTGGAGGCAGCAGTCCCCAGAATCCAGTCATTCTTAGGACCAATGAATCACAACTCTTGTTTATCTCCCTAGACACAGGCAGTGTCAGCCTATGATCTGATGTCTCCCACAGCTCAAGGGAACCTAAAGGCAGAGGTGTGGGCCCTTATTCTGATTTCTCTTTGGCAAAGATTCAAGAACAAGTACCTTATATGAAAAGTGCAAAGAAAACTGGCAGGGGTTAGGAATTGGTACAGGAAAAAGAAGGTGCCAATAAAGGCTGATCAAACCAGCTGCCATTGTGGGTGACTGGCTTGTGATCCTGCTGGGGCCCTCTAGGAGGCAGTGTCGGGCACTCACGGGAGAGGTCAAAAAGATGTCCTCAAGATAATTGCTTTCGATACTTGGTCATAGCAACCACAAAAAAATTAAACTCAATTTCACAAAAGTCAGTCCCCATCTTACATGGTTGCTGTGAGAGTTAAAGAGCTGATGTATACAAAGTGCCTAAATTAGAGTTCAGCATTTAAAATACCCTCCACCCTAAGAAATAAATTACACTAACCGTTTACTGAAATATATATATAATCTAACAAGGTCATTTATATGAAAGTGCTTACTCACCCAAGGCTGCTAGAAAAAAAGGCTGATGCCACACGCATAACGGAGCCTCTCAGAGCTACCGCAGGTGCCAAGCAGTGGCTGTGGAAAGTGACGACGGGGCTGGATTGTTCTGAGGATACACCTGGAGCAATTTTCCAAAGACAGAATATGTGCTGGATTCTACTGTCGATTTGAAAGCCATCTCAGTGGGTGGAATGAGCATCCCTTCTGTAAGAAACGAATAAAGGGGGAAAAAAATACATATTTTGAATAAGTGTTGGAAAGGGGAAATCACATATTTTGAATATGTAATCTATCGCACTCATACCTACAGGCCGTTTACTTTCATGGAATTCGTGGGAGCAGGTGAAATTAACGAGGTTCTACCAATGATGAAACCAGGCCCAGAATTGAAAGGGAAGTGCTGTTTATCGAGTTCTGTCACAAGCACGGCATTTGGATTGTCTGAATGAATCCTCAAAGTGACACTTTGAAATAAATACCTGTACTGTGATTTTCCACAGAATTCAACTCAGAAAGGTATAATGCACACAAGTGCTTAACCAAGTGTTAGCGTACAGTGACCGTGCAACACGTTGTAATTATACTTAGGATTACTCACCAAGGTGTCACAGCTAGTGGGGGGCAGAGCCAGGGTGTTTTGAGCACACGCATCGGGCACCCAATGCCATGTGCTTCTCAGTACTGCAGAGACCAGCCTTCCTCATTCCTCTGTCCCCACATTTACCTGATAAATATTTTTTGGGCACCTACTTCATGCTCATCCCCAGTGCACCTCATTATTTGCAAAGTCCTCTCAAGTTAGCCATCTCCTTTGCTTCTCAATCTTGTATGGTAAGCAGAGTAGAATTGCTCTCTGCACTTTACAAATGAGGAAACTGAGGCTCCAGAAAGTTCTGGGAGGTGCTCAGAATTCTTAGATACCTTTCCCTCAGCACTCACATGCCCACCACACACCACGCGCACACACATCTCAATCACCTGAGGTTAGGGTCATTCATTTTTTTCTTCAATTGTAGAAATACTATATATTATCCTATAAAACTAGAAAATTGTTAAAGCTATGATAAAGAAAAATTAGATTTTCCAGTAAGCACACTTCCCAGAGGCAGCTGGCGTCAACATCTTTGTGTATTTCAAAGGCAGTAGATTGGTAGACCAAAGGCCAAAGCCAAACCACATAATTTTTATTTGGCCAATACAGTGCTTTTAAAAGTGTAAACTATTACCAATATTTAGGGAATTTCACATAAATATCAGGATTTCTAACCTCCATTAAGAAACTTGAAGAGCTAGAGATAGGCAGCAAAAGTTGGCCAGGAGTCTTTTTTTCAGAGGGTATGTTCTCTCCAATTTGTCTCGGTCTCCACCATTCCCTATTGTATTACAACTGGTCCAAGTCACTAACCACTGGCTCCTATAGTCATCAAAGGGGTTATAATGACTGAGTATATCTTTCCTGTCCTTTGCCTATACAAATAACTTTTCACATGTGACATCATCTTATATTAACAATTTTCACCTGACTTTATATCATCAGCTGTTTCCTACAATATTAGAAATACTTTTAAAATAGTATGATTATTGTTTGGCATTCTATTACAGATATATGTACACCTTAATTAATTTCTGATTTTTTGCCATTATAAATAACCATGATGATCTTTTTTAGATAATTTAAATTTGGATTTTTTTTTAGCACATGTGAGCCTCAGATGATTGGAAGATCTCTCTTTTAAAGTCCCTGGCCCTAGAGTTAATCACATTTCAATTCAACTCATGATCTATGACTTCAGCTACAGTGGCTATTACTTCTTAGTAATCCACCACCAAGTGCCAGCTGTCTAAGTCCAAGGCTTGAAGTGAAACTCCATGGGGTCAAGGTTTTTAGCTGTTTGCAAACATGAAAGGAGAAATCACCTGGGCCTGGTGATGCATGGAAGAGAGTCTGGATCAGCCTCCAGGGACATGCATCTCCTGCCCATCACACTGCCCCTGAACACAGGGCAACCTGCAATGACACATCTCACCTACCATTACTTCCACCCTCAGAGCCATGCTTTTCACACTTCCCCTCCTATGGTCAAATGTCAAAACTGATGTGGGAATTTCATCCTTCATTACTCAGCATGTTGAAAAAAGCCAAAAAAGGCTTTGAAAAAGTCAAAGTTATTGTCATCACACAGCGCAATCACCAAAGCCTTCATTCATAGCCGTAACTCACATTTGAGACAAAATTTTAACAAGATTAGTTATCTGATATTCCAAATCACAGCAGATTAGATATAACGAATTAAGAGGGGACAGAAGTTTTGGAGGCAGATGATAGTAACAAGAAGTGGTGGTTAACAATGAGAAAAGAAATGAAAACGCTACATAAAGCATCTAAAAGATTCTAAACCACAGCAAGCTGAGGCCAGTTCTAACAGAGGCATCATCTTCAAGAGGACAAGGCAGAAAGAAATGATGAAATGGTTGAGGGCCACAAGTGATCCTCTGCACAACTTCATCTAGCTTAAGACTGAGCTGGATCTCACCTGCCCAAGCCTCTGAGGGGTGAGATGACCTGCCCCTGAGGTCACACAACAAAGTAACATAAAGGCAGGATGAGGAACACGTCACTAAGTCCCCAGCCACTGATCCTTTTCCCACCTCCTCTGCTTCATAAGTTCAGAGGTGCCAAAGGCCTGGGGCAGTCCCAGAGGAGCATCTGGGAGCTCGAGTGGACCAATCAGAGGGAGGGGTGCGTGAGAACTCAAGCTGACCAACCACACACCCCTGTGGCCTGGAGCTCAGACAGTAGTGACTGGGCTATATGAAGGACTCTGGCTCCTCAGCCAGTCTTGGACTCTACCTGCATCCTAATTTGGATAAGCTTCTTAACCCTCTAAACCCCAGTCCACTCAGCCACCAAGTAAGGATTAGAGTCCCTATCTTACCTGCCTCATGGGCAGTCTCAGTGGTTAAATTTGTTAAACGTCAGGGAGTTTTAGAAACTGTTATTGTTGTGTGGACAGTTGAGCACAACAGAGGGGAAAAGACTAGACTCGCTGGCTCACAAAAACAAGACAATGCTCCATATTGCACGTAATCATCGAGCCTGCCCGCGGGACTATCCAGGAAGATTGCTCAGTGACAAATCGATGCTGGAGCAGCTTTTGTTCTAAAACAGAGCAAAAGGAAAACTTGGCAACAAAACAGACACTGGCAGGTTACTCTATCACAATAGACAGTCTGCAGTTATATTTTTTGCTGAGCAATTTTTACAATATGACATATTCATTTTACAGTTTTGATTTTATTTTTCAGAGAGATGTAGTCCTTGTAAATGCTGGGTGCGATTTTCACTTGGTTTATGTTAAATCCAGTGTGACCCACTGGGGTGAGTTTTACTTTGATCCTAGCAGAGGTCACTCATGAATGTCGCCCCATCTCTGTTTCAGTGCATCACCTGAAGACTGGTTGGATGAGAAAACTGAGGTCCGAAGCGGGTATGGAACTGGCTAACCAAGGCAACTGAATGGCAAAGATTAGATTTAGACCAAACTTTCTTTACTTCAGAGACTTTGTGGGTGCGATGGTGGCTCTAGGGAGGGAAAGAAGGCTCAGAGCAGGGAGGCCAGGGCTGAAGACTTGGGCATTTTAATTGACACTGTCCATTTGAGGAGGTTGGATATTTCATCCTCTTCACAAGGAACCTTTTTAAAATTTCTTTGAGAAAAAAACTGTATTACTCTAGCATAGATTAAACTTATGGTTCAGGGTTTTAGTCACCCAGTGATGTTCCAGGTGGGTCCTCTCTGGGCTGCTGGAAGTTTCTAGGAGGAGTCCCTGAGTGCGTATTGAGATGATGCTTGTGGTGATCTGGGACCGGAGCCTTGCCTTGGTGTCAGAAGAACTGGAAGCTAAGACCTGACAGGCCATTTTTCCTGCTGCGTAGAGATAGCCTGTTGGCAGCAGGAAGAAATGGAGCCCTTTGGAGATTAGCAGACAACTAGGGAGATGGGGAGTGACACAGAGAGCATCCTGGTACCACCAAACCCCTGCTCTGGTCTCTGGGGCCTTGGTTCCTGCAAGCTATTCCCCATCCGTTCCTGGGCATATGGGCTCACAAAGTCCCTTGCTTCTGATGCAGACTAAAGTTATAGGAGTTATAAAGTTGCCAGTAATCAATGACTACAATGGTTGTGTTCTGTGAGTTGCTCTGGGAATATTGACATCAAAGTCATCACATAAAATGTGGGGTGGAAGCTTGCACTAACACTCCCATTCAGATTGCCTTTCTTAGCCTCCCTGAAACCGTCTGACTCAGTGGACTCCTTGACCAAATAGGCAGTCATGAGTAGAGAGAGTCAGCTTTACCTGGGTCCCAGGGAACCCAAAAGATACCGAGGGGTGTAGGAGGGTGTCCCAAAAGGTAGTAAAGGAAGTTAGATTCCAACAGTCGTTTCTTTTGCAGTGACCTATGGCAGCAACAGAGCTTGCTATTTATTTGCGGGATGCCTGTTTGGATTCATCCCCAGCTAGAGTTAGAAGAAAGGAGAAGAAAAGGGAAACTCAGGGCATAGGAGGGGAGAATGCCAAACTGCCACAGTTGGTACTGCACTTAAGACATCAGGCACTCAGAAATGCACCCCTGTCCAGATTGCCAATTCTTTTCATTGCAAATTAAACTTCCAATACTCCAAGTGCTCAGCCTCTGGCAATGCCATGAGTTTATCAAGCATCATAAGTTAGAGGTACACAGAGTTATGTGATTACAGCTCTTGGTTTAAAAACTAGGTTGAGCTGAGGGAAGAATATTACCACAAATAAGCAAACAAACCCATCAAAGAGCCAATATCTACATAAAGAGCTTATCCAAACAATCATAATGTTAAGACAATATGCAAAAGACAGGAGGTGAAGATTTCCCCAGGAGGGAATAAAAATAAGAAAATAACAGAAAAAAAATGTTTGCCATCACTAAGTACTAAAGAAATGCAAGTGATGTGACACATAGTAGCTATAAATTAGCAAAACCAATGAATAACAATAATGCCCAATGCTGGCAAGGTTGCAGCAAAGCTGGTAAGTTCAAATAATGCTAGTGGCAGGGTATTTTGGAAAGTAAGTTTCTTGAACCATAAAATGACTGATACCCTATAACCCAACAATGATCACACTCCAAAGTATTTCTTCTAAAAGACTTTAAAAGCTAAATGCCCAAAGACATTGGCACTGCAACATAATTTGACGGCACCAAAAAAAGTTACAAAAACAATCTAAATGTCCACAGTATGAAAATAGTTCAACAAATTATAATATGTCCACCTAATGAAATATTTGAGAGTCATCTAAAATGGTAATTTTGAAGATTATGTAGCATCTTAGAGAATGTTTTTAATATGCTTAGTTCAAAAAAGAAAAGCCTATAGAGGTTGGGATTATAATTATGGAAAATTTATATATGCAGGAGTGCAACAATAAAAGGAGCTCAGGATAATGAAAAGTGCTGTACCTTGCTAGGCTAATGGAGAGTGGGTAATTTTCAGCCTCAGTTTCTGCATCAAGCAATCTGGAGCAGTGTATTATCCCTCTCCTCCCTCCCCTCTACCCTCTCCTTTCTCCCCTCTCTCCTTTTCCTGCAATCTGGGTTATGAATGAGGTAATATATGGGAAGAATGCTGCACAGTGCCACGTTACACTCTTCTTTGCTTCTCCCTTCAGCTCAGGGTTCCTAGACAGTGTGACCTGCAGGGTCAGGGCAGCTGCCCAGGGAGCCTGAGGTCAGGTGTGGAGGGAGACTTCTGGCCCATGCTCAGCATGCCTCTCACTGTCTTCAAACCCAGTTTCCCAACAGGCCCTGCACCCCACACCCAACTCCTTTTTTCGTCAACAGAAGACCCAGGCTTTCAGCACCCAGAGATTGTGCAGAGGAAGAGAGAGAGAGAGACACCACTGGTGCCCCCACCTTGGGACGTGCCTAAAGATCATGCGGTAGCCCCTACCCCCACCCCCAGGTTTCTGGTTTATAAAGGACCTCCATGTCTTCAATCTCCCCTGAGACTCACAAGAGTCCTGAGAAAAGGTAAAATGAAGACTCATTTGAGAAAGAAAATTAGGCCCAGCGAGGTAAACCACCCTCCCCAGTGCTGAACAGGCTATAAGACGCAGACAGCAAGACCAAAATCCAGGCAGGATGACTCCGAAGTCCACGCTCTGTTGGCTGAATAGGAAGAAGCTGAGCTGCCTCCCACAAAGCCCAACTCCCCTTGAAACTTTCTTAACAAGAAGACGTTTTGATTCGCCAGAAATCTCCCAAGGGAAAGCATACTTGCTGTCTGGACCAAAGCTTTTCAAACTTGAGCATCAGTCAGAATCCCCTGCAGGACATTAAAACAGATGCCAGTCCCCATTGCAGAGCTCCCAAGTCAGTAGGTCTGGGGTGAGGCCTGAGAACTTGCATGTCTGACCGGCTTCCAGGAGATGCTCATGCTGCTGGTCTGGGGACCACACTTTGAGAAGGCCTGGTTGGAAAGTCTTGATAAATGCTTGATGTTAAAGTTGTACTTGGGGCAGAAGGGAAGAAATGATTCCACGTGGAAACCAAGGAGGAAATGCATCCTTCTGCTCCCCAAAGGGAAGTAAAATGAGAAAAGAGGATCGAGCAGATGGGAGGAAGGCATGGGTTTGGCGAAGTAACCCCTTCAGCGACTCCACCAACAACTTCCATGACAGTAATTAGGGTGATGAGTACTCAGTGCTAGTGAGTTGGTGGTGTGCAAATTGAGGTGACGGATTGGGTGTCATGTGGGGATAGGCTGGGACAGACAGTCCACAATGGCCAGATGAGTGGGCTGGCCATCTGGATTTCAGCCAGAAATTAGCAGAAGGGCTTTGGATGTGTTGACTATGGTGTCAGGGGACTGAGGACATGTCATGCACCTCCTGTGGGCAGGGAGGCCCATGAACCGAGGAAGCAGGTGGCCATCTGTGGCAGCTGTCACAGCCCAGCATAAAGCTAAGCACTTCTACTTATTATATCATTCAAAAGCTGCCTCAGCCTGCAAGGTGGGAGAGGGGCCTGGGGTGGGGAGGTGAGGTTGCTGAACTTCCGCCAGCTCCCTGAACCACAGTGGCTGTCATGCCACCACCGGAGATGAATTCTAGGGAAGGCTTTGGCGTCTTTCAGGATCCTCTGTTCAAATGTCCTTCGTAAGTCCATTTACCCATTAGTTCCACAAATATTTACAGAGCCTCTACCAGGGGCCAGGTGATGTCACACCTTTAAATGGTCATGAGCTAATGCTTTAGAAGGTTTAAATTGGCAATCGGCCTGTCTTATTTTAATTTAGAATGATCAACAGAGTAAAGAAGCAGGGAGCTGAATTACAGGTCTGGTGAGCTGAGACTTTAATGCTATTTGTTAGCAGCTGGTGTTGTTATTACTGTTAGGAGGGCTTGTCACAGAGGACGGCATGGTTCAGAGTTGTCTGTAAAATCTGAGACTCTGGAAAGCCAGAGTCCTTTTGTCAAGAGTCAAGTCTAAGGATGGAAGGTGTGAGTATCAGGGGTGTGAGAGTAGGGTGCTAGGCAGTAGAGAGCACAGGAAAGATGGGGGCTTGGGTGGCCTGGGTGCTCCAGGCTTCTGAAAATTCTCACTCTGACAAGAGCTCCAGAGAAGTGTGTGAAGGACAAATCCCTGCTCATCCTTGTTCTAGGACTCTAAAGGGATAGTTCCTCTGGAAACCTATCCAAGGAATTCATTCCCAGATCCCCAGAGACCTCCATCCTAAGGAACGCACATTACAGTCTGTTGGGAAGTAGTTCTGTTCTCTATGTCTGATTGTGCTTCAAAGTTTTCAAAAGTCCAAATGGTGGGGGAAGTAGGTGAGAAAGACACGTTTAACATATAACCCTGGAGCGAGGAGCAGTGGATTTTGAGTCATCGGCCCAAGTTAGAATTTGGCCTCTGCCACTTCGGAGCTATGTAAACTCAGCAACATTATTTCCCCTGTTAAGCCTCATTTTCCTCTCTTCTGAGAGAGATGCTAACACCTACATCCCAGCCTCTGAGAGGCTACAGAGAGCAGTGATTGCAGGCCTGACTGCTGGGATTCAGATCCTCACTCTGCCATGTGCAAGCTGTGTGACTTTTGCAAGTTACCTAACCTCCCTGAGCCTCAGTTTCCTCATCTGTAAAATAAGGTTAATAATCATAGCTATCAGACAGGAGTACCATGAGGATTAAATAAGATGTAAAGCACCTAGAACAACTTTTGGCATTTAGCAAGTGCTATGTAAGTGCTTATTTATTTAAAAGATAGTCAAATGGGATACTTAACTGTCAAACCCATCACCTGCCATTACCTCTGTAAGGGAAGGCTAGAGATTTTTGGAGGGAATTTGCTCCGGTAGCAAGTACCACAGCATTTCCCTATGGGTGCGAGAAGAGGGGGTCGTTCCTCTGCCTCCCAAGCCAAGTGAGGGGAAGCCCAGGATAACTATTTGGGTAGGCTGGTGGCGAGGGCTTGCAGGATGAGGACGTAGCCGTCCTCTCCCTTGCCGGATTTCTACTGAGCTGCAGATTCCCAAAGGCCACCCCAAGTGTCAACAAAGTTCATGGAGTTCTTGATGGTGCCTAATATTAGTGTCCAGGAATTGGGGGGGTGGGGGTGGGGCATGGGGTCATGCAAGGTAAGCCTAAGGCTGGTGGCTGGCAGGAGCCGCCTACAACGGCAGAGCCAGGAGAGCAGCCTGCTAGTGTGACGTGCCCAATGCTAGGGGCTAAATTGCATCTCCCCCAAATTCTTATGTTGAAGCCCTAACTCTCAGTGTGACTGTGTTTGAATTAAAGCCACAAAATTGGGAATCTGATCCAATAGAATTCGTGTCTTTATAAGAGGCACCTGAGAGCTCACTTGCTCTCCCTGCCACCTGAGGATACAATGAGAAGGTGGTTGTTTGCAAGCCAGGAATGGAGCCCTCACCTTAAACCACCTGGCCAGCTCCTGGATAATCTTGGCCCTTCAGCCTCCAGCACAGTGAGAAATAGAATTTCTGTTGTTTAAGCCCATGCAGTCTAGGGTATTTTGTTATGGCAGCCTGAGCAGACTAAGACACCCAGGGTATGTGCCTATTCCCAGGCACCAGTACTCTGTGGAGGGCAGCCTGCCAGACTCTGGGAGTCCCAGGGGTGTGTAGCCTGGGCCAGGACCAACAATTAGACCAAGAGTGCATTTGGGGAGGGTTGGACAGAGGTCCTTATAGAGCATTCTCCAAGGGGAGCTTGGGTTGGGGTGTCAGCCATTTGTCCACCCACAAAGAGCAGTCCCAGACAGCACTGGCTGTGTGAAAACATCTTTCGGCCTCTTCCAGGACGCCATGGCAGAAAAAAAAAAAAAAAAGAAGCTGCAACTTGAATGATGAGACCACAGCCCTCCCCGCTTCAGTTCCCAGCAGGGGCAGCCTCACCTGAGGAGAGGAGATTGCTTGGTGCTGAAAATGAAATTAAATTAAAGTTGTAATGGGCTGGGCTTTCTTTCTTTTTTTTTTAATTGAAGTGTGACACTTTGCTGTCCAAAGCGTGATCTGAAATGGAGCATCGCCAGAGAGCCTGGAAGAAATGCAGTCTCAGGCCCTACCATCTGCATTTTAACAAGAACCTCTGGTGAGTCACAAGCCCACAAACGTTTGAGAAGTGCTGGTGTAACACATGAACAGCTGCAGAAATGCCCACATACGGACACACCCAAGCAGCTGGCACCCAGATATTTACCATACCTCCACCTCCCCAGGCAGCCCCTGGGGGCCCTTCCTGCTGGATGCCCTATGGTGGGTTTTCTTAATTAAGCCTGAAATTGAGTCTGTTCCAATTCTCCAACGAGAACCGAAGGCTGGAGGCTCAGCCCAGAAGGTCAACAAGGGGTGGAGAGGAGCTTGAAGCCATGGTGGGAGAGAAAACAAAGCCAAATCAGAGCCCAGCTCCTGCAGAAACCACTGTCTCTTCTCTCTAGCTCTATGGGCTTTCACTGTACCCCCTCCCTTCTGGCCTGTTGTCCTGGTTGATCTTCACAGCCACTTTAACTCCAGATTCATAAAAATGCAAATAGTGGAGCCTCCCACAGTAGCCAAGCCTGGGGCTGGTGGTGGCTGCTACAGCCACAGCTGCTCCATCAGGCAGCTTCCGTTTTTCCATTGCAGATGAAAATGCGCTATTTCCTTTACATAACTTGTAATATCTTGAGTTTGCCACTCACACCTGTACAATCAGGCAGCTAAAACTTATCTGGTTGTGGTGCTACTTCTCTGAGATTCCTCCCAGCTGATTCCTTAGCACCTCAAAGATGCTGGCACATTCTCAGCAAGAAATGGGTCTCCTCCATCCCCAGCTACCTCGCTGGGTGCCATTGGGTGAGTCTCCAGGGCTGCTTCTGTTGTTGATGGTCTGTCCTGGAGCATGGGACTCCCAAGAATCAGGCCAGGGATACAGGCTTCCATCGTCTAAAACAGGGTTTCTCCATTTCTGCACCACTGACTGTGGGACTGGATAATCCTTTGTTGTGGGGGGCTGTCTTGTGCAGAATAGAATGTCCAGCAGCATCCCAGCCTCTATTTACCAGATATCAGGAGCACCTCTATGACAATCAAGTGTCTCCAGCCTTTGCCAAATGTCCCCAGATTGCTCCTGGTTGAGATCCACTGTTCTAAATGCATGGTCAATGCCCTGTGTGCTGGGCTGCCAGAGGGAACTGGGATGGCCTGGTGGCAGGGTTGCCCAGGAAGAAATAATCCAAGTTCCCAAGTCAACAGTGAGGATATATTCCAACAGGTCTACTGTCACAAGGAGAGGACAAAAGTACCAACGGAGCATTTAAAGGGGAATCAGTGGCCAGGTCTTAGAATAGAGAGTTTCTTAATTTGGGTATCCCAGGAGGAGACCTTCAGACAAGGGTTCCAGAAAAAGTAGCTTATATGAAAGGCGCAAGGAAGACTGAGAGGGGGTAGGGAACTGATATAGGAAAATAAAGGTTGATCAAGCTAACCGCCCCTGGAGGTGACTGGCCTGTGACCCTGCTGGGGGCCTCTAGGCGGCAGTGTCAAGCACATGCCTCAGACTCATCTCCCCAGGCTTCCAAGGGTGAGGGAGCTCGGGTGTATATATTTATAATACACCAATTCCCAACAGTCAGTGGTTGCTGGCTTCTCCCACAGGGCAGTAATTCCCCAAAGCAGGCTCCAGGGCCCAAGGAAAGCCCTCGGCAGGGAAACATTGAGTGTCAGGCACAGGGAATCAGGCCATCGGGTCACCTGGACACCGTAAGGGTGAGGGGATAGGGACAAGGCACCCACAGTTCCTGCTATCCCCCCAAGATGCTCCCCTCCCTCAGCCCACCCTCAGTCCCAGGCACTGTTACCGAACTTCTCAGTCTTCCCAGAGAAGCACTGCCCAACATCGAAGCCACGCCTCTCTGAGAGGGAGCCACATCCACTCCTATCCTCGCCCACCTTTGGAGAGGGAGGGTGGAAGATACAGACCCACAGCCTCCTGGCTGCAGATTCCAGTTCCCTAACCCTGTTGAAGCCCAGGGTGCCTTCCTGAAGAAGCAATTCAGATCACAACAGCATTTTGCATTTTAATCCTGCATCTACATTCGTGTCCCTACCCCTCTACCCTGCCACTCTATCCTGCTTAGATCCGCGTATTACTCTGAGTCTACAATCCTGCTGAATGGATTAATGGCCAATTCAAAAGATGGAAAACATGTGGTGCTTGAATTAATGAGCAAGTTCTTCCACTGTCTACCAGATCAACCTTGAGCAGGTTGCTACAATTCTCCGGGCCTTTATTTCTTGATCTGTGAAATGGGGAAAAGATACCTACCATGTTTCTCTGCTACTGCCTGGTTTTGCTGAATGTAGGCCCTCCCTCCACCGGGACCTGCGTCCCAATTTCCAGGACTCCCCCAAGGGAATCTCACCTGGGTTCAAAAATATCTTACCATCAACCAACACCTGAGGGCTTCAGGGGTTGGTGTTTTTGATGATTGTTTTAAATTTGACCCCAGACACTGGTGGCCACTGCTGCCGCTTCCACCACTGTGCCCTCTTGCCGGCCCTAGTCCCACACATGGCAGCTTTGATGCCCTGGGCTCCTTTGATGCTCTGCCTTCTGGGCTCCTGACCACATTGGTTTCAGCTCTGCCCACCTGGACCTCACCCAAGCAACTTTCCTCCTGGCTGCAGCTCCAAGAGCTGCCCCCTCTCCACCAGGAGGAACTGACTTACCAAGGTGACAGTCTAGAGACTGCTTGCCCAATTAAAGCCATGATCCCCAATCTCACACTCCAAGTGAGGCCCCTCCACCCAAGAGGAATCCAGCACATGGATCCCCACTCCCACAGGCTGATCCCTACTCCCCACCCAAAGGTCGTCTCAGTTGTAAACCACAGGTCATCCTGATCCCTTTCAGAACCACCCTGAGGCCTAAGGAAAAGCCTTGGCCTCACTGCAATCAAATTCCAGCACCACTGCTTAGCAGCTGTGTTCCAGCAGGCACAGTACTGCACCTCTCTGAACCTCAGTAGCACCCACCTTCTTCTGAGAGTCATGGTGGCGATCCAGTGACAGCGGATACGATGTGTTTAGCACAATGCCTGGTGTCTAATCCTCAGAGCCCGTGCATTCAACAAAGATATAACTGGCAAATGTTACCTCTTCCTCCATTTAAAAAAACATTGATACCATTGATTAAGAACAATGGTAGCTGGGATCGGTAGCTCACGTCTGTGATCCCAGCACTTTGGGAGGCTGAGGTGAGAAGACTGCTTGAGCCCAGAAGATCAAGACCAGCGTCAGTGAGCAACAGAGTGAGACCGTCTACAAAAAAAAAAAAATTTTAATTAGACAGGCATGTTAGTGCATGCCTACTTAGGAGCGACTTAGGAGGTTGAAGTGGGAGTATTGCTTCAACCCAGGAGGCAGAGGCTGCAGTGAGCCAATATCATGCTACTGTATTCCAGCCTGGGCAACAGAGTGAGACTCTGTCTCAAAAAAAACCAAAAAAACGGGGGGAGGAGCCAAGATGGCCGAATAGGAACAGCTCCGGTCTACAGCTCCCAGCGTGAGCGACGCAGAAGACGGGTGATTTCTGCATTTCCATCTGAGGTACCGGGTTCATCTCACTAGGGAGTGCCAGACAGTGGGCGCAGGTCAGCGGGTGCGCGCACCTTGCGCGAGCCGAAGCAGGGTGAGGCATTGCCTCACTCGGGAAGCACAAGGGGTCAGGGAGTTCCCTTTCCGAGTCAAAGAAAGGGGTGACGGACGGCACCTGGAAAATCGGGTCACTCCCACCCGAATACTGTGCTTTTCCGACGGGCTTAAAAAACGGCGCACCGCGAGATTATATCCCGCACCTGGCTCGGAGGGTCCTACCCCACGGAATCTCGCTGATTGCTAGCACAGCAGTCTGAGATCAAACTGCAAGGCGGCAGCGAGGCTGGGGGAGGGGGGCCCGCCATTGCCCAGGCTTGATTAGGTAAACAAAGCAGCCGGGAAGCTCCAACTGGGTGGAGCCCACCACAGCTCAAGGAGGCCTGCCTGCCTCTGTAGGCTCCACCTCTGGGAGCAGGGCACAGACAAACAAAAAGACAGCAGTAACCTCTGCAGACTTAAATGTCCCTGTCTGACAGCTTTGAAGAGAGCAGTGGTTCTCCCAGCACCCAGCTGGAGATCTGAGAACAGGCAGACTGCCTCCTCAAGTGGGTCCCTGACCCCTGACCCCCGAGCAGCCTAACTGGGAGGCACCTGCCAACAGGGGCACACTGACACCTCACACGGCAGGGTACTCCAACAGACCTGCAGCTGAGGGTCCTGTCTGTTAGAAGGAAAACTAACAACCAGAAAGGACATCCACACCAAAAACCCATCTGTACATCACCATCATCAAAGACCAAAAGTAGATAAAACCACAAAGATGGGGAAAAAACAGAACAGAAGAACTGGAAACTCTAAAAAGCAGAGCGCCTCTCCTCCTCCAAAGGAACGCAGTTCCTCACCAGCAACGGAACAAAGCTGGAGGGGGAATGACTTTGACGAGCTGAGAGAAGAAGGCTTCAGATGATCAAATTACTCTGAGCTACGGGAGGACATTCAAACCAAAGGCAAAGAAGTTGAAAACTTTGAAAAAAATTTAGAAGAATGTATAACTAGAATAACCAATACGGAGAAGTGCTTAAAGGAGCTGATGGAGCTGAAAACCAAGGCTCGAGAACTACGTAAAGAATGCAGTAGCCTCAGGAGCCGATGCCATCAACTGGAAGAAAGGGTATCAGCAATGGAAGATGAAATGAATGAAATGAAGTGGGAAGGGAAGTTTAGAGAAAAAAGAATAAAAAGAAATAAGCAAAGCCTCCAAGAAATATGGGACTATGTGAAAAGACCAAATCTACGTCTCATTGGTGTACCTGAAAGTGACGGGGAGAATGGAACTAAGTTGGAAAACACTCTGCAGGATATCGTCCAGAACTTCCCCAATCTAGCAAGGCAGACCAATGTTCAGATTCAGGAAATACAGAGAACGCCACAAAGATACTCCTCGAGAAGAGCAACTCCAAGACACATAATTGTCAGATTCACCAAAGTTGAAATGAAGGAAAAAATGTTAAGGGCAGCCAGAGAGAAAGGTCGGATTACCCTCAAAGGGAAGCCCATCAGACTAACAGCAGATCTCTTGGCAGAAACCCTACAGGCCAGAAGAGAGTGGGGGCCAATATTCAACATTCTTAAAGGAAAGAATTTTCAACCCAGAATTTCATATCCAGCCAAACTAAGCTTCATAAGTGAAGGAGAAATAAAATACTTTACAGACAAGCAAATGCTGAGAGATTTTGTCACCACCAGGCCTGCCCTAAAAGAGCTCCTGAAGGAAGCGCTAAACATGGAAAGGAACAACCAGTACCAGCCACTGCAAAATCATGCCAAAATGTAAAGACTATCGAGACTAGGAAGAAACTGCATCAACTAACGAGCAAAATAACCAGCTAACATCATCATGACAGGACCAAATTCACACATAACAATATTAACTTTAAATGTAAATGGACTAAATGCTCCAATTAAAAGACACAGACTGGCAAATTGGATAAAGAGTCAAGACCAATCAGTGTGCTGTATTCAGGAAACTCATCTCACATGCAGAGACACACATAGGCTCAAAATAAAAGGATGGAAGGAGATCTACCAAGCAAATGGAAAACAACAAAAGGCAGGGGTTGCAATCCTAGTCTCTGATAAAACAGACTTTAAACCAACAAAGATCAAAAGAGACAAAGAAGGCCATTACATAATGGTAAAGGGATCAATTCAACAAGAAGAGCTAACTATCCTAAATATATATGCACCCAACACAGGAGCACCCAGATTCGTAAAGGAAGTCCTGAGTGACCTACAAAGAGACTTAGACTCCCACACATTAATAATGGGAGACTTTAACACCCCACTGTCAACATTAGACAGATCAATGAGACACAAAGTCAACAAGGATACCCAGGAATTAACTCAGCTCTGCACCAAGCAGACCTAATAGACATCTACAGAACTCTCCACCCCAAATCAACAGAATATACATTTTTTTCAGCACCACACCACACCTATTCCAAAATTGACCGCATACTTGGAAGTAAAGCTCTCCTCAGCAAATGTAAAAGAACAGAAATTATAACAAACTATCTCTCAGACGACAGTGCAATCAAACTAGAACTCAGGATTAAGAATCTCACTCAAAACCACTCAACTACATGGAAACTGAACAACCTGCTCCTGAATGACTACTGGGTACATAACAAAATGAAGGCAGAAATAAAGATGTTCTTTGAAACCAATGAGAACAAAGACACAACATACCAGAATCTCTGGGACGCATTCAAAGCAGCGTGTAGAGGGAAATTTATAGCACTAAATGCCCACAAGAGAAAGCAGGAAAGATCCAAAATTGACACCCTAACATCACAATTAAAAGAACTAGAAAAGCAAGAGCAAACACATTCAAAAGCTAGCAGAAGGCAAGAAATAACTAAAATCAGAGCAGAACTGAAGGAAATAGAGACACAAAAACCCTTCAAAAAATTAATGAATCCAGGAGCTGGTTTTTTGAAAGGATCAACAAAATAGACCACCAGCAAGACTAATAAAGAAAAAAAGAGAGAAGAATCAAATAGACGCAATAAAAAATGATAAAGGGGATATCACCACTGATCCCACAGAAATACAAACTACCATCAGAGAATACTACAAACACCTCTACGCAAATAAACTAGAAAATCTAGAGGAAATGGATAAATTCCTTGACACATACACTCTCCCAAGACTAAACCAGGAAGAAGTTGAATCTCTGAATAGACCAATAACAGGCTCTGAAATTGTGGCAATAATCAATAGCTTACCAACCAAAAAGAGTCCAGGACCAGATGGATTCACAGCCGAATTCTACCAGAGGTACAAGGAGGAACTGGTACCATTCCTTCTACAACTATTCCAATCAATAGAAAAAGAGGGAATCCTCCCTAACTCATTTTATGAGGCCAGCATCATCCTGATACCAAAGGCTGGCAGAGACACAACCAAAAAAGAGAATTTTAGACCAATATCCTTGATGAACGTTGATGCAAAAATCCTCAATAAAATATTGGCAAAACGAATCCAGCAGCACATCAAAAAGCTTATCCACCATGATCAAGTGGGCTTCATCCCTGGGATGCAAGGCTGGTTCAATATACGCAAATCAATAAATGTAATCCAGCATATAAACAGAGCCAAAGACAAAAACCACATGATTATCTCAATAGATGCAGAAAAGGCCTTTGACAAAATTCAACAACCCTTCATGCTAAAAACTCTCAATAAATTAGGTATTGATGGGACGTATTTCAAAATAATAAGAGCTATCTATGACAAACCCACAGCCAATATCATACTGAATGGGCAAAAACTGGAAGCATTCCCTTTGAAAACTGGCACAAGACAGGGATGCCTTCTCTCACCACTCCTATTCAACATAGTGTTGAAGTTCTGGCCAGGGCAATTAGGCAGGAGAAGGAAATAAAGGGTATTCATTAGGAAAAGAGGAAGTCAAATTGTCCCTCTTTGCAGATGACATGATTGTATATCTAGAAAACCCCATTGTCTCAGCCCAAAATCTCCTTAAGCTGATAAGCAACTTCAGCAAAGTCTCAGGATATATAATCAATGTACAAAAATCATAAGCATTCCTATACACCAGCAACAGACAAACAGAGAGCCAAATCATGAGTGAACTCCCATTCACAATTGCTTCAAAGAGAATAAAATACCTAGCAATCCAACTTACAAGGGATGTGAAGGACCTCTTCAAGGAGAACTACAAACCACTGCTCAAGGAAATAAAAGAGGATACAAACAAATGGAAGAACATTCCATGCTCATGGGTAGGAAGAATCAATATCGTGAAAATGGCCATACTGCCCAAGGTAATTTACAGAGTCAATGCCATCCCCATCAAGCTACCAATGACTTTCTTCACAGAATTGGAAAAAACTACTTTAAAGTTCATATGGAACCAAAAAAGAGCCCGCATCGCCAAGTCAATCCTAAGCCAAAAGAACAAAGCTGGAGGCATCACACTACCTGACTTCAAACTATACTACAAGGCTACAGTAACCAAAACAGCATGGTACTGGGACCAAAACAGAGATATAGATCAATGGAACAGAACAGAGCCCTCAGAAATAATGCCACATATCTACAACTGTCTGATCTTTGACAAACCTGAGAAAAACAAGCAATGGGGAAAGGATTCCCTATTTAATAAATGGTGCTGGGAAAACTGGCTAGCCATATGTAGAAAGCTGAAACTGGATCCCTTCCTTACACCTTATACAAAAATCAATTCAAGATGGATTAAAGACTTAAACGTTAGACCTAAAACCATAAAAACCCTAGAAGAAAACCTAGGCAATACCATTCAGGACACAGGCATGGGCAAGGACTTCATGTCTAAAACACCAAAAGCAATGGCAACAAAAGACAAAATTGACAAATGGGATCTAATTAAACTAAAGAGCTTCTGTACAGCAAAAGAAACTACCATCAGAGTGAACAGGCAACCCACAAAATGGGAGAAAATTTTCGCAACCTACTCATCTGACAAAGGGCTAATATCCAGAATCTACAATGAACTCCAACAAATTTACAAGAAAAAAACAAACAACCCCATCAAAAAGTGGGCAAAGGACATGGACAGACACTTCTCAAAAGAAGACATTTATGCAGCCAAAAAACACATGAAAAAATGCTCACCATCACTGGCCATCAGAGAAATGCAAATCAAAACCACAATGAGATACCATCTCACACCAGTTAGCATGGCAATCATTAAAAAGTCAGGAAACAACAGGTGCTGGAGAGGATGTGGAGAAATAGGAACACTTTTACACTGTTGGTGGGACTGTAAACTAGTTCAACCATTGTGGAAGTCAGTGTGGCGATTCCTCAGGGATCTAGAACTAGAAATACCATTTGACCCAGCCATCCCATTACTGGGTATATACCCAAAGGACTATAAATCATGCTGCTATAAAGACACATGCACACGTATGTTTATTGCGGCACTATTCACAATAGCAAAGACTTGGAACCAACTCAAATGTCCAACAATGATAGACTGGATTAAGAAAATGTGGCACATATACACCATGGAATACTATGCAGCCATAAAAAATGATGAGTTCATGTCCTTTGTAGGGACATGGATGAAATTGGAAATCATCATTCTCAGTAAACTATCACAAGAACAAAAAACCAAACACCGCATATTCTCACTCATAGGTGGTAATTGAACAATAAGAACACATGGACACGGGAAGGGGAACATCACACTCTGGGGACTGTTGTGGGGTGGGGGGAGGGGGGAGGGATAGCATTGGGAGATATACCTAATGCTAGATGACGAGTTAGTGGGTGCAGCGTACCAGCATGGCACATGTATACATATGTAACTAACCTGCACAATGTGCACATGTACCCTAAAACTTAAAGTATACTAATAAAAGAAAAAAAAAACAAAAAAACAAAAAAACAAAAAAAAAAACAGAACAACAATACTCATATGGTTTGGATCTGTGTCCCCACCCATATAGAAATGTAATCCCATTACGTTTAATCTCACATAGATTACATGTAATCTCACATAATGTAATCTCACATAGAAATGTAATCCCATTGCAATGTTGGAGGTAGGGCCTGGTGGGAGGTGATTGGATCACGGGGGTCAGATTTTCCCCTTGGTGCTGTGTTGAGATAGTGAGTGAGTTCTCGTGATATCTGCTTGTTAAAAAGTGTGTGGCACCTCCCCTTCTTCTCTCTCTTCCTCCTGCTCCTGCCATGTAAGACGTCTGCTCCCCCTTTGCCTTCCACCATGATTGTAAGTTCCTTGAGGCCTCCCCAGAAGCTGCTGCTGCTATGCTTCCTGTACAGCCTGCAGAACCATGGGCCAATTAAACCTCTTTTCTTTATAAATTACCCAGTCTCCGGTATTTCTTTACAGCAGTGCAAGAACCAACTAATAACAATACTAACTAATACCTGGACTCCCCGCCACTGTTATAAGTACTTTACATTCGTTAACTCATGGGGTTACTCCCTTAATCCTGTGACTTGGGAAACAATCACCCCATTTTACAGAGGAGGAAAGTGACACATGGTGAGATTAAGTAACTTGCCTGAAGTCACACTGAGTAAGTAAAAGCTAGGAGGAATCCAAATTTATACGACCCAATGTATACCTCATCTTTTCAAAAACACAAATCTCAAGATTTTCTGTGTTTAATGTAAATATGATGGCCTTAAATATCAATTCAAAAGTATTCAGAATCCAGCTGAAAGCTGCCGGGACTTCTTGACTCCCCTGTGACACGAGTCATTACATATGCATAGGAATAGCCACCCCAGCTTTGGAAGAACCAAGAGGCAGCACATGCAAAGCGGATTGGCTGTCAGCCACCTCCCTGCTCTTGGAGCAGACATTCACCTTGATTGGAGCCAGGCCCACATTCACAATCCTTGTCTTCTTCTCTCCATGAGAAACAAATGCAGAGATGCCAGGGGTTCAAACCTGAATAGCTCGCATGAACACATACAACAAGGCACAATTTTTTCCAACATTCTTCATTCACAGAATTTCTCGGTTGAGCACTTCTGCTCTAATTTTCTTTCCAGATATGAATCAGTGTGAAATTATCTCCATTTATTCACTCCATATATGAATCAGTGTGACCTTACCTTCATGCAGTCAATCAACAAGTATCTATAGAGTCTCTACTGGGTGCCAGGCCCTGTTCCAAAAGCTAAATTCACAACAACAACTTATTCCTAATTCTTATTCATTTCCTAGGAATGAGTGTCTTCCACAAGTTCCTTTTGGTCTCTGGAGGGGTTCGTACAGTGAAATCTTCAGAACATATGGTCAGAAACCTTGAAAATTCCATGGGCTCAATTATTCCCAGTTAACCTAGCTCTATTAAAGAAAAGATTGTCCTGTCCCAACCCATTAGTTAAATCCATGGCACTCCAGCAAGCCTGCCTGGGGTGGGTTATGAGGCTTTGCTTCTCCCTCCATGTTGCTTCCTTTATTCTGGCTCTACCCTCCTTGCTCAGTTTGCAAGCTTTCTTCCATTTCCATTGGTCTCCATGCACCAACCGCAGAGCCACTTTCTCCTCCTCACCTCTGCAGAGCCAGACGCCTACTTCCTGCTTCTTTTCCCCAACCCTACCACCTCCTTCCCCAGCCCCCTTGGCTGCAGGAAACCACACAGCAGGACCATTCTACCTGGTCCACTAAACAAAGATAAAATTAAGGTCTATTAAAATGACATTGCAGCCAGGCACAGTGGCTCCCATCTGTAATCCCAGCACATTGGGAGGCCAAGGCAGGAAAATCACTTGAGCCCAGGGGTTCAAGACCGACCTGGGCAACATGGCAAGACCTCCTCTCTACAAAAAGATTGAAAAAAAAAAAGAAGAAAAAAAAGAAATTAGCTGAGTATGGTGGTATGCGCCCATGGTCCCAACTACTTGGGAGGCTGGGGTGGGAGGATCATTCAAGCCCAGGAGGTCAAGGCTACAGTGAGCCATGAGTGCACCACTGCACTCCAGCCTGGGCGACAGAGCAAGACCCTGTCTCAAAAAAAAAAAAGTGACATTGCATTTTCCCTAATAAAATGAATGCCTCCTACATTACCACACACAAATAAACAATGGAGGTAAATATGCAAGCTGACAAAAATTAAAACTTCTCTTAAACCCCACACCAACCCTACAGCATGTGGAAATGAAATATTACGGGGAGAGCCTCACATATCTGAGCAAAACAAAATAAAGACCAATAGCAAACCACAAAAGTTTTGTTTCCATGAGAGTAATTTTTATTTACCTGGCAGAGGTGCCAAGTTCATCAGATATATGCAACCTAATGAGTCATTCTCCTTCACTGCCTCTATTTAATGATCCGATTGAATGTCTCACAGCTTTTCCTTGAGGTGACCAAGATCCCATTTGTTTAAACATTCTATTAAACTTCTGACAGTCATTTTCTACACATGCCATTATCTTCATCTCCTTTGAGGCAGGGTTGAACTTTAAGCTAGAGTTGACCAAGCTGGAGGTGGTTGAGGCATTTTATTTCATTTCAGGTCCTTGGCAGCTAACCCTGCACATTTGCTCCTAATGTCAGTTGCTTACTCTGTAACTCCCAAAGGCTCTGTCTTTCTAATTTTCAATCCACCAGGATTCAGTGTGGCATTGCAAGCCCCACACTGTGTAGATGCACATTCTGTAAACTTTTCTTGCCTGGATTTTGAAAAAGGTTGTGTTTTTCCCCGTGAAAGACCCACCACAACTAGGCAATGCCACAAGAATATCAGCCTTCTCCTCCCCCCGAAGCAGCCGCTCTTCTTATTCACAGTAGCTGTTCCAGCCTCCCTCCCCCATCATTTGATGCTAAACTCAGCCCCTTTTCCAGAATCCAATGACAACAGGCATGTTGAACTTGTGAAGCTTTTATGAAGATGGTGAGGAGTCGCACTGCAGGGCAGACAGATGGTGCTCCACCCCCAAATCCCACCAACAACTCCTTCTTTCCCTCAGTCTCTCCCTGGCCCAACCACCTGGGAGCCCCATGGTCTGACCGCCTCCTCCCCACTGCCAGACAGTGGTTCTAAAACTAGGAAATCACTGGAGGGGAGCTTTAAAAATTACAGGTGCCCGGGTTCTAACCCAGACATTCTGCTATCACTGGTCTGGGGTGTGGCCTGGGCATTGAAATTCTTTAAAGCCCATGAGGTCACAGCCCCAGACTACAGGTCCCCTCTCAGGCTGGGCCATTCTGCCCCATCCCTGGATTTGCAACCCCCACTCCTCTTGGAGTGAGCTGGGCATGTGATCTCCGATTTTCCACAGTCCCCACTTCTCCTTGTTGTCTCCCCACACTGAGGCTGGGCATCCCTGAATTTTTTTTTTTTTTTTTTTTTTTTGAGACGGAGTCTTGCTGTGTCACCCAGGCTGGAGTGCAGTGGCCAGTGGCACAATCTCAGCTCACTGCAACCTCTGTCTCCCAGGTTCAAGCGATTCTCCTGCCTCAGCCTCCCGAGTAGCTGGGACTACAGGCATGCGCCACCACGCCCGGCTAATTTTTGTATTTTTAGTAGAGACAGGGTTTCACCATATTGGCCAGGCTGGCCTTGAACTCCTGATCTCAGGTGATTCGCCTGCCTCTGTCTCCCAAAGTGCAAGGATTACAGGCATGAGCCACCGTGCCCAGCCCCTGATTCTTATGGTAATGATTGCCCTGTCGGTTTTCCTATAGCTCAAAAGAAAGGTGTGTTTCTCATCGCCATGTCTATCAAAAAAGAGATGATCAATGAGGCTGTGGGTGTCTTCCGCCTGGCCTGTGTCATTCATTTACCTTGAGGGCATTTCAGTTTGTGAGCCTGACATGGTCCTCACATCATCCTATTATTATCATTCCTATTTTACAGGCAAGTAAACTGAGGCTCAAGGTCATACACCTTATGACTAGCAGATTCTCTCAGGTCAATTGAATCAAAAGCCCAAGCTCTTAAGATCTACAGGATCCTGCCCTCTTCAAGTGAGCTACCCTAGGACCCTACCCTGTACTATTCCCAGAGAGCACTGGCAGTTGGAAATTCCCCCTTAAATAAAGCCCCCCATCTGCTTCTCAGCTGCAAACATGACACACACATAGAAAGAGAGGGAGGGAAAGTGAGTTTGGGCGCCAGCTGCATGTTGGCTGACCAGCAGGTTCTGCTCAGCTGGGGACCAGCAGTGTCTTCACTATCTGGATGGACAGCCCTAGAGATGGGGCCCCAGGATTTCCACGGAGCCAGTGGCTGTGGGCTGGAAAGGAATCAAGGAACTCACAGCCAACAGGCAAGAAGCACAGGAACCCCTGGTTGACCAAAAGTGTGGGATTGACGGGGAACAGAAAAGGCAGAGAGGAGGTGAGAACCTGGATCACAGCTCCTGATTTGGAGCAGAGGTTGAAAGGATGCCCTTTGGAGATGGAAGAAGGAACACAGGTGACCTCTGAAAGCTAGAAAAGGTAAGGCCATAGATTCTCCCCTAGAACCTCCAGAAGGAATGCAGCCCTGCTGATGCCTTGATTTGAGGACTCATGACCTGTAGAACTGTAAGATAATAGATCTGTGTTATTTTAAGATACATTTATGGTTATTACAGGAGCAATAGGAAACGAATACAGTTAGAAGTTTGGGTCCTTCTAGCATGTATTAGTTTGCTAGGGTTGCCATGACCACCGACTCGGGGCTTACATAGCAGAAATGGATTGTCCCACAGTTCTGGAGGCTGGACATCCGAGATCAAGGTGGGCAGTCATGCTGCCTCTGAGGGCGCCAGGGTAGGCTCGATTCTAGGCCTCTCTCTGAGCTGCTGGTAGTTCCCTGGCTTGTGGCAGCAGAACTCCAATCTTCACATTGTGTTTTGTGTGTGTGTGTGTGTGTGTGTGTGTGTGTGTTTGTGTGTGTGTATGTGTCTATATATTCAAATTTCCCCATTTTATAAGAATATTATATTGGCTGGAATCTAATATTACCAGTCATATTGGATTCCAGCCAACCTCAATGACTTAATAGCTTCATCTTAACTCTGATCATCTGCAGAGATCCTATTTCCAAATAAGGTCCTATTCACAGGTACTGGAGGTCAGGACTTCTACAGCTTTTGAGGGAATACAGTTCAACCCCTAACACACCATTATTCCTAAAAGCTGCCCTCCTCTACAAATCGCAGGGAAGGAGGGCAATAATTATTTCCCTGCAAGAAAATGACCCTCCAACTTCCTCTGTCTGTTCCCCAAGCTCCCTCTCTCTGTTCCCCAGAGGCCAACACCCAGTGCTCTGGGGCAGTGTTCACCTCCCCCACTGACTCGATGGAACTTCAGCACACGCTGCAGGGATCTGGGGGTGCTCAAGGGCCTCCCTCATTCCCTACGAGACTGGGAAATCCTCCCAGGCAGGAGCCATGTCCGTCCGTGATCCTAGGGCTTCCTCCCAGTGTTTGCCACCTGCCTACCCCAGCAGGCAGCGTGCCAGGCCCTCTGTTCATCACTGTTTTTTCTTGTCTGCCTCCCCAGCAGAACTGTGCAATCTACCAGGTCAGGGTTCAAGTCTTCTTCACTGTTTTATCCTCAGCATCTGCTATGTGCTGCACACCCAGTAAGCGTTTGTTGAAATCATGCATTATTCATCTTTGTTTCCCATCCACTGAGCCTAGGAAAAACACCAGCATGAAGTCACTATGTGTTGAATGAAAATATAGCCCCTGGAAAGCTTCCCTCAATGCAGAAGAGTTGAGTTCAACCTGTTTTCAAAAAAGGCAGTGTGGTGTATGAGGTGGGGCGTGCTCTGAATCTCTAGGGCAGCGTGTGTGGCTCACATCTGAGGCTTAGGCCAGATGAAATTGAAGCCAGCTCTTTTTGACTCAAACCAAGATCCTCTGGGAGGCTAAGTAGACAGAGACAAGGAGAAATGATGACTTATCTCTCATCCTCACCCCTCAAGAATTCTGCAGAATGAGGTTGCAGACAGAACCAAGGGCTCATCTTCAGGGCACCCAGTCTCTGGAACATCCATTTGGTCTGGGGTATACATCACAGAGCTCAAAGAGACATGCAGAAACCCCAGCCCAGAGAGCCCCGCCCAAGTGTCAGGACTCTGTGAATTCATGAAGACGTTCTGAATGCCAAAGCACCTGATATTCTCAGAGACTGAGGCCCACCCTGGGCCTTGCTGAAAGTAAACAGCAAACGCTGTTCCCACCCACAAGAATACACGCCCCTTCCCCAGAGCCTGCTCCAGCATGGTCTCTGAACAGGGAGTTTTCACTGTTGGTCCTGAAGGCTGGAAAATTTTCCATCTCTTTTCTTTCACCTGGGAAGCAAAGCAGGTTCTACCTGAGTATGGCAAGGGCCAGTCTCCCCTGTCCTGGCATCTGCTCTTGGAGGGGAGTATGGCAACTTGGGGTTCACTTACTCATTCTCATTGTCTGATGGATAATCAAGTCGGGTGGAAGGAATCCCAGTTAGATATGGGACTCAACTCAGAGCTATTTTCCCCCAGGTGGGAGAAGTAGGTAAGGAGAGCGAGTCTGTACTGGCTCGAACGTGAAACCGAGGCCGTCCAGACATGGCTCGGGACAGCACCAGCCCAAGACGGCTCTGATGACCCAGGACTCTACACAGGGTCTGCAAACTGCATACAGCCCATGAGCCAAAATCGTGTTTTTACAATCTGGCTGCCACTTATTTTTGTAAATAAAGTTTTACTGAGACACAACCATAGCCCCTTCATTTACGCATTTTCTACAGCAGCTTTTGAGCTACAAGGGCAGAGGTGAGTAGTCGCGACAGAGACCACATGGCCCACGAAATCTGAAACCAGGGCAGTGCAACCCATAGGGCCCCATGCTTGGGAGATGCCACAGCTTGATTTCACCATGTTGAAATTTTTAATCATTTTTAAACAAGAGCTGAATTTTTGTTTTTCTCTGGACCCCTCAACTTATATAGCCAGTCCTGCCTGAAAGATTTACTATATGGTCCTACAGTTTGCCCTGTTCTTCTCCTTTTTTAGCTCTTGGTTCCCTTTCACTCTTCTACCTTAATGTTTCTGGACCCAGGAAGCCAGCCCCTTTCGGAAGCAGTCTATTATATCTCTGGGAAACTTTGAGGCAGTCCTTCCTGGTACCCTTACCGAGAACTATATCAGCTATCATTATCAGTGGGGCCAACGATGACCCAGGCCCTGGGTTGAGTCAAGCGAAAGTCTGCCACTTACTCACCAGTCCTTGGGACCTCCCAGAATAAATCTCATCCCTTATGCCTTCAGAGATTTGAGGAAAGTTCTTCCGTCCCTCTCTCTGAGTCTTCTCTTTAGAACCCAAAATTGTCTGTTTCTCACAAGACATGTTTCAAGCTCTTTCTTAAAGGAGCTTCCTTCCTCTATAGAGATGATCTAGTTTCCCAACACCCCTCTTCAAGCATGGAGCCCCACTAGACCTCCAAGCGTAGTCTGACCAGTGCACAGTTGAGTAGGACAGTCACCTCCATTATTCTAGAGTGTTCATCTCTATTGATGCATCCTAAGATCACTCTGTCTATTTTGGAACCCATTCCAAAAATCTCCCAGATCCCTCATGGTAGGAAAAGATGGTCCGTTATGCTCATTATATAGGTGAGTAAACCAAAGTTTGGGAGGGAGTGGCCTGCTCATGGACATATAGCAGTTCTGTCTCCAAATCCCAAGCTCTCCAGTCCACCAACTGAGATTTTTGGGCCCTCGGTTTCTACATCTGTAAAATGGAAAAGCTGGGTCTCTTCGAGCTCGAGCATACTGTGATTTGTTTTCTAAATGCAGACCCCAAAAGCCAAGTCATGAAGAAAACAGAAGCTCTCAATCCAGATCTAAAACTTGTAGGAAAAACAAAAAAAAGCTTCCTTTCCTGCTGATCATTCTAGAGTTACTAGCCTTGGAAACATTTGCATGAGTGATCAATCTTGCTTGTTAACAGTAGCCCTAGACTTGTTAGCTCACTGAGTTTTCAGTCCATGGTACCATTACTTTCTTAGTGACTCAGCTCATGTAAATCTTTCCCTTTCCCATTACTTCCCCTTTGGACCCTCCACAAATGTGTCTTCCTGCACATCCCATTTTCAAAATTCTTTTCTCTCTCTTTTCCCTGGCAAGCCAAATAACAACAACAACGACAAAAATCCTTTGAAATAAGAACGCTGTGTCCTCTATAAAACCCCAGATACAAAATGGGCTCCGGAAAGCCACTCTCTCTCCTTAATTGCTTTCTCTTGTTAGCTGCATCACCCCAGGGTTGACTTGAAAGTTTCATCTGTCAGTACGTTCTCTTCGTAACATTTTTTCTGTGAGTACACAGCCCCTCTGGTGCCCCATTAGGTTTTCCCACTGAGTGCGGGGGCACAGACTCATGCGTGGGGAATACAGGCAGGTTTTACCATCCAAACTTGACAAGGACCCCAGGCCTCAGAGAGGGGGCTCAGAGTTGCTTCACGATAGGGCCAAGAAACAACTAATGGTTCCCGGCTTCAGTGCTCTTTTCACCAGTGAGGTTTTTAGAAATACAATTGTCATAAGAAAGTGAGAGATGACCCTTTCTCTGCCTCTGGCATCTGGCCCTTTCCTCTCTGCCTCTCTGAGTCCACTCATCCTTCTGGCCCAGCTGAAGTACACTTCCTTCCTGTGAAATCCACAATGTGTGTTAGTTGCTCCACTCCCTTGGCCCTCAGCACCGATCACCAGCTAGGGGCACTGACCCTTTCAGATAACAAATGAGCCTCCTTACACACACCAAGGATGCCTAGGAAGGAAGCCAAGCACATAATGATTCTCAACAAACAGTAGTTGCTATTGCCATTAGCGCTCATTGATCCAGTGACTATGGTTGTGAAACAAGCTCCCCCAAATTCCAGTGACATAAAAAAATGATTATGATCATGAACTGTGTGGTTTAGATATTCAAACAGGACACAGAGAAGACAGTTTCTCTGTTTCATGGTGTCTGAGGCTTCAGCTGGAAGACAGGAAGGTTGGGGATGACTTGAAGACTGGCGACTGGGAACATCCAAAACTTTGTTCACCCTCATGCCTGATGCTGATGTTGGTTGACAGCTGGAGCCTCAGCTCCTCTCTATGTGGTTTTCCCACATAGGCTGGTGTGGACTTCCTCCCAGCGTGGTGACTGAGGTCCAAGAGCAAGAATCCTGAGAGGAGAGAGCCAGGAAGCCAGCCAGGGAGGGAACACAGACCCTCCCTCTTGGTGGAAGGAGTGTCAATCTCATCATCTTTGGAAAAGATGGCCTTCCATAATCATTATTACTATGTCGTTATTATTACTTCCCCTTTAGGATGATGAGTTCTTCTAGGTGGCTCTTCCATCCCTGGCGACAAGACTGCCATTAGCTGGCCCACCTTTCACCAGACATATCTGGTTCTACGGTGCACAAAGCTTAAGCTCAGGCTTAGATCCCTGCCACGTCCCTTGTGAATACAAGCAGCAATGTTCTTTTTTTTTGTTACAATCTCTTTGCAGAATATTCATGTACCTGGGACCAGGGGGACCTGGGGACCCAGGCAAGGGAATGGAAAAGCAACAAAAAAAGTTACCTCTTAATCCTAAGCGACTTAGGGACAGTTTTCTGGTTGCCCACCATTTATCCCTAGTAACACTGTGGGGGTGCCGAAAATGTGCTCAAGCTAAAAAACCTACAGTTCCATCATCGTTTGCCAAGACAGGAGTGACCAATGAGATATAAACAGAAGTAGTTGGGTTGGACTTCTAACAAAGCTTTATAACAGAGCCGACTCAGTTCGCAGATGTCGTTTCTTGTCCCTGCCCCTTCCTCTTTCTTCTTATCCAGACTCAGAGATGATGATTGGAGGAGCAGTAGACATCTTGTGCCTATGAGGTGGCTTTCGGGCTAGCAGAACAGAAGGATGGGAGTCCAGATGTCTGAAGACATCATGGAGCCACTATAATATTTCTGAACTACTTGTGTTAAGTGAGAAAAAAAGTTCCTACCTTATTCAAGTCACTATTACTTTTGCATCCTTTGTGTTACTAGCCAGGTGTAATTATTGATAAAGCCTAAATCACCTCTGGTTTTCCCCCTCCTACCTCAAACTTCACCCAGCTCCAATCCACCCTCCACCTGGCCACCAGGGAGCTTCCTCACACACAAATCTGATACCGACCCTGTCCTGCTTTGAAGCCTTCAATGGCTTTCCAGCACCCCTAGACAAAATCCACATTCTTTAGTATGACATTTGGGATGCTGCACACCCAGGCCTGAGCTGAGCTGTATCTCCTGCCTCAACCCCAGACACCCTGTGCTCCAGCCACTCCACACTTTTCAACATTCCTGTCTATACCACTCCTCAATATCCACAATCCTGTAACTTGAAGTGTTCTAGGTGCTGAGCTCCTGCTTGTCATTCGATACCTATCTGCAAAGCCACCTCCCACAGGAAGTCTTCCCCGGTGTCCTCAGAGTAAGTTACTGACTCCTATGGACTTCTAAGACCAGCTCTTTGTAAAATATCTCTGATCTGTGGCACTTACCGCACAGTATTATAATCACTTATTGTTTTAATTAGTCTCCCCACCTTGACTGGGAGCACTTCAAGGCGGACAGAGCCTTGTTGGTCTGTTTATCCCCAGCTATTAGCAAATCCTGAATGAAGGAGTGAATAGACAGGTAAATGGAAGCACAGACCCTGACCCCTGAGGATTCAGAGTTGCCATCCTTCATGCTGCTGGAGCCCAGGGGAAGGCTGAGTTAGAAGAGGGCACAGAAAAACCGAGCAGGTATCTAAGAGAGGTGCACCCCACTGATGCATGTGGAGTGTCTGGGACCCAAGAAAATCCTGGAAGCTGTCACTAGGGCAGGGTGAAGGGTAGCACGAACATGGACTTCATGTTCCCCCCACCGGGCATATCCCAGTGCAGGCTCCAGACGGCAGACGAGGGGCAGCCCCACAGCAGCTTCCTCTCCCTGTTTCATCCCCAGCCTGGCCCCACACCACAGTCCATCAACTCCTGCTCCAGGTGGAAACCTCAGAAACCCACAAAGCTCGGACCTGCTCCAGGTCACCAAGCAGCAGGGCCAGGCACTGGCAATCCAACGAGAAGCCCCACTACATCGCATTCCAGCTCCTGAAGCCATTCCCTGGGTAGGAGAGCCCTGATTGTTATTATCATCTCTCCATTTTACAGATGGGGACAGAGTGGCCTAGAGAGGTGAAGTGTGCCAAAGGTCACACAGCCAGCCAGAGGCAGAGGAGGGACTAACCCCACTTCCCTCCACGGGCAGTGCACCCCAAAGGAGCCAAAATGCTGACAGCAGTGGGGCAAATTCCAGGGGCCCCGGAGCGACCGCCGAGTTGGCCACAGCCACACGATGCATAGGAAACGCTAGGCCCTCTGCACCCTCTCCTGAGGCCCAGTGCCCTGAGGCAGCCCCCTTTAAGGAGCGATCGGCCTTCCAGAAGAGCTCCAGTCTTAATTTTAGCTTGGAGGCCTGCCACAGGAGGCTTTAGAGAGAGGCAGGCTGAAGTTATGTGGGACAGCTGTCAGCCGGCATGCTGGGTGGGGCCTATTTAGCTGGCAGGGACATAAGTCTGGGGACACTGAATTGGTCTCTCTGCCCCAAGTATTTTCAGCCCCAGCCGGCCACACAGCTCGGATCTCCTCCTGTGGATCCCCCCAGCTCTGCGATGATGGCAGAAGAGCACACAGATCTCGAGGCCCAGATCGTCAAGGATATCCACTGCAAGGAGATTGACCTGGTGAACCGAGACCCCAAGAACATTAACGAGGACATAGTCAAGGTAGGCTCTGCAGGCCTGCCTCGGCGGGCGGAGAGTGTCAGGTTTGCGAGACGTGGGCGCTTGGCAGGGGAGGGTATCTGCTGCAGACACAGTTTCCCTGAAAAGAGACTTGTTGCTCTGTTGTCTCTGTATCACCCCCCCAACCCCACCCCACCCCCAAAAAAAGGCTTCTAAATCACCGAAGGATCTTTAGCAAAATCAAGAGCAAAAAATTAGCCTCATCTCCATGACCTAAGTGCTAATCAGGGCAGGAGGAGCGAGTCACAAAGAAAATCCCTCCTTACTACTGTGACGCTCCTGCCACTCACTCCTGGCTCTCACCCTGGGAGGAACAGGAACGGGCGGCCAAGTTGGGCTCCTTTCTGTGCCAAGGGGCATTTCTGCGGTCTCTCCAGTGGGTGCAGGGTTAATCCCCAGAGGGCAGCTTCCAGCAGGGCCGGCAGCCCCTCGAGGTACACTCACTCCCCCAGAGCACTGCCCAATATCTGTCCCCAAGGCCGAGGGCCATGCCCAGCCCTCCCCTAGCTACCCCCTCACCCCAGGTCTAGTGGCCAGGACAGGGCAGACGGCACCCGGGACCCTCGAAGAGAAAGCTCGGGGTTGTCTAGCCCTCAGGGAGTCTCTCAGCGTCTGAAGTTGGGCCTCTTCCCTCGCCTCCTGGTGACACTAGCGGCCCTGCTGCCTCCAGGCCCACACCTTCAATCCAACTTCCAGCCAGTACCCAGAGGGATCTTTCTTTTTTCTTTTTGAGACAGTCTCTCTCTGTCCCCAAGGCTGGAGTGCAGTCGCACACTCACGCCTCACTGCAGCCTCAACCTCCCAGGCTCAAGTGATTCTCCCTCCTCCACCTCCTGATTAGCTGGGACCACAGGCGAGTGCCACCATGCCCAGCTAATTTTTGTATTTTTAGTAGAGACTGGGTTTCATTATGTTGACCAAGCTGGTATCAAACTCTTGGGCTCAAGTGATCCTCCTGCCTCCCAAAGTGCTGGGATTACAGGTGCAAGACTCCACAACTGGCTCAGAGGTACCTTTCTAAAGCAGAATTCCTCCAAGAAGGGTCCCCAGCCACCAGCATCTGAGTCACTGGAGGGGCTGTTAAGAGGCCAGTGTCTGAGGCCTCTCAGATCCTACTGAAAGCATTGGAATCTCAGGCCAGTGCTGTCCAATAGGGATACTGTTACCACAAGGAATTTAAAATTTTCTAGCAGCCACATTTTAAAATGCGAAAGCAAACAGGTGAAATTAATGTTCCTGATATTTCTTACTTAACCCTATATATCTAAAATAGTATTATTTCAACATGTAAGCAATATAAAACAATTATCAATGAGCTATTGTACAGTCTTCAAGTTTGAAATCCAGTGTGCTTCCTATACCCACAGTATATTTCAGTTCAGACCCCACATTTTCATCCGAAATGCTTGTTCTGCATTTAGATTTCATAAAATGTACATGTGAAAATCGATTCGCATGCCTGTACTGTTTCAAACATTCTGCAAAAATTTTTCAATAATGAAATCGGGGTTTACATTTTAATTAAAGTTAAACAAAATCTAGAATTCTTCAGTTTCACTAGCCACATTTCAAGCGCTCAAAGCTCCTGGCCACTGGATCAGACAGGCCTGTATTGCGGTCTTTCAGTGGGGCACCTCCCATGCTGGAGAAGCCTAGCCTCTCCACGTGGCTGTCCAAACCCAACACAATCTGGCCCCAACCTGCTTCTTCTGCCTGGTTGGCTCCCACCTGCCAGCCCACCCACCAGAGTACATTCCTGTGCCATTGCCAGAAGTGCCTGTCCTCTCTTCTCCAGGTGGTGAATGCCTCACTCAGCCTTCAAGGCCCAACTCAAATGCAACCTCCTCCAGAAAGCCTTCCCTGACTCCTCCAGGCAATTAGTTGCTCCCACTTCTGTCCCCCTGCTTCACTCAGGGCATTCCTCCACCACAGCTCTTCTTATACTGGATATTATATTTCTATACATCGTTAGTGATGGAGATAGAGTATACAGTATAGCACAGTGTGAAAGCTGAAATGAGGAAAATTAGGAAACAAATTTCACAAACTGTAAAGCACTATATACATGTAAATAAAATTGTACCTGTAAAATATTATTAGTTATGGTTTCCATCAGTGTCATCTAGCAGGAATAGTCCTGGACTTGACTTTAATAGACTTGATTTCAAATCCAGTCCATTTTACCTAAAAATGATAACACTGGACAAACCAACTAGGTTTTCTGAGACTCAGTTTCCCCTGTAAAGTGGGAATAATATCATTTCCCAATTTACCTCCACCAGGTAAACGAATCTCAAAGCAGCACTGTGCGTTAGAAATATAGCATGAGGATTGAATGAGATGAAGGGTTTGAAAGTGTCTATCACAGTCCCTGGCACCCAGCAAGGATGAGACAGTGTGAGTCAAAGAAGGGTCTCAAAGAGCTTGCAGTCTAGAGGGCAAGAGAGCTAAGCCAGGAGCCTGCGTCATGCCCAGGTAGCCATCTGGTACACCCAGGTGGGCTGCAGGGAGATGGGAAAGAGGATCCCACGGGAGAACATGGTTTCTAAAGGGCACCCACAATGGCTGGTAAGTACAGAGGGAGCCCTTGGATCCCTCTGAGCCAGGAGGGAGCCAGCTCCAAGCCGCAGGCCTGGATTATGACGCAGAGGGAGCGGCGGGGGCGGCGGCACAGGTGCAGCGGCTTTACGCAGCCCTCCTGGGGCTGAGAGCTGTCCTCTCCTGGAGGCCCTGAGCCCTAGCAAAAATAGCAAAGGCTAAGAAAGGATGCCGCAAATAATTTTGTCCAGAGGAGGTGGTTATTTGGTATGTTTTGGACATTCTCTGCTTTAGGGATTTGTTTGACTTTTTCTTTCTTTTATTTTTAGTGAGTGAGAAATGAAAAAAGTTAATGCAGAACAAGGATCATAAAGCAGACTCAGATATAGATCACAAACAGGTTTAGGTAGATTTCAGGTCTCTGTTACAGTCTGTTAAAGAATAAAGAAAAGAAAGAAGGAGAGAGGGGACTGTGGCTAGGAGGGATGAAGCCAGACTGTTCAGCCTCTCAACTGCCCGGGTTTTGCCATCGATGGAGGAAAAGAGAGATGGGAAGGAAAAGGGAATGAGGGAGACAGAGAGAGATGGAGAAACTGGACAGAGACTGAGAGGAAGGTGCAGGAGGCCCTGGCAGTGCCCCAGGTGGCAGGTGGCAGGGTGGCCTCACAGGTGGTAGCAGGTTTCTCATGGGCTAGGATGAGTGACACGGAAAGAATGCTGGAATAGGACCTGGCTACAGACTCAAGTTCTGGTCCAAGACCTGACAGTAACTTGCTGTGTGACTCTGAGGAAATCCTTTGCCCTCTCTGGTCCCAAGTCCCTGGTGCCACCAGTCACGGCCGTTTCACATTTAAAAAAGCCAAGGATGAAGAGTAGGAGATAGGCATACTACATCCATGGATTTGACCCCCAGTAGAGGGGAGGCACCCCTTTTTGGCCCTGCCTTTAAACCCAGGCAGCCAAGAACAGAGGAAGAGCCCTGTATACTCCAACAGACTTCAGCTGTGGTCTCCAAGGCTCGGGACTGGGCCCAGGGCAGTGTAGAAGGTCATGGAGATTGTAGCTGAGGAACTGGGGGGAGCACACCCCCATTTCTGTTGCCACTTGCCCTCCTCACCAACACTGATTCCACAAATCGCAACTGAATGCCTGTTCAGCACAGGCAATGTGCTGTCCCAGAGGACGTAGTGATGAGCAGGACAGCCTCACTGCATGCAAACCCTCCAGGCTGCAGGGGTGGGAATGTCTGCCAAAGGTCCCCAGGGCTCTCAGCTCACCAGCAGGTACACCCAAGGTTGCCTCAACCTTCAGACCCAGGTTGGAAAGGTCCTAGCCCCACTACAGGTATACCTCAGCACCTCAGAGCCACCCCACAGTGCCTCCAAGTTATTTCCAAGAGGGCTTAGGGCCACCTCACTGACAGCATGCTCTCTCTCTCTGCTCTCTCTTCTCTCTCTCTCCTCTTTCTTCTCTCTCTCTCTCTCCTCTGTCTTCTCTCTCTCTCTCTCTCCTCTCTCTCTCTTCTCTCTCTATCTCCCTTTCTTGACTCACACATAGGCCCCCAGGGCCCTAAAGCAGTGATGCTTGAACCTGAGAGTTATGCAGGTATCCCAGCTTCTGCAGTCAACTCCTCCCTCTTGAGCTTCTCCCAAGTTGCCCTTCAAGCAGGGGAAGGAGATAGATAGGATCCCAGCCTCTCCATGATACTACTCCCCAACCCCCTCCACCCACATCTGCCACAGAACGCCTGCCTTCTTCAGAAAAACAAACACCCATTTGCCCCCCGGCTCAGGCTACACAACACCCAGAGGAACCAGATGCCCACCAGCCCTACAAACACTTGTTCCAGGTTTGTGCTCATCAGGGACACCCTGTTGCACAAAGAAGAAACTGACCTGGTACCTCCCTTGGCGGGGAATCCATTCCTGGGGAGAAGATGAGAGGAGAACAATGAGAACATACAGGAGAAGGAGCTGAACACCGTAAATGAGTGCCAGGTTAGGTGTCATGGGAGGTTAGGAGAGGAAGAATTACTTTCATCTGGAAAAATCAGAAGCCAGCTATATGGACAGGTGGTATCCATGGTGCATCATAAAAATGAGAAAAATTAAAAATGTGAAATGGAGGAACAAAGCTTTCCAAGAAGAAATGGAATAAGCAAAGGCTTTCCCAACACTGGGAAGAATGTTGGGCAGAGTTGGCAAACGTAAGAGGCTGTCATTACCACTGCCCCTTCCAGTGTTCATGGCAGACATGACAATGGATCACAGCACTGCTCCATGACTAATGGATCACAGCACTGCTCCATGGAAGCCATGCACCATCAGCTAGTCATAGTGGGTACAACAGATAACACTTCGCTGCTCTGTCTGCAGAAGAATAATGAACTATCGAAGAGGATTAGGACAGAGGATCTGAAAGGGAATTTGTGGGAGAGAAGGCAGGAAGGGCAGGTTGAAACTAAATAATAGAGGGTCATCCAATCCACCTGTCATTCCATATTGGCAATTCCTTCCTTTTGGAAATGTCTTGCCCTCTGTCAATGACCTCTAAGAAGAGCTGCATCAGACTAATTCACACTGAGGTATTACAACTTAGTGTTATGAGGACTCCTGGGTATCAACTGATCTAGAGTTTTTCAAAATGCAGTCCACTTTCCCAGGGTCCAGTGGTGGGGGCACTTACTAAACTGCAGATTCCTTGGCCTTGCCCCCAGAAGTTCTTATTCAGCTGAGCTGGTGAATGTTTACACTTTAATGTTTGAGCATAAAAGTTTCATGCTCAGGCCAGGCACGGTGGCTCACACCTGTAATCCCAGCATTTTAGGAGGCCAAGGCAGGTGGATCACCTGAGGTCAGGAGTTCAAAACCTGACCAGGCCAACATGATGAAAACCTGTCTCTACTAAAAATACAAAAAAAAAAAAGAGCCAGGTGTAGTGGTGGGTGCCTGTAATCCCAGCTACTCAGGAGGCTGAGGCAGGAGAATTGCTTGAACCCAGGAGGCAGAGGTTGCCATGAGCCGAGATCGCACCACTGTATTCCAGCCTGGATAACAAGAGCAAAATTCCTTCTCCAAAAAAAAAAAAAAAGAGTTTCACGCTCAAACTTGTCAGCTTGTCAGCAACCAAGTCCCATTCATCCTATAGAAGACACCTGGAGCCCAGAGTTATCCCTTGTTTTCCCTAAAGACAGACTGTATCAGTTATCAATTGTGAGTAACAAATCATTCCAAAACTTAATGGCTTAAGGAAACAACCATTTTTTTATTTCTCACAGTTCTGTGGGTGGGCAGGGCTCAGCTTGGCAGTCCTGCTGGTCCCACTGGGGGCCTCTCATGCAGCTACAGTCAGATGGTGGCTGAGGCTGCAATCACCTGGGGGCTCCACCGAGCTAGAACATCCAAGATGGTTCACTCATAGCCCTGGAGGACTGGCAGAGATGGCTGGGAGGCACAGCTGAGCTGTGGTGCTGGGGTGGCTGGCCCTCTATCTCCATGTAGTTTCAGGCCTCCTTATTCACATGGCCTCTCCATTAGTCTCTCGAGCAGCATTCAGCAGTGCATTTCTAATTCTGCTAGTCTCCAGAGCAGAGTATAAAAGTGGACTTCTAACATGGGGGCTCAGTGCTCCTAAAAGCAGAAGGTGCTAGGCTTTCTGAAGGCTTAGTTCTAGAACTGGCACAACATCCTTTCTGCCACATTCTTGTGGTTAAAGTGAGTCACAGGGCAAGCCCAGACTCAAGATGGGATGAGACTACCTGAGGACAAACACCGAGAAGCATGACTAATGGAGGGTCATCTTTGGAGACCAGCAAACCACCCACTGAAAGCTCGTGCACAGCCAAGCCCAGAGCTCCACCCAGGGTACTTCTATTCCTCCCTATTCCAATATGCACCAAATTTCTTGAAGGCAGAGATTGAGAGAGCAGAAGAGCGGATGGGAAGGGACAGGCAGTGAGGCAAAGATCAGGGCTTAGTGGATTGCTGAGGAGCTTCTTCTGGCAGGTTCTTCTCTCTC
This sequence comes from Homo sapiens, assembly GCF_000001405.40. NCBI lineage: Eukaryota > Metazoa > Chordata > Mammalia > Primates > Hominidae > Homo > Homo sapiens. Next base: position 8,740,564 of record NC_000003.12, read on the forward strand.
TGTCTCTCTCCTTGCAGCCCTCTGTTATCTCAGTCTCTTCCCAGCTCCTTTACATAAAACCAAGTCCTGTTATGCCCCAGCCCAGGTGTCCTAGGTCCCTTAAGGTAGACCTGGAGCTGAAAAGAGAGGCTGGAGGGAACTAGGATGGGGGTAGATATATGGTCCTACCTAGGATGCTCTCAACTCCTAGAGCACCCTCCTGAAGGAGGAGTCACAGATGTTCTCAACTCCAAGCTCCAGATGATGCCTGGCCACCTCCTCCACCCATCAGAGCCAGCCTATGCTGTGTTCTGGCCTCAGGCCCTGCTGGGGTATCTGGCCCCTTCAATCACCCTGCTGTCAGGCTGACCTGAGCGTCACTCTGCCAGTCCCTTACGTGCCATGTGAAATAACACATGTAAGATACATGGCCCCAAACTGACATGCATAAAGGGCCATATACATCGTGGGTGTTACCATGGTTATCCCAGATTGTACACAGTTGTATTCTTTTGTTGCTACCTTTTATAACAAAAGATGCAGAGCTTTGTCATTTTTACAGTTTTTGCAGCTATCACCTCATTTTACTTCCTACTTTGTAGGCCAGTGCCTCTAAAACTGAGTGAAGGACCAGTTTTAATATTATTATTCTAATCCACTGCACAGCTATACTTTTGCAAAACGCAACAAAAATTAATCACTGGAAAAATGAAATGAAAACAGCCGTACAGTTACAAGCACCAATGTTTATTGTTAGATTCAATAAACATAAAATTACTGCATCAAATTTCTATGAATATTTCTAAGCACTCTCAACTTCTATAATTACCTTGTTGGGAGACAGGACACACTGATTGTGAACTGCCTTTTAAGTAGCAAGGTAATAGGGGAGGAAGCTGGGATCTGGCAAAAGCTAAGCCTCTCACTTGGGTTTTCTGACTCTGAAGCTAACTCCGTGTCATTACAGATCTTGGCCCAATCGTCTCTGTGTAGAGTTGAAAAAAGAAAACAAACAAACAAAAAACCTAGGATCTCAGAGAGGGAAAGTACCATGCCCCAAATCATACAGTAACTCAATGGCCAGTGGATACTGGGACCATATACCTCCCCACCCTGCTAAGAGCTATTTCCCCACCCACAGATATCCTATTTGAATTGTCCAAGGTCCTGGATGCCTACGGACTGAGTCATGCAGGACTCTGGGGGAGGTATTTTCGACCCCGGGTGACTGTTGTCCTCCCCCGCATCCTCAAGCAATCCCCCGCCCTGCTATCCTACACCTTCCCCGCCCTCTCAGAGACTGCGGGGACTGCGCTGGCTGGTTTCAATTAATCAACTGGGTCTCTTGCTGTTCCAAAAATAAATATGCCACAGAAGGGGACACCGACAGAATGTGCACCATCGTTCCCCCTTCCTCACCCTCCAGCCCCTCTCTCCAACTGCACACAGTGTCCTGAGCCTCAGCACGCAGATGCAGGCTTTCAGCCCACCACCCTCCAAGAAAAAGCCATCTCCTCTCTTCTGGAAAGGAATTAAGAAATGAAGTCACCGTATGCTTGTGCTGCATGGTACAGCTGCCTAGAGCTGCCTGAGCCGGGCCTTATAAATATCTCCCCAAACTAGCATGCTGTGGCCAAAGCTCTCTCAATGCTCAAATCTGAGCTAGGGGAACAGCTGCCTCCTCCAAGCCCAGCCCAGCCCTCTGAGAGCATGTTTTCTGAGATTCACAGAAAATAGAGCACTTGCCCCACACACAGCACCCAAAGGCAATCCCTGGAAATAATTCAAATGTTAGCACCAATGGCTTCTGCAAACACCAAAAAAAAAAAAAAGAAGAAGAAGAAGAAGAAAGATAATTAAAAGACACATACAGAAGCCATTGGCGGTAGGATTATTACTGTAAGTACTGTACTTACTACTGTAAGGAAAGGAGGACTCCATCCGTCTTATCAGCACAGACTGAGACACACGCAGACTCATTTATAACTAAGTAGGCTGGAGAATAATCCGGGATGTCAAAAGAATTTCTCAGATGTATTTTCGAGGAATCTTCAGAGCACCTGAAGGAATAATTACCATCACTGAGCAATATTACCATCACAATAGCCAGGCATTGTGCTAAGCACTGCTCAAGAGGTAGTGTGCCTGGGCAAAGTGGGTAATCAATCAGTATTTATTTGGATGTGTGGGTGGGTGGATGGATGGATGGATGAAAGGATGGATGGATAGATGGATGATAGATGAGCAGGCAGATAGGTGGATAGATGGATAGATGAATGAGTGGATAGATGGTGAGTGTCAGTCTGTTTTTCATTGCTATAAAGGAATACCTGAGACTGGGTAATTTATAAAGAAAAGAGATTTATTTTGGTTCATGGTTCTACAGGCTGTATAAGAAGCATGGTGCAGGCATCTGCAGCTGGTGAGGCCTAAGGAAGCTTCCAATCATAGCAGAAGGCAAAGGGGGAGCTGGCATATCACATGGCGAGAGAGGGAGCAAGAGAGCTGCCGGGTTCTTTTAAACAACCAGGTCTCATGTGAACTAACGAGCAAGAACTCACTCATGACCACAGGGAGGGCACCAAGCCATGGTGAAGGGTCCGCCCCCATGACCCAAACACCTCCCACCAGGCCCCATCTTCAACACTGGGGATCACATTTCAACATGAGATTTGGACGGGACAAACATCCTAACCATCTCAGTGGGTTGTGGATGTATGGATGAATACATGAAAGAAAAATGATCTCAGTCAGCAGGATCCAGGCCCTGGGGGTTTGACTAGAACCTCCATAAACATGGGGAGTGAATATGACTTTTCCATCCCTGTTCCAATCCCGAAGTCCCCTAAATTCCCAGCCAGCCACCACCTCCTGGAAGCCCTCCAAGAAGAAGTAACATCCTTCCTGAGAAGATGAGGCCCATTTTCTTCCTCTCCTCCCATCCACAGGGTTGCATAAGAGATTAAGTCATCTCTGATGAAACCTGCAGCAGAGAAAGCTGGGGGCCAAGATTATACAAGGAAGGTCCTGGGAGGTCAGCTTTTCCATTTCTCCTGCAGCCCAGAGTCTCACCCTGTAAACTGTGCTGCCTGCTGACACACCACCCCGAGTGAGGCCTCATCCTCAGGGATCCCCAGCCTCAGAGCACAGGGGGATCAGGGACCTGAGGTGGGGTGCAGGAGCTCAGAAGCTAAAGTCACATGAGAAAAGAGGGCCCAACACTGTCTGAGCAACATGGTTCTAGTCACTTCTTTCCCCAGAAAATATTGTACTGGAAAGAAATGCACCAAAACAATCATATCTTTAGTAATAGAGAAGTACAAACCCAAGACTCTTTTCTTTTTTCTATTCTGTTAATTCTCTGTGATATGGCCATTTTTTTTATAATGAAAGTAATTTTAATATTGGTGATGCAATAGAGGAGAGGATCCCCTCCCCATAACCAAGGCGGGAAAGGGACTAACTAACCAGGAAGATTGAAGTTGGAGCCTCAGCCCTGCAGGCCACCACACAGGCCCCTCCTGTTGATCTGATTAGTCTGTACCTGCATCCACCCCCTTTTAATTTGAATGGCCCAGGAGCACTGCTAGAAAGAAAACATCTCAGAACAGTTTCAGGCATTAGCAAACAGCTCTGCAACCTCCCACTTGGCGGGCTGTACTGGTAACAACCATGGGGAGACCAGTCATGAAGCAGCTAATTTGGTTCACTGCTGTTTAATTGACCAGTGGAATTTTTTTTTTTTTTTTTTTTTGAGATGGAGTCTCGCTCTGTCACCCAGGCTGGAGTGCAGTGGCACAATCTCGGCTCACTGCAAGCCCCGCCTCCCGGGTTTATGCCGTTCTCCTTCCTCAGCCTCCCAAGTAGCTGGGACTACAGACACCCGCTGCCATACCCGGCTAATTTTTTTTTTTTTTTTTTTTTTTTGTATTTTTAGTAGAGACAGGGTTTCACTGTGGACCAGTGGATTTTACAGCCTCCCATCCTTTCATCCTCATGATACCACTGGAAGACGTTCATTGACTCCATCTTACAGACAAGACAGCTGAGGCTTAGTGATGCTAAGTGACATCACCCATGTGTAGGCAGCTAGGAAGGTGCTTCATGCATAGCAGGGCTCGAGAGAGCTTAGGTAAGCGATGTGAGGAACCTCTGCCTGTTCACCATCCAATCCACAGGTGCTCAGTAAATTGCTGTAGGATGCATACGACCGTCCAACACCCTTCAGATCATAAAACAATAGAATTTGAGAGCTGCGACTATAGCACTGCCACTAAGTCACTGTTGGCTTTAAGCAAGTCGCTCACCTTGAGGGGGTTGAACGAGCGTGTTGTGTTGGTCAGCGGTGCCTAGGAACAGCAGCAGCTTGGGCTCAACAGGGAGCTTGTTAGAAATACAGAGCCTTAGGCCCCACTCCAGACTTGGGGAGTCGGAATCCCTGGGGCGATGATATGGTCTGGATCTGTGTCCCCTCTAAACCTCATGGTGAAACATAATCTCCAATATTGGAGGTGGGGCCGGGTGGGAGGTGATCGGATCACAGAGGCAGATCCCTCGTGGCTTAGTGCTGTCCTCACAATAGTGGGAGAGTTCTCATAAGATCTGGTTGTTGTAAAGTGTGGCACTCCACCCCCTGCCCAGCTCTCTCTCTTGCTCCCACTCTCACCAGGGGAGACGCCTGCTCTCCCTTCTCTAGCCATGGTTGAAAGCTCCCTGCGGCCTCACCTGAAGCCAAGCAGATGCCAGCACCATGATTCCTGCACAGATCACAGACCCATGGGCCAATTAAACCTCCTTTCTTTATCAATTACCCAGCCTCAGGTATGTCTTTAAAGCAATGCAAGAATAGCCTAATACAGGTAGGGTCCAGCCACCAAGGTTAACCTGACCTCTAGGGGATTCTGACACATGCACGCACACACCCAAAAGCTTGAGAAGCGGGTGGCTTCTGTGAGTTGAGGCTTCCCCTTGCCACCCCTGCAGGTGGATTTTGAAGACGTGATCGCAGAGCCTGTGGGCACCTACAGCTTTGACGGCGTGTGGAAGGTGAGCTACACCACCTTCACTGTCTCCAAGTACTGGTGCTACCGTCTGTTGTCCACGCTGCTGGGCGTCCCACTGGCCCTGCTCTGGGGCTTCCTGTTCGCCTGCATCTCCTTCTGCCACATCTGGGCGGTGGTGCCATGCATTAAGAGCTACCTGATCGAGATCCAGTGCATCAGCCACATCTACTCACTCTGCATCCGCACCTTCTGCAACCCACTCTTCGCGGCCCTGGGCCAGGTCTGCAGCAGCATCAAGGTGGTGCTGCGGAAGGAGGTCTAAAGCCAGGTGGGGCAACAGCGGTGGCAGGGCAGGGGGTGGTGGGCCAGACTGGTCCCCGGGGGACTTCTTCACAGGGGCTGCTGGCGAGCTCTTTCTCTTTAGGGACTGCTCCATACCCCATGATGGAGCACACGGTGTAGGGAAGCCAGAAAGAAAAGACGGCCCAGCCACAGAAGCACAATGGCCCTTCGCTCTCCCCCAGCCCCACCATGATGCCCCCATGCCTGGGCGTGGGGGAAGATCATTTGCCAAGAGGCAGCTACTGCAAGTCTTTGCGTTCACTTGTACTGTAACAACATAAACCAGCACGCGGTTCCCACCCGGGGCCAACCTCTCCACGCGCACTCAGGAAAGTGACCAGTGACCACTGGCGTTAGGAAGGTGGCTCCAGTAAAGGGTTTTGGCTGCATTTGGGGAATGCTGCATTTTGTTCGTGCCTGTAAGATTGGTTTGTGTCCTGACCAGCTCCAAAAATATACTTCACTGCCCTGAAAAACAGACACAGGGAGAGTTGGTTGTCTCTTCACTTGGCCAAATGTAAGTGAAGAACAGAGTCTTTTTCTTCTTCGGATTCTATTGTTTGCTGGAACCGTACACGTTCCTTGGAAGATCATGTTTAAGTGACTCCTGTTGCCTGAGCACAAAAATGGGCACCAATGGAGGAAAATGACCCTTGGGCTGGCAGGGGCAGTGACCCTTCCAGGGTACCACTGAGGGAAGGGCCTGGGTTCAAGCCTCCCGGAACCTCCCCTTTGGCTAACCGAGCCCCTGAAATGCCCAGTACTGCCATTTGACATGAGGGTACCTTCGCCCTCAGGAGATGTGACGAAGGAACAAGGTCTAATTTGTGCGTGTGTGGACTCACTATGGAAATAAAATGCAGTAGAAAGAGCATGTATCACTTCCTCCCTCCTCACACTCTCTCTCTCTCTCACACACACACACACACACAGTGCCCTTATCTTCTTTAGGGCTGTCTTTTCCGAGTGTGCTATCCAGAACTTAGCCATTAAAAAAGAAAGGATGGGGATGGGTGTTAGCATCTGTGGTCCGGTTCTTTCAGAAATGCTGTATATTTCTCTCAGAGATTTTCAATAGACTTTGGCACATTAAAGGCTCTGACATGTCCTGCAGTAGATAAACCTGTTTAAACCAGTATCCCCCCAATCCTATCTGACCTTTTTTTTTTCTTTTTTTCTTTTCATGCAACGCCCATTTAAGTCTCATATAATTAAAGTTCCACAGCACTTGTCAGGTTTTCGGAGACATTATTCATGCCTGGCCACGAGCCCAGTGGTCTTGGGAGGCAGTGTGGTGAAGTGGACCACACACAGCTTGGGAACTAGGACGCAGGCAGCCTTGGTTCTAGTCCTGCTTCCGCTCCTAGTTGCCTTTTCTGCCTCAATTTTATCACCCACAAATTGATCTCTAATGTGCATTTTGGCTCCAAAATTTTACCCAATTTTGGTTTTCTCCTAACATTGTATGTAAATTTCAAACACAGAAAAGTTGAACAGCTACATACCCATCTTGGCTCTATCATTAACGTTTTTCTACCCCAGCTTTCTTACATCCCTATTCATCTATCCACCCCTCTATCCATCCCACCAATCTCATCTTTACGCATGTTTAAATACGTTGTAGAGATCAGCACATTTTACCCCTAAACACTTCATCATTTAGCCCTTGTTTCTGCAGATGAGAAAGTTACAGTCCAGAGAAGTCAGGAACCTTGCCAAAAGGCACCCACCTAGCCAGCACTATCACTGTGGCTCCAGCCTGCTGCCTGTGCTCTCCCTTGGGGCTCTTCCACATTGTCGGGGGGCTCAGCAGGCCCAGGCTCCTCCCTGCTGAAAAGGACTAAGGCTGATGTTACTTATGTCCTCCTCAAAGGGCCTGCCCTTTCAAACGTCTCTTGAAATCACGAGGCCATCCATTTCAGACTTGGAATCTTGGGTTATGTAGAGAATTTGCCATCTTGGTATTTGCTATAACTGGATTTGACAATGACTCCAATTTTTCAAGCTCACTGTCTTTCTCTAAGGGCAGACTATGGTCGGTGCTTAATTAGCCACAAAGTTCACAGAACTAGAGACAGGACACACATCTGAGATGCATGGGTGTCCAAGGAGTTCTCCCTCCAGGAATCTCCTTGAGAAGTAGCAGGCAGAAAATCACATTGGGGTTATGATGAGAATGGGCCTGAGGCAGGAGGATGGAGTTCCATTCCCTCTCATAAGATACATAGGGGACCACCAGGGACTCCTGTTTGAAATGCAGGTTCCAAGGCTCTAGCTACAGTGTTTGATTCAGTAGTGGGGCCCAGGAATCAGCATGTTAACACAAACTCATTTGTGATGCTACAGATGGCTCCCAAATCCACTTTTAAGAAATATTTGTTAGGGTTCCTTCAAGGTAACAGTCTAGAATCCTATCATCCCCAGAGTTCCACTGTGGTTCAGAGCAGATTCAGGGACATCATACATGATGTTTGTTCCTGAATCTTAGAGCATCTTCCCACAGAACTCTGATAACTGAGTGCACCTGTGATTCCAGAGAATGGGACCAGGGCCCCCTTCCACACCCTGTCACAGCCCATGCATCTGTGCCGTAATCAGGCCAATAACTCTGAAGCCCTGCAGGGATCTGGGGTCTACAAGCCACCAGTTCCAGTCACCGTTCTTGGGAGGAAGAACGGGGGCAAAGCAATGTATGGAAACAAATGTTTATCTAGTGCACTCTCTATCAAGCAGCTAATGAAGCAGACAACTTATGATCAGCCATGTCATTCACCAACTGGCACAGTTACAGAGGGGTGCCAGAGCAGGTCACCACAGTAGAACAAAATCAAGGTGTTCACATTTTGCCTTAAGTGGCGTTTCATTGCTATTGAATACAAAAAGTGTTAAACACTTTGAAACCAGGATTTTCTTAAAAGACAGCCTGCATTGTCCCCTTACATTTCCTGAAGTGGCAACACATAGACTCAAGCCAAAAGAAGACCAAAGTATGTGTCAGATTTTTTTTTCCAGCGCTTAAAGAAATAAGCCTCAGAGTTTCCACGTTCACTTTTGATGATCAGAGCCATGATACATTGCAGAAGACAATCTGCAGCTCCCACTTCCTGGCAACCCCGGCCATGCATATGGTTGTAAACAAGTCTGAAACTGTAGGGAAAGGTGGTTGGCAGACCTCAGGCATGGGGTCTGGGGAGGAGGCCAGAAACAACTGAACCCAAGGTAGCGTTCTGAACCCCTGCGCTCATTCTTCTAGGCTTTAGTTGGGGAAAGACTAAGAAATGGTGAAAATGCTCTCAAGGAGATGGGTGGGGGTCGGGGTGTATATCCAGTGGGGCTATTGAAATTGAATGTCACTTATTTGCCATAAAACAGACTCCTGCGCCATAATAAGACCCAATGTACCCGCCAGAGCTTTCACACGAAGAGAGTGACAAAGCATCCCACTTGGTTCTGATGCCCAAGAGTCTTATAACTCCAGGGTTCCCAGGAAGGCTGTGCTCCTGGTCAGAAAATCTACTGTGAGTTGCTGTCCCTTTGATCCCCAGTGGCCTCTGTTGGCTCCTAGGATGGCAACTTCCCTGGGAACAGCAGAGTCCTGGGGCATCTCTGGCTGGTGGGCAGCGAGGCATGAATGCTAACAGACCCCACTGCTGCTGCATTTGCACCCAGAGCTCACCAGTGCTCCAGTACATGTGCACAGAGGCCCCAGAACTGCATCCTGTTAGCTTCCCAAAGAGCAAGGACTGGCTGGTGTTGACCCTCTTCGTGCATGTCCCAGCAACACTGAGCAATGCTTTGCAGTCCAAAGACGATACTATCTTCAGTCTCCGGGTAGTACTGAAGACCTTGTGCTAAATCCTTAGACTTTGAACGTGGACATTTCAGTGCAAGCCTCTCTTCTCCCAGAACCTCTAGACAATGCTAGCTCATTCTATTGTGTGTGTATGCGCGTGTGTGTGGCTATGTGGCTACTGCAGCATGGAGGAAGAATAAAGTGTGTTATAAAGAGACAGAGTGGATCTGTGGCCTTTGAGAGTGCTCCTGCTGTATCTCAGTAAGTACAAAAATGTGCCTGGAAACTTAAAAGGTGCCCCACCATGCACTCAGCTGGCCAGTCCCTGACAGTAAACCTCTGATCAGTAGTGTCCTGTATTTAGTGACTAAAGGTATTTCTTAGACGTGGTCATGTCCTAACCTCAAGGCTGAGAGGACATTTGAGAACATGTTCACTAGGTAAGAAAAACCTCTGACACCTCTAGTGAATTTCTATTTTAAATAAAACATAACAACCTGCAGCTACAAGGCATCACTTGTGCCTTTACAAAGTAGGGATATATTTTCACTGCTGTTACTTTTTGCCAAATAGAGACATCATCTCTTGCAGTAAAACTGAGTAAGAAAATGATGAGATCCCTCTCAAGCAGTGAGCCACATAGAGAAACAAAAGTGCTGAGAGGCAAGAGATTCCAAGGAATTCATCCATCAAGCTGGCCTTCTCTGAATTCATCTGTTGAATTTTTTTTGTTTATTTTTATTTTTTAAAGTTCATTGGTTTTTAGTACATTCTCAAAATCGTGCACAATCACCACTAATTTCAGAACATTTTCATCACCCGAAAAAGAAACCCCAAACCCTTAGTAGTCATGCCTCATCTCTCACAGCCTCCAGGCCCTGGCAAACGCTAATCTATATTCACTCTATATAGATTCGTCCATTTTAGACATTGCATTTCAATGCAGTCAGACAATATGTGGGCTTTTGCACCTGGCTTCTTTCACTTAGCAAGTTTTCAAGGCTCATCCATGTTGTGGCATGTGTGAGTACTTCATTTCTTTTTAGAGTCTAATAATGTTCCATTGCGTGGACAGACCACATTTTATTTCCCATTCATCAGTTGGTAGACATTTGGGTTGTTTCCACTTTTTGGCTATTACAAATAATGTTGCTATGAACATTGGTGTACAAGTTTTTGTGTGTATGTACGTTTTCATTTCTCTTGGGTAAATACCTAGGAGTGGCATTCCTGGGTCATATGGTCACTCTACGTTTAACTTTTTGAGGTACTGCCAAACTGTTTTTCAAAGCAGGTGCACCATTTACATTCCCACCAACAATTTAAATTTCTACCAGTTTCTCTACATCCTCACCGACACTCGTTCTTGTCCATCTTTTTATTGTAGCCATCCTAGTGATTGTAAACTGGAATCTCATTGTGATTTTGACTTGCATTTCCCTAATGAATAATAATGTTGAGTATTTTTTCATGTGCTTAGTAGCCATTTGCATATCTTCTTTGGAGAAATGTCTATTCAAACCGTTAGCCCATTTTTTAAATTGATTTATTTTTCTCCTTATTGTTGTGTTATAAGAGTTATTTATATATTCCAGATACAAGCCCCTTATCATATATATGACTCGCAAATATTTTCTCCCATTCTGCAGGTTATCTTTTCACCTTCTTGATAGGGTCTTTTCAATCACAAAAGCTTCAAATCTTGATTAAGTCCAATTTACCTATTTTTCCATTGGTTGCTTGTGTCTTTGGTATCATATCTAAGAAACCACTGCCTAATTCAAGGTTACAAAGATCTATGCCTATGTTTCTTTCTAAGATTTTATAGTTTCAGCTCTTATATTTAGATCTTGGATGCGTTTTGAGTTGATTTTTGCACATAGTGTGAGTAAAGGTCCAACCTCATTCTTTTGCACTTGCATATCATTGTCTCGGTGCCATTTGTTGAAAAGACTCTCCTTTCTCTATTGAATTGTCTTGGGAACCTTGTCAAAAATCAATTGACCGTAAGTATAAGTGTTCATATCTGTACTCTTTATTCTGCTCCGTATGTCTATCCTTAAACCAGTAACACACTGAGCTGATTACCTTTATCGTAAATTATGAAATCAGGAAGTGTGAATCCACCAACTTTGTTCTTTTTCAAGGCTTATTTGGATATTCTGGGTCCCTTGCATTTCTTTATGAATTTTGGGACTAGCTTATCAATTTCTGTAAAGAAGCCAGCTATGATTTTCATAAGGATTGCACTGAATCTGCATGTCAGTTAGGATAGTATTGCCATCTTAACAATACTAAGTCTGATCCATGAACACAGGATGTCTTTCCATTTATTTAAGCCTTCTTTAATTTCTTTCCAATTTTGTAGTTTTCAGTCTTGCACTTGTTTTGTTAAGTTGATTCCTATTTTATTCTTTCTGATGGTATTATAAATGGAATTATTTAACTTCGTTTTCATATTGTTTGTTGCTAGTATAAAGAAATACAATTCATTTTTGTATATTGATCTTGTATCTTGAAACCTTGCGGAACTTGCTTATTAGTTCTAATAGCTGTGTGCGTGTGTGTGTGTGTGTGTGTGTGTGAGTTCCTTAGGATTTTCTATATACAAAACTGTGTCATCTGCAAATAGTTTTACTTCTTCTTTTCCTATCTGGATACATTTATTTCTTTTTCTTTCCCAAATGCTTCTTAAACATTAGCTTCTTAAACATTTTTAACCCAAGTTCTAATAGGTCCACTGCGCCAGATGGTCTTACAAGGTAATCCCCTTCTCTTAGGGCTACCCTCTGACAAGCTGGTCCCCAAGGACCCCAGCATTTGTTCGCTTAAAGGCAAATACACTTTGAGGTCAGGAGGATCTTAGCACCACCCTTCCCATCTGAGGTCCCAACCCCACTGCTTACCCCAAGTCCAGAACACTGGACTTCCTGACCCAATTGGTCACCAATCCTATATTTACCGCTTTTCACAATATCCCAGAATGAAGAAGTAAAAATATACTGGAGTGAAATTACAAGTCCAGGAGAAAAAACAAGCCACTCACTGCCCAGGGCAGCAGTGGGTTCAGGGTGGTAGAAGTACGTGTAGGAGGCCAGGGTGTTGTCTGATGGCTGAGTCCCCTATCATCTTCCATCATGGAGGCCACTCTCCACCCCACTGAAGCCACCCCAAGGAGGGGAGGGATACAAACTGATAGGTACCTTATACACAAACATACGCCATCACCTAGGAGCAGAGCACTTATGCCAGCACAGCCTGAGCCTCAGGCTGCAGCCCTGGCCCTGGCTGGTGGGTCACGCCGTGGATGGCTGGGAGCAGCTCCTCTGGCTGGAGCTGCGATGGCTCAGGACAAAGGAGGACGAGTTGCTCTTTTTGCTGGCACTCGTCTCTCCCAGGCGTCTGCCCTTCAGGTAGCTGGCGGAGCAGCACAGGAAGCGCTGCACGAGTTCGTGGAAGAGGTGGCCCGTGAACAGCATGTAGATCCAGGGGTTGCAGCAGCTGTTGAGGCTGGCCAGGAGCATGACGATGATGAAGGCCGAGGCTGAGGGGGTGGGGGCAGGAGAAAGGAGAAAAGGGCATTAATTAACACTGGAGCCACTTCCAGACCTATCTGACTTAAACATCATTTCCTGAGCGACAGCCTTGTCCAAGTACTACATCCTGAATCACAAGATGAGGTACTAAAGAGGCAAAGTTTGTCTTCCTTCTCCCTCCTTGTCCTGGACATGCCCTCAGGCTGTCCTCCAAACCCTCCCCACCAGGCTTAGCCCAGGCTTGGAACTGTCTCTGCCTTTCTCTCACCAGCAGCTTTCCCACTGCCTACCTCCCTCAGCAGAAGCTGAATCCATCACAGCCACCTTTTCATGCATCACTCACCCAATGAATGTTGAGTGCCTACAACTTCGAGTGTCTGCAAGCACAGTACCCAAAAGCTGCCACACCTAGTTTGCATGCTAGCCTCACCAGCGCCTAGTTACTTGAAGTCCCTAAGAAGCTTCGGTTTCCTAATCTTTAAATGGGCATAAGGAGAGTGCCCAAACCTCTGGGGACTGCTGCAAGGATTAAAGAGTGCCTGGTACACAGTGGGTGCCCAATAAATGATGGCTGCTATCACGACCATGTGCCGGGCAAATCAAATAAAATGAGAAACACCACGATGCAGACATCTTGTGGTTTAGGTAGGCACCGGAAGGGGGTGCCACTCTGAGAGTCATGGCTGGCCCCACAAACGGGGCATGTGAGCTGATTCCCAAAGATGCCTATGGTTTTTCCAGGCAGAGCAGGGAAGAAATGTGCTCCAGGCAGAAGGAATGGCCCCAGCAAAGGCGTGGCAGCGAGAAACTGTATGACATCTTCATGGCTGACCAACTGAAAGCATCTCCATGAAGCTGTGCCTAAGAGCACTGCTTCAGCATGACAATAAGACTCATGCAGGAAAAAGAAAGTGACATGGAAGTTATCTGAAGTACTCTGTAAAGGCTATTATACTGAGGACTCATGGAGGTGCAGGCAAAGTTAATGATCAGAAATCAGCTTCAAGACATTGCTTGTCACAAACTGAAACTTCAAGAGGGAAGAAAAAAATCCTAATTCTAGGTACTTCCAAGCACGGGGATAAAAATCTGCCTTCTTTCAATGGCCTTAAATCTGAACAACCAGACATCTCCTGATGACAGACAAGGCCAGGCAACATCTCCAGAAACCCACAAGGAAAACAACTAAGAATTCTGTTCAGCCACCTCCTTGTGTGTGAAGGCAACTGCAAGAAGGCTGGGAAAATCCACTAGTCTTCCTTCTGTCTGCTCTGCAAAATTTTTTGACAAATAACTCTAGAGTTCAGAGCTAAATCCAGGGAAGGACTCTTCACTGGGGATGCTCAAGAGGTGCAAAATCTAGATGTGGCCACTGATGAAGAGAACAGAGATGTTTGTCAGCGAAGTCTTCAAGCACCAAGGGAAGAAAGGCAGTTGGTTGTTGGTAAGTCTACATGAGTGGCTCTCAAAGTAGGCCCCCCTCCCAGAGCGACACATCACATGGGAACTTGCTGGAAATGCACATTCTCAGGCCCCACCCCAGAATTACCCTCTGGAGGTAGGGCTCAGGAATGTTGTAATTCTAATGCACCCTCAAGGTTAAGAACCACTAGTCTAATTAATTGGTGCACCTGTTGGAACAAGAGCAAGCTACGATAGACAGAAAACAAAATTCTTGCAAAAGAGAGTTTTTAGAAAGCAAAGAATGGAAATTTAACTCTTAGTATTAAAATAATAAAGAATAGAAAGGAGGAAAAATGAAAGAAAAATGATCAATATTACTAAATTCACTGGTTTTAACAAAAAATATTTTGTTAAGAAATTTGCTTTGATTTGGATGGATAAGAAGATGAATTTAAGTTTAGAAACTCTGATGGAATATTTCACCAACAAAATTGAAATTCACCCACAAGACTAAAAACAGAATGTCTCAGAAATAATGAAAGAGGCAAAAATCAACGTGCAAAAGTCAATATTTACAACCTACCAGCCACAAAGGGAAGGTTCGCCCACAAGACTAAAACCAGAATGTCTTAGAAATAATGAAAGAGGCAAAAATCAACGTGCAAAAGTCAATATTTACAACCTACCAGCCACAAAGGGAAGGACATAGGTGTATAAAGCTTTGCAATGAGGTAGGAGGAAGCATCAGGGATGAAGTTCACAGAAAGACACTGTTTTGCCTAGTTGGATACAGTTATTTGGCACAATCTTATCTGTTCATTTAAGCTATTGGTCTCACTCTTTACTCTTTGGATCTTTCAACTTTTTTATCCTATTTTTTAAAAAACTACAGAAACATCAACAACAAAGAAGAAAATAGTTAATGAATTCCTAAGTAGCCACCAATCCTTCCGCCTCCAAGAGGCTGGTCTGGGTGGGAGAAGTCTGGCCAGTGCCTCTGATCCCACCTGGTGGCCACAGACACGAGTGACCTCAAGTGGGTCCTCAGGGGATGAAGGGCCCTCTCTAAGCTGAACCTGCTCATGTCAAGTTACTAACACTAAGGGCACATTTGGCTGTTCTTAATTTGTCAATATCCTAGTCACCCAAAGTCGTTAAGTTTCCAGGAACAGCACTTCAAAGCTCTACCATCAGGGGGAGATCTATTTGGAACACAAAGCAGGGACTATGGAGCATATTTCAAAGGGCTGAGGCAGCAGGAATAAAGGCCCATGGTTGAGAACAGCCAAGATCACTCAGGGACTTCCCGGGAGGCAAGAAGGGAAAAGGGGAGTTTCACAAGAGAAGAGTTTGGAAAGATGGTTTGGAACCAGACAGGAGGATCTTAAATCCAGACAGAGTCTGCCCACTTTACTGTATGGGCAATAGGGAGCCACTGATGGTTACTGAGCAGGTGAGCGACTACGGATTCCACTTCAACCTGCTTTCTGCACTTATTGTATCTTGTATAGGCCATAGCATTCCCCTTTCTGATGGCTAGAAAGGCTTCACAGGATTA
The DNA here is from genome assembly GCF_000001405.40 of Homo sapiens. Classification (NCBI taxonomy): domain Eukaryota; kingdom Metazoa; phylum Chordata; class Mammalia; order Primates; family Hominidae; genus Homo; species Homo sapiens. Next base: position 8,756,179 of record NC_000003.12, read on the forward strand.
CAGAGGACTTGGAACAGAAAAAAGCATGGAAAATATTGTCCTTACATTTCACAATGTTACTTCCATGTGAGGATGTGACAATGCTGACCATCAAAATCACTGCTCGAGCCCGCCCAGGAGAGTACAGTTTTCAAAGTAGCCTTATCCTCATTTTATAGATGAGGAAAGTAAAACTCAGAGAAGGAGAGTCACTTCCCCAAGGGCACACAGCAAGTCACCCTGTGTTCATACATAAAAGTAATGAAGACTGATTCCTTTTAAAAACAGGTTAGCATCCTCACAGGTCAGGTTGGTTCCAATTAGTGAATCCTGTCAGTCCCAAAGCCAAGACAGAAGCTGGTTAGGCAGTTTGCCTAATGTTATGATTTGAGGGACAGAGAGCAACTTCCCTGTTCCCAAAACAAATGTGGTCCACCACTGACAGTAAGCAGTGCCCATTCCCCATTTTTGACGCTGTGGATGCTGTGGTGCCCCCTGAGTACCCATTCCTCTAGCTGCCCAAGAGCTGCCTGCCAAATGCTCACAGCTGAGCTCCTCTCTGGGCATTGCCTTTGGCCAAAAGGAGCTGCCACCACACCCAATGACTGCTTAGTGCAAATGTGCAAAGGCCAGGCCCCATGCCTTCATCCGGGCTTCTCTGAAGGGCCATGGCCACTCCCAAGCTCCCGGTGAGACTGGCCTCCCTCCGCATTTCCACACAATGCAGCCACAATGATGTCAGCGCAGAGAGGAGGACCTACAAGTCCTCATGGGCCTGACTCAGAAAGGTCTGCTATGCAGCGAGCACCTTCTCCGGGGTCCCTCAGGAAAGGAAGCTGTTCACAGTGGGCGCCCCCTGGCCCACAGAAACACTGGCTGAGAGGCAGGGAGGAGAACCCAGGAACTCAGGATCCAGATGCAAAGTCCTGGGGCCTGGATCCCCCTCCCACCTAATCACTCTCTGAACTACATCTGAGTGAACTACTGCCTGAGCCTCAGTTTCCTTATCTGTAGCATGGAGGCGGCACTCATAAGGCTATTGAGAAAATGAAAAAAAAATTAAAGATCGTGTAAAAGGGCTTTGTGACTGGCAAAGTGTTTATTCAAGTAATTATCATTAACATTAGTATTAATATTAGTATTAATATTAATATTAATGTATGTGAGGTATGACCAACTATAGCAATTCTTTAAAATCCAAGTTTGAAGACTCCCAATCCCAGAACAATTAAAGAAATTCTCCTTAGCCCATTTTCCCAACACTTCTCAAAAGTTAAAAAAAAAAACAAAAAACAAAAAAAATCAAACCCCAGAGCCCTCAGGTTGAATCACTTGGCAAGAAAGGAACTCTAGACAGTCCATTCTGGAAAACTTATTCTACCAGCGACCTAGAAATCCAAAAGGGAAGGTTGCTGCAACTGTGGGCAGGAGCAGGATCTTAGGGTCTCCGCTGGAAGAGCCAGTTCTAATCATGTGTCTCCCACTTTCCTGCCATAAAAATCACATCTTGCCCCACGATCGAGTCCTGAGCGTGTGCCAGACTGCAAACTTACTCTCTCCCATCCTTGCCAGGAAGGGAGGATGCAGAGGAGAGGCTGTCCACCCGGACTCCGCGGGGGCCGCTGGCCTCACACTTACGGCATTTCTCGGAGGAGGAAGAGGTCAGACGTCCATCCTTTCATTCTGCCTCCCCTCCATGCCATGCACTGAGTAGGTGCGAGGATCTAAGTGGAGTCCCTGCCCTCAAGTGATTTCCAGACTCAGGATGAGAAAGAGAGACTTAAAAGACCAGCAGAATATTGAACAGGGGGTAAAGCATTTGGGGAAGGGGCTGCTGGGCACAAGAGCTGGGGACTAGGGGTGGTTTTCAAGTGCAGTCTCTTGTGTGCCAAGCGGGGGACATGAGCAGAAACAGCCACACACCAAACGCCAACATCCCCTGCTGGGCAATTCTGTCCCTGGGAGAATCAACTCTGCATTTCTACTTGGCACCATGATTCATGGAGGGGTGGGAGGCAGAGGTCCACGTTCCATCCTTCCCAGCCTGGCTTTCCTCAAGCCCCAAGAACTCCCCTGTTAGGATTTCCCGGCACTCTCTCCACCCCAGCACTGAAACCCCAAATTAGCCCAGAACAGCTGACGGGCAGCTGGCCACCGCCTCTCCGGGCTGTGCTGTTCCTGAGGCTACCGGCACGTTTCATATGACTCAAAGACATGTGGCCAAGATCGGCTGAGTCAAAGCAAGCCCATCAACTTCACAAAAGGCCCGCACTTGAGAAACCAATCATTTGCCACAAGGCCTCCCCAGAGTACCAGGAATTCAGATGTAAGTCCCTCATTCCTACAGGACTGTGCGGGCATCTGGGAACAAAACTATGGAAGGCCCTTTCTTAAGAAAATGATTTTTGAATGTATGCTTATAGAAAGATTGAGTCTCAATATACACTACAGGGTGCCTTCTTAGAAAAGACCATCGTTTTACAACTGTGATTTTCCTAAAAATCACAGATGTGTGATCACCCCGTGTAGTGCAAGGTCTGGGTGAAGAGCCAAACGGGCGGGCTACAGAGTTGAAAATGGGTTTCTCTGACAGCACTGCTCCAATCTGGTAGGTGTGCTGGACTCACTGGGCTGGGCCTGAGAATAACCACATTCTGGAAGAAGACAAGCCAGGGCCTTCCTGCAAACGACCAGCCCTTCGCTACCCTTCAAGGAATGACAAGGCCCTCCATCCAATCTGGGCCACACGTGTAAAGGCAAACAGTGAGTGTTGGTAAAAGGTCATATGTTAAAGCTTTGCTGCTCAAAGTGTAGCCAATGGCTGGCTACAGGGCATCTGATAGGCGCCACCTGTTTCCTTGTCAAAACTGCAAACTCTTGGGGCCCCACCCCAGACCTACTGAGTCAGAATCTGCATTTTAACAAAATACGCATTAAAGTTTGAGCAGCTTCCTTCCAACTAGCTCAAATCGTATAGATAGGAAAGAAGAAATGAATAAAGTAACTGTCCACCGTTCTTGATCTCAATGTGGAATGTGCATCTGCTTCTTTGCATAGTAAGCTCCTACTCACCCCTCAAAAACCCTTTTCAAATGACACTTCCCCTCTGAAACCCTCCTGATTTCTTCCCAGGGAGACAGATCAACTAATGCCTTCTCAGGGTATTTGCAGTACTTGGTAAATAAATAGCTCTATAACAGCATCACCCCATCATATTGTCATTATTTTCTGACACTCTTTGGCTGGGGACTGTGTCTTATTGGTAGCTCCGTCCTTAGGCTGCTAACAGCTACTGGAAAATAGGAAGAGTTCAATAAGGAGCTGAATTGGACTGAAGCATGAAATTAGCAGGCAAGAGGTCCTGATAAATCAGCCACCGCTGTCAGTATGTTGGAAGGGCTACAAATAATTTCCCTGCTCAACCACAGGATATGGCCTCCCAGTAAGGTGACTGGACTCAAATGCAATTCCCTCTGGGAAAATTAAGTTCGCCCTCAGATATGGTCAGGTGGAGAGAAAGGGAGAGAAACAGAATGTGCAAGAGTGCCGTTGGGGTGGGAGACATGGGCCGGGAGGGCAGAAGCCCACAGTCTCAAAGCATCTGACTAAAGGGCAGGAAGCCTTAGCTCCCGGCTGAGCACAAAAGGAGATACTGGCAGAGGCTGCCCCTCAGTGCAGGAATCAGGAGTAAGGATTTGGGCCTTGGGGCTGGGACACTGGACACCACCTGGTTACACCTCTCTCCCACCCATACCTTAGACAAGACCCAGCCTAGGGTACCTCTAAACCAGAGCTAGAACCTTCCAACTGGCCTCCCGCCTCCTCCAGGTGAGACAGTTGTTT